>NC_000023.11:24637488-25887488 GCF_000001405.40 Homo sapiens
AAAATATATATATATATATATATAAATTAGCTGAGCGTGGTGGCGTGCACCTGTAATCCCAGCTACTGGGGAGGCTGAGGCAGAAGAATCACTTGAACCTGGGAGGCGGAGGTTGCAGTGAGCTGAGATCATGCCACTGCACCCAGCCTGGGTGACAGAGCAAGACTTCATCTCAAAAATATACATATGTATCTTTTTGGATCTTTGGGAAATTACTTGATTATTTATTTCCTTACTTATAACATGAGGAATAGTAATGCTTATTTCATGGGTCTGCAGCCTGATTAAATGAGATAATACATATAGAGCATTCAACACAGTGCCCAATACAGTGTGCACTGTGAATGGTTGTTCAATTCCCCGACTTGCCCATGGAGAAAAAGGAGTGAGACCACTAGCCTTGCATCCCATATAGAACAATTACCTTATAACTAAACAATTTGGAGGTACAATAGAATTTATTATTATGTGACTGTGCCTACAGTCAATATTAGGCACACCAGAGATGAAACACAGAAGCCTGCATGTACCAGGAATGGGCTTTCAACATCATTTGGTTGGCAATAGGCTGTACACATCATTCATGATGTTTCTATTAACCTATTACCGTTGTTATTTTTCTTAAATGACAGTTTAAATAACCCTCAGCATCCTGATGTCAGGTTCAGCATGCATGAATTACCGAGTAGAAAACAAAAACACCAAGTCAAAGATTTTGGCGGGAGGGAGGAGATTATATGAAAATGAATTCTGCTCAATAGGCTAGCCCCGTGTGGCCCTGCACACTATTACACAGGCGCACACTACCAGGGCTCACTGCTTTATTTTCTAATCACTGTGTTTTCAAGTCTGCCTTCAAGATTGTTGAGTGCTAAACTGTCTCTTTATCCCCAAGCAAGGTCAGCTTCCCAGCCTCCCATACAACCCAGTTCATGCTGGGATAAAGAGGAAGGTAGGAATGTTAAAACAATAATGCTATGGTCTGAGGCCAGCAACGGGTAATCAGATCCTAGCAAGGTAGAGGCTGTTACCTGGGAGATTATTGGAAGAAAATAGGCCTAGCTTGCAATGACTTAGTTTGTTTCTACCTTCCTTGCTTTTTTTTCCTTTTCATTCTTCCCCCCAGTGATCTGATGGGATAATTATTTTCCTGCATTTATTTCCCTAACAGTCACTGAGAAGCTTTGTGTGGGGCACCAGCTAAAGATGTAAGAGTTTTGGGACTACAGCCTGACCCATTGCTGGACTTTAACCCCAAGTAGCAAGCTTAGATGGACAACATTGATTAAGAAAGGCCTCTATAGTTCAAGCCCATACTGCCATGCCTCAAAGAAGGCCCAATGTTTCAAACTTCTGTAGTATGAAATAGATAAATTAGGAGGCTACTGTTCACATTAAGAAGAGATTCAACACAGGTTTCCCGAAACAATGAATAGAACATTCCATATATGATTTGGAATACATTCAACCTGTCTGAGAAAGCATCTGAAGAATAAAACAGAAGACAGCAGAAGTGGTTTGTACAACATCAATGTAAAACTTCAAAGTGCTTGTGAACATTTGTTATTCATATTTAGCCAGTGTGTCTTACCATAAGATCATGCAACCTGTTTTTACCCCAAATGGATAAAACCAACAGGGGGTGAGGAATGGGGTAGCCCAGACTTTTGATAGGAGCATGAGCTCAAACAGAACATACTGCAGTAGACCAAGTTCCAAGGCAATGAAAGCTAGAATCACACTCTAAGGATCTATCCAATCCATTGTCGGGGACAGAATGGAATCCAGAGAGGAAAGTGATTTGCTTAAGTGCACACAATAATTCAATGGCAAAACTGACACTGGAACAAGACTATGGGCTCCAGCAAGTCCAGACCAAGCTTTAGCACATTTGTCTTGACAGCCCCCTGTCCTTTCACCGTGGGCTAGTTCAGCTCTCCCTGGCCAGATCTAGACTTGGCTTGATGGGCATTGGTGTGGAGTCCCAGAGGCCACAACGAAGCAGATCCATTTGCTCTCATCACTGCATCTCATCAGGAACCATCTCAGCCTTTCCACTTCTCCCTACCCACAGCCTGGAGGCCTCAGGAGAGGACATATCCTGGGGCTGGACTCAACTACCCAGGATATACCAGAATTATAGTTCCGTACTAGCCAGAAATAAGCCACCATGATTTTGCTTCCACCTTCACAGATGAAAAACAGGCTATCAGATAGAGAGGCCTTCAACTTTCAGTACCCTTCCTCTTATAACTTGTTCTTGCCCAAACCATCCTTGCCAGCTTCCTTGCCACTACAGTGGGAGAGGTGTCTTTTTTTCTCCCTGAAGCCAATCCTTCCACTTGTGCACTGGAGCCCAACCTGTCCAGCCTAAGAGACATTCCCTTCATCAGTTGTCCCCATCACCATCGCCCCTTCCCTCTCCCACTGGCTCTTTCCCATTTATATTTAGGCACAAGTTGCTATCATCTTAAAAGAATGAGCCAACCAAAAGATCTGACATCTTGGATGGATGAAAGGAATGAGAAATAAAAGGAAAAAAAGATGAAGGGAGGGAAGATGAAAGGAACGAAAGAAGGAAGGGGAAAAGCTAGTCTCTAGTAACCCTAAGCCCTGATTTGTCCACCTCTGGGTACTGTACATTCTATCTGCTTCCTCTCTCAGTCAAGCTTCCACTTCCCTACCACCTATAGGCTCCTCAATCTACTGCCATCCAGCCTCCGCTCCCACCACTTCACTGAAACATCACCACTGACCTCTTCTTTCTAAATCCAAAGGAAACTTTTCCTCCTTAACTCATTTGATCTCTCTACTGCATTTGATTCTATTGGACATTCCCTCCATGAAACTTACCCTGCCCTTGGTCCCTTGATCTCCCAGTTATTTGAGAAATACTTCTCTGTCTTCTTTTCATGATCCTTCTTCTATTGGCCCTTTAAGTAGTCTTTCTTAGGGTTCCAACCTGGGAAGATTCTGGGATAAAGTAGATTAGCTTAACCAGATTTCATGTAGAGACAGATGAATAGAAGGAGGAGTCTAATAGCTTTAATTACAGCTCCTCTATTTTCCCCCTCTAAGAACCTGATAGGATGGCTCAGGGTCAGTTACTTTCTAGAATTAGCCCTGTAGTGGGATTATCCTGAGGCACTCTTCCTAGGTAACCATCTCCATCCACTTCCTTCTCAGTCCAGAAACTATCTCAATTTCACTCTCATCCATTTCACTGCCTCAATTTCACTTCCATCTCCTCCATGCTATCTCCCAGATCTATATCTCCAGCTCAGAACTCTCTCCTGAGTTCCCCAACCAAACATGAACTAGACACCTCCAAGTGGAAGTCCCCATGGCACCTCAGACATAACTCTCACAAACTCTACTTCCCTGGCACACCCATCTCAGTGATGGCACTCACTAGTTGGAGCCAGAAAACAAACTGTGCCTTCCTTGATCTTTTTGTTTTTTTGAGATGGAGTCTCGCTCTGTCACTCAGGCTGGAGTGCAGAGGGATGATCTCGGCTCACTGCAACCTCCGTCTCCCGGGTTCAAGCGATTCTCCTGCCTCAGCCTCCCAAGTAGCTGGGATTACAGGAGCACACTACCATACCCGGCTAATTTTTGTATTTTTAGTAGAGATGGGTTTTCACCAGGTTGGCCAGGCTGGTCTTGAACTCCTGACCTCAAGTGGTCCACCTGCCTCACCTCCCAAAGTGCTGGGATCACAGGCATAAGCCACTGCGCCTGGCCCCTTGATCTTTCACTGAACCTGCCCCATGCTCAGACTTAGTTATCAAATCTTGGGGCATTTATCTCTTTAGTGTTTCCCATATCCATCTAGTTCTCTCCTTTCCCACTGTCCTTCTATAATTTCAAACTTATTAACTCTCATCTAGATTACTGCAACAGTCTCTTAACTGAAATAGAATAAGATAGGATAGCATAGAAAGTATAAGAGTGCAAAACATGAAGTAAGGAAAAGTGATGTTTGGTTTTAGTTATGACTACATATATGTATACGTGAACTGTGCAACATGAAAAGTATTTATCATTGTAGGTCCTCAGAACTGATCCTAACAGGGCTGGACAAGTGTCTAAGCTCCCTGTAAAGCCACATGTAGTCACTGAGCACTTGAAATTAGCTAGTCCGAATTGAGATGTATTGCAAGCACAATATACACATTGGATTTCAGACTTAGTATGAAGAAAATAATATAAGATCTCATTAATAATTTTTATATTGCATGCTGACATAATATTTTGGATACAAAATTAATTTCACCTTTTTTAACCTTTAAAACTGTGGCCACTTGAAAATTTTCAATTACACATGTGGCTCATGCTGTATTTCTACTGGGCAGAGCTGTTCTAGAGTTCTAGGCCAGTATGTGACCCACAATGGGGGCTTAAGATCCACTCAAAAATGGATTGATCCTTTCCATGTCCCAAAATATGTATTGGGGTGAGCAAGTAAAACCTTTTCTTCAAATGCAGGGACTTTTCTTAACTTGGGGATTGGGTTAACAGAGTCCTCCCTGCTGGGAAGTACTTCCCCTCAATGGATAAAAAATAGCTTTTAAGAAAGTCTAATATGTTAAAGTCAAACTTACAAAAAAGCTCTCTTAAGGGATTTCAGCATCCTGGCATGCTTCCACAAACCAAACTACTACCTTCTATTAAACGGAAATGCCCCTTTAGGGGCAAGGGGTTTGGATTCACTTCTTTTATTTCTCTCCACAGCACCTGGTGCATTGCTGTGTCTGGAAGTTGTTAACCACCTGGCTGACTGTGGATCCCATGGGTAAGGGGATGGTAGGGGTTGGTAAGGATTGGTAAGAGACTCAGTTTTCTCTCAGTTATCTTCCAAAACTCTGCATTGCTAAATACTTTAAATCTTCCTCACTGCCTGATTGAGGACATATACATGCACTCTTTTGATTTCTATATGCTAAATCATCAAAATAAAACACAGAAGCTACCTATTATATTTGATTTAGGTTTATTTCTTCCATAAGGGTTTAGCATTAGGCAAATTGGGTTGGAGGGGTAGTGAGAGAACAAACCTAAAAGAATGGAAGAAACTAATTGATTGATTCCATGCTAAATACACCTGACTAGTATCAATTTGCAAGACATGGATGTTGCATTTGGATAGAGACCAGCAGGAAGATACCTAATAATAACCTTAGGCAGAATTCCAGTTGACCACAGTAAATACCCAAGGAAGCTCACGTTTGTTTATTTTCGCCAATATTGCGCATTAAGAGTGTTTCACTTTTAAAATGTATGCTGTTCTGGGTGGCTAAGTAGATGGCAATATTAGCAAAGGAAGCCATTGATGTCTCTGGAAATCTGGTCATCTTTTTGAATACTAGCAGATGAGCATGCTACCTCCAAACTGACATAATGCACCTTCTGCAAGACAGCAGTCTCTTGGCACTGCTCCACTTTGAAGTAAAACCCGAAATGAACTCCTCCTGCTAATGTGGCATGTTGAACCAACCCTTTTTTATTTCCAAGGCCTTCTCAGTTGATCCATAGTATATCCATCTTCATGGAAGTGACTATTGCAGTCTAGAATTACAATTCCTTCTGACAACAGAATGCACCCCTAGAAGAACTTGTCCAAGGTCATTAACCAAATTCTCAAGCAGACAACTTTCAGGGTGGCTGGGCCTTGTTAGAAAGGGCTTCTGGGACACCTGCTGAGCCCAGAGGATCTTTCTAGGCATAATCTGAGGGCTGGGAAGATATGAGGACACAGTCCTTGCTCAGAGGAGTCCTTGTATCTCAGGAGTTAGATTTCCAAGAAGGGCTATTACATCATATCACCCAAGGCCACTCAGTTTCTCATCTTGACAGTCAAGCTGATGAGTCACCTTGCATCATGTTTAATCAGGAAAATAGTAAAGAACTGAAAACAAGTCAAGAATCAAGAGTAAACATTGTAACAATGTAAAGAGTTCTCAGAAGCATCTCAAATCAGAGCACCATGGTAAAATGGTAAGAGTAGTAAGATTATATTCCTAAAATATAGGCTCTATCATAAAACCTAGGTAATGCTTTTGTTATTTCTTTTCTAATTTCTTTATCAGAGTTACTGCATTCTATTTAATCGTCTCCTTTCTTATATTTTCCTCTAATGAAGAATAAGGCAGGTAGAGAAACTACAAGTTTTCCTGGCAGAAGAACTTCCCCTTGAAATATAATTCAATCATATCTGCAATATTATTATCAATTTGTTACTTACAGGGATCTAAAATATAGACTGCTTTAAAGTCTATTTATTCACTCACGTATGCCAGCTCCCCACTTCATTTCAGCAACTAGGAGAAGGAGCCTGCCCTCTGAAGGAGAATCCAAGTGTGGAGCTTCAATCCTAAACAGGCCCCCTGCAAATATTTCATACACTTTCCATAGTTAGTTAAGCAACTCAGTAGCCACACTCTGTTGATGGCTGTGGTGTCAGTGACCCACATACAATTTGGAGCTATATGCCTGGGTGCTGGGAGAAATGCAGAATTTATACAATTTGAAATATGAAGACACTAGCAAAGCTACAAGATCAACAGAAACTACTAAAAACCAGAGAAAGAAATGCTAATTTCATGTTTTCACTTGCTGCTCACTCTCTTCATCAACAAACTTTTTTATTAAGTAGTTAGCATGTGCCTTAGTTATTAAAGTAAGATCATTAGCAAAGGAAAGTTAGGCTATAAAGTATAAATCTAAATTTAGAATATAACCCTACAGTGATCAAAGTTAGCTAATAAGAGAGAAGGCAATTTGAAAATTTTAGTAGTGTTTTATAAATTGGTTGCAAGCCCCTGTTTAAACAGAGTCAAATTTCAGTAGCCCATGACAATGATGAACAACGTGGAAAATTTTGTATCATAAGTAAATCAAAGCAGGTGCTTCAACAGTTCAACTTATGTACATCTGTATCATACCTATGCATGTGCATGATACACACACACACACACACACACACACACACACACACACACGAAACCAGAACTGCCAAAAAGATGGGAAGGGAATGTATCTCACTTATGAGTATGTTATAGAAGAAAGATCTTCCACTTTTCCGGTGTAGAGCTCTGGGTTCAAATCCCAGCTCTGCCCCCTTCAAAGCAGTGTGACCCTTGGGCAAGTCACTTACCCTCTCTGAACCTCAGTTTCCTTATTTCTACAATGGGTGGGAGGTGAGGGTGTAGAGCACATTGCCAGCTTTGCGTGGTTCTTGTGAGTTACCACCTGGAATAAGCTGTCACGAGTGAAAGTGGAAAGTAACTTGGCCAGGTGCAGTGGGTCACACCTGTAATCCCAATACTTTGGAGGCCAAGGTGGGCGGATCACCTGAGGGCAGGAGTTCGAGACCAGCCTGGCCAACATGGCAAAACCCCGTCTCTACCAAAAATACAAAAAAATATTAGCCAGGCATGGTGCTGCCCACCTGTAATCCCAGCTACTCAGGAGGCTGAGGCAGGAGAATCGCTTGAACCTGGGAGGTGGAGGTTGTGGTGAGCCAAGATCAGGCCACTGCACTCTAGCCTGGAGGACATAGTGAGACTCCATCTTAAAAAAACAAGAAAGTAACTTGAACTTTCTTCTTTCCCTTAATTTTCTCTGCCCATCTCCCTCAGGCAGAAGCAATCAAGAAGCAGAATAGCTAAGAGGTAAAAATGGAAGGAAAAATAGTAGGCAAAAGAGACTGAAATGATGCACAAACTGGAGCTGGATGCCGCCTTTCTCTCCTCTGCCCTTTACCTCTGTCAGGAAGGTATGTGATGCAAATTTGAAGATTGTGGTTACTTTAAAAAATATATTTTTGGGTAAGCATGGGCACAAATATATATACATATGTGTGTATATATGTATATATGTGTGTATATACATATATATATATACACACATATATATATTGGTCCAGTGCTGTGGCACAAGCCTGTAATCCCAGCTACTTGGGAGGCTGAGGCAGGAGGATCACTTGAGTCCAGGAGTTCAAGTTTGAGGCCAGCCTGGAAAACAGAGTGAGTCTCTCTCTCTATTTATGTGTATATATGTATATGTGCATATGATAATCTTGTAATATGCTTTTAGTGGTCATTTTCCTTTATGCTAAACCATAAGTTGTTTAGTGACTCAAAGGAATCCCTTAGTAACAAACTTATTGGGATGGTTTGTATCTCATGAGAACATAGACACTGCACTGTGTATGTCATTCAGTAAGTGGCTAAAGTGCTAGGGCACAGTTACTATTAAACTGCCCTAAGAGAAAACATTTTTAAAAATAGAAGCATAGGGGAAAAAAGCCCACAGGGCTCTAATATAACTTCCTCTGTATTTGTGCTTTTTAGGAAGTTGTTCTAAGCCTCCTTTGAACCCTTATTAACTCTTATTAAGAAATAACAGTTTTATGATGGGTTGGCCTTCTCATCTGCGAGCCCTAATTTTGCAGGTTCACAGAAAATGCTACATCACAAAATCCTTTTTTAAAAAACTCTTCCCAGGGTCAAACTCCACAGCCAATCAAAATATTCCACCTTTTAACTTGAGGGAAATCGCTAAAGGAAAGGATAGCTTTAACTAGTGTGTCTTTTGGATTGGGGGACTCAAAGAGAGGTCTCCCCAAGTTCCACAAGACTTCGGACCACAGAAAACCCACCACCCATGCGTGTTTTTGATTCCTTGAGGACACATGCTGAGGTGGTTGGGAACGAAGTTTCACATCTACCTAAAAGATCATGACCAGGGATAGAGAGACGACCAAATTTGGGAGAGCAGTTACGGTGCAGTTACGGAGGCGGAAGGACGCTCTCAGTACCCCGTTTCCACACTTTCATTCTTAAAGGCATGCAACCCCTTTCTAAATAAATGTAGCTCCCCAGGTTTCCACTACCTGAAGAGAAACCCTCACAGCACACTCTGGAAATGTTTTACAATTCGTTTTAAATGCGTATTATTTCTAACTAAATCATTGAGGGACTCCTATGTATTTATTTATTTATTTATTTTGAACATTTTCAAACGGATGGGGAAGTTTTGCTTCCATGTTTCCATTTTTTTCCCCCCAAATTGGCATTAGGCACCAAAATCAGTTGAGGAACGAAGCATTCCTTAGCTAGAATTTAAAACTTAACAAGGGACTCTTCCCGAGCTTGGTAAAGAGAATACCATTTTAAAATTGCACTGTAGGATTTTTTTACCTTCAGACAAGAACACACCTAAAAGGAAAAAGGCCCTCCCCTCCTCCCGAAGCACAAAAACACAGCATATCCCAAGCAGCCCGTTTCCTACCCAGCCAATACAATAACGCTTTGTAAACTGAGAGCAGCGCCCGGTATAGAAGCTAAGTATAAACAGCTGAGAAGGATTAGGCGGTAGCGCTCTTCTCATTTACATGAAAATCCTCTAAGCATCGTTTTCCTCGCTGGCTGCGGGCGCATAAGGAACTCTTTTATGCCATAGCCACGCATACATTTCCATCCTTTGTCTTTACTTACCAGTCGAGGCTGTGGGCATGTGTGCTCTATTTCCTCCATGGTTTCTGAGGGAGGCTCATTGGAAAGGGATTTTGGGATACCTGTTTCTGACTCAGCATCAGTGGTAACTACTGGCATGGCCAGTGAATGCTCCCTCTAGCTCTACACCCTCAGAGAGTCTCCTCCCAGGCAGAGAATGTTTTCTTTGTCACGTATTTTTCTCCCCTCTACCCTCCACCCATCCCCCCGCTTCTTCTCCCCTTCTTTCTGTCTTCCCTAGGGGAAGTAAAGAGGTTACCCCCCGCCCCTCTCTCTCTCTCTCTCTCCCAGAAGCCAAGAGGCAAGGCCTCAGTTTATCACTATAACAACCAGACGACACTGAAGCGGCTGGTGCGGGATACAGTATCTCATTTGCATAGAGCGCGCTGGTTGGCTACTGTCATCATAGTACCACTCCGCCGGGAAGCGGCCGGGCCCCATTGGCTAGCCCTCCGTACCCACGGGCCCGAACTTGCTGCTTTTGTTTCTTCTGTTTAATTCAGTTGCAAAGGTCTCCGTCCTCTCTGGGCACGGGACCCGGGCTGCGCCACCCAGATAACATAAAACCGCTTCCTGAGGGGCCTAGGACGCCTTGAGAAACAACATAGCAGACCTCCACTAATAAAGGACCATGTCCCTGGGATGAGCTAGTGCATGATGTGCTGTAGTCAGGATATTTGCCAAATAGGAGTCACCCTGAAGACAAAGCCACTTTTGAGCCCAAATTCATTGTGCTAATTGCCAGTGGAGGGCCCCTCCGGGCATTCACTATGGGCACCTGAGTGTTCGACCCCTGGACTTCATGCAACGTGAACCCTGGCAGATCCCCTCGTGGCCTGGTGTAGCCCTGGAGCCCTCCCCTGGGGCTGCCCTAGGGGGAACTTTGAAGGAGGTAGATTGTCTTTAACAGCCTGCCTCCTACTCCTGGCTGCCCTTTCGCAGTTGCTTCCTCTGTCAGCCACTCTTCCCCTTCCCCAGCTATTCAAAGTTTCCTCAAGAAGTCTTGCTGTTGTGTGCCTTTCAATACACTGTTCCATGCACTGCTCTATTTTCTCTTGGTTCCTACTTTACCAGTCGTGGGTCCCATTTCCGAAGTACCCTGCTCTCAGCCAAATGCTCATGGCAATCAGAGATGGAATGTTAACGATCAGGTGCTTTAATGTCTACATTATCTAGGGACATTCACATTTTAAGAGGAGCATTCTGAAGACACACATCCAAAGAACTTACCAAGGTATTCATTGTGAATTGTCACTTTTAATATTAATAAAAAATCATGATGATCCCTGGCATTTATTAAGCACAAGCACGGTGCTAAGTACTTTACCTAGTTCTTGTTTAATCTTTGTGAGAACCCAAAGAGGTAGATCCTATTGTTATCCTCATTTTACAGGTATTCACATTCACAAAATTCTAAAATAATGCAGCTGGGATTTGAAGGAATTTTTTTTTTTTTTTTTTTTTTTTTTGCGAAGGGCGAGGTGGTGGGGGCGGGCGCGTAGGGACCAGGGATGCAGCAGGTGTAGTAAGAAAAGGATCTAGGCAGGAGTCCTCTTAGGACAAGTCCCTGGGCTTCTACATCTTTCATTTTTATCTACAGTAGTGGTTTTCATTCAAGTGTGGTCTGGGACCAGCAGCACCAACATCAGCATCACCAGGGAACTTGTTAGAAATGCGAATTATTGGCCCCCTGCCAGACCCCGGACCTGATTCAGTAAGTCTGGGGTGGGGTCAGAATTTGCTTTTCTAGAGAGTTTCTGGGTGTTGTTAATGCTGCAGGTCTGGGAACTATACTTTGAGAATCAGTAGCCCAAAGGATGGGATAAAAATACCGGGCTTGCCTCCATCACAGAAAGGAGATCAAATGAGATATCATGTCATTGCACTTTTTGAATTAGAACGTGCTATGCTAATATAAGGGGACATTATTTTTATTACTCCTCAATAAGCAAAGAGGGCTAGTCCTAAAAGAAGAAGAAAATGGATTCTGTAGCAGAGAATTACAGTTTGACAGTTTTAGATGCTGGCCCTTTAAGTCAGAATAACATCACTTAAGAGTATTATGACCTATACAGGACAGAACTCCAGTGTTGTGAGAATTCCAGTGATGCTTCCTACCCTATTTGCCCTCCTGGAAGCACAAAACACTTCCAGCAGCAGGTTTAACTCTACCAGCTCATCACCTGGAAGAGCCAAGCCCTGTGTTACATTTAGGAGCCCTTTTCCTACGTGTACTGGGTGACGTGCAAATGACATGGTTATTCTAATCTCAATATATGTATTTTTGCCTTAGAGCAGTGGTTCTCAAAGTGTACTTCTCCAAGAAGTGCAGCAGCAGCCCTGGTCACTTGTCAGAAATTCTGGATCCCCACCCCAGACCTACTGAATCAGAAATTCTGGCTTCCCACTCCAGACCTACTGAATCAAAACCTCCTGGTTTGGGAGGCATTCTGACCCACGCTAAAGTTTACAAACCACTACCTTAGAGTCACTGTTCACATTGGAAAGCACCTAAACCCCACTGTATTCTTGGCCACTGAGCCACCCCTTGGTTCCTAATTGGTCACCTAATTCTCTCTCCAGAATGAGAGGTTCACCTGTTCACCTGCTCATTTTAAAGAGTTCTGATGTCTAGCTGAGTCCTTGTGAACTCTTGTCCAAGAGCCTAGGCCATTCCTTTAGACTCCCAATATCTTCTGTCTCCCTTCCTCACCTTCTTCTCCTCCTAATCCTCCCCTGTCCCATTGAACCAAGATACTGCCTTTGCCTAGGATATCTTCATTGTATTACCCACATCAAATCCTTAGCTTTCAGTGCTACTTTGTGCTAAGTCCGTCACACCTGACACTTACTCATCCCAAGTCCTTGAACTTTGAAATTTAGACTTCTGTCTAACTGCCCTGAGGGTCAGCTCTATAACTAATTCCATTCCCACTAATTCTGCTCCAGCCTAGTCCTGGCTTCTTCCTGCTCCTCTCCCCACAGTCCTGTGATTGAATCTCAGCATGTCTTGCAGTCTTAATGGCAGAAATAGGCTCTTTCAGGCACCACTCTGAGAGGAGTCCTTAACAGATCCACCCACTTTGGAGACCAGTCCTGGCAGCTGCTACAACCTGACTCAGAAACTTCTTGATAATACTTGAGTGAGTTATTTTAACTTGGGGGCATTGTAATGCTATCAAGACAATTAGCTAAGAATGATCAGTTAATTCCACACTACAGAGCTAAATATTCCATAAGGGTTATGAAGGGGATGACTATGAAGGGATAGCAGGAGAGAGTTTATTGGGGTAATGGAATTATTATGTAGCTTTTTTTTTTTTTTTTTTTTTCAGACAGGATCTTACTCTGTTGCCAGGCTGGAATGCAGTGGTGCAATCTCAGCTCACTGCAACCTCTGTCTCCCAGGCTCAAGCGATCCTCCCACCTGAGCCTCCCAAGTATCTGGGACCACAGGTGTATGCCACCACTCCTGTCTAATCTTTCTATATTTTTGGTAGAGACAGGGTTTCACTGTGTTGCCCAGGCTGGTCTGGAACTTCTGGCCTCAAGTGATTCACCTTCCTCGGCCTCCCAAAGTGCTAGGATTATAGGCGTGAGCCACTGTGGCCGTCCAAGAATCATTATGTATCTTGATTATGGTAATGATTTCAAAAAATCCATGCATGTGTTAACTTCATTAGAAATTCCATAGAGGATATTTGTCAGTATATGCTAACAGCCTTTAGAATATTCATACCCTTTGACCTAGGGATTCCACTTGGTAATTTATCCCAAAAGAAATAGAGAAGCACACAAATAATTATGTACAAAGATGCTTAATGCAGAATTATTTATAAAAGGCAAAAAAGATACAACTTACAGCAATAGTAGGAATAGTTCAAATAAAAATAAGTCCATATAATATAGTATTGTACACTCACTAAGAGTCATGTTTTTGAAGAAATTCTAATGTTATGGGCACGTGTTAGCATTATAGTGTTAGAAAAGCAGGCTGCAAAATGTGATTCCAAAAACATGAGCCCAATTATGTCATATGTACATGCACAGAAAAAAGCATTGGAAGGAAATATATCAAGATGCTAAAAGTGAAATCTTTAAACTGTGGGGTTATGGAAGATTTTTGTTTTACTTTAAAACAAATTTTTCTGCCTTTAACAAATATTCAAGGCTGGGCGCGGTGGCTCACGCCTGTAATCCCAGCACTTTGGGAGGCTGAGGTGGGTGGATCATGAGGTCAAGAGATCGAGACCATCCTGGCCAAACAGTGAAACCCCGTCTATTTTAAAAATATAAAAATTAGCTGGGCGTGTTGGCAGGAATCTGTAGTCCCAGCTACTCTGGAGGCTGAGGCAGGAGAATCGCTTGAACCTCGGAGGCGGAGGTTGCAGTGAGCCGAGATCACGCCATTGCACTCCAGCCTGGGCAACAGAGCGAGATGCCATCTCAAAAAAAAAAAAAAAAAAATATATATATATATATATATATATATATATATATATATATATTCAAAAATGAGCATATATTATTCTTTTTTTTTTTGAGACAGGGTCTCACTCTGTTGCCCAGACTGGAGTGCAGTCACGTGATCACAGCAGCCTCGACCTCCCAGACTCAGGTGATCCTCCCACCTCAGCCTTCCAGGTAGCTGGGACTACAGGACACGCAACCACGCCTGGCTAATTTTTTGTAGAGATGGTGTTTCACCATGTTGCCCAGGCTGGTCTTGAACTCCTGAGCTCAAGCGATCTGCCTGCCTCGGCCTCCCAAATTGCTGAGATTACAAGCATGAGGCACCGCACCAACCCTATATTAGTCTTATAATTAGAAAAAAACAATGAACATTACTGTCCTCCCCAAAGTCATCAAGAGCTGGGTATTAGGGTTGGGGTGAGACAGGCATGGTTAGCTCATGAGCAAATAGAAAGATGCACAGACCTCAGTGAGAGGAAACAAAAAAGCTGAAACCGAGGAACAAAGCTGGAGCAAAGTCCTAAAGTCCTATCTCCAGTTAGCAGAGGCAGAGGAAACATGTTGGAGGTAGGCTGTTCAGAAAAGTCCCAGAGAATGTTTAGGAACAGGGCTTCTGAGTCCCATGACCTCTACAAGAAGAGCATGCCTTCTGTGAGAACTTGTCAGATCAGTGCTGTCCCTAACAAGGACTATCATGATTATTTCTACTGTTTATTGAGTACCTCTTATGTCTTTAGCACTATGGTATTAGGTTGGTGCAAAAGTAATTGCAGTTTTTACCATTAAAAGTAATGACAGGCCATGCGTGGTGGCTCACGCCTATAATCCCAATATTTTGGGAGGCCAAGGCGGGCGGATCACCTGAGGTCAGGAGTTCAAGACCAGCCTAGCCAACATAGCGAATCCCCGTCCCTACTAAAAATACAAAAATTAGCCAAGCGTGTTGGTGGGCGCCTGTAATCCCATCTACTAAGGAGGCTGAGGCAGGAGAATCGCTTGAACCCAGGAGGCGGAGGTTGCAGTGAGCAGAAATCACACCATTGCACTCCAGCCTGGGCGACAAGAGCGAAACTCCGTCTCAAAAAAAAAAAAAGTAATGACAAAAAACCGCAATTATTTTTGCACCAACCTAATGCTTATCATAGCCTACCTATAGCCCTGACAACACCCAATCAGATAGGTATAGTTGCCCCACTTTGAAGATGAGGAAGCCAAGCCATAGAGACCTTAACTTCAGCTTGGAACACACCTACAAATGACATCTACCTTCCTACAAGCAGTCCTCACATCAACGTCATCAAATTGTTGAAAACATTATTTTCGGCCAGGCACGGTGGCTCATGCCTGTAATCCCAGCACTTTGGGAGGCTGAGGCGGGCAGATCACTTGAGGTCAGGAGTTCAAGACCAGCCTGGCCAACATGATGAAACCCAGTCTCTATTAAAAACACAGAAAATTAGTTAGGCGTGGTGGCACATGCCTGTAATCCCAGCTACTCGGGAGGCTGAGGCAGTAGAATCGCTTGAACCCAGGAGGAGGAGGAGGTGTCAGTGAGCTGACATTGCACCACTGCACTCCAGCCTGAACGACAGAGGAGACTCCATCTTAAAACAAAACAAAACAGTATTTTCAAAGATCTGCAAAGAAGAACTACTAGGTTGGTGCAAAAGTAAATGCAGTTTTTGCCATTGAAAATAATGACAAAACCGCAATTACTTTTGCGCCAACCTAATAAAGTACTCTCTTTGGAGGAGATGCTGTCTGAACCCTGCCGAAATCCCCTCAGGACTTACCATAATGACTATGACGTTACCATAGTCAACACCTGACCCACTGTCAACTGCCAGCACCTGCATCTCTCTGCCTGAGGGCTTTATCTGGCCATTGGAAAGCCCTGCCCTCCCAACACCACCATTAAGTCAGAACTAAAGGGCCAGAAAATTAACAGCCCATATCCCCAAGAGCTCTCAACCAATGATTGATAGAAGTCAGTGTATAAATACCCTAGTTTCCTCAGCCCTCAAGTGAAATAACTCTGAACTGCATGTTCTACCCTAACTCCCAGAGTCCCCCAGTGGGATTAAGTTCCACTTGCCACAGGGCACCCTTTATCAGTTGCCTTCCTTTCCTTGTTTCACTTACCCATGCTCCTGTATTTCCTGGAATCGGATCATCTCCCAAATAAACTACTTGAACTTGAATCTTTCTTGCAGAGCCAGCTTATGGGGCATCTCAGAAGGTCTCAAGATACCATTAAGGTGCCCACCATAAAATTCTTTTTTTTTTTTTTGAGACAAAGCTTCACTCTGTCACCCAGGCTGGAGTGTAGTGGTGTGATCATCTTGGCTCACTGCAACTTCTGCCTCCTGGTTTCAAGCGATTCTCCTGCTTCAGCCTCCCAAGTAGCTGGGATTGCAGGCACACACCACCACACCCAGCCAATTTTTTTGTATTTTTAGTAGAGGCGGGTTTTCACCATGTTGGCCAGGCTGGTCTCAAACTCTTGACCTCAAATGATCTGCCCGCCTCAGCCTCCCAAAGTGCTGGGATTATAGGCATGAGCCACCATGCCCAGGCCTGACTCTACTATTCCTTCCACGTTTCTTTTCTTTCTTTCTTTCTTTTTTTTTTTTTTTTTTTTGAGATGGAGTCTCACTCTGTTGCCCAGGCTGGAGTGCAGTGTGGTGCAATCTCGGCTCACTGCAACCTCTGCCTCCCAGGTTCAAGCAATTCTCCTGCCTCAGCCTCCCAAGTAGCTGGGATTACAGGCATGCGCCACCACGCTCAGCTAATTTTTTTGTATTGTTAGGAGATACGGGGGGTTTCACCATATTGGCCAGGCTGGTCTCGAACTCCTGACCTTGTGATCCGCCTGCCTCGGCCTCCCAAAGTGCTGGGATTACAGGCGTGAGCCACCGCGCCTGGCCCACGTTTCCTTTTTTATTCATTTTCTTCTCACTGCCCCAGATTTACCAAACAAGAAATTTATGGCGGGGTGGCGTGACTCACACCTGTAATCCTAGCACTTTGGGAGGCCGAGGCAGGTGGATAGCTGGAGCCCAGGAGTTCGAGACCAGACTGGGTAACATGGCAAAACCTGGTCTCTACTAAAAATACAAAAACATGAGCCAGGCATGGTAGCATGTACCTGTAGTTCCAGCTGCTCTGGGGGCTGAGGCAGGATTGCTTGAACCTGGTAGGCAGAGGTTGCAGTGAGCCGAGATTGCGCCAGTGCACTCCAACCTAGATGACAGAGTAAGACCCTGTCTCAAAAAAAAAAAAAAAAAAAAAAAGAAATGTATCATGAAGAAGGAAGGGAGGAAGGGAGATGGAAAACACGGGGTAAAGATGACAGAAGAATTTCAGATTTCCCAGAAAGCATTATTACCTCCTATGGAATTTTGCTACTTTTATGTCTCTGTTTTGAGCCACTTTCCCAGTTGTCCACATGTGGCTTAAGGTCTGGGCCTAATAGTACAGGAAAATACTCTACCATACTAAGTAATGAAATCCATACATAAATCCTTTCCACCCATTCCAGGAAAATTATAGTAGTAAAAATATTTTTCAGTAGAAAGCGTTTCACCCCTCCCTTGGTGCTTTTACACATTGACTTATAATAACACTATGAGACTGACATGTTTTTATACTGAAAAATTTCAAATGAATGAACAAATTCAGAGCAGTTAAGTGATTTGACCATGGTCACATAGTAAGTGGTAGAAGTATCACTTGAATCCAGGTCTCTTGAATCAAAGTTCAACACTGTTTTCCACCAAACCACGCTGCCTCATTGTGTGATACACAGTAGTTAGATTTGCTTTATTAACAAGCCTGCTGAGCTAACTCATGCAGATCTCATCATCTAATATAACCCCTTAACCCCTTTTCTATTGAATTCATGTACATGAAGCACTCTTTACTTTTATTCATTCAGTTCATTTCATATTTGTGCAACCGTGGATTTGGACTCATTTTAAATCTTGAATTTACTAATGACAAGAAAAATAAACACAGTTGCGGCCAAGTGCAGTGGCTCACGCCTGTAGTCCCAACAATTTGGGAGGCCGAGGTGGGCGGATCACCTGAGGTCAGGAGTTCAAAGACAGCCTGGTCAACATGGTGAAATTCTGTCTCTACTAAAAATACAAAAATTAGCCAGGCGTGGTGGCGGACATCTGTAATCCCAGCTACTCAGGAGGCTGAGGCAGGAGAATCACTTGAACCTGGAAGGCGGAGGGTTGCAGTGAGCCAAGATTGTGCTATTGCACTCCAGCCTGGGTGACAGAGTGAGACCCTGTGTCAAAAACAAAACAAAACACAGTTGCATTTCCAGGGACACCAGTGGGTCAAGAGCTCGGCTGATTCAGGTCTATGACCTATAAAGGCCATTAGGGGGAGGCCAAGGCAGGTGGATCACCTGAGGCCAGGAGTTCCAGACAAGCCTGGCCAACATGGCAAAACCCCGTCTCTACTAAAAATACAAAAAAAAAAAAAAAAAATTAGCCGACTGGTGGCAGGCGCCTGTAATCCCAGCTACTCGGGGCGCTGAGGCAGGAGAATTGCTTGAACACGGGAGGCGGAGGCTGCAGTGAGCCAAGATCGCGTCATTGCACTCCAGCCTGGGCAACAAGAGCGAAACTCCATCTCAAAAAAAAAAAAAAAAAAAAAAAAGCCCATTAGGGGAAAAAAATAATGGTGAGACATGAAAATAGTCAGGGCTTCAAAATCTATTATTGCAGGGGGTCGCGGGGGGGGGTGGTAATCAAGAAGACAGAATGAAAGTGCTTTGTTTTATTATTAAAATTGATTTTCTTCTTTTTCTAACTTCTATAATAACCAAAAAAGAAATGACCTTCACTCATCAATGTGACCAAAATTTGAATGTAAGTGCAGTTTTAAGGAGCTAGGGAGAAACTGCGCAGACCCAACATGACAAACCTATTGCATACATGAAAATACAGCTAACAAAATGCCATTTTACATCTTACATTTAAAAGAAATATATATTTGCAATTGGTTGGGGAGATGAACAGTAAGGAGCTCCAATATTCTTTTTTTTCTTTTTTTCCTTTTTTTTTTTTTTTTTTTTTTTGAGACAGAGTCTTGCTCTGTTTCCCAGGCTGGAGTGCAGTGGCATGATCTCGGCTCACTGCAGCCTCTGCCTTCCGGTTCAAGCAGTTCTTCTGCCTCAGCCTCCCGAGTAGCTGGTATTACAGGCATGCGCCACCACACCCGGCTAATTTTTGTATTTTTAGTAGAGACGGGTCTCAAACTCCTGACCTCAAGTGATCCCCCAACCTCGGCCTCCCAAAACGCTGGGATTACAGGCGTGAGCCACTGCGCCAGGCCCAGCTCCAATATTCTTAGCACTCAAGGACACCAGTCATTGCACCTGTGTTTAAGAAGGTCTTAAAAGAGATATTTTTAAAATCAAAACAAGATGTATTATTTAAATGCTGATAAAATCAGTTGTATATATGATATATTTTGTTTTGCTCTAGCAAAACAAATATGACGGCAGGGTTTTTTGCATAAATTAAAGTTGCCCTTAGCTGGAATAAATCATTCTTATTGACATTAGCAGCTGTGTAGTCAGTAAAGAATGATTGTTGCTATTACTTGGTGGTATTTATAAACACTTTTATTTTCTAAGTGCTTTACAATCACTTATTGTCTAATTAATATCTAATCATCCGTTTACAAGTAATAATCACACATGTAGTGCAGTTTAATCAAAACTCCAAATACAGCCGCCATCATACTCAAGAGTGCCATGTAAATTTTGGTCCCTTCTTTATGGGGTTTGAGTCCAGACATGCAGCTGAAACAGATAATACATCAGAAAAAAAATGGATAAATATTCCTCACTTATATTTGAGCATAATTTGGATTCACAACTTTTGCATGCCAAATATATTATCTGAATGTCAGTGGATGAGTAAGACCATAGGTAATTTTCAACACTTAAGGGCTCATTTGCACACACATATAAAATTGTAATTTATTTAACCCACAAAATTGGATGATAGTTTATGATAAATGTACAAGGCCAGGCACTGACTTAACATTGAAACTCTTAGTCACAATCACTGTTTCAGTCATTTTAATGAAAAAGAGCAAATGTAGCAAAGGTGGCTCAGAGACCTTCAAGGTTAATAATCTAACCAGGTTCAAGTCTACACCAAGCTACGCCCAGTATGAACACCTGCCAGTCTTAATTAGCTAACATAAGTGGATGTACTGCTGTCTCCCTTCAGTCTCCCCAAGTGTTATTCTATAAGCAATTATAGGAACCAGAAAAGGATTTTTTTAAGCAGGTGAATGATGTGCATATTAATCCAGTTTTTCTCCTTCTAGGATGAATTTTCTTAAAGTAGAATTGCTGAGTCAGAGTATTTATGTTTTTAAAGCTTTTGATACATGTTTTTTTGACACTGTTATCAAATTATCCTCCAGCATGGGTGACCATATGTACACTTCTTTGCATACCCCTAAAGAGTGGTCTTTCTTGATTATTGGTGTACCATAACCAGATTTCCTCCTTGCTGTCCTACCAGGCAGTTTCCCAGTACTACAGCAAGTACTGCAGGGTCCTGAGGATTGTGCCGGGGGGCCTTCTGCATATGATACAAATGAGCTTGATTGACAAGTGAGTCATCAGGACCATCTGACGCCAGGAGGGATACATTCATTTGCAAGTAAACTATTATTACAATCATCGGACTTTATACTAATAGATTTTGAATGACATGGTCTCCAAAGTGATTCTTTGTCTTGCAAAATCTGCACTCAGAGTCTTTGAATGCTCAAAGAGAGACTCCGTTTAATCTTCTGTGCTTCTGTGTGTTTTCTACGGCTGCTGTAACAATGTACCAGAAATGTGATGGCTTAAAACAACACAAAGATATTATCTTAAAGTTCTGGACCAGGGTCAGAAGTCTGAAATGGGTCTCAGTGGGCTAAAATCAATGTACCTGCAGGACTGCATTTCTTCTGGAGGCTCTAGGGGAAATTGTTTCATTGCTTTTTTTTTTTTTTTTTTTTTTTAGCTTCTAGAAGCTGCATGCATTCCTTGACTCCTGGCCTGCTTTCTTCTATCTTCAAAGACAGCAATTGCATCACTCCAGCCTCTGCTTCACTGGTCACATATTCTCTAAGTCTCCTGCCTTCCTCTTTCACTTCAAAAGACTCTTGTAATTACATTGAGTTCCTTTGGATAATCCAGGATAATCTCTCCCATCTCAAGACCTTTAACTTAATCACATCTATAAAGTCTCTTTTGCCATATAAGGTAACATATTCACAGGTTCTGGAAATTACAATGTAGACATCTTTGGGAGGCCCTTATTCTTCCTATCACATCTTCCTTAGCATGAGCTGGGCCTGGTATCTCATCTCCAGATATTATGGAAATATGGCTAACAGTCATTCAATTGCAGACAATTGCTAACATTGTCTACAATTTTAAGACTTAGTAATTTATGACATCCTTCTCTGTATCAGAAACAGGCATTATGTCTAGTTTGCAGATAAGAACTGGGGCTCAGAGACATTAAATAATTTGCTCAAGGTCACAGAACTGGTCAGTGGCAGAACTGAGTTTCACATTTAGGACTGTGGGACCTCAAAGCCCCCACTCAATGCATGATGCCTTGGTACCTCAACATTTTTAATGCTCTGCTCATTCTGCTCTTTTTGGATAGCCTTCACGTTGAAAGCTTTTCATTTAGTTTGTTTGACATTTAATAATACAACCTAGCTAGATAAAAGCTTTTATTAAGGCCCTATAAATATCATATTTGACTCATTCAGTAAGTGCCAGTGCAGGATGTCATCACAAAACACACATTGAAGATAATGTCTCCATATCCTCTAATAAATCTTCCTAAAAGTGGCATCAAATGGGTTCTTCCTCTGCAATACAAACAGAAGTGGCCTCACCAGGTTTTCTTCTCTGTGGGCAATGTGTAAATCTGTGAATAACAGGTGGTGCTGGTGAGAAATGATCTTTCCAAAAGCCCACGAGTATACAAATATCCTATTCTTGACAAAGAGTGTCTAACACTTTAGGGGTGTCTTAGTCTGTTTTATGCTGCTATAACAGACTACCACAGAGTGGGTAATTTATAATGAACAGAAATGTATTTGGCTCATAGTTGTGGAAGCCGGGAAGACCAAAAGCATGGTGCCAGCATCTGGTGAGGGCCTTTGTGTTCCATCATCCCATGGCAGAAAGCAGAAGGGCAAGAGAAGGCAAGAGCAAGGAAGCAAGAGGGAGTTGAACTTGCTTTTATAACAAATCCACCCTTGTGGTAACTAAGCCTCTCCTGTGTTAATGACTTTAATCCACTCATGAGGTCAGAGCCCTCATGACCTAATCACCTATTATTAGACACTGTTGCATTGGGGATTAAGTTTCTAACACATAAACTTTGGGGGACACGTTCAAACCATAGCAGGAAGTCTAAGTTAATCTCTTAATAAAGACGCTTATCCACTTTGCTTTATTCTGGAAGGTTCTCAACCTTGGTTGTGCATTAGAATCACCTTAGGAGCTTTCAAAAACACTGAGGGCTGATTCCTGCTCCCTAAAGATTCTGATCTAATTGTCCTGGGGTTTAGCATCAGGGCTTTTAAAAGTTTAGAACAAAAAAAAAGTTCAGAACCACTGTGATGAAGGAGAGATGATGAGACACTTTATTCATACATGGATTTTGACCCCAAAACTATTTGGCTCTCAAATAGAAAAAAAGGATCTCTATTTTGTTTGTATCAAGAGTGAGAAACCCTATTTGTGTATGTGTCCCAGGAAGCTGGCTATGTAAAAACTTTCAATATCTCCAAAAGCAATCATTTTAAACACCTAGTCTACTAAAATGCCAGATGAGAGGCCATGTCAAATGACACTAAGGAGGCCAGGTATGGTGGCTCACGCCTGTAATCCCAGCACTTTGGGAGGCTGAGGCGGGCAGATCACCTGAGGTCAGGAGTTCGAAACCAGCCTGGCCAACATGGTGAAACCTTGTCTCTACTAAAAATACAAAAATTACCTGGATGCGGTGGCATGCGCCTGTAATCCCAGCTACTTGGGAGGCTGAGGCAAGAGAATCGCTTGAACCCAGGAGGTGGAGGTTGCAGTGAGCCAAGATCTCACCATTGCACTCCAGCCTGGGCAACAGGGGCAAAACTCTATCTCAAAAAAAAAAAAAAAAAAGAGGAAAAAAAAGACACTAAGGGTGCCTGAGAGTAGCTATATGCGGTCAATGATCTTTCACAGAAGCCCACCCTTGCTTTGAGAAGATATTCTCTTGAGTAAGCAAGTATGATATAAGCACATCTTCAAAGAAAAATAATCCTTTATTTCTACAAAATGGTCTGGATAACAACCTCATTCCACCATTCAATTGCAGGAACTCAACAGGAGCAAAACCATTAGCAGTGAACCATGGCAGTCTCTAGCACATATGGTACTACCATTGCTCAAAACATTTTTGGAATAAGTCTTTGGTCATCATTTGAAAGTGTGAAGATAACAATACTCATATGAATATATAAGTTATATTATCCTTTTTAAAAAAAGATAGAAATCATCAAAAAGACTTTGGAGACTCCTGACAGCCAAAGATGAAAAGTTTAAGCATCAATAAGGATAAGAACTGCAATTGATGGAAACGTATCTAATGTTTTTCAATGCATGAGTTCATAATACTATCAAAAGTAACCCCTAAGCCTCATTTGTCTGCATTGAAGGATGCTAGAGAAAAACACATTATTTTGAAAACTGGGAAATGATCAAGCCTTTATTTAACCTTTCCTATACAAACTGTCCCTCTAGGTCACCAAACAAGAGAAGTATCTTGTCTTAGAATGAGTAATGAAGAAGGTAAGATGGTAATGAATTATGTCCACTTTATAACCCCTAAGGAAAGATTGGGCTTAGGCACTTAGCATCAACTACTGCTAACATGACAGAAAGACAGGCAATACCAAACATTATGTACTCCTAATAGAAGTACATGTACTACCTATGAAATAGTCTGCCAAGTAAATAGAACCTGGCTTTGATCACACCTCTTGATCTGAGGCCAATTTACAGGAAATACAGAAGGGATAAAGGAGTATGTTAACACCACAGGGATGCAATCAGCAAAATCTAGATTGTGGAAAACTCTATAGAACAAACCTTGTTTCTTCAACCAAAAAATTGCAAGAAGCCTATGGATTAAATGAGATCTAAAAGACATATCAATCAATTGCAATATGTACACTGTATTATTTGAATCCTAATTCAAAACACTGTAAAAATGACAATGTTTATAAAACAGTTAGAAATTTGAACAATTTCTGGATGCTATGAAGGAATTATTGTTAATTTATTTAGGTATAATAATGATACTGTAGCTGCTTGAGGTCACTCACACCTGTAATATCAGCACTTAAGGAGGCCAGGACCAGAGAATCCCTTGAGCCCAGGAGTTTGAGAACAGCCTGGGCAACATGGTGAGACTTCATCTCCACTAAAAATAAAAAAGCAAAACTAGCTGGGTGTGGTGGTGTGCGCCTGTGGTCCCAGCTACTTGGTAGGCTGAAATGGGAGGATTGTTTGAGCCCAAGAGGTTGAGACTGCAGTAAGCTGTGATTGCGCCACCGCACTCCAGCCTGGGCAACAGAGTGAGACTGTCTCAAAAACAAACAAACAAACAAACAAACAGGTATTGTGTTTATGTTTTCAAAACTATTTTAGAAATATATACTGAAATATTTGCAGATGAAATATGTTGTTTGGATGTGGGGAGTGGATAGAATCAGTGGTTCTCAACTGGGTACAATTTTGCTGCAAGGTACATTTAGCAATGTCTGGAGACAGTTTTTGTTGTCACATCTTGGGGCTGGGGGTGCTGTAGACATCTAGTGGGTGAAGGCCATAAATGCTGCTAAACATCCTACAATGCACAGGACAATCGTCCACTGTAAGATAATGGCTCTGCCCCGGCACCCTGATGACCTTGAATGTGTCCATAGAGGCAAAGGCTTGACGTGCAGCTCATCTGAGTGTTGGAGAACGCCTTGTGATCCTCCTGGAACAAGCTCTCCTGGAACAGGGAGGCCTGTGAAGAGTTGTTCCAGGGCTATTTGCCACTCACCTCCTTATCTCCCCTGAGCAACTGTCATGAAGCAGTTTCTAATAGTCTCTTTGTTTGGGTTGGGATATGGGTCTTCCTGCCCTGCCCCTCCCAGTACAAAGTTACAGAACAGAAAAACACTTAGTTGCAATCTACAGTGGGCTCCTCAGCAATGGGAGTCGAGGTTATCCGGCCCCTTTTGTTGTAGAGTCCTTCTTTTTGGTATGTGGGACAAGCACAGTACGAAGCTGGCACCACAGGCTACTGTTTCCTTTGCTATGTAAGTAATAAACTGTCTTAATCTAAAAGTGATTAGTTATACTTTTACCAGTCAAGTCATTCAGACCTTGCCTTGTCTTGTGTGTGCTTGACACCCATGACAAACAATTTTCTAGCCCAAAATGTCTATTATGCTGAGGTTGAGAAGCTCTAGATGAAGCAAGATGGGTCATGAGTTGATTACTGTTGAAGTAGGTGGCAAGTACATGAACAGTACAAATGGTAATGTACTATTAATATCTTGTCTAATTTTGTGTATGGTTGAAGCTTTCCCTAATAAAAAAAATTACTTTAAGAAGGATAAAAACTGGTCACCTTGCTTTTTTAGATGTATGACATTTTAAGTACATATACTGAGGCAATATGCACAAATGCACAAACTTTGCTGTCAGATTTCTAGCTCCACCAGTAAGTTACAAACTCTGTGTTCTTGAGCGAGTACTTGACCTCTTTAAGCCTCAGTTTCTTCCACAATAAAATAAAACTACTTATGCCCCCTGGGGGTTTTGTGGGGATTAAATATAAGTCAAGTGTTTGGCTGAATGCCTTAAATAAATACCTTTATTAGACCATCTTCCTTTGTTCTTTTTGCCTGCTGCTTTTCAATACAGAAATGCAAAGAGCCCTTCTTGTTATCTGGACAAGTAATTTTGATCTAGTCGATTTCTTTCCAAATAATTCCCTGGAAAATGTAGATAGATGGCCCTGATCTGAAGCGTTTTATTCTAAGTGTTTAAAACAGCAAACTGGCCAGGCGCAATGGCTCATGCCTGTAATCCCAGCACTTTGGGAGGCCGAGGCTGGGGGGGATGACTTGAGGTCAGGAGTTTGAGACCAGCCTGGCCAACATGGTGACACCCCCATCTGTACTAAAAACACAAAAACTAGCCACTGCGTGGTGGCGGGCACTTGTGATCCCAGCTACTCAGGAGGCTGAGACAGGAGAATCACTTGAACTCGGGAGGTGGAGGTTGCAGTGAGCCAAGATCACTCCACTGCACTCCAGCCTGGGTGACAGAGCGAGATTCCGTCTCAAAAACAAAACAAAACAAAACAAAACAAAACACACAGCAAACCCTGGAGGGCTCCAGGGGATGGGGAATGAGAAGGAATGTATATGGTGAATTCAGTAGTTCTCAGCTACTGAATGGGGGTGATCTTGTCCCACAAGAGACATTTAACAATGTCTGGAGACATTTTTGGTTGTCATGACTTGGGGAAGGGGAGTACTACTGGTATCTAGTGGTTAGAGACCAGGGATGCTATTAAACATCCTATGTCCTATGCACAGGACAGCCCCTACAACAAAGAATTATCTGGCCCAAAATATCAGTCATACCAAGGTTGAGAAACCCTGGGCTAATGTAACCAAAATTTCTTGATGAACCTTTCCTGGGTAATTAACTTTGCCTTTCTTTGTTCTTCTTACCTAACGCATACAGGTTATTAAAGACATGCTCAGGAGAAATTCGAAATGTGATTACTCTAGCTCTGTGGCCCTAATTTGTTATTCATTTCTTTATGAGAAAAAAAATCCAAGTAGTGTTCTGATTTTATTGCCTTCAAGTTTCACTTACCAAACTCAAAGCATGCACTGATTACCTTCTTAATTAATAGATTGTGAAAGCGGGGCATCACTTTATTAACTCGTGGAAAGGACGTACCATCTCCTGACAGCTCTGTAGTCTTTGTTTCCAACTATTATGCCAATGGGGGAGGATTGAGATGAAGGGGATTCAGACACTGCTCCACAAACAGATTATATTTCTCTTGTTAAAATAGCCCATCTTTGGCCAGGTGCAGTGGCTCACGCCTGTAATCCCAGCACTTTGGGAGGTTGAGGCAGACAAATCACTTGAGGTCAGGAGTTTGAGACCAGCCTGGCCAAGATGGTGAAACTCCATCTCCGCTAAACATACAAAAATTACCTGGGCATGGTGGCGCACGCCTGTGGTCCCAGCTACTCGGGAACCTGAGGCAGGACAATCGCTTGAACCTGGGAGGCAGAGGTTGCAGAGAGCTGAGATAGCACCACTGCACTCCAGCCTGGGTGACAGAGCAAGACTGTCTCAAAAAAAAAATTAAAATTAAAAATTACTGTTGAATTAGGTAAGGGCAAGACAACTGTAAAAGCTAGGGGACAACATTGAAAAACACCTAGGATTCCATATTCAAAGTGTTTTGAAGATATCTTAAGTTTTCACTCAATTTAGAATAAACTAAAAATGGAAATAATAGGCAATGCATATGTGTCTGCCTAATGAAAAAATACAACACAGAGCTCTAATCAGTGGCCCAATCAAAGGTTTGGCAAATTAATAATATATTTATTTTAAATTTAAATAAAATGTTTAATGTATGCATTTATCACTTTTAAGTGAGTCCCCATTATACTCATTTTATTTTTCTTTTCTTTTCTTTTTTGAGACAGAGTCTCGCTCTGTCACTCAGGCTGGAGTGCAGTGGTGTGATCTCGGCTCACTGCAACCTCTGCCTCCTGGGTTCAGTTGATTCTCTTGCCTCAGCCCCCTGAGTAGCTGAGATTACAGGCGCGTGCCACCACGCCCAGCTAATTTTTGTATTTTTAGTAGAGACAGGGTTTCGCCATGTTGACCAGGCTGGTCTCGAACTCCTGACTGCAGGTGATCCACCTGCCTCGGCCTCCCAAACTGCTGGGATTACAGTCGTGAGCCACCGCGCCTGGCCCCATTTTATTTTTCAATTAACTGACCAACTGGTCCCCACTGTAGAGGGTAAGAAGACTTCTACTGTACTTCCTGGTGACTATAACTCTCTCCTACCTTGTATAATGGAGAAAGCCCTACAAAGCTTTTTTATTAATTCTCCATTTTTTTGTTTTGAATTCTTTGTGTGAGACTTAAGAAAGTCCTTCATTTGCCACCCTAAGGTAAGATGTAGTAACCACATGGAAAAAAATTTATGAGGCAGGTAGGTGCACAAGTCTTACCTATCTCTCTTCGAGGCTGCCCCAGCTCCTGCCTACCTCTGAGAAAGCTGAGGAGTTGTAGAAGGTTGAGTCTGCCATCTGTGGTATCTCTAGGTGGGTCTCGCCTGGCCTTCAGACATCAGAAACCTCTAACAACCCTAGGAGTCTGGCAGGGTTGAGGTAGAGAGCCTTGTAAACAGTGATCACAACATCTGTGTTGCTGGTGTTAATGATAATGTCAATCAATTTAGACGCTAGGGTCAAGTTGGAGTTGGTCCATCCAACATTGATCCATGTCTCACTCAAAATCTGGGTTGAAACCCACTCATTCTCCTGAACAGCCTAGAGATGACCTTAGATGGACAAACTCAGGAGTTTCTCTGGGCAAGGAGGATACAGAATAAACAGTGATTTAAATTCCTTTCACTCATTCTACAGACATTTACTAAGCATGTTGGAAGTCATGCATCCAAGATAAATGTGATCATCTCCACTCTCAAAGGATATATAGAACAAGAAGATATATGTAAAGATATATGTAGGACAAACTCTTAAAGATTGATTTTTTGGTAAATATAATGGTACTATTAAAAATTATCATGTTAGTCTTTGCTTCCAAAAGAAATTATCATTAAGTTATTCTATACTTTTATTTATGACTTACATCAATGGAGCTAAGAAAAACAGATTTGAAATAGGTATTATTTTTGTCTTTCTCCTGGGCCATATTTACCAATTTTTAAATTTTCTTTTCTCTTTCCGTGTATGTGTGTGAGTGTGTGTGTGTGTGTGTGTGTGTGTGTGTGAGAGCGAGAGAGAGAGAGAGAATTTGTAGTTCATGGAAAGACAAAGAAAACTTTAAAATGTTCTAATACCTGGGGCAGGACTGATATAAAAAATATATTTCACTTCTTGAGGCCTCATTGTGAGAATGGGGCAAAATTAATTTTATGCCAGTTGCACCATTTTCTTTACCCCATAGTATTTGAGAGCTGGCTCCAAGTCCTTGAGAATAAAGGGCAAAAATAAGATAAACTCATAAGACTTATTTTCTCTCACATTGTTCCCAGCACTGGGAAGACTGGGGAAGCCCCAGATTTCACAAGAGACACTCACAAGTCTAGCCTCTCACTCCACATCTGCTTGCATGGTAATTGGGCCATTTCAGGGAGCCAAAGAGGAGTTAGGGAAGGCATGGTCACCAAAACTTGCCTTAGAGGACCACAGTGGGTAGGAATCTAGGGTCTGCCAGGGAGAGGTTAGTGCACTCTAGAGAGCCAGATTCACGTCGCTTCTTGGCCTTTTGGCTAAGATCAAGCGGAGAGCCAGATTCAGAATTAGCCTTTGCTCCACCTGTCAATGTTCAGAGTGAGAACTATCAGCAGAGCAGCCTATGGCAGTGATTATACATCCACTAGGTGAGTTAAGAGGACTCTTGAATCAGCCTACCCCTTAGTTTCTGAAGGAGACAAAACTGTGTTGGGTTAGCTTGAAGGCTGTACACATACATACCTGTAATATTAGGGCTCAGGTAGAGGAATTGCAGGGAGATAGATAAGAGGAAAGAAGGCCTACTGATGTTTGGAACAAAAGATAAAAATAAGGCTGGATGCAGTGGCTTACACCTGTAATCCCGACACTTTGGGAGGCCGAGGCGGGCAGTTCACTTGAGGTCAGGAGTTTGAGACCAGCCTTGCCAACATGGTGAAATCCCGTCTCTACTAAAAGTACAAAAATTAGCTGGGCATGGTGGTGGGTGCCTGTAATCCCAGCTACTCAGGAGGCTGAGGCAGGAGAATCGCTTGAACCCGGGAGATGGAGGTTGCAGTGAGCTGAGATCGCACCACTGCACTCCAGCCTGAGCAACATAGTGAGACTCCATCTCAAAAAAAAAAAGGTAAAAATATAATATCTCCTTTCCCTTTAAGTGGCTTTTAAAAAATGTTCAGATATCTAAGCTTCATAAATTTGGAGAGTTTTAAGTTGTTCAATTCCTTCCAAATAAGGACTAAATATTTAATGTACATTTACATTGTTTCTATTAATTTTTCTTTCCTCACTATGGCTAAAAATTTTCCTTAAAGAAGACAAGGAAGGGACAAACCATATCCTTTGATGCTCACTGCTAAATTGAGGAATTGGGTTTTATTTTTGCTAAAAAGACATGGCATTAATGTTTGCTATATGTCATAGACCAGTCCCAGCAAGCTGTAAGAAACCACCTCTGCTAAGGATATTATGGAAATGCAAGTGCCATTCTTCTCTAATAACTCAACATTCTCTCTTCTCTCCTATTTATTACCTAGAACCAGCATGGGACCTGGAACATGTGCCCCACAGATCTGAGGACTGATGGAGCTAACTGATGACTGGTGTCTGGGAAGGCAGCATGTTTGCCACCCTGTTCTCACTTCTGAAGGAGCTGAAAGATTTAGTTTCCAAAGCCTCTGGCCAGATCACACTCCCCCTCCCCGCAAGTGAATGCCTGGGAATCATCTCTTTCTCACAGACAGGAAGCCCTTATCTCACCATGAAGACTTGGCAGCAAAGACTGGTAAAGAGGAAAGAACAAACTGGGAGTCAGTTTTCCTTTTGATAAATGTATTCGCTGTAGAAAATCGGAGTCCACTTCAATAAATGGTCTCTTGAAAGAACTGTCTCTGTCAGTCAATCAGCAGATATTTATTGAACCCTTATTTCATACCAGGCACTGTGCAGAGCCCACAGGAGTACCTTTTCCAGGGAATCACAGAATATAGTGGAAGAAGTGAGGGCTTTGGAATTAGATCTTGATCCAGTCAAAATTTCAGTGTGAAAGTGTTTTATGCTACCATTCTACTTTAATATCCAAAGGCAAGGAGGAAGGTTCCTTCCTCCTTGCCTTTGGATATAAACCAAGTAGTGTAAAATGATTTCACATAGAATTTCAAAATAGCAGAAGGGTTGGTAGAAATAACTAGGCTAACCACATTATTTCCTACAAGGGCACCTTAGGGGATCCCTGTTTTAATGAATAAATAAAAATGATGTGTAATTATCATATCAATTGCTTGCATCTAAGTGAGTGCTTCTGGAGTTATTTGATGGTGCTTAAAAATCTTTGGTCTCTGAAGTGCATTTAACCATCTTCTTAACTCTTATCTATATTATTAATTTGCAGATCAAAGTTAACTTTGTGCTATGCAAATGAGGGGACTTCAAATGAATGAGATTTTACTGTAAAATTTAAAATCCATATTACTTGTAACAGAACTGCAACATATTTTGAGGACATGCCTCAGCATATCTAAAAGAGATATTATGGTTTAAAGCAGAATTTTCTGCAATGATGGAATATTCTATATCTGCGTTGTCCAAATAGAATAGTCACGAGCCACATATAACTACTGAGCACTTAAAATGTGGCTAGTGTCAGTGGCTCATGCCTGTAATCCCAGCACTTTGGGAGGCCAAGGTGGGCAGATCACGTGAGGTCAGGAGTTCGAGACCAGCCTGACCAACATGGCGAAACCCCGTCTCTACTAAAAGTACAAAAATTAGCTGGGCATGGTGGTGGGTGCCTGTAATCCCAGCTACTCGGGAGGCTGAGGCAGGAGAATCATTTGAACCCAGGAGCCGAGATCGTGCCATTGCTCTCCAGCCTAGGTGACAGAGTGAGACTTCGTCTCAGAAAAAAAAAAAAAAAAAAAAAAAAAAGTGGCTAGTGTGACTGAGGAACTGAATTTTAAATTTTAATTAATTAATTTTAAGTAATTAAAATTCTAATTTAAACAGCTGTATGTGGTTAGCGGCTACCTTATTCAACAGTGTAGATTTAAAGAAAAAGTGAAATTGGATGCTGGGAACCCAAATTCCAGCTCTATCCTTGCTATCTTGGACAATTAACCTCTGTGAGCTTCAATTTTCTCACTTGAAAATGGGAATATAGGCTAGGGCTCAGTGGCGCATACCTGTAATCCCAGTGCGTTGGGAGGTTTAGGTGGAAGGATCGCTTGAGGCCAGGAGTTCAAGACCAGCCTGAGAAACACAGCAAAACCCCCATCTCTACAAAATATTTAAAAATTAGCCAGATGTGGTGGTGCATGCCTGCAGTCCTAGCTCCTTGGGGGGCTGAGGCAGGAGGATCACTTGAGCCTAATAGTTTGAGGTTACAGTCAGCTATGATTCCACCACTGCACTCGAGCCTGGGCAACAGAGTAAGACCTTGTCTCAAAAAAAAAGAAAGAAAGAAAGAAAGAAAGAAAGAAAGAAAGAAAGAAAGAAAGAAAGAAAGAAAGAAAGAAAGGAAGGAAGGAAGGAAGGAAGGAAGGAAGGAAGGAAGGAAATGGGAATATAAATAATATCTACATCACAGTATTTGAAGTAAGAGGAATTGAGGTAATGTCTGGGCATTCTCTTATTTCCAAATAAGTACCAACCAAGTACCAAAATTAAACATGTGGAAAATAAATACTCAACTCTCTTATTTAAAGGTAGTTTCCATTTCCTGAGAGCTATAAAAGATTATTAAGTTCATGATTATTTTCACCTTTCAGATTCAATATTTAGCAGCAATGCTTGTAACTATTGGCTGTTAAGTAACTCCACCAGCAGTAACCAGAAATGGTCGTGTGTCAGCTTGGGTGGGGGTATCAATCTATGGTACACAAAGGGCTGGTAGTCAGAAAGTTTAATTTACAGAAGTTGAGCCTGCCTGTGTGAGAAAAGTACACTGAGAACCGAAAAGCATGAGAAAAATGTTAATAAAATCATTCTTTATTATTGTTACCATTAATAATGTAATCCATTTTAATTGCTCAAGGAGGTTAAATAAGCCTATTCAATTTAATAGAGAAATCAAGGCACAAATTAGCAGCATAGGCAAATGGTCAGGAGCTTGAGTCCTTTTGTTGAATACAATTACATAAAATAAGCCATGGAAAGTACTTAGCCCGGGACATGTCACCCTATAATGTCAACTATTATAATAATGATAAGTGATACATTTGGGAGACCATGAAATTAGAGGCCTTTGTCTATTTTCAATTTGCAAAAGGTATCAGAATACGGAGTGATATTTGCACAGATTTAATTCTACATGACTGGAACATAGAAGAATCATCTCAACTTTCCATATCTGCACCAGTCCAGAACTGAATCTAGTTGTTTTTTTTGGCAACAGAGTCTCACTCTGTTACCCAGTCTGGAGTGCAGTGGCATGATCTTGGCTCACTGTAACCTCCACCTCCTGGGTTCAAGCAATTCTCCTGCCTCAGCCTCCCAAGTAGCTGGGATTACAGGTGCCCACCACCATGCCTGGCTAATTTTTTTGTATTTTTAGTCGCGAGGGGGTTTCACCATGTTGGCCAGTCTGGTTTAGAACTCCTTACCTCAAGTGATTCGCCTGCCTAGGTCTCCCAAAGTGCTGAGATTACAGGTGTGAGCCACTGTGGCTGGCCTACATCTAGTTATTTTGATACTACTTCAAATCTAATTTTGAAATGAGGCATGAATGAATGAATGAATGAATGAATCAATCAATCAATCAATCAATGCCTCCTGATTCCCCCATTAACTCAATACAATTGGCTAGTAAAACTCATGAGTCTTCAATATACAGTACAAATTTCTCCAAATTTAAGATAACATGGAGGTGACTGGGGAAGGGACCAACTGGGCGAAATGATCAATCAGTCATGTAGCTCAAGTGTCTGCTGGATATGAACCTAGACTACTTTCTGAGTAATATGGTGCTTAAACCAGCCACCCATATCCATTCCAAGGGGCATGAGAAGGTTTTGAAGGGATGCTGGTACAGGAAAGACCAGGGCCTGTGTCCATTCTCAGGGTAGTGGAGTGAAACCAGCTTCACCGTTAAGCAGAGAAATTCCCTCTGCCTCGTTGTTGGGAAGCTGCCTCTGGCCCTCAATCTCTTCTTCACATCATCTGGGGTCCTTCTTAACACTTTGTCCCACTGCCTAAACTTTCTCCATCTAGAACTCATTCAGTTTAACAAGGTTCCCCTTGAAATACATTCTCCGGGCACCCTCTGCCCAAGAGAAAAGACCATATACAGTGGTCTCACTTAAGTGACAGTTGCATAACATTGAATTCAGAAATGGATTGTCTTCACTTGAGGTCAGGATTTCGAGACCAGCCTGGCCAACATGGTGAAACCTTGTCTCTATTAAAAGCACAGAAATTAGCTGGGCATGGTGGTGCACGCCTGTAGTCCCAGCTACTTGGGAGGCTGAGGCAGGAGAATCGCTTGAACCCGGGAGGCAGAGGTTGCAGTGAGCCGAGATCGTGCCATTGCACTCCAGCCTGGGCAGCAAGAGCGTAACTCCATCTCAGAATAAAAGGAATGGGTATTCTAATCAGGATTTTGTGACGTTTCTACTAGGAGAATTTCTCATTTCATAGGATAAAGAACATTTTGTTAAAACATTTCTGCAATACCCTCAGGCTCCCATAGCATATTGATCTGACCTTTTTTTTAGTAAGCAAATTTGTTCTTGTCATCTAAGTCTATCCAGGGAGCTGACATACTCTGCAAGGGGATAAAGAAATATTAGTCACAATTTGTTTTTCTTTGTCTTTTTTTAAATCAACTTAAGACGGAGAAGATAATGTTTCCATTTTTAGTGTGACTATTAATTAGCACAGATTCATTACACTTGCAGATACATAGGACTTTACTTTTTGAACTGACTTTGATATTCAATAAGGCAAAAATCAATAAGAAAGTATTCACATTACCTTGCGCCACAATTGGGGAGCGCGATTGTCCTCTTCCATGATGCACTCCTGATGGCCTACCATGCCTGCTCCTGATCTTTTTATCTTCTCTAGAGGCCTCTACCCTTTGGAGTTCTTTTGAGTCACAGGATGAAATTTTTGTTGCTCACTTGACCAAAGGTCAAGCAGGCTCTCTGTGCCCAGCGCTCAAAGATAAGCTCGGAGGAGCTCGGAGTGTCCCAGTTGTTGAATAAGGAGAGATTTGAGTTGCTAGGCACTCTTGCTTTACTTACCACAAGCCTCCTCTTGTCCCCTCTGGGCTGTTGTTCATTGACAATTGCTGTGCTCTGAACTAGCGCTATGATGGCCTGTTGTGCGGGGACAGGCGGGTTGTGGTGAAAGCTGCAGTCGTGAAAAAGGCTATTGTTTAATCTACCCCGTCCCTCGCTGAAGCTATGGCAACAAATTCCGTTGGTGAATTAACTATGTCATTGTGCACTGGCTCAACTGATTATGCTCCTGGAATGACAAACATTTTCTCTCTTTTTTTCAAGACAAACAGTGACCGAGACCTTGAAGTGTTAATATACAACTCAGCACTTTCTTTAAATAGGAGAATAAAGATGGAAAAAATAAATCTCTCAAACATACTTTAATTGATTCTAATAAACATTTTATCCCTTCCAAGGAGCTATTCTCAGCACCATTGATAATGAATTTGTGCATCTTAACTATGTGGAGTCTTCGGAATTTGTGTTAAGGTAATTTTCTCTCAGATAACTCTGTGTTAAAAGAACTCTTTAAATATGCATGTGCTTCAGGCTTTCTAAGAACAACATTCTTTTTAAATCTGGCTGCACCAAAGGGCTATGGAAACCTTGGCTGCAGACTGTTACCTCAGTTTAGAGGGAAGGCAGCTGGTCCACCTAAACTCACCTTTGCCAAGTAAAGATATCCTTTGTCCCATCCTAGCAGGAAAACTCTTAGAATGCTTTCTCCTCTATTTTAAGCTCCAGGACAGTAAAACGTGCTCTGATTGGTTGAAGGATGCTTTTCAGACTCCCTCACCCCTCCCCACCATTCATTCATCCTATACCTTCTGCATCTGGGTACCCTGCCAACTGCTGGGGGAGCTCTGCCGGTGGCCACACTGTTTCCTAGTGTGGTAGTGTGTAGTGTTCTGACTTGCTAAGTTGGAATCACATTTCCCAGGATTCCCTTCCCTGAAGGCTTTGGGTTAGAGTTGACCAAAAGAAGAATTTGCATAAGATATGGGAGGTGGAAGTGAAGTAGGAGCGGTTATTTTGCAACGGTTGTTGTGGTTAGGTATGGTAACAAACAGAGGTAGACGTGAAATCGGATCCCGCTTGTCCTCACTCTCCCTCACTCTGTGTCCAGATCTTCTTTGTGAGTGCTGATCCTGTTGACCAACAGGAGCCCCAGGGCCACCACTGGACACTTGGCTGCAGGCCCATAGAGGTAGGAACAGCTTCCCATAGGTCTCCCCAACCGGCTTCCCCTTCCACTTGCACAGTTGGATGTGCTGGGCTTCTCAGACTGATGGTGGGTGGCTCCTCCCATCTTCCAATTTCCTCCTGGACCTTCAATCCCCCATCCCTCTCACAATGGGGCCAGGACTAATTCCTATGATAAATCGCTTCCTCCACAGCTCATCGTGGTTCTGCTTCTGTGACTGAATTCAGATTAATAACACTTACTGTTTCCAAACAACACAAGCACTGTTAGGAGAGCATCCTCAGCATGGAGAGAGGTTAGAGGGCCGCAGGGAGAAAACTCCATGGAAGTTGGATCGAAAAGTATCTGAGGACCCCAAGGAAATAGATGTTATATTTGTATCAGATCTCTCCCTACAGTTGCTGATAGCCCTCACCCTGCAAAGCCTTTCTTCAGATCCAAACAGTTAGCTCTTCTTTCTTCTTCCCTCTTGTGGCTTCCCCTCATCCTCATTCTGTTTGTTTGTTTGTTTGGAGATGAAGTTTCACTCTGTCACCCAGGCTGGAGTGCAATGTCATGATCTGGCTCACTGCAACCTCCACCTCCCAAGTTCAAGTGATTTTCCTGCCTCAGCCTCCTGAGTAGCTGGGATTACAGGCGTGCACCACAATGCCCAGCTAATTTTTGTATTTTTAGTAGAGATGGAGCTTCACCATGTTGGCCAGGCTGGTCTAGAACTACTGACCTCAGGTTATCCACCTGCCTCACCTCCCAAAGTGCTGGGATTACAGGCGTGAGCCACCGAGCCTGGCTGTCCTCATCCTCATCCTCATTCTTTTTTTTTTTTTTTTTTTTTTTTTTTTTTGAGGCAGAGTTTCGATCTCGTTGCCCAGGCTGGAGTGCAATGGTGCGATCTCGGCTCACCACAACCTCTGCCTCCCAGGTTCAAGTGATTCTCCTGCCTCAGCCTCCCTAGTAGCTGAGATTACAGGCATGCGCCACCACACCTGGCTAATTTTGTGTTTTTAGTAGAGACAGGGTTTCACCATGTTGGTCAGGATGGTCTCAAACTCCCAAACTCAGATGATCCACCCTCCTTGGCCTCCCAAAGTGCTGGGATTACAGGCATGAGCCACCGCTCCCAGCCCTCATCCTTATTCTTATCTTGCATAGATGATTCCCCAAAAGAGACTGGGATTGGCCATCAAAGGTAAGCCACACTGTAGAGGTAGGTTCCAAGTAGTGAATTAAAACAGAAAAAAAAAAACAAAAAAACCATACCCAAGTCCTGGGCACATTATTTCCTCCAGATTTATTCACTGGATCCATTAAAATGATGTCCCAACTTGATGGAGCACGAACAGGTCAACTCAAATAGAAAGTTTCTCTGAAACTAACTGAAGCCTGGTTCAGCTGTCAGGAAAAATCACCCACCTCTATTTGCACTTGTTTGCTCTTGTCAGTAATGGAAAAATCACTCTTGTGTCATTAAGGCCCAATGGTTTACAAGAGAGGCATATTTTGAAATTGCTTCTTGCTGTCATACCTTAGAATAACAGTGCATTTGATTATATTTCCAAGCTTCTTGTTTCACATCCCAAAGAAGAATCACTACCAATCTACTCCCTCAGTTAATTCCTGCTTAGAGCAGGTAATTCTTTGTCATGAGCACAAGAAAGGTGAGAGGGTAGGTTTTGATTAATTATGACTATAAAACAAAGATAATGAGGACAGAGTCACCAATACCACTACATAGGCTATTCTCATCACAGACCTAGTTGGGTCAGTAAATCAAGCCGTTTACCCTTGGATTATGGAGGTGTCTGTTATCCAAACACTTATTGGTGGCTTTCTAGGGTCTTCTCTACTTTTGAGAATCTCATGAACTAAAATGGTATCAGGGATTCGTATTGAAAGTTCTGTAGCACTGTGCAGTGACTATAGTTAAGAGAAGTTTACTGCATCTTTACAAATAGCTAGAAGAAAAACTTGCATGTTACCAACACAAAGAAATGATAAATGTTTAAGTGATGGATTTGCTAATTACCCAATTTAATTATTACACATTGCACACATGTATTAAAATATCCCACTGTACCACACAAATACGTACAATTATTATGTGTCAATTATAAATAATAATAATAAAAGATCATTTGCAGCAACATGGATGGAACTGGAGGTCGTTATCTTAAGTGAAACAAGCCAGGCAAAAAAAGACAAATGTTGTACATTCTCACCTATATGTGGGAGCTGAAAAGTTTGATCACACAGAAGTGGAGAGTGGAAAGACAGATAACAGAGACTGGAAAGGGTGAGTGGTGGGAGAGGGAGGATGAAGAGAAGTGGGTTAAAGGGCACAAACATAGGGTTAGATTGAAGGAGTAAATTCAATGTTTAATAACAGAGTGGGGTGACTATAGTCAACAGAAGTGTATTGTACTCAGGTGATGGACACACCAAATACCCTGACTTGACCAATATGCATTATATACATGTAACAAAATTTCACATGTACCCCATAAATTTCTACAAATAAAAAAATTAATAATTTTAAAAGGGAAAAAAGAAAAAAAATGTGTTTTACTCTCTTCTACCACAAGGGGTGCTCCAGAGCTCTGAGAATCGCCCAGCTCCGTATAGTTGGAAATGGGTTGGCAGCAGCAGGTCTCAGCTACCTTGTATGGCACTTTGTGTGAATTAAAAAAAAAAAAAAAGGTACTCCTCTGAGCTGAAGCAGCCCTACGTGGTGAGCCCTATGTAATCTCCCAGTCTGCAGGGAGCCTTTGCAGCCACTGATCCTCAGAGAAAACGGAGTTGTTGAGGAAGCAAACTGTGTTAGCCCCATCACAGGAGATACACACCTGAATTTGGAGGACAAGTATCTTCTCTGGCCAGGGGGTATTCTATGCCAGGAGGGATGGTCAACTAGGCCTCAGCTCCAGAGCTGGTGAACCGTCCTCCTTTTCCACTAATTCCCCAGCAGCATTTTGTTTGCCTTTCTAGTACCTCATCTGTCTGTAGGGGGTGCCCTGAATCATGGACTTGGGCCCCATTTTAAGGGTCCTGCTTTGGCTCTCCTCCTCTGAGGAGTCCATGGGCCAAGGAGACAGGGTGCACATATGGAGACCCCCATCCTCCTTCTAGAACACTCTGGAGTTCTCTGCCCAAATTCCTGAGCCTGCTTCCAGGGCCTGTTTGGCCTCTTCCTCATGGCCACCTTCTCAGGAGTAATCTCACTGCAGAGTTGCACATCTCTAGGCACAAGGGGTGGTCAAGCAAGGGATTGTAGCAGGAGGATGTGAGCAGAACCTGGATATCTAGGCTGGTTCCACCCTGTGGTGGGGAACAGAGAAGGGGCTCTGCTCCCCACCACCTTTCCTGCAAAGAACTCCAAGCCACTTGACCTCCTAGGTCATTAACAAGATATGTTTGTCAAGTTAGGAAGATGGGATGTGTGTGTGTGTGTGTGTGTGTGTATGTGTGTGTGTGTGTGTGTGTGTGTATACACACATATATGTACAGTCTGTTAGCAAGATTTCAAACTTTTAAATATTTAGACCTATGATACATGGGCCTCCATTTATACTCTTGCTCTGACCCCACAAATGTTAGAGGCAAACCCAGCTAGGGATATTTGAAATCACTCTGGAAATGAATGACTTAGCATTTTCTGGTGATTTTAATTATACAGATAATTACAGGTAGATTGTCATTAAAAATCTGATGATCTCTGAATATATGAACAATATGATTTTCTGCATCAAAGTAGCTGAGGGCTAGATTCTGGACTAAGGTGAAATAATCTGCTCTACCCCTAGAGTACTTCTTGGTACAGAGTAGTTGCTTTAAAAATTATTGTCGGCCAGGCGTGGTGGCTCACACCTGTAATCCTAGCACTTTGGGAGGTCAAAATGGGCAGATCACCTGAGCTCAGGAGTTCAAGACCAGCCTGGCCAACATGGTGAAACCACATCTCTACTAAAAATACAAAAATTAGCCAGGCGTGGTGGCATGCACCTATAATCCCAGCTACTCAGGAGGCTGAGGCAGGAGAATCACTTGAACCCAGGAGGCGGAGATTGCAGTGAGCCGAGATCATGCCACTGTACTCCAGCCTGGACAACAGAGCAAGACTCTGTCTCAAAAAAAAGAATAAAATAAAAATAAAAATTATCGTTATGTGAATAAATGAATCCTGGAAGCATTTTGTAACTGCTTCTCATCATTTGCCGTGTGTTTGCTGATTAACTGGGCTGCAGAAACTCCTCTTTGACTGATGACGTTATCCAAGGCTGCTCTGGGGATGTTAGCCCTGAGATGAAATAAAGGAACAGATGAGGAGATGGTAGGCTCCATGGGCCTGGAGGAAAGTGACTACTGATGACTCCCTACCTTTTTGCTTTTTTGGATTTCCTAAAATTAACTATCAACAGTTCTGAAGAAGGAATGCAAAGTATGGATTTTGCATTTCCAAAGTAGGGACTAGAATCATAGTCCATCCACGTGATGCCAAGACATACACAAGTTCAAAAGCAGAATGTAGGTATTTTTGCATATCGCTGTTTCTGTTGGATTTATCAAACATCTACTGTGTGTCAAGCCTGAAGCCAGGTGAAAAATGAAGACAATTACGACAGTATCCACCTTCATGGAATTATAAATCAGTATATGAGTTCTATATTAGTCTGTTCTCACACTGCTGATAAAAACATACCTGAGACTGGGTAATTTGTAAAGAAAAAGAGGTTTAATGGACTCACGTGGAACGTGACTGGGGAGGCCTCACAATCATAGTGGAAGGAGAAAGGCACGTCTTACATGGCAGCAGACAAGAGAATGAGAGCCAAGCGAAAAGGGAAACGCCTTATAAAACCATCAGATCTCATGAGACTTATTCACTACCATGAGAACTGTATGGGGGAAACAGCCCCCATGATTCAATTACCTCCCACCAGGTCCCTCTCACAACACCTGGGAATTATAGGAGCTAAAATTCAAGATGAGATTTGGGTGGGAACACAGCCAAACCATATCAAGTTCTGTTAAATTGAATATCTCCCTGACTTAAATGATCAATTTCATGCCCCAACTCCAAAGCATCACTCTCTTTTCCCCCTTACCCTGCTTTACTTTGTTTTAGAATACCAATTACAAAGGAATATTAATACATTATGTTTATTGGTTTATTGTCTGTCTCTCCCAACAGAATGTAAGGGCAGGGACTTTGCCTCACTGCTGATATCCCCAGTGCCTAGAACAGTGCTTGGCACATATTAAGTGCTCAATAAACATTTTGTGAATGAACAAATGATTTTGGCATTGAAATTGCCCTATTTTCTTCTTCTTCAACATGGCTTTGAGTGGATAGGAGAATAATGCAAAGAAAAACAATCTGATTTCACAACAAGAGATACTCCTGAAAGAACTATTGGCAGATAAATAATGCTAAAGATAGAGATAGGATCTGGAGAACAACTAGTGTCAAAGAAAAATATATGCGTTGAAAAATTGTAGGGAACAACAACGTTCGGAATTTATTAGTTTTCTTTTTAGACACACAGTAGTTTTATTTGCAGTAACTTGGTGAAACAACCCAGTTCCAAGCAAATAAATGTCTTTAAAGTTTGTTGATCCATTAGGCCATTAACAAAACTTCTCTGAGCTGTTGGAGTGATAAGCCAAGCGACTCAGACATTGTTTTCTTTCCCCTACCTCACAACAATTATTTTAATGGATCACTGGCACTTTGCAGACATTTTTCTTACTAATAGAAAAACTCACTTTCTGCTTGGTGTGAAACTGAGTTAGAAGAAAACTGAGCATAATATATTTTGTAGTTGCTTTTACATCTTTCTCGTGACTTTTTGCCATTTGCCAGCAACCCTTGCATGATGCAAGATATCTGTGCTTGACCTGAGAGCCTAACCCATTGTATCTTCCCACCTTCCCCTTTCCTCTTCTCCATTCTCCCATCTACCAAGGCAAAAGAGAGTCTTTACCTTCAAATGTGAATCCTGAAGAAATTGTTGTGTTGGAGGGGCCGCAAGTTAAGGATTTCTAAGAACTTCACCTCCAGATGTTCATGACTGTGGACAATGCAACTGCATCAATTTGTGATTAGAAGAGAAACACACTTAGACATCCAGTGCCATCTATAAGAAACAGGCCCCCACCAGACACTAAATCTGCTGACATCTTGATCTCAAACTTCCTGGCCTCCCAAACTGTGAGCAATAAATTTCTGTTATTTATAAATTACCCAGTCTAAGGTACTTTGTTATAGCAGCCGGGACTGAGACATCCCTCAAATTCATCTATAGATTCAGTGTAATCCCAGTCAAAATTCCCGCAAGAGTTTTGGTAGAAATTGACTAACTGATCATAAAAATTATATGAAAATGCAGACTTAAATTGGCCAAAATAATTTCGAAAAGAAGAACAGTGTTGGAGAACTCAGACTCCCTGATTTTAAGACTTCTATAAGGCTTCAGTAGTTTAAACAATGTGATATTGCCATGAGTATAGACAGATAGGTAAATGGAACAGAATAGAAAATCCAGAAAATAGATCCACGTGTGTGGTAGATTGATTTGCAATAAAATGCCAAGGTACTTCCATGATAAAAACAATCGCCTTTTTAAAAAGTGCACCATTTATAGCAGCATTATTCATAAAAACCAAGAAGTAGAAACAACCCAAGTACCCATTGATGGATGAATGGATAAACAAAATGTGGTATATACATACGATGGAATATTATTCGGCCTTAAAAAGGAAAAGAAATTCTGACACATGCTGTAACATAGATGAACCTTGAGAATATTATGCTAAGTGAAATAAGCCAACAACAAAAATACAAACAGTTTGACTCCACTTATATGAAGTACCTGGAGTAGTAAAATTTACAGAGACAGAAAGTAGAGAGATGATTGCCAGGGGCTAGAGAGAGTGGGGAATGGGGAGTTGTTGTTTAACTGGTATAGAGTTTTGTAAGATAAAAAGCGTTCTGGGCCGGGCGCTGTGGCTCACGCCCGTAATCCCAACACTTTGGGAGGCCGAGCCGGGTGGATCACGAGGTCAGGCGATCCAGACCATCCTGGTAACACGGTGAAACCCCGTCTCTACTAAAAAAACAAAAAAATTAGCCGGGCATGGTGGTGGGCGCCTGTAGTCCCAGCTACTCGGGAGGCTGAGGCAGGAGAACGGCGTGAACCCGGGAGGCGGAGCTTGCAGGGAGCCCAGATCTCGCCACTGCACTCCAGCCTGGGCGACAGTGTGAGACTCCGTCTCAAAAAAAAAAGCGTTCTGGAAATTGGTCACACAACACTGTGAATATACTTAATGCAATTGAATTGTATCCTTAACAATAGTTACAATGATAAATTTTATGCCATATGTATTTTACCACAATAAAAATTAAAAAATAAAAAAGATGCCAGAACAATTGGATATCTAGAAGCAAAAAAAAAAAAAAAAAAAAAAGAAAAAAAAAGAACTGTATCTCACATTATATAGAAAAATGGAAATGAATCATAGACCTCAATGTAAAAGCCATAAAAAATCTAGTATAAAACAGGAGAAAATCTTTGGGTTAGGCAGAGATTTCTTAGATAGGACACAAAAACATGAACCACAAAAAATGGGTACATTGAATTACATCAAAAATAAAAACTTTTACTCTTCAAAGACACAGTTAAGAAAATAAAAAGCGTAAGCCACAGACTGGGAGAAAATATTTGCAAAACACTTATTTTTACAGGATTTTTATTTCAGATGTATAAAAGTTCACAATTTAATAATTAAACAAGTTACTCAGTTTTTTAAAGGGGCAAAATATTTGAACAAAGACTTCATCAAAAAAGGTATACAGCTTTCTGCCTTTTTCCAGCTTTTAAGATATTGAAGGGAGGACGTGATGGGTCTTCCAGTATGAAATTCTGGATTTCCCTGGGTCTTCTGTTAGGAGTGGAATCAACTGTGCTGACAACACAGGAGCTGAAAAATCTGTGTATTTTCTCAGTGAAGGGAATCAAGGGATGGCTGAACAGACTCTCCGCTGCTGGTGTGGGTGATGTGGTGATGGCTACAGTTAAGAAAGGCAAACCACAGCTTAGAAAGAAGGTACACCCAGCAGTGATAATTTTTTTTGTGTGTGTCATGGAATTTCACTTTTGTTGCCCAGGCTGGAGTGCAATGGTGCGATCTCAGCTCACTTGCCACCTCCGCCTCCTGGGTTCAAGCGATTCTCCTGCTTCAGGCTCCTGAGTAGCTGAGATCACAGGTGCCCACCACCACGACCAGCTAACTTTTGTACTTTAGTAGAGACGGGGTTTCACCATATTGGTTAGGCTGGCCTTGAACTCCAGACCTCAGGCGATCCACCCACCTCAGCCTCCCAAAGTGCTGGGATTACAGGCGTGAGCCACTGCGCCTGGTCTAGCAGTGGTAATTTGACAATGAAAGTCTTACCAGATAAAAGATGAAATGCTTCTTTATTTTGAAGATAATGTGGAAGTTATAGGAAATAATAAAGGTAAGATAAAAATTTCTGCTATCACAGGACAGATTGTGAAGGAGGGTGCAGAATTGTGCCCCAGTATTAGATACAGCTCTGGTAGCATTGCATGACTCTCAAGTGTATTTGTCAAAAAAAAAAATTAAAAATTATTTGCTCCCTCCCCTCCAATAAAAGAAGAAGAAGAAGAAGATATACAAGAGATGGTCAAGAGATTTCTGGTTCCAGCTCACACATGTAAAGAGTTTGGAAGTTGTCACTACCATCCTTATATCAAGAAAAAGATGGACAAACTGAATGAAAATTAATGACTTTTCTTAGACTCATAAGATAACTGAGATAGCAGGGCAAACTGCCATCCCCAAATCTAGAGAGACAGGCATATACAGAGAATCACAGTCCAGATCTGCCTACCTGGAGCAGAAGCTGCTGGGGCCATAAACTGGTACGGACACTTAGATGGTAACTTTGATTAATAGCTGGAGGCTGAATGTGGATTAGCATGAGAGTAAGAGACTCCTAGAGGCTGGTATCATGGGAGGGACCGCACATTTTGGTGGGCTTAAGCCCACCAGATTCTCACTGTGAGGATCTGAGGAAGATCTTCGTATTAGTCTGTCCTCACGCTGCTGATAAAGACATAACTGAGACTGAGTAATTTATAAAAGAAGGCGGTTTAATTGACTCATAGTTTCACATGGCTGGGTAGGCCTCACAATCATGGCAGAAGGTGACAGAGGAGCAAAGTCACATCTTACGTGGTGGCAGGCAAGAGAGAATGAGAACCAAGCAAAAGGGGTTTCCCCTTATAAAACCATCAGATCTTGTGAGACTTATTCACTACCATGAGAACAGTATGGGGGAAATCACCCCCACGATTCAATTCTCTCCCACCAGGTCCCTCTCACAACACGTTGGAATGATGGGAGCTACAATTTAAGATGAGATTTGGTGGGGACACAGCCAAATGGTATCAATCTTCTAGGGGGACCTGCCAGGAAAAGAGGAAGAGTAGCCAATTGGGAAACATTTCCAGAATCTTCTCCATCACAAAAGTCCACTCTCCAGCCAGGCGTGGTGGCTCACACCTGTAATCCCAGCACTTTGGGAGGCTGAGGCAGGTGGATCACCTAAGGTCAGGAGTTTGAGAACAATCTGGCCAACATGGTGAAACCTCATCTCTACTAAGAATACAAAAAATTAGCCAGGCATAGTGGTGGGTGCCTGTAATTTCAGCTACACAGGAGACTGAGGGAGGAGAATCGCTTGAACCCAGGAGGCAGAGGTTGCAGTGAGCTGAGATGGTGCCACTGCACTCCAGCCTGGGCAATAAGGGTGAAACTCTGTCTCAAAAAAAAAAAAAAGTCTAGTCTTCCAGGGGGAAAGACCGTCAGACTGTCAGAGGGCAAGACTTCGTCAAAAGGAGATACTGAAACATTATTCTATTTGAGGGAAGGGAATTTCAGCCCTCTCCAGTCTTCCTGTCTCACCTAAGGAAAAATGAAAATAACCATAGTCAACAGGGTGCAACATCTTGAGAAAATGCATTGGAAGTGCTGCAGTCAGGGAAAGGAGCAGGAGGATACTATCAAAAGGTGTAATATATGCATAATTGGAATACCAGTAGAAGAAAGAGAAAATAGGGTAGAAAAAAATATTCGAAGTAATGATATGGCCATGAACTTTCCAAATAATATATCATTAAGATGATAGACACAAAACCACAGATCCAGGCAGCTCAGAGAACACCAAGCAGGATATATACCAAAACCAAACCAAAACAAAAAACAGGGATATCATATTCCAACTGTAGAAAATCAAGACAAAGTGAAAATCTTGAAGGAAGTTGGAGGATGAAGAAAAACTTTACTTATAGAAGAATGAGGATAAGAATTCTAGTAGACTTCTCATCAGAAACTAGGCGAGCAAGAGGACAGTGGAGTGAAATCTGTAAAGTGTTGAAAGAAAAAAACCTGCCAACCTAGAATTCCATATCCAGGGAAATTATCCTTCCAAAGAGAAAGAGGAAGATGTGTTTAAAAGCAATTTGTGGAATTTAAGAACTATAACAGATTCTTGTTTAATTGTTTAAAATAAAAGCAAGATGAGAATTGAAAATCTGAAAGCAATTCTTGGCAATGATCAGAAATATTCTTGACTTCACTTATTCTGATTTTGATGACATATAAAGCCCAGAGAACAAAGAATGTTGTGTGGAAAAATATGTAGACCGATCTTTGTTTTAATTCCCATTATTGTGGATATGTAATAAATCTTTTTATGTTTTTCAAGTTTAATTGTGTGTAATTTGTTGTTTTCATTTTTATCATCTTTTGTGGAATTTTGAAATATCAATACAAAAAACGTTATGCCATCTATGAAAGTTTTTCATTGTTTCTAATGCTATTTAGATCCTGTCCATCTATTTAATATCAAAAGACTGAATCCTGTTTAACGATTGCTAAATTTTTCAGTGTTTTAGATAATTACCATTTTTGAGTGATTAATCTCCTGTAGGAAATGAAATACTGTTTACAATACAGTCACTCTTTTCTTTTAAAATGCTGATTTGAAATAACTTCTCATTATATGTATGGTCTTAAAAAATAAAGCGGCCAAAGCACAAAAAAATAGTGAAAGAGGAATAAAGACTTTTCTCAGGCAAACAAAAACTGAGAGAATTCATTGCCAGCAGGCTTCCGCAAATGTTTAAAGAAGTTCTTTAGGTAGAAGGAAAATGATATAAATCAGAAATTAGGATCTACATAAAGAAAAGGAGCACGTCAGAGAAGAGATAAATGAAGGTAAAATAAAATCTTCTATTTTTCTTATTCTTAATTGACCTAAAAGATAACTGTTTAAAGCAAAATAGTAAAAATGTATTGGCTGATTATAGCATATGGCATATGGATAAGTGAAATGAATGACAGTAACGTCACAAGGGATGGGAGGGAGGAATTGGGAATAGTCAGTTAAAAGGTACCTGCACTATGGTGCTAATTTAGAAGTGGACTCAGATTATTTTTTAAATGTATATTGTAAACCACAGGGCAACTAAAAAGAGGCATATATAATATGCTAAGAGATGAGATAAAATGGAGTCATATAAACTGCTCCATTAAAACCAGAGAAGTGGAAAAAGAGAGGTAAAAAGAAATAGAACAGGGCTGGGCATGGTGTCTTATGCCTGTAATCCCAGCACTTTGGGAGGCCGGGGCTGGTGGATCACCTGAGGTCAGGAGTTCGAGACCAGCCTGGCCAACATGGTGAAACCCTGCCTCTACTAAAAATACAAAATTAGCCGGGCATGGTGAGACAAACTTGTAATCCCAGCTACTTGGGAGGCTGAGGCAGGGGAATCGCTTGAACCTGGGAGGCAAAGGTGGCAGTGAGCCAAGATCGCACCATTGCACTCCAGCCTGGGCAACAAGAGTGAAACTCCATGAAAAAGAAAGAAAAGAAATGAAAAGAAACAAAAGGAAGGAGAGAGAATAACCTCAGTGAAGCAAAAGCAGTTACAAATGACCAATAAGCACATGCCAGGGATAGTGGCTCATGCCTATAATCCCAGTCTTTTGGGAGGCTGAGGTGGGAGGATCACTTTAGGCCAGGAGTTCAAGACTAGCCTGGGCAACATAGCAAGACCTCGTCTCCATAAAAAATTTAAAAATTAGCCAGGCATAGTGGCACATTCCTGTAGTCCCAGCTACTTGGGAGGCTGTGGTCAAAGAATTGGTTGAATCCAGGAGTTTGAGGCTGCAGTGAGTTATGATTGTACTGCTACACTCCAGCTTGGGCAATAGAGTAACCAAGAGGCAGACTCTGTCTCTTAAAAAAATAAAATAAATAAATAAATAAATAAAGCAGGCGATTGTAAAACAAACTCTCAATGTGCTTGAACTACTAATAACTAATTGAGCAAACTTGTCTTAGTGGTAGGAATTATTCAATAAGTAGTTAGGGACTAAGGGAAATGAAATATAAGTTGTCTTTACTATTGAAGGAACGAGGAGGGCAATATGATGAAGCAACAATTGATGACTGCTTGAACTAAAATAACTTTCTGGCCAGGTGCAGTGGCTCATGCCTGTAATCCCAACAGTTTCAGTATTAAACTCCTTGAGGCCAGGAGTTTGAGACCAGCCTGGGCAACAAAAGTGAGGCCCCCATCTCTGTGAAAAATTTAAAAATTAGCCAGGCACGGTGGCACACACCTGTGGTTCTAGTCAATCAGGACGCTGAGGTGGGAGGATCACTTGAGCCCAGGAAGTCGAGGCTGTAGTGCGCTATGATTGCATCACTGCAGTCCAGTCTGGGTGATGGAGTGAGCGTTGTCTCCAAAACAACAAAAATTGATTCCCTAAATCCAAACCACAGAGATGCTGTCAGACTGTGATTTCTATTGATGATAGATGCTTAATGACAGGGGTGGGATCTTTTGTATTATTATTATTTTTATTATTTTTGAGATGGAGTCTTGCTCTGTCGCCCAGGCTGGAGTACAGTGGTGCGATCTCGGCTCACTGCAACCTCCACCTCCTGGGTTCAAGCAATTTTCCTGCCTCAGCCTCCCCAGTAGCTGGGGTGTGTGCCACCACGCTCAGCTAATTTTTGTATTTTTAGTAGAGACAGGGTTTCACCAGGTTGGCCAGGCTAGTCTCAAACTCCTGACTTCAGGTGATCCACCGGCCTCGGCTTCTCAAATTGCTGGGATTACAGATGTGAGCTGCCACGCACAGCCCAGAGATGTATTTTTGAAGGTCAATCCTCATAAGGAGGTCCCCTGAGTAGGGAAGGTGTGTCTGTGAGATTGGGGTCTGGGAGTGCCAAGTGCTGGCTGGTTCTAGGGAAAGCTTCTTTGGGTTACCCTCCTCGGTCCCAGGGTCCAAGGTCCTGTCTTCAGTGTTGTGGGTATTGACTGGATTTCCTTAGGACACCCAGAGATGGTCTCTTGAGTTTCAGGAGAGTTGCGTGTCTTCTCTTATTACCCAGAATCTTTGTGGGATGCTGAGAGCATATCCAGGCCCTCTCACTGCTGGCCTCTTTTCAGCTAGCAGACAATCCTCTCTCCACAGCTACATATAAACAACACTACCTCGTTGGGCTCAGAATCTTTGGATGGCCACAAAGCCGATCTTCATACCCACAGACAATCAGGCTCAAAGGCCAGATTCATGCTAACAAACGCACATGGATATTGAAACCAGAGTGCTACTTTACTGCTTTGCCATGAGAAATACACCTGGCAGATGTGCCAGAATATAATCCAGTTGGCTGGTTTTCCCCCAGTTTAGGGGAAAAAAAATCTAGTTTACCAGAAGCAAGATTGCTTGACGAGTAGAAAATCATTGCAAGGGAAGTTGTTTTTGCTCACTGTCTTATCCCTAGGGCCTTGAATAGTGCCAGAAAATAGTAGGCACTCAATAAACATTTGTTAAATGAATGATTTTCGTCAACGTTTTCATGTGTTTAACTGTTACTGCTATTGAGAGAAGATACTCATTTAGGTCAGGCGTGGTGGCTCACGCCTGTAATCCCAGCACTTTGGGAGGCTGAGGCGGGTGGATCATCTGAGGTCAGGAGTTCGAGACCAGCCTCGCCACCATGGTGAAACCCCATCTCTACTAAAAATACAAAAAAAATTAGCCAGGCATGGTGGTGCACGCCTGTAATCCCACCTACTTGGGAGGCTAAGACAGGAGAATTGCTTGAACCTGGGAGGCAGAGGCTGCAGTGAGCCGAAATCGCACCACTGCACTCCAGCCTGGGCAACAGAGCAAGACTCTGTCTCAAAAAAAAAAAAAAAAAAGATACAATACTCATTCATCAGAGACAGACAATGGAAAAAAAAAGTTCCTGCTTTGGAGTTAGACAAATAAGAGGCTTGATCTCCATCTGCTACTTACTTTTTGAGTTTCCATTTCTTCATAAATAAAGTATAATTTATAGAATTAGGTCTACTGAATACAATAGAAAAAATAAAAAACAGTGGCTTTAAATATGACAGATGTTTACTTTTCTCTCATGTAGAAGTCTGGGGGTAGACAGCTCAGGGATGGTATGGTGACTTAATGGATGTTAGGGACCCAGGCTCTTATTCTGTTCCACCATCTCACTGTGGGGACTTTCATTTCCACAGTTATCTCGTGATACAAGACGGCTGCTGGAGCTTAAACCATCACATCTGTGTTGCAGGAAGAAAGAGAAAAGAGAAAAAGCAGAAAGGCAAAAAAGAGTCCCCTTTCAGATCTACCAGAATACTTTTTTTTTTTTTTTTTAACTTTTAGGTTCAGGTACATGTGCAGATTTGTTATATGGGTAAGTAGCATGTCACGGGGGCTTGGTGTACAGATTATTTCATCATCCAGGTAATAAGCATAGTACTTCATAGGTAGTTTTTGATCCTCACCCTCTACCACACCCCACCCTCAGTTGGTGCCAGTAACTGTTGTTCCCTTCTTTGTGTCCATTTGTACTCAATGTTTACCTCCCACTTATAAGTGAGAACATGTGGTATTTGGTTTTCTGTTCCTATGTTAGTTCGCTTAGGATAATGGCTTCCAACTCCATCCATGTTGCTGCAGACGTGATCTCATTCTTTTTTTTTTTTTTTTTTTTGAGACAGAGTCGTGCTCTGTCGCCCAGGCTGGAGTGCAGTGGTGCGATCTCGGCTCACTGCAACCTCTGCCTCCTGGGTTGAAGTGACTCTCCTGGTTCAGCCTCCTGAGTAGCTAGGATTATAGGTGCCCGCCACCATGCCTGGCTAATTTTTGTATTTTTAGTAGAGATGGGGTTTTGCCATGTTGGCCAGGCTGATCTCGAACTCCTGACCTCAGGTGATCTGCCCACCCAGAGTGGCCTCCCAAAGTGTTTGGAATACAGGCGTGAGCCACTGCACCTGGTTTCTTTTTTATGGCTGTAAATTAGTTCCACCATTGTGGAAGACAGTGTGGTGATTCACATAAAAGTAGAAGTCTAAGAATCAAACCCTAAGTCTGACTCTACCTGAGTCTTTAATCCTTCCAATATAATATTAAAGAGGACAAATTATAAACAAAAAGAGTCTATAATTCTATCATCCTGGCAAAATATACTCCATTTTGCATATTGCTTTCAGGTAAATAACTGTTTGATATATCATTGCAAATAAGTGTGGGTATGTATCACTTTGCCCTCTGTGGTTTTCACTTTCTGAAATATCATAAACATTTTTCATATTTTGAGTCTTTCTAATCATTTTATCTTTTTGATGTCACAACATTAAACCTTTGTTATGATGTGGACTTTTAGGTCCCAACTTTTTGCTAATGGAAAACAGCAGCCATTAACGTCTTTGCATTTTTTGTTTCTATTATTTCTTATTAAACTTTTACCTGTGGAAATAAAGGGTTGAAAGATACAAGTATGTTTACGGTACTTGTCACATATTGCAATATTATTTTCCAAAAGATTGTGCCAACTTACACTGCCACCTGTAATAAATGAGTTGTGCCTCAACACTGTAAGCTTACCAGCAATGGATAACATTTATATATAGAGAAATGTACAGATAAAAAGGGGGAAAATGGTGGAACATAGTATCTCAGTCTCAGTTTGCTTTACTTTGTTTATAAGTTAAAAAAAAACCTTTAAACTTGCAAAACTGGTCCTGGACAGGAGAGAGGAAGTTTAAGACAAATTATGATTTTTTTGCATGATTAGATAACAGAGGTAGGTTTACAGTAAAGCTGCTGAAACTTAATCTCCAGGGCCTCTCATTTGCATATTGGCCACTTGCAAGGCTCTGGGAGATGTTCTAGCAATGGTTTTATGTTTTTGTAAACATTTGCAAAAGTAAGATATTTCATTTTATTTATTTGTTTATTTTAAGATAGTATTTGTCATATTTATTTGCTCCATTTATTCTAAAACAACCCTGGCTCCCTCCTTCATTCCCATCTAATCTACCCCAATCCTTTTTATTAATATTATTACTTAATTAATTGTTTATGTGAATGAGTTCTTTAGTGGTGATTTCTGAGATTTTGTTGCACCTATCACCTGAGCAGTGTACACTGTACCCAATGTGTAGTCTTTTATCCCTCACCTCCTTCTCACCTTTCCCAGAGTCCCCATTGTATCATTCTTATGATACAATGAGTCCATTGTATCATTCGTATGCCTTCGGATACTTGTAGCTTAGTTCCCACTTACGAGTAACACACAATGTTTGGCTTTCCATTCCTGAGTTACTTCACTTAGAATAATGGTCTCCAATTCCATCCAGGTTGCTGCGAATGTCTTTATTTCATTCCTTTTTACTGCTGAGTAGTATTCCATGGTGTGTGTGTGTGTGTGTGTGTGTGTGTGTGTGTGTGTGAGATATATACACACACACATATGTATATATACACATATCTCACTTTTTTTAACCTACTTGTTGATTAATGGGCATTTGGGCTGGTTCCATATATTTGCAATTATAAATTGTGCTGCTGTAAACATGCGCGTGCAAGTATCTATCATGTATAATGACTTCTTTTCCTCTGGGTAGATACCCAGGAGTGGGATTGCTGGATCAAATGGTAGATCTACAAAAGTAAGATATTTTAGCTGCAATCAGATATGACTACTTTCCACTTGGTGGTTTGCTGGTAAACCTTAAAAAAATAAAAAGCTCTGATTTGTACCACTTGCCAATTTCCAGGGTGTAAATATTCCCACCATGACTGATTTCAAGCTACCAACAGTTTAACATGGAGATTACAAAATACTGGAATATTTAACAATCAGCTCTTGAGAACCTCCAACTGTCCCTCTGATACACTTCGCTTCTTGCATAGTAGCAGTGAAATAGGCATAGGCATTTTGGGATTCCACTATGGGGAAATGGAGTTGATATTGCATTTAGTTTGGGCTTATTTCTTCTATTTATGTGGGTCGAAGGCACTTAACCCACATATATACTTAAGCCATATATACTTAAGTTATTGATAGACTTTTTTTTTTTTTTGAGACAGAGTCTCACTCTGTCACCCAGGCTGGAGTGCACTGGCACAATCTCGGCTCACTGCAACCTCTGCCTCCCGGGTTCAAGCTATTCTTCTGCCTCAGCCTCCCAAGTAGCTGGGACTACAGGCGCCTGTCACCACACCCGGCTAATTTTTGTATTTTTGGTAGAGATGGGGTTTCATCATATTGGTCAGGTTGGTCTTGAACTCCTGACCTCATGATCTGTCAGCTTCGGCCTGCCAAAGTGCTGGGATTACTGGCGTGAGCCACAGCGCCGGGCTGTTATTCATAGACTTCTTGGTGTAGGAATAGCTTCCAGGAATATTTCTACCCCAGTGTGATGACTTACCAGGAGTTTTGAACTGAAAGTGTAGGGCCAGAAGACATATCATGGTATGAAAGTGTCTGGCCTGGCATGGTGGCTCACACCTGTAATCCCAGCACTTTGGGAGGCTGAGATGAGTGGATCACCTGAGGTCAGGAGTTCAAGACCAGCCTGGACAACATGGTGAAACCCCATCTCTACTAAAAATACAAAAATTAGCCAGGTGTGGTGGCGGGCGCCTGTAATCCCAGCTACTCGGGAGGCTGAGGCAGTAGAGTCGCTTGAACCTGGGAGGTGGAGGTTGCAGTGAGCCGAGATGGTGCCACTGCATTCCAGCCTGGATGACAGAGCGAGACTCCATCTCAAAAAGAGAAAGTGTCCTACAGGTCTTTTCCCACAAAGTATGTGGGTCATTGTCTCAGTCTGTTCAGGCTGCTATAACAAAATACCACAAACTGGGTGGCTAATAAACAACAGGAATTTATTTTTCACAGTGCTGTAGGCTGGGAATTCCAAGATCAAGGTGCCGGCAGATTCAGTGTTTGGGGTAGGCCCACTTTTTGGTCCATAGATGGTGCCTTATTGCTCTGTTCTCACATGGAAGAAGGGGCAAGGCAGCTCTCTGGAGCCTCTTTTCCGAGGGCACTAATCCTATTCATGAGGGAGGGTTCCTGCTGATGACCTAATCACCTCCCAGAGGCCCTACCTCCTAACACCACCACACTGGTGATTAGGTTTCAACGCATACATTTTATGTGGAGAGAAACATTCAGACCACAGCAGTAGTGAAAGAGAAAAGAGGTTTGAAATGCCTAGAGTTATACCCGGGCATGTGGGAAGTAATCAGCTGTGAAATTGTTAAGGTAAGGATTTGGTTCTTATTAATGACTAGCCAACATGGTTCTCTCCTGGTTGGAAAAAGCTTGATAATAAAACTATAAAACTTCCATCAGTTTTTAAAAGGGAAGTGTAGGAATAAATCTGTCGTAGTACTTTAAATAGGAAGTTATGTCTAAGTGTAAATTACTACATGTTATGTATCACAACATATGGATCACATAACATGATATTAAATGATTATGAAGCTGAAAGACATTTTCTAAACAATCAGAAATTAAGAAACAAGTATTGATCAACCATGCTAGAAGACAGATTGAATTATCTTTATATCCTCTTTGGAGAAAATATTACAAAATTGTTGTCACATGAAGAAGGGATCAATAAGCATGTGGGCAATAATGTAGGAAAAAATACAAATGTGTGGCAGGCATTATTTAATAAAAATGTTATACCTTTTTGGAAAGAGATAACATGAGATGTACACATTACAGCCATTGTATCATACACAAAAATTGAATACCCTTTTTGTTTTTCATAACATTGAAATTTTGGAGTTCACGTCAGGTGTTTTGTAGATTGTCCTACATTTTGAATACATCTGATTGTTTCTTCATGGTTAGATTCAGGTTAGACATTTTTTGCAAGAAGACCATATAGGCGAAGTTTTTCCTTTTTCATACGCATTACATCAGGAGGCATATGAGATCAGATGGCCATTTATTGGTAATGCTACTTCTGGTTATTTGGTTAAGACGGAGCATATATCTTTAAGTTGTTAATCACACAGCCACTGTATCCAGACTGCTGAGAAGCAAACTATCAGGCAAAATTCAGGGCGCGCAGCAGGAGGCAGTCGCTTTCCCGGCTCTGGGGAAAACGATCCAACCACGCCCACTCTCCTGCCCGCCCGCGCCTCCTTTCCGGGAAAATGGGCTCTGAGAACCAGAGCGCCCTTTCTCCCACGCGCCCAAATCTTTTCCCATCAGCATGCGTGCGCTTGCGCAGTCTCCAGGCGGCTCCTTTCCAGCGCCCGACCGCTTCTTTCTCCTGCTCTCCTCCGGCTTCCCCTCAGCTCTAGCTTTTCCCTAAGGGGTCATCACAGGGCGCCAAACGCGCGTCCGCGGGAAGGCCGGGGGCGGAGCGCGGCGCGGCGCGGCACGTCAGTGGCCTTCCGGCCGGAAGTCCGCAGCCTCCCGAGCCGCTGATTGGCTTTCAGGCTGGCGCCTGTCTCGGCCCCCGCGCCAGTTTTGGGCTGGTTGGCGCGGAATCGGGAGATTCGGGACCATGGCACCTGTGCACGGCGACGACTGTGAGATAGGGGCGAGTGGTGAGGGACAATTCCGCGCGCGGGGCTCCGGGTTGGGACAGTGGCATGATTGCCGGTGGTGGGGGTTCTGAGGGAGGCGCACACCCGGGTTTGTTTGGGCGCAGACCTTGGTCGTCCCCGGCGGGGGCCCTTCTGGCGTCGGACCGGGCTTCCTTTAGGCGCGGTTTGCTCTTGGAGGACCAGAGCCTGGAGGGATTTTTGTTTGGGAGGCTGTCTCACCTCTGCCACTGAGAGTCTCCACAGTCGATTGCGTTTCTATTTCTTTTGGTGAGTTGCACCCACGTGCTGGGTATAACTTTATTGAGACTGGCCCCGTGGGGCCGAAAGTATTTCACTGCGATCTCCCTAAGTATCCACTTGAAGGCTTGAACAGAACAGATCTGTGTCCCTTTTTGTAGGAACTTCCAGGAAAATTTTATACATTGTAACTAAGCAGGAAAGAAAGCTCTAAGTGCTGTCATCGGGGAATAACGCGTTTTGTATTTTTAGGTAATGGGTTTCTACTTTATGCATTAACAATTTTTCTTTCAGATTCTTTGGAAAGTTCTTCAAGTGCTGCGTAGAAATCCTGTTCACAATCTAGTCATTCCTGGTGAAGTTTCAAAAAAATGGCATCAATTTAGGGCATTTCGGATCCCCTGTATATCACTCCGTTTGTCAGGGGTGTCTTTTATTTCCAAAAATAGAATACAAAAATGCAAATAGATTTGTCTGATTTTTTAAGTGTTCAACTAAAGCGTGACTTCAGTTAACTTCTAACTTAAAATCAGATGCTTCACTTTGTTAGCTCAAGCGTCACCTCTCCTGTCATTCAGATACATCACCATTAATGAGAACTCGCTTCCTAATCAGCTTCCTTTGCATTCACCTAGTTGTGAGTCACAGATTTCAATTTGTTCTAGCCGTTCGTTTTTTAAGACTATTTTGGAGAGTCGACCTGCCTGGATTACAGATAGGATGTTGGGTGTAAGTATGTGAACGAACAGTCTTTGCAGGCCTCTATCAGTGATTTGCCACTAAGCCCTTTCTTCATCCTAAAAACTACGTCATCTATGAACATCAGGAAATCACTTTGGAGGATACTGTGCAATCTTGAGACTCCTCTTAGGTCATGGTGTTCATTAAGTAGTTGCTGGGGACTTGTGACTGGAATTTTTCCTTTAGAGCAGACTGAAGGATTGTTACCTGAAAGACTGCTGTAAGCTAGTGTCTGTCTGCTTTTGGGGAGGATAGAGATACTCCAGATGGTAATTTTGAAACAAATATTTAAACCTTTGTAGCTGGATTTTTTTCATGCTTATTCTTTTTTTGCTAAGTTACCTACGTGAAGCATTGGAGACATACTCCAAAAAACAAAATGTAGGCTTTTTTTTTTCTTCAGTATTAGCAGGCAGGGCACCTTGATAATGGCAGTGAAAAGTTGAAAGGTCTGTAACTAGCTGTTACTATATATGAAAAAAGATCAGGGAATTTTTATTTATTTATTTATTTTTGAGACAAAGCTTCCCTCTTGTTGCCCAGACTGGAGTGCAGTGACGTGATCTCAGCTGGCTGCAACCTCTGCCTCCTGGGTTCAAGCAGTTCTGCCTCAGCCTCCCGAGTTGCTGGGATTACAGGTGCCCACCACCACACCGGCTAATTTTTTGTATTTTCAGTAGAGACAGGGTTTCACCATGTTGGCCAGGCTGGTCTTGAACTCCTGATGTCAGGTGATCCACCTGTCTCTTCCTCCCAAAGTGATGAGATTACAGGCATGAGCCACTGCGCCCGGCCAGGGAAAGTTTAATGATCAAAAAAGCAGGTACAGTGGTTCATTCATTGGTTCATTCAGCAAATATTTATTATATACCTACTAGGTATAAGCCTTCTGCCAGGCTCTGGCATTATGATGGTGGGTAGGCTGGACATGGTTTGTCTTCATGAAGTACAGATGGTAAACATCTAATCATATGCAGAAAACGGCTTTGCTTTGTTTTTGCCTTCTAAAGCTAGACCTTGGTACTCTTAGGTATGGTGTGTGTGGGGTATGTGGATGTGTGTTTGACTTCACACGCGGAAGCGTTACATGAGCCGCTCCTATATTGCTAAGTGCAAAGTAAGATAGGCATCTTCATGTAATCCTTAACAGATTTTGAAGCAGACATGATTATCCCCATTTCACAGATGTGGACCCTGAGGCTCTGCATCAGTCAGAGCCCCTATCTGTAAGCTGCAGGAACCAACTCTACCAGATTGGTTAGAATTTGTTAGAAGAATATTGTGTTCACAGAAACTCCAGGAGGACTAGTAAGCCAGTCTGGGAGCTGTTTAGCCAGGAACAGTGAGTGAAATTGTGCCACAAAAATGGGCCAGTGAGGAGGTCATTGCCAACCACGAGCAAGTACTTGATGCTATAGCTCATACCTTAGGACATTGCTGACATTGTTGCCGGTTTTGTAATCCTTCTGCAGCTGTTGCTACTTGTAGAATCTTTTAAAACCCATGCCCCCTTCCTTGTGACACTAGCTTCTGATTTAATGTCTGAGCAGGTGTTCCTAATCGGTAGCGCCTATTTTATATGCCCATGCTCTAGGCTGCAAGGGTGTCTGGGAAAGAGCATCAACCTTTTCAGCTTCTGTAATGGGGCATAGGCTCTGCGTCTCATCAAGACTTATAAGGGATGGGGGCCGGATTTCACAAACAGTTTCAGATGCTAGGCTGCTTTAAATAACAAGACACCTGTCTGCTGCTTAACTGGTTAACCGGTGTTCTCATGTCACCCAGTAAATGGCAGAGCTGGAATGTGCTGCTTCTCCCTAACCTGGTTCTCCTACTCACTCTACACTCCCTTGTCGAATTTACCTTGCACACTGAGTTCTCTCAGTTTCTGAATACACTATGCATTTTCATCCCTTTGTAATTTGGCTCATGCCTCTTCTTTTGCTTGTGCCACTTTTTACTTTGTTCTCTGTGAAATTTGACTCCTTTTTCTAGGCCTGTATTGGAAACCTCTCCTGTGAAGCCTTCCTTGATTTTCCAGGCAAAATTAACAGCTCTCTCCTCTGTACATTTCCTCAGTACTGAGTTCTTACCTTTTCTATGGCACCATGTTTATATTGTGATGGTAATTTCAGGTACTTTGCTTTACTTGACTGGGGGCCTCTTTTGGACAGGCAGCTCTGTCTTATTTGTGATTGTACCCTAAACCCTGTGTAGTGGAACATTGTTGCCTGTGTAGTGGGACGTTGCCTGTGTAGTGGAACATTGTTGCCTGTGTAGTGGAACATTGTTGCCTATGGAGTAAGTGCATTTGAAGACCTACAGATGTCAGGCATCAAGGGAGTCTTGAGGGGAATCGCTTTTCACTTTCAGGGGTCATGTTCAGTAATCTTCAAAGCCTTTTCATGTAGGCCTGTTCACGATTTTTGAAATCATTTGAGTGACATCCAAGTTTTTGTGGCTGTCATCATTAAGTACCTTTATTCCTTAATTTTTACTTAATGTCTTTCTGAAAATGGATTTAAAAGTCAAATGTGAAAGTCAAACAATAGAGTGTGATATTATAAAGAGAGATTCCATTTCTAGAAAGCTAGAAAAAAATAAGATCTCTAATTATGCCTTACCTTTAGGCTATAGTTTCCAGCAGTTTATTGCCAGCATTTGGTACATGTTCTTTAAATTGTATCTTCTATTTCAGTCAAACACTTAGTCAAGCAGCTTAATGTTGTTATGAACATTCTAGTGGGGTTGGAGTTTTAGGCTGCCTCTTATCCATACTTCTTTTCTTTGCCTGCTCCTTTTTATAAATTAATTAGCACCAAACACAGTAAAATACTAGATTTCACAGACATAGATGGCAATCATGCTGAGCCTAAACTCGTAGTTGACAGGCAGCACTGTTATGCTTGACTTAGTTTTTCATCAGTGGGTATGTGAAAGTCTTTAATTCTGTGGATGAATTTTTTTTTTTTTTTTTGAGATAGAGTCTCGCTCTGTCACCCAGGCTGGAGTGCAGTGGTGCAATCTCGGCTCACTGCAACCTCCATCTCCTGGGTTTAAGGGATTCTCCTGCCTCAGCCTCCTAAGCAGTTGGGATTACAGGTGCCTGCCATCACACCCAGCTAATTTTTGTATTTTTAGTAGAGTTGGGGTTTCACCATGTTGGTCAGGCTGGTCTCAAACTCCTGACCTCAGGTGATCCACCCACCTCAGCCTCCCAAAGTGCTGGGATTACAGGCGTGAGCCACTGCATCCGCTTGAATTTTTTTCAGTGTGTGTGTGGAACGGTCAGTTTATGATGATCGGAGCATGAATAATTCAAAAGTTGAATGAATAAACGCTGAAGTCCTCTGATATTTCAGTAATTTTTGACAAACCATTTAAGTCCCTGTAGTTGTTTTAGTAATGTCCTGTGTCATAACCAACTGAGGCCTTGAAATAAGTGATATACCAATAATCCCCTCAGAGCCATCTTTGTTAAATTTCTCCAGCCCTCAATCTGTTCCTTCTTTGAATTTCCGGGTGCTTTGGCTGAATCTCTTTTAAGGCATTTATTATCTCTAAATATTGTTTAGAGCCAGTTGCTACTTGTCTCCCATGTTAGATAGTAAGTTCTGTGAGTACAGAGACCATGTCTTTTTTATCTTTTTTTGTTGTTGTTGTTTTTTGTTTTTGTTTTTTGTTTTTTGAGATGGAGTTTCTCTCTTTTTGCCCAGGCTGGAGTGCAATGGTGCGATCTCAGCTCGCTGCAGCCTCCGCCTCCCGGGTTCAAGTGTTTCTCCTGCCTCAGCCTCCCAAGTAGCTGGGGTTACAGGCATGCACCATCATGCCTGGCTAATTTTGTATTTTTAGTAGAGATGGGGTTTCACCATGTTGGCCAGGCTGGTCTCGAACTCCTGACCTCGGGTGATCTGCCTGCCTCAGCCTCCCAAAGTGCTGGGATTACAGGTGTGAGCCACCACGCCCAGCCTGTCTTTGTGTCTCATAGTGCCTAGTACTTTGCAAAGAGTAGATGCTCCTTGAAGCCTTTTAGATATTGATTGACAGATTGCAAAATGAATAGTGCTTTTATAACCCACTGGATTACTTCTGGCTGGTCATTTCTAATGGAAAGGTGATAAATTAGCTAACAGCTGATCTCCCTTGTTTAGTGTCTCCGCAGGATATCAGTTGAATTGGGAATTTTCCTCTTTTTAGAGAAAAAAATAACAGTGACTTTAATTGTTTTAACAGGATCTTGGAGGAACTTTCTGGCGAGTCATGTATATTTGGATATGTATGTTTGGCCATGAGCTTTGTGAATTATTTACATTATAAACATTATCTACTTGTATATTACTAAAATTGTATGTTATTGTTGGCTAGAAACTTTTCCTTTGTGTTTGAGGGAAGATGGCTGACAATTTTGTAACATCTGTTGTAAATTTTTTTTCTTTTTTCAGCTCTGTCAGATTCAGGGAGTTTTGTATCTTCTCGAGCCCGGCGAGAAAAAAAATCAAAGAAGGGGCGCCAAGAAGCCCTAGAAAGACTGAAAAAGGCTAAAGCTGGTGAGAAGTATAAATATGAAGTAAGTAACCATTTTTCTTCTTTATTCTTCCTGTGCATCATCTAATTCATAGCCTGCAGGTAGTCTTATGTCACCTTTGCCCCAGATTAGAAATACTCATATATTTTAAACTTTTTGTAATGGGAATTTATTAGTATTGGACAAGCATGGGTATGAGGTAGATTTACAGATCATGGAGAATGTTCGACCCTTAAAGTTCCTATAAGGTATTTTAAAGATGATTTTAAAATTCCAAAATGAAAGTACATAGTCATATCTATATTTTTCCTTATTGAGCATGCTGTATCTATGGTAAGTCCCATGGGTTTGTTGGGGTCATTTAGAGATGCTTTTACTTACTCTTAAGGTATTGAGCAGTCTAAGTGCTACTTCTTGGAGAGAACTGTTCTTCCTAATCTCATTTGCAAGGGTAGTGGCAGTGGAGACTTGGACCTTAACTTCTGCCGTGTTCTGCTTGTAAGATTGAATGTGATGCTCTTTTGGTTTTCCTCTACCCACTGTTTATGGCCTGCAGGTCAAAAACAGAGTGGCCACCATCTGCATAAATATTGTCTAGCATCACCTTCAGGGCTTCCTGAGTATCTTAATTGCCTTATGGCCAGAAAGTGATTAACCAATACTAGAAAATAACAACCATAACTGATAGACTTTTTGAACTAACATATTATTCTAAGTGTGTTTACCAATGTGTTTATTCATTTAATCTTTTCAATAACCAAATGAAATTAGATACTATGATTAATAACATTTTGCAGGTGAGATATCCGAGGCACAGAAAGTTTAGTGAGGTTACAATGGCAGATTCTTTTTTGAACCCAGACAGTCTGGCTTCAGAATATTTCTGTTTAACCAGTTAACCAAATAAAAGAATATTTGCCATTTGTCACCATTTGTTCAAGTTAAGTGAGGCAACCAGATCATAAAAGGTTGCTAAAAGGATTTCAGTAAAACAGGAATAAAGCATTTTTTTTGTTTTTGAGATGGAGTCTCTCTCTGTTGCCCAGGCCGGAGTGCAATGGCACGATCTTGGTTCACTGCAGCTTCCACCTCCCAGGTTCAAGCGATTCTCCTGCTTCAGCTTCCCGAGTAGCTGGGATTACAGGCGCCCACCACCACGCCTGGCTAATTTTTGTATTTTTAGTAGAGACGGGCTTTCACCATGTTGGTCAGGCTGGTCTTGAACTCTTGACTTCAAATGGTCCACCCGCCTCGGCCTCCCAAAGTGCTGGGATTACAGGCGTGAACCACCACACTGAGCCCAGGACTAAAACATTTTTAATGTAGGTACTTGTATAAAGGAGTTCCATGGGGCATTTCAGATGTTGGCACAATGTGGCTGATTTCCCTTTAACACTGTGATGTTAATTGTATGGCTCTAAGAGTTCATGCTGAGCAGTAGTAATGTTGTTTTTAAAGATTGAGTCGAAATGACTTTTTACTCAAAATGATTTTTAAAAATAGTTTTCTGGTATCTCCTTGATAATATAGTGAATCACTTAAGTAAGAGACAAAGTCTGTCTTCAACCAACAAAAATAATAACGCCAGTTCCCCTCCCACCCCCAAAAAAGAAAGTTGGTCAGTATAGTAATATTAATTGGACTATTTTGCATCTCTTTTGTTAAAAGCTTAATTTGGTAAGGCAGGTTGTTTCTGTTACTAGATGGTTAAAGACCAAATCAGTATTTGCCAGTGATTCCTGTAGAGTAGGCTAAAAAGGAGGTGAAAACTCAAATCCCGTAATTATTATAAGCCTTATAGGTGTGGCAGAAATCCAGTCAGCTCTGGCCACTGGATTCCAAAAGCTCTGTCCAAGTTTTTTCCTAGGGTATTAACTCTTCAGATGGAGTTGTTTCTCCCGTACTCCATTTGAGAAAGGTAGAACTCTTTTTTTTTTTTTTTTTTGAGGTGGAGTTTTGCTCTTGTTGCTCAGGCTGGAGTGCGATGGCATGATCTTGGCTCACTGCAACCTCAGCTTCCCAGGTTCAAGCGATTGTCCTGCTTCAGCCTCCCAAGTAGCTGGGATTACAGGTGTCTGCCACCACGCCTGGCTAATTTTTATAATTTTAGTAGAGACGGGGTTTCACCATGTCGGTCAGGCTGGCCTGGAACTCCTGACTTCAGGTGATCCACCTGCCTTGGCCTCCCAAAGTGCTGGGATTACAGGCGTGAGCCACCACACCCGGCTGAGGTAGAACTCTTGAGAGAATGGGAGAATTTTTTTTTTTTTTAATCTCGCTCTCTCTCCCAGGCTGGAGTGCAGTGGTGTGTTCTTGGCTCACTGCAACCTCCACCTCCCAGGTTCAAGCGATTCTCCTGCTTCAGCCTCCTGAGTAGCTGGGATTACAGGCGCCCCCCACCATGCCCAGCTAATTTTTGTATTTTTAGTAGAGATGGGGTTTCACCACGTTGGCCAGGCTGGTCTTGAACTCCTCACCTCAAGTAATCTGCTCACCTTGGCCTCCCAAAGTGCTGGGATTACAGGCGTGAGCCACTGCACCTGGCCGAGAATCAGGTACTTTTTTTTTTTTTGAGATGGAGACTCGGTCTCTTACCCAGGCTGGAGTGCAGTGCATGATCTCGGCTCACTGCATCACTGCAACCTCCACCTCCCGGGTTCAAGTGATTCTCCTGCCTCAGCCTCCTGAGTAGCTGGGACTGCAGGCATATGCCACCACGCCTGGCTAATTTTTGTATTTTTAGTAGAGATGGGGTTTCACTATGTTGGCCAGGCTGGCCTCAAACTCCTGACCTCAGGTGATCCACCCACCTGGGCCTCCCAAAGTGCTGGGATTACAGGCGTGAGCCACTGTGCCCAGCATTTGTTAATTTTTAATAAGTATCTATGAGATTTTGCAAACCAGCCCACCAGAGTCTCATCTGGAAAGTCACTGGCCTTTCCCCATGGGCAGCTGCAGCAGTGGTGTGTATCTTTCATTTGTTGCTTTAGCTGTGCAGAGGTTGTCTGCTTTACTCATACCAGTAGCTCATAGTGTTCTGACCCTCTTGCAGTCAGGCAGCCAATATGATTGGAGGACCTGCCACTCTCTGGACTTGCCTTTCAAATAGCTCAGCGTTTAAGTCCTTGTGTGGTTTCAAGACCTGAGGATGGTGGAGTTTCAGTGGTAATACAAACAGGGTCACTCAAAAACTATTTCTGGTTTGCCTGTAGAATATGCAATATGTTTGTTTTGCTAATTTTTGGAAGGGGATGGATGAGGGAGATTTTCCTTCTGAATTGTATTTGGTTGATTGAACAGGCATGAAAATTATCGTCTATTTGCAGAGCGTACATCAGCTAGTGGAGAGGGAAGTGGCATGCCTTACAGGTTTGCTAAGTGTAGGAGAAACCAGTCTAGAAATTACAAGTGAATAATTCCCCAAAGCAGCTAATGAAGAATTGGCTATAATTCAGTTTGTTTTTTATGAAATAGATGAGTAATTGATGGTATGACAAGTGTATTATGCTAATGGAATCATTTAATATCTTATGTTAACACCCACCTAAAAGGAATACTAAGTTAATTGATGTCTATTTAAGGAAAACCCTGTAGTGGTGTTGAATGTCAGAACTCATGATTTGGTTGCAGCTACTCCTTCAGTCTGCCATTCCAGTTTCAATTTGACAATTTTTTCATCAGAATTATTTAACACTTTGACTCCTCTATTTGAAGCTTTTTTCCTGAAACTTGTATAATGGTAGGTCGAGGACTTCACAGGTGTTTATGAAGAAGTTGATGAAGAACAGTATTCGAAGCTGGTTCAGGCACGCCAGGATGATGACTGGATTGTGGATGATGGTAGGTGGGGCGGAGGTGGGGGCGGGGATGTTGCTTCCTAGGCACTGTGTTAGTTGCTTCTTGTAGATTCTCACTCATGTGGTGGAGTTGCTGCTTTGCCTGGGCAAATGTAAGGCACTGTTAGGATCTTACCTTTGGTTTGGATTTTCCTTTAATTATTTGAGGATGAGGAAGCAGAATAGCAGGACATTTATTTGGGGATATTTTGGAGAATCTAGGCACATACCTCAGGATGTAGTATAAATCCTCCAGGTAATGGCTGTGTAAGAATTGGGAGGAGCCCCTTGTCTGTGGGGCCAATGCACAGCGCTTGGAATTAAGGAATGCAGGTTCGGGATCCATCATTCCTACTTTCCAATTCTATGACCTTGGACAAGTCACTTAATCTCTCTGCGCCTTAGAGTCTTCATCTGTAATATGGGGATGAGAAAACTACCTTCTCCCAGAGTTGTGAGGTGTATATGAGGTTCTAGGTATGAAAATTAACTTGGTCAGTAGAAAGCACCATACAAAGGCTGGTCCTAATGTCCTGTGCCCCTTCTGAAAGCTCATTGGTTCTCACTTGTAGGGTCTGACTTCATGGCCATGTGAATGCTGACCACAGGGAGCATGTAGATTGTGCCTGTGACTATTTATGTTTCTACTTGTGTAGTTGGATTCAGCTATATTGCCAGTTTTCCCTTGTAGACTGGGATATCTCTCTGGGCTTGTGGTAATCTTGATTCTTTTACTTTTTATTCTTCTGGTAGAGTAAAACTGCTATAAAGCATCCTATTGTGGCAGACTTTGATCCTTTGGGCCAAATCGTTTCCTGAGGTCACCTGACTAGGTATAATATATATCATTTGGTTTTGACTCCACACCTGCTGTGTGGATGCTGTGCATTGTCTGACACCTGTGTGAACAGAATTCTGCTGCACTTAAAAATAGCACAGGCCAGGAAAACATCTGAGCAGGTATAAAAGGTTTTTTTGGTCATGGCTAAAATATTATTGGCCACTTTTAGAAATTTGATCCCAGTATTAAATTTTGTCCCTGCAGATGGTATTGGCTATGTGGAAGATGGCCGAGAGATTTTTGATGATGACCTTGAAGATGATGCCCTTGATGCTGATGAGAAAGGTACCTACCTTTTGTTTTCCAGGGTGTTGTTTTGAGATTTAAAGAATTCTCTAAAATTAGAGATGACTTGATACTCTGATAGTTTACCTTTGAGAGAAGGACCTAACTACCATTGTTTTTAGATACGGAATATGTTCTAAGATGAAGAGAAGTATGGTTTTGTGGAAAATTAAACATAAAAAGCAGAAACAACATCAGGAAATGAAGTTTCATGTCTCTGTTATTCAAGTAGTGTGGTCTTTACTTATTTTGAAGTTTTCAATCCCGTGGTCATTTAAAACTTGCTGATTTTGAGGGCTGCAACAGTAATTGATCTTTTTTAATTCCTACTGAAGTTATATACTTAGAATTTTAGCTCTTTGCTAATTGTATAGCACAATAACAAGGTTTAGAACTAGAGTAATCAGCTTGCTTTGTCTAATTGAAATTTAAAATAATATGGTGAATGTGTCAGATTGTCTTAGCTGTACAATCATTGGCAATTTTTTTTTGAGTAAACAATCCTGATTTAGTTCCTGTAAAATGGGAATGGAAAATTCTCTTCAGTATTTTTTTTTGTTTAGTTTGTTAATTAGTTTTCTACTACTGAGTGGTAGATTGGGGTCAGCAAACTATGGCCCTCTCACAACCAGTTTTTGACAAAAAGTTTTATTGAGATACAGTTCACATACCATACAATTCACATATTTAAAGTATACAATTCAGTGGCTTTTAATATAGTCACAGAGTTGTGCAGCCATCACCACAATCAATTTTAGAACATTTTTGTTACCCCAAATGGAAATCTTGCCTGTTTTTGTGTGGCTCTCGAGCTAAGAATAGTTTTTATGTTTTTAAGCGGTATTTTAAAAATAAAAAATGCAAAGAATATGTAACAAAAGAATATGTGACCAAAAGCCTAACATCTGTGCTGTCTTGCCCTTTACTGTCTGGATCCTCATTTGCAGAATAATATTTTGCACCATTAGTTTTCTCTCTCCTTCCAACCACATACACAGAGACTTTTTGCTCAGTGAACTTTTAGAACTTCAGCAGTGACCTCCTAAGAATAAGGATACCTGACTACTTAACCACAATAACATTATCATGATATTATCTAATATATTGTCTGTATTAAAAGTTTCCCAATTAGCCCAATAGTATCTTTTAAAGCTATTTTAAATGCAGACTCCATTTTTGTTTTCATGTCTCTTTAGTCTTTTTTAGTGTAGAACAGCAACACCTCCCCCCCTCCCCTGCCCCTGGCCTCTTTTTGTCTTTCATGACATTGATTTTTAAAGGGACCAGGCTGTTTGTTTTGTTGAATGTCCCACAATCTGAGTTTTGCCCAACTACTTTGTTGTGCTTAGATTTGGGTTAAATATTTTGGCAACAATAAATAAATAGTTATAAATAAATGCTTTGTCAAGACCTACAATATAAAGTCTGTCCTTCCCATATCAGGGGCATATGACGTCACTTGTACCATTATTGTTGATACTAAGTTTGATCTTTTGGTTAAGATGATATTTGTCAGATTTCTTCCTTGTAAAGCTACTTTCCTCCCTTTTGTAATTAATGCAAAATAGGGGGTGATAATTTGAGACCATGTGTATATCCCATTTCCCCATGAATTGTTACCCAGTGCTTTTAGCATCTATTGTTGATCCTTTCTCTTCTTTTAAAAATTAATGCTTCAGACTCATGTATTTCTAAAAGATTTACTGTTCTAATTCAGTAGCCATTATTATCATTTTTCCTTTTTATGTTCAAATTATCTCAGATTTGGCTGGTGAGAGCCCCTTTAAGCCACCTCCTATGTTCTTTTGACATGGCTCCATCAGTCTTTGAGGATTTCCTTGCTTTCTGGGCCAAGAGGATAAGATGTTCCAGGTTTAGCTTGCATTCTTCCTGCCCTGGACCTGGAACCAACCATTTCTCCCAAGAATCCTGGTTCCTTTTAGTGGGGAATGGTATCCAGATATGGGAGATGGATGTACTCATTGCTATTGGGGTGTAACGGCTTCTAGGCCCTTTCAGTGAACAGAACAAGGAAATTATATATGTCATGAGTTCATACAGATATATTTGATTGGTTGAAATCCAACATCACTGGGTTCTTTATCTTCCCAATTCTATATTTGTATCTGCCTTCACCCTCAATGAAAACCCTTGTCTTCTAAAATACACACAAAATAATGTCAGAATCACTAAATCAATATCTGTACTAACAACCTTTCTAAGTAAAATTTATGATTTCTCTACAGTTTTATTTGTTCTTGTTATATATCCTAAGGGTCTATAGTCAGAGTATTGTGTTCAGAAGCTATATAAAGTAATTTTTTGTGTGTTTTGTATTGATTTACTATGTAGGTTCATTTTTTGTTTGTATTCAAATTTCAGTTTTAAAACCTTTTAATTTTACTTCTGAATATTGTAAAACATATGATTTAAAAATGAAAATCAGTAACTTTTTTATTAGTTTCTGGTTTATTACAAAAAAATAAGCATATGTATTTTTTTCTGTGTGATGTTATTTATTTATTCATTGATTTATTAGTTAAATTAGAATATGTGAACCATCTTCCTGGTTCTGCCAACCTGTATAATGTGGAAATTTTCTACACTGGTACCATTTGGTAGCAATGTGGCCAATTGTGTATTTCTAGTTTGTGTGAGTCCATGAAGAAGAGAATGAGCTCATGTGCCACTTTCATCTCCCTGAACTGAGGAGGCCTATGTTAGAGTTACGGTTCTATTGTTAATTGGCGGTGTCATCTTGAACTAATCCCATTACCTATCTGGACTTGAGTTTTTGTCAGCTGTAAATTAGGAAGTTGGAATGGACAGTGAGCTTCTCAAAGAAAGGACTCATGTCCTGGTAATCTCAGTGCTAATCACAGTAGTGGACTCAAAGTAAATATGTAGTTTTGTTGAATAAAGGAGCCATCTCTGTGTTTCCATAGTCATCATATTATCTCTTCCGAGTAATAAGTTACTGAAGAGAATGATTTGATCTGGAAGAGAGCTAGTCTTAGAAATTTTTATTTCGTGCTTTGCCACCACCATTCACCCACAAGTCCCCACTGTTTTAGTGTCCATTACTAGGAGCCCAGTAAGGTCACAAGATCCTAGGAAGGAAAATGGACTTCTGCAATGTACTTTAAAGGCTTATAAGAAATTACTAAGTTTTGCTTAGAAGTAAAAAGTCAACTATGGTGTGGCTCTAATTCCTGGGATGTTGTTTTCAAACAGAGAAAAATGGCCGGGTGCGGTGGCTCACGCCTGTAATCCCAGCACTTTGGGAGGCCGAGGTGGGCAGATCACCTGAAGCCAGGAGTTCAAGACCAGCCTGGCCAATATGGTGAAACCCCATCTCTACTAAAAATAGAAAAATTAGTCGGGCGTGGTGGTGGGCATCTGTAAACCCAGCTACTTGGGAGGCTGAGAATCTCTTGATCTCTTAAACCCGGGAGGCAGAGGTTGCAGTGAGCCAAGATCGTGCCACTGCACTCCAGCCTGGGTGACAGGAATAAACAAAACAAAACCATAGAGAAAAATATCAACCAAGTCCCAGTGAAGAAAAATTAGCAGGAAAATGCAATAAAACAAAACAGAAACACTAAACTGTGGAAGAATTCCACCTCAAATATTTACTTGTATTCAAATTTTTATCCTTCTGTCTAAATCCTGCCAACCTACAGTGGTGAGATTAAAGCCCTCTCATGAAGCCTTCCTTGCTATTCAAACCTCTGTTGACCTCCTCTGTTCATACACTATCAAGACCTGAATTTTATATACTAAACATTTTGACTATTAATTACATTCTGTTTTCAGAGTGCTCCAGATGATACAGATCTCCTGTCTCACATTTTTCACAAATGTCCTACAATCCTTTTCACAATCTTAGGCTCATGAAAATACTTTTTTTTTTTTTTTTTTTAATTTATTTTTTTATTGATAATTCTTGGGTGTTTCTCACAGAGGGGGATTTGGCAGGGTCATGGGACAATAGTGGAGGGAAGGTCAGCAGATAAACAAGTGAACAAAGGTCTCTGGTTTTCCTAGGCAGAGGACCCTGCGGCCTTCCGCAGTGTTTGTGTCCCTGATTACTTGAGATTAGGGATTGGTGATGACTCTTAACGAGCATGCTGCCTTCAAGCATCTGTTTAACAAAGCACATCTTGCACCGCCCTTAATCCATTTAACCCTGAGTGGACACAGCACATGTTTCAGAGAGCACAGGGTTGGGGGTAAGGTCACAGATCAACAGGATCCCAAGGCAGAGGAATTTTTCTTAGTGCAGAACAAAATGAAAAGTCTCCCATGTCTTCTACTTTCTACACAGACACGGCAACCATCCGATTTCTCAATCTTTTCCCCACCTTTCCCGCCTTTCTATTCCACAAAGCTGCCATTGTCATCCTGGCCCGTTCTCAATGAGCTGTTGGGCACACCTCCCAGACGGGGTGGTGGCCGGGCAGAGGGGCTCCTCACTTCCCAGTAGGGGCGGCCGGGCAGAGGCGCCCCTCACCTCCCGGACGGGGCGGCTGGCCGGGCAGGGGGGCTGACCCCCCCCACCTCCCTCCCAGACGGGGCGGCTGGCCGGGCGGGGGGCTGACACCCCCACCTCCCTCCCGGACGGGGCGGCTGGCCGGGCAGAGGGGCTCCTCACTTCCCAGTAGGGGCGGCCGGGCAGAGGCGCCCCTCACCTCCCGGACGGGGCGGCTGGCCGGGCAGGGGGGCTGACCCCCCCACCTCCCTCCCGGACAGGGCGGCTGGCCGGGCGGGGGGCTGACCCCCCCACCTCCCTCCCGGACGGCACGGCTGGCCAGGCGGGGGGCTGACCCCCCCACCTCCCTCCCGGATGGGGCGGCTGGCTGGGCGGGGGGCTGACCCCCCCACCTCCCTCCCGGACAGCACGGCTGGCCAGGCGGGGGGCTGACCCCCCCACCTCCCTCCCGGACGGCACGGCTGGCCAGGCGGGGGGCTGACCCCCCCACCTCCCTCCCGGATGGGGCGGCTGGCCTGGCGGGGGCTGACCCCCCCCACCTCCCTCCCGGACGGGGTGGCTGCCGGGCGGAGACGCTCCTCACTTCCCAGATGGGGTGGCTGCTGGGCGGAGAGGCTCCTCACTTCTCAGACGGGGCAGCTGCCGGGCGGAGGGGCTCCTCACTTCTCAGACGGGGTGGTTGCCAGGCAGAGGGTCTCCTCACTTCTCAGACGGGGCGGCCGGGCAGAGACGCTCCTCACCTCCCAGACGGGGTCTCGGCCGGGCAGAGGCGCTCCTCACATCCCAGATGGGGCGGCGGGGCAGAGGCGCTCCCCACATCTCAGACGATGGGCGGCCGGGCAGAGACGCTCCTCACTTCCTAGATGTGATGGCGGCTGGGAAGAGGCGCTCCTCACTTCCTAGATGGGATGGCGGCCGGGCGGAGATGCTCCTCACTTTCCAGACTGGGCAGCCAGGCAGAGGGGCTCCTCACATCCCAGACGATGGGCGGCCAGGCAGAGACACTCCTCACTTCCCAGACGGGGTGGCGGCCGGGCAGAGGCTGCAATCTCGGCACTTTGGGAGGCCAAGGCAGGCGGCTGCTCCTTGCCCTCGGGCCCCGTGGGGCCCGTCCGCTCCTCCAGCCGCTGCCTCCCGGGCGGCGCTCGCCGGCGCCTTTTTTTTTTTTTTTACTGTGGTAAAATATGTATAACATAAAATTTACCACGAGTGACATTTAGTATATTCACAATGTTTGCAACCATCACCATCATCTTGTTCCAGAACATTTTCATCATCCAAAATGGAAGCCCTGTACCCATTAGCAGTCACTCCCCAATCTCTCTTCCCCCAGAGCCTGACAACCATCAGTCAGCTTTCTATCTTTATGGATTTGTGTATTCTGGACATTTTACATTTCATATAAATGAATCATGCAGTATTTTATCTTTTGTGTTTGGCTTTGACTTAGCAGAAGATTTTCAAGTATCATGTTTTCAAGTAGCATGTATCAGTACTTCATTCCTTTTTACTGCTGAATAATATTCTGTGTGGATGTACTACGTTTTGTTTATTCATTAGTTGATGGACATTTGGATTGTTTCTACCTTTTGGCTATTGTATGTAGTGCTACTATGAACATTTGTGTACAAGTTTTTGTTTGAATGCCTGCTTTCAATTTTTTAGGGTACTAACCTAGGAGTGAAATTGTGTATATGTTGTGGTTTTTTTTTTTTTTTTTTTTGAGACAGAGTCTCGCTCTGTCACCCAGGCTGGAGTACAGTGGTGCCATCTTGGCTCACTGCAACCTCTCCCTCCCGGGTTCAAGTGATTCTCCTGCCTCAGCCTCCCAAGTAGCTGGGATTACAGGCACGCGCCACCATACCCGGCTAATTTTTGTATTTTAGTAGAGACCGGGTTTCACCATGTTGGTCAGGCTGGTTTCGAACTCCTGACCTCGTGATCTGCCCACCTTGGTCTCCCAAAGTGCTGGGATTACAGGTGTGAGCCACCGCGCTGGCATGTATATGTATTTTTATTTCCTTTTCTTTCTTTTTTCTGAGACAGATTCTTGCTCTGTCGTCCAGGATGGAGTGCAGTGGTGCGATTTGGGCTCACTGCAACCTCCGCCTCCTGGGCTCAAGCTATCCTCCCACCTCAGTGTCCCGAGTAGCCAGGACTACAGGCACATCCTGCCACGCTCGGCTAATTTTTTGTGTTTTTAGTAGAGACAGAGTTTCGCCATGTTGCCCAGGCTGGTCTCAAACTCCTGGGCTCAAGCAGTCCGCCCGTTTTGCCCTGGGAAAGTGTTGGGATTACAGGCATGAGCCACGGTGCCCGGCCCCTTTTCTTTCTTAAACAAAAGATAATGTTATAGAGGTTTTGTACTTTGCTTTTTTCTTGTAGCAAGATGTCTTGAAAATTACCCCATATTAGAACATAGAGAGCTTGTTTTTAATTATTTATTTCTATGTAGCTGCATAGTATTCCATGATAGGGATTGCACAATGTTTATTCAAATGGTTTCCTTGGAAGGACATTTAGATTATTTTGAGTAATTTGCTATTATAATGCCACATCCAATAACTCTGTGCATATGGCGTTTTCCTCAGAGAAAATTCCCAGAAGTGGGATTGCTGGCTCAAAGAGTAGCTACGCATAAATTTTTTTTTTTTTGAGATGGAGTTTTGCTCGTTGCCTAAGCTGGAGTACAATGGCGCGATCTCGGCTCATTGCAACCTCTGCCTCCTGAGTTCAAGTGATTCTTCCGCCTCAGCCTCCTGAGTAGCTGGGATTACAGGTGCCTGCCACCACACCCAGCTAATTTTTGTATTTTTAGTAGAGACGGGGTTTCACCATGTTGGCCAGGCTGGTCTCGAGCTCCTGTCCTGAGATGATCCACCCGCCTTGGCCTCCCAAAGTGCTGGGATTACAGGCGTGAGCCACCACGCCCAGCCCACTACACATAAAATTTTATTAGCTATTGCCTATTCTTTATAGGAGCTGTCCCATTTTACACTCTCATGAACAATGTATGAATGTCTGTTTCTCTACAGCCTTACTAACAGTGTTTTCAAGCTTTTGAATTTTTGCCACTCTGATATGTGAGAAGTGGCATTTCAGTGTGGTTTTCATTTGCATTTTTTTTTGTTTGTTTGTTTTTGAGACTGAGTCTCACTTTGTCACCCAGGCAGGAGTGCAGTGGTGCGGTCTCAGGTCATTGCAACTTCCGCCTCCTGGTTTCAAGCGATTCTCCTGCCTCAGCCTCCCAAGTAGCTGGGACTACAGGTGTGTGCCACCATGCCCGGCTAATTATTGTATTTTTAGTAGAGATGGGGTTTCACTATGTTGGCCAGGCTGGTCTCGAACTCCTGACCTCGTATTCCGCCCGCCTCGTGGCCTCCCAAAGTGTTGGGATTACAGATGTGAGCCACCATGCCCAGCCTCATATGCATTTCTTTTACATATGAAATTGATCATCTTTTCATAAAACGTAACTATTTATATATGTTTGTGTTTACTGCCTGCTTTCCTTTTGGGCTTTTTATCTTTTAAGTTTTTAAAAGTTCTTTGTCAGGGAAATTGGTCCTTTATCTGTGATACATATTGCACAAATTTTTTCTTCATTTTTCTTTTAACTTGGTTTTCTTTTTTCTTGGTTTTTCTTTTTACACCAATTCTGGTGTAATTGAATTTATCATTTTTTTTCTTGCAAGTGGATTCTGAGTCATAGAAAGATTTTCACTGGACCCAAATTGCAAAGGAATTGCTTTTTAAAAGGTTTTTGTAAAGTTTCATTTTTAAAAATTTTGATTTGTGATCCATTTGGTGTTTATACTGGTTTACTTCTTTACAAATGGCTAGCCAACACTACTTAATAAAGTCCATCTTTTCCTTAGTGATATGGGATGCCACCTTCATTATATATTAAATTTCCATAAGTAATTGGGTCTTATTCTGGACTTTATGTTCTGTTTCATTTGGTCTATTTGTATGCCACTACCACATTCTTATTTTTTTTATTTTTTTATTTTGAGACAGAGTCTTGCTCTGTTGCCCAGGCTGGAGCGCTGGAGTGCAATGGCATGATCTCGGCTCACTGCAACCTCTGCCTCCTGGGTTCAAGCGATTCTCCTGCCCCAGCCTCCCGAGTAGCTGGGATTACAGGCATGCACCACCATGCCTGGCTAATTTTTGTATTTTTAGTAGAGACAGGGTTTCAGCATGTTGGTCAGGCTGGTCTCGAACTCCTGACCTCGTGATCTGCCTGCCTCGGCCTCCCAAAGTGCTGGGATTACAGGCGTGAGCCACCGCGCCTGGCCTACCACATTCTTTCAATTATTCATTGTTGGCTTTTTTTTGAGATCAGGACTATTCTGGGATGAATCAGAAAGCGAGAGTAAAATTGACGGTATTAGAAAAGTTTGTAGGTGATTTACACATAGCCGTAAGAGAAAACATATGGCAAAAGTTTTGTTTGTTTTTTTTCTTTTTCAAGACAGAGTCTTGCTCTGTTGCCAGGCTGGAGTGCAGTGGCGCGATCCCAGCTCACTGCAATCTCGCCTCCGGGGTTCAAGCGATTTCCCTGCCTCAGCCTCTCGAGTAGCTGGGATTACAGGCATGTGGCAACCACGCCTGGCTAATTTTTTGTATTTTAGTAGAGATGGGGTTTCACCATGTTGGCCAGGATGGTATCGATTTCCTGATCTCGTGATCCGCCCGCCTCGGTCTTTTAAAGTGTTGGGATTACAGGCGTGAGCCACCGCACCCGGCCAGCAAAAGTTGTTCTTTAATGAGCAGATGTCTCTGTGCTGTTTAGTGTTGATATGACATACTGTGTATCTGGTTGCTGTTTCTCATAAAATGGAAATTAGGATGCCACCATATCATAATTGGTAATCCCATTTCTTCACAGTTAAATTTTCCTATCAGATTCAGTATACAGCTAAAGAGATGATCTCATGAAGGCTACTAGGCTAATTTCTTGGTTCAAGATTAGCTTTATCTTTTTATTTCTGTGGGGAAAACAAACCCAAATTCTCACTTTTTTAAAAAGCTTTTTATTCACATTAACAATAGCAGTTAAGCAGTCACACTTATGCTGATATTTAACTGGTATTTCATTAGTTTCTATAAAAACATTTGGCCCATGTTTTCTTGAATTAAACTCATTTAAAATATTTTTTCCTACATACCTTGTATAGAATCTCATAGTTTTGTTTTGTTTTGTTTTTTGAGATGGAGTCTTGCTCTGTCGCCCAGGCTGGAGTGCAGTGGCGTGATCTTGGCTCACTGCAAGCTCCACCTTCTGGGTTCACACCATTCTCCTGCCTCAGCCTCTGGAGTAGCTGGGACTGCAGGCGCCCACCACCATGCCCGGCTAATTTTTTGTATTTTAGTAGGGACAGGGTTTCACTGTGTTAGCCAGGATGGTCTCGATCTCCTGATCTCGTGATCCTCCCGCCTTGGCCTCCCAAAGTGCTGGGAATACAGGCATGATGTATTTTTAATTCTTAACATTTTTCTTCCCAATAGAGATCAAGTGACTAGGCTTTTAGTTTTCCATTTTGATTTTTGCTGATGCATGTTTCTAAATAATTCATATTCCAATAGGAAAAGATGGTAAAGCACGCAATAAAGACAAGAGGAATGTAAAGAAGCTCGCAGTGACAAAACCGAACAACATTAAGTCAATGTTCATTGCTTGTGCTGGAAAGAAAACTGCAGATGTGAGTTTCATGGTTTCCTTATTTTTTGTATTTTCCTTTGTGAGGTGAATTTAATATTTGATTATACAGATAACAGGTGCTCTGTATATATTTGAGTAACATTTTTCCAATTTCACTCACTAAGTTGGATGTAGATTTCTAAGTGAATTAAGGCACCTCAGTGGTTGGAACTTGCGAAATGGAAAAGAGAATTGAACAGAAAAGCTGAATTGAGAGTGTGTTTAATTTTAGTGAGTAGCAGGAAGATCATGGATTAAGGGCGAAAGTAGAGGATGGGAGCTATAGATGTAGGAATGCTATATACACAGGTGGTTGTTAAAATCTGTGAATGTAGATGAGCACTCAGAGAGTGAGGAATGAAGAGGCAAGGACTAACTGGCTAGGTCCTTCCTTTCATATACATGTGTGTAGTTTTGGTGAGACATTTTAAGTGCAAGGCTTTCTCATGTTACCTTTCTTTATCATTTCCAGAAAGCTGTAGACTTGTCCAAGGATGGTCTGCTAGGTGACATTCTACAGGATCTTAACACTGAGGTAAATGAATCTCCAGGAGTTGTAAAATATGCAGAGGACATAGACTGAAGAAACACTCTAGTAATTATACAAAACAGACTATTGCCAGAATTTTTTCTTTTTTTTTGAAACAGTAGCTTGCACTGTTGCCCAGGCTGGTGTGCAGTGGTGCGATCTTGGCTCGTTGCAACCTCTGATTCCCAGGTTCCTCTTCCCTGATTCCTGCCTCAGCCTCCCGAGTAGCTAGGATTACAGGCACCTGCCACCACGCCCGGCTAATATTTTGTATTTTTACTAGAGACTAGGTTTCACTATGTTGGCCAGGCTGGTCTCGAACTCCTTACCTCGTGATCCGCCTGTCTTGGCCTCCCAAAGTGCTGGGATTACAGGCGTGAGCCACTGTGCCCGGCCTGTTGACAGAATTTTTTAAAATGTAAGAACGCCAACAAAAAACCCCCCACCAAAAAACAAAGAAACCCCCTTCAGATTGGTTTTATCCCACCATTTTAGGTGAGTATTTCCAGCTGTTAGAGCTGTGTGATTATGTAGATAGGGATGTGTGGGTGTGTGTTTGAAGTAGTAAGAATATACCCAGGAGTCAGTTCTGTGAGTGCTCACTGCTTGTGTTCAGTTGCTGTGGTGTATGTTCCCTAAATAGATTGAAGCCTGTCAATCTGCACAATCAGGTATAAGAGCCTTGTCTTGAATTCTGAGTGGGAATGAAGGAAGAGTGAGTGAACTATCCCTGATAGAACTCAAACAGGATTAGCTGCATTGTGAATTTGAGATTTGGCCATTTCCCATAAAGACTACGCTCTCATTTAGAAGTGTACTTCTTTTAAAGTGACCATTGATTAAAATGACTTAACAACAACACCATGTAGTTTTATCTTGACAATTTTTAAATGTAATATTCTCAAAGGGTCAGTGAAAGTATGTTAAATTTTAAGAAGAAAAAATTTGGGAGGGGGTAGATTTAATATCTATTTTAGTTTTCTTGTGATTTCTATAGTATTGTTGCTATAGTAACCACAGTACATGACATCGATGGGAGGGGGGAGGGGGAAAGGGAAAGAAAAGAAAGCTTTGCTTATTGGGCTTCAATGAGTGAAGAAGTATACTTTTTCTGTCTGTGGTAAACCAAGCATGGCAGTGAATATGTCTTACCTTTCCTTTTAGACACCTCAAATAACTCCACCACCTGTAATGATACTGAAGAAGAAAAGATCCATTGGAGCTTCACCGAATCCTTTCTCTGTGCACACCGCCACGGTAAAGTGTGTAGAGATACCTTCAATCTTGATTTATAGTATTGCTTTAAACTTATTTTGTTGCTTTTCTGTATGAGGGAAATACCTTTACATTTGTTTTTGATTTTTGTTTTAAATTAGGACTCCCATTCAATTTATAGTTTCATGTATTTCAAAAATAGCATGTGCCTGCCTTTTTCATAGTAAATTTGCAGTAACTAGTGTGTGTTTATTATAGGTATTACAACTGTGGTAAATGCAATAATTTTCCTCCCAGAAGCAAGTATTTTTTTGTAAACCTAGGTAACAGTAAAATAATTGAAGCTGTTACATTAATAATACATAAAATCTTTTTATAAAAGGGAACTGTCATTATCTTTGGTCAGGGTAGGACAGTTGCATATTTTTAGTATGTAGGTCTAACTGACTAAATATTTAAAAACGTTTACAGGCAGTTCCTTCAGGAAAAATTGCTTCCCCTGTCTCCAGAAAGGAGCCTCCATTAACTCCTGTTCCTCTTAAACGTGCTGAATTTGCTGGTAAGTGTGATGTCAGGCAGAATTGCAAGAGTGTTGAGTGGTTTCTGTCAAAAATGGAGGCCCTATGATGGAGGAGGTAGAGGAGATTTTGAAGGTGTTGTGATGGCAAGTTTAAATGTGAAGATTTGAATTCATAAAAATTTCAGTAAAAGTTAAAAACACCCAATTTGGAGATTAAAGAGAAATGCAAACATAGTATAGAAAAGGGACAGGCTGCTATTTTAGTGTTGGATAAGCCTTTGTGCGCCTTTGTGTGCCTTTGTGTGCCTTTGTGTCATCGCAATAACACATGACAAGAATGTGTGATGATGCCTACAGGCGATGATGTACAGGTCGAGAGTACAGAAGAAGAGCAGGAGTCAGGGGCAATGGAGTTTGAAGATGGTGACTTTGATGAGCCCATGGAAGTTGAAGAGGTGGACCTGGAGCCTATGGCTGCCAAGGCTTGGGACAAAGAGAGTGAGCCAGCAGAGGAAGTGAAACAAGAGGCGGATTCTGGGAAAGGGACCGTGTCCTACTTGTAAGAGCATTTTATGACTTTTCTGGCAAATAGGACCACAATTTTTCTGTTGGATTTTGAAAGGTTTTTGAAAATGTGATTTCTGCAGAGGAAGTTTTCTCCCGGATGTCTCTTGTTGGGACATTGATCAAGAAGGTGATAGCAGTTTCTCAGTGCAAGAAGTTCAAGTGGATTCCAGTCACCTCCCATTGGTAAAAGGGGCAGATGAGGAACAAGTATTCCACTTTTATTGGTTGGATGCTTATGAGGATCAGTACAACCAACCAGGTAATCATATATAAGGTAACTATATGCCTTTAACTCAGAGTAGGACTTTTCCCTTAAATATTTTATTTTTTGTTTCTTTTTGTGTGTTTTGTCTTTTTATTTAATCAGTTTATTTCTGTTTTTTTTTTCTTTATCCTTAAATACTTGAGTCACTGTAATTAGCTCAGGTCAGGCCCTGCCCTCACTTAACATGTATTGTAAGAGAGCGACACTCATTCATTGTAAAGTGAATGCGCCACCCTGATGGAGAAGAGCTATGGTGCGAATAATCCTTAAAGATGCTTATTCCAAAAATCAGTTACATATGGTTTTGGAATGTGTGTTTGTAGTTCACTATTGATGTGTCTGAAGTTACAGGAATGCACTTTAATTTAAAGGGAATCAGTCATTAATTTGTCTGTTTCTTCAGCAAATTTGAATGCCTATTGTGTGCTAGGCACTGAGATGGGATGAATAAGCTGGACAAATTCGTGCACTATAATGGAGCTTATGTTCTAGGAGGGTGGCAGTGGGTGGGGGCACATTAGCAGTAAATGAGATAAATTGATAAATGATGTAAAGAAAATTAGTTGGGCGATGGCCAGGGGAGGCCTGTCTGAGGAAATGACCACTGGGCTGAGATTTGAGGTATTTGCAGAGCTGGTGAAAGGGCATTTCAGCTTAACGAGCCAAGTACTAGCAAAGGCCTAGAGAGAGGAAGGAGGAGGCCTGTGTGGTTGTAGCATAGTAATCAAGTGACAAGATTGGTATAAAATGAAGCTGGAGATAAAGACAAAGGCCAGATAATGTAGGACTTTGAAAGCCTCGTTAAGGAGTTTGAATCTTCTAAGAGCAATGGGGTGGCATTGGAGGGTTTTAAGTACAGGGGGTGGTGGTCACGTAATTGGGTTTACATTTTAACAGGAACAGTGGTTTGTGTAGAGAATAAGCACTGTGGTGCATGTGTGCGTGTGCACACACACGTGGAGGGATGGGCTGGTGTAGGGTAATGGGGAAGTGTGGAAGCCCTGGAGATCAGTCAATCCAGGGCAGGGCTGCTAGTTACTTGGACCCTGGTGGCTGGAGAGGAGAGAAGTAAAGGCATTTGACATGTCTTTTGACACAAACTTGTTAATGGATTGGATGGGGGAGGTGACAGAAAGGAGGAATCAAGGATGATTTCTAGGTCATCTTAATGAGCTAATACTGTGAATTCTTGACTCACAAAAAGCCCGGAGGCTGTTCGGTATTCTTTTGTGCCTCTTTGAGCCCGTCTTCATTGTGGGACTGTGCATTGCAAGATCTGTCAGATTAATGTTAAATACAGTATGCACTCTTAAACAGAGTTGTCTTTATTTAGATCCTTTTTGGATCTGTGGTACATGCAAATAGTGTATTTTTCAAAGCGGTTTCCTGGAGGCTGTATCTAGTGAAAAGAGAGGGAGTACCTAGATGTCAGCAAAGCAAGCGTGTGAGTAAATTGAAGGCCACATTTACCTTAAAGATAACCAGGCATTGACTTTAATTGGAAAAATGTTAATGATCTCTGGCAGGGGTGGGGGCGGTCAGAAGCATTAATATGCTTCAGCTTATCAAATATATATAAACTCTTGAGCCACTTGAGTAGCACACTGCCATGTGTTAGTTTCTTAGGAAAAGATATAATCAATTTTAGAAATGATATCTTAATTTACTTTAGCTAGGACAAAATGATTTGATTATACCCCCTCACCTCTTTGACTATTTTGTTACTCTGCTGGAAGTCTGGCAAGTATGATTACATGAGGCTAAGCAGATGATTTCCCATCCATTGCTGAAACCCAGGGCTGCCCCATTGTACAACCTCAGGGAATACCATTTTCACGTGACTTTCCTGGAGCACAGCAGTGTGACTGGTGCTCCCTGGAGCTGGGCAGCACACTGGCCTGGCTATCCCAGTATTACTCCCCGTACTTTGCTGCATCTGCTCAATGCTGCATTTCATTCCCTATCTTGGTTAATGGTCCCATCAAAACCAGAAACCTGGGAGCCATCCTTGATTCCCTCCTTTTCCTCACTTTCCTTTCCAAGTCTGGTTAGTTTTCTCTGCCGAAAGTGGACAACTTACCTTCTCTTTTTCCTCATATCTACCACCCTGATCCCTTCTTGCCCACTGAAACAATTGCACCAGCCTCCTAATTGATCTCTTAGCTATCGTCTTCCACATCACTGCTAGAGGGACTGATCAGAAGGGCAATTCTGACCATGTCAGTCGTCATTAAAAAAAAAAAATCCTCAGTGGCTACTGCCTACAACATAAAGTCCAAACTGCTTAGCAAGGCTTCTGATGCCTGCTGTCTATGAATTTTGTTCCCTAGAAATAATTCTCTGTATGTACTTTTCTGCTCTTTATACCTGTGTTCCTTTACTCCTTGTTTTTTGTCTGATTGGAATGTGCTCATCTGACTCATTCTTTAAAATTCAGCCCAGATGTTATCTCCTGGGAGTGTACCTAAACCTCCAGACGGGTCTAGGAGCCCTTTCTCCTTGTGACTACATCATAGCCTTTCCCACTGTAGCGTTTGTCCTATTATTTTGAAATGAACTGAGTCTGTGTTTTTCTTTGCCACAAAGCCTGTAAGCTCCTGGAGGGCTGGGATCTTTTATTTCCAGCATCCAGCAGCAATGCCTTGCACATAGTACGTGTTTAATAAATAGTTGTTGAAATAAACTGCACAGTGACTGACAGTCCTGTAGATGCAGGTGAAAAATTTCAGAGACTAGTGTTGCATTTGCTACTATTCCTGAGTTTGCATCTTAATGCCTTGTAGCTTTGTGGGGTATGAGAATGCGTAACACAAAAGCAAATGGTTCCCCACTCCCCCACAACCCCACAAAGTAAATACATCCATAAGGCTTCATATTGCCAGCGTCAGTTGCCAAGGATTAGAACCTTAAGAAGCAACAACCTTCTTTCTTTCTTATTTGAAAATGAGTTGGTTATTTCTACATTTCGTTTACTGGCTGATACTCTTAGTAAACAGAGCATTGTTTTGCAGGGTAAGGATCTAGAGCTGCATTGTCCACTGTGGTAGCCACCAGCCACTTGTAGCTCTTTACATTTAAATTAATTAAAATGCAATACAAATTAAAATTTATTTTCTTGGTCACTAGCCACATTTCAGGTGTTCAATAGCAACTGTGGCTAGTAGCTACCATATTGGATGGCTCAGAAACAACAATTCCATCATCACAGAAATTTATTTCAACTAGTGCTGGTCTGTAGTGACAAGTGTTGGAAGATTGAAGCATTGAAGCACAGTTATATTTGCAAAGCAACCAGTTTATGATATATGATGGTGTTGAATTCCTGGTACTGACCATAGTCATGGATAGGCTTTTTCAACCAATATTGGAAAATATTTTGCAATTGAAAGAGATACTAATTTGTTATTGATCTGTCATCCAAATGCTAAGGCAGAATGAAATTTCTGGTGCTGGAGAAGGCCTCAGAGATCATCTAGTCTAGTTATGCACTTAAGAAACTGAGGCTCTGAAAGATATAATAGCTCTTTAGTGGTAGAAGCTTGGGCTTCTCACCCTCAGTCCACTCTGCTGTTCTGGTTCCGTGGTACTTCTCAAGTTGTGTTCTCTCCTATGGCACATCTTCTCTGTTATTGATGCCAACGGGTTAAATAAGATAGCTTAAAAAAACTCCTTTAATCTCAGAGTGTTGAACACTTTCATTGTGATAGCAGGTAATGATCACTGAGCTTTGGTGAAATCAATGCTGCTAATAAAAATGAAGTACTCCAAAAGACCCTGTTATTGTTTCTCACTTTCTAACAGATTCTAAGTAAGTCAGTTGTTGCTGAATGCTCCATAATTATGAAAAGAATCTTACTCTTTGCATATGGGAAGATATCCTGTCTTCATTATGACTTTTTCAAGGTTGAATAATCCTGACTGCACCTGGTTTCAGCTAGTAACTTTGGGGGGAATGTGATCTTTGTTTACCATGATCTTTGTTGTGTCAAATGAGGCATAAACAGTGTCAAATGTGTTGCATGAAGTGTGATATTAGTTTGACAGTAAAATGAGCTTATTTGAATCTTTGAATCCAATATTAGGGTCTTTATTTTTCTTTGCATAGCATTTTGTTTTTCCATCTTTAACTGTTGTGAGGATGACTTTTAATTTTCTGAGTTACTGTGATTTTTTTTCTTTCTTAATCTTCCCATAGTCCTTCCTTCCCTCTCCCTCCCCATCCACCCTCCGTTACCCCCTCAAGCTGAAAGTCTCACAACTCTTGTAAGAATTTTAATCATCTGCAGAAATGAAAATTCTTAGATCGTCTTATTTCTACCAGGATGTGTGAAAAAAGGAGTCACTGATGAGTAGTCTTTCAAACTGGGGTAATTGACCTTGTGAACAGTAGCCTTTGCATGTACCAGAATTTTCTTAGTGTCTCAGATAAGTGGCTGTGTTGAGTGGCTTTGTTGATTACTGCTGTCTAATTATTCATGGAGCCCAGGATTTTGCACAGTGACCATCTCCTGGGTTGACTAACAAATGTTTGCAGTCTGTTCTTCGTGGCCAATTTTCATAAACAATGATTTGATGTCTAAAAAGGTGTGGTTTTACTTTATGGTATTCATTACTTAAATTACTGAAATAGAATAGAAAGGAACATTATAAACACTTACCTAGTTAGATGTCCTAAGTAGCTGTGAGGTAGAAAAGGTGAAATAGAAGATAATAGTAGTCCCTATTGTGAGGTATTTATTATTATATGGAATAAGAAATAAGAAGTAAATTATGTTTTTTGTAAACACAGTTTTACATATAGAAAAACACTGATGCACTAGTTATCCTGATACATGAATATTGGTTTTTATAGGTAAATACAAGCGCTAAAAAATTAGAATTATATTCTCAGATCTGTAATCTCACAAGAGGCTTAATTATGAGATTTGTTGGAAAATACTTTCCTTATGTTTGTTTCTCTTTTTTTTTTCTTGAGACAGGGTTTTGCTGTGTTGACCAGGCTGGTCTCAAACTCCTGAGCTCAAGCGATCTGCCCACCTCGGCCTTCCGAAGTGCTGGGATCACAGGCATGAGCCACTGTGCTCGGCCTGTTTTGTTTCTCTTAATCTGTATAATCCTGGTTGTGGGGAAAGTGTTTATGCAAGTTAGAGAATCATTCTGTCCCCTGTCCTCCCAGTGGTCATACACTGTATCATTGTGTTAGTGTAGTATGGCATCAGTACTGAGTAAAGAACTGGTCTTGGGGAGTGGGAAATGGATATATTTGCTGTCAAAATGAGTTATCATGAAGGTATAAATGTGTGGACACATTCAGTGAGCCTCTATATTGTTCCTTTAATTAGGTGAAATTGAAATGTTTCTTTTCTCGTGATTTTCACTTATTCTTTCAGGTGTGGTATTTCTGTTTGGGAAAGTTTGGATTGAATCAGCCGAGACCCATGTGAGCTGTTGTGTCATGGTGAAAAATATCGAGCGAACGCTTTACTTCCTTCCCCGTGAAATGGTAAACATTAGTGATTAGCTTTTAGTTCTCAGTCGTTGTATCTGCCACACATTCTGTGTTTTGCAGCCAGCTCTCTCTCTTTCAATAGGGCTACAAATTCTCTACAATCCTGATGCTTCTTTCTTGCTGCTTGCCTGGTGACCACTGATTGTCAGCAATTCTATTAGAGGTTGGGAAAAGTAGAAAAAATAAAGTAGAACTCAGTTTTTCAACTAGTTAGAGTATAAAAGTTTCTGAGATTTAGTATATAATGCTTTCTTTCTCTCACTCCTCATTTCCATAATAATCAGGGTTGGAACTATAAGTCTCTAAAATGTGACATGGCATTTGGCCCAGTTTTCATGGTTTTGCTGCATAGGCAGCAGTGATATTCCCTCCATTGCCATTTATTAACAAGTTCAATTCTATTTGCTTCTTTTTTTTTCTTTATTGAGACGGAGCCTAGCCCTGTTGCCCAGGCTGGAGTGCAATGGCACAATCTCGGCTCACTGCAACCTCCGCCTTCTGGGTTCAAACAGTTTTCCTGCCTCAGCCTCCCGAGTAGCTGGGATTACAGGCGCCTGCCACCACACTGAGCTAATTTTTGTATTTTTAGTAGATACAGGGTTTCACCATGTTGATCAGGCTGGTCTCAAACTCCTGACCTTGTGATCTGCCCGCCTTGGCCTCCCAAAGTGCTGGGATTACAGGCATGAGCCACTGCGCTCAGTCTGCTTCTCCTTTTTTATTGGGACTTAACATCCCCATTTCCCTCTCAGCCCCTCCCTATATCAGTTGAACTGTGGAGTCTCTTGGTCAGGATTTACAACACTTATTCTTCCATTTTGTAGACTTGATCATCTTTATCGCTGATTTGTTTTTTATGATGCCATTGGGAGGAATTGGGCATTTGGTTTAGTACATTTTTTGGGTCTGTTTGTATCTTTGAACTTATCTGTAAGACTGCTATTAAATGTTTAAATGGGTGAGGATGAAAATTGATATAGACTTGGATTTTTGGTGGTTGAGAAGATCATTTATGTACAGATACTTTTTTTTCCCCTCTGTCCCCTTCTCTGGGATAACAGAAAATTGATCTAAATACGGGGAAAGAAACAGGAACTCCAATTTCAATGAAGGATGTTTATGAGGAATTTGATGAGAAAATAGCAACAAAATATAAAATTATGAAGTTCAAGTCTAAGGTTTGTATTTGGCGATGATTTTTTTCCAGCTCTGTTTGTTGTTTATTTTCTGATTTAGCAAATAGTTATTGCATATTTTCTTTGTGTAAAATGCCTTCTGTGCAGCTATAATTTATTGAATGGAAATTTCATAGGTATGAATGTAAAAACAGTATATTAGATTTGCAAAAATATTTTTTCTTTCTCTTTAAACTGCTTATAAAATAATGTTTATTAATTTGAATAGAAAGACAATCCATAGCAAATTAATTGCCTCTGGTGCTTGCAACATGTCTTGTGCTCTCATTCCCAAGTGCAGAAGAAACTGCTCTGATCTCGTTTATATTAGTTGTTGCCAAGATGTTTTGGTTAGAAAGTTAAGTAAGGTTTTATTTTTAAAAGTCAGGGACTATGATACAGTCTGATAGAATGAAAATCTCTGGTTCATGTGCTAGTTATGATACATTGTCTTGATTTTAGTGAGATATTGATGTCTTTGGCCATAATCGTGGGGGCTATAGCCTGCTCAAAATACTGGCTATTAATAATGATCGCAGGAAGGATTGAGTTGCTGAAGATAAGGCTAACAGTATTAACTATTTGAGTTTTGAATTGCCGCTGATGAGTCAAGTCTTTATAATTCTAGAAGCAATTGTGATATACTGGTGAAGAGCTTAGGTGCTGAGGCCGGACTGCTTGTGGTTTAAGTCCTAGCCCTATTACTTACTAGCATGTAACTTGGACAAGTGCTGAATGACTACTTTTTTTTTTTTTTTTTTTTTGAGATGGAGTCTTGCTCTGTTGTCCAGGTTGGAGTGCAGTGGTGCGATCTTGGCTCACTGCAACCTCCACCTCCTGGGTTTAAGCAATTCTCCTGCCTCAGCCTCCTGAGTAGCTGGGATTACAGGCACCCGCCACAATGCCCAGCTAATTTTTTTTGTATTTTTAGTAGAGCTGGAGTTTCACCATGTTGGCCAGGCTGGTCTTGAACTCCAGACCTCAAGTGATCCGCCCGCCTCGGCCTCCCAAAGTGCTGGGATAACAGGCGTGAGCCACCGTGCCCAGCCGAATGACTTCTTTATGCCTGTTTCTTCATCTGAGAAATAGGGCCCTATTTCAAGAGTTGCCGGAAGGGTTAAATCCATTAATTCATATTAGATGATGAGAGCAGTCCTTGCCAGATAGCCAACACTCAGTAAATATAAGCTATAATTATAATGCTAATTATTAATCTAGCAAGATGGAGTTGCTTAATATCAAATAGTAGCAAATCATTTAATGCATTAACATTGTAAAAAATTTTAAATTTTTATTGCCCCTCTTGCATGCAAATATTTCTGAGTTCTGTAGTGTCCAAGATGAGTCCTTTTAGCATTTTGACACTGGTTGTTTTAGTTCCAATTGAAAGAGGAAAGGGTACCTTTTTGGCTTCATTTACCTTTGTGTTCCATAAGGATTCTTGATGATTAAATACAAGAGCATGTATTGTAATACTGGTTAGTTTGTGAAGTTTTTGTCTTAAGGATTTTTTAAAATATCTACTTACCCAGCCAGTGGAAAAGAACTATGCTTTTGAGATACCTGATGTTCCAGAAAAATCTGAGTACTTGGAAGTTAAATACTCGGTAAGTCAAACAAAGAAAATTACTGGGTTTTGCTTGAGAATGACATTTTTCTGTTTTTGAACTTTCAACTGACTTTCAGTTACGAGTATTGGCAGGGCTTCTCAAGCCCACAGTTCATTGAGGTGGATTTATAGTAATGAATAATTGAAATGGATAAAATTAATTTAAGTATATAGACTACAGGTTACACTGCCTTTCTCTGCTTTTGAGTATGCATCTTTAAATAAATAAGTTGAAACAGCACGACTGTTTGTCAAGTGGAATGAATGCCACATGATGGAGTTGGACATCATTAGTCTGCTGAAGTGTCCCTTATGAGCAGTGGAAAGGTGAGAGAGGAGTGTCAGTAGCATTGCTATAGTGCTGCTCTTGCTCCTGTGACAGGCAAGGTCATTGCTATAGGATGTTAATTAACTGGACCTTAACCTCTTTTTACCTCTGTTCTAGTGTTTTGTTCCCACAACGTTGGAAAAGGAAAACTTTTAAGAACTATTTCTGACAGTGGTGATGAAAAGTATTTTCAATGAGTTCCACTCTGTTGCTTTCATTCTTCTAATGGAGTGGTACTTACTTGGCTATTCTTTATCAGTAAAGCATGTACAGCTCTGGACAGAAATTTTCTTTTGGGGGAGCTTCTTGGCCTATTTTTCTTCTAATGGGTGTCATCAAGATGCATTATTTTGTCATTGTGAATTGGTTTTGTTTCCTACTGTGAATTGTTTTGGATTTCATTTGTGGCAAATTACATTTCATATATATCAAAGGGGTTTTCTTCTGTGCTTCATAGAGAGGCTTTTGTTTATTTCAAATATAGACTTTGGAAAATGCAAAGTAATAGTTTTAAACAAAAAGATTCTTTTTTTTTTTCCTTTTTCAGGCTGAAATGCCACAGCTTCCTCAAGATTTGAAAGGAGAAACTTTTTCTCATGTATTTGGGACCAACACATCTAGCCTGGAACTGTTCTTGATGAACAGAAAGATCAAAGGACCTTGTTGGCTTGAAGTAAAAAGTCCACGTAAGGAAAAATACATGCTCAGAATGCTGAATAGATTGCTGATAGATGTGGTTTTTAAAAGGGAAGTTAGGAAATTGATCTATTTATTTTAATGTGTCTACTTCCTTTTCTGTTTGTTTCTTCAGTTTTCGTTGAGTGAGTATAGGGAGTACATTTGGAATCACCTTATCTCGGTAATGCCTGGCGGTTTAGTCTGAGGGAGGCCTTAGTTTGGGGTGCATCCCTCATTATGCTGTTATTCATATGTACTTCTGACCTGGCTGATGTGGCCCAGCTGTTGTGCATAGTGAACTGCTGACCTTTGAAGGAGAGGAGAATCACTATTCAATATGGATAGTGCATGTTTTTCCTGTTACCTGATGTTTTTCAGTAATTGCTTCTATGATAGTCTGCTTTGTCTTAAAAATGTTTCATGATTCCTCCAAGGCAGTGTTTCAGTTTTTTTAAAACCTATTTTGGGTCCTGGATGCTTTGGAGAATCTGATGAAAGCTATAGACCTCTTTCCCAGGAAAATGAACATATGTACACACACGTGAGGATTTGCATACAACCCAATAATGTGGCTTATTTTTAGTTAGATGTTACAATATGTCATTCTTATTAGAAGGCAGGGTTGAAGAATATGCCAGTTAATGACAGATGTCTTAATTATAGTAGTTTTTCTTTTTCAGTAAATAGCTATTGATCTGTTGTATCTATTCTCTTTCAGAGCTCTTGAATCAGCCAGTCAGTTGGTGTAAAGTTGAGGCAATGGCTTTGAAACCAGACCTGGTGAATGTAATTAAGGATGTCAGTCCACCACCGCTTGTCGTGATGGCTTTCAGCATGAAGACAATGCAGAATGCAAAGAACCATCAAAATGAGGTTTAAAAAATAGGACAGATTTTGTACCCATGCCTTAGATGTGTTACTTGCCTGAACTTGCACAGCTTTGCTTTAAGAGAAAGTTGTTCTTTTTGGAGGGGAAAGAATACTAATTCACTACTAAACTCTTATAGAGAATGAATTGAATTTGTCTAGTGTTGGAGTTTTTTCTTAAAGACTTAAATTGCTGAACTTATTTTTATTTTTGTCTATTAAATTTTTTACTTAGGAGAGCTTCAAATGGACACAGACAGAATAATAAAATGAACTCCCCATACCAATCACTCATATTCAGCAGTTAGCAAGATTTTGTTACACTTGTTTATTTCCCTCCTTTTTTTCTTCTTGAAGTATTTTAAAGCTAGTCTCAGACATTGTGTCATTTTCCCTGTGAACCTTGGTATGCTTCTCTCAAAATGTGGTATTTCTTATATAATACCATTAGCACACCTAATAACATTAACAGTGACTCCTTGGTATAATCTAAAATACCCAGTCCATACTTACATGACTCTGTCTCTCAAGATGCCTTTTAAAACTCAGTTTGTTTGAATCAGGATTCACACAAGATTCGCAGATGGTATTTAATCTATGTGCCTCTTGAATCTCTTTTAAACAGGAAGAACTCACTCCTACTCTCCAGTTTTTTTAATGACATTGAATAATTAAAGAATCATTGTTGGTTGTCTTGTAGAATATCCCGTTTTCTCTATTTATTTGCTTTGTTGTGGTGTCATTGGACTTTTCCTCTATACCAGGGGTTGGCAGGCAATCAATTGTCTGTGAGCCAAATCCAGCCTGCTACCTATTTGTGCAAGTCAAATTTCACTGGAAGACAGCATGTTTACAGCTGCTTTTGCACTATGACAGCAGAATTGAGTAGTAACGGTGACCATATTTAGGCCTGCAAAGCCTAAAATATTTACTGTCTGGCTCTTGAAAGAAAAAGTGTGCTGACCCTGCCTTATCCTTCATATTTCCGCATACTATAAGTGAGCTCTAAAGGATCAAATTAGATTCAGGTTCAACTTTTTTAGCCAAAATGCTTTATAGGTGATGCAGTGTACTTCATATTGCATCATATCAGAAGACACAATGTCTGGTTAAGCTGCTATTAGTTGACAAAGGCTGGGATCAGTGGAAAAAAATAACCTGCTATTAGTGAGTCTGTGTCTGATTAGCAGTTGAATGAATGATAACTATTGTAATTCTCCATCAGTTTTTCATCTAAGGTTTTTTAACTTTGACACTACAGGTATTTTGGGCCGGATAATGCTTTTGTGGGGTACTGTCCTGGGCATTGTAGGATGTTTAACAGCATCCCTGGTCTTTACTTTCTAGATGCCAGTAGCATCCGTCCCCTCTAGTTGTGACAACCAAAAAATGCCTACAAACACATCATCAGATGTCCCCGGGTCAGGGGATGTGTATGTGTGTATAAAATTACCCCCAGTTGAGAACCACTGAGCTAATGGCTTCATTTATTAGTCATTTTTGCCGGAATTAGTTAATTTCATTAGAAGTCGTAAAATGGTGATTTTTTAAAAATTCTGTCCATGGTTTTTAAATTTTTCTATAAAATTAAATTTTTTTCTTTAGCCAGTATTATTTGGTTATGCCATAATGGTTTACACAGGAAAGACAGGATAAATGCTTACTTCCTTCTCTTTAATTGCCAGTTGTCCTAGTAGGAAGTTGGGACCTATATTACATGCAGTCGTGACTGATGCTTTATTTATTTATTTATTTTTGTTGTTATGTTTTAACTTCCTAAGTCCTTTTGACATTGATAGGGATCTTTTTTAACAGCATTTTGTCAGTGTTTTCAGTATTTTCTGATTTTTTTTTTTAGTATGTGTTTTGATCTTTTTTTCTTTCTTTTTTTTGAGACAGAGTCTTACTCTGTTGCCCAGGCTAGAGTGCAGTGACATAGTCTCAGCTTACTGTGGCCTCTGCCTCCCAGGTTCCAGTGATTCTCCTGCCTCAGCCTCCCGAGTAACTGGGATTACAGGTGCGGGCCACTACACATGGTTAATTTTTAGCAGAGGCGGGGTTTCACCATGTTGCCCAGGCTGGTCTTGAACCCCTGACCTCAAGTGATCTGCCCACCCCAGCCTCCCAAAGTGCTGGAATTACAGGCGTGAGCCACTGCACCCGGCGTGATCTTTTAATAATAGTTAATACTGTAGATGGCCATAGTTCATAGTTAAGTGTTTGGGAGAAGTTTAATTAGTAGTTAAAATTTTAAGAAAGTATCCACCTCTAGTGTCCAGAATGAGGTTTCCACATTCCATTTTCTTTTCTTTTTTTTTCTTTTTTTGAGATGGAGTCTTGCTCTGTTGCCTAGGCTGGAGTGGAGTACAGTGATGCGATCTCCGCTCACTGCAACCTCTGTCTCCCGGGTTCAAGTGATTCTCCTGCCTCAGCCTCCTGAGTAACTGGAATTACAGGTGTGCGTCACCACATGCCCAGCTAATTTTTATATTTTTAGTAGAGACGGAGTTTCCCCATGTTGGCCAGGCTAGTCCCAAACTCCTGACCTTAAGTGATCCGCCCACCTTGGCCTCCCAAAGTGCTGGGATTACAGGCGTGAGCTACCATGCCCAACCCCATTTTCTAATAAAAGGAAATTGGGCGCTCTGGAGTAATGGCAGATTCAGGGAAGGAAATGTCCAGGATAAGTCTGGAACATCTTATTATACCAGAAAGCAACGACAGTATTAAAATCTACTGAAGATATGTCAAAAGGACTCAGGAATCAACTTGAAGAGTCTTCTACTGAACAAAGATGGGACAATGTGAGGGTAAGAATAAGTTGAACAGATTGCAACACATCAGATCCATGAGTTCATAATGATATTGTCTGCAATGACACCACATCGATCACTTCTGAAGGAAGCTGGGGAACCAACTCATTATTTTGAAAACTGATAAAGGGATTGAATGAAGGTTTTTGACTTTTCTGAACACATGCTATACCTCAGGCAACCAAATAATTGATGAGGGGAAGTTTCTCTTCATAGACGGTTTCCAGCTAATAAATGAAAGATAAATGGAATAGTACCACTTTGTAATTGCCGGTGAAATAATGGATCTAGGAAGTGATCACCAGTGGGTACTTATATCTCTAAGGTAGAGATGAGCAGACATTATGTGCCTGTGCCTTTGGATAGAAGTAATCAGCGCCTCTAAAGTATTCTTGCCCCAGAATTGAACCTGATTTTGATCAAGCTTTTAGACCTAACTATGAATTTATAGACAGTATGGAGACAGAAAAACAAGTTAAGTGACACTGTTGGGACACAAGTAGTAGAATCCATACTATGGGGCACTCTCTAGGACAAACAGCCTAGTTTCTTTAGCAAGTAAATTATAGGGGAATGACAGATGGGATAGGGTTGTACCTGTAGTTTTACATATCAGCCATTACAAAGTATGGTCCTTGTGTGGTAAATAAAATTGAGATAATTGGAAAATATGAAAATTTAAATTCTGCCTGGATAATTAATGATTTTAAGAAATTACTATTCATGTAATTGTATTAGGTGAGATAATTGTATTGTGATTATATTTTTCAAACTTCTTATCTTTCAGAGTGGTGGTGGTTGTCAGCTGGGTGAGATTTTGCCTCTAAGGGGACATTTAACAATGTCTGGAGACATTTTTGGTTGTCACAACTCAGGGGGTCTGGGAATGGTAATACTGGCAACTAGTAGGGAGATGCTGGGGATGCTGCTAACATCATACAGAGCACAGGACAGCCCCCACAACAAAGAATTATTTGGCCCAAGGTGTTAATAGCTCCATGATTGAGAAACCCAGTTTTAGAGATTGATGCTGAAATCTTCCCAGATAAAATGATGGGTTTGGGTTTTGCTTCAAAATAATCTAGAGAGAGGAAGGAAGTAGGTAGGGTTATAGATGAGTTGATAATTGAAACTGGATGATGGCTATACAGGAGTTAATTTTATTTTGTCTATTTTTAATGTGTTTACATATTTTTATAATAAAAAGTTTAAAGTATTTATTATTTTTCGAGACAGAGTCTCACTCTGTCACCCATGCTGGAGCGCAGTGGTGCGATCTCAGTTCACTACAACCTCTGCCTCTTGGGTTCAAGTGATTCTCCTGCCTCAGTCTCCCGAGTAGCTGGGATTACAGGTGCACGCCACCATGCCCAGCTAAGTACTGTATTTTTAGTAGAGACGGGGTTTTACCATGTTGGCCAGGCTCGTCTCGAACTCCTGACCTCAAGTGGTCCACCCGCCTCAGCCTCTCAGAGTGCTGGAATTACAGGCATGAGCCACCACGCCTGGCCAAACTTTTCATATGTGTTTAAATGTGTATCTTTAAATATTCTTGGTGATTTTGGTGAGAATGCAGAATGTATAGTAGCGGTCTGGTAAGTGGGTTTTTTCCTCCTTTCTTTGCAGATTATTGCTATGGCAGCTTTGGTCCATCACAGTTTTGCATTGGATAAAGCAGCCCCAAAGCCTCCCTTTCAGTCACACTTCTGTGGTATGTATTTTTTTTTAAGCTGGCTTACTAACAGCTTGATTTGAATTTCCTTATTTTTTCTCCAGCTATTGGATCAGTAACTTGTTTTTCAAAAATTGTTTTCAAGAATAGTGCATATTGTTAAAGAGGGTTTTGTTTTTTTTTGTTTTTTTTTTTTTTGCCATGGAAACTAAGTTTTATTGGGTTGGTTGCCTCCTATTCAGCTGGTTCATTTTTTTTTTTCTAGGAGAAGTCTGGAGTCTATTTGACATCTTTTTTTTGTTTCAATGGTTGCTCTACTGAGGTTGAGTAGTTTTTTCCTGGGTCAAAATTAGACTTTATTTTCTGATGTCATTCTAATAGCCTATCATAGAAGCTTGATCAAAGTTTTCTGTGTGATGAGGCAAGATGCCAAGGAATAAATATTTACCTATTTGGGAGGAGTTATAGTAATAAGAATTGGAGTTGGGTTGTGCTATGCATAAAATTCAATGGATGAAACAATTCCACCAAGTTCTGCATATGTGTTTTATGAGTCAGTCTCCAAGGAGGATTCTGATATATTCCATGTTGAGAGCTTGGCCAGTTACCTAAGCATTTTGCTGTTTTTTAAAAAAGGGAATAATACCATTGACCTATTATATTTCCTGGGATCTTTTTCAGCCCAGAAGCAGAGATTAACTTGGCGAGCCTCTCGTCTGGTTTTCTTGGGTGTTAGGAAAGTAGGACTAAAACATGCAGAGAAGGGAGTATGAGATATGATTGTTGTGAAGTTTTCCCCCTTAAGTGGGTGGAACACATGGAACAAAATGGTGATGAGAATAGCCTGGAAAATATGTAGAAGAGAGCAATCATGAGTTCATTTCAACACGCATTTATTCACTTCCTCTATGTACGTCACTATGTGAACAGCTGTTGTGTATGGTAAGGAACTTACAGTGTGTAATAGGGGAAGCTTTGGTCAATTTTACCTTTTCAGAAGGCTGAACTGAGTTTCTCCGCTGTATGTTGCTTGCGGCATTGGTGGTGGTGGGATTTCCTTTGAGGAAGACTGCTAAAATCTTCCATTCTGGCTTCAGTGGATAGATAGCAAATGTTTCATCAAAGCAGTTTTAACAACTGCAGGGACTTAGGGTTCTGTGCTTGACCATTCTTTTGAGGTCATCAACATGACCAGTGGAAGTATTTGATGACCCTCCTAATTCTTTAGGGTTGGGGGGAATATATTTAAGACAGTTTCGTTTGGAAACATGTACTATATGATTACCTGAAATTAGACTAAGATGGGTGTTGGAATCTTTATTTTTTTTCCTTTTTACAGTTGTGTCTAAACCAAAGGACTGTATTTTTCCATATGCTTTCAAAGAAGTCATTGAGAAAAAGGTAAAGTGCTCATTATATGAAGCACCTGTTTGTTTGGAGCGAGAAAGAAAAGGGGGGTGGTATGGACTAGTAGAAAAAAGGTGTTTTATATTTTATTAGATTCATTCCTGCCAGATTGGACTATGACATCGACCCATTAAAATGTATTAGACATACACCTAGAAGCATTATTTAACAATGTTTAAATGTTTTACTACCTGAAAATAATGGGATTCTGTACTGTATTGGTGGTTGGATAGGCTCAAACCCCCCTCCAATAGCTTAATTAGAAGCTTCTCTAAAATGCATGATCATATGATTCCTGTTTTGGGAAGGTGTTGGGTAGAGTCCCTCCCCAGCTTGAGGGAAGCTAAATGAAGTTGGGAATACTGTGGACGTTAAAGAGCCATGTATTGACAAAGTTGACATGGGGTTGGCCAAAATGGATCAGTGATCTCTAAATTCCAGCGTGCTCCATGAAGAAGTTTTCATGGGTCCTTAATAAAATGGGGAGGAGTGGGAAGTAGTATAATGTAGTGAATTTTTCACAAAGGTAAATGTATTCAATTAAAAGAATTTTCTTTTATGGATTGTATGTTGTTTCTTTTACGAAGTGATGATATTGATACGTTTTTAGGTTTGTTTTGTTTTTTAATGTCTTCATCTGACAAAAGTAAGCAACCTTGTCAGGTTCTACTTATTTTATTTAATTGGCTTGAGAAGTCCAGTAGTTGGGAGGTACTGTTAGATTAGGCTATTATTTGTGAAGTGCCGTGAATTACCTAACCAGGTAAAATGACCTAGGAAAATTCCATTAGAGTCAAACCGACTTTTTTTTTGAGACGGAGTCCCGCTTTGTTGCCCAGGCTGGAGTGCATTGGCGTGATATTGGCTCACTGCAGCCTCCACTCCCTAGTTCAAGGGATTCTCGTGCCTCAGCCTCCTGAGTATCTGGGATTACAGGCTCGTGGCACCACGCCCAGCTAATTTTTGTATTTTTAGTAGAGACAGGGTTTCACCATATTGACCAGGATGGTCTCAAGCTCCTGACCTCAAGTGATTCACCCGCCTCAGCCTCCCAAAGTGCTGGGATTACAGGTGTGAGCCACTGCGCCCAGCCACTTATAATTCTTAAATATGTTTGTTTTTAGTCTAGTTTCTTATTTATCAGTTCTCATCTTACCATTTGGGATTATTTTATACAATCCTTGGGATTTCTTTGCCCAGTAAATACATAAACAGTGAAGTCTACCAGGGATTATATAGGAAAGTAATGTTTTTGATAGGTACTCTGATTCATATGCTCTAAATGTGTCCAGATGCACAAGCATGTCCCTGTGGAGGGACATTTCTATATTTTATGTTGCTCAGCACTTAAAATATTTTGCTTTATTCACATGCTTATTACTAGAATGAGCTCCTCAGAGACTTTGAAATTATTACTATGAAACCTACAATCAGGAATTTCATTGCTACATTTAGTTTTGAAATGGATGGTTTCTTTTAACCCTAAGAAATCTTACCATAGTTGAACAAGAAGCCAAGATACAGTACTTGCGGACAGTAAAGAGTCGTCAGTGACTGGTGTGTTTTTATCTAACAGAATGTGAAGGTTGAGGTTGCTGCAACAGAAAGAACACTGCTAGGTTTTTTCCTTGCAAAAGTTCACAAAATTGATCCTGATATCATTGTGGTGAGTAGATGTTTGATCATGTTGTGGGGAAGCTCTTCATTTCTTAGTTCTTTTCAGTGTGACTTTATTGGTGCTTTTGAGCAGCAAATAATCTTTTCAGAGTAAAATGATCCTGTGGACTGGTGGGAATTGCTGCTAATAGGAGAAAAAAATAGCAAGCCCACTGCAAGATAGTTTTTTTTTTTCTCTAGTATAAAAGCAACCTATGACTTAGTGTTGAAGTTAAGGATTGTCTGGCTATTTATGCTTAGAGACCAGCACATAAATAAGTAAACATGTACAAATGGAGTTATCGCCAAAATATTGACTTAGTAGTTGTATAGTGGTCACAGGAGTTTATTAATTCCCTTGGTTTGGTGCAAATCACAAAACTAAGTATTTTAATTTTATGAGTTCAGTGGATCTCTATGACATATTCCTTTGAAAACTCAGGGCTCGGAATTGATTTTTCTCTTGACGATCCAGTATATCCCCACTAGATAGCTTGAGCTAATAATTCATTGAGCTATTTTTTGCCCCAATTCCTGAGAGTCATAAGGCAACATTTTGTTTTATATATCCTCTGGCCTTTCTAGTTTGTAGAATATGGAATTCCTTCATTTGTCTTTTTTCTAGGTTAATGGATCAATCATATTGTTTTTGTTTTTTCAGAGGAATGTAGGCTATAAATGCCTATATTTTGGATGTGATATGGGTAATTTGGGTACATTAAAGTCTTGCAAAAGTGTTTGCCGTATTCTTCCCTACATTCATTTTTACTCTTGGATACCTTATCTGGCAACTGTATAGCTAGCATCCTGAGTTCCTGTGGATAGGAAGCGATATCTCTGCACCCACTTCCCTTATGATATTTCAAGACCTATCTTTAAAGTTCCAAAAAGATTCTGTCCACAGTGTTGGACTGTGACATTCTGTCTCAGCACCAGGCCCTCAGTCAGCCTCCAATAACAACAGTTTCTTGGACCCCAAGGAGATGCCATGAAGCCTGGGAAACCTGGCCTGGCTTCAGGTGTTAGAGCCAAGTCTATGCGTGAGAAATCTAGATGTAAGATGGAATTCTGACATGAATATGGGTCCCTGATTCTAGGTATTATAATTTGTAAGTGAGACTTCCTCAAGGCCTTTGGGTCTTCTAATTTAATAAGCAAAACTGCTATAAATATCTAGTGGTAAAATACATATAAAATTAACTATGTTGACCATTTTATAGTATACAGTTCAGTGGTATTAACTACACTCATAATGTTATACAACCATCACCACGATCCATCTCTGTAACTCTTTTCATTTTGTAAAACTGAAACGCTGTACTCATTAACTTCCCATTCCCCGGCCCCTGGCAACCACCATTCTGCTTTTTGTTTCTATGATTTTGACTACTCTAAGTAGTGGTATATATTTTTAATTAAGTTTAATAACAAGTATATTTATTGATGTGAATTATTTTAAACTTCATCTAATTTTTGATAAACATAGGAAAGTGAATCATGTTCACGTGTTGGAAATTACGGAAATGAAAAATCTAGTTGCATTTTTGAGATAATTTCTACTCTATATAGTTTTGTTTCTTTGTTTTTAACAAGTTTCTTATTTGAACTATTTAGTGGTATTATATATTTATCTTGTTGCATATCAATTATGAGTCTAAATCAGTAGTGTTTGAACTCAATTTTTAAAAAGAAGCTAAATGCAGTTCCTGAGTTTTCGAAGAAGTCTTACATAAACTGTCATACAACACCAGGCAGGTTCTGTGTTTTTAAGGAAGCAAAATGGAATTATTTGAATTTAGCTTTTACCGATCATATGAAAAGTATGGGACATTAAATTTGCATTTTCCTCCGAGACCGTAAGGCATGAGCTGCAAATTAAAAGATATCATATGAGCCTTGCATCAATTAGGATGAAATAAAGTTTATTCCAGCAATCTGCTTAGCAGCCTTGTTAATGTCAAGGCTAATGAGTGCTGCTGATGAATAAATTCCTGAAGAAGAAAGGACCCCCAATCGGAGGTAAGTGCATGATGTCTTCAATTAGAGACTAGAAAAAGAAAGGGCAAAGAAATTCTGTGCGTATGAAGATAAATCCTCTAATTTGCATTTGTTATAACATTATCAGCTGCCTTCTTTTTCTGACTAGGGTCATAATATTTATGGGTTTGAACTGGAAGTACTACTGCAGAGAATTAATGTGTGCAAAGCTCCTCACTGGTCCAAGATAGGTCGACTGAAGCGATCCAACATGCCAAAGCTTGGGGTAATAATAATTTTCAAAATCTTATTTATCTATTTATTTTAATTTGGGATAGCTACCAAGGAACACACTATACTTTTTAAAACAGGAATTGGTTATCTTGTTATGGGAACTTCAGTACATTTTAACTTTGGCACTAAACATCTTTTCCTTTGAATTCAGCATTTTATTTGTAAAAGCCTCTGGTAGTTTTGGCCGGGCGCGGTGGCTCAAGCCTGTAATCCCAGCACTTTGGGAGGCCGAGGCGGGTGGATCATGAGGTCAGGAGATCGGGACCATCCTGGCTAACAAGGTGAAACCCCGTCTCTACTAAAAATACAAAAAATTAGCCGGGCGCGGTGGCGGGCGCCTGTAGTCCCAGCTACTGGGGAGGCTGAGGCAGGAGAATGGCGTGAACCCGGGAAGCGGAGCTTGCAGTGAGCCGAGATTGCGCCACTGCAGTCCGCAGTCCGGCCTGGGCGACAGAGCGAGACTCCGTCTCAAAAAAAAAAAAAAAAAAAAAAAAAAAGCCTCTGGTAGTTTTTAAAATCATTGGTTAGAATCTAGGGATAGTGAACAAAGACAGCCCATACATGTTACCTTCACTTTGTCATTCCTGAAGTGATAGCCCTTAGGGCAAGGTTGCATGGTTCAGAAATCGTTGAGTGCTATCATTTAGGAAGAAAATGGGAAGAATGAATGGAAGGGAGTTGATGTTGGTTGTATAAGAACGCAATATTGCTTGCTGATATCTTGTAATAAAAAAAAAAGGAAAAAAGAAGGCAATAAACTAAGTGCTTTCTGTGTTAGTTACCTCTCATGACAACTCCAGTTTTATTTTATAGACAGTCTCATAGGGGTAACGTAACTTGTTCTGGATCATGTAAGTAGTAAGGGGAAGAACTGAGATTTGAACCCAGGCCTGGGTGACTCTTAAAGCCAATGTGTACTTTTCATTCTGCCTGCTTGCTTCATGTATGGAGGTTTTGGCAGTTTTTGTATGAAGCACCTTCTTCCTAAACCTGATACTGCTCAGTGCTTGAAATCTTATTTTACTTAAAGCTTATAAATAAAATGGACATGTTGCCTCATCAGATAAGTTAGGAATCTGTACCTTTTTCGTAATGTTCTCTAGAGGATTCTGCCACTACAGATCAAAGTTGGGGCCACTGCTCTTGCTTCTTTTCTTATTCATATCTTTAAGGTGGTAGAGTTGTTATTAGCACTTCATCTGAACACTTGCTTAGCTTTTTACCCCCTTCAAGATTTTCTTTATGTGGCATCTTCTCAGTGAGGTATACCCCATTACCCTATTTAAGATGGCAGTCCCCCCGTATTCCTTGTACCCCTCACCCTGCTGTTTTCCCATTTTCCATCCACTTGTTACCTCCTAAAACTATATAATTTCTTGTTTATGATGTCTGTTTTTTATTATACATTTCAAATGAGGCCAGGAATCCTTTCTGTTTTGATCACTGCTGTATCCTGAGTGCCTAGAATAATGTCAGATACATAGTAAATGTTCAAAAATATTTGATTGATGTATGGAAGAATGAGAGTTTTATCATAATTTTGGGCCAGCTTCAAAATAGGTTAGAAAGAAATGTTCTCAGTGTCTGCTCTTTCATGAAGTTTGCTTTTTGTTCCCATCTTGTAGGGCCGGAGTGGATTTGGTGAAAGAAATGCTACCTGTGGTCGAATGATCTGTGATGTGGAAATTTCAGCAAAGGAATTGATTCGTTGTAAAAGCTACCATCTGTCTGAACTTGTTCAGCAGATTCTAAAAACTGAAAGGGTTGTAATCCCAATGGAAAATATACAAAATATGTACAGGTATGATCCTAGATTCTTCAGAATTCATCTGTCTTGAAATTAACAACAGCAGGACACTACTAGTACTATCCTTAGTCTGGAGGGACATGAGCCAGTGGTGTTGTAGAGGGGAAATTGTCTCTACTACTTTCATAATTTGAACTAGTTTACCTCTTGAATTATTGTAATTGATCAGTTTATCTCCGTCTCCCTCACCTGTGTTAACACTATCTTGATGTTTCCTAACAGTAGTTTGGATTTAGATTTCTACTCTTAATTCATTTATTCAGGAATTAGGGTAGATATTTTAGAAATATAAAAACTGAGCAATCATTAAGTTAGAGGTATTGCTTGCTTATTTCTTCCTCCTACTCCTCTGGCCATCTCTCATTCATTCCTGCTAGTTCTTCCTGAGTTCTTTCTTGGACTTCTCTTTTCTGACTTTGTTCTTTCTCTAGGTGATCTCATTGAGTCTTAGGAATTTAAATACCATGGGATGGCTATGCTTCCCACCTGTGTATCTTCAGGTTAGACCTCCCTAAATTCCACACTCAGTGTATCTGTTTTACCTATTTTACTTGATATCTAATGTGAACTCCCAGCTTGTTCAAAATTGAGCTCTGATCTTCTATCCTAGGTTCTTCCTATAGTCTTTCCTTACTAAATTAATAGGTGTATTTTTTCCATTATCACTGGAAACTTCCAGAGTCTTACTTAGCCCCACATGTCTGAGGCATCTTTAATTCCTCTCTCTGATATCCCACAGTAGATGCATCAGGGTATCCTATCAGTTCTATCTTCTAAATAGATCTAAGTCTGACCACTTCTTTTCAACTGCATTGGACCCATCCTATCCAAGCTGCTATCCTCTTTCCCCTGGATTACTGGGTTTATATGCCTATCCCCTTACTTTTGCCCTTACCCCCTTGTGGTCGATTCTCAATCCAGAATCAGAGTTATCCTGCTAAAATCAAGTCAGATGTGATACTCTGCTCAGAACCTTCCAGTGACTCTCTGTTTCATTCAGAGTAAAAACTAAAGTCCTTATTTTTACTTACAAGGTCCTTTACAATGTGTCTCTATGTCGTTAACTCTGTCCTTATCTCGTACTGCTCTTTCCATCATTCTCTCTGATCTAGCCATATTGGCCTCTTTCCTAGTCCTGGAACTGTCAGATTTGCACGCAGCTCAGGACTTTTGAATGTGCTATCCTGTCTGCCTGGAATGCTCTTTCCATAAGGCTTGCTCCCTCACCTCTTCAAGATCTTCATTCTCAGTAAAATCTTCCACTGTTTCCTAACAAAAATTTCAGTCTCTGCTTCTGATACTTAATATTCCCGTTGCTTAACTTTTAACATTATATAACATACTATATACTTAATTTCTTTGTTTTTTTTTATACTCTGTCTCCCCCGTGAGGACATAAGCTCCAGGAGGATAGGAAGTTTTGTTTGTTTTGGTCACAGCCAATGCCTGGCATATAGTAAGCATGCAATACATACTCACTGGATGGAATGAATGAAAGGATTTAGGTAGTTTTCAGGCTTGTAGTTATTATATTACTTCAGTTTTTCCTTATGGGATTTTGTGTGTGTGTGTGTGTGTGTGTGTGTGTGTGCGCGCGTGTGTGTGTGTGTGTGTTTTGGAGAAAAGCATTGGGATCAGTGGTATGAATGAATTCCTAGTTACATACTGACCTTATTTTAAATTGTTTCTGAAGCCAAGGTGCTGTTGCTCTGAATTTACTTACACCCAGAATTCCTTATAATATTTTGTGAAGTTCTGATTATAGGCATTGTTTCTTTTAATTACTTGATTCTGTTTCATTCTTACTTTTCTGTACAGTGAATCTTCTCAACTGTTATACCTGTTGGAACACACCTGGAAAGATGCCAAGTTCATTTTGCAGATCATGTGTGAGCTAAATGTTCTTCCATTAGCATTGCAGATCACTAACATCGCTGGGAACATTATGGTAAATTTAACTTAGAAAGGGGGAAAAAGCATTTCCTGTTGGATTCAGTGTTTGCTTGGGGTAGTTGTTATATGATAATGAGTCTAAATGCATGCTTATAAAATGAGTAACTTGGATTCTGAAAGCTGGATTTCTTTTGTAAAAGGAAGAACTGGTTGGGAGAAGGGGAGGAATGCCAGGTGCAGCGTGTTGAAATTTGGGTGAACATACGGATCATCTCTCTAACATCTGGATGTGTCTTTTTAGTGGAATGGTCCATTTGGGAGTAAATAAATAGCCAAGTTGTCAATATTTTAAGCTCTCTTTGTCTCCTTTAGCTATAATGCTTAAAGAAAACGTTAGGAATAATTTAGTACCTTTTTTTTTTTTAAAAAAAAAGCAGACCGTTATTAGGAATAGTTTTGAAGGAGGTGCTGTGACTAAACTTACTGACTCAAAGTTGCTTTTGTTAGTTGTGGTTTTGAGCTCAAATTTAAAAAATAAATTCCATTTAATAGTCCAGGACGCTGATGGGTGGACGATCCGAGCGTAACGAGTTCTTGTTGCTTCATGCATTTTACGAAAACAACTATATTGTGCCTGACAAGCAGATTTTCAGAAAGCCTCAGCAAAAACTGGTGGGTCCAAAACTGTGTAGTATTTTGTTTTCTCTTAACCCCCCCCCCCCTTTTAATACCTAGATAGCCTTTTTTTTCTGTGATAACATCTGCTTTCAAAATAGCTAATCCCTTGTGTACTAAAGAAACCGTGTCAAGTTTATTCCCTTGTTTTTGTGTGGTCATTTCCTTTTCCACTTTGTAAAAGGAAAATGCACTTTGTGCAGACAAAATTATTTGTGAAATGTGAAATTCTTTGAGGGAAGCATTAGACCTCTCTGATGGGTGACCATACATGGAATGTGTTCTGGCACCTCAGCCCTATCCAAAGATAAATGCCAGTTAAACTTTTTATTTTCTTAAACCTATGAGCCTTTATTTTTGTGTTGCATTTTTCTGTACTAGTATGACCAAGGTCACCCACAGTCAGGTTTCTGAAGTAGCCTCCATCACTTTGGAACTAAAACTTAGTTTAGCTACTGTTTTATTAGCACTGATATTAATTAATTCAGAAATGGGAATTGAATGTTAGAATTTGATTCAGGTTCTCATATTTGCTTGTTTTTTAATGTACATTATCAAAATTGGTATAGGGCATATTCATTTAGAGGACTTTAACTTCTGCTGAGGTATTGAATGTTGGCCAGTAATAAACTACTTAGGAATGGATTTTCAGTATATGGATGTACTTGTTTTATGGTGTCCATATTAATAATAGGGATAATGATAATACCTGCATGAAGTATTTTATGTTTTTACATCACGAATGTTAGAGTAGTGATTTTAAGAGGGCTGTTTTATAATCTCAAATTTTATATAACATGAAAAGTGGTATTTTTCAATATTCATTGATTTAAAAATATGAAATTCTGTAAATTCAAAAACACATAAAAATAGAATTTTCATATTTGTTAACTCAGGATATAGTATTTGTTTAAGAAATTACTATGCTTGGGATTCATTTGGATTCGTGAACATATTACAATAACTGTCTTTCCCAACAGATAGGACCACTAACTGAAATGTTTGTTAGAACTAAGTCCTGCAATTGGAAAAGAGAGAATCATCAAAATTTTAAATTAGTTAATTAGTTGCTGGCTGGTGAAGTTATCTTTCCATTTGATATTAGGGAGATGAAGATGAAGAAATTGATGGAGATACCAATAAATACAAGAAAGGACGTAAGAAAGCAGCTTATGCTGGAGGCTTGGTTTTGGACCCCAAAGTTGGTAAGGCTGGGCAGTGAATTGGTTTTCTCCCAGTATTAAGGAATTTCTTAATGTGGATCTAGGCTTGAGAAACTAGAAGACTGAATTATATCTTATAGATCAGCGAATAGGTCTCATGACTTTTATCTTTCGTTCACGTGAAAATCTTGGTTGCCAGTCACCTGACATAGACTTAATGTGAATTTTGTTATGCTGTGTTCCAATAAAATATTATTTATAGACATTGAAATTTAAATTTCATATAGTTTTCATATGTCATGAAATATTGTTTTTGATTTTTTTCCAGCCATTTAAAAATGTAAAAACCATACTTAAGCTCATGGGTGGTACAAAAATAAGTAGGTTGGATTTGGTCTGTAGCCGTAGTTTGTCTAATACATAGATAGCTGTCCAGTACATAGATAGCTGTTTGTCCTGACCAGTTCAGTTGACAGCAAAGTTGAAGGACGTGCAGACAATAACCACCAAATTTAACTTTAATAGGAGAATATCTTTTTCCCTATTGTCATGAATGGCAAAGATGTTTTGTGGTACACAGAGCTAGAAATAATTTTTTTTTCTTTTTTTCTTTTTTTTTTTTGGAGACAGAGTTTTACTCTGTTGCCCGGGCTGGAGTGCAGTGGTGCGATCTCTACTCACTGCAACCTTCACCTCTTGGGTTCAAGCGATTCTCCTGCCTTAGCCTCCTGAGTAGCTAGGACTACAGGTGTGTGCCAGCATACCCAGCTAATTTTTTTGTATATATAAAAAAACATTTCAACCCTTCCCAAGTGTACAGTTCAGCAGTAGTGTTAAGAATATTCACATTGCTGTGAAGGAATTAATGTGAATTTTATCTAATAAGTTAGTTCTGAGTAGGAAACATTTTTGACAAAAGTGATTTTGTTATTAGTTATAATGAAATGGAGCAGTAGTACTTGGTGTTATGTAGGTCTGGGTTTGAATTCAGTGTGATCTTGGGCTGCCTGTTTAACCTCTGTAAGCCTCAGTTTCTTCTGTAAAATAGAGTTAAGAGTAATATCTACCACACAGGGATTTAAGGATAAATTAGTATAGTGCTGGACACAGAATAAACTATCCTATATGTTTGCAATTATTATTGTCTTAATAGTGGACATTTATTTTTATTCAGTTTCTTCTCAAGGTGAAGATAACTCTTTGTAAATGTCCTACAGAAATATAGTAGCTTTCTGTTCTTCCTTTGCAAGTAAAAAGGGTGGGTCGTTCCACTACTGACATTTATATATATGTGTCTCTTGTTTGATTTTAGCTCAGTTTTTGTACAGGTAAATGTGCCGTCCATTTTATTTTTTGAAGCTGTTGTAAAAGAATAAATTACTCTACCAGGCGCGGTGGCTCACGCCTGTAATTTCAGCACTTTGGGAGGCTGAGGCAGGCAGATCACGAGGTCAGGAGATCGAGACCGTCCTGGCCAACATGGTGAAGCCCCATCTCTACTAAAATATAAAAAATTAGCCGAGCACGGTGTTGCGCGCCTGTAGTCCCAGCTATTCGGGAGGCTGAGGCAAGGGGACTCACTTGAACCCGGGAGGCAGAGGTTGCGGTGAGCTGAGATTGCGCCATGGCACTCCATCCTGGAGACAGAGTGAGACTCTGACTCAAAAAAAAAAATAAAAATAAAAATAAACCACTCACTTGGTTTTATTTGGGGTGGGGGGTGGGAGAGTAGGTAGGAGGATTCTTCAAAGAATTCTTGCTTTGAAGGAGAGTTGAACATTTTTTTTTTTTTAATGGATGTGACACGTCTCAGATAGCTGATTGGGAAGGTATTTGCTCATAATAATGGTGTGCTTTGGGGACAGCTGGGGAAAGGACTGGTTGTAGCTGGTTCTAAAGAGAGACAGGATCTTTTTCTCCCTCTTCTTTTGTGATCTGGCTTTTCACTAATCCGCATCATTTTATGAAATGGTAGTTGATTCTTTTTTTCCCTTTTTGTCTGTTTCACAGCTCTGGGTAGTGTATATGGATAGTATATAGTTTCTAATATACTTACAGTGCTTTTAATAATGATGTTTTGACAATTCTGCTTTTCTTTAGACTTTTTATGACGTGGCTTTTTAATTTCAGGTTTTTATGATAAGTTCATTTTGCTTCTGGACTTCAACAGTCTATATCCTTCCATCATTCAGGAATTTAACATTTGTTTTACAACAGTACAAAGAGTTGCTTCAGAGGCACAGAAAGTTACAGAGGTTTGTATTTAACCTGGGACTCTTGAAATTGAGTTTAAAAAAATTGCTTAAAGAAGGAAGATCTGTGTCTTTTTAAAATAGTTTTATTGTGGTATTATTCATATACCATATACTTCACCTGTTTGAAGTGTGTAGTTCAGTGGCTTTTAGTGTATTCCCAGAGTTTGCAACCATCATCACAATGAGTTTTAGGATATTTTCATTATTCCCCAAAGAAACCTTTTAGCTGTCACCTCCCTCAATCCCCATCCCTTCCACCTCTAGGCAACTACTAATCTTTTTGCTTTTATAGATTTGTGTATTCTGGACGTCTCATATAAATAGAATCATACATTATATGGCCTTTCGGTATCTGGCTTATTTCACTTATAATGTTTTCAAGGTTCATCCATTTTGTAGAATGTACTAGTACTTTATTCGTTTGTGTTGCTGAATAATATTCCATTTTATATGCGTGTGTGGTGTATGTGTAGGTGTATACACATACACCACATTTTGTTCTTTTTTGTAATTTTTTTTAATACATGGCAGAAGATGTCTGTTTGCCCTCTAGCTCCTGAATTTATATGTCAGTTCTCACCGCAAGCTTAGGACCTGTTTTTCAATCCCAATTTCATATTCCCAGAAGAGAGAATCTGATAGGTTTGCCTAGGTTGGTGAGCACTCCAGGTCCCCGTTACCTGTGACCACAAGAGTAGGTTCACAGGGCACGGATCTGGCTGCTAAGGGTGGACCTTTCTGTGGGACTAGTGGATACTTTTACAGAGAAGATACTGGGTAGACATCCCCAAAAGGTATGACTGCATTCAATTAATATTTGAGCTCTGTTCTGCTACTGTGCCAGCATGGTGATAATTAATATTATTTAGCCTCTGCCCACCACCATTTTGCTTATTGGAGCTTTCCAGCTTGGATTCTGGATATATAATAGAATCATTTTAGAGTTGGAAGGGACCTCAGAGGTCATCTAAGAAATACTATACATGTAGCAATTTATAGATCTGAATCATTTTCATACATGGTACCTCAGAACAGTTAGTGTCACACAGGTAGTAGTTGTAGAGCTAGGAGTGGATTGTAAACTTCCTGACTCCACATCTTTCAGTTTACTTTTTATCTGACTTTCATAGTTGCTGTAAATAAATTAGAATGTGTACCAGGATCTCTTTAATAGATTTACTATCATCATCTGTTATATTGGAAAACAGTAGGTCCCTATTACTATTGTAACAGTGTTCACTTGAAGATATTGATCTCTATAAAATCAGATGCTTTGTAAAGGCTAGGTTATCAAATGGCATTGACTTGATGTACTTTAAACCAAGAGGTTTATTTTTAATTCTGAACCTTTGAAAGGGCAAATGTGCCTGGCTTTTTTCTTTGTAGCTGTTAATAGAATTTACGGAGGCTAGGGAAAAATGGTCTAATGCTTCCCCTGCTTTTTCTTCCTGTAAATTTTAATATAAGAAGACTGCTGGTTGCTTTTCTGAAATGTTGCTATTCTTCTGCCGATTGCATAGCAATTTATAGGTAAAAGGTACTACATAAATGTTAAGGGATATGTATGTATTAGTTTTTAGAAATGTCATGGCCTATTTAAATGTGCTCCAAGCTCCTTTTTTTTTTTTCTTTTTTTTTTGGAGATGGAATTTCGCTCTTTTTGCCCAGGCTGGAGTGCAATGTTGTGATCTTGGCTCACTGCAACTTCTGCCTCCTGGGTTCAAGCAATTCTCCTGCCTCAGCCTCCCGAGTAGCTGGGATTACAGGCATGCGCCACCATGCCTAGCTAATTTTGTATTTTTAGTAGAGATGGGGTTTCTCCATGTTGGTCAGGCTGGTCTTGAACTCCCGACCTCAGGTGATCCACCCGCCTCGGCCTCCCAAAGTGCTGAGATTATAGGTGTGAGCCACCGCTCCTGGCTGCTCCGAACTCTTAAATTTGCTGATTTATTAGCTTTTAATTATTAGTCTACAGCATTTACAATAACTGCTATGATTCTCCATAGTTTTAAAATTCTATAGCATTTTGTTTGGTAGTAAAATGATTTAAAATAGTAGTTTAGCTGCTAGTTATTTTGTTTTTTTAATCCTGGAGGTCTGTCTTAGTGTTTGTATTTTAAAAACAATTTCCCCAAACATGTTGTTCTCCAGTTTTGTTGAAGAGAGATAGCATGTGTAAAAATGTATCCCTTTTTTTTTTTTTTTTTTTTAAGACAGAGTTTCGCTGTGTAGCCCAGGCTAGAGTGCAGTGGCGAGATCTCCGCTTACTGTAAGCTCCGCCTCCCGGGTTCACGCCATTCTCCTGCCTCAGCCTCCCAAGTAGCTGGGACTACAGGCGCCCGCCACCGCGCCTGGCTAATTTTTTATATTTTTGGTAGAGACGGGGTTTCACCATGTTAGCCAGGATGGTCTCAATCTCCTGACCTCGTGATCTGCCCACCTTGGCTTCCCAAAGTGCTGGGATTACAGGTGTGAGCCACCGTGCCCGGCCAAATGTATCCCTTTAAATGAAATCTAAATTTGTGTCTAACTACAGGGGTGGGAGATATTGGGAATGACAGCCTAATATAATTGGGAGAGAAGAGGGCAATCATGACCTGTTCTACAACCCTCTCAGCTCTTTCTTATACTACTCATGCATTATTGACCTTGTATAAGATAATAGCTTTTCAAGATGTGATCATGGGGGAAAGCTCCTATAAAATATTACTGTAGAAATTTATTTCGCAAAAGTTTGATTTGTGTGAAATTTGTTGTGTGTTTATCAGGATGGAGAACAAGAACAGATCCCTGAGTTGCCAGATCCAAGCTTAGAAATGGGCATTTTGCCCAGAGAGATCCGGAAACTGGTAGAACGGAGAAAACAAGTCAAACAGCTAATGAAACAGCAAGACTTAAATCCAGACCTTATTCTTCAGGTATATCTTTTCACTAAGAAACATTTGAGTGACAGTCTCAGCTTTTACAGTTTGATTATTTATGAGTAAACAGGATGCTGGGCAATTGCAGGTACTTATTTTAAGTTTGTGGATAGGTGACCATTTAAAAATACTAGAGTGCCTCAGAATGGAAGCCACCTTTGTTTACAAAGATTGTATCTGAGCAAGATACTTCTGGCTCCTGGGAGCTTTGGAGTCTGTGTTTACTTGCTGCTTCTAGGAGGTTAGGGAATCATGGATCCAGGAGAATGGGTTGAGTATATTAATTCTTTTTTATTCAGGGATATTGAGGGTTTCCCTTTTTATTGGAGATCTAGAAAGACATCTAATGTAATGCTTAACCATCTGTAAATGTTGTTGTTTGTCTTTTGTTCTGTGTGGCCTGCAGTATGACATTCGACAGAAGGCTTTGAAGCTCACAGCGAACAGTATGTATGGTTGCCTGGGATTTTCCTATAGCAGATTTTACGCCAAACCACTGGCTGCCTTGGTGACATACAAAGGAAGGGAGGTAAATGGCGTAATAACATTCACATCTCTAGATATGAGAGTATTTTTAACTATACATGTTATAGTGTGGGAGAGTCAAGTTTATTACCTAGTTGTACAGCATCAAATACAGTACCCCTCTCTTTGGATGACAGGTTTGAGACAAATAGGCATTTAAATAAGGTTTCATTAATTCGTGTGTGTGTGTATTTATTATTGAACATCTACTGCATGCCAGGCATTGTTCTAGGTTCTCAGGATAGAGTGTCAAGCAAGACCTAAACGATCCCTGTTATGAGGCTTACATTCTACCCAGAATGGGAGGGGTTTGGGGTTGGGGACGACATGGGTTGGGAATGTGGGGTGGTGAGAGGGTGGTTTGGGAAAACAGACTTTAAATAAGTAAATAAACATGTATAAGAAATAACAGAAAATATGATAGAAGTAAATGCTCTGTAGATAATTAAAACAGGATGGTGGGCTAGAGAATGTTTGGATGGCTGGTTTAGATTGGTCAGGGAAGGCTTCTTTGAGGAGGTGACATGAATGAGAATGACTTAAGAGAGTTTTTTTTTGCTGATGGATTAGCTTGGAGTGTGAGTGAAAGGTAGAAATCAGGAGGATAACTAGTAGAGCCTTTTACTAAGATGGAGGAAACTGGGAAAGAAGGATTAAGAATTCTGTCATGGATGTGTTGCCTTTGGCATGAGTAATAGAATTCCAGACATAATAAGGAGGCCATTGGATGTATAGATCCAGAATTCCAGGAATACATCAAGACAGGAGTTATGGATTGAGAGTTATTGGCTTTAATAAGATGGGCCAGATACCAAATAGAATTTAGGTACATCACTTTATGGACACTGTAAGCTTCAACTGTTTTAGTACTATGTGCATGGGTTTTTCTTAATTTGTAAAAGAATAGTTACGCTGAATATTAAATTCCATTTAACTCCCTGTCTGTGGGTTTAAGACTATTTAGCCTTAAAGGAGGTAGGTAGTGGTCATGGGAAAAATGCTTATATTGGGGGGTCTGTACTCTGAATGCTCTAGAGCAGTGGTTGGCAAATGATGGCCATCGGGGCAAATGCAGCCTGCCATCTATTTTTGTAAATAATGTTCTATTGGAACAGAGCTAAACTCATTTATTTATGTATCATCTGTGGCTGCTTTTGTATTACGAGAGCAGAGCTGAGTAGAAAAGATGGAGGCTCACATGGCCCGCAAAGCCTGATATATTTACTCTCTGGTCTTTTTTAGAAAAAAAGTTTGCTGACCTCTGCTTTAGAGTTTAGATCAACTCTGTCCAGTAGAACTTTATGATGATGAAAACGTTCTCCATCTGCACTATCCAGTGCTGTAGTCTCTAGCCACAAGTGGCCAGTGAGCACTTGGTATCTGGCTGGTGCCAACTAGCTGAGGAACTGGATTTTTAGATTGCTTTAATTATAATTAAAATGAATTTAAACTTAAATAGACAAATGTAGCTAGTGGCTACTGTGTTGGACAGTGCAGATCTAGCTGGTATATGAAATAAACGTCAGGATGTTCAGAATCACTCTTCTGTTGGCAGCCGTATCTCAAAGATTTGTCTTAGGGCACAGTGAGGAAGGGCAAAACATGTATTGAACGCCAGTGATGTGATAGAAGCTTTCCTATGCATTATTTCACTGAAATTACACAAGAATCCTTTGAAATAGATAATAACGTTTTCATTTTTTAGATGAGGAAGTTAAAACTCAAGGAGATAAAGTATAACAAGTGGTTATTTTGAATGTAAATCCTTTTAGTACAGTAGGGTTGTCTCTTCCATCTCAAGATGTCATTTATGACTCTGGTTCTGCTTTATATTCGACCTCTTATTACAGGAAGATCATGATTTTTGGTACCCATCTCAAGACACAGGTCTCTTTTTACATGAGAAAGATATAGGTGTTTTAGGGGCTAGTTGAAGTGAGGGAAGGGAAGGATGCTTTCAGTTTCTTAAGCTAAGTTTACTTTAAAATTATTTAAATTTTATTTCTTTACAAGTATCCAGTGGCTTCTGATGGAATACCATCTTATTTTTGTATTAGAAAATGCACTCACTATGCCCCAACTGGGTGATAATACATGGGTTGACTATTGAGATTGGATCAAGGTTACTCTTAAGTTTCTCACGAGAGGCAATAGTTGACAATTTACTCCCTTGGAGAGTGCCTCTTGCTGCTGGGAAATCCCTGTTGTTACATTTTCCACATTGGCTCAGAAATCCACAAGCTTAAAAGGGCACTGTTGATAATGATAAGCCCCAAATTTGTCCAATGATCTCCCCCACTCTCCTAATCCATTGGATTTTAAGGGCAATGGTTTTCTTTAGCTGGATTTTTAATAGCGAGTTTAAACACAATTTTAATTTTTCTGTTATATAAAATATAACAATAACAAATCTTTAATAAATGAACTATAAAAAACCCTGTTCTCTCCACTAAAAAACAAAGGATTTCAGACGAATCTAGAACTACTTGTTTGTGATTTAAATTCTTGGTATCTGCTTTCCTCTTTTCTCTTTACCCTTTGCTGTTTCCCTCAAATAAGGATAAATAAAACTCTGGAAAGTAGGCCTTTAAAGTAATATGAGGCTACTGAGAAATAATAATTACGCAGTTTCTCCCAGGAAATCTTATTCTAGAAGAAGATCCAAAGTCACTTACAAATATTATTTCCTAATATAAAAATGATTTTTAAAGTATTGGTGATAATTGTTAGCACTGGTGGATGGAAGTAGTCTATGTGATATCTTTCTTTGGGTTAGCGTCTCTTAATTATTAAAGAGGTAGGAGGAGTGAAGTGAAAATGAGAGCCAGTGTGCTGAGATTTTGGAATACCTTTGTAACTTATTAAACTAGTATTTTTTGTGACAAGATACGAGTGGGCAGAATAATATAGTAACCTGCAGATCTTACAAATTCTTTGCTTTTAAAGTCCTTGTGGGATAAATTAGATTAAGTTTCAAGTGGAAATTAATGAGAAGGAAACCTGGTAGCATGCCATTGCAAAAGATTATAAAATTTTGCATTTGGATGTGGATTAATACACAGCCTAGGGAGGCCTTGAAGCCCCCTTTTCCTTTTTATTTTTAAGTCTATTTTGTGTTTGCTCAGTTTTCCTGGAATCGTGCACGTTTGGCTCTAGCGACCTAATAATTTCTGTAATCAAATGTATTATGGCTGCTAGAATACTCAGAGTAATTACTAATTGTACTTTTTAAAACAGGTTTATAATAAAAGTGCTAGTAGTTGTGTCAAATGGGCATCAATATTGTCTTTTCACAGGTGTGATCTTTCACGCTTAAACTCTTCCATGATTTTGAATTGCTTTGTGGTAGAGGAATGAGCTAATGGGTAAGGAATTGTATGAGGGATCTCACAGTGTGTACGTTATTTAAAAGTAATGAAGTCAGTGTTTCAGAGTACTCTGTGGATCTATAGAAATACCATCTGTATTTGTGTTTGTTCTCAATGTGTGTGTAGAGAGGCATAAAAAAGAAATTGGGCAAGCCTATGGCACTGAGTGGACATATATTTTTAAACCATGAAGAAAAGGGGTATCAGTTGTCAAATGTCTGATGTGGTAATTGAAGTGATTGTTCACTAGATGGCGATAGACACCCTGAGATCATTAATCAATTAAGGATTTTATTCTGTGAACAATAGTGAAGGCAATTTAATGAGTTAAATCTGTCCACATTTTAGACTTTTATTAATTTTGGAACTATTAAAGAAAAGCTAAAACTGGCCCAAAGGATTGTAATACTCTAGTGTTTAAAATAATTATGATTTTTTAATCATTAGTTATATTGATAGGAACAGTAATTTATCATAGCAAGTTAATTCTTCTATCGAGTAGCTAAATTCTGATTTCTGGCCATGGAGACACGATACATGACTCCCTCAGTCACAGTATCAGAAGCTAATCTAAAGGGAATTGGAAATGATTTTGATATATGATTTTGCCTTTTTGAATTTGTTTTTTTATTGCGAAATTTTTTATTTTATTTTATTTTATTTATTTATTTTTGAGATGGAATCTCTCTCTGTTGCCCAGGCTGGAGTGCAGTGGTGCCATCTCGGCTCACTGCAAGCTCCGCCTCCCGGGTTCACGCCATTCTACTCTCCCTCAGCCTCCCGAGTAGCTGGGACTACACTACAGGCGCCCACCACCATGCCCAGCTAATTTTTTGTATTTTTAGTAGAGACGGGGTTTCACTGTGTTAGCCAGGATGGTCTCGATCTCCTGACCTCCGGATCCACCTGCCTCGGCCTCCCAAAGTGCTGGGATTACAGGCATGAGCCACCACGCCAGGCCTATTTTATTTTATTTTATTTTATTTTATTTTATTTTATTTTATTTTATTTTAAGAAACAGGGTCTCACTTTCTTGCCCAGGCTGGAGAGCAGTGGTGTGATCATAGTTCACTGCAGCATTGAATTCCTGGACTCAGACAATCTTCTCCCCTCAGCCTCCCTAGTAGCTAGGACTACAGGCATATGCCACCATCCTTGGCAAATTTATTTTTATTTTTTGTAGAGATGGAGTCTTGGTGTATTGCCCAGGCTGGTCTCCAACTCCTAGCCTCGAGGGATCCTCTCACCTTGGCCTCCCAAAGCTGTAGGATTATAGATAGGAGCCACTGTGCCTGGCTTTATTGGGGAATTTAAAACTGACTATGTACTTATAAGTATACTCATTGCATAACTTTAGTTTAACGGGAATATTTGTCTTGATGGAATAATTAGTACTTACTGACATTGGTATTATTTTATTTCTCTACTCTCTTATTTCTGTGTCCTTGAGAAAGCCATTTTTGGTCTGGATTTTTTATTGCATTTTAAAATGTATGCTCTGATGTTTAGGTATAGAGTCCATGCATTTTCATTTTCCTACCTGATAGGCTGAAATAAGCTTTGCCAGCCTGCTTGCCAGTTGGTCGTAGACTGCCTGGCTTTTAGTTGTGTTGGAGCTGGAATTTGTGCACATTAAAAGTGTATCCAAATCATTAATGCAAACATTACAATCTTGGCAAGCCTTTCTGGGATTTTCTTGGTGATGTGGTAGCACCTATCAGGATCCCTTGGGAAATGGCACTAGGACAGAGGGCTCTAGCCTTTGTTGATGTTGGTGATGAAAGAGAATGAGTGACTATGAAGAATTTTACAATTAAATATTAAGAGAAGTCTTTCATCTTTACCTGTAAATAACCAAAAATTTCACTTTTGCAATCTTTTTCTTTCTTTCTTTCTTTTTTTTTTTGTGGGGGGCAGGGGGGCAGAGTTTCACTCTTGTTGCCTAGGCTGGAGTGCAATGGCGTGATCTCGGCTCACCACAACCTCCACCTCCCGGGTTCAAGCGATTCTCCTGCCTCAGCCTCCCAAGTAGCTGGGATTACAGGCACGTGCCACCACACTCGGCTAATTTTGTATTTTTAATAGAGACGGGGTTTCTCCGTGGTCAGGCTGGTCTTGAACTCCTGACCTCAGGTGATCCGCCCACTTCGGCCTCCCAAAGTGCTGGGACTACAGGCATGAGCCACCGCACCCCGCTGTGATCTCTTAATAGCCTAGTTTTTCTTTAAAAAAGTAAAAGCAATAAAATATTATAGAGACAACTAAAGACCATTTCCTCCCCATCCTCTCTCATTTCTTTTTCTTTTTCGGAGGTAACTTGCCCAGAGTTGGTTTTGTCATTCTTGCCCATGGGTTGTTCTTTTTTGCTTCTGCAACGTGTATATACATGTGGTGTGTTAAAAGTTTTTACCATGTATGTGTCATGCTATACATATTCTTTTGCAGTTTGGAAAAGCAGGAGAAAAACTCTACTCTGTATGCCACATTTTAAGTATATTCATCTTGATACATTTTTAGATTTGATTCATTCATGTTAACTATTGTATAATATTTCGATGAATATAGCACAGTGTATTTTTTAATTCTGCCATCATCCATATCTTTAGGTTTCCAAGTTTTCATTTGTCTTAATTATTTGCTGTTACAAACAGTACTGAAGTAGACAATACCACCTTTGTGAGAGTTTCTCTGGTATATTTCTAGGAGTGGAATTTGTACAACATCCACAGCAGTATATGAGGCTTTATTGATAAGAGCAGCCATTTAATTTATCACAGCAAGCTCATTTTTAAAAATCAAGTAGCTAAATTCATATGTCTGGCTGGAGCCACAATACGTAACTCCCTCAGTCACAGTGTCAGAGGCTAATCTTAAGAGAATTGGAAAGGATTTTGATATACAATTTTGCTTCTTTGAATTTTTGTTTAGTTCTCTGTTGAGGCATTTTAAACTTACTATATATATACTTAGACTTGTTGCATAATCCTTGATATTCCACATCCTTGCAGCACTTATTATCTGAGTTTTTATTTTTTGGTCAGTCTCATGGGTATGAAAGGGTATCTCATTGTGATTTTAATTTACATTTTAAAATTATTAGTTAAGTTGGGCATCTTTTCATGTGTTTATTAACTCTTCCATTTTCTTGTCTGAATAGAACATAGATGTTCTATTTTGTTGGATTGTATGTCTCTTAGTATTCTTAGGTATTCAAAAGCCAATCCTTGTTTTGTCATTTGTGCTGCAGAGATCTCTTTCAGTCTGTGGCTTGTCCTTTTACTTTATTTGTAGTCTTTCATTATGCAGAAGTTTCTAATTTTAATGCCAGATATTTAATTTTTTCCTCCTTACACTATGTGGGTTTTTTTCCCACAAGAAAGCTTTCCCTCCTCTAGTGACGTAGACATTCTCCCCTGTTTTCTTCTAAAAGTTGCAAGGTTTGGATTTTCTTATTTAGGTCTTTAATCCTTCTAGAAATTATTTTTAGGAATGATACAAGTTAGGAATCTAATTGTACTTGTTTGCTTCCTTGTAGAGTTATTGAACGTTCCTGTATTGTTCCTGTATTCCAGGGGTTGGCAGACTTTGACCCATGGGCTAACTCAACTCAAAACTGCCTTTTTTTGTAAATTAAGTTTGATTGGGACACAGCCCTACCCATTTGTTTATGGCTGCATTTGTGCTACAACAGCAGAGTTGAGTAGTTGCCAGAGATACTGAGTGAACTCCAAAGCCTAAAATATGTCCTATCTGGCTCTTTACAGAAAAAGCTTGCAAACCCATGGTCTAAAAGATAGTCATGAAAGAGTAGCTCATATTTCCAACAGTAGCAGATATAGTCAGTGAAAATAGAGGAAATTACACTAAAGGTTGTAAGAAGGAAGGAAAACAATCTTTTGGACATGTAAAAAATACAAAGTTTGGGCCGGGCGCGGTGGCTCACACCTGTAATCCTAGCGCTTTGGGAGGCTGAGGCGGGTGGATCACCTGAGGTCAGGAGTTCAAGATCAGCCTGGCCAACATGGTGAAACCCCGTCTCTGCTAAAAATACAAAAAATTAGCCGGGCGTGGTGGCAGGTGCCTGTAATCCTAGCTACTCAGGAGGCTGAGGCAGGAGAACTGCTTGAACCCGGGAGGCAGAGGTTGCACTGAGCCGAGACCGCATCACTGCACACCAGTCTGGGCAACAGAGTGAGACTCCATCTCAAAAAAAAAAAAAATTGAAATTTTACTGATTCTTAGATTGTCATATGAGAACTTCCCTCAACCCAAGTAGAGTAAAGGGGAGGTCTGTGAATCCTCTGAAGTTGTATGTAATATTTTGTGTGTCTGTGCATATGTGTACTTTTTTGGAGGAGAGGATGCATAGCATTTAAGAGACTCAAAGGGGACCATGATGTGAAAAATGATAAAGAACGCTGGTTCTTATGTTTCATTTCTGGCCTCTTATGTAACTTGAGGGGAAACTTTAGCCTTAAAAATGTATACTTTTGTCACCTAAAACATGGCAGTGCGAAGAATTTTCTTGCCAAACCAGACCCATTTAAACTGTGTGGGTGGTAGGAGGGATGAGTTCTAATTCTGTCTCCAGAATTTTTATAGCCACCATTAAGACTACTTTTAACTTCAGCTGACCTACTAACATTTTGATTTTTTTTAATATGAGAATTTCTTTTAAGGCTAATATGAAGGTTTAATGTATTTTGGCAGACATATTTTATGTTAAAAAAAAGCAATATCCTTTGTTAGTGATCATGAATTACCTATCACTTTCAAAGTTGCTTACATTATAAAATTTGAAGCCAGATAATTTTTAAATTTCGTTTCTATTGTCATATTTCAGGGATGTTTGGATTCTAAATTCCCGGCAGTTCTTCAGAACTGATAACACATACTATTCAGCTTTATTAATTCACATTCTACTCATTTAGAATTTGTGGTAATTCAGATGGAATGAGTTGAAATTCTTCTTAGTACACATTAATAGTTATTTCAGAGCCTAGGTTCTTTTCATATACCATTAAAAATACAGGTTGAGTGTCCCTAATCTAAAAATCTGAAATGCTCCAAAATCTGAAACTTTTTTTTTTTTTTTTTTTTTGAGACAGAGTCTTGCTCTGTTGCCCAGGCTGGAGTGCAGTGGTGCGATCTCGGCTCACTGCAGGCTCCACCTCCTGGGTTCACGCCATTCTCCTGCCTCAGCCTCCCGAGTAGCTGGGACTACAGGCGCCCGCCACCATGCCCGGCTAATGTTTTGTATTGTTAGTAGAGACGGGGTTTCACTGTGTTAGCCGGGATGGTCTCGAGCTCCTGACCTTGTGATCTGCCTGCCTCAGCCTCCCAAAGTGCTGGGATTACAGGCATGAGCCACCGCGCCCAGCCCAAACTCTGAAACTTTAAGTGCCGCCATGATACTCAAAGGAAATGCTCATGGAGCATTTTGTATTTCAGATTTTTGAATTAGGGATGCTCATCCAGTATAATGTAAATATTCCAAAATTCCAAATTCAAACACTCTGGTTCCAAGCATTTCGGATACTCAGCCTGTACTGTAGAAACAACTATCTACATTTAAGTAAGTGGCATTTTATCTGCAGATCGTTTATATTGATGAACTTGTACTAAGGAACCATCTGTTTGCTTGTCCATTTGTCTACATTCTTTCAAAAATTGATGAAAGTAATGTTGGTACTTTCAAATAAAGGTGAAAAAAGGAAGCTGTAATTTGGAAACACCCCATGGAAGCCCAGTCCAGATTATAACTTAGACTTTCAGTAATTTGAGAGAAATGCGATGATAAAAATTCAAGTATATAGAATAATTTATGCTTATATATGCTTGCATTATAATAAACAATATATACTTATATGAAAAATATATGGTAAGCATATAATATATATGTTATATATAATCTATTATAACAGTGTTGCATTTATAGAGATTAAATAAGTGGGTTACACTTAGGCTTGATTTTAATTACTCTATATGCTTGAAAATACTGAGTATTTCTTTCAAAATGGCTAAGATGTTAGACTTGAGACAAATTCAGAATAACCTTATTCTTCTTTCTTAATAGTTGGAAACTAGCATATCTCTAAGATGCATGGATATTGGCCTCTGTGTGCCTTTTAGGTTTTTGGACATTGAAAGGTACAGGTTTAGGAGGACACAAGCCAGTTGATGTAAGAGACAGCTGGGAAGAGAAAGACTAGGTCAAATCTTGCCTGGGGTCTGTGAGTGTAAGAGAAGAAAGCTACATCAAGGAGGCCATTTAGCCATCTTTTGTTTATCCCCTTTGCATTTGCTGAAGTTTTTTGTTTTTTGTTTTTTTGTTTTTTTGTTTTTGAGACGGAGTCTCGCACTGTCTCGCTGGAGTGCAGCATCGTGATCTTGGCTCACTGCAAGCTCCGCCTCCCGGGTTCACACCATTCTTCTGCCTCAGCCTCCCGAGTAGCTGGGACTACAGGCACCCGCCACCGTGCCCGGCTAATTTTTTTGTATTTTTAGTAGAGATGAAGTTTCACTATGTTAGCCAGGATGGTCTCGATCTCCTTGGCCTCCCAAAGTGCTGGGATTACAGGCATGAGCCACTGTGCCTGGCCTGCATTTGCTGAAGTTTTTGAGTGGTCACCACATCTTAGTTTTACCTGTGCTTTAAGGAATCCAGGTGTGGGCACCCGCACCCCTCTCCTACACATACATTATACTACTAAGTGTCAAAGGTAATAAGATATGGTCCTGGGGTTGTGAGTTGGCCTTTCCAGTCTTGCTGAATCTTCAGTCAATACTAATCTTTAAAATTCCAGGGCTTCTTTCATCAAGGAAGATGGAATTTCCTTATTCTCAATCCAAATTTGTGCCTTTTTCCACCCATATATTGGATTTCTTATTACTAGATTTTTCACATGGGTCTGCATAAACTAGTATCAATACTTAAAAATTTTGTATTAACACAAAACAAAAGTCTGCAGCCTCAAATTATTTCTGTATTCTCCAACCTCTACTTCAGTTTGTCAGGGAGTGCATTTCAGATGTTTTTTTGTTCTACCTAGCCCCTAAGCCCTGTGCTCTACATAGTGGATGTTTGTTTGCCTTACCTCTGGGATCACACTCACTTGGTAGTTTCTGTAGTTATAGATGGGTAGATAGGGAAGTGGTATATTTTTTAAAGAAGGTCTTGATATTTAAGCCTATTTTGAATTTATAAGAATGGCCAGGATACTCAAACAAGAAAAAGGATAATTCGTACATTTGTAGTGGGAACCTAGGAACTTTTATCTGAAAAGATAGGGACAGAGTATTTTTGCCTTGTAATTTTGCCTTTTTAATTACTGAAACCATTGGGAATGTGGCTAAGGATGAGAAGATAAATGCTATTAAGACTGACCTTGTGTCAGCACCACTGATCTCTGCTGAGATAGATTAAGTTTCATTACTTTGACTAGAATCACATAAATTGAGTCCTGGAAATCTTTTTCTTCCCCACCCCTCACCAGAATGAGTGACTTTGTTAACCCAAATTCATTCCATTTTTCTCCATATGTGAAAATTTTAAATAAACCTATTTTGGTATCTATTTCTTTTTCACAAGCCATGTGTTATTTGACAGGTGTTTTGAAGCCCTTGCTTTGGCAGTGAACCAAGATGACAGAGCAGTAATGATTTGGAAAGTGCCATTCCCTCCTTGTTAAGCGATAAAAAGAAAAGTGTGAAGTTATTAACCACTATTCACCAGTGGCATAGAAATCGGTATAAGGTTTAATTGTCTGGTTCTACAGTTGGTCTAGGTAGGCAATTTCCTGGATAGTGCTTCTCTTAAGGAAAGGGAAGAATAATCATATAACTTCACTTTTTTCTCCCATATAATTTTTTTTTCTTCTTTTCACAAATTGCAGATAGATGGATTGGAGAGAAAGGATCACTAGAAAACCAAAATATTGACCTCACAGGCTTTCCCTTTCCTCATCTGCCCAGGTATACATTTATGGGTGACATGGCAGCACTCAGCAACATTGCAAATTTCCCACCCCCCAAATGAATCACATGCTCAAGTGTTTGAATCTGATGGTGTACAGGATGTTACCACACTGTCTCCTTATGTTAGCCATGCTGAGTCTATTTATTGCTAATTGGAAAAACCTACTTTTGGCAGCCTCGGCTGCCTGGTGGCTTTAGCATACCCGTCACAACAGTATGGTCAGACCCATTAAAGACACATCCCTGTCAAATTTAGAAAACAAAACAAGCTCATTGGGCTTGTTATGGCTCAGGACCAGCTGACTGAGGGAAGACTAATAGAATTAGTACCTTCTGTTTGTGTGTTATCATTGCAGTGGGCAGCATGAGCCTGTGTCAATTTGCCAGATCATAAATACTGTGTTAAATTACAATGAACTGAGATTGGTAAGTTGTGGGAGTTTTGGAAGGCGGGGAGAAGAATAGTTTTATGTATGTGTGAAGAAGCCGTTTGATTTTCAGCCAGGGATTCCTGAGCCCTGTGGTCATGGTTTTAGAGATCTTAGACTTACTTTGAAATTTAGTACCAGAGTCAGGTTGTGCAGCTGTCCTTGTTTCCTTTTTATTGTTAATTTTGTGGTTGAATTGGCTTGTATCCCTTTTAAACTTGAATGTATGAGTCTCAACATTAAAATTTTTTCTTTGAAAATTCTGTTTTAAAAAGCAATATGAAATAGAATGTAGCTGAAAAGTGAATTTTTACTCACATTTTTAAAAGAGCAACAAAGCATGAGTGATTTCCAGAAATGGTTTCTGTGTCATCTTTGGAATTCTTCTAATTACTAATTCTTCTTTATAGGCTTGGGTTTGATTTTGTATTACCTGTTTTTATTGGCTTTGTTGTTTTACATTTGACAAAAGATTTGCTGTTTTGAGGCTAGTGATGAGATTGATTTATTTATTTTTTTATTTATTTTGCCTTAGGACTAAGAGTTGAGCGGAGATGGGAGTGGAACAAAGATATTAGGTTTCTTTTATGATTTGGAGTGTCAGACATTTGGCTATATTTGTTTCATGGGTTTTTCATCGCTGCTGACTTAACCACAGACGACATTTTCAGCCCTGTGCAGGAGGGTGGTGTGCCTTCTGCAGGCAGGGAGGAGGAGGGTTGGGGTGTGGTGGCTTAGAGAAAGGAATCAGCTCATGGGCTATTAATAATGTAAATTGTTCTTGAGGCCACATGTAACATTTCTGAGCCCTGACCAACAGGGTAGGGTGCGTGTTCTATTTACATTGGACTGCATGGCACGATGTGATGGATAGCTGATAATCACAGGAAAAATCCGGGTATTTCTTCTTTAATGATGTCCTGATAGGGCAGAAAAAAATAATTTGTCTTCAGAAGATTGGCTTAGAGTGGCTGAATATATTTAATTCAATTACTGGTTCTTGCCTCATAGCCAGGAATTCTTCAAGTGATATTTGCTGAGTGTGTACATGGAGGGAAATGGAGACAAATGACATTGCTTGTGACCCACTGCCTTGAGAGGAAAGCCTTCGGTAATGATTCCAGTAAAACTAGAGCTAGAGCTTGGGAAGCTAAACTTGTGATTACTTACTAGTAAACAAGAGAAAGGACCTGTTGTAGGTGCAAAAATCTTACTGAAATGCCTGAGTATGCACTGGAGAAAGCCCTGGACTGCACACCAGGGGTGCTCACCCACTTGTTTACTTTTTGTGGCTTTGAGCAAGTCATCCATTCTGCCTTTGGTTTTTCACTTGTCAGAGGGGTGCTAGATGATGATAATTACTGCTCAGTGGGCTTCAGTTACAAAGCACCTTAACATAGAGTAGCTATCTACTGTTGTTTCTCAGAACAACCCAGGGGAAGCATTCGTGCAAGGCTCCGAGTACCTAGCAAGTGTCAGGCATGCCACGTGGTGCTGCTGTTAGGGAGACAGTGGTAAACTTAAGCATTCAAGGACCTTGTCTTCATGGAGTGTTCAGTCCATTAGGTGAGAGCTGTTAATCAAATGGTCAATGAATAATTATGTCATTCTGAAAGAAAATAAGTGCTAAGAAAAGGCACATGAATTTCTGAGTCTTGATAGCAAAGGCCCTTGACCTGGACTGAAAAGTCAAAATTTTCCTGATCCTTTGGTACTTGAGCTGAGATCTAGAAAGTGTGGGCTGGAGTTAACTAGGTAAAGAGTTGGAAGAATAAGCATTCTAGAGTGAGGGCTAGCATGTGTAGAGGTCCTGTGGTGGTTGGAAGCATTATGTGGCCAGGGCACTGAGAAGGCTGAGGTAGCTGAAGTATAGAAAGGAAGGGGAGAGTGATAGGAGGCAAGGCTGGAGGGGTAATCAAGGTCACACCATATGGGCTTTGCAGGCCACGTTGACCAAGAGGCAGATGTTAATAGTTTTTTGGGTTTTTTTTTTTGAGGCAGAGTCTCGCTCTGTCGCCCAGGCTGGAGTACAGTGGCATGATCTTGGCTCACTACAATCTCTGCCTCCCGGGTTCAAGTGACTTTCCTGCCTCAGCCTCCCAAGTAGCTGGGACTACAGGTGTGCGCCACCACTCTTGGCTAATTTTTGTATTTTTAGTAGAGTTGGGGTTTCACCATGTTGGCCAGGCTGGTCTAGAACTCCTAACCTCAAATGATCCACCCACCTCAGCCTCCCGAAGTGCTGGGATTACAGGCATGAGCCACCACGCCCGGCCAGATGTTAATAGGTTTTATATGTTGGGGGAGATTGGCTCACATTTCCATTTTGAGAAGATCACTTTGCCTCAGTGAGTTGGAGGGGCCAGAGTGGATGAGGGGAAACTGATTAGCAGGCTATTATTAGAATAGAATTCCAGGCAAGTGATGGTGGTAGCTTGACTAGTGTGATGGCAGTCAGTGGAGGGAGGAGGACCCAGATATGAGAGAGATTTAAGAGAAAAAGTATCAGTAAAACTGGGTGGTATATTGGATGTGGGGCTTAGGATGGGGAAGGTATCAAGGTCAACTCTTGGCTGACTTGTGTAGGAAGATGGAGTACCTTTCACTGAGATGAAGAGCACTGGAAGATGACCAGGTTTGGGGCAGGAGGAGGGAAAGATGAACAGTTTGATCGTAGACATGTTAATTTTGAGGTTGCAGAATATAAACTGGGGAGTCATTGGTTTATAGTCATTGTTAAATGAAGCCATGGACATGGATGAGATTACTTTGGGAGAGAGGAGAGAGTGGAAAGAGAAGTGGGTGTAGGACTCAGTCTTAAGGAACCCCAGCATTTAATGACTTGGTAGAGGAGGACAGGCTTTAAAAAGTAGACCGTGAAAGAGCAGCCAGAGAATGAGAAGAGGTGGGAAAACATGGTGTTGTGAAACCAGTGAAGAGCATTTCAGGGAAGTAGTAGGCAACTGTCAGGAAGAGACACTGATGATAGTTTTGAAAAATTTCCATTGAATTTTGGGATATGGAGGTGATCTTTTACTTTAGTTGGTGCTGTTTGAGTGCAGTAATGGTGGTCAGACTGATTTGCTATAGGAAGATAATGTAATTATCCATAGTTTATAGATCAAGAATCTGAGGCACAAGGAAGTTACTTGTAAAACAGCTCACCTAAGTGTCAGAACTGGAATCCAGGCTCCCTGTTCTGTATACCTGCTACCTACAGCTTACTGCTTTACTAGGTGAGTGTGTGGACTGAAGAGGCAAACACAGCTGTGTCCCTGTTTTGCTTCTCCCTGAGTTGGGATCTATTAACTAGTTACTTAACCTCATTGACCCTCTGCTTCCTCATTTTTAATAATGGTAAATGCCCGGTGAGGTTGTTGGGAAAATTAAATGAGATAATGTGTGTTAATGCCTTGAAATGCGTTTGATACATAATAAGTACTCAGTTAATGCTAGCTAAAAAATAAACAACCTTCTACCGTTCTGTCTGCCCTCTCCTCAGAGCCTCTTACCTCCAATTACATTTTTCTCTTGTTTAATGCTTAGCAGTCTTCTCTAAAAAGGCCAGTTTGTATGCTATTTGCCCAGTTATTTTTCAAGTTTGTGTTTTTACTTTGCCATTTCTCCTGCTTTTAGTGCCTTTGTCCACCTACACCACTAATTTCTGTGTAGTGTAATTTCTGTCAGTCTTCCTCAAAACTCACTTTTTATGACTGATTTAAAACTGATTTTCTTCACTCTGCAACTTAATGAGCTCAGCTTATGTTTACATTTGTTTCTTCTTAGGAGCTTGATATTCATGAGTTTGCGAAGTTTGTTCACTCAGTTTTACTAAATAGATTCAGGGGCCAGGCATGTTTTTTCATGTCCTTCAGCAACATGTAGTAGAATGCTTTAAAGTAGTGGGTACAAAATGGCAAACAGTATTTTTATGCTATTTAAGAAATAGCTCTTTCCTGTCACTTTCTTCTCATTACAGTCGTAAGGTGCAGTTATTACTAAGTCCTGCCAGTGTTACTTCCAAAATATTCGGATTAATCCATTTCTCTCCATTGACACTGCCACTGCTCTGATTAGTTTAGACCACCATCATCTCTGGCCAGGATCACTGCATCAGCCTCCCTGTGGTGTCTCCCTTCTACTCTTGTCCCCCCCAATCTATTCTCAACCCTATATTTTTAAGGTGTAATTGCATCATATCATTCTGCTTTGATTCCTCATTGACTTCCTATTTCAGTTTACCTTGGACTCCAAGGTCCTACGTGGATCACTTCACCTCTCCTTTTACCTCATTTTTGTGCCTCCTACCTGCTGCTCCCTCACCTGCACCCCTGCTTTAGTCCAGCCACATGGGCTACCCTGTTCTTTCAGTTCTTCACACACATGAATTCTGTCCCTCCATAGGGACCTTGTGCATCTGGTTTCCTCTGCCTGGAATGCTCCTTCCCAGGCTTGGTGCAGGGTTGTATTTTTCTCTCTTCAGGTCTCAGCTTATATGTCACCTTCTTGTGTGTGCGTGGTGTTTTTTTTGTTTTTTTTTTTGTTTTTTTTTTTGAGACAGAGTCTTGCTCTATTGCCCAGGCTGAAGTGCAGTGGTGCTCTTGGCTCACTGCAACCTCCACCTCCTGGGTTCAAGCATTTCTTGTGCCTCAGCCTCCTGAGTAGCTGGGATTACAGGCACGCACCACCACACCCAGCTAATTTTTGTATTTTTTGTAGAGACAGGGTTTCGCCGTGGTTGGCCGTGCTGGTCTTGAACTCCTGACCTCAGGTTATCTACCTGCCTTGGCCTCCCAAAGTGCTGGAATTACAGGCGTGAGCCACTGCGCCTGGCCTTATGCCACCTTCTTGATGAGACCTTTCCTGACTACTCTTTCTAAATAGATCCATCCAGCACACCGCCATCTCTCATTTTTAAATAAAAAATTTTTTCTCACTAATTTTATAGGGTGAAATATACCCATGTGCCAATTTTCCAGAATTAATACATGTTAAGATTTTGTCATAATTATTTCAGATTTTAAGTAAAAGAGAGCATTACAGATAGTTGAGGTTGGTAATGTGTGCCCTTCCCCAGTTTCCTCCTTTCCTCTCCAGAGGCAACTGTTATGAAGCTGATATGTATCTTTCCTTTTTCCATGTTTTTGTTACCTATGAATGTGCTCACTTAATTTATGTGGATGGTATCTTATCATTTTTCAGTTTGCAACTTTTTTCACTCAACATTATATTTTTGAGTGATATCCATGTTGATGTATACATATCTGATCACTTATTTGAACTGCTGTATAGTATTCCATCATACAAATATTCTACAGTGTATTTTTCCCTTTCTCAAGTGATGGTCATTTAGATTGTCGTCAGTGTTTTACTGTTATGAAAAGTAAGCATTCCTCTACTTGTCTATTTGTACACAGGTGCAAGAGTTTCTCTGTCATGATCTTTTCTAGCTCAACACCCTGTTTCATTCCCATTTTGGCACTCATCATTTTGTAATCACTGACTTATGTGTTTGCTTGTTTATATACATCTTCCTTATTCAGCTGTGAGCTCCATTGGGGTAGGCAGTGTGTTTAACTCACTCCTGCAAACACAGCCCCTAGCATAGACCTTGACACATAGTAGGTGCTTCGTTGGTATTTGTTGAATTAAGTCAGCTACCTGCTTTCCATCTGTTTTGTGTAGTTCATTCCTTTGGTTTTTGAGCTTTGGTTTTCAGATTTCTGAAGAAAGGTGAAGACTGATGAGGTGAGTTGCCAAATTCTATGGATAGTGATTATAGGTGATTAGGTAAACCTGGCATGGGAAGGAGCTGAGGAAAAAAAGCTATAAATAATTTGTTTTGGTTTAAACAAACCAAAATCTCAAAATTTGGAGATGATGGTTGGCAAGGAACTATGTGTACTAGTTTTGGTTATTGAAGGAGCTGGGTTTATCAGCTGTGGGCTCCTTCCACATCTGTATCATTGCCTTATTATTATAGGATTTTGGAGAGGGGTGGGAGGATTTTGTGTTTATTTTCTAAAATTATTCTATGTGAAAATTAGAAAATTAGAATTATGGTAGGTGTAGGAGATATGGATCGTAGATTAAAAAGCATGAGAAGAAATTGGGCTGTTGATCTTAAAGCAAGATTGTTTAAATCAATTAGTTTTTTAAAATTCTCCTTTTTATTAGAGTTCACTGAATCAGTGCATGTGTTCTGTGTTTTCTGTTTGCTTTTGAAGCTGTTCAGTGTTTTCCTTACCATCATAGACTTCAGATTTAACTACTTGATGTTCACCTACTGAATTCACATGTAGAGAGGAAAGACGAATTCACGGGAACAAACGGATTTCTTAAAATGGAGATTGCTGCTATAATCACACTTTGGACCTCTATTCTAGTACAGGACATCTCATTTTATCCACTAGTAGCCTGTGTAAGCCATTTGCTGATAAATTGAATCACTGTAATTATATTTGAAGTTAGCTATTGGAGGAAAAAATGTAGCTATAGTTAAATACTATGGTAATGCCTCCTAATTTATTCTTTTTCATTTTGGAGTATACTGTTTCTCCCCTCCTCCACTCAGTTTAGTGTGGCACATTTGACTGCCCGCCCCCCTTAGGTTGGGTATCAGTTATGAACTTCCAGAGAGAATTAGGATCTGGTCTCACTGTCTCCTTTGCATGTAAATAGTAAATAATTAGACATGCAGTTAAATTGGAGACAATAATAGCTGAGATATATTAAGCATATGATCCTGTTAGACACTGTTCTAAGCACTTTATATGAATAGTAAACATATAAGCACAGTCCAAAAAATTTTTTTCTAACTGTATAAAATGTAGGAGTCATGTTATTTTGAGGTTTATGAGAAATTGTAATCTTCAATTTCTAGTTAGTGGAGGTGGGCGTGGAGGAGAAAATGTTTGCATTTATTACATGTGTAGAAATGTACTGAACTGAGAAAATCTAAATGGTTACAGGCTAGTCATTTCTTAGTATCCTGCCTATTACTCATCCACTCCCTTGGTAAAAGCTTTACCCTGTTCCTATAAGTGGGAGCTGGGTGGAGGATGGGAAGCAATCCTCAATTGAGTTAGATCTGACTTTGCTTGATTGTGTGGCAAGTTAGTATGGGGTTTTATGTCATTATTTTATTTCCCTTTTATAGTTGAGAGAACTGAAGTACAGAAAGTATAAGTAACTTGCTCAAGATCACAGAGCTAGTGAATAAATGGAGCCATAATTCAAATCTAGGCAGTCCAAGCATTCTTAACTGCCACAGTACATTGCCTGTGTTTTTGAGTATTTGCCTGTGCAACAGGCATTAGGAGATGGGAGAAAATAGTGTTGTATCTTCACAGTACTTGGAGCCATTTTTGTTTGAAAGGATGTGTACTGTATTAGTGTGTGTCATCCTGGGTTGGTTAGCATTTGCTGCCACTTTATAGATTTTCTGAGAGCTTCAATTTTCCTTTTATATTTCCTCAGTCTTTTGACAGCAGTCATAATGGAATTTGAATGGTCATAGTTAATGTGGCCTTTGGAACAGAATTCTTAAGGAAGAGGATTGGGTGATGAAGCAAGGGTGGTAAGATGGGGAATGAGGAGGAATTCTTTCTGTCGTATGTATTTTGTGGAATAAAATAGTGATGCCATGCACCACAGCTCAAACTTGGCATGGTTCTGGAAGATGTCTTTGTGTAGCCTGTCTGTACCACTCACCATCTGTTATAATGGTGAAGGTCATAGGTTGTTTGCCTTAAGCAGAATAAACAAATAGATACAGAAAATGTATTCAGTAATCTTTGCTTGATGAGCAGAAGCTAGCAGTTGTTTAAAACAAGTGAAGGGGATAAAAACTCCCCTAACTTTTATTTACCAATCACATCGCAAAGCAAAAATAGCCTATTTTTAGGCTGAGGCTCCAATTATGTTAAGCCTTGAAGATAATGAAACAGTCTGACACAAAAGAGTGTGGTGACGCAAGTTTGTGTGGTGAAATTCCAAGACACTCACTGACTTTTTAGGATTCTGCACGGTGAATATTAAGCTCCTAAAGTGTTTGTTGCCCGGAAACAGCGCTTTATTCTTTTACATGCAGTGTAATGAAGTGAACCTGTGTTGTAATTTGTTTCTTGCAAGGAAAAGGGAGAATTAACACACATTATCTATCTTTGTGTCCTGTCTTTGGCCTCTTGTGTGTCCCTTTTATGTGCTGAAGCCACCAAGTCATGCTATTGCTAATACTGCATATTACCTTCTGTTTTAGCCACTCTAATTTTTCTTAATGCTTTACACAGTAGGGGTTTCCAGTTTTTCAACTAATTTTGTATTGTAGATTTCACCGAATTTGGAGGGTTTTTCTTTTCTGTCACTTTTTCCTCATTCTATGTAAGAATTACTCTTAGCTTTTGGACCCGTTCATAATCATGTCAGGTGATGTTTTTCCTTGGAACTAATTAGTTTCGGGGGTTTGAAATATGTGCTGGCACGGGGTTTCATTGGCTGGATTAATGGAAGTTGGCCATTTGTGCTCTCCCGGTCTCATGTTGCCCTTTCTATTTACAGGTTGGTAATGGGCTTCTGGGTTTTTATTCTGCTGCCTGTAGTCTTCTTGAAAATGAACCTGAGGTGCTGAATTCTCATGTGATGGGAAGTGTAATGCTTCCTTCCAGGGCAGCCTGTCTTCTTAATTCCTGAATCTTGCTATAGCCTAGGTCCCAAGGAATCAGATTCCTAGAGTCAGGAGGTTGGTCATCTTCCATTTGGTCTCAGAATTTTCCTTTCCAAAGAGTAGTCATAAGAACTAAATGTGGGAAGGCAGAAGGAAAGACCTATCAACATCAAGGTGCCAAAGTTACAAGCCTCTGGCATTGGTGGTTCATGGCAGGATTTGATGAAGTTGGGGAGGGAAGGGGACTTGAAGGGGATAAATGAACTCCTCATTAGATTCAGATTGAAGTGCACTGATGTGACCTGTGGAAGAGCTGAAAACATAAAATAGCACTCAGGTGATTGATAAAGACAGCCTGGTTGGATGAAGTGGAAGCTAGGAAATCTCTGGCTGGGTGCCTGCTATCCACGTACAGTACTTACTCTATTTCATTTAATCTCCTGCAGCCCTGCGGGTGGGGGCTCTTATTTCTTTTTACAAATGAGGAAAAAGTCTTGAAGGGATTAAGTAAATTGCCAAGGCCTCTTTATTTGTAAGTGGCTAAAATGAATATGGCTTCTCACATTTGTGCCACTCTTCTGAAATACAGGAAACACAGACATCAACAGTATTTATCTTTGTATGCTTACTAAGGAAAATACTGTGTGGTACAACCACTGAAAAGGCTATAATAGCTTTTTTGTTATTGCACTTTAACAGAGAGCTCTTTCTTAAAATTACAGATTTTTAGGACCAAATTCAGTTCAGTCGTCTGGCCTACTATGTGCCAGGTACAGTATTGAATCCTGGGGATATGAAGGTGAGACAGACCATGGTCCCTGGTCCCTGATTATAGTCTGAGTTGGGAGTAGAGGTGGAGGGAAAGGAAAGAAATTGCCCTGTGAACAAATTCCATGCCATATGACTAAGGTAAATTTAAAGAAAAAAGGAAAGGTAAACATTGCCTAGAGATTACAGAATGATGCCCATGCCCACAGAATATCTCTTACTGTGAGATCCATTGATTCTTTGGTCATTGCCAGGATTTGTCCAGAGAGGTACGGGATGTCGTCTTTACAGGGTGAAGCCCAAGAGGAACCATATTATGTTACAAACTTGGGGGCTTTTCTTTTCTAGCTAGAGGTCTAAACTCAGGAGGGTAACCAAGTTTTTTGTTTTGTTTTGTTTTTGGTACACAAAGAATCTTCTGTTTCTACATCCAGTAAACTTTTTGTTTTCTTAATTTTAAATTGTCCTCAGGCTGTACCTTTCCTTACCCCCATCTCTGACCAAGAAGGGTGGCAGGGAAGGGGGGTTCTAATTCCAACTCAGCTACTAATTTAGGAGGTGACCGATAACCTCTACAGTTCCATCTGTCATAGTGCCTTTCACATAACTGGTACTCAATAATAAGTGTTTGCCATGGGACAACAGAACTTGAAATCTTCTGTGATTAATTTGTATTGATTTTTGGGGGGCAGGAACTGGAAGGGGGTTAGTTTTTTTTAGGATGAAAAGTTGCTGCCTCACATTCCATAACAGTAACACAAATTATGGATAAATCATTAAGTATAAATCACAACTCAAGATAAGTGAAAAAAATTTTCAAATATTGAAGAGTTCTTTTATAAATTCCATCTCCTAGTGAGATGCATTACATCTCAGCCCAGAATGCTGAAGGTTCTTGTGATTCCTAGCACAGTGCCTCATCTTTGGTGTATGATCAGTGAAGAATAATACAATTATGAAATGACTACTAGTAATCTCTGAGGACTTCTGAGGATAACAGGTGTTCTGAAGTTTGCCAAACTTGGAGACCACCTTCCCTTCCTAGAACAGATTTCTAGGAAAAGTCTTCAGGTCTTTTTGATCACAATACGATAGGAATTGTAGGGAGGACATGAAGAAACAAAAGATCAGTCAGAATGTTTCACACACTCTCAATTCTCTAATAAACACAGTACTAAGCAGTACCTAGACATTGCTCTTTGCCTGAAGGTGGGATTCTTTAGTACCTCATACAGTAAAAGATGGTGAACCTTTCAGTGCTTTTTTTCAGGGCAAAAACAGCAGGGTCATCGAGTCATAACTCTTGTAATCTGGGATGCAAGTTATGTAACCATGTCAGGATTTTCTTGAGGGTTTCTGTCCAGAAGATGGAAGACAAGGAGTGTTGGTTGTTTTCTAAACAGTGAACTCTAGAAATTTGTAGATGAATGAACTATACAATACAATTCTAGAGAAAACTGCTAAGCAATTTTTCAGCACTTTATGGCAGTCACCAAGGATCATTATTGGCTCACCCAGAACAGGTACTGTTGGTATTTTTTTTCTTTTAGTCTTAATATTAGGCTTAAATTAGCACATGAAAGTGCTAGTTTTAAAAGTTAAAAGCAGTTGAATATCAACAGTTTCATGTGATTCATCCTAATGGTTTTTATTATTTTTTTCTGGTTATAAAATTAATACATGTTCATTGTAGCACACTTAGAAAAATAGAGGAAAATAAAATTACAGTCTAACAATCTATTTTATGCACTTCCATCTTTCCATGCATATACATATGCACACGTATAAATCTGTTCACCAGAATATTTTCAAAAAACTTACTGTGGATTATAGTTCATTTTTAGAGACTATCTGGCTGTTTAAATTGAACCTATCATAAACATTTCTCTGTAATTAGTAATTTATAAACTAAATTTTTATGATTTCAGGAGATAGATGTCACGTAATTTATTTATCAATACCCCTATTTTAGGACTTTTCGTATTGTTTTCAGTGTTTTACAATTATAAATAAATAGTGCTGCAATAAACATCTTCTACATGAATCCTGGTCCACATCTGATTATTTCCTTAAAATGAGTTATCAAAAGAGGTATTTTCAGGTTAAAAGATGTGAATTCTGAAAACATATTTCTAAATTTCTTACCATAAAGGATATACTAATTTCTTTTTTTTAATCTTTTATTGTTACTTTTTTATTTAACTTTAATTTTAAGTTCATGAGTACATGTGCAGGTTTGTTATACAGGTAAACTTGTGTCATGGGGGTTTGTTGTATACATTATTTTGTCATCCAGGGATTAAGCCTAATACTTATCAGTTATTTTTCCTGATCCTCTCCGTCCTCCAAGCCTCCACCCTCCGAGAGGCCCCAGTGTGTGTTGTTCCCCTCCGTCTGTTCATGTGTTCTCATCATTTAGCTACCACTTATAAGTGAGAACACACGGTATTTGGTTTTCTGTTACTCTGTTAGTTTGCTAGGGATAATGGCCTCCAGCTCCATCCATGTTCCTGCAATGGACATGATCTCATTCTTTTTTATGGCTGTAAATTAGTTCAACCGTTGTGGAAGAGAGTGTGGTGCTTCCTCAAAGACCTAAAAACAACTACTATTTGACCCAGCAGTCCCATTACTGGATATATACCAAAAGGAATATAAATTGTGATATTATAAAGACATGCATGTGTCTGTTCATTGCAGCACTATTCACAATAGCAAAGACATAGAATCAACCTAAATGCCCATCAGTGGTAGACTGGATAAAGAAAATGGGGGTACGTACATGATAGATATACTCATTTCTGCTTTTACTAGCAATGTGTGAAAGAACCTCCCTGATAAAACATCGCCACAGTTAGCTGTTACTTCTAAGACCAAGAGAAAAAACAGGATTGACCAATTTTGTTTTTCCACCTTTGATAAGTTTACTAAACAAAGATATATAATTTGGTTTTATCGAAGGACCTGACGAAGTTTTTCATGATATCTTTGTTGTCCAATCAAACAATGTGAACTGAATGCAGATAGAATCAGGGATCTCTTGTTTGCAGAACAACTATACTCTGGAAAGGTTTTATTAGTGGGTTATTGTCAACTGGGAGGGACACCTTGTGTGGTGAGGCTTAGTGACCCTGTCCTGAACAATGTTATTTACAGTGATTTTGATGAAAACAGAACATGAGCTTAACAGGTTTCCAGGTATGCCACAAAGTGAGAAGGATGGCTATAAGTTCTTCTGTACCATACTGTGGGCTCCCTGAGCAAGGGAGCTGGAGTGCTGAGAGCATTCCTTCTGGAGTCAAACTGCTACCTATTAGCTGTGTGGCTTTGGGCAGAGTTACCTAACCTTTCTGTGTCTTAGTTTCCTCATCTATAATAAAACAGGAATCAACAGAATATTTACCTCATGACGTTTGTTGGGAAGATTAAATAAGTTATTAAATGTGAAGCACTGAGAGTAGTTTCTGGTCCTTAGTAAGTGATCAATAAAGATGAGCTGCTATTGTTAATCTTTCTCTCAGATGGTAGATAACACTTCTTAAATGAATGCCTGAGTCAGTGTCATAAATGCTTTGTATGCTGGTGGGATGGGTCCATATTGCAAATGAAATGTGATGTGTAAGTTTTGCATTTATGTTTTATAATATTAGAACCGTCATGTAAAGATAGGGCTGAGAGTTATACTGTGTAGCTCCAGAAGGTAGAGATACGGTTTATTGATAGGAATTAGTGATAAGATACTTTCTACCAATTAGCTCTACTCAATAGTGGAGTTGCCCTTTCAGGTAGTGGAAGAATTCAGGTACAAGCTTCCAGACCATTACAAGTACATAATTGAAAAGAGAGGGCTTCTTTGGCTAGAGGTGAGACTAGATGACCTCTAAAGTCCCTTCCAACTCTAGGCTGATTCTGTGATTTTGAGTGGCATATGTAGGATTATCACATATCATGCAATAAGGCCCCACGAGTACATCTTTGGAAGGGTTGATGCTGCTAATCCTTGCCCACTCTGCCCTCTCTGCTTCAGTTTCTTTCACCTGTTGTGTGTCAGCCTGACAGTGGCCCATTCCTCAGCTTGATTCAGTTTTACAGCCCAGCTTAGTGTCCCAGGCTGCTCCCTCCTCAGCAGCAATGCCTAGAGGATGAGTATATGAACCAAGGGCACATTTTTCATAAGCATACAAGAAAATAGAAGATTGTTGCCTGCAAAGTGTATCTCAGAATTGTATTTTAAAAAAACAAGCAACAGTTTTGACCATGCCAGATGTACTCTTGTCGCTTTATTCGGGGCCAAGGGTGGACTTTACCTTTTTTGCTCAGCAGCTCTGGGCACTGGGTTTCTCTGCTTGTCTGGTTTCTTGCCTAAGTTCAGCATCAATATTCTAATCCCCTGGGAAGGAGCAGTTGAGCCCACACTGTTGTATATACTATGTGGGCTTGTATACCTTTGGCTGAGATTATTTTTCTGTCATGAACTCTGATTCCTTGCCTTATGCTATTTAAAGGTAGCTTCAAAATAAAGTTAGAAAGCTGAATTGGGAGCCCAACCAATTGCTTTTTCTTTTCAGGGTTCTTTGCTGAATAATTTCTGACACATCAATTGTGTAATTGTTTTGTGCTGCTCTCCCCATTTATAATATTTGGAGCATTGGCTTTTTGCCACACTTGTCAAGGGTTTATGGGAGTTAGTGACACGTAGTATACAAGGTTCTTTGAGATTCTTTCATGAAACTTGGTATTATCTTGAAAGCAAAAGGTTTAACTGTTCATTTGTTAGATGACTAGTGGGATTTTAAACAGATATAATCACACCATGTCTTTTTTTTAAATGTGATGTTACGTACATATGAACTTTTACTGCTCAAATTTTAAATTATGTGTTTTTTTTTCTTTTTTGTGTTTATAAAATCCATTATTAGCAAATACCTCAGGAAAACTTTAGAGTGAAAGTCCTGAAAAAATTTTCCACTCCATGTTTTTTAATGTTGTGGTTTGTCCTTAGTTTTGCCATCTGGTAATGAATGGTTGAAGTGATAAACTCCTGGCACCACCGCATTTTGCTGTTGATACTAGTGTGTGTCTATAGCTTGTGGTACAGAAGCACTAAGTGAGGTCCATGCTGTACAGTGAGAAGCCGAAAGAGTTGCTGCTCTGTGTGCCAGGTGGGTTAATATGTTTTAGAGAAAGCATCTGTGGAATTTTACAGTGGATGTTCTTTTGTAGCCGTATTAATTTTACTCCTTTTGAGTAGTATCATTTTACCAGCCAGAATCTAGAGCACGCACATGCATTATCAGAGTGATTTGAAACAGTGGTGTACACACGAGCACTGTGGGGATGGTTCTGATGCTTTCAAGGCCTAGAGTCTCACTGCATATATTCTGAGCCAGAGTGTTAATCCTACTGCCTTAAGAAGCCTTTGCTTCTCCTTTTAGTCTTTAGAGTTTATGAAACCAACAGCTTTGTAGTCTTCAATAGGAGGATTGTACATAGAGCTCTAAAGATTCTTGGAACATAGAAACCATAAAGAGGAACGTGTCTGTGTTTACTCTTGTGTTGTGTTATATGCACAGTGTAGAACTTTTTAAAATTGAAACAACAGAGGTAGATGATATTTTAAAAGATTACTAAACATTAGATTTTTAGACTCATCTCATTTAGGCTGAAAGGAACCTTCTAGTCCAGCCCCCTCATTTTACAGATGAAAAAATATAAGTCCATAAGGTCCCACTGAGCCTGAATCAGGGTTGATGTAAAACCTAGAGGTCTTCCTTCCCAAGCCAGATCTGGTTGGATCTCACCGCTCTTGTAACTGCTATAGAACACCACTGTAGCATTTAGAAAGTACTGAATCATTATGTAAGAAAATGACTCTCTCAGTAAAACAGTGTAGTTGTTGAGTCCATAGTCCAAGCAGGTTTTATCGTTTGTATTAAGTAACTTCAGCTGTTCCATAGTCTTCAGAAAGTCTGAGCTGACTATATTTATTTTATCCACCTTTTACCCAGTTAACAGAATGCTTACTCTCTTATTGCCACTTAAAAGTCATCTGGAAGACTCATGCTGATAATGTAATGCATGGTGAAGGAAGGGGGTAAAGTAGGAAAACATAATTATTGCATGCACGGTCTTTTTAAAGGCTCTTTTCTCCTCTTTTTCCCAGTTTAGTTGGGTAGATCTGATTTATATAGCATTTTCCCCCCTTTTCCTAAATTGGATAAGAGCTGGAAGACTATTCAGGAAAAGCTATAAGCTATAGCAAAGCGTGTGAAAAGACAGTAGTTTGTGCCTTTCTCAACCTTGTTATAGATCTGTGGATAGTTTGGAGTTTACAAAACTGTACTTAAATATTTTCTTTAATATAGGTTAGGGACAGATTTCTATTTGCTATTGATGACTGTCAAAACAACTTCCCTAGAATGATTGTCACAGAGCATGGGGCCTCATTTTCTGATGGAGAAACTGCTTTGGTTTATTCTCACTGTTTTTACATGATTATTTCTTATTTTCTCAAGTGCTTATGACATTTAAAAAATCTGTGGTTGAGAATTGTGGCAGCCAGTATTATGAGAAAGAGAAACTAGGTGCCTGTAAACTATTTAAATACAAACAAATGATAGCAAAACTTAACCAGGAAGAACATGAGTTTGAAATTGTTGATGAACGTGATCTAGGCCTAAGACAAGCTGAAACTGTATTTCTCATTCATTCTTTCTTAACCAGAATTGCTTTACCTTCAAACTCAAGCAAATCTTTTGTTTAATCCTTGAGAATTGATACTTCAGAGGATTTCTTTATTTCAGTTATTGATGGACATTATTCTTAGGATTCAGTACTGGGTCAAGATGTGTGTTTTTTCAGCAATGTTTGACTGAATCCCAAGCTTTCTCAAGGCATATTTAAAAACCAGTACTGGTAATAGGCAGACTTACATACAGTTTTATCAGTTTATCTCTGCTTTTTTGAGGGAGAGGGAGTTTCAGCTAAGTTGGGTTTGTGCTCGTGAAATACAATACAAAAAGATTTGACCAAATAACTTTCTAATCATCCTTGCTGTATGTATATTTTGGTAAAATCCTGCTCACAGGGAAAATGTCTTGTTAATTTTTGGTTACACTAAAGACATTCTGAGCAACTAACTTTGGTGTGTAGGGCTAAAATTACTTGAAATGCTGAGATTGTATTGTTTTGGGAAGAACTTAAGTAGCATTCTATTTGTGTTAAATGTTCTTGTTAAGGCAATGGAAAAGATATTAGTTGAATATATTTTTTCAAATTAACTTTTTTGTCTTTGTGTTTTTATTTTAAAAAGCTTATTGTATTGTCTTGTATTAAAAAAACACATAATGGAAAATTTACCATCTTAACCATTTTTAAGTGTGCAGGTGCACACAACACAGGTGCACTACGCAATTCACTGCCAGTTACAGTAGAGTAAGAAGTAGATATTTGCCTTTGGGGATCTTGGGAAGAAGACTGCTATCTATCTCTAATCCTCATGGAATCCTTAAGTGGTAGGTGCCAAGGGCTAAGGTGAGGGGGGAGAGGTGGAGGGAGTTGTTTAATGGGTACAGAGTTGAGCTCCTTTCTCTATAAAGCATTTAAGCTTTTTTGTTGCCATTAATTGCTTCTATGGGCTAAAGAAACTGAAAGTGTGGGCAGGTAATCACTTGGCTACTAATATAAAGAGGAAGTGAAACAAAGGACTGGCTTAATGGTTCAGGGTGGAAAGTATACACAGTTAAAAGTAATGTTATATGGTCTTGTAAATAGTTGTGCATATATCCGATGTCAATAAGAATTAGTAATACCAAGTTAAAAGAAAAGCATTATTTTAATATTTGTATACCTTTTGGAAATGAAAGATGGGATTATTTAAAGAGCAAAAAACTAAAGATGTTCTAGTTGGTAAGTGACTTTATTTGATGTGATTTGTTATTCGGATTTACCTGTGATTAGAGTGGTCATATATTCTTAATAGTTTCTTCCTTTTTGTGAGACAAGGTAAGAGCAGCTTGGCATCTAAGTTTTGGATAATGTGTTGCTACTTGATTTTTTTTTTCCCCAAGATGGAGTCTTGCTCTGGAGTGCAGTGGCACGATCTCGGCTCACTGCACCCTCCACCTCCCAGGTTCAAGCGATTCTTCTGCCTCAGCCTCCTGAGTAGCTGGGACTACAGGCGCCCGCCACCACACCTGGCTAATTTTTGTATTTTTAGTAGAGACGGGGTTTCACCATGTTGGCCAGGCTGGTCTTGAACTCCTCACCTCAAGTGATCTGCCCGCCTTGGTCTCCCAAAGTGATGGGATTACAGGCGTGAGCTGCTTGCTTTTGAGAGGCATCCTAAACATGTTGGATGGCCTACCCTTATTTTCTGAACTAAAATATGTTAAAATTAATTTGGTTTTGAGAACTTTTGAAAAATCATCTGACTTTAATCTAGCTAATATGAGTTTTTTTCCCTATGCTCTGGGCACTATCCTAAGTATTTTACATACATTACTTAATCCTCATAGAAACCCTGTGATATTATTTTTCCTTTTTTACAGAAGAGGAAAGCAGCTATAGAGAGGTTAAATTGCTCACTTAAGGTCATAGATGTAACGATGGAATTAGGATTTGAACCCAGGTGGTTGGCTGTGGGTTGACATTTATCATTTTAACTGCTTTGTGATGTTACTCCATACTGAGCATGTAAATGTTCTTGGCACTCAGCACATTGTAGGATTTAAACAAATAACATTTATATCTGTTGAGCTTCTTAGAATGACTGGAGATGAAGTAGTCTGCTATAAAAATAAGATAGGAAGCCATTGTACTGGACACTACTGATTTAGCTAATTGATTTCAATCCAGGAACTGATTAGACATTTCTTTCTTTCTTTCTTTCTTTTTTTTTTTGAGATGGAGTCTCACTCTTATCACCCAGGCTGGAGTGCAGTGGCGCCATCTCGGCTCACTGCAACCTCTGCCTCCCGGGTTCAAGCAATTCTCCTGCCTCAGCTTCCTGAGTATTTAGGATTACAGGTGCCCACCATCACACCCAGCTAATTTTTATATTTTTAGTAGAGACGGGGTTTCACCACCTTGGCCAGGCTGGTCTCGAGCTCCTGACCTTGTGATCCACCTGCCTCAGCCTCCTAAAGTGCTGGGATTACAGGCGTGGGCCACCGCGCCCGGCCTAGACATTGATTTCTAACCTTGAGGTCCATGTGTGAGTTCCAAGAGAAACTAAAGAATGACCTCAGACAATCATTTAGCAAATGATATTGTTTTGTTCATGTAGTATGGCTTTTGTCCTCTGCTTTTATACTTGTACAATAATAGAATTTAAGAACTGGTCCTGACTTGGTCTAGGTAGTCAAATTCAACCTCTGCATTTTACCATTTGAGGAAACAGGTAAAAGAACCTTCTTAAGGTCACTAAAAAAGGAAGTGCCAGAGCCAGGATTTAATGCATAATAGCTCACACTGACCTAGTTTTACCATGAGCCAGGCAGTGTTCTAGAGGCTTTATATATGTTAACTCATTAACTCCTCAGAACAAGCCTATGAAACAGATACTGCTATATACCCACGTTACAGCTGAGAAAACTGAGGTTATGTAACATACACAAAGTCACACAACTAGTAATGAGTAGAGCCAGGATGCAAATCCAGTCATTTTGGCTCCAGTTTGTCTCCAAACCCTCCTCATGGTTGTAACATATATAATTGCCATCTTTTTTTAAGAGCAAAAATGGTTGAATATCAGCCATTTCTTATAGTTCAATCTGACATAGCTTGAGCTCTTTCTATGGCATTTCAGTACCTTACCACAATGCGTATTTGTGGTTATTATTATATCCCACTTGATCTTGGTATATGATCCTTTTAATGTGCTGTTGAATTTGGTTTGTTAGTATTTTATTGAGGATTTTTATATCTATGTTCATCAGGAGTTCGGCCTGTAGTTTTCTTTTTCTTTTCATATCTTTGATTAGCTTTGGTATCAGGGTAATGCTGGCCTTGTAAAATGAGGTTGGAAGGGTTCCTTCCTCTTCACTTTTTTGGAAGAATTTGAAAAAGATTGCTGTTCTTTAAATGTCTGGTAGAATTCACCAGTGAAGCCAACGCATGTTGGTCCAGTATCCTGTTGAATAGAAGTGGTGAGATCAAAAATACTTATCTTGTTTCTGGTATTAGGGGGAAAGCATTTAGCCTTTCGGCATTAAGTATGTTGTCAGCTGAAGATTTTTCTTGTATGTCCTTTTTCAAATTGAGGAAATACCTTTTTGTTCTACTTTCTTGAGGGTTTTTTAAAACCAGTAATGAGTGTTGGATTTTTTCAAATGCCTTTTCTATGTCTATTGAAGTGATCATGAGATTTTTTTTGTTTTGTTCTGTTTTATTTTTTAGTTTGTTAATATGGTGATTTATAATGATTGCTTTTCAGGTGTTAAGTCAACCTTGCATTTCTGGGCTAAACCCCACTTGGTCATGTCTATGAATACTTTATTTTTGGATTTTTATTTACTAAAACGTTTAGAATTTTTACATGTATGTTTATGAGGAATATTGGTCTGAAATTTTCTTTTCTTGTAATATCTTTGTCAGTCTTGGTCAGACTAGGGTAATGCTGCCCTCACAATGTGTTGAGAAATATTCCTTCCTCTTCCATTTTCTGGGAGAGTTTGTGTAGAACTGGTATTATTTCATCTTTAAATGTTTGGAGTAATTCACCACAGAAACTATCTGGGCCTGGACTTTTATTTGTTTAAAAATTTTTAACTACAAATTCAATTTGTTTGACAGACAGTCAAGTTGTCTGTTTCTTCTTGAGTGAGCTTTAGTATAATAGTTTGTGTCTTTCAAGAAATTTGTCAGATTTATTGGCACGAAGTTTTTAAATAACATTCCCTTTTTATCCTTTTAATATCTAGAATTGGTAATGGTGTCATCTCTTATTGCTGATGTTGGTAATTTGTGTCTTTTCTTTTTTTCCAGCGATGGTAGTCACCCTGAACTCTGTCTTCTGGCTCTTCAAGCCAGAAGAAATGGGCATCTTGCCTGGTGCCTTTCCTTTTTACCAATTGTAGACATCCCTCCATTTTTGGCAAGTTTTTCGTTGTGCTCCAGTGCCTTCAGGTAGTGGCTTTTTACATTGTCCAGAGGTTATCAACGGTAAGAGGCTATTTTTGCCCAGTGCTGAAGATGGCATCTCTGGGTTTTGGTTTTGTAACATTCTAGCAAAGCCAGACATGCTTTGCTGCAGTGAAAGTGTGGAACTGGATAATTGAGCAGCACTGTTTATTCATTGTTGCCTTTATTGGATCTCATATGGAATAACCCCACTGGATATTAGAGTAAATTACAGAGTTAGGAAAAGGTGAAAAAGAGAAATGTCGGGTTAGCTCTTTTCAAAATATTTTCAGTGGGAGAAATTGTTGTCACTTTAAAAAGTGAGCTTTTTAAAAAACGAACATTTTGAGTACTGAATATGTTAAGCTTCTGAATGATTTTGAGTGCTTTTGCTTGTCATGGGGAAGTTTTTCAAGAGAAGATGACCTTTTAGGCCTAAAAACAAAGCATTTCTAATTGCTTAATGTGTATTGTATCAAGTAAATTATCATTAGGTCATATTAATGCTATGATACTTAAATATTTTATTTGTAGTGGAATCCATTTTCTGATCATTTTATACTGAGCATTTATGCCAATTTTAGTATATATTGTAATTCAAATTAAAAAATGCTAGAAGTCATCTTAGGTCTCTGGATCTCAGCCTGGTATTTACTGAGTAGCTGTCAGGAGCCATGCACTGTTCTAGGCACAGGAGGTTCAGTGGTGAATGAGGAGCTTATATTCTTAGAAGCTCAGAAATCTAACCCTGTTAGCACACTGTAGATGGTCAGACTCACATGTACTTGCCCTAATGCCAATTTGTTCATCTGAAATGAGAAGTACAGCTGTTAATTAGACTGGTGAGGTCGAACTGAGAGATTAGTGCATTTTCTCTTTATAGACAACCCACATGGGAAGCCAAATTACAATCACAAGGTTGCTTGGTGAGAATGGAATCAAAACAAAGGGACTTGGATAGATAATCCATGATTAGGACACACCTGCCACAGAGACTATTTGGGTTTTCCCTAAGTAGTGCTGAGCAGTAAAGCTTGCCAGTGTCTGGGTCTTCAGACTTATTTTTATGCTGACCATTTTCCTTTGTTCACACCATCTTTTTCAAACCAAGCTGCAATACAGTTCACTAAATGACAAGCACATTCCAGGCCTGCTTCCTAAGATTAAACTTAGATCACCTTTGGAAACATGTAGAGGCTTCCAAATTCTGAGCTTAGGTACACACCTGTAGAGAGTCTCTTGTTTGATTTCAACAGAGTGCTACCTTAGCCATTGTGCAAGTGCGTTTTTACCCTCAGAGGGTATCATTTTTTTCCCCCTTACATCCATGGTGTGGGGGAAGTGTTTGAGTCCCTTATAGTGGTCCCCATGTACTGCCAATAATACCGTTTTATTCTGTTCAAGTGGTAATGGAAGATTTGACTTCTGTTTTTTTATATGATTTACTGATGCCAAACCCTTATTAAATCAGTCCCCACTTCTACCATGTTTCCACAGGAGAGGCTAATCTGTCTTAATAAGGTAAAATGAATTTATTTGAAAATGTAGTAAATGTAATAAATAGCTAAACTTAAACCTAGAAAGTCCTGGAACCCAAGCATACATGTTTGATTTTTGTTGTTGTTGTTTAATGAGGGGATATACTGGAATTCTCTTTAAAAGATCCAGGGAACATGCCTTTAGGGATGAATCACATGCCTTGAGGTCTAATAGAGACCCAAACATTGGAATTGTGAGCCATTTTCACATACTAGATTCTTATATTGTTCCTTCAGTTATTGTCTGTACACCAGTGGCCCACAATCCAGGTTAAAGTACTACTCAGTTTGCTGTTAAAAAAAGTAAACGAAGTTAAGACCCAGTGATAGCCATGGTTGTCATATTTTCAGTACAAATAAAGTGGTATCACTGTCCATATATCCACCAAAACCTATGGTCAGCCAGCAAAGCCTTGGCAGGTACCTGTTTGCAGGTTCCTTGGAGGCAACAACCATAACAACAATAGCAATAGTGAAAGCACATAGTGATATATGTGTGTAGTGCTTTGTAGTTTTTTCACAGAGCCCTGTCACCTGAATTATCTAAATTTCACAAGTGCAATATATAATGTGTAGGTATGCTGGTAACCATTTCTGCTTTCTAGTCAACCATAACCTTACCTACACTCTTTTGTACTATAAATTTTTGGCCTGAGAAATAGGAAAATCTATTTTCCCCATTCAGACTGCCAAAATACCTTCTTTTATGGACAAATTTAATTATTTCGTGAAATTTTAGGCTATGCTTCTAAGGATTCTTAACACCAAGTTTAAAGTCTTTTCTTGATTTATTTTTTTTAAGCTAATAAAAATACCAGGCCATTCTCAACCATTTTTTAGTCTCCACACCATTCTTAAAATATATCCCAATTAATAACAGTTTTCCTTACATTACTTGTGCAGATATCAGTGTTCTGATTTTGCACCGTCCAGTATGGTAGCCACTAGCCACAGGTGGCTATTTAAATAAATTATTTAAAGTTAAATAAAAATTCAGTTTCTAAGTCACACTAGCCACATTTCAAGTGCTCAATAGCCATTATGTGGCTAGTGACTACAGTGAGTACAGATATAGAACATTTCCATCATTGCAGGAAGTACTATTGGAAAGCGTTGTTCTAGAAATCTAATTCCTGCTTAGTTTTGGGGGGGAAGATAGTCAAACAGTTCTACCATTTATCATTTTATCTGCAAGATTTATATTTCTTTTTTTTTTTTTTTTTTTTTGAGATGGAGTCTCACTGTGTCACCTAAGCTGGCACAGTCTCAGCTCACTGCAGCCTCCGCCTCCAGGGTTCAAGTGATTCTCCTGCCTCAGCTTCCTGAGTAGCTGGGATTACAGGTGCAAGCCACCATGCCCGGCTAATTTTTGTATTTTTAGTAGAAACGGGATTTCACCATGTTGGCCACTCTGGTCTCGAACTCCTAACCTCGTGATTCGCCCACCTTAGCCTCCCAAAGTGTTGGGATTACAGGCGTGAGCCACTGTGCCTGGCCAAGATTTATATTTCTAAATAGATCTACTGAGCCTGCCTAGATGATGTAAAATACTATTTTACATATACTTTTTAAAAATATACATAAAACTTGGAGGCTGAGGCGGGCCGATCACCTGAGGTCAGAAGTTCAAGACCAGCCTGGCCAACATGGTGAAACTTCGTCTCTACTAAAATACAAAAAATGAGCCAGGTGTGGTGGCGTGCACCTGTAGTCCCAGCCACTCAGGAGGCTGAGGCAGAAGAATCACTTGAATCCAGGAGGCAGAGGCTGCAGTGAGCCAAGATTGCACCACCACACTCTAGCCTGGGCAACAGAACAAAACTCTGTCTCAAAAAAATAAATAAAAATAAAACATTATATAAACCTTTTATTTTCTTAGCGCCTCCTAAGTTATAGGTCTCACAGGTAAGCAGCAATGGGAATTGAAGTAGACACTAATGTAATAATAAAAACGTCCCAGCTTCTTTACCCTTCAGTGGATATTTGCTGAAGTGCAACAGAAAAGATAGGTGCAGGTACACTGTTCTGCACTAAACAGAAAACACGTAGCCATCATATAAGGAGAAGCGACCGACTGACAGTAATCTTAAGATGATTCACATAATTAAGATTTCATGATGCAAAAATTCAGGTCAGTCATACTCTCAGATAAAATATTAGTTAGGGGATTTAGCTTGAAAAGGCACTTGGCAGTTGGAGAATCTCTCAAATGTATAGCTGATATTAAAAATGTGTTATCACTTGTTAGGTTCTTAAGTGTTACAAATTAATTCAGTACGATAATAAATTTGCTTTTTCTCTTTCTGCTTATATATTCACATTGTACAGAATGAAAGGAAAAATCCAGACTAACATCCAAAGACTGTATTTTTGCCATGAGTGATTCAGGGAACTTGAGGTTTTAAGGATGTAGTATCCTATAATATATTCAGTTTAACTGGGACAAAACATCCAGAGAAACCCCTTTGATCCTTGCCTGTGTAAGAATGGTCTCATGAGTGGCTGAATATAATGGAGAGGCATATTTATTGGGGGTGACCAGTACTATTCCATGGTGAAGGACAGAATTGGAGCTTTGTAGGACAGAGGTATATCTGGATACATACTAAATTCTAGATAGGTGAAGAAAATTGTGTGAATTTCGAAAAAGTGATTGCCTTTTACAAAAAACAAGAGCAAAGTACCACAAATACTGGCAGTTGTTACATTAGTGTGATTCTGTATGATTGAATGTATGTTTAATCCCTTTTTCACTTTTAAAAGTCATTACTTTCTTGCAAAGTTAAACAATGTTAAAGGGCAACTGTTTTTTTAAAAAATATATTTAATTGACAAAGATTATATATGAAAGGTGTACAATGTGATGATTTGATATGCATATACATTGTGCAATGATTACCACAACCAAATTAACACGTCCATCACTATGCATGCTGTACCATACATACCCAGAACTTGTTCATCTTATAACTGAAAGTTCATCCCCTTTGGCCAACGTCTTCTCATTTCTTCCACTCCCCAGACCCTGATAACCACTCTTCTACTCTCTGCTTCTTTGAGTTCAATGTTTTTAGATTCCACATATAAGTTACATCATACAGCATTTGTTTTTCTGTGGCTGGTTTATTTCACTTAGCATAATGTCCTCCAGGTTCATCCATGTTGTTGCAAATGGCAGGATTTCCTTTTTTATGGCCAAATAATATATTCCATTTTGTATGTGTGTATACATCCCACATTTTGTTCAACCGTTTATCCCTCAGCGGACACTTAGGTTGTTTCCATATCTTGGCCATTGTGAATAATGCTGCAGTGAACATGGGCGTACAGAAAAACCTCTTCAAGATAACTGATTTCATTTCCTTTGGATGTAATTTTTTGGGGAACCTCCATACTGTTTTCCATAATGGCTATCCCAGTTTACATTGCCACCAATAGTGTACAAGGGTTCTTTTTCTTCACATCCTTGTTAACATTTGTTGTATATAGCTAGCCTAACAGATGTGAGGTGATATGTCATTGTGGTTGTGATTTGCGTGTCGCTGATGATTAGTGATGTTGAGTACCTTTTCATATACCTATTGGCCGTTTCTGTGTCTTCTTTGGAAAAATATCTATTCAGGTCCTTTGCCCATTTATTTTTATTTTTTATTTTTATTTTATTTTATTTTTAGGGACAGGGTCTCATTCTGTTTCCTAGGCTGGAGTCCAGTGGCACAATCATAGCTCACTGCAGCCTCAAACTCCTGGACTCAAGTGATCCTCCCACTTCAGCTTCCCAAGTAGCTAGGACTGTGGGTGTGCATCATCATCATCAGGCTTGGCTAATTTTTTTTTTTTTTTTTTTTTTTTTTTGAGACGGCCTCACCTCTGGCCCAGGCTGGAGTATAGTGGCACAGTCAGGGCTCACTGCAGTCTCAACCTCCCAGGCTCAGGAGATCCTCCCACCTCAGCCACCCCAGTAGCTGGGACTACAGGCATAGGCGTGCACCACCATGCCCCTCTAATTTTTTTTAAAGATGGGGTTTTGCCATGTTGCTCAGGCTGGTCTTGAACTCCAGAGCTCAAGTGATCCACTCACCATAGCCGCCCTAATTTCTTTTTTAAAAGCAGGGTCTTGCTGTGTTGCCCAGGCTGGTCTTGAACTCCTGGCCTCAAGTGATCCTCCCACATTAGCCTCCTGAGTGGCTGGGATTACAGGCCATTTTTTAATCTGGTTGTTTGTTTTTGTGCTATTGAGTTGTGTGAGTTTCTTATATGTTTCAGATATTAACCCCTTATCAGATAATATGGTTTGCAAATATTTTCTCTCATTTTGTAGGTTGTCTTTTTGTTTTGTTAATTGCTTTCTTTTTAGTTTGTTGCAGTCTTACTTATTTATTTTTGCTGTTGTTGCCTGTGCTTTTGGTGTCATATCTAAAAAAATTATTGCCAAGACCAATGTCAGGGAGCTTTTTTTCCCTATATTTTCTTCTAGGAGTTTATGGTTTCCAGTCTTACATTTAAGTTTTAGATCCATTTTGAGTTAATTTTTGTATATAGTATGAGACAAGGATTTAATTTTATTCTTTCGTATGTGGATATCTAGTTTTCCCAGTACCATTTATTGAGGAGACTTTTCTTTCCCTGTTGTGAGTTCTTGACCCTCTTGTCAAAGATCGGTTGACCATGTATGCAAGGGTTTATTTCTGGGTTCTCTATTCTGTTCCATTGGTCTTTGTATCTGTTTTTATGCCAGTACCATATTGTTTTGATTACCATAGTTTTGTAATACAGTTTGAAATCAGGGAGTGTGATGCCTCCAGCTTTGTTCTTTCTTAAGATTACTTTGGCTATTTGGGGTCTTTTGTTGTGGTTCCATACAAGTTTTAGGATTGTTTTTTCTATTTCTGTGAAAAATGCCATTGGAATTTTGATAGGAATGACATTGAATCCATAGATTGCTTTGGGGATTATGGATACTTTAACAATATTAATTCTCATTGTAAAGATGATAATTCATTTTATGAGGCCAGCATTAACCTGATATTAAAGCCAGATAAGGATGCTACAAGAAAATAAAATTGTAGGCCAGTATCCCTGATGAACACAGATGCAAAAATCCCCAATAAAATACTACTAGCAAACTGAATTTAACAGGGCATTACAAGAATCATACATCATAATCAAATGGGATTTATCCCTGGTATATAAGAATGTTTCAACATATGCAAACTAGTAAATGTGATACACCACATTAACAGAATGAAAGATAAAAATCATATGATAATCTCAATAGATGCAGAAAAAGCATTTGACAAAATTCAATATCCTTTCATGATAAAAACCCCTCAACAAATTAGATATGGAAGGAAAGTACCTCAACACAATAAAGGCCATGTATGACAAGCCCACAGCTAACATCATACACAACAGTGAAAAGCAGAAAGCTTTTCATCTAAGATTGGGAACAAGATAAGGATGCCCACTTTTACTACTTCTTTTTTTTTTTTTTAATCTTTCAAGCTTTTATTTAAATGCCATGATCCAGGATGGATTTTAGATCTTGTTGAAAGCAGCCACATCCATGGACTGCACGTAGTCCTCAAAAGCAGTGATCTGCTCCTCCAGCATATCTGTTCCGACTTTATCATCTTCAACTACACACTGTATTTGAAGTTTCTTAATTCCGTATCCCACTGGAACTAGTTTAGATGAGCCCCAGACTAAGCCGTCTGCTTGAATGCTTCTGACGCGCTCCTCTAATTTCGCCATATCTGTCTCATCATCCCAAGGTTTCACATCTAGTAAGATGGAAGACTTGGCAACAAGTGCAGGTTTTTTGGCTTTCTTTGATTCATATTGTGCAAGACGTTCTTCCCTTAGCCTCTTTGCTTCTTCACTTTCCTCCTCATCATCAGATCCAAAGAGGTCAATGTCATCATCATCTTTACTATCTGTAGCTCCACTTCCTGTAGTGTCTTCCACATCGGCAGGACCATACTTGCCCAAAGCTTTCTTCACTCCTGGCAGGCTGGCCTTTTCCTTTTCGTAAGACTTGATGTGATTATACCAACGTAGGGCATGACACAAGTCGGCAGGCAGTGGGCTGGACACGGCTTCAAATACTGCCACATCTGCTTGTGATGGCACATACCCCTCGATGTAGCTCTTGTCCGCCAGGTAATCGTTGAGCACCTGGAGGCCGGCGGGGCTTTTCAGGTCTCTGAAACCCATGGTGTCGGCTGTATCCGAGAGCTGGGGAGCAGCAGAAAGAGCCCACTTTTACTACTTCTGTTCTACATAGTAGTGGAAGTCCTAGGCAGAGCAATTAGGCAAGAGAAAAAAGTAAAAGGCATGCAAATCAGAAAGGAAGAAGTTAAACTGTTTGCAGATGACATCATCTTATATATAGAAAACCCTAACCCTAAGGATTCCACCAAAGAACTGTTAGAACTAATAAGTGAATTCTGTAAATTCGGAGGATACAAAATCAACATACAAAAATCAGTTGTTTCTATGCACTAACAATAAACTATCCGAAAAAAGATATTAAGAGAAAAATCTCATTGGCAATAGCATAAAAAAGAATAAAATACTTAGGAGTAAATTAAGCCAAGGAGGTAGAAGGCCTATACATTATAAACTATAAAACATTGATGAAAGAAAGTGAAGACACAAATAACATGGAAAGGGCCTGTGTTCATGGATTTTTTTTTTTAAGGCCTTTCCGTTAGGTCGGGTGATATGTGTAATGTTCACAGAGAAAGCAAGTAGTCCCCTTTTTTCTATATGCATTTTAGATCTTCTTTGCTGAAGTAACAGCTTGTTATAAGCATGAGTATGGAAAAGAGATTTTTATTCGTATTTAAAGAACATCAGTAATAAAAACATTTCCCTAGCTATGACAAAGAACAGCCTTTGTTTAAGGGTTAGGTATGTCTAAAGAAGTGACTCTTGTTAAGAACTAAGGAATAAAATATAATTCATCTTATCTTGTGTAGGGAAAACTGTCCCAACTTGAAAGCCGCTGAGTGCCTAATTTACATTTAAAGCTGAAGTAATGAAGCCTTTATTTTTTTGCCAGAAACTCCCATTTCTCTCCCAAATACATTCTCTATCAGGAAAAAAAGCTCATTATTTTGCATGGTAATGTGTCTTTGCTGATGCAGAAAAGCAACATAATTCAGGATGAAGGGTTAATTTAAACTTTCTTATGTACTCTTTTGCAGATAATTAGAATTATTTCTCAGAATCTAAAGGTGGGTTTGCAGAGTACACCAAAAAGAATAGCTTTATCCTGGTGAATTGCAAAGGAAAGGTACAGTCCTTTACTCTTCAGGAGAAAGAGGTTCCTGAAAACTGTGGTTGGATGTAGAAATTAACTCTGAGAACTTTAGACGTCATAGAAACTATAGTTGCAGGAGGTTTAAAGTTTAGAGTGTGTCTATGGAAATTCTTAAGAACAAACAGTATTTACATTCATTTAAGTCTTCTCAATGTAATACAAATGACCCTTTATACTCTTTTATTTAGTAATAAGGGATCCATTTTCTTTTTCATTTACTATCCCTTAAGGGAAAATTGGCTTTGTTGCAGATAAGCATGCTTTGAGACATTTCCCCTCCTCCACTATGGCTAATTTTCTTTGACACTGTTCGTTGCCTTTCTGATTTTTAAATGGAGAAATTGTTGACGTCCATCTCCCTGGAGCTCCCCACTCACATCCTGCTCCCTCCTGCTGACTTAGATGTCGTCAGTTTGGCTTCATTCTAAAAATCTTTATTTCTGTTCCAACATTAGCTTTTACCTTCCTTTCCTATTCTCAACTGCAGCTTCATCTTTCTCTAATTATCCCCAACAGGATTGAATCATAGTTTTGTGCAATTTACATATACTGAAACTGAATGAAATTTTTGAAGTTGCCCCAAAAATACACAGAAGTAAAATTGAGAATATGCAAGTTCAGTTTAATAAGATTAGATATGAGAAATTAGTGTCATATCCTGCAAGTGTATATGAATATGTGCACTCATTTTACGTGTATATACAGCCCCCACTCATTTATTTATGTATATGTATATATATATATATATATATATATATATAAAACATTTAACCTAAGAAGAACTTGCAATTGTTAAGCTGCTCAAGAACTTTCAGAGGTTCTAACACAGTTGCACATTTCAGCAAAAGCAGGCAATATGCTTACTGTCAATCGGTGGCATAATCGTTTATTGAGCAGTGCTTTGGATTTGTGAACAAATGGACTTATTATACAGCCTTTTGGAGCCTAAATGGTTCCAAAGACAAAAATCTTCTCTGCTACTCCAGCATAAGGGTTTCAGATCATAAGTAGCAGTCAACTATAAATTCCGGAAGCCAGACCTGTGTCATCTATCCTCATTCCTTGAAACTTGGGGGTATCCTAGATGAGGTAGGAGATGTCACTGACCCTGCCCAACTGGTAGTCATCAGACTTTGGAGGAAGCACAAACAGGTTGGAACTTTTGTTCTGTGAGTACGCTAAACTGTTAAAGCCTTGATTGTTTTTGTTGTTGTTGTTTGTTTGGAGATGGAGTCTTGCCCTGTCGTCCAGGCTGGAGTGCAATGGCACGATCTTGGCTCACTGCAACCTCCACCTCCCGGTTCAAGCGATTCTCCTGCCTCAGCCTCCCGAGTAGCTGGGATTACAGGTGTAGGCCACCACACCCAGCTAATTTTTGTATTTTTAGTAGAGATGGAGTTTCATCATGTTGGCCAGGATGGTCTTGAACTCCTAACCTCATGATCCACCTGCCTCGGCCTCCCAAAGTGCTGGGATTACAGGCGTGAGCCACCACGCCCGGCCTATTGTATTGTTTTTTAAAATTTATCCCTGGAATTGGTTTGTGTTTTTATTTTTTAGGAATGATTATATACATTGACCTTGTGCCACATGCTTCAGATTTTATAAGAAGTAAGCTGGGATGTTCCAAGTTCCGTGTTGCATAGAGTTCTTATCCATGAAAAAATGTCCAAAAAGATGATTTAGCAAATTTAGGATTATTTCATCCTAATTTGGTATTCTCTATAGTGGGAGTTTTAGAGTGTTTCTTGTGATAATCATTATAGTTAAGATTTATTGAATGTTTACTCAAAAAAGTTGAATTTTTCTACTGGTTTTGGGACTACTTGGGTGAGATATGTGAAATAGATTCAAATATTGAAATATTGAGGTACTCTTATAACAGAAAATATCAAAGCTACTGCCATAGTTTATTAGAAATCAGGAGAAAGACTTTTTTTTATTGTTGGCCTGAATGAGCTGAAGTTCAGAGTAAGACTGTGGTCATTATTCATTACCTCTTTTTTTTCAAACACTAAAACTCTTGGGTTTCTGTGGACAAGGCTGCTTTTTAATGGCATGTTCTCCAAACAGCTGTTAAGCACCCCCCTCCCCAATACCACAGACCACATCTGTTCCCACTGTTGATTAGCTAGAGGGTGGAGAAAAGAGAGGCTGTAGCATGTGTAATTACCAGTAATTAATTCTTGTTGAGCCTCCTCATTTCCTTCTATTCTAACTACACCTACTCTTCTTCCTGCCTCTGTTGTAAATTCTGTTTCATGTTAGCTACTTGTGGAAAATAATCTTGATGGTTATACAGCTGTTTTCCTAAAATTTTATATTCACCTAACAGTGAGGCTTTTATTTTTCTTCTGGTGGCAGAATCATTTAATAAGGCATGCCAAATAAGAAAATACCAAAGTAACCAAGCATATCTCTTGGGGCTAGCTTTCCTGCTTATGTTCTTTTACTGTTGATACTATTTCCAACTGTCAAGAAATTATTTTTCAGATATATCCTCTGTTAAAGGAACTATTGCAAGGCATGATTTAGTGTGAGGAAAACAAACGTAAGACACGGTCCTGGTCCTCAGTGTTAATGTGCAGTGTATGGAAATATAACTATGTAAATTAACATATATTAATAATATAGTAATTTCCAAAATTGTCAAGATCATAAGGTGGAGGTAGTCTTCTACTATTTTTCATTCTCTTTGGGATAAAGTTGGGCTGACGGAAATTCAACTTTGAGCGTTATTAATATGTCATGGTCAAAGAGAGATATCAAAGGCTTGCTCTTTAAAGAAAATTCACAGCATATCTTCTTATTTACAAGTCTTAAAAGCCTAGATTTTCTGTAATCCCAGCACTTTGGGAGGCCGAGGTGGGTGGATCACCTGAGATCAGGAGTTCAAGACCAGCCTGGCCAATATGGTGAAACCCCATCTCTACGAAAAATACAAAAATTAGCCGGGTGTGGTGGCAGGTGCCTATAATCCCAGCTACTTGGGAGGCTGAGGCAGGAGAATGGCTTGAACCCAGGAGGTGGAGGTTGCATTGAGCCAAGATCGCGCCATTGCACTCCAGCCTGAATGAGAAGAGATAGACTCCCTCTCAAAAAAAAAAAAAAAAAAAAAAAAAAAAAGGCCTAGATTTTCAAAAGGTGTTGCTTTGTGTGAGTCTACTTTCAGGAGGATGAGGTTTCAAGAAGACATTTCAAAACTGCTTTTTTTGTTTGTTTGTTTTAAAATTTATTTGGTCTATCAGTCAAGATCCTGGCAGGAAAGAGATGACATTGGTATTAATAGGATTTGATAAAGAGATTGTTCACAAAAATGTGGGCAATTATAGTGAAATCACAGGAGAATTGTGTGAACTCTGGTGCTAGTCATAGGAGGGTTGTTATATGAAGAGAGTCTCTTTTTTTTGTTTTGTTTTTTTGAGACAGAATCTCGCTCTGTTGCCCAGGCTAGAGTGCAGTGGCACCATCTCTGCTCACTGCAACCTCTGCCTCCCAGGTTCAAGCAAATCTCCTGCCTCAGCCTCCCAAGTAGCTGGAATTACAGGTGCCTACCACCATGCCCGGCTAATTTTTGTATTTTTAGTAGAGATGGGGTTTCACCATGTTGGCCAGGCTGGTGTTGAACTCCTGACCTCAGGTGATCCGCCCGCGCCAGTCTCCCAAATTGCTGGGATTACAGGTGTGAGCCACCGTGCCCGTCCGAAGAGAGCCTCTTGATTGTGGGTGGATGGACCCCGCCATCCCCTCGGAAGAGACCTGTTGCCCTTCCTAATGCCCTTTTGTTTCTTTTTCTTTTTCTTTTGAGACTGAGTCTCTCTCTCTCTCTATTGCCCAGGCGGCTGGAGTGCAGTGGCATGATCTTGGCTCACTGCAACCTCCACCTCCCGGGTTCAAATGATTCTCCTGCCCCAGCCTCCCGAGTAGCTGGGACTATAGGTGTGTGCCACCACACCTGGCTAATTTTTGTATTTTTTTAGTAGAGATGGTGTTTCACCATGTTGGCCAGGTTGGTCTCAAATTCCTGACCTCAAGTGATTCGCCCACCTTGGCGTCCCAAAGTGCTGGGATTACAGGCGTGAACCATCACACCCGGCCTTCCCTGTTTAATTCTTCTTAGCATCTCCACTAAACACAAACCAAGAAAGGTGATTTTTCTCTTTGTTAGAACTTCTTAGGAAAACTTCACTATTCTCTTATTCCATCTGTTTTGGGGTTGAGGAGAGCTGTTATATAAGAAGTTATTGTTAGGGTTTCTTGTATTCCTGTTGTAATATTCTCAAGCTGACATATTTGTGATAGATCAACAAAGCAGTAGGTATTTTGTACCGCTACCTAAGCAATAAAAGCAAGTATGTAATGCTGTAGTACCAGAGTTGTGGTTTTTCCCCTGCACAATATATTAACTAAGCAGAAAATTTAAAAGAACAAAGACAATAAAAGTAATGTTTGTTAGTGGTAGTTTGAGATATTTCAGGAGAGATGAGATGTGAAGAAAAGCAATGGCCATATTTAGAAAGCTGCCTCAAACCCAAGAGTATCTATTGAAGTAAACTTGATGACAGACTTTTTTCCTCTTCATGAATCATTGTATTCCTATAAAAGCGAAAATTCCTCTTCATCTAAACAAATGGCTTCAACATCTGTTTTCTTAGTTTCTCAAAAGGGTGTCTTCGGCTTGCATTTTTTTTTTTAAAAGTGTTTATCTGTTTAAAATGAAATATCGTCAAAAGCAGTTTGTACATCAAAATCCAAGTTGGTCTTCAGCTTGTAAGAATTAGTTGAGAATTATCTGGTGGTGTTGATAGTGGTATAGGGGAAAAAAGAAATTACATTTTGTATTCTGCATAGGTAAGTTCTTCTTCCTAACCATATTCTTTAAATTTTTTTGACTTACATTTAATTTTACATGCTCTTAGCTTTGGAGGACCGATTGACTAGGAAACTTGATCGTTGAGAGCGCATTCCAACGTTTTAATGCTCTGGGTTCTGAAAGTATTTTAAAAATTAGCAGCTGGAGAATTATTCTGTTAGTCCCATTGACTAGGAACTGATCTGTAGTTGGTTTGATTCTTCTCTTGCTCCCATAATCAGTTTCCTTCTACCATGTCACTAAGAGAAACACACTTATAACTGGTTCGTAAATGACTTATGTGCTTTTCTGAAGCACTTTTTCAATTCCCAGTCTCCTGTGAATTTGTATACCCTCAATGGTGTTGGTTTTATCTTTTTTAATCTTTAATCTCTTCTTGGGTGACAGGCCACCATGCCCTTGAGCCCATCCTGCCATTTAAAAATAAAGAATGAGAAGCAGCTGAAATGCTGGCTCTTTTGCAGCTGACAGGAATCAGATCTATTGCTTAGATTCTTTATCTGGGTACAGACATGCCAGTGGTGTGTGACTTGTTCTAGCCATGCCATTTGCAGTCACAAGGTTTAAGAGGATGGGAGTAGAGGAAGTTGTCTCCAAGAGAAAGAAAGATTTTTTTTTTTTTTTTTTGGATGTAAAGGTCAAGGAGAAAGGCTGTAGATCAGCACATGGGTTCCCACTGCAGGTCACAGGACTCCTGGCTTCTTACCACCCAGTGGAATTTCTGGGCCATGATAGAGGTGTTTGTCTTTCCGAAAAGGTTGCATAGGCTCCTCCCACCCCCATCCACCCCACAGCTGTCTGTTGTGTCTGAACAGTGGCTTGCTCTGAGGTTAAAGGTCCATGAAAACTGTGAGACATTTGATGTTATAAAATCTAATTAGTGACAAAAGCAATTAATATAATCACTTATGACTTAGTTTCTCTGGAAGGGTATACTTATCTTTATTGAATAAGTATAAATGGTAACTGCTAGCAAATGGCACCAAACTTAACATAAAATAGAACTACCCCCACCTCTCTCCTCCTCTCCAGTGCAGAAGAGAGGCAGTGAAAAGGGTGGTTATGGTTATGTAGGTGTAGAGGGCTCTAGGAGGCTCTTGTGACTTGATTGGTGTTCAGTCTCCCTGTTGAGCCCATCAACATGGCCTCAAGGAGGGGAGCTATTGCAAAGGTTTTGCCTGCTGTTTGTTAAGCCACAGCTTGTAGTTTTGGTTGCACATGACAAAGCAAGGTGCTCTCCTTTTTTGACCTTGTTCAGAGGCTTAATACAATTATTTGTATTAAGCACTAGCCACCTGTTAGGATCATTCTCATTAAAGGTCACTGTGTGGTGCCTGACTGTCTGACTATGGCAGCCTGCATCAGATTTGCTAGTGGCCCCTGGTTTGTGTGACACCTGCCAATAGTAACAGAAAGAATGGAGATCTGATAGCTCAAAGGGAACAGAAGGTACTAGAGGAGGAATGAGGAATCAGGAGAACCATGGAGCACCTGCCACTCTAGCACCATTACCATGGTTTTTGGTGCTAACTTGCCTAGTCTCCCTTTTCTCTGGCTACCCCTTCAGTGAGCTGTGCCAGGCATTTCGAAGAGTTCTGTTATTGTCTGCATGCTGATATTGCTTTGGTTTATTGATATTAATATATTGCATCCCTGTTAAGCGTTGAATTTCTTGTACCTGAAATTCCTTACATCCCCTCTGCTGAATGTCTTAGCTTCTGTCTGCTTCTCTGTGATCTCCATTGAGGTGTTCCACAGGCATATCCTATTCAGTTCCAAAACTGCCCTTGCAGTTCTGGTTGCCAGCCTGTTTCCCTTCCCTGATTCCCGGTCTCAGTGAATGATGACACTGTTTACCCAGTTGTTAAGCCAGGAACATGGGTATCATTCTTGACTCCTATCTCTTCCTAATGCCTCAAATCCAGCCCAGTGCCAAGTCTTGTAGATTGCACTTGCTAAATGTCTGTGATTCTCTGTCTCCAGTGTCACTGCAATTATGCTGTTCAGGCCTCATTACATCTCCCTGGACACTGCCCCCCTCAAGTATTCTCCAGATGTTTTATAGCCAGAGAGAACTCTTTAAACTGCCAATCTGCTTATGCCACTCCCCAGTTTAAAGTCCTTAATGTGACTTACAAGGCCCTTCACATTTGGGCCTCTCTCCCACCCTCTCTCCATTTCCCCTGAACATTCTAGCCTCAACCATACATTTTATTTTCTTTGCCTTTGTAAAAAAAAAAAATTTGTTTTTTTAAAACTTAATTTTTTTTTTACTCACCATTCAGCATTTCCCTGTGTTCTTTGCATCTTCACAAACACTGTTCTTCCATCCTCCTTTTCCTGTTATTCCCTATACTCACCTTCCCCTTATACATTATCTGTTTTTATGGACTTTTCTCTAACTCCTGCCCCAGGAGCCCCTGTTATGTACATGTGTGTGTATGTAGTATGTGTGTATTTTCCAATTGCCTATTTGGTTCTCTGCTCTACTGGGGGTTATGCCCTATAAGAGGGAAGGGATCATGTCTGAATCATTCACAGTTGTGTTCCCTATGACCTACGTCTAGCACATGAGAAGAGTTTAGTAAATACTGTTGGTGTTTGAATGAATGAGTTCCTTCTTGAGGTTCTAAATGACAAGAGAATATAGTGCTTCCTATAATTCATATCAAATTCTTGAGCCTTGGCCAAATTAGAGAGTGGAAATGCACAGGCTGGGTGCAGTGACTTACACCTGTAATCCCAGCACTTTGGGGGGCTGAGGTGGGAGGATTGCTTGAGTCCAGGAGTTTGAGACCAGGGTAGGCAACATAGTGAGACCCTGTCTTTAAAAAAAAAAAAAAAATTAGCCAGGCTTGGTGGGGTGCGCCTATAGTCCCAGCTACTTGGGAGGGTGATGTGGGAGGATTGCTTTAGCCCAGGAGGTCAAGGCTGCAGTGACCCAAGATTGCCCCAGTGCACTCCATTCTGGGTGACACAGCGAGACCCTGTTTCCAAAAAAAAGCACAAAGTTCAAAAGTGAAGGAGATTGCTTTCTTTTAAAGCAGTGAGTAGCCAAACCTCATATATCCTTTATATTGCTTCTTCATATTCTGTATCTCCATCCTAAATTACTTTTCTCAACTTGATCTTTGTTTGATTTAAAATTTCTCTGGATTCTTCCCAGCAAAAGTATAGAGTATAATGGGACAGGAGAAAATGTGATTGATAAATGGGAATATGTCATTTGATTGATTCTTAAATATATAGTTGACCCTTAAGCAACATGAGTTTGAACTGTGTGAGTCCACCTATACATAAATGTTCTTCCACCTCTGCCACCCCAGAGTCAGCAAGACCAGCCCCTCCTCCTCCTCAGCCCTACTCAACATGAAGATGATGAGGATGAAGACCCTTATGATGATCTACTTCCACTTAATGAATAGTAAAGATATTTTATCTTCCTTATAATTTTCTTAGTAACATTTTTTTCTATAGTTTATTTTAAGAAACCATTTTTTTCTAGTTTATTGCCCACCTTCATATTGTAAGAAGAACAATTTTTCTCTAGTTTGTTGTTTATATGTATATAATACATATAAACATACGAAATAATGTGTTAACCGTTTATATTATTGGCAAGGTTTCTGGTCAACGGTAGACTATTAGTAGTTAAGTTCTAAGGGAGTCAAAAGTTATACATGGATTTTTGAATGCAAGGGGATTGGTGCCCCTAACCTCCGCATCGTTCAAGGGTCAACTGTATTTATTCTAGAGTCATGCCTGAACATGTGTCTACAACACATGTTTCTCTGGACAGTTGAACACGTTTACATTTCCCTAAAACTAGGCAGTCTTTCTCAGAAGATTTTTTTTAAGTGGGACCCCTCTGTATTTTAATCATAGCTAGCTCATAGAATCTGTTTGTTGAACTTACAGTAGAATGGAAGTGGGCAAGGGATGCCACTTTGTAAAAAAATAAAGAGTTGCTTTAAGAGGCCGTCTAGAAAGTGTGGTCATGATAGAACATAATTTAGTATTTAGCTCTGGTACTGAGCAAGGGAATTACCCTCTGAGGTATTGGGCCTAAAACATTCTCCCTCGTCTCACTTCATTTGAAGAAGAGAGTAATTATGGACACTGCAATGGCTATTTTGTCACACACTGATCCTAAGAAGGAGCTTTCTAGAGATCAGAATGCTTCTGTCAAAATGGTGACAGCACCACCTTGGTCACTGTCCAACTTCGGGTTCTCCAGACTACCAGCTGTGTGCTCTTCCAGGATTGAGCTTCAGACCAGGTGTTTAGTAATGACAAGGGACAGCTTGTTAAATCTGCCATTTGTGGGAGCTGGGAGCTCAAAGTTTTCTGGTCAGATTTTCCCATGACCTTAGTTATAAAGAAAACGTTACAGATTCTAGAAAATGCCAATGTCCTTTTTAGCGTATTACACTGATTGCAGTGCTTCAGAATTGCCCAACTTCATTATCTGAGCATAGCCAGCCTGACGCCTTCTTCTCAAATAGACAATTATGATCAATTAAGCACTTTTAGGCCTTATAGAATACTTAATTTTATTAGCCAATTATTTGTGCTTTGAAAGAGTTAATGGTAGCTACCCAAGCCATTATTAGAAATTAGAATGTCCCAAAATAGAAAGGCTATTTCCTTTGTGTGTGGCACTGCAGTGGAAAATGCCAAGCATAGTTTTTACTGAGTTAAAGGGTGAGGGAAGGCGGGGTGGGGGAGAAAGTTACATGTAAATCATTTAGCCATTAACCTAATGGGTGGGTTTATAAATCCTATTACTATAAGCCCTTTTCATTTCCACTGAGGCCTGGTGCATGCTTGATCCCACTAATGTAAAATTCATTCCGTCTAAGTGATTACTGAAGTAAGACACTTTGAGTCAATTTTAATCAGGTTGTGTGAAACTTGCTTGAGTGCTGATATTCACTAAAGCATGGACATAGTTTGGCCGTGTCTTAATTAGCCCCCCTGGATGAGTTATATGAGGAGTCAGTCAGGAAGCCAAATCTCTGAGCCTTTTCACATATACATGTTTCTGTGAGCAAAATAAACTGTAGGTAGGGGCTGAAAACACCCACCTCAAAAGCAAGGGGCAAGGACCTTTGGGTGAGTGTGTTTCTAGTCTTAATGAAAATTGTGAATGTTAAGAAATCTGAAAGTTCTATTCTTACGGTGAATTGGAGCATCCTCAATGGTACTTATATTTAAACAAATCAGAATTTCAAGTTTGATTAAATATGTGGATCTTCTTTCTAGAAAAATGCACGTAAGCACACATTCAAATCTTTGCTGACAGTTTCAGGGGATTTTCAGATTTCTTGACCTTAGGTTAATACCTACTGCTCCAGTTTTAATTTTAGTATCTTAGGTTTTTGTTTTTTTTTTAACTGGGGATGTAATATTTAGGATTGTATAGGCTCATATTGAGCTCTTGTGTCAGTGAGTAGATTTGGTTCAAGTGTGCTTTAAGGCCAGCTCTACAAGCTGTCCACTGTCCTGTGTCAGATATAACCCGAAGAATGGCAGCAATACTTGTAAATTCAAGTGAAACATATAGGACATGAACTTCTAAACTGGAGGTTGGAGTGGAAGAGGAATGGAGAATAAGAATGTTGTGAAAGGAAGGTTTCTTTAAAGGTGAAAACTGAGTTCTTAAAAGTCAGCATGTGAAGTGGGTTTTTAAGAATCCACAGGATGAATAAATAGTCATGCTGGGGACAAGAAATTATAAGACACGTTATAAGACAGGGAAGAAATTCACTTTTCCTTTCACACATTCAAAGGCATAGTTTGTAGTATTTTAAGTTTTGGGATCAAAATAATAGCCCTGTCAAACTGTAGGGCAATAATGGAGAGATACTCATAAATCGTATTAAATTTGTCTTTTTGGGAGGAGAAGCCTTTCAGAAATTGTTGTTTATTCAGTGTTTTATATTCTTCATACATGAGCTACCAGAAGGTCTAGGTTGTAAATTAAGGATTTAAAACAAAATCAGTTTATCTGGAAACTATAGTTGTATGGGAGAGGTACACTTATAGTCAAGTTTATAATTAATGGGCCTTTGTCATTGGAATAGAAATTCTTTTCTCTTGAGTGAATATTTGTTTATATAACATGCATTGTGTTTGAAGGTGGGATCAAAACTGATTCACTCTTCATTTCTTGCATGGAAAAAGCCAGCATTTAAATGTGTACTGTGTGTGGGCTTAATTGCTGCTTTTTGTAACCAACTTTAGGGTCCTGTTGTTGTGGAGATGCACTTACTGATCGATAATGGTTTGCTCTTCTTAAGCTGGACCACTAGGAGTTTTCCTCCTTTTACTAGAGCCTAAAAAATAAATATTTATTGAATTATTACTTTGTGCCAGGCATTTCGTTAGGTTTAATGCCCATGATATGATCTCTGCCTATAATTTGCTTATGGTCTCTTAATCTTACCTTTTGTAAGAGAGTGGTGTGTTGTGGTATGCACAGAGTACTTTGGGGGATACATAGGACTAGGATATTCATTAATATCATTCGGTTGGGGAGTCTCGAGAAGGCTTTTCTGACAGTATTAAGTTCCTTGTGAAATAAGTAGATGTTAGGTAATAATAACCCCTAACATTTATTGAGCTCTTATGTCCCAGAGACCATACAAAACAAAGTACATACATCGTTAAATTTAATGCTCACAGTAGCCCTATTAGGAAGCTTCAGTTGCTATCTCCATTTTACAGTTGAGGAATTGGAAGGTTAGAGAGGTTATATTGTTTGCCTGAGGTCATCGCACAGCTTATTAGCAGTGCTATTAGGCTTTGAACCCAGGTAGCCTATATTAGGGTTTTCCAGAGAAACAGAGCCACTAGGAGAGGTGGGTGGGTGTGTGTGTGTGTGTGTGTGTGTGTGTGTGTGTGTGTGTGTGTGTGACATTTATTGTGGAGGCTGTCAAGTCTGAAATCTGTAGGGCAGGCCGGCAGCCCAGGGAATAGTTGATGTTTCAGCTACAGTTCGAAAGCAGTCTGCAGCAGAATTCGTTCTCCCTTGAGAGACCTCAGTCTTTTCCTTTTAGGGCCATCAACTGATTTGATGGGGCCCGCTCACACTGTGGTGGATATACTGCTGTACTCAAAGTCAACTGATTTAAATGTTAATCTCATTTTAAAAAAATACCTTTACAGTGACATCTAGACTGGTGTTTGACCAAATATCTGGGTACCGTGACTTAGCCAAGTTGACACATAAAATTAACCATCACACAGCCTAACTTCTCAACTCACATTTTTAACCACTTGGGGAAAGAGCATGTAAAAACACAGAAGCAAGAAGAAAAGCATAGCCTGTTTAATGAACCTAAAATATTTTGAGAGGGCTGGTTTGAAGGTGCATGTAGGAAGTGTTAGAAGATGAGATAGGCCTCAACTAGATGAGTCTCAAGGACAGGCTCAGGGGTTTGAATTTTATTTCAAGAAGTACATTTTATTATAGAAAGAACACTGGCAAAGTGTGAAGATTGGCTTGGGAGGTAGTGATGCTAGAGACAAGTAGGCCAAGAGAGTGATGGGTGTCTGAAGGAAGGACATGGGAATGCAGAAAAGGTGCCACATTGGAAAGATGCAGTATAGTTAGTGTAGCATATGTGGGCTCATTGGATTAGAAAGGAAACCATTTGGGGCCAGGCGTGGTGGCTCATGCCTGTAATCCCAGCACTTTGGGAAGCCGAGGAAGGTGGCTCACCTGAGGTCGGGAGTTCCAGGCCAACCTGGCCAACATGGTGAAACCCCGTCTCTATTAAAAATACAAAAATTAGCTGGGCGTGGTGGCGCCTGCCTGTAATACCAGCTACTCGGGAGGCTGAGGCAGGAGAATTGCTTGAACCTGGAAGGTAGAGTTTGCAGTGAGCCGAGATCGTGCCACTGCACTCCCAGCCTGGGCGACAGAGCAAGACTCCATCTCAAAAAAAAATAACAATAATAAAATAAAAGATAGAAAGGAAACCAGTCCTTGGTTCTGGTTGAAGGTTTCTGGAGGGGCCAGTTATCATGTTTGGAGCTGGTTAAGGGTTTGGAGGAGATGGGTGGGATTTAGAATGAATGCTTATGGGACCAACAGTTGAATGTGTGCCTGGATAGAGAAAACGCTGTCATCAGTGTGTATCACTGATTCTCAACCGGTGCAGTTTTGCTCTTCCTAGGAAGTGCTTGACAATATCTGGACACAATTTTGGTTGTCACAGCTGGAGAGAAGGAGAGCACACGGCATATGTGTGTACTCATACTACTGATGAAATCTAGTGGGTAGGGGCTAGGGATGCTGCTAAACATCCTGCAATAGACACAGGATAGCTCCTTATAATAAATAATTATTCAGCCTAAAATGTTAATAGTACTGAAGTTGAGAAATCTTGATATATATGTAGATGTGTATATATACCCCCGAAGTGTGGAAAAGAGATCTCAACAGGTGTTGGATGTTATTATGTATTTTAAATGTACCCACTCACATTAAGTGCATAAAGATGTATCCAGACAACTTGTGAGAACTTACGTGTTTCTAGTTATTTTACAACCACATAGCCCTCAAAAGCAACCTAGAATATGGAAATATATCCTCACAACGCTAATTATCCTTGTTAGGTACACTAGTACTTCCTTTTCCTAATACTGAAGAAGTAAATGTGATTGAAATACAAACCAACCAAATATAATGAAGAGACATTTCTACATGTCAAAGTTGGATTCTAGATTTTTAGACCTGTGAGGAATCTCAACCTCTTCATTTTATAAATGAGGATATTGAGACCTAGAAAAGGAAACCAACTTGGTCCCAAATCACTTAGCTGGTAATTGGCAGATTAAACAAGTGCTCTGATTTCAGACCCTAGACTTAAAAAAAAAAAAAAAAAAAAAAAAAAAAAAAGCACGAATATTTGTATAACATTTTATCTTTGCAAAGCACTTTTTAAGCCTGTGGTTCTTTTTATTCTTACCTAGCTCAGGGAACAAGGTGGTAATATCACCCCAATATTAGAGAAAATAAAACTAAGGTTTAAAGGCAGTAAGTAGCCCAGTATCACAGAAGTGTTAAGTAGTGAAGACAGAAAGTACCATGCTTATTAAATCCATAGCCCATATTTCTTGAACATTTTTAGAGGAAGACACAAATCTAAGAATAACAGAGAATAGGAAAAAGACAATCTAATAGAATAAGGAGGAAATAAATGTTCATCAAGTGAGAGAACTGAGTAGCACTGAGTCCTGCTTGGCAGTTGCTGAAATTTGGAATGTGGAATGCTTAGGTAATGGTTGGATTATCAAATATCATAATATTTATATTAATATTTCACCTGCCTTTCTCTTTCCTAGCCTTCAAAACCATTTATATTTTACTACCCCTGTTATGCTAATGTATTGTTTAATTTCCAGTTTATTTCTAATTTTATATCATCGGTAATGGAAGAATCCTAAAGCCATTGAGATTTCAGTTGTCATTCTCTTTTTGCATTATTTGTTTAGAATTTCACCTTACTCAACATTTTCTTAACTTGTAGGATTTTCTTTGTGTTTAATATCTGCATCATACACCAAAGTGGGTTTCTTGTTAATAAGTAATACTATAGTAGACATGTTTTCGGAATAGGACCTTGAAACTTTTTTTTTAAGCTGTGGAAAGCTGGTGTTTTCTCTCTATTGTTTAGTATTAATAAATACTCTTTTAGTCTGTAATAGCATCTAAAAACATTTCATAACCTTTGGATGCATTGTGATACAACAGTATTCTATTTTAACAAGATACAAAGACTCAGGTGTTATCCTGAACTTATTAGGAGAACCTACAAATACACATCTTAGTAGTAGTTGGTCTTAGGTTGTTGCTGTTGTTAACCTTGGCACACACAAAAAACATCTTTCTGCTTAGTAAACCATATCGTGGGTATATTCATGAACACATTATTTTCTTTAGAAAACAATTTTTGATACACATCTAAATTTCCTTTCTAGTTCCCACTACCCTTTTCCAGCTTTCAGAAGCTCAGACTGGGGTTAAAATTCCTTTTCGTATTATTTTAATTATTGCTCTCCCCACCTCCACCCCTTTCCTGTTTCCCCCTCCTCTTTTCCCCTAACGGCACTGTTCTGCAAAGCCTGCAATGATTGATATGATGGCAGTGCTGTCATTCTTTTTAACCAAAAAAAAGTCATTTTTGTTCTAGTTATTTTAATAGAGTCCCATTAAAGATGTATTGCTGACTGAAATATCGGCGTGAAGGGCTCTCACTGAGCTGAGCCCAGGAATTAAGAAGTCAGGAAATCGGCTGCTGCATTGCAAGAGAGCCTTGTGTGACACCGAGTCTCCTGATTGGGGAGATCATTACTGCTATTATGACTCGACTTGCGTAGGAATTTTAAATTCCATCTGAATGTCAGTAATAACCCTCTTAGCAAATTATCCTGAATAAAATCACGAAGGCATTTTATATAATAGGTGTTGAATTACTGGATAGATTTGCTAATTAAATACTCTTTGTTCTGCTGCAGTTGACATTACAGGGTAAGATCTTGAACAATTATTCTCAACAGCTGTACTTTGTTAAGGGAAAAATTAACCACAAAGTTTATTTTTTTATACTTGAAGTTGGCAGATTTTTGAAATGTGCTTGAAAAAATTCCATCATCCAATTGGTAATGAGTAGATAAATATGCAGGTGTTGCTGTGAAATCAGATAACTGCAGACTGCCTTATTAATGAATTTAGCAAGCCTTTATAGCCCTGTTTTCTAGCCGTTAGCACTTACAAAATGATTTTCTGTCAGAATGGGCAGCTTTAATATTACACTTGTCACTTCAAAGTGAACTTATGAATGGTCATCTTGTAATCATTGTACCTTGTGTCTAGTAGACCTTTCTGGGTACTTGTGGCTATTTTTAAAATGTGTTTCTTCAATGGGGAAAATACCTGTAATGTATAAGTGTTTGATTGTTGACTTCTAGAACATTTATGTGGTATGAGGTTTTTTTTTTTTTTTTTTTTTTTTTTTTTTTTTTTTTTTTTTTTTTTTTTTTTTTTGAGAAGGTAGTGAGACATAATGAAAAGAAAGTGAAACATAAAGTCCAGCTTCTGGATCAAGCTTTTGGGCAAAATCTCAGAGCCTAATTTTCCTCATTTGTCAGTTGGGATTTATAATACTGTGTACCCCTTAGGATTATTCACTTAGCATTCTATAAATATTTATTAACAGCTCCCATGTACCAGGCCCTCTGGTAGATAGTAAGAATTTGGTAGCTCCCTGAGTAGATAACATCTGAGCCCTCCCCAGTGAGCAGTTTGAATTGAGGGCTGGACTTGAGGGCAGCTTTGGAGTGTTTCTGCTCATTAGCACTTGGATAAGCATTGGACTAGAGAGGTCACTGTGATACCCACCATCTAGAACTGCTTAGTGAAGAAACATGAGAGGTTAGGGGTCAGACTGGTTGTGGGTTGTCTTGTATAGAATGGGCTGAAGAGTTGACAAACTGTGGTGAGGACCTTGAACCTGAGATGGAACATTATCATCAGCTGCTAGTGAGGCCCACTGAAAAGATGGTGAGGTCCACAGAAATCGGTACAACCTCTATAGAGAGCTATTGGGTTATATTTATTTTAAAAATTTGAAACATAACAACCTTTGACCCAGCACACCCACTTGTAGTAATTTATCTTGTTACTGGCAGATTTGTAAATTACGTATGTATAGGGATTGTTTGTTGAAGTATGGTTGTAACAGTAAAGAGTAGAAACAACCTATATGTTCATTAATAGAACACTAGTTAAATAGATTATGTTCTATTTATACAGTGGGGTACTATGTAGTCATTAGAAAAGAATAAGGCAGCTCTTTATGTGTGAATTTGAAATAACCTCTAGGATAAGTGCTAGGTGAAAAAAGCAGTTGCGGCATACTCTATAGTTTACCATTTCTGCAAAAAAAGACATCCACCAAAAGATTTCTGCCACCAAAGAGAAAATTGTTTTGGTAGCAGTCCTCAGGTTATGCATGGCAATGGTTGTGAGTTGGTGGCAGGATGGAGTAGGGGTGGATGATGGATCTGAAAGGTGAAGGTTGCCAGTTCACATTGAAGGTACACTCAGGGATGACATAGTAGATTTGGTTCATGTTGTGAAACAAGAGTAGAAGAAATTGGTTATTGAATATGTGGAGTTGTAGTAAAAGGTTGACAAACTGCTCCTCAGGTATTTTATTGAGGTAACAGTTACGTTATGGTGTTGTCCATTGTGATGAAGAAAGCTAAGCCTAGCTAACTGTAAGAGGCAGAGGGTAAAGAGGACTCTTGATAAGTAATTCTGTCCTCACTGTGATTAATTTGCCTTGGGTTGGTCTCATTATTGCCCTTTCCCTAAAGGAATTGTCAAATATTCTCCCACAATGCATTTCCCTATAATTTAAATGTTAAAAAATGAAGATGAAGTTGGGGAGAGTGACTGTTTTTTATGTTAGCTGAATTTTAGTGTCTAGTGGAAAAGTAATTGGGATTACTACAGGACCTATCAGTCACCTGGCAAACAGTTTTTTGAGTTCCTATTACAGTGAAGTCTGCACTTAGGCACAAACATGTGGTCTGACCTCCAGGAGCTTGTAGTCTAGTTTGGGGTGGGTAGGTGGGAGCTAATAACGTAAAGCATCATTCAAGTACTAGTAAAATAATTCAAACACAGATGAGAGGAGAGAGACAGGTATGGGCTGGGCCAGTCAGCTCATGCAGGAAGGATTTGAGCCGAGGGTTGTAAAATTCAATGATAGGAAAAGGACTGGGGAAGGAATTCCGGGTAGGAGACACACTGCATGAGTGAAGGCATGAAAAGATGAGTCTGTACACAGTTAACTGTTGGAAGACTGGGAGATTTATTCTGTCCAGCAAGAGGATCTATGTAAAAGAATAACAGGCCATACAAGTGGAACAGTGGTTTAGGTGCAGTTGCAGAATTTGTTCTTGACCTTGTAGGCATCGGAGAGGCATTGAAAACATTCAGGAGATTGGTAATGATATTCAGGGTGAGTTGATGAGACCTAAAGCCAGTAGAGACGCGAGTTGGTTCATCCTCAGTGACAACCTCATTGCTATGGAGTCAGGCGCTTTCCACCTTGCAGCCGGCCCTGCTCAGCATGTTAGCTTGCACCCTAGGCATGGCCCTTCATGGCCACCGTGATGGTTGCCACTGCTCCAAGCAGCCCTCAGTCTAAAAAGGTAGTCCCCCACCGCCTGCCCCCTCAAATCAGGAAGGAAAACCTTTCAGAGAAGCATCCTACAGGAATTCTCCTTACGTTTAATTGGCCAGGATTCTGTTCACATGCTCACGCCTAAACTGATCATAGTTTCCAGAATGGAATTGCCATGATTATCTTAGGCCAATGGTCCTTAAGCCAGCTTGCAATGTAAGAAAATGTAAGAAAACTGTTGGGGCCAGATATTGTTTGTTTTTTTTTTTTTAAGATCCCCAGGTGATTCCACTGTACAGTCAGTATTAAAACCACTGGCTTAGCCTCATCAGAATTCACCACCATTCACCACCCCCCAGGTAGGAGAAAGGGCTTCCTTGTCTAAGAACATAATATTAATACAACGAACATCTGAACAAAACTGGGAGATAGTAATAAAGGGGAGAGGGCAATAAAAAATGGAAAGTAATGGGTAGATATAAAAGATACTCTAAAGACAGGATTTACAAAGCTCTGTAATAGGGAAGACGAGAAAGAAATGACACCATGAAGCTTGAGCTTAGTTGACAAGGAGGACTATTGAAGTAGGAGAAAGAAATATAAATGAAGTAAATCTTTATTTGGTCTATTGGAAAGGTGACCTCAGCTTTAGGCTGATGCTTTGAAAGATGGGTGATAGCAGAGAGGCAATAGCATGGAGTGACTAAGACCCCATACTCGAGTCAGAATGCTTGGGTTCATATCCTTGTTTTGTCATTCTAGGACACTAATTTCTCTTTGTCTTTTGGCATCTAACAAGAGAGGATATTAATAGTAGCTACCCCTTGGAGATCTAGGGGAATGAAATGAGAAAATGCACAAGGTGTTCCTTGCACAGCATCTAGCACATGTATTTTAAACGCCCCCCCCGACACACACACTTTCTCTCTGAGTCCTAATTATGTCATATTACTATTTTTTAAGAGGCTGTTTGTTAAATATGTGTTACTTCTGATCTGGCTCAAAATAATTTATATCAGTTTTTATTTCTATCCACGTTGTAACCTAAATATCTCTGATCTGTAGCTATATGGGCCTGGGGACAGACTTATCAACAGATATCCACGTTCGTCTTAATTCACTGAATGTTTCTTGAGCCCCACCTTTTTACTGGGTACTGGGGTAGCTCCAGGCAATATAGTGAAAATCCATCTACTCTCTTTCTTCAATGAATTTAGTCTAGAGAAGAATTTTAAATGTAGTGTGCTTTTTTTTGCTTTTTAAGATCCTGAATACCATGAATAAGAATTGCCAGATTTGAAATGCTTTGTTAAGCTTTTTTTAGGCATGCAGTTCTATTTAAGTATTAGTAATGAGAATAGTTTGCTTTTTTGCCATGTTATAGAGATATTTTATTGTGTGTGTGTTAAACATATATATGTATATATATGCATGCATATCTCTGGCTCAGAATCAGCATAGAGGCAAACTTAGATTATATTGATGTTACTGTTATTTTAAGGGCTGTTGTTAGAAAACCTTCAAGAGCTTTAGAAATACATGGAAATGGCAAATCATTGAAAGTTACCTATCTCTATGTGCTTCTATTTATGTCTTTATAATTGTGTAACTTATTAATCTTGACTTTTGTTTCATTTAGATTTTGATGCATACGAAAGAGATGGTACAAAAGGTAATGTTGAGCATTTTCATTGTGTAAAACTTAAATATCATAACTGGTAACGTTTTTGTATTCAAGGAAAATTGTAACCCAAACAGACTGGAAATTGCTTCTTAGGTTGCCTAGTTTAACATTTATAATCCTTCCTAATGGATTACAGCTTTTTTCTTTTACCAGTGCTGATATGATCTAGCCCCTGCTTGAAGCCTATATGTGAGTGTTTCAAACAAATTAGTAACAGTGCTAATTAGAGTTTATTTCCAGGCCTTTATACTGTATGTGCTCTAGTGTTGTTTGTTATGATTGATTTTTTTTGGCACTCTTCGTGTTCTACTAAATACTGTTTGCAACTGTATTAAGAATTTAATATGGATTTGTGCCCCTGAATTTATAGAATCCATTATGTTTCCGCTTCTTAAATTGCCATGACCACTAAGCATGTGGTACAGTGGATAAATATAGACCCCATTTCCTAGTCTTTTATTCTCTTTTTTCTCATTATTTAATTTGGTATTTTGTTTCAGTTGAAACTAGACACAATTCTCCTTCCACTCCACTCTCTATTTTAAGAAAATTTGAGAGATTTTCTTGATGTCAGGTTGCTTGCCTTTCTGGTTTATAGGGGCTTAATCTTTAATTGTATACCCTGACAATATAAATAATAATTAACATAAACTTTTGAAAAGTCTGTGGAGCCTGTAATTTCTGTAGTATGGAAAATCTTTAGTTTCATTGTATGTAATGGTCACTGTGTTTTTGTTAATTTTTATAATTTTTGCTTTTCATCAGATGAATCTTGAAGTTATTTATGGAGATACAGATTCAATTATGATAAACACCAATAGCACCAATCTGGAAGAAGTATTTAAGTTGGGAAACAAGGTGAGATAATTTTATGAAATTATCTGCTTTACCTATTTTTGTGAATTCTGTTTCTAACATGGAACACTATAAATTCATGTGTATATGAATGTGTGTGCTTCTGAAAATAATAAACTTGGTGTCTCTCAATTCTTCTATTTTTCTGTCTTTCTTTATTATTTTTTTCTGAGACAGGGTCTCACTCTGTCACCCAGGCTTGAGTGCAGTGGTGCGATCAGGGCTTGCTGAAGCGTTGACCTCCTGGGCTGAAGTGATCCTCCCGCCTCAGCCTCCCGAGTAGCTGGGACCACAGGCACTCGCCACCATGCCCAGCTAATTAAAAAACAATTTTTTTTGTAGAGATTTTTTTTGCCCAGGCTGGTTTTGAACTCCTGGGTTCAAGCGATCCTCCCACCTTAGCCTCCCAAAGTTCTGGGATTACAGGCATGAGCCACCATGCCCAATCCTCTTTTTTTTTTTTTTCGTCTTGTTTTGTTTTGTTTGTTTGTTTTGACACATAGTCTCGCTGTGTGGCCAGGCTGGAGTGCAGTGGCGTGATCTCGGCTCACTGCAACCTCCGACTCCCTGCAACCTCTGACTCCCTGCTTCAAGCAATTCTACTGCCTCATCCTCCTGAGTAGCTGGGATTACAGGCATGCACCATCACGCCCCCCTAATTTTTGTATTTTTGGTAGAGACGGGGTTTCACCATGTTGGCCAGGATGGTCTTGATCTTCTGACCTTGTGATCCACCTGCCTTGGACTCCCAAGTGCTGGGATTACAGGCATGAGCCACCGCGCCTGGCCCCCTCTTGTTTTTAATTCCTATTCCAGCTGTTTGTTTCGAGGGTGAAATTCAAAGGTTTTTTTTTTTTTTTTCTTTAAATGGTAGATACATTTTTCCTTTGAAAACAGTCTAAGTGTTATATGTTTAAGATGTGTTCACGTTAGTACTTACTACATTGTGATTCATATGTCTGGTAGGATTCAGGTGCATTTTATACATAAATACCTACATACATACATATACACTCACAACTGTGATTTTTACAGGAGTACTTAAAATATATTTGAAAAGTCAAGGGGACATTTAAAAATAATCATTTGTAGCCTCTTAATAGCAATTTGCAATCGCAATTCACAGTGTTTTAGAAACACTTGCTATGTTAAGATGTTGTCCCCATGAACTAAAACTAAGATGTCATCTTACAAACTAACAACTTCCTATCTTTCCCTCCTGGAATATGTGGAATTTGAATGGTAGTCTTCACTTGACAGCAAGCCTGGCACATTGTGCTCATACTGGGCCTTGAAAAGTTGAGTATTTTCCCTGGAGGTGATGTTCTGTGCCTTGACCCTGTCAGAAAGAGCAGAGGACTCTTTATTTGTTCAGCATGTAGTTGTTTGCTTATAGTCAAGGTGTTAAGGGAGGTCTTAAACATTATTTTAATAGTCAAAGTTTGACTTCTTTATTTCTGGTCACATATTTAGTTGTTGGACTGTCTATTCACTAACTAACTGAATAGTTTGAAGGCAAGTACTGTATGTATGCATTAAGTCTTTACATTCAACAAGGACTGTTTCATAATTTTCATATATTACCTGGGGCTGATCCAGCCAGTCCTGTCCTTTGGTTGCATGGGATGATCTATTATTGTCTCTCTCTCTCTCTTTTTTTTAATCTATTTTTGTCCCTGCAGTTTTCAATGTCTTTGCTTTATACCCAATGTAATATCATGTTACATACAAGCCAAGTAAAATTCCAATGTTGTATGACTTCAAATTCTGTTTAGATTAACTCTTGGGAATTTGTAACATGTTCATCTTCTCCCTATTAGATGTTTGAGAAGCTAATACTAATATTTGAAATTTTCACAGGTAAAAAGTGAAGTGAATAAGTTGTACAAACTGCTTGAAATAGACATTGATGGGGTTTTCAAGTCTCTGCTACTGCTGAAAAAAAAGAAGTACGCTGCTCTGGTTGTTGAGCCAACGTCGGATGGGAATTATGTCACCAAACAGGAGCTCAAAGGATTAGATATAGTTAGAAGAGATTGGTGTGATCTTGCTAAAGACACTGGAAAGTGAGTTCAGCTTTCAGTTTTGCTTTTCTTGTTTGTCTTTTAAAAATTCAGGTGTGAATGATGTAGAGAATGCTTATGAATCTGTCAAGCCCAAGAACACTTCTTTGTTATTTTTATTATTCTTATTAATAAGAATTATTAATCATTCTTATTTGGAATGGAATTTTATAGGTAGATTAAAACTTAGAAAAAGCCAAATTTGCTCAGTGAGAAATGCCTGCTCTAAGATACGTCTCATGAGTTTTTAACTCATAGTAAGGGTAAACCTTCACACTTCAGATCCTTATAGAGTTGGTTTCGTTGATGTTGGTTTGTTTTGCTCTATTGTTGCTATTAGAAAGTGCCTTGTTTTGTGCTCCTGAATCTTCCTAGAGCCTCTTGAGGGACATAATTGTTAAGATTTTCCCATTTTATGGCTTAAAATGTTCTGGGACTCAAAATGGGCCATGGAGTGAGACTTTGTTCCCACCCGTATGATTTGTATATAAAAGATTCTTACTAATACCAAGTTAAGGGCTCCTTCTCAAATCCTGTGTGTACCTCAGAATTAGTAAATATCATGATTGACCTCCTAGCTTTGCACCTGAGACTGAAGAATGTGATAATAAGGCCTGCTTCTTTAAGGGTCATATTAATGTATAAAGCACCCATTTCAAAATGAATTTTTAGGCCGGGTGCAGTGGCTCACGCCCATAATCCCAGCACTTTGGGAGGCCGAGGCGGGAAGATCACTTGAGGTCAGGAGTTGGAGACCAACCTGCCCAACTTGGGGAAACCCCGTCTCTACTAAAAATACAAGTATTAGCCAGGCGTGGTGGCACATGCCTGTAATCCCAGCTACTGGGGAGGCTGAGGCAGGAGAATCGCTTGAACCTTGAAGGTGGAGGTTGCAGTGAGCCGAGATTGCACCATTGCACTCCAGCCTGGGCAAAGAAGTGAGACGCCGTCAAAAAAAAAAAAAAAAAAAAAAGAATTTTTAGGTGCTTCATGTACCGTCTTAATTTGTGACCTTGACCAATTCTGAAAGTAGAAGAATTTTTTATTTAAAGCTAAAGTTCACATCAATTTTAATATTCTGAATGTTGGCATTTATAAACTTGTTTTCTAGTCTTCCTCTTGCTATCAAGTTGGGAGATTGAACAATTATTGCTTCTGCAAAACTATTCTTGATTAGGCAAAGTTGACCAGCTGAGTATAGGTCACTGTGAGCCTTTTACCAAATGTAAAAATGTTTGAAATGCTTCATTGCCCCCAAGTGTACCCAAAGAGGAAAGTACTTTGTATGGACTGTGGATTAGAGTGTTCTCTTCAGCTTTGTGTTTTCTAAGAAAAGACGCATCATAATAGAAGTAAATTTCTCTTGAGTTAGAAATGTATTAGTAATTAAAGCTATACAAATGTTTTTGTCGGGGTTCTTTTTCTGGCAAATTATAATGCAGCTGTCAAACTCTCGCTCTGCATTTTCTCAGAAATGGATAAAATATTGGCTTTCTTACTCCTTTCCTTTTTCTTTTTCCTTTGGGTCTGGTTGAATAACATGAAGTTTTTAAGGAATAGCGTAAGGGAGAACACTGAGCAACAAAATGAAGGTGAAGAAAGAAAAGTTTGAAATCTTTGTTTTTTAAAAAAATTTATGTAAAGGACTTCATATTTCTACTCATCTAGCGCATGGTTGTTGTCTCAGGTGGAGATGATATCTTGATATCAGAGATAATGTCTTGGTGCTTTGTGAGGAAAGTGAAATATTTGTCTTCTAAAATTTTATCTTATGAGGAGAATATAACTGCTTGTGAATTTTGTAATTGCATAAAAATATAATGGAACACATGCTTTTCTTCACATTTTATATAAAATATTAGCTGCCACATAAAAAATGATCTGTATGTTTAGGGTCAAACCCCACATTAGAAGGCTGGCAAACTTTCGGTAGAGTTGGTGTTAAAAAACAAATAGTAACCGCCTTTTCGACATTAACCCTCATATTAGCTCTTACTGTAGCTAATGTTAACCACATGTTAATCTAATGGCATTTCTCTTCCTTCTTCTCCTTTACTAGTAAAATATATTAAAAAATCAACTGCTGTCTTTGTTTTGTTTTTTTTTTTTTTTTTGCAGCTTTGTGATTGGCCAGATTCTTTCTGATCAAAGCCGGGACACTATAGTGGAAAACATTCAGAAGAGGCTGATAGAAATTGGAGAAAATGTGCTAAATGGCAGTGTCCCAGTGAGCCAGTTTGAAATTAACAAGGTAAATGTAGCATTTATTGCTGAGCCCAGCTGCTGTCATGTGTTTTTCACCTCCTTCAGATAGTTGAAGAACCACCTCATCCTTGCAATTGAAATAAATTCTAGCTGGTGATGAAAGCTGCTTAACAACTATCTCACAGATTGAGTATTAGCATACCTCTTCCAGCCACAGGTACTGCCATGTCTGCCACAGAGACCTTCTCTGTCTAGTCCTTACTTTAATTCTTGGAAGACTTGTTTCCAGAGGTCCTATGGAGTGATACAGTTTACATTCCAGAGGTCCTATGGAGTGATATCACTGTATCACTCCATAGGACTGGAGAACACTACTTTCTTCATAGTTCCCCTAAGTAATAGTTGTTTGGAGTGTAGGCCTGTAAGCTTATTGTGTGCATGTGTGCATTCATGTGTGTGTTTAACTTCACAGATGGTGATTCTTTTGGGGACAAAAGTTATTTAGGGACAGTCTTAGTTGTTGAAAATAGGGAATATTTTTTCTTACCTAATTTGAAAAACAGAATCTTGGTTTCCAAAGTATTGTGTAATAAACAAAATGTTAGGTTACAAATTTATTCCCATTTTAGTACCCTTATATATTCAGAAGCTAATTTTGCAAATACAATGCTACCCATTTTGTGGTAGATTTCGTTGTCAAAGTGCATACAAAAAAAATAAAAGAATCTAATGCTGACAGTAAATGGAAGTTTTAGAATGAAGACTCATTCATAGTACTCTGTGCTAATGTAATGCTTGTCATTTTTGCACATTTCTGTACTGTTGAAAACATTTTTATATTGCAGCAATTACAGTGTTATTTAGAAATATATTTTCATTTAACATAAACATTTTCCCACATTTTTATATTACCTTAAAAATCAAATTAATCAGTGTATTAAAAAGATGTATCTGTTTCACTGATACATCTTTATTTAAATTTGTTGATTATTTAATGTTTTCTATTATAAATAACTCTATTGAACATCTTTGTTTATTTATCTTTTTGCATTTGGATGAATTACTTTCTTATTTTAGGTTCCTTGAAGGAAAATATTTGAGTCAAAAGATGTGAATATCTGTATGGCTTTTGCCAAATTGCTTTGTAAAAGGATGATACCAATTGATAATAGCAAAATATGCCAGTTTCACCACAGTTTTGCATGTAGTGGTGATGATATTTAAATAAAACTTTGCTACCATAATGAATATGAAACTGTATTTCACAGTTGCATTGAATTTGCATTTCTTTGATTCCTAGAAGGGATGAATATTTTCTTACAGTTTATGTTTATTCTTAGGTAAGTTGTTTCCTGTACCTTGACTATGGCATCCTTAATGTCATGAAAGAAGACATTTGTTTATACATTAGAAGGGGACAATGTTTCTTGTCACTGGCTCTCCACTTTAAGTGATGAAGTGTACACATATTGGCATGGAATCACTGTGTCATCTAGAAAGTAGATTCCTTTTAGATTTTGTTTTCTTTCTCAAAAATTTATATGAGTAAGAGTTACGACTTAAGACTTCTTTTGGTCAGTTTTTGCATCAATTCTGCATATTGTATCCCTGATCCTGTCTACCTTCCTAGAAACTTGGGTTTCTATCACAAGGGCTTCCAGGGATGAGTTTGGGAGTGTCAGTCCTAGCATGACTGCATAATTGGCAAAATAACACTGAACACATCTCCTTTAGGGTAGTGGGCCCACACTGTAACCCCCTCATATGAATGATGACACAATATTACTAGTGTGCAAAAAGAAACTTAGAGTCATAGGTATACTGACAGTGTCTGCATTCTTTTAAGTTTTTATTATTGAAATTTCTAGACTTATGTAAAAGTAGAGAGCATGGTATCATGGATCCTCATGTATTCATTAGTCAGCTTCAATAATTATCAACTTATAGTGACATTCTATTATTAACAATAATAGTTAATACTTAGTGTCTAGTATGATAGGGGCTGTGAATAGATTTTTCTGTGGCAGAACTGAAACTGTGACTTACTGTCTTTATATTCTCCATATCACTTAGCATAGCTGTTGGCAAGTAGTAGTTGTTCAGTAAGCATTGAAAGAATTCATTTGCTTATTTAATCATCCATTCAGCAAACATGGAGTACCTCTTATGTACACAATGCTGATTCTGGGATATAAAGTTGAATAAGGAATACGTGGTCCATATTTTCAAGATGCTGGTGGTCTATTAAAAGTATTTACTGTCGGCCGGGCGCGGTGGCTTGTGCCTGTAATCCCAGCACTTTGGGAGGCTGAGGCGGGTGGATCACGAGGTCAGGAGTTCAAGACCAGCCTGACCAACATGGTGAAACCCTGTGTCTACTAAAAAATAAAAAATTAGCTGGGTGAGGTGGTAGGCGCCTGTAATCCCAGCTACTCAAGAGGCCGAGGCAGGAGAATCGCTTGAACCCAGGAAACGGAGATTGCAGTGAGCTGAGATGGCGCCACCGCACTCCAGCATGGGCGACAGAGCAAGATTCCATCTCAAAAAAAAAAAAAAAAAAAGAAAAGAAAAATGTATTTACTGTCCCATTATTCTTAACTTTCATTTAATAGAGAAGAATTTCTGCAGTGTTGATGCAAGTACAGTAAATTCTGATGAAAGGGCTATCTTTATTGTAGTTCTGTATCTATTTACAGTAAGCTATTCATTTGTTAAAGGTGATATATCCTGAACATCTTTAACATTTGTCTAAATGCTTGCACTATTTAAAACTTGTGAGCTATTCAGTTTCTACATTTTACTGCTTCGAAAGGAGAGTGGAATGGAAGAGTCTATGTATGTGACTGGTTGTGGATGGTCTCATGACAATATTTTTTTTTTTTTTTTTTTTTTTAGGTGATGCTGGTAGGGCTTGAAAATGACAGGTTAAATTAGGGTGGAGACATGCATGAAGTGATGGGATTTACCTTTAGAGATTTTAGCCCGTGTTGCCAAAAGCAACTGAAAAACAGCATGTGTGATTTTGCTGAACTACTGCAATCTTAGCTTAAATATATTTCACAAAGTAACACAAAATACTTTGCAGCTGATTTTTATAGCTCTGGCTAACTTGAGCCTAAACCACCAGGAAGCATTTTTTTTTTTTTAAATGAAGCCTTCTAAAACTAGCTTGTAAAGTCCCCAAATAGCCTACATCTAATAATTGGAAAGTATGTCAGCTGAAATTTAGAATTTCTTAACATTGCACTGAAGAATAATCCATTGAAGAAGATAATGGATTTCTTAAGTACTGTTATATCAGTTAAGATTTTTATATTGTATTGCTTGTCCAAGACAATCAAAACTTCACGTATTCCAAGTTTGAGGAGATTCAAATACTTGGGAGAGTTTCCTAGGCACTCTGCTACCCTGAGTATGGAATTTAGTAAGTTTACATAACTTGGGCATGTGCAGCCATGTTTGAGGACCTGCTTTATTCTTCTACATCAGTTCTCAGATTTCTTGGTCTTAGGACACCTTTATACTCTTAAAATAATTGAAGACCCCAAGAGCTCGTGTTGATGTGGTTTATCTCGATATTTAGTGTGTTAGAAATCTAAAAACATTTGTTAATTTATTTAAAAATAGCAACAAACTGATTATATAATTACAACAAATAGCATTTCTTTCTATGAAAAATAGCTATATATTTCAAAACAAAGAAAAATTTAGCCTGAGGAGTGGTATCATTTTACAATTTTGCACATCTCTTTAATGTCTAGCTCAGTAGACGACATCTGGGTTTTCATTTCTGCTTCTGCATACAATCTGTTGTGACATGTGGTTTGGGATGGAGTATAGGAAGAAATCCAGTTTAACCCAAACATGTAGTTAGAAAAAGGAGAAGTATTTTAGTATTTTTTTTCTGATAGTTGAATGTATTCTTCTTTGATCCTGCACCAGACGTCTACAGATGGTATTTTCTTCGTAATGTGGAATCTGAAGCCATATCAATGAACTTTTCCTGTTCTCTTATATTAAAATCTGTTGGTCTCTGTTGTACTTTGAAAGAATATTTTACCCATGCGTGGCATGAGTTGATCATTTGTTAAATGTTGGTTCCCTGAATTATACAGTATACTCCAAAATAGACACATTCATTGTACAATATCAAAAATTACGTTTTAAAATATTCGTACTTATATCAGAAAAGTTTTTAAGTATTGGGAAGCTTTCCGGCTCACAGAAGTAGAAAAGTTTTCTAAAATTCTAATTTGCACTTGAAAGCTTGAATTTTATCATTGACAATATATACTGTCAGATTTTTTTTTTTTTGCCTTGAAGTGGCAGGCTCACTTTTTTTTTGAGAAATTGTCTGCCAGATACCCAAGTCAGAATAACAGTAGTTTGCCCATTATTCTTTCAAGTAAAAATTATATTCTGTGAAAAAGGCAGCTAGTTTAGCTTGCAACTCAAACAGTTGCACAAATGCTTTCCCTTGAGCAATCTTTGTTTTTCAGATGTGCCTTGTGTGTACTTTGTTTTATCTCACAAAATAGTAGACTTGTACTCAAGGGTTGAGAGCTGTTTTTTTTTGTTTTGTTTTATTTTACTTTAAATCCTGGGATACATGTGCTGAACGTGCAGGTTTGTTACATAGGTACACATGTGCCATGGTGGTTTGCTGCACTTATCAACCCGTCATCTAGGTTTTAAGCCCTGCATGGATTAGATATTTGTCCTAATGCTCTCCCTCCCCTTCCTCCCTACTTCCCCGGCAGACCCCAGTGTGTGATGTTCCCCTCCCTGTGTCCATGTGTTCTCTTTGTTCAGCTCCCACTTATGAGTGAGAACATGCGGTGTTTGGTTTTCTGTTCCTGTGTTAGTTTGCTGAGGATGATGGTTTCCAGCTTCATCCATGTCCCTGCAAAGAACATGAACTCACTCTTTTTTATGGCTGCATAGTATTCCATGGTGTATATGTGCCACATTTTCTTTATCCAGTCAGTCATTGATGGGCATTTGGGTTGGTTCCAAGTCTTTGCTATTGAGAGCTTTAAAAATAATTCTTACTGTTTCATCAAGGACATTCTTAAGTGAAAGTGTTTTTTTTTAACTATGCATGGTGGTGAAGAATACAGTGACTGTTAGTACAGTTTGATAGTACCATCCTGATTCATGTTTATAAGGCATCAGCAGTTTTGCCCACTATTGCTTCTGTATCATCAGTACAGGTAGTATCGTTATGAAAATAGTTTTGATCTCTGGACCCCCTGAAAGGATATCAGGAACTCCCAGGGCTCTGCAGTCCACACTTTGAGAACGGGTGAGCTCATCCAGCAGTACCCTGGTCCCCATCCTTTCTCTTGTCTTTTGAAACCTACCCCTTCCAGGGCTGGGTATCCCCCTCCTTTTCTTTATGCATACTGAGTTCCAGTCTAATAGAATGCGTTTTTTTCTCACCTTTTGCCTTTTTGTTTGTTTCTCTGCCTGGAATATTCTTGCCCCCATTACCTTTTCTTAAAATCTTGCTTTTCCTTCTAGTGCCAGCTTAGTTTTTTCTTCCATGATTTCTTCTCTCAGGTGGAAATCATTCTTACCTTTCTAAGTTCTCTCCATAACACTTTGTTCACATCTCCTTTATGGCACATATAGCTTATTTTAGAGGTTTTTTTTTTTTTTGGAGGGGAGGTGGAGGGTAGAGAGTCTTCCACTAATAGCAGATGACTGTGTCTTATTCATCCTGTGGTACTTTATAATACTGGAACAAATTATTCTGAGAATTATTACAGATGGAGTGAAATAATTTATTCCGCAAATATTTGGCTGCTACTGTATATCAAGCATCGTTAGGAACACTGTGCATGCAGTTGTGAGCAAGGCTGACATTGTTCCTGTTCTCGTAGTACTTACTTTCTGTTACAAATTCATTCTACCTCTGTAGAGGTTGATTGACAGCATGAGTAAATCCAGTGATTTCTAGTGCCTTTGGGATTTATTAAGGCCAGAGGAGCCTTTGAGAAACAATCATTAAGTCAGAGTAGCCATTATTCATCAGTCCCAACTGATCAGTTAACTCAGTGAGATAATTGCACACATTAAGACTGCATATAACACTGAATTTATAGTCTTAACTTTTTATGTCTAAGTATCATGTGATATGGCCCATTAACTTATATTTCTTTTTTGTTGGGGTTGCATCTGGTTATGTTAGTTATTGAACAAAGGAGAGAGGAGTCTTGAAGATGGGATGTTTAAAGATTCTGTAGCAATATTTTCTACATACAGCTTCTGTCATTTTTTATGTTTATGTGGCTAGTATGATTCTAGCAAAGATGTTTTTAGTGTATATCTGTGTAAGAAGGGTTTTATTTTAAGGCTTAGAACTTTTTTGTTCCCTCTTTTAGGCATTGACAAAGGATCCCCAGGATTACCCTGATAAAAAAAGCCTACCTCATGTACATGTTGCCCTCTGGATAAATTCTCAAGGAGGCAGAAAGGTGAAAGCTGGAGATACTGTGTCATATGTCATCTGTCAGGTAAACTATTGACATTCGTAAGACTCTGACACCTCTTAAGAACTGAAAGTAAAATCCAAATTACCACAGTGTCTTATTTAGCATTCTCCCCAATAATTGATGTTGTAAAGTCTGGTTAGTTTCATAGCATTTAAAAAACATTAGAGGTGTGGCATATGTCATTAGGATTTTCATAAAACATTTATGACAGATTTGTAACAGTAGCTACTCTTTTAACCCTAAATTAACTTTAATGCAAATGTAAGTTTCGCCATATGTTCAGCAGTAGTCCTCATTTATCTCTTTCCTTTTGCAGCAGTTCCCATTATAAATATCAGTGGAATAATAAAAGAATAAATGCCATTTTTTCCCTAGCAAATGTCCAAATAATTATGTGAAAAAATATGAACTACATGATTATACGGAGAAGTTGAGAGATCCTATGAACATACCCTATGAGGAAACCACACAATTCAACCAGTTTTTTTTTTTTTCTTCCTTCAAGTGGAGAGGGCCCACCTCCTTACCCTTCCTTCTCCGTTTCACAAGGTACCTCTAGGCCTTCTGGAACACAGTTTTAAGCCACTACCAGTTCTTTTGATAATAGCATGCCTATAATGGGTGAGGAGAGAGAGTAAGAGAGAAGAGCAGTTTTTTGACTTTCGAAGCCCTTAACTATTTTAACAAAGGAGAGGTCTCATCCCTTCTATCTGTAAAGATAAGTCAGGGTCATAGCATTTATCCAAATTCTTTCAAATTACAATGGTATAGACTACTTACCATAAGGTATAATTTATCTGAATAAAACTTTTTTAAAGAAATTAAGTTTTATCCTAATTGTTATTGCATTGTGTTGTTACAGTAAAAAAATGTTTTACATAAACCTAAAAAGTAATTGCAATATGATTGATATTTGTCAAACCACAATCAATGTGTTTTTAAATCAGAGTCTTTTGAAAATTTAAAAGTAGTCTGCTGATACCTGCTATATGCTGTGGATGTACATAACAAATGATTTAAGTACGTGGACAGGAATCAGCACTTGACTCTGTCTCCCCCCTAGGGTTACCCTTGATTAAGAACTGTTACAGAAAGCCAATTCCTGCAGGAAAATATTTCCATAAATGTCTGACTCGCTCAAGCCCTTAATGTGCTTTGCATATTGCCTCTGACAAGTCTCATCTCAAAAAAACAATTTTCATATTATGCAAATAAAGATTTTGGTAAATAGGCTAGGTTTTTTTTTTTCACTTATGTCTTCACATACATGGAAAAGCTCTTAGATTGGTGATGAGAAGAACAGATGGCAGCATACAACTTTGAAAAATTATATAGGTTCAGTGAAATAGCATTAATAATGAAATCAAGCCACAATTGTGTTTTGGCCAAACCTGCAATGAAGATGTGTGGTAACTTATAAAATAGGATGATCATTGTATTTAAAAGTCTGTTTTGTGTCCCTTGATGTCTGAATGTTAGGTGTTAAGGTTCCTTTTTCTCAGGTCTTATTGATATGCATAGGCTCAAAATGCTGTTGCTAATGTAGTACAGTACATCCAATTTTATGTATTTTTAGCAATTTCCATCCACTGGTATGTGCCTTATTTGCTTTTTAAAAGTATGATTCATATTTCTTTTTATTAACTTATTCTCCTTAACATATCCCAAGAAAACCTATAGGACTTTAATTTGCCTTTGTACCCTACCCATGGGACATGCTCCCTTTCAACCTGTTTGCTAGCCAAATCTGCCTAAATTTTTTGCTTTTAAGCACTCAAATTATTCTGTTTCATAATGCAGCCATATTTTTAGAATATGCTTTTGAAAATGTATCATGACACTTTTTTTTTTTTTTTTGAGATGGAGTCTCGCTCTGTTGCCCAGGCTGGAGTGCCGTGGCACCATCTCAGCTCACTGCAACCTCCACCTCCTGGGTTCAAGCGATTCTCCTGCCTCAGCCTTCTGAGTAGCTGGGATTACAGGCACGCGCCACCATGCCCAGCTAATTTTTTTGTATTTTTAGTAGAAATGGGATTTCACCATGTTGACCAATCTGGTCTCAAACTCCTGACCTCACGTGATCCTCCTGCCTCAGTCTCCCAAAGTGCTGGGATTACAGGCGTGAGCCACTGCTCCTGGCCCATCATGACACATTTTTAAGAGGACTGTTTGCTGCCTTAAGCAAGGGTGTCCTCCAAGAATAGCCTATATCCTAAACAGGTTTTGTTTTGTTTTGTTTAAAATTTACGTTTAGGAAATAGTACCCTACTGATAACTTATTCAGATGGGTTCAGAGAGTAATGTTTTTGGTATGTAATTTATATTGTAGGTTGTTAGCGCATTAAACCTATGTGAATTATTTGCTCAGATCTTAAATCAACTTCCATTTGTTGGCTAGGTTTTAAATCCATAACTATTTAACTTTCATTAGACATAATTTCCATAAGGCATGCCTTTAACATAATTATTTTAAGGGGCCCACTTGTCTCCAGTTTAAAATATTTTCCCATTAGTTTCCTACTAACGATGACTACCTAGTTTTGTATGAATCGACTGCACCTGGTTGTCTCTCTGAAGTATGTACTTTGTGAAGTTCACAAATTACTACATGGGCACTTGAAGAAGACCAGCGTTGCTTCTTAATCTGTTCTTAAAGATGTATGCCACGTATTCTTGCACATACCATGGGGCCCTGCTCAGGTTTGAGAATGAAATCTTTGAAGGTTATTATTATTTTTTTTTAATTTTGAGACAGGGTCTCGCTCTGTCACTCAGGCAAGAGTGCAGTGGCATGACCACAGCTAACTGCAGCCTTTATCTCCCAGGCTCAAATGATCCTCCCACTTTAGCCTCCTGAGTAGCTGGGACCACAGATGCATGCCTCCATGCCTGGCTAACTTTTTTTTTTTTTTTTTTTTGGTCAAAAAAAAAAATGGGGGTCTCACTGTGTCACCCAAGCTGGTGTTGAACTCCTGGGCTCAAGTGATCCTTCTGGCTCAGCCTCTCCAAGTACTGGGATTACAGGCATGAGCCACTGTGTCCAGCCGAAGGATGTATCTTAGGTCATAGCCTAAATGTTTTTCCAATACGACATAGCAAAACCTGTCATCTAACCAAGTCTTTTGAATTTAGCCATGTTCGAGCTTAGATTTTTAAAATACCCTAAGAAATATGTTTGTGTCACTTTTTGTTAAAACTAGTCTTTTGTGTGAATATTTAGAATAAAAACGTTTTAAACTGAAAGCATGCTCAGAAAGTTTTCAACTGCTTTTTTGAAAACCATGCTTTACTATGAGAACTACTGAAATATTAGAAAGTAACTCTAATATTTTTAAAGGCAGGTGCCTTTAAAAAATATTTTACATGTATAAATTCTATTTTAATTCACCATTAAAAATTGTTAAACTCAACATTGCTGTAATCTTAAGGGTAGACCAATTTTTCATAATTCCGTAAATTGTTCAGATTTTATGTGTTTGGTAAAAGGCAGTCTAAATACAATTGAGTTGTGTGAAAAGACACTGCCGGAGGATTTTTTCACGTGGTTTTTATCATTGGTTGTCACCTTATTATCATCTTAACAATTCAAGCTTCTGAAAGAGCAAGAATTAAACTTGATTAATTATGCCTAATTCCTTTTACTATGTTGTAAACTCCTGACAAATAATAATAAGTCTTTTAATCTGAGTTTGCTTCCTTTTTAGGTATTTCATTTTGTCTTAGAACAGGTAGAACCTGGTTGATAAACAGGCCCAGGTTGTTTTCATCAGGAGCCTAGCCAGAAAAAGAGGCCCCTGCCTCTGGTCTCTGGTAAAGACAGTGGTGTGTGGAAGGTTGCCTCTGCTTTGGGCTGGGTGCTGAGCTGGAAAGGGACTGATTGTAGCAGGAATGAAAGAATAGGATTCACATTATAATCAGTTCTGCTGAGCAGCTGAGCACTGTGAATAGTTATAACTTACTAGTTTGAATATTAAATTCTGTTTCAGATGAGAGGAAGAGTGAGTGAGTTGTTGGATGTTGATCCAGTAGAGATAACTTTTTGGTTCAGAGATGATGGTGACATCATTCACAAGGCTGGATATGGGCCAATTATATATAATTTCACAGCTTTTATTTTTATAGAGTAAAAGAGAAAACCCTTGAAAAGAGGCTTTCTGACCCATCTTCCTTTTCTTGAGGAGGAACCAGGTAAATGATACCAAATGACATGCCCTTCATTCCAGTGGCCAGATATTTGGCTTTTAGAGCCCTGCCACTCTGCTAGGACACTACGTCATTTTTACTTCTTACTGTATCTTGCATATAAATTACTACTCTATAGATTTCATTTCCCCACTCTTTTCCACTTGTTCATTTGCTTCTCAGTGATACATGGCTCTCATAGAAAATATTACTCCCGGGATCTTTGAGTTACTTTGACTAGAATTCTTGCCTGAAGGGATGACATTAACATAATAAAAAAGACCATACACATGTTTTTAAATTATCACTCCTTAAAAAGCCTTTCTGGCTACACTAATTGTTACTAAGCCTTCTCAGTGTTTGGTGATATGGCAGGTGAAATTATTTAATCTGGTCATTGCTATCTTGTTGGTTTCAAGTTTTTGCAAAAAATAGAACACAACATATACTGGATTTATATTCTTGGACACTGGATGAGATCTCAAGATTGAGATGTTGTCCTTGATTTTCCTACTCAAAATGTTCAACAATAGGTCAAAAAGAGGTCTTGATGTTTAGAAGTAGATACATAAAATTTAAATTGTTGCCTCTCTGTTTGACCAAGCAAGTGTCTGTGATTGAGTTGCTCACAACTTTACCTGTGTCTTCTTTTTACGTGTCTTTTTATCATATCTTCTTTTAGGATGGATCAAACCTCACTGCAAGTCAGAGGGCCTATGCGCCTGAGCAGCTGCAGAAACAGGATAATCTAACCATTGACACCCAGTACTACCTGGCCCAGCAGATCCACCCAGTCGTGGCTCGGATCTGTGAACCAATAGACGGAATTGATGCTGTCCTCATTGCAACGTGGTTGGGTAAGTGTCCCAAGCTCACATAGAACCTCACATGGTAACAGGGGCACATGTAGTCTTCCTTGTCTCTTGAGATCTCTGCTTATGGGCATGGTATTGTGTCTGGCACTTCTTTGTTTATAGTTTAGAATGTATTTTTGTGGTTGTTTGGTACTGTCTCCACTCATAGACTATGAGCTCCACATACTTGCTACTGTAACCACATGCCTGCTTCATAGTTGATACTCACTGAATACTGAGGGAAGAGAGGGAAGGCAAAAGAAAGGGTAAAGTGAAGATTTCAGGTGCCGTTACAGTCACCGAGTTTACATTGTTATAGCTTTAATTAGTGTACCTCCATTTATAAGGAGATTGATGCTATCTTGATTATTGGTTCATCTTGTCTCTGTCGCTGAAGGTATTTTCATGTCAAATGAGAAAACATGGCTTTTTAACATGAAATTTTTAATTTTTAATATTCAATTCATTGTGAGAATCCTACTCTATAAGTTATTCTAAAAATGGACCCACTGTTATCCTCTAGGAATTGGCTGATTTCTAAGTTATCATCATCCGAGGAGGTACCAGCCAACCCTGAGACCTCAGTATTACTTTGGCTTTTTGCTATGTCACCAGATTGTCTCCGTTGCTGTGTCATTATTACTTTTGTTATCTTTTGCTTAGAAATGTATTTCATAACCAGCCCTGATTTCATTTTTAGATGACCAAGTACATAAAGAGTTACATTGCTTTTAAGGCCTTTCCTCTCTCTTCTGTGGTAAGCAAAGATGAGTGTTTTCAGAGTACTGCCTAATGTCCTGAGATGGCTCCTCACTATTTGTAAGTCAAGCCCAGGTGCCACTGGCATCTCACAAACTCTTAACTTTGGCAATTATAGACTTAACTTTCCAGCTCCCACCTATGTATCCAGCCTTATTTCTTATTCAGTCTACGCAGTGTCTCCCAAATATGGCACTGCCCATTCTGTCCCTGCTTCATGGAAGATTCTCCCCCTCTTTTTACTAAAACATCTAGCTTTAGCCATGGGCTTTGACAGCATAGGGACCCGGGTTTCAGTGCTGGTTCTGCTATTCACAAGCTTCTGAACCTTGGTCTACACCTTAGCTCCTTGAGTCATGGAATAGAGTTACTCTGAGGGAGAAATAAGATGATATGTGTGAGATGTTCAGCACAAGGTCTCGGGCAAAGGAAGGACTCCGTGAGTGGTAGCCACCTCCCACCCTTCTTTTAGGCGTCAGTAGAAATATGTTCATATTCCTTCAGTCTGTAAGATTTGTATATACTTAGTGCTCAACTACGTTTGTAGAATGAGACTGGCTTTTCCATCGGTGAATTATCAAGTCACATATTTTCTGTCCTGCACCTGTTCAGTATGTTTCTGAGCTCCTCCCTGCTACCCCCATCGTCACTACCCCGTCAATGTTTACTCTGGAAGTGGAAGCTCATTTTTAACATTTGCCTAAGCAAATATTAGGAAGATAAAATTCTACCACCAAAATTATCATATGTATTCTCCAAGATGAGTTGTATTTGATGATGTTTATAAATCCTCAGCTGGGAAGAGAGGACTGTAAAAGCAAGGTATTTTTTAGCTTCACTTTTTTCTCTGCTATACATTGAGCGTTTGCTCTGTTGGATACAGTGATAAGTACTTTGCATTTGTTATCTCATTCAGTCCTTGTGACAACCTCACAAAGGTATGTTGGATTAACTCCATTTTACAGAGGAAGAAGCCAAGGTTTAGAGAGGTAACTATCTTGGTCTTGGCACATAGGTAGTAAGTAGCCGGCTGTGATTCCAAAGGTTGTGATCTTAACTACTGTGCTAAACTTGATTGCCTGTTCTTAGCTCTAAAAGGCTATGAAAGATGTTTTCAACCAGGAGCAGGGTGGCATAGATGTATAAGCATGGGGGGCTTCATGTTTTTCTTGCTCCCTCTATTTCTCACTGTACTCCCCCCCGCTCTCCACTGAAAACCTCTGAGTAAAACCATTTTTTAAAGAGTAGATCTCCGAGTTTTTCCATTTGTGTCTTCAAAAACCTGGTGTAAAACTGTTGCCCTTTTCTTCTTTGGTTTTGAATTTTTTGGTGACCCAGCACTGAGAGGAGGTAGATGGAACAAGCCTTGTCTCATGAATGACATTTAAGATAAGGACTTGCGTAGCCTTGTATGTCAGCAAAAGAGCTGAGCAATAAAGGGTGATGGAGCCTGCTTGGGTGGATTGGCCTGATGCCTGCCTGGATGTGTCAAGGCCAGACATACTAAGAGGGACCAGACTGATTTTGTTAGTTCCAGAAGTCATAGTTAAGATGATTTTTGTTTATAAATTGAACAGTAGCAGATTTTGACTTGACAGATACTTTATTATAACTGCAGCTGCTGTATCATAGGCTGCCTTATGAATTCAGTTTTCACAAATTATTTTCAAAGCCAGTAGTAGACAAGTGGGTCCCATCTTCAGAAGTTTCATGTTTTATCTCATTATTGACCAATCTCAATCTACACAGAGAACCCTCCAGACTTGCACACGGTCCCACCCATATACCCATCACTCCTGCCTCACAACCTGAAAATTCTCTAGGTGCAGCCATGGCTGTGTGGACACTCTTCTGGGCAGTCCCTTCTTGGTGCCATGTAGCCAAGTCAAGCTGATGGGAGGGAATGTGTCCTCGGCCTTGAGGGATCTGCAACTGCTCCTCACTTTTGGCTACTTTTTCTCATTTTTTTTCTTCTGCCACTTGACAGTGGTTTTTATATCGCGGATGTGTGAAGTTGTCATCATTGTGTAGTCCTCCTCTCCTGCTTGTCCTCTTCTCTCATCCTACCCTGTGCCTGCACCAGCAGTATATACACAGCCATCTATATTAGTAACAAATCTTGTAGTCCTTTCCTTCTGCCCCCTTCCAGGAGTTTCAGCATTAATGAAGTGTAGGCCCACAAGTCCCCATCATCATGAAGATCTGTAGAAAACATTGAAGCTCACCAGGCAGATCTCTGCAGGCATTAGCCTCCTGCTCTATTCAGGAGCTGAATTTCTTATCTGCACCCTTTATTCCTCTACCCCAAATAAAAAATTAGGGTGGCTATTCAGTAGGGGCTTCGAGGCCCCTGTTATCAGTTCTACTGTAGCCTGTGTATTTAGGAGGAGGGAGGGAGATGGGGAAGTGGTGGCAAAGTAAGAGAAGTGTTAGGGGGTACGTGGTTTCTAAGAGGTGCAAGCTGTAGGCATAAAATTACTGTAATTTGTTTTTAAAATTCTAAATCTGTTTTCTTTATATAAAAAAACTGCAGCTAGTGAACTGACACCGTTAAATAAGTTGAAGTATACAAATGTATACATAAAATACAAGCCCTCCAACTGCCTAATCACAGACATAAAATAATTCTCTTGCTTTTAATGTAGTTTTTATCTTTGATTAATGAAATGTATTGTAGTATTGAAACTTTAGTGAAGTTTGATACTTTGTCCTTTTAGTTAGTACAAAGAAATCAGGAATAATGGCATAATTTCATTTAGGAAAATTATTAAGCTCATGATTTTTTATTTTTAAGACTCTTTTGTGGAGAGCAAGTATATTTTTCAACTACTTTTTTCTTTCTCTATTGCTTTTATACTACTTTCCTTGAAATGAAAGGCAAGCATCAAGTGTTGGTTTATCCTATGGCTTCACTTTGGAAATTCTCTATTTCTCCCCATCAAGATACCTCCTGAAGTCTGTCTGGTGGCATGTTGCATGGCCAGGTGTTCCGTATGGGGAGACCATTTTAGTGAAAGGGAGAGAGGATAGCCTATTAAATGAGTGAATGAATAAGGCTCTTGAATTGAAAGAGAATAATTTGTTCTAATAACTAATGGTCCTCATTATCCCACAGTAAAATATGTATCATTTTTCTGAAACCCATGCAAGATTATTGCTATTGGGCTTAAATAAAGCAAAATTTTACTCTTTTCCATCTGTGAATAGGAAAAAATATAGTATTACTCTTCTTATACAATAGCCCTATGGGAAACATGGCCACTAAAACTTGAAACTCTTAGCTTTTGTTCTCTAGACTATAGATTTTTCTCTCTCTCATTCTATTGAAAGCTCTCCCGTATTCTGTGGATGAAATATTCACAGTATGCTCAAACATCCAAATAGTCTTCCATACCTAGCTGACTAGGCCAGTGATGAGAATAGTCTAAAGTTCATTTTTGAATTTCATCTTTGAATAAATTTATGTTTTATGTATAACGGTACTTAGAATTATATGTAATATCTCTCCTCCAATGAGCAATGATTTGTACAGTAGTTATAAAGAACCTTTCTTCGGGGTCAGTGATAAAATTTCAGGCATTTGGCTATCTGGGCAGTTTTCTCATTGGTCCTGAGAAATTATTGAGGTTTGAAGAACATGAGAATTTAGAATTTAATCTCTGAAAATACTGCTTAAAAGAAGACAGAACACACTTAACCCAGTGTGTTCTGAGTTAAATTGGAAAGCAAAAATTTCCTTTTAAAAAAATGATGCATACCACTCATATCACAGAGGTTAGTTTTTGTCAGTAGACAGGGTTCAGTAATATCATCTAAGAAATAAGTGCGACAGTGGGTGAAACAGGGCCAAGCGATGTTTGGGGGTGCTTTTGACAGATCCAGGGAGATCCACCTACAAAAAAGAGAGTAAAGTACAGATGGGTAGGGGTAGAATGATGCCGCCAGTGAGTACTTCAGGTATTACTTTGTCAATAAAGAATTTTGCCTTTTTTCATTATTAAGCTCTTATAAAAATAAAACATGACCATTTCCAAACTGTAAATATTTTCTTTTTCTGTCTTTTTATTTTTTATTTTTTTTTGAGAAAGAGTCTTACTCTGTCACCCAGGCTGGAGTGCAGTGGCGCTATCTCGGCTCACTGCAACCTCTGCCTCTCAGGTTCAAGTGATTCTCCTGCCTCAGCCTCCTGAGTAGCTGGGTTTACAGGTGTGTGCCACCACACCTGGCTAATTTTTGTATTTTTAGTAGAGACGGGGTTTCACCATGTTGGCCAGGCTGGTCTCAAACTCCTGACCTCAGGTGATCCGCCTGCCTCGGCCTCCCAGAGTGCTGCGATTATAGGCGTGAGCCACTGCTCCTGGCCCCAAACTGTAAATATTTTCTATAACATAATTAATAGTAAAATTAAAAAATGTTATACCAAATGCATTGCAGAATGTTAAAGGAAATCTTATCAGCTGATAAGAGCATCTCTTACAAGATGGAGTGCCATTCCAAGCATATCATCCAGTGGCTCATGCTCCCAGTCTAGTCTACTTTTGTATTCAATATTAATTGAAGACCTGCTGTGCCTAGCACCATAATAGGCACTGTGAAGGATACAAAGTTGAGTCAGTTATGGACCCTTTATTCAAATTACAGCCCAGTCATTTCGTTGATTTCACTGTTGTGGGCAAGTCTAGTGGGCAACACAGTGTATGTCCCAAAAAAGGTGAAATAAAGGGTTATCAAATTTCAAAGGAAGCAGAAACCACTCCTAGCTGGGCCCACCACGGAAGAGTTTATAAAAGTAGAGGCATTTTGAGGCATTGCTGGAATGGGCTGTGGAGAGGCTAGTGTGAAGTTGGGAATGGTTGCCCACCCTACTGCTTACCAATTCTTCTAGCCTGATGAACTGCAGGGGTAACCTGTGTTATCTCAGCCACCCCCAAAGCACTTTAGGGAATTCAAAGAGAGCCTCTTTAAGGGTTTCAGTTGAACGGTCCTGCATCTCAGTCTCAACAAAGTGAGCACACAGTGGGTTGCTTCTGTGTCGCTAGCCCACAATAGAGGGCCAGTAGTGACACTGCTCATCTCACATAAGCAGTGAGACCTTTGAGAACTTTGAACCAAACCAGAGCATGTTTAGAATAATTGCTTTGGAACTTTTGTATGAGTTATGTAACAACTCTGGCTTTGTAACACTTAGAGGTTTTAAAGGAAAATTGCGGATTTCTCAAATTATTTAAATTAGATCAATTTTTTAAAAAGATAAAATTGTTTTAATTAAGTACACCAAAGTGACATTTATCAAGATCGTGTAGCTTATAGAAAAATGGATAAGACCTAAAAATGGGTAAGGATAAAAAAAGCTGAATACTATACAGCATTGTACACATACACGTACACTGTATTATATATGTGTATGAATAAAATAGAAAAGGGTTAAGGTGATGAATTATAGGTTCCCCCTTTGCTGACAAAATATTAATACTGTTATTTTATTATTAATAAGACAGTTTTTTCCAAAACCAGAAGTAAAACAATGGTTAAGCAATTACTAACTCACCTTCATTTATTTATTTATTTCAGATGGTTTTGGGGGAACGGTTAGTGTTTGGTTATTACATAAATAAGTTCTTTAGTGGTGATTTTTGAGATTTTGGTGCACCCAAAGCAGTGTACACTCTACCCACTGTGCAGTCTTTTATTTCTCACCCCCATCCCACCTTTCCCCCCAAGTCCTCAGAGTCCATTGTGTCATTCTTTTGCCTTTGTGTCATCATAGCTTAGCTCCCACTTATGAGTGAGAGCATACCATGTTTGGTTTTCCATTCCTAAGTTATTTCACTTAGAATAATGGTCTTCATTTTCATCCAGATTGCTGTGAATGTCATATTTTTTTTTATGGCTGAGCAGTATTCCATGGTGTATATATATGCCACAGTTTCTTTATCCACTCATTGTTGGGCATTTGGGCTGGTTCCATATTTTTGCAGTTGAGAATTGTGCTGCTATAAACATGCACGTGCAAGTATCTTTTTGGTATAATGACTTGTTTTTCTCTGGGTAGATACCCACTAGTGGGATTTCTGGATCAAATGGTAATTCTACTTCTAGTTCTTTAAGGAATCTCCACACTGTTTTCCATAATGGTTGTACTAGTTTACATTCCCACCAGCAATGTAAAAGTGTTCCCTTTTTACCACATCCATACCAACATCTATTTTTTTTTAATTTTTTGATTATGGCCATTCTTGCAGGACTAACTCACCTTTTAGAAGGTGGGTGGTTAGGGACCTTGAGCCTAGCTGTTTTTCCCCAGCATCTACCAACATAGCTGGAAGAGAAGTAGGCTGTGTTATAAGACAAGCAATCTTTGGACTATTATTTGTGTTATTTTATATTCCAAATATATTTCCAGCACAGAGTTACCATCTTTTCTCAGGTTTAAAAACAGGAAAGGAAGGCCAGGTACCGTGCGTGGCTCACGCCTGTAATCCCAACACTTTGGGAGGCAGGAGGATGGCTTGAGTCTAGGAGTTCAAGACCAGCCTGGGCAACATAGCAAGACCCCATCTCTACAAAAAATACCAAAATTAGCTGGGTATGGTGGTGCATGCCTGTAGTCCCAGCTACTCAGCTGACTGAGGTGGGAGGATCACTTAAGCCAGGGAGGTCGAGGCTGCAGTGAGCTAGGTCAAGGCTGCAGTGAGCTGTGATCGTTCCATTGCACTCCAGCCTGGGTGACAGAGCAAGACCCTGTCTCAGAAAGAAAAAAAAAAAAAAAAAAAGGAAGAAGACACTTGAAAAGCTTCCTGCCAAGAAATACACATCTCGTTAAGTTAAAATTTATATTTGTGTCTATTGTCAAGGGCATTAAAACCAGTTGATTGAAGTCATGAGAATGCTGCTCATCAGGCTTTTTATTCTGTCAAGATTTTGAGAATTATCTTCTCCAGGAAAATAAAAATCTTGGGTATTCATTTAAACCAAAGGCTCGGCTATTATTTCTTCTAAAATACTCAGAAATTTTCCATTTATATTATGAAGAGGTGTATTGTTGGTGTGAAAGACAGTTTTGGTTGTCTGACACTTATACAGTAAATTGTTTATCTTTAAATTGGATCTGTAGTATTTTAAAAACTTGTTGGGCTGGGCATGGTGGCTCACGCCTGTAATCCTAGCACTATGGGAGGCCAAGGCGGGTGGATTACTTGAGATCAGGAGTTCGAGACAAGCCTGGCCAACAGAACAGGGTGAAACCCCATTTCTACTAAAAATACAAAAGAATTAGCCAGGCGTGGTGGCGGGCACCTGTAATTCAGCTGCTCAGGAGGCTGAGGCAGGAGAATCTCTTGAACCTGGGAGGCGAGGTTGCAGTGAGCCGAGATTGCGCCAGTGTCCTCCAGCCTGGGCAACAGAGCGAGACTCCGCCTCAAAACAAAGCAAACAAACAAAAAAATACAACTTGTTATTATGGAAAAATGTATATTATATATATATATATGGTAGTAGAGAATATAAAATTTTTTCTAGTATCACACATATTAAATTATAGGGTAAGATTAAACCCTCATATACTCATCACCCACCTTCAGTATTCTGCACTGGTGGCCAATCTTATTATTCCTCTTTCCCACCTTCCCCTATTATTTTGAAGTATATCCTATATATTTATTTTGTGTGTTAATATTTCATTTTGCATTTCCTTTTTTTTTTTTTTAGAGACAAAGAGTCTCACTCTGTCACCCAGGCTGGAGTGCAGTGGTGCGATCTCGGATCACGACAACCTCTGCCTCCCAGGTTCAAGCGATTCTCCTGCCTTAGCCTCCTGAGTAGCTGGGATCGCAGGCATGCGCCACCACCCCCGGCTGATTTTGTTTTGTATTTTTAGTAGAGACGGGGTTTCACCGTGCTGGCCAGGCTGTTCTTGAACTCCTGACCTCAGGTGATTCTCCTGCCTTGACCTCCCAGAGTGCTGCGATTACAGGCGTGAGTCAGTGCGCCCGGCCCATTTTGCATTTCTAAAAGAAAAGATTCCCCTTTTCAGCATAACTACATTATTATCACATCACACCAAAAAACCTCACAATTCCTTCATTTCATCTAATTTCCAACAAGTGTTTATATTTCCGTGATTGCACTATGAATACACTTTTTTTAAAAAGCTCCTTGTTTGGATTGGAATCCAGTCAGGGTCAACTTGGTAGTTAATTTCTATTTTTTTTTTTCCTTTGTTGATCCTCCCAGTTTGTTAATTAAAGAAACTGGGCTTTTTGTCCTATAGAATTTTTCTCATTCTGGAGTTTACTGATCACATCCTGGTGGTATCTTTTAACATGTTCCTCTGTCTCCTATGTTTCCTATAAATAGTTAGATCTAAAGATGTGATTATATTTAGGCTCAATTTATTTTATTTTATATTTTCTAAAATATAAAATACACACTTCTTCCTAGGCAATGGGGTTTATGTCTATTTGAGTTTCAATGCATTTTGCAACAAATTCATAGATGTTTCATAAGAAATATTTAGAATGCAATTTTCTCACCTTTCCAAGTGTGAATTTTTCATAGTATAACATGCATACAGAAAAGTACACAAAACCTAACTAAACTGCTTGATAAATTTTCACAAGGTCATCATGCACTAGTGTAGTCATTACTGAGCTCAAGAAACAGTACATTACTACATTCCCAGAAGGCCCCTCATGTCTCCTAGAAATGATCCTCTACATACCTGGCATCTAATAACATAGATGAGGTGGATTTTTGGGGATATTACACAAATTGCGTCTTTGTTCTTTGTGTCTAGACTACTTTTACTGAATATTGTTTGTGAGATTCATCCATGTGGTTGTCCTTCCTTTCTGTAAATTCTGTATAATATTTCATTGTCTGAATATACCACACTGTATGGCTATCTACTGGAGGTACACCTATGAGTTGTTTCCACATTTGAGGTATTTTGAATAGTGCTGCTTTGAGAGTTGTTGTACAGGTCCTCTGTCAAACGTAAGCATGTATTTTTCTTGGGGATGTACTAAGGAGAATTGCTAGGCCATCAGGGACATGTATGTTTACTTTTAGTAGATTCTGCCAGTTTTCCAAAGCGGTTCTACTCGTTTACACTTCCTACTAGCAGTGTTTGGGTGCTCCACATTCTTACCAACACTTGGTAAGATAGTGTTTTCCATCTTCATTTTACATGGTGGCATAGAGTTGTGGTTTTAATTTGTATTTCTTTGATGACTAATGAAGTTGAACACCTTTTCACATGCTTCTTGGCCATTGGAGTATTTCCTTTCGTGAGGTGCCTGTTCAAGTCTTTGTCTGTTGTCCTGTTGGCTTTTCTTTTTCTTATTGATTTGCAGGCATTTCCTATGTGTTCTAATTACGAGTCTTTTGGAAGTATATATTACAGTTTGAGTATCCGTTATCTGAAATGCTTACGACCAGAAGTGTTTGGGATTTTTTCGGATTTTGTAATATTTGCATATAGATAATTAGCTATCTTAGAGATGAGACCCAAGCCTAAACATGAAGTTCATTTATGTTTTATATACATCTTATACACGTAGCCTGAAGGCAGTTTTATACAATATTTTAAAAAATTTTGTGCCTGAAACAAAGTTTTGACTGCAACTCATCACATGAGGTCAGGTGTGGAATTTTTCACTCGTGGTATCATGTTGGCACTCAAAACGTTTCAAATTTTGGAGGATTTCAGATTTTTGGATTAGGGATGTTCAACCTACACAAACATCTTTTCCTATTTGGCATGCTTTTTAAGAGTATAATTCACATAATTTACCATAAAATGCTAAAATCTTGAGTATTATACAATCAGTTATCTAGGCACAGACACAGAACATTTTCATCACTCCAGAATGTTCCCTCGTGCCTCTTCCCAGTCAGCACCTCTGTTATAGTAGCAATCGCTCATCTGAAATCTATCAGTATAAGTTAGTTTTGCCTATTCAAGATTTTCGTATAAATGGTTTCCTACAGTATATACTCTTTTTGTGTGCAACTTCTTTCACTTAGCATGGTATTTTTGAGATTCATCTGTCTTGTTGCATGTAGCAGTATTCACTCTTTCATTGCTGAGTAGTATTAGCTGAGTAGTATTATGGTAGATTATACCAGTTAATCCATTCACTTGTTGATGGACATCTAGAGTGTTTCCATTTTTGGCTATTATGAATAAAGCTGCTATGAGCATTCTGTGGATATAGCATTCACCATTTGAAAATTATTTTTTTCTTTAATCATACTAAATTTTCAGTTCGCATATTGTCCTCTAAGATGTCCAGATATATGAAAGCCTGGACTCATGCAAAAGATAAATGGTTTACTTCCTCTAAGAAATTTTTACAAAAAAATTTCACTCAATGGGATTCTGTTAATTAGCTTCCCTCATAGATTAAATGATCCATATTACAAACAACTGCTTGTAAATACCAGTTACTCCCTTTACTCATTTGGAATTTCATTTATGTGGATTTTCCCTCTTCCCCACTTGCATGAACATATGTAAGGGTTTTACTGTAGTTATTTGCTGTTGCACTAATAGAGACCTTGTCTTTTGAAGGAAGGAAAGTATTTGATTAAATGTATCAGCCTCTCTAATAACAATATGTCTCAAGTTATGAACAGTTTAAAAACTCCTTGGGAGTGGGGGCAGGTGAACATTCTAAAAACAGGCATAATTTACAATGGTTAGAAAGTGCAATGGTAGAAAAATAATTTTGTGCTAAATGTCACACTGGGGGTGTGTGTGATAAGGCTATGGTGACTTAAGTAAAGACAGTACTGCTAAACTCATACACCCTGATGCCTATGATGTTACTTTCTATAAATACTTCTTGAAACATGAGAGTTTTGATCCTGTTGCCAAAATAATGTGAGATCCTAGAAATTTTCTAATTATAAATGACAGTATTTTAATTTCATTCCACTGCCTCTTTTGTACCCTCAACCCCAGCACAAATGAGTCCATCACTACAAGCCACATAATTGAATTAAAGCATACATCATCTCAGCCTATTCTGGGGGGAAACCACGGCTGCTCTTCCTCCAGATAACTAGTTTTGCAAAGCCCAGGCAGGCTGCTTCTTCCTTCATTCTGTGCCTCACCAAAAGACTTAAGTCACCTGTCAAGAGCTAGCCTAAAAGAAATGGAAGTTACTTTTCTCAAATGGGGCATAAAGTTTGTTCCTTTAAGCCAGTTCAGAGAAAGCTTTCAGTAGAAGCAATAAGGAATTTGGGATTCAGTTTTGCATTTCTTGCTCAAAGACTAATGTACGCAGTGTAACATTAATTATACGGTGTAGATGCATGTAGGGCAAGTGCAGTAATAAAGATTTTGCTTTAATGTCATTTTTGACAGAAGTGTTTAATTTTGGAGTGACAACAATTAAAAATGGAATTATATGTAGCTGCTGTTTTGCACATTTTAAAATTCAGAATCTCTACCTGTAGGTGGCAGCACCAGATACTTGTTTCTTGTTTCACTCCAGACTTAATGAGTTTAGGGTATAAGCAGTAAAACTTTAAAGTCTACTGAAACTTCGAAATAAGCTGCTGTTACCAGTTTTGTGAGAATTTGGAAAAACTAATGTATGTGTTGACTAAGTTTGGGGCTTATTTAACCCTGGATTTTCACCTTTTCAAAAAAGATTCCAGCAGCAATGATCCTTACTTTTTTAACATGACATTGTATGTTTTCTTAAAATGATTTAATTTAGCCCTCTGTGGTTTGCCTGTTGAACTTATAACTGCTCTCCCAAGAAAATAACTTTTTAATGGCATTTTGGTATTTAAGTAACTTGTACAAGGATCATTATATACCTAATATTTTAAGCTCATTACAGTCTCTTCTCCCTTTATATTTTTACATTTTAGCATTGAACTATGACCAAGAGACTATTGAGATTGAAGCTCCTTCCCCTGGGGAAAAAAAAAATCACCTTGGGAATAAATCTGAAGTAATTAGCTGAGCCAGTTGACTTTGTTACTGCCATGGGAAGATTGAGTGATTTGTAGAAATGGATATTTAGGGTAGACATTTAGAGTAGACATTTCACAGGGCCTGGTATTTTTCGCAAGTTGCAGCCAGTCGTTTGGGTGTTTCTCCATGAGTAAGTAACAAGATGGCCCACACCCACTTTTAGCTTACTCTGCAGGCAGGCTGTCCCGGGTCAGTGCTTGCAGGTTCATGCACTCAGGTGCACCAAGTGAGCCATGGCTGGTGGGGAGGGGTAGAGAGTAGCTCCTCTTGGTTCCTTTTCGTAGCCTGGCCAATTTTGTATATGTGCAAACCAGCATTGTTTTGTTCCTTTATTTTTGGACTGTGAAAGAAACTTGCCTTTTAGAAAAATCTTGCTTATTTTCTTTTTCCTTATCTTTTGATTAGTGTTGGCCTGGGAAATTGATTAATAGTCATAGGGTCAGAGAAAAAGTGAAGCTGCTTTCTCATAATTGCAAATAAATCAAAACATTATGTGAATACTTGGATTCACAACTAGAGTTTGAATTAGCGACAGTTACCCCTCACTACAGAGATGAACTGGCCTCATTCAGCGGTGTGGTCTCTCTCAATTCCTCTGACCATCCTTAGCTTTAAATGTGAGAGTATATGTATTCCCACATAATTCTCTAATTTACTATTTCTCTTAGGGGTTAGGTAACTTGTAAAATAAGAATGTATAGTGTCTTGGTGACAAGTGGCCCATGTTAACATAATTTATGTCACTAATGAAGAACAGCTTTTCAAATTGTTCTGAATGTGTATTCTTTGTTTTTATCATATACTACCACTTTAGGAAATACTTTAATTCCTACAACGAGTAGCTATTAACTTCATATGCAGCATGAACATGTCTCATATAGTTTTCTAAATGCATAATCTTGAGCGAGTACAGTCTGGATTAAATGATGTTCATTCACTATTTTATTTTTTCATTGAAATGACATTTATTTAGTGCTTGCCACGCAGTAGGCAGCGTTGAACTCGGTTTGTTCTATATTATCCAATTTAAACTTCAAAAGTGTATGATCAGTGATGCTACCTCCGTTTCGCAGGTGAGAAAAGTGAGACTCTGTGTCTCAGTTGTCTTATTCTTTGTTTGGCCCCTTTCAACTGTGAAGAGTCAGCCTCCAGTATTTTATAATTACTAGATGTCGCTTGACAGCTGACCAAATAGGATTTAGGATTCTGTCACTGAATTCTGAATGCATCTGTTAGATTTATCTACCTATGTAGCTGTTGATAAATTTTAAACAATTTTTAGATATTTTTGGTATTTGTGAGCTTTTGGCTTAGTGACTGTTTTATATTACTTATTTACCTTTATACTAAAATAAGATAGTTTTCTCTTAGATTTCCAAAAGCTTTTCCTTAGATTTCCAAAAGATAGAAATATTGTCTCTTATAATCTTTTCTTGAAAGCATCCCTTAGCAATCCCTAAAATTCTAAGAAACAGTGTAGAATAATTATTTTTAAGTATAAATTCAAATAGTAAATTTTGGCACACATGTTTTGACCAAGGGTAAATTAAATTGGTTGGCCTAAAAATGTTTCTTTTCTTTAATTAGTTTGTGGAAACAAAATAGCATAAACATGCATTGATTGATTTCTTATGTTGTTTTGAATGAAATATGGAAGGTATATTTGGTTTCAGGATTCTCAGGGACATTTTGGCCTGTAGAATCTGTAGACCCATTGTTTTTGCACATATTTTAAATTTCTGAATTTCGAACATCAAGAAAACCATGTTGCATTTTGTCTCAGATGCTGCTACTGAATTTTAACCACTGAATTAGATTGCAACCTACATGCTGTTAACTACTGAGCCAAGATGAAATCGACTACTGCATTGAAATCAGGGTTAGCTGTGTCTGCACTTGAAGGAGTTGTAATGGCAGTGAACCTGTTTTCTTTAATGGGATTTTTATTCCCTGATTTTATTCTCAGTTTTAATTGTGACTTTGATTTTAAGAGAATTTCTTAGTACACATTTATTTGAGGTTTTCATTGTAACTTTAAGAGAATAATAAAAAACATCCTATCGAAGTAGGTGCTTCCAAACCCATATGTTCAGTGGCATATTTCTGTGTTGTGTTGTTGCAGTTACTTGTTTTATTTATAAAGTATCTCTTGTAAAAAGAGAAGTCATTTGTCCATGTGCTTTTGAGTTCAAATGGTTGTGTGTATGTGCATGAATTTAAAATAATTTTTTGTGGGAGTTTTCTTCTTTGGGGTATTTTTGGAATACTTTTCTGAATTTGTTTTTTTCTTTTACATTAATAGGACTTGACCCCACCCAATTTAGAGTTCATCATTATCATAAAGATGAAGAGAATGATGCTCTACTTGGTGGCCCAGCACAGCTCACTGATGAAGAGAAATACAGGGACTGTGAAAGATTCAAATGTCCATGCCCTACATGTGGAACTGAGAATATTTATGATAATGTCTTTGATGGTTCGGTTAGTTGTTTCTGTCTTTCATTTTGTGAGTGAACTTGTATAAAGGCCTTACCCCCTTCCCCCACTATGGGGTATATAAAAAGGGCGAAATAAACACACACATGTTGCTTTCATGTGTTTAAAGAATTTTAGCATCATGTGAAATCTACCTTCACAGCTTGCTTTTATTTCTGTTTGAAAACTCTTACTTGAATGTGCTTGAATATTGTTTTGGCTTCCTAGAGTGCTTGACCTTGGTTTTTAAGTGGAATCCCTTAAAAATTCTAAATTATCTTAAAGTATTTTTATTATAATTTCTTAATTAGTAACCTGTATTGTCCCACTGTCAACCCCCATCTATTAAGACTTAGACCAATATTTTTCCTTATCTTAAATCAAGTTACTGGGAACTAAGTGTTTTGGGAAAGTTTGTGTTTGTCTTTACACATCCCACTTACCTCCATTTTGCAAAGGTACTCTTATCTTTTCTGCTGTCTTTGCATATTAGACATTTAAAAAGTCACAGGGAGACATTCCTTTCAAGAAGTACTGCCAAAAAATGTATTATTGACCTTGGATCAGAGCTTGAAACTTGGCCAATTTACTTGATTTCCACTGCAGTGTTATGCATGTACTAGCCATTGGCAAAGGAATAGGCAGCAGAACTGTGTAAAACCTTGAAACTGAAAGAAAAGACGCCCTTTATCTAAATTAAAAGTAATTATTTTAAGTTAATTTGGACAAACAGCAGATGTTTTGCATTTTTTTGAATCAAAACAAAGCAGTCTTTGGAAGCAAGTGCAAGGAAGAGGCAGACACAGATCAGCAATACTTGCTAAATCCTTGAGTTTTGCTTCATTACAGCTGTAAATAAGATAGTTAATTGCATGGAGGCTTGACGACTTGCAGATGGGCTAACTGTGGAAGAGCCGATGTCAAGCTCTGAAATCTCTTCCACCTGGAATTGCTTAGCGTGGCGGGTAGGGTTATGTACCAGATTGGAGCAGGAAACCAAGATGTTTAAGTATCAGAAAGGAAAACAAATGCTTCAGAAATCCCAACAGTTTTGCTATATATTACATTTGCCTTGTCTTTGTTTAAAACAAAACACAACAAAACAAAATGTTTTCTCCAAATATTAATATTTATTTATTTCAAATTTTTACTTCTCCTGCCTCCCTCCCCCAATACACTTCATTTTTTGGAAAAATTGCCAAAATTTTAGATTTGCTAAGCAGACAGTAAGTGATACTGTTTTTGTGGTACTACACTTTTAACTTTTAGACTTTATTTTTAAAATTAACTTGACAAGATGAAAACAAACTAATGTGATAAAGGCTCTTGTTTTTCTTCAAGTTTGTAATGAATAAATACAAATTTAAAGTTTTTAATCAGTATCTCTGAGAAAGAGGTTTATTTCCAGTAACATGACTTCACTGGTATTTACAGAGGGAAAATTATTTTATCCATAGAGTCCCTCGTATAGTGAATGTAAAATAGTGATTTCAGGGTTTTCCCTTTGACTTTGCACTCCATTATGATGATGGCAAGGAATGGAAGGTATGTATGACTAAAGCGGTCTTTGGGAGGAAAATAATTGAGAAGATAGGGTTAACAACTCACCAATAAAACGAATTAAGAATATTCAACACTAGGACAGCATGTAAGTTTTTAAGCACAAAAACCCTTTTATAGCCTCACAGTAATTTTTTGTATACTTCTCCTGACTTATGTAGGGAACAGATATGGAGCCCAGCTTGTATCGTTGCAGTAACATCGATTGTAAGGCTTCACCTCTGACCTTTACAGTACAACTGAGCAACAAATTGATCATGGACATTAGACGTTTCATTAAAAAGTACTATGATGTAAGTATCCATAATGATATTCTTACATACACAACTTATTGAGGTTTGGTACTTGTTTATTGGTTTTCATGAAACTAAAATTTTGAAAAGACTTTTGGGAAAAATTCCTAGTGAAATACTATTAATACAAATATGATAAAGTATGTAATTTTGGCATATTAGCATGACAAATTATTTGATAATTTCTCTCAGGCATTACATCTCTTTCATTTACGAGCAGTATTTTAAATAATGAAATTTTTACTTCTTTTAGAAAAAGCCAGAATATAATTAAGAAATGTTTTAGTTTATTGTTACCTAAATAAGACTAATTAAATGATTGCTTAGATCTTTGGATAAAGGAAGAAAAAAATCACTATTGGCTATTGTCAGCAAGTAGAGCCATAAGATCGTGTGTAGTGATCTTAGTGGACTGCCCACACAAAACTAATACTTTGTGTTTATGTAGCACTCTAAACGACTCCATACCCTAGTTTTTTGAGGAAATCAAATATCTTTTAAATTTAAATGCAGTTTTTCTGGCATTCAAAAGAGAATATCTAATTTTTATAAATTTATAGTAAAAATGCCAGAACAGTGAGTGATTTGTCTTCATTGGAAAGAAGGCTTTTATTCAGAGTTTTTGTTTTTAACGCATTTCACATGAATTAGTTTTTTTCTCTTCAAAAATTAAAAATTTCACATTTCCCACGTGATTTTTCTTAGTGTTTCAGTATGTCATTTGTCATCTAAACAAATTTTCTGTTACTTGAAAGTTTACTGTAACTTCTTTTTAAAAGCTACATTGGCAACACATTTCAAAAAAAAAAAAAAGCTCATGTCTTAGTTAAGGCCTATGACTTTTCTAAAGATTGTTCTGTACTTTTTACTCGTATTAGTTAACATATAATAGCATTTTCTTCTTTAAAATAGAACTCATTATGTGAAAAGTAACTATCAGATCATTAAGATGAAGAGTAAAAACATAGAGTTCCAGTATTATGATTTTGGTGTTGAATATATTTATCAGAAAAGCAAGTCAGTTTGCCTAAAGATTATTAAAAAATAATAATTATGACTACATTTTGGGAAAATCTGAAACATTTTAGTGAATAATCCTGTGCTGCCCTTACTGAACAGTGGATGGGAATAAAAGTTGGCTGTGGGGTCACATTCCTCAGTAGGTGAGATGTGCAGCACATGAAAATTTAGGCCAAATCAAAACTATTCAGCTCCTCATTTACAGGCCTCATTGAACAGAGTATGATCCTTGCTTGACTCTTGGGAAGAATTCTGAGCTTTCTCTCTGTGTTTAGTCTATCAAGATCTTCACCATGGAAATGTTAATACTAGAAGAAACTTATCTATTTCCTTCTTTAAGAGGGAATAGTCTGTTTTGACTAAGTTGCAAATACTCTGAAAAATGATCTTCTGTATAGCTAGAAATATGCCCTGACTGAAAGACTGATTTCTAACCTAATTGTGTGTATGTTGTGGTGGTGGTTATATAAGTATTTTTCAAGCTAAATAACCTACTTTTAGGGATCCAGATATTTAACACAAGGTTTCTAGAGCATTTGCTTTAATTGTTTTTTTGCCAGCCATCTCACTAACATCAAGTAACAGGTTTTTGTAGTTAACTGCCCACTTGATTGACATTTCTAAGGGATTTCTGATCAAAATAGCCATATGTCACTCCTGGGGTTAAAAATTGATATGACTGTCTTGAAAATTAGGAACTTATTTCTCTACTTTCTGATCTGAATTATATGTGATTGGATGGCAGAGAACGAAATCCGTTATTCGTTCTTATGGCCTCATGCTAAACAAATATTTCAAATATTTTCCAGATCAGAGCTTTTGTACAAAAAGCCCCTGTACCTTTAGGTTCTACTTTATTGGTAGACCATCCTGTTTCCTCCTAGAGGTACATGGCATTGAGTTTCTTTTGTTATTGTGCCTTGAGTGATACTGATTACAGTTATTAGTTCAGTGTGATATATCATGGTGATGGTAATCCAATTGGAGACTAATCTAGCAAGTGTACTGAGGTAAGGATATTGATAGTAAGTATTGAGGTTAAGTGATTGTCTCTGAAGCTAATTACCAAAATGGTTTTCTCCTATTTAGCAACTTAAAAAATACTACCCACTGGACATAAAAGTTGTTTGTGAAATGAAGGCAAGAATCTCAATATTGTTTTGATTTTAGTCTTAGAAGCACTGCAGGAGAAGTCAACCTGCACTGAGAAAGGAAGGTATCTTCATGAGAAAGGGACTCCAGGAAGATGAATGGAATATGGTACTTGACCAAACACTATAACCTGCGAAGAAGCATAGTTCTAGATGACTAAGAAATTAGATTGTCAAGAAAAAAGGGACAAAAGTTTGGGGTAACAAAGTATACTTCTAAATCACTTTAATTTTGGAAAAGTACATCACATTCTGTTACCTTCTGTCATGAATTAACAGGACTGACTAAATATGATATAACAAATATTTGTTTAAGTTTATCTGAGAAGCAAACTGTATCACATCATAATATTTTAATAAATATTGGCTCCTTTATGGGAGAGGAGAGGCTTTTTGCTCCTCATCTGTAGCAATGATTGTATTCCCTGAATTCTAGTTTCCTATAACATTTAAACTTTGATATACATAGAAATACAGAAAGCACTGAGCCAGGATATTTTAAGTAATATATTAATTTCTTTAGGAAGAAGATAACTCTGTGCTTTGTCTTGAGATTTGATGAAGTGTTGAAAGACTTCGAGGTAGCACAGAAAGCCTTATTTCTAAGTTGATTTCATGCCCTGGTCCTTGTTGGTTCCTTTGTATAAAGTTAAAATTGAACTGGTATTTTTTGAAAATCATAAAAAGGCAGCTTAAAGACAATAACTCTAAGCTTTTAGGGTTGTTTTTGAAAGATTCCGTTTTACAGTGAAAAATTGATATGTGTTCCCCCTCCCCTTAAATTCTGCTCCAGAAGAGCAAATAGACATACACACACAAAAGGGAGAGAAACACTAGCTAATCTAAATTGGGAAATGAAGAGGGCTTTTTTTAAGCATGAAAATTTCATCATCTTGTCAGCTGGCAGAATGCCTGCTGTGTGGATTCACAAAGGCTAAGAATTACACTTTCATGAAATTTTCCTCACTAACTGCCCTGGTTAATTTGAAAGATAACCCACTGTTCTAATTCATTCCTCAATTGGGCGGTGCAGGTTTTATCTTTGATCTGACAAAGCATTTGTGTTAATCGTTTTGGCCCTCCACTAGACACTCTTGGGATTGTGCTTTTACAATAAATGTGTCTGTGATAGCTCTTTAGTCTATTATACTTACAATAGATCCATAGAACTGGTAATTAATTCTCCACTGCTTTGGAAATGGGAAGAATAGGTGTAGCTCTGTCAAGTGCTGCTGGGAAGTTTGTTTAGCTGGTTCATTTTTGAAGTGTTCCCCTCAGCCATCCAAGAAGCAGCCACAGAAGAGAGTCTGAGATTGAGAAGCTGGCCTATCCTGATGACTTGCTGATAAATGGGAAATGTGACCCCTCTTGGTACCTGGGAGGAGGATATTGGGTCATTTACATTCATCTCAAGTACTGTTCTTTTTAAAGTATATTAAACTCTCATTTTAATACTTAAAGAGCCATTTGCCTCTAACGGTGGAGCCTCTAGAAGATGCAATCGTAATAGTCAACTCAAATACGTTCCTAAATTTTCACTGATGGCTTATGCAGGTTTTAGAGTATTCTGATTGGGTAAAGTGTGTTCCCCACCAGCCTTCTAGTGTTTCTAGCCACTTGTACATTATATGAGTACTTTACTATGATTTTTAAACATTGCGATATTGCTGGCCCTAGATGGGGCTGGCCCTCCATCTCAAAGAACACATGAACAGCTTGTTGGTACCATGCATATGATAACCTCTGATAGTTGCTAGGGCCAGAAATTGGTGGTCTCACTCCATAGAAAGTTGTTGTAGGCTTTATAATCTCAGGATTTTCCTGAATTAAGCTTTTTGAGGACAGGGGCTGTGCTTTCTTTTCTGTTTTATGTGTGATCTCTGCCACAGCCCTTGCTCTCAGAAGTACGTGTATCTTGATGTTTAGTAGCCAAGGAACTGACAAGTAAAGGTTATATTTTGCTGTTTTTTCCTTAAATTTTTTTACATTGCTGTCAGATTGGCGGAAGACTTATTAGTGGCCTACAGGATTCTTGGGTTAACACAAAATTCTACAATATTTTAAGGTCATGAAAGCCATGACAAATAAAGCTCTTTGTTACTTTTCTATTTTTTACGGCACTGACAACTCTGCATTTCAGTATATGCCTGTCCCCAACTCAATAGCTTTAATTTGTTTTTTCCCCAAACCAAATACCAGGCAAAGAGGCATTAACCAGAAATATCATCATGATGCACAATAGCACCTAGCCTAAATGTACTTTCATTGTCCAGATAGAAGAATCTATCTCTATATAACGTGGCAAAGAAAGTGGATGCCTAGCTTTGTTACTCTCTTTCTGTTCTCTCCTTGTATTTTTCTCTTTTACTTCTTAGTATATTGTGTCATAAGCCACATTTTAAAATCTCTTTTGGACCCACATTTATGAGGAATTTAAAAAATAATGTGCAGTGTATGTCGCCTTATGATGCAAAAACTTCCTTATGCACACGTTTAAGCACTTAGGGAAGAAGAGAGCATTTGACCAATGATGCTGAGCCTTAGCATGGTAGCTGTGAGTTCTTTTGGACGAGGCCACACACCAGGAAGTAGAGTAGGATGTTTTGTAGTGTATGAAGATTCCATATTAAGCTTGTTTTTCATCTTTGCAAGTTAAACAAAAAAACTTTAAAATTTTAAAGTGGATATGCATTCCTTGAAGACAAAATTAATAACAACCCCCAAGCATAATGTTGTTAAGCCAGGGATTGAATTAGAGCTGCCTTTTATCAAAAGTGCAATGAGGGCAGGGTAAAATATTGGTTAAAATATTTGCTCCACAAAAATACCCATTTAGCATCACAAGTAAGCACAATTCATGGCTCCCAACAATACTTGAAAAAGGGTAATTTTGTTAGGAATGCACAAAACTAAATAAATAAATCTGATAAATTAGAGATGAAGCAGCCTCCCACTCTATCCCTCCTGCCCACACCCATGTAAATCACTAACAGGGCTTCTCATTTCCATTGTCTTTCACTTCTCAACAGAGCTATCTTGTGCAGGTGGACCTGTGAGTTTTAGAGCCATGCAGTGGCATTCAGTAACTCTACTGTAGTTTCATTGCAAATATGCAGTGTTCAATAACCCTCAAAATTTCTCATTTCTTACCTGTGGTGATGTGGTTTGATAGTTTTTAGGTTATAGGTTGCAATATGCAGTAGAATCACAGGTATATTAGTTCAAAAAGTTTAAGCACTTTTGGAATTATTGTTTATTTCCTTGCTTCTGCATTTATATTTAGAACATTTAAATAGAATAAATTTGGTTTCTTTTTTGTAGACTCTAACAGCATAATTATAAGTGGTACAAAGGCATACAAAGAAGCAATAGATATCCATCCCACCCATTCAACATCACAGGCAGCCCAATCCATGCTGCCCAGCAGCGCTTGAAGAAGGATAATTTTTTTAGGAATCCATAGAACTCATCCTAAATCTTGTTAAAACCAAATGAAAAGAACATATTGAAAATTAGTATTTATTTTCGCTTCATAGTATTTGATTGGGAAGCCAAACATAAATGAATGTCAGGGATACCAACTGCATTTTTAAAATGTGATATTCTTTATGTTTATTCCTTTTTTATTGTTAATTTTTAGAGATAGAGTCTTATTCTGTCACCCAGGGTGGTGTGCAGTGGTACGATCATGGCTCACTGCAGCCTTGAACTCCAGCAATCCTCCTGCCTCAGCCTCCCAAGTAGCCAGGACTACAGGCACATACTACCATGCCCAGCTAATTTTTTTTTTTTTTTTTTTTCGAGACGGAGTCTTGCTCTTCGCCCAGGCTGGAGTGCAGTGGTGCAATCTCAGCTCACTGCAAGCTCTGCCTCCTGGGTTCTCGCCATTCTCCTGCCTCAGCCTCCCGAGTAGCTGGGACTACAGGCACCTGCTACCAAGCCTGGCTAATTTTTTGTATTTTTAGTAGAGACGGGGTTTCACCGTGTTAGCCAGGATGGTCTCAATCTCCTGACCTCGTGATTCGCCTGCCTCGGCCTCCCAAAGTGCTGGGATTACAGACGTGAGCCACCACACCCGGCCAGCTAATTTTTTATTTTAAGTTTTGTATAGACAGGGTCTCACTATGTTGCCCAGGCTGGTCTTGAACCCCTGGCCTCCAGCAATCCTCCCTCCTTGGCCTCCCAAAGTGTTGAGATTACAGGCGTGAGCCACCATGCCTGGCCTTAAATGTGGTATTCTAACACCAGTGTCCATTCATGGAGGGTTGGTATGTTTTTATTCATGAATGGCTGATTTTTGTTGTTATTGTCGTTGTTGTCAAGCAAGCTCATTTTGAGTCAGGTATAACATTTTGCTGCTATGCCATGGCATGTTCTCACAGAAAAATTAAGAAACAAGGGACTGGTGGTGATTGGAATAGAATCTCATTGTAAGTAATTTATCCTTGTACAAATCTAAGTGAATAACAGATCAAATCCAATTCCCTAAAACATGCCAGCTATGTATTCTATACAAGCAGCTTATCATGGTATATAGTATTAATTGTTGTAAAGGAGTTCTAATAAGCAAATAAGTTCAGATGCAGCCATTTATGCCACTTGACTTTTATCCTTCGTAGAATAACTAACATTTACCTGTATTTTCTACATTTATCAGAAGACCCCTTTCTCTTTTATTTCATTTAATCATAATCTTATGACATGAACCCGGTTTGGGGAGGCTCAGATCTAGAGCATGATTTTGGGGGACTAACATGGAACCATCACCAAATTCTGAGGTGCTGAAACTGCAGAGAATATTGTTGCCTATTGAGGACTAACCCCCAGAGCCACTGACGAGATCTGAGCTTGGGCCGTAGTCTCTCCCTTACCCATATCATTTCCCACATATGGATATCCACCCTCCTAAGTTTTTTGTCGGGGATGGAGAACTATATGGGATAATGCACTTAAGGTGCTGAGAAAGTGCCTAGAGAGAGCTCGTTATTAATTATCACTGTTCCAATCTGAGACATAGTGAATGAACATGGCTCAGCTGTGTTCCTTTTGTGTGCTCAGAAACACCAGAGATTCAGACCTGGGCCAGGGCCGTGATGCCCAGGTCTTTTCAAGGTATCTCCAAGGTATTCATCTGGAAGCTTTTGTCTTATGCTCTCCCTCTCACATCCATTTAGAAGGATACCAAACTGTGCTGTGTTTCCTCTTGGCCCTCCCTTCAGTTTGCCAGTAAAGTAGTTTCCTTTTCAGTGTTGGTGAATAGAGTCTCAAAGTCAGCATTGGGAAATGGATACTAAGCTATAACTCCTTCAAGGCAATAGCACAGAATACTGCAGAATACTACAGCACAGAATATTACAATAGCACAGAATACTGCAGCACCCAGTATTGTGCCTAACGTGATAGGTGCTCGGTAAATTTTATTGAATGAGTTCACGATGTCCTGAGAGGTTGGTGCTATCAAGTGACTCTCCCAGGTCACACATAGTAGCATCAAGACTGTGACCATACTTGGAGACCCTAGTCCGGTATCCTGCCCATAATAACTTGGAAGACAGCCAGTTATGGATACCAAGTTGCTTAGCATCTTCTTTGCAGTCACTCTTAGAGCAGGATTGATCAAGAGCCTTCGCTATTCGCATTACAAGCTAGGCCAGGTCACAAGGCTGACTGGGGCATGAGTCCAGAAGGCTGATGATAGCCATCCAGCAATGGACTAGTACAGCCATTGAAAGGAAGCACGTGTTGAACCTGGGGTTTCAGCGACTTCTGTTATGGTTTGCCTCCTCTGACGGGAAAATTGAAAGCTTTCTGAAATGCTGAGGAAATGCCATAGGAGTTGTCAGATATCTGAAAACAAGTGGGTAAAAACAGAAAACTACTTGTGCCAAAACAGTAGAATTCCTTTCTTCAGTTTGATTTCTCTAACCTGGTGTATTTAGGAAAAACTCAACTTCAGGTCTAACTCCAGTCATCTAGAGCTACTGTCTTGTAGTAGAGTAAGAAATTGAACCAGAACAGATTTCATTTAACCTTTCAAAAGTGAGATTTTCACACAGTTGACCTTCTTGACTTCAAGGAACAAAACGGGACTATCAGTTCTCTGCTGCATGCGTCAACAAGAGATGGGAGGAGAGCGCCCCAGGCGATGGCTGTTTTTCATATTTGGTTTGCCCAGAGAATGTACATTTTGGTTCACATATGGAAATCAGCCCTTTGTAGATAGTTACAGATAGGAATTTCCAGATGATCCTGTCTACCTTAGTCTTGTCTTAATGGAATAACCATATTTCTGTTTAGGAGTGGGTTAATTCAGCTGCCTTTCCAAGGTACCATGGAAAAATTCTCTAAGCCTGGATTCCAAGAAATACTACTATTGATGAGAATTAGAGCACTGGTGTTTTTCAAATGGTGGGTGTTGGTTTGTTTTGAGCTTGGCATAAATCACGTGTTGACCTTAGCTTGCTTTTTTTTTTTTCTTTGAGACAGAGTTTCGCTCTTGTTGCCCAGGCTGGAGTGCAATGGCATGATCTCGGCTCACTGTAACTTCTGCCTCCCGGGTTCAAGCGATTCTCCTGTCTCAGCCTCCCAAGTAGCTAGGATTACAGGCGCGTGCCACCACCCTCAGCTAATTTTGTATTTTTAGTAGAGATAGGGTTTCTCCATGTTGGTCAGGCTGATCTCGAACTCCCGACCTCAGGTGATCCACCTGCCTTGAACTCCCAAAGTGCTGGGATTACAGGCGTGAGCCACCATGCCTGGCTGACCTCAGCTTGCTTTTGAAAACCAGTGTATAACTTTTTGTCTTGGTTCAAAACTCATCTGACTCTTGACACTTCTTCCAAGTTTTTGTTTTCGTTTTTACTGTGCTATAGTGTAACTCTCAGGGTGGGTAGTTTTGTGAGGTCCATCACCCAGCTTGTTTCCCGGAAGATCCTTGGCCTCATTCAGACCATTCAAGTGCTCATGGTTTCTTGGCTGTTTGAGGAGCTCTTGATGTTTCTGGGAACCTAGATGATTTGCCAGCCCAGCTCTCAGGAGCCCAGCCTAGCAGGGCTTCCGTCTCCATCCACCATCAAAGAATGTTCAAGAATCTTGGCATCAAGTGGCAAGAAAAAAAGAAAACTACCCAGGATTTACATCTATATGTATACTAACGATTTATAAATCATGTGGATAAAGTTATGGCTAATCTTTTGAGGATGATTTCTCTCAACTACAGCTTTCCCTCAAGAGCCACTTCTTCCAGAAATTGATCAGCAAAGAAAGATCAAAGGAAAGCCCAGATTCAAGAGAGACCTCTTTAAAATTTTCCAGCAAAATAGATTCTCTTACTGACGAATGTATGCAAGTGGTATAGCACAGTGGTTCTCAAACCTTTTGGTTTGTGGGACCTCTGTATACTCTTAAAGTACTGAGGAAAATGAAGAGTTTTAGTTTATGTGGATATTCTTTTTTTGTCACTACACCAAATCTGGTAATGATATGGTTTCTTAAAGGTTATTTACAATGTGGAATCTGAAATCATATCGGTAAACTTTTTGTGCTCTGGTATATTAAAATCCATTGCTCTGTCTTGCACTTTGAGCAGATCATTTACCCATGCATGATTTTGTAACATCATGCCTTGGTCACTTAGAAAATACTGGTTCACTGACATGAAGAATTTCCAATTCATTATATAGTTTTTTGAAATCGCATTTGTTCATATCATCACCAGTCTCATCAGAAAAGTCTAAATATTGGGAAGCTGTTGAGCTCATCGTGGTGGATACAAATGTTCCAGTGAAAACTAATTGAAAGCTAGAAATTTGTCGTTGGTTACAAATACTGTCAGTTGGTTTTTCTTGAGGTTACAGGATCAGTTGGTTAATTTTTGAGAAGATGTCTGCCAGATACCCAGGTCTGGATAACCATAGTTATCTATCCGTTATTCTTTCAAGTAAAGATGGTATTATTTGAACAGAGTGGTTAGTTCAGCTTGCAGCTCAGACAGTTACACAGGTGCTTTTCCTGGAAACAAATACTGTACTTCAACACATGATAATAAAAGGATATATATTTAAAGGTTGCAATTTAATAAAATTTTACTTTCATTGAGGACTTTCTTTAGTGAAACTGGCTTAATTTTCTATTTGTTAGATCCTGAGCATGTGATGATGAGAAATACAATGATGAATAGTACAGTTTGGGGCCACTATGTTGTTGTTGTTGTTTTGAGACGGAGTCTCACTCTGTCCCCCAGGCTGGAGTGCAGTGGCGCGATCTTGGCTCACTGCAACCTCTGCCTCCTGGGTTCAAGTGATTCTCCTGCCTCAGCCTCCTGAGTACCTGGGATTATAGGTGCCCACCACCACGCTCGGCTAATTTTTGTATTTTTAGTAGAGACAGGGTTTCACCATGTTGGCCAGGCTGGTCTTGAACTCCTGACCCAGGTGATTCACCCCCCTCGCCTCAACCTCCCAAAGTGCTGGGATTATAGGTGTGAGCCACCGCGCCCGGCCACGGGGGGCCACTACTTTGATTGATGCTAATGTGCCAGGAGTTTTACCCATCATTGACTTTGCACCATTAATGCAAATGTCAACACAGTGAAAAAACACCAATAATATCATCGTAATATTATAAAAAATGTTTTGACTTTATGGACTCCAGAACCTTCACCTTTGACTGTAGCAATTTATCCTAAAGAAATGTACCCCAGGCCGGGTGTGGTGGCTCACGCCTGTAAGCCTAGCACTTTGGGAGGCTGAGCAGGCGGATCACCTCACGTCAGGGGTTGAAGACCAGTGTGGCCAACATGGCGAAACCTGTCTCTACTAAAAATATAAAAATTAGCCTGGCGTCTTCGCACATGCCTGTAATCCTAGCTACTTGGGAGGCTGAGGCAGGAAAATCGCTTGGACCCAGGAGGCAGAGGTTGCAATGAGCTGAGATTGTGCCACTGCAGTCCATCCTGGGCGACAGAGTGGGACTCCATCTCAAAAAAAAAAAAAGCCCAAAATTTATGTGCAAGAATATACATTGATGAATTATTCTTTTTGGTAGTAAAAAAAATTGGATATATCTAAGAATAAATGTTTATTAAATACATTATGCTATATCAATGGAAAAGTATATGATCTGAGCAATTGTAGCAACATTTTGTGAGAATAAAGACACAGGAAAATGTGAGATAAATGTTAACGGGGGAGAAAAGGAGGAAACAGATTAGTATATAAGGAATGATTCAGTTATGTGATAAAGATACTATGTACATATAGACAAGTGTAAATAAATAATTGGAAAGATAAATACAAGAATGTTAATAGTGATCATCTTGAGTGGTAGGGATATGGGTGTTTTAATTTGTGTCTTTATATTTCTGTTAGTCTAAGTGTTGTACAATAAGCATGTGTTACTTTTGGGGGGAGGGGTGTTGTTTGCATTTTGCAAATTTATTTTTAAATTTATATTCAGTACAATTCACTCTGGTTTACAGTTCTGTGAGTGTTGACAAATGCATAGAATCATATATCTACTACCACAGTCAAGATACAGAACAGGGTCATACTTTCTGGCATGATCTTCCATCTGCGACCCACCATACTGAATATGCTGCCAATCCCAAAGATGCACAGAATGAAACTTTGTAAGGTGTGTGTTTCTTTGCTTGGCAAGGAGTGGGTAGGTACATGATCTGTGAATATAAAATGAAATTTGAAGGACAATTCCCCCAAAGGACATTGGAGGAAAATTCTAACATTTCCATTGGAGCTTCGTCACAAGAAAATTTCAGCTCTGAGGATTTGGGAAAGAAAACTAAATCATATCTTCAATTCATTTCGTCCTTCCAGTGGGTCATGAAGACAGAGAACTTCAACGCCATGATCAGTGGTTCCAACAGTCAAGTAGTCATCCCTACGTATACTAGGGGTGGGGGGCAGTGTTCCATGTATACCAAAACCCGTGCATACTGAAGTCCCACACTTGACCCCGCAGAATCCTCGGATAGGAAAAGCCAGCTCACCATATGTGTGGGTTTCATGTGGTTTGGTCTAAAACAATCCATGTATAAGTTGACCCACACAGTTCAAACTTGTGTTCTTCAAGGATCAGCTGTATATTTACTACTATCGCTTTCTAGAAATTAAACCTAGATATTAAGCCATGTAAAAAGATAACTTTCCTATATTCAAATATGCATCCATTTTAACCTACTCAAGTCTATAGCTGAGTTTGTTCTTTTACAAATTTGAGCATGTATATAGATTCATACATTCACCACCACAATCAAGATAGAAAACAGTTCCTACAAAAACCCTAAAAACTCCCAAAATAGTCCTATAAAACTCCCTCCTGCTATTCCTTTATAAGCACACCCTCCTTCCCACTCCTAACTCTGTCAACTATGATATGTTCTCATCAGTAGAAATTTGTCTTTTCGAGAATGTCATATAAATAGACTCATACAGCCTTTGAGACTATCTTCTTTCCCTTGGTTCATTCCTTTTATTGCTGAATGTATTCTATCATATGGATCTGTCAGTTTGTTTGATCCATTTACTCACTGAAGGATGTTTGGATTGTTTCCAGTCTGGGGAAATTATGAGTTCAGGTGCTATAAACATTCACGTACAGGTATTTTGTCAGTGCGTAAGTTTTCATTTCTCTAGGATAAATATCCAGGGGTAGGGTTGCTGGCTCATATGCTAAGTGTATGTTTCACCATTTAAGACATTGCCAAACTATTTTTCAGAATGGCAGTATTTTTTTCATTCCCGTCAGCAGCGTATGAGAGTTCCATTTACTGGGCGTGCTCACTGGCACTTGATATTGTTGGTATTTTTTATTTTAGACATTTTAATATGTATGGAATGGTAGCTCATCATGATACTAATTTACATTTCCCTAATGACTAATGATGTTGAACATCTTTTCATCTGCTTATTTGTCATCCTTATATCCACTTTGGTGAAGTGTCCCAAGTTTTCCCCCATTTAAAAAAAATTGGATTTTTTTTTTTTATTGCTAAGTTTTGAAAGTTCTTTATATATCCTAGATACAGATCCTTTGTTGGATATGTGATTTGCAAATATGTTGTCCCAGTCTGTAGCTTGTCTTTTCATTCTCTTGATAGTGTCTTTCACAGAGAAAAAGTTCTAATTTTTATCAAGTCCAGTATATCAATATTTTTCTTTTATTGATTGTGCTTTTGATCTCATGACTAAGAACTCAAATATTATCTATGTCTATGATCCATTTTGAATTAATTTTTATAAAGTTAGGGCAGAGTTCAATTTTTTTCTTTGGTCTGTGTGTGTCCAGTTGTTCCAACACCATTTGCTGAAAAGTCTGTCCTTCTTCCACTGAATTGCTTTTGCACCCGTGTTAAAAACCATTTGAGCATATTTGTGTGGGTCTATTTCTGGACTCTTTGATCTCTTCCATTGATCTCTCTGTTTATTCTTTTGCCAATACCACACACCTTGATTACTGTAGCTTTATAGTAAGTCTTGTATAGTGCAATTCTTCCATTTTATTTTTTTCAAAAATGTCTTAATTCTAGTTTGTTTGCCTTTCCATATAAATTTTAGAGTCAGCTTGTCCTTATTAACAAAATTTTTATTGGAATTGTGTTAAATCCGTATCAATTGGGGAACAATTGACATCTTTATTATGTCAAGTCTTCCAATATATGAACACTTTATGTCTCATTTATTTGGATCTTCTTTGTTTTCTTCCATTAACATTTTATAGTTTTCAGCTTATGGGTCCTGTACATGTTTTGTTAGATTTATATACCTAAGGAGTACCTTTTGGTTCTCAAAAGAGTACTGAGGATCCATGAAATGTTAAAAATATTCTACATAAATGCATTGTTAATATGTAGCCTTTAAATTTTATTTTGTAAACCTTTATTGATTAGTTCAAATATTCAGCCACATAATACTGCCAAGTTTTTAAAATACCAGCTTTTGTATTGTAATTTTACTTTTGTAAAATTCTTAGATTTACATAAATATCTGTATGTGTATATACGCCTAGAGAGATTTCTAAAAGGATTTTTAAGGGTTTGAAAACCCTTTAAAAATACATGTTAATGAATTCTAATGTACCACTGAATAGTTAACATGTAATTACCATGTGCTATATATGAGAATATGAAAGTAAAAGGTATATATACTTTCACGCCTGTATCAAGTTGATTGTGTACTTATAAATAAGAAGGGAGTTAAATTTCTAAAACACAAAAATGAGTTCTCATGTGACCCAAAATAATTTTTGGAAAGCAAAAATAACCATTGTATCTTCTTCGTATTTATACATTTTTAGTGGGAATTTACCATGCTTCTTAAGTCTTCAGATTTATTGCTGACTCTTGACAAATAGTGGATCATTAGCATTGCTCAACCTCGCCTCTTCTCTGTTGTGAATATGATTGTATAAACCTAGGTGAGGAGTAGTGTGCATAGAAATGTCATCTTTCCTGTATCTCTTCTAGGGGACCTGCCTAATGATTTCATGACATCATCTGATCCAGTATGCTGAGGAATTATGGTCTTTCCAAGCTTTTAAAGTAGTTTTGAGACCTTCAGTTCTGTCACTACCCTCTCGACCTTGACTGTGACTCACCATAGTCTCTTTTGGACTAGCTTCAGCTTTCCATCTATAGGAAGTGCCTAGTTTTTTGCACAGCCTAGCACTCCATGAGCAGGGCCTGAAAGTCAAAATGGAGCAATCCCTAGGCTGCATTTCTCAATATTCCTTGTAGGAATCAGATAACAGAAATGGGATTCTGCAACTTCTTCAGCATATAGGAACTTGAGTGAAAATACAGGACTGCCCATCTTTTGAAATGTTTTGGCCTTCTTCACAGTTCCTGTGGGAACTTTGAAAATTTTTCAAACTTGTTTTACTTAGCTACCTGTCTACACAAGCATGTCAGTACTGAAGTAGGCTGTCTGAACCCTCCTCCCTAAACACCATTTTCCCTGCTCTCACACACCAAAAGTATTTAAAGTGCCTTCAAAAAGTGATTTTAAAAGAGGATTCCATTATTGTTAATATACATTGTATTTTGCACAGTACCTTGCAGTTTTCAAAGCATTTTTTATACTGTACCTAGTTTGTCCCTCACAGTATTCCTGTGAGGTATTCAGAGCAATACCCTCCAGTATTTCCCAGCCCAGGATGACCAAAGCCCACAAGTTTCCACATTGGATATCGTGGTGTTGTATTATATTCCACTTACATTGCCTTTTCTTCCATTCTCACTGCTTTAATTCAATTCCTGGTCATCTCGTTCTTAGCTTGCTAATCGATCTCCCTTGTCTTTGTATCAGTCCATTCTCTATATCATTTCCAGGATTATTTTTCCAAAACAGGATTAATGTCATCTTCCAGGTTAAAAACCTCCTGTGGTTGTTCATTTCTTACCGATTAAAATTCAGATTTGGGAGCACTGCATTAGGCCCCAAGCCAGCCTTTCCACCTTCTCTACCCTCAGTATCCCTTGCAGACCATCTGCCTGCCGCACTGGAGAGCTTGGCATTCCTCAGGGATCCCTTATGCTTGACTATCTCCACACTTTCACTCCTGCCATTTCCTCTGCGTAGTACCATAGCCCACCACTTGTGACATCCCACTTTGTGAAATTCTTCTGCCTTCAGTGGTACAGTCTCTGGAAAGCCTTCTTCACTCAGCTGTCCAGGCAAAATGTCTTACTGTTTTCTGCATGCTCTCATAACCTTTTGTACACACCTCTGTGGCAGCACCTACTGCCAAGTTGATTGGCTCTTTTTCCCTCACAGGCCTTGAGCTCCTTGTGAACACAAGCTGTGCTGTGTTGTGTTGCGTTTAGCTTCATGTCACCTGAGCAAAGCATAGTGCCAGGGACATGGCTGACACAGGATTTGCTTATTTGAGCAAGGGAGTGATTTTTGGAACCTTCAGAAAAGCTGTGGGTGTAGTATTTATGTTTGATGGAATACCCAATTCTTACTTTTTATTGTTAATGACTTCACAGCCAGTGGATGGCATTTTCTAAAATGTCATCTTTAATCTCTTGCTGTCTAAACTTCAATCACCTTAGGAATCTCTAAGAAATTAAACTTAGTCTTGCATCATACACATACACATATTTTGCAGGTTTTCACCTTAAAATTATTTTCTGTGTTTCTAGCTTGTTCTTGAACCACAGGTGTGGTATTGATCTTTTCTTTTACTTAATAGCACCTTTCCTGCCCTCACGACCATGACCAGGAAACTGGCTTCTTAGCACCAAGGCTGATTTTCAAATTCTTGTTGGTTTAGGTTCTCTTAAAACTAGTCAGTCATATCTTTTTCCTATTAACACCATAATTAAATACCCAGAGTACAGTTTTGAGAAGCCCTTAGCACCATGTGTATATACATGTGTATTTGTCTGGTTTTACATGCTCTTTTCCTAGCCCTAGCATGCACAAGTGCACTCTTGCACAAGAATGACAGAGCCTAGTTGGCTTTTGCCTCCTTTTGGAGAGCTGTTATATTTATTGGTCATATGCCCAGTGGACTTCCTTCCTGTTCCATACTTGACTGGTAGTTATGGAGCACCTAATTGTCTGACAGAAGAAGATAGTTCAGCAGAGAAGGCTCATTATAGAATTGTATGGCCTTGATTTCAGGGAACCTGTCCCCTTTGTCTACCTTCAGAATGGCTATTTCCCATTTTTGGAAGATAACTTGAGTATGTGGTACAGAATTAAGTATTTTCAGATAATAGTAATGCAGTATTTCATTTCTGTTCTGGGGTTGCTAGTAGAAGCAACTCTGTAGGAATAAGCTAGAGCAAAGGAGTGAACATGAGTTTAGATGGCTTTTCTTTTTGTCAGACCATCACTAGCCATTGATAGAAGAGCTGTACTTTTGTGTTACTTTCCTTTTGTCTTTAACAGATAGAGTGAAATATAATTTGCAACACTTGGAACCTTGTAAAAGACAACCAACCAAACAGATAACAAACCAAAAAGAAATCACCTAAGTCACACACTGGATAAAGCTTTCTCTGAGCAGCCTCTGACTCCTTGGACAGCAGTCCCTCCCCTTTCAGAATCCTAACACCCTGTCCCCACCACCACTCTCTCAGTGTTCTGTTGAGGGCAAGAGTCAGACACCTAGCTTTTGTGTTTGGCTTTAAAATCAAAGTTGTTTTATCATGTTAAACTGCCAGGACCATGTCTTCTTGATGTAAAACCCCTGAAACATCTATTACAATGCCATAGACTCAGCAGATACTCAGTTGTTGTATTTTTTTATTTTTGTTTTGTTTTGTCTTTTTTTGAGACAGGGTTTCCACTCCCTTTGCCCAGACTGGAGTGCAATGGTGTGATCTCAGCTCACTGTAACTTCTGCCTCCCCAGCTCAAGCGATTCTCCCGCCTGAGCCCCCCAAGTAGCTGGGGCTACAGGCAGGTGCCACCATACCCAGCTAATTTTTGTATTTTTGTAGAGATGGGCTTTCGCCATGTTTCCCAAGCTGATCTTGAACTCCTGGGCTCTAGTGATCTGCCTGCCTCAGCTTCCCAAAGTGCTGGGATTACAGGTGTGAGCCACCACACCCAGCCAACACTCAGTTTTATGTGAAGTCACACTCTCTAGAAGGATCTGAATTCCATTTCTGTATTTATAAGCATGTAGATTATAGGAACAACTCATTTTCTAAACTAATGCTTTACCTGGTTCTCTGGTAATCTTTTTTGTGATTGGAGGCCATCATCACAGAAGTTAGATATCCATCACGATGTTTGTCTTATGAGAAGAAAAGATGGGCTATTTGGAAGAAACAAATTAGGTTTTGGTAATACTAAGAGAATCAGTTGTATATTTCAGAAATTTAGGGAACCTTTTTATTTGTTGAATTTATAAGTAAGACATGCATGATGTCTAACCGTTACCTAACCAGAGAATTTACTTCAAGCCAAATTTTGAACTGCATAAATGTTAACGTTTATGAAAACGGGTTCTAAGCAATTCTTTTTCAGTTGTGGTGCTAAATGTCTGTAGTAAAAAGTATATAAATATATACTTGCATCTTTATGTATATTTCTTTAAAAATTTGTTTTATGATCTAAGGTTTAAAAAATTTGATAATGCTGGCTATATGCACACTTTTTTTTAAGTCAGGAATCGTTCCTTTTCTTCTAAAGTAGACAATCAAAATAAGCAGTTTGAAGAGATTGATTTAAGACAGCAAAATTGTTGTATCTTCAGCTGTGTAAAAGAAATACTGCACCTTGGACCAGAAAATGTATATTAGTGATGGTTTGGTTAGTGACTGCAAAAGCAAAATAAATACCATAGTATAAAATACAGTTTCACCTGACAGCATGTTTGACTAGTACTAAACATCTGCATTTAGGGAGCAGTTAGTACTAAAATGTGTTCTGCTTCTTTGCATGAAAATACATTAATTTGAAATCTTACAGTGCCTTTCTCACTGATTAATATTAGGAAGAGGTCTGGTCAGGTCTTGTTGATAATTTGTTTTCTAGAAACGTGGGGAAAAAGCATTTTTCACAAACCTATCCAAAAAAAGTTGCCTTATTTCTCCTCCTTAAGCCTTTCAATGACTTTGCAGAATAAGGTTGCATCATTGTTTATTTTGGATGTGGAAGGTTGATCAGAACATTGCTTTTTACTGTAAAACGGCAGTGTAATGACTTAAATAATAAACTTACAGGCACAGGGAGATTTTCTTCCCTGTGTTAGTTAATCTTTAAACAATCTCTAGCATTAAGAAAAAAGATACTGTTGAAGACCCCAGATTGCAAAAGCAGTGCCACTTCTTTTGAGAGCTTTGGGGCAATCCTCTGATGTGTAATTGCTTTACATCAGTCACAAGAGAGAGACAAGAATGTGCTTTCCTTGAACTTAACAGTTTGGGCAATTTTCTATAATCCAGTAAATACAAATTGTAGCTTGATTATTCATCTACGTCTGTCAAGCAAATTTTAATGGATGAATGAATGAGTCAAATCTATGCATGGAAATATACAAATGTGCAAAATATGGGTCTAATTACCAGGCTGCTGAATTTACACAAGGTCAGGTAAACAAGGCACCAGTGTAATGATTATTAATTGTTAATAATGCCTTTGGGAAAACATTCACATTTTCCTTCTGAATACCTAACAGTTTGCCTTTCTAGTCATTTTAAACTCTGAAAATTTTAGCTGGTCTAAAAAAACAAAAACATTTTTGTCCTACTTTTATCCTTTCTCTATAATTGCTTACTAATTTTTTTAGAATAAAGGTAAAATGTAATACATTTTTGAGGACCCTGTTGAAAATCATAGTTTAATATGATGGTGAAAGAATTAAGGGGGGTAGCATACTCACAGAACAGAATGAAATAGCTGCTATCTTTTGTCTTCATTGAAGGGAAGAGTATGCCCCCCCCCATCTTCCACCCTCTTTTCAAACCTAATCGACATTCTACAACACAAAACCAAGGTGGTAATAAAGGAAAGGAAATCAAAGCAGGCTTTTTTCCCCTCTATTTACCATAGTAAGTCAACATTTGACTCTGTCTTGATATTCTATAAAATGAATGTTGGAAAAAGAATAATATCAATGAGTAGTTTCCCATCGAAATGCCCAAGGGCCGAAATAATTGAGGGAATACTTGCCAAGGTTTTTCTTAGTTCAGTAACTCTTGATCACTGTGCAGTTGTGTAGCTGTGCTATCATTAAGGGCTCTCCATGTCTGGAAGGACACCCCCCTCTCCCAGCTTTAATCCAAAAGTCATAAATTGTAGAACTAACATGTCGTCTACGGGTCACCCAGGCGAAAACACTGCATCTTGAGAAATCTATCTTTGTGCCACTGTGCTTTGAAAATCTTTTGAATATTTTGCATTAATGGTGCTCCCGCAGTCTCTTGCTGGGCTCTCTCCTCATCTTCACAAGCTCCATATTGAGAAGTTTTTCCTCATAGTTAATCTAAACATTCTTCTCTCTGTTCTAGGCCTCACTTCTTACTACATACCTATGTTCAGTGTTACATGAGTATACCCACCTTCCTTTATGGTTTTTTCCCAAGTATTTTTAAGTAGCACTCATATCTCCCTTTCATTTTCGTTTTTCTGGAACTATTTATTTATTTATTTATTTATTTATTTATTTATTTATTTGAGATGGAGTCTCGCTCTGTCACCCAAGCTGGAGTGAAGTGGCACAATCTCGGCTCACTGCAACCTCTACTTCCCGGGTTCAAGTGATTCTCCTGCCTCAGTCTCGCGAGCAGCTGGGATTACAGGCGCCTACCACCACGCCTGGCTAATTTTTGTGTTTTTAGTAGAGATGGGGTTTTGCCATGTTGGCCAGGCTGGTCTTGAGCTCCTGACCTCAGGTGATCCGCCCGCCTCGGCCTCCCAAAGTACTAGGATTACAGGCGTGAGCCACCGCACCTGGCTGGAACTCTTTATTTTTAATCGTGATTGCTCTTTGTGGGTTAGATTATAGTGTATGTAAGCCAAATGAATTTGAGCAAATTTTTTACCTTAACTCTGTAGTTAGCATCCTATCCTATTTTGTATACCACTCTAGAATATAACGTACACTTTATACATATTTGTGAGTGCTATAGTGGTTTAATTAAATTTATGTAGCATTATAGCCAAACTCTTTATTCTGGCATTTGAGACATTATAAATCCAACCTTCCCTTTCCACAGACTCTATCATCCAGCAACACTGTCAAATTATCATTCCTCTAGACAGACCTCCTTGTTTTCACACAACTGCTGGGATTGTCGTCACCCACTTGCCATTTTTATCTTTTTCAATTCTCCTTCACCTTTAAGACCTAAACCCATCTCACTTCTAGGAAGCCTTTCGTGGACATCACAGCTATGGAATGTTTTTTTTTTTTTCCTCTGAATCCCTAAAGAACTTTAAAAGTATAACTTTTCTCCCCCCATTTTCTTTAATATAGTCTCTTATAGTCGTTCTTTTATTTGGCAAATCATTTTGTTCCCTATAAGGTTGTAGACTTCTGGAGAACAGGGGAAAGAAGAAAGACTAATATTTTTTTAGCTGCCAAACACTTGCTAAATATTTTTTACGTATGTACGTTTTTAAATGGTATCATTTAATTCTTGCAGCAACCCTGTGAGGTGGGTGGTATTTTTTCCATTTTTACAGGTAAGGAAGCTGAATCTTGTAGTAAACACAACCAATGTTAGAATGGTAATAATACATTGTAGAGCTGAGATTTAAGTTTGGGCCTCTCTGATTTAAAGCCTATATGCTCTTTTCAGAAAGCCTCCTCCATAAAAGAGTGGCAATTTGCTTCCTAATCTGCCAATTTACTAGAAAGTTCAAAAAACAGAATAGGTGTTCAGTAAATGATTAAATTTATGACTGTGGAAATCTGAATTGCTTTGACTTCATTTCTTTTACCTATCAGCTAGTGGTAATATGAATCAGCAATAAAATAGCCAAAGCCTTAGTAAGGGCCCTTTGTATTCTCACCAAAGGCTAGTAGTACATGAAAGGTTGACAGTTGTACTCCAACATTAAGGCTGTTTACTTGAGACAAGTTTTTTTTACTTGTTTGTCTGTTTTTAAGCTTTTCTCTTGTTGATTCCAACATTCACTGATATTGCTAAATGTCTCTTTTCTCACTTAGTATTTGTATTTCATTTTAAGAGAGTAAATTTCATTATATAATAGTAGCATGAATAATTTATGCCTCTGTCAAGGAACTATTAAAACACAGAGATTTTTAAATATGCATATTCTAAACTTCATATAAAAACTACGGAATGGAGTTTTTATTTCCTCTCTGAGTGTTTATTCAGGAGTAAACCTGGGCACTTACTAAAAAGCTATGGTCTTACTGACTTCAATTTAGGATAGAATGCTGAGTTGTAATTATGTCTATAGATAAGGAGAAATTGGTGTTTTATCTTTAGTAGAAAATCAGCTGATGTACTTTTTGGGGGCTTTTTACATTTTTTATTTAAAACAGGAGTTTTTATGAGGTGTATTTATTCTCAAAGAATTAATGATTATAAGGATTAAGAAGGATGATTGCCAACCTAAGAATGAAAAGAACTTTGATTTGATGAGCACAAGCAATGTGACTGAGCTTTGGGGTGACAAAAATACGATGTTTTAGGTATCTGGGGTTTCTTCTTATCAACTTCCACGCATATTGATAAGTTCAGCCTATTTTGTAAACAGTTACTAATGCCATAATGCATTTTCCCATATTTTCCATCTGAATTTTTACTATTATTGATTGAAGATTCAATTGAGAAATGTGTTTAGAACCCTGCTTTCCGTGGTAATCACAGGAGTCAGTGGGAAGACAAGAAAATTGTATTGAAAGAAATTGTGTGCGTGTGTGTTTTGTGTTTCAGCATAGATTATCTCTGCCAAAATAATAGCTGTCATTTTGTTTTTGTTATATTAGTGGCCCGTAGCTTACCACTACTCCTTTTGCCTTAGTTTTGCTTCTGACCGCTGGCTATTCCCATCAGCAAGAAGACCTTTTTAATTGAATGTCCAAATTTGAATGATTCTTGTCCTAATATCATTATAATCTTGATCCATTTCAAATTAGAGATCCCTAAGGTTGACTTCTCACCTCAGTTCAACAATCCTTTAACATTCAGAGACTTTGAAACTTCACTTCTGTTTAGAATTTCATATCATGCCCATCATGGGGGGAAAAGATGGAAAATGTATATGCTGAGCCTATAGGACCTCCTGCAGTGCTTATTAATCCTTTGTGGATCATTTGAAATGTTTCTAGTTTATTTAAGCTTTGCTGCTTGTATCAGATTGTTCCTACGAAAAAAGAAAAAGTGATCATGCTTTGAATTTTTAAAAATGATCTCACTTTCAAGCAAAAGCACTTTTATGCTCCATTAAAGTTGAATTTGCCAAACTCTTATGTCGCATTAACACAAGCTTTACTGGATAGATAAATGTGTTGTTCAAAGACCAACTTGAACTTTACCAAACTGCTTATTAAGATTTTTATCTTTATTCTTCTTATTTCTTAAATTATTTTAAAATAAACTAGTAAAATAGACTAGATAGGCCTAAAAGTACTACTTTAATGACAAAGTAATTTCTTCATTTGAGGTAAAAAAAATTAGTATAGATCGTAAGCTAATTGTTTATGAAGGCAAAATTAACGAAAATATTTTGATCACTTTTATATTTTTATATTTGTTTTATATAGTATCAATATCACAATAAAACTTGATTTTTTTTTAATTTGCATAAGTGATTTATTGTTTTGACATTTATAATTTTTGTTCTAGTCTATCATGCATCTTTGAAAATTCAATATTTTCTTGAAATGTTTAGTAGGTCAGCCAATAAATTGACTTTTTTTTATCCTTCTCAATTTAGTGGGTTTTTTCAATATGTGTAGGACATCTTCTGTTTTCTATGAATGATAGTGTTATATTCTTTGTTTCTATTTATTTTGTGACGATTTTAGCTTGGAAATAATCTTGGAATGTGTATCTTTTTGACCTAGAGTTACTCGGAAAGTTCTAGTCTCATTTGTACTATGTTTTCTGGCTCCCTAATACAATTATAAGGACTTAGTCTTTTCATTTTTAGTCTCCTTAGCCTTGAGGATTTAATTTAATGTGTTTGTTCTTCAGAAAGAATGTAAGCTAGTTTTCTACTTGAAACGTCTTTTTGTATTTTTAAATACATGAAACCTTTACAGAGGATTTGTTTTATCAAAAAATAACTTACATGCTCTTTTTTAAAGCATTAATTTACATCAATATTTATAGTGAACTTGAAAAAATATTTTAATGGTAATGAAAATATAATTTAATATCAAGCTAAATCTTTTTCAGCCCTCTTAGATTCCCCATTTTTAGCTGTTGAGTCACTGGAGTTCCTAATAAAGAAAAATGCGTTTTTAGGAAATTACTTTTCTAAGGCAAACAATAAATTGTACACACAGAGGGAAAGGAAAGGAGAACTTTTCACCTGCCTCGTGTAGGGAAAAATCTAAACAATTACATGAAACACTTAGCAAGTTATTTTAATATTACAGCTTTTCCATTTCTGAGAATGATGATACCTTGTTAGTAAGAAACTTTATTAACACTGACTTCTAGTGTAAAAATCTGCCCTGGATTCATTTTTCACTAATTCACTCTATTATTTTCTCCTAGTGTTCCCATGACCTTTCAGAAATGTGTAGTTCGTATTTTGTGCTGTACGAAAGCTGCCCCTTAGGTTGCATTGAGTAATGCAAAGTTGAATTATGAACATAATGGCAGTTCTCTGTGGCATTTCCAGTTCATGCTTACTTTTAGTTTGCTAAATTCATAAGTGAAATGTTTTTTAATGTTGTCCACGTTAGGGGAAAGGTTAAATAATGCTGAGCTTTTCTTCGTGAGCAAACGGGAAGAGTCATTTTGGTTGTTTGGTAGAAGATTGTGTTCCCATATTTTCATTCTTTGGCCAGCATAGATGGTGCACTGGATTGTTTTGGAGCTTTCAGACAGGACTTACATACATCTAAAATATTTCATAAACTGCTCGGGTAGCCAGAGTATTCTTGTATCACTGTGCAATAGCACTAAAAATCATCCTGGGATAAGAAATGTGAAGCATAACATTACTTCCCAAAGTCATGTACTTTGAGAAGCCTTGAGAAGAGGCAAGAGAGTAACAGTATCTATGAATTCTCTGAAAACTCTTGTTTCCAGTAGGAAGCCTGGTTACCCACCAAAAAGTAGGTGATGAGAATTTTTTTTAACTTCAAGCATAATCTTTCTAAAAATGTAATTTTACTTGAGATTTGCCTCTCATTAACCAACAAACCATATATTTTGGTCACATATTTAATGAATGCGATCATCATTGAGTTGTTTGCTGTGAAGGGACATAGAGAAGATGCACTGTTTTCCATTTTTCCAAGTAATATGGGTCACATCATAACCTGTAAGTAATCCATCACTAGGCAGTGGCTCCACAGCATTCGGATAAAAATGTTTTAAACATTCCTGAAAGAAGAAAAGCCCACAAATACTGCCCTGTATATTGCTGGGAGAGAAGATATGAGTGCTTGTATGTGGGAATTATTCTTTTGTCTTTTTAAGGCAGGTCTCACTCTGTCACCCAGGCTGGAGTGCAGTGGTGTGAACACAGCTCACTGCAGCCTTGACCTCCTGGTCAAGCGAACCTCCCAACTCCGCCTCTCAAGTAGCTGGGACTACAGGCGTGTGCCACCATGCCCAGCTAATTTTTAAATTTTTTATAGAGACAGGGTCTCACCATGTTGCCCAGGCTGGTGTCAAAACTCTGAGCTCAAGCGATCCTCCCGCCTTGGCCTCCCAAAGTGCTGGGATTACAGGCATGAGCCACTCTGCCTGGCCAGGAATTACTCTTGATCACACAAGTCTTTTATGGCAGTTTGGGACACTGGTCTTACATGTTGCTCACAGTGTCATCCCATGAAAGAGGCAGGGTAGGTACACTTGCAGTATCCATGGGAACACACCCAAAGGCTGATAGGGTGAACGGCTTGCCCAAGGCACATGGCTCCTGAAGCAGTGAGGTGAGAAGAGATCTTTGAGTTGGCTCCTGCCCTTCCATTTTGCCACAGGGCTTCTTTATCTACCTCCTGCAAGGAGGGCACAGTGAAGGAAGGTTCGGATGGGTTTTTGGACTCTCACAGGCAGCCTAGCCTGAGGGAGGCTAGAGTGTTCAGCCATCTGAATTAATCTCGATATCAGAGAGTTTAGTTCCCTCAGTGTAAAATTAAAAGAATATTTCTTCATCTGCTGCAATGCATCAGACACTATCCTAGACTATAGAGGCTCAAAGTTGAATGATAGCATCTCAGAGCTCTTGGGGGCTGAGGTGGTGGCCTTCTGTCTCCCTTTCTTCTACCTCTTTCCTTCTTTCCTCCATCCACAAACTTTTTGTCCTCTTATATATTAGCACGTTTGGACCTCTTCCTGCACTTAAAGTCATGCCTACCTTCATGCGCTCCAGGTGTCCCAGGTAAAAAGAGCCATTCCCCAAGCGATGCTGTTGAAACTGTTTTAATATAGACCCAGCATGTTGCTTGCCCTTAGCATTCATTTTAATTATTTGAAGAAAGTGATTCATACAAATATGTACAAAGTACAGCCCTTTTGAAGGTTTTTCACTTTAACAGTGACTTTACATATTATTTTGATAGTGATGTTCCTGGTATGGGCAGCGAGGATGTAAGCTGGGCCAGAAGAAGGATGAATCCTCTCTGCTTAGGGAATCAGTTTGCTGGACATGTGAATAGCTATATCCCCACTCCAGATAACTGTACCCACATAGTGTTATGATCTTCAATGTTTTAGTGACATTGTAAATGTAGCAATAGAGTAGAGAGTCTTCATCATTTCATACTGGTATGTAAAATGCCCCAGGTATGTGACCACTTGAAGCACCCGGCTTTTGTATGCTCAGTAACCTTGTGTACAGTTGGTGACCAGTTAGCGCAATATCTTAGTCCTTCACTCATCCCCAAGGAATTCAAAAAATTCATCCTGTTACGAGTGGCTTTCTTTCCTTGACAATAGTTTGAAGTCCAGCATGTAAAAATGTAAATCTCTCTGCTGGCTTCTAATGTGCAAGGCCTTCTGAGAGTGTTCCCAGGGAAGAAGAGTTGATTAGGTAGAGACTTCTCTGTTCTTAGTAAATTAATGACCTACTCCAGGCCCATTTTCTTCTTTCCTGGAGGAACACTCAGTGACAGTGCTTATGCAGCCATGTCAAATTCTTTAGTTTTATTATATAAAACATCAAACGAGGAGCCAAAGAGAATCTTTTCCTAACAGCATCTCCTAAGCCCTAGAATGGAATCAGAAGTAAGGCAATGGACTAGCAAATGGACAGGCATTCCTAAAATCATCTTAGTGTCGATGGGAGGCATGTTAGGCTTGCCACAGATGAGTGAGACATGAAAGTAGATTCAGGGGCTTGTTAGAAGATTCAGAGCTAGGTCAAGAGAGCTCTGGAGATGAATCTAAAGAACTTTTCTTTGAACCTGTTTCAATAACACATGAAAACATCTCCTAAGATGGCAGATCTTTTCCTTACGGTTCTTGCAATTTAGAAATTGTAGGCCCTGGGAATGTGTATTAAAATCCGTAGCAACCAAAGTATTCAGAGGGGAATAAGGTATTTTGGGCTTTGAGAGGGGCAGCATAATGGGCAGATGTCAGGATTAACAACTAATGATTGATACATATATATATTTTAAGCCTTTTATCTGTCATTGTAGCACTCTGCCTCAACCTGGCTTCTATATGTTTCACAACTTGATAGAATATGCCATTTAGTCTCATGATTTATACTTATTAAACCTTATTTGTATAAATACATGCCCATTTATCACTGTCACACCAGTGAGGACCTGCTCAAACACAGATTGCTGGGTGCCACCCTTAGAGTGTCTGATTCTTGGTCTGGGGTAAAGACCAGAGAATGTGCATCTCTAACAAGTTCCCAAATGATGCTGATGTTGCTGATCTCAGGCCCACATTTTGAGAGCCACTGCTGTAGACATTCACCGACATATATTACTCAGCCGGGAGCACTTGAATGAAAACAGTAGTAACACTAAATCCTAACTTAATGGTGGAGTAATGAGATTTAGTTAAGAGGAAATACTTTCAGTGCTAGGAATGTGTATATTTTGCTAACCTCAGTTATGGATAAATCATGAAGGCTTATGGGGAACCTTATTTTTTTTTTTTTAAATTATGTTGTAGAATTAGAGAATTCTCACACTTGAACAGACCTTACAGTCATCTATCCTGATGCAACACCCATCTTTATGAAAGAAGGGACTGAGGCCCTTAAAATTCAGCTCTGCCCCATTTCAAGTTGTGGTTTTTAGAGGCAGAGCCAGGAGAAATGATTGAATACTATAGTTTAATTTAAATAAGACTTATGTTAGGGAAGGGATCTTTTAAGAGGACTAATTTCCCAAATATAAAAGGAGCTATTTTAATATTTAGTCAACCATTCAATGTCCTTTAGCTAAAGTTTCAGTCCCAAAGTTGATTTTAGGCACTGTGAGACAAAGGTCTCTACAGAATCTGTAATGATTTTAATAAAGTTACTTTTCTTCAGTTGCAGAGATTCCTGGGTGGCTTAGTTCTTAGGTCCATGGACTTAGATCCTTGGGAAATCTGCTAGAGGCAGCCCGGTGGAAATGTTGATAAATATCACATTTTGAAAATATTAACCGTTGTAATTAGACCAAAAAAAGGAATATATAAAAATTGGAAGAAGGGGGAAATTATTATTTACAGATCATTCTAACATGGAAAATCCAATGAAATCAACCAAGAAACTATCACAGACAAAAAATTTTAATAAGGTTACTAGTTATAAAATCAGTGCTAAAAATCAGTAGCTTTCAGCTGTATACACACAACCGATTAGAAAACATAATGAACTCTCATTTATAAATGAGATTATAAATCTCATTTATAATACAGGTTAAAAAGAGGAAATACCTAGGAATAAACTTAACAAGAAATGTGCTAGATATATTTGAACTCTGAATGGCTTAAAAGAAGACTTGGGTAAATGGCAAAGCATATATTCTTGGCTAGGACCACTCAACATTTTAGGATTGTCAGTTCCCCTAAGTTTATCCATAAATTTAAAGCTTCCTCAATTTTTAAAAGAAAATCGCAGGAAAATTCTAACAGAGAAAATGACCCACCAGTCCTACCGGTTTTTACAATTAGGATATTTAAAATATTTTGGTGCAAAAATATTTGGTGATTTCAGTGGAGCAACTATAGAAAGCCCATAAATAGACCCAAAGTTGCATTTTGTTTTTTAAAAGGGGGTAGTTCACGTCAGTAGGAATAATCATCTGGAAAAAAATACAGTTGATTTCTTCCTTGTTCCTTACACTGAAACAACTTTCAGAAGGATCAAAAACTTAAACTTAGAAAATGGAACTATAAAAGTAATGTTGTTAATAATTGTGGAATTGAGAAGACTTTTTAAATAATTGAGTTTATTTTTTAGAGCAGTTTTAGGTCACAGCACAATTTCAGAGTAAGGTACAGAGATTTCCCATATACTCCCTGCCCCACACACGTATAGTCTCTCTCATTATCAACATCCCCTGCCATAGTATGTTTGTTACAACTGATGAACCTATATTGATACATCATCACCCAGAGTCCATAGTTTATGTTGAGGTTCATTCTTGGTGCTGTGCATTTTATAAGTTTGGACAAATGTTTCTAACATACCTCCACCATCACAGTATCCTACAGAGTGCTTTCACTGCCCTAAAAATCCTCTGTGCTCCACTTATTTTGGAAGACTTTTAGGTAATATATAGCCTAGGAAAGGGTATAGGGAATGGAGCACTCTCATACACTGTTGGTGGGCATGAAAAATGGTACACCTTTTGGACAACAATTTGGCAACATCATCAAGATTGTAAATGAACATACCGTTCTACTTTGCAATTCTAATTTGGGTATCTCTCCTTACACATGTACAGTCCTTACAGATATTATCAAAGGTACTATACAAGGATATTGCTTGCAGCGTTATAATAGTAATAGTAAGAGACTGAAGACAACCTGTTGTTGATCAGGAGAGAATTCCTTAGATTATTACTATCATATAATAGAATTTTGTGCAACCGTTAACAAGAACACTGCAGATCTATATGTACTGACAGGACATAATTTCCTCCACTTTTCAGTGAAAAAAGCAGGATTTAGAACAGTGTATATGATAAACTTTCATTTGTATTTTTTAAAAAATTAGAGATATTCATAATATGATAATACATTTTAATTAACCTGTTTGGGTGTGGTGGCTCAAACCTGTAATCCCAGCACTCTGTGAGGCTGAGGCAGGAGGATTGCCTGGGCAATATAGTGAAACCCTGTCTGTATTAATAATATTTAAAATTTAAAAAATTTTAAATTAACCCAATATATCCAAAATGGCATTTTATTCTGTAATGAGTGTTAAAAATACCACTAAACTATTTTATAGTCTCCTTTTTTGAACTAAGTCTTTGAAATTTGCTGTATATTTTACACTTGCAGCCCATCTCAATTTGGTCTAGCCATATTTCAAGTGCTCAACAGCCACATACAGCGACTGGCTCATATATTAAGTAGCATAGATGTAGTATGTAAAAAGCACTGGACTAGAAGTTCAGTCTACATGCTGTGTGACAGTGTGCAAAAAACGTACTTTCTTCTGGGTCTCATTTTCCTCACATACAACACAAAAGATTAGACAAGAGCTCTAAAGTCTCTTCCAATTTTAAAATTTAGGGTTTAAATATATCATTTCTTATTACTTGTCAAAGTCAAGGGTGTAATTGTGGTTGCTTTCCATAGACACTGTTTTCACCAGCACTCCTAAAATTCTGTGATTCTAAGTAAAGCACATATTTTAAGAACTATATTTTATTGTCAGATTGAGGTTGTTTATTTGTTTAAAGGAAGAATGTTATTAAGCTATGTACATGATGTAAACCATTTAGTTCTTGTAATACAATTAAGTCAGATTTGAGGCTTTGATAATTCTAGTGCTGCATGGAAAACTTGGAAGAGCAAGAGTGAACCACCAAAATAATATCTAAAGAAAGAGTAAATGTAGAAAGAGAAAAAGAGTTGAGAGATAATTTTTTAAGTACAATTCTGTTTATGAAGTTCATTGTTCAGAAAATAATCACCGGTAGTTCTTTTTGAACAAGAGAGAGAATGAGAATAATAAGGTTCTCAACCTTAGCTGCACATTAGAATCACTTGGGGGAACTTCTTAACATCCCAAAGCTCATTTCGTATCCCAGGCTGATGTTCTCCAACTGAGGTCCCAAACCAGCAGCGGCAGTATCACCTGGGAACTTGTTAGAGATGCAAATTCTCAGGCCCCACCCAGGACCTACTGAATCAGACACTCTGGGGGTGGCGCTGTGTTGTAACGCTGCCCTGGTGATTCCAGTGTGCCACCAGAGTTAAGAATTCTGGAGCAAGAAGTATTTGGAACAGGGTTAACAGATGGGTTTTATATTGAGTGCCAGCTTCCATCCTATAGTGGTCTTGAGGACAGAGTTGGAAACGGAACTGCAATATACCTGCTAAGTGTTTGCCATTCCTGATTTAGTGATTTGGGTAATTTATTAACATTATAGAAGGTTGGATGTTGCAATCACTCGTAGATGAGCCTTTCTAAACAAATATATGTCAAGCATCTCAGCCAGTTGGCAAAGAAAAAAGGCGAAAAGGGAGGAAAAGCAGGAGAAAAGAAAAAAATCACATTGGAACAGAAGCCACAAAAGAAGGGGGGAGGAATATACAAGGTAAAATGTTATAAGTGAAGAAATTCCAGGTAGATTATAAAATATTTATATGTAAGGGTTTCTTGAGTTCAAGTGTGATGGGGATTTTAGGCCCATTTCAAGATCTATCATCAATTCTATCTGATCAAAAAGTACCAAAGGCTTGTTCAGCCCTTTAATTTGGCATTAAGGGTTATATTTCTTCTTAACATTCAGACTTTTGATAGGAATGCACTTAATACAGGTATGGTAAATTTGGAGTGAACTAAGCCAGAAAATAAAATATATTTTCAAAGTGTAAAGAAGTTATCACTGACTGAGAAGGAGTTAATGTGTCATATATCCTTTTGATTTCTACTCTTTGAGAGAAATCACAGTATCTATAATTTCGGAGGCATATTCGGAAGAATGTTAAATTGTGATTTCTCTATGCTGAATCTTAGAGATCTGTCAGGGAGTCTTCAGCCCTGACAAAATAAGAATGGACCCATTATAGTATCAGGTCCATTTGATTTTTCAAAAGTTAAGGGAAATATGCAGATCGTTTCAGAGACTTCTCTTTTTGCTCTTGCTTGTTATAAGACAGATGAAGGGAAGCAAACTGGGCTGTGTTTAGAATGCATCTGGAGCTGCTTCTCTCTCGAGATCTCGGCAGTATAACTTCTGCAAGCCCTTTCTGTGTGTATTTTTCTTTTCTCATCCTGAAATATTCCATCTTGCATGAGAAAGTCAGCTTTGATAATTTCCAAAAGCTAAGTATTATGACAGAATTTGTGCCTCTTAGAAAAAAACTGCTCCTTTACTATAAAATAGAACCTACCTTTTATACCTGAGTAAAAAATTCTGATAAAACTTTTCTAATCGTATTTATTATTGAAAAGATTATTTTTGAGGTGGTGTTTACTAAAATATGTTGATTTTTATATTAATTTCTGAATACTCAGTTTATATTTTTAGATTGTTTTGTGAATTGGGATCTCTGAGTATAAAGTGGTTTTCAGCACATTGGTGATATTGAACATCTTCCTCAAATAGCAAGCATATGCATTTCAACAGCTTTCGGGACAGTACTACAGTTAATAATTTCTTTACAAGACAAATGTATGCTTTTTTATTGTTAGCATTATTTTCTCATCTTATGTTCTGGCATTTAAATTATGAAACTTCATCTCGGCATGTAGACTTACCTTGTGTTGCCAAGAGGAAAGAAGTGGCTTTTCTGCAAAGCCAAATAGTTTTTACTTTATTGTCTGCTATGAAACAGCTGCTGATTCCAGGAAAATGCCGTCTCATCATTGGGCCTGGGGTGTCCAAAAGAGGCAGGAAAAAAAAATGACTGTAGCTCCCTGTCTGCCCTGGCACTCTCCTCCTTTCTCTCATTTTCATTGCCATGAAGAGCATGAGAACAATATTCTGCAATTAAGGATTCCATTAAGTTGAAGAAAAGAGCAAATGGGGGATGTTTGTTCTCTAAGCTGAAAAAATTTGTCTGGGGTCGGGGGGGGGGATAGTGGTAGTGGTATGGAGAGAGGTGGGTGGAGAGACGAAGTCAGGGCTGTTTGTTGAATATACTGTTAAGGACTGTTACCATCCTAATTAATCAAGTTAGAAATTACAGCTGTAGTCGGTTTCCCCCCAATTCTTGTTATCAATTTTCTTCTCTTTTGAGACAAAGCAAATATAAATTTTGTGTTCATTTGTCATTCGTTCTTTGACTTCAGCATCTCTGAAAATAACAATGTAGCACAAAAGCCCAGTATTTACCTAGTTGTAATGTGGGTTGCCATGGTGTTTTGCAAATTATTGCAATTATGTTCACCATGCGAGTCGCCCTTGGTAACTGGCGAAAAAACTGATAATCCTGTTTTGAACAAAAGGTCAAATTGCTGAATAGAAAGTCTTGATTAACTAAAAGATGTACAAAGTGGAATTATTTCCTACCATTCAGAAATAGTTCTTGATCGGGTTTGGGGGAGGGGGTGAGTAAGTACATCTGATTACTGAAGTACAAAGCATTGAAAGGATGTTGTCTTGAGCCTTTCATGTAGTCTTAATGGTGGCTTTTTTGTCAAATTTACCCATTTGCGGCATTGAAAGAGGCAGCTGCATTTAAGCTGGAGAGACGGTGCTTTTTCAAGAGTTCAGTGCATGGAAAGTTCTCAGCAGTATCTGCAGTTTACTAGTAGCCCCTGGTCTATTAAAACTGATGTGCCGCATTTGAGCCCATTGCTCTCAGTACTTGTGAACCCCTCTGGCTGATGATCTAATAAAGTGCTCTTACTGGACAATCTCTGATCAGCTACTTAAAAAGGAGGCTGGAGGAGGGGGCCTGAGGGAGAAGCCTCACAGGCAGTGAGTCTTGGAGCAGGCCAGAAGAGTAAAGACAAGTGGCTAAACTGAAAGGTTTGTCACCATGATGATTTGTGCTAAGGCGTTTGCCACAGGGTTTTGGTTTTTGTGCCCCAGATCTCCCAACTGTGATCATGCTTTTTTTCTGAAGAGAAATTTTAGTTTTAAGTTAGATAAGAGATTAGAAGTGTCTCTCTGAATGTTAAAATCTACCTTGCAATTGTTTCTTAAATTATGGCCATTCAGAAAATATATAATCCTACATTCATGTAAAACCAAAAGTTTCCCATGTTGCAGCCAAAGGTTAGATGGATTTCTTCTCTTCTGAATCTGGCAGAACATCTGCAGGGAGTGAATTTTGGAGGGAGGGAGTTTTTTTTTGTTTTTTTTTTTGTTTTTTTTTTAGTGACCACCTGAAAAATCAATTCTCAAAACTTTTGAGAGTGTGTGAAAGTGGCATGAAAGCAAAGCAAACCTTAACAAGTTTGTGGGTTTACATTCTACATCACCTAGCAACCTCCTGACTCAGCCAGATCTCTTGTCTACCCTTAGTTCTGTTTACAGACTATTCAAACGGCCCTTCGAAACCATGAAAGATATTCAGTTTCATTAGTACCATTCTCAAGGAGAAAATAATTAAAGTTAAATGAACAAACATTGCCTGGTGATAGTTTGAACTCCATTCTGATTTTAAGATGTCCTTTGAGGCAGTAGTAGCTATAGTTCAGTTTTAACATTTGTCGTTCACTACCCAAAGGCATATCACTTGAAACCATACCAATAAATACTAGTCTCTGAGCAAACAAACAATAAAAATTACTTTTAGCTAGACTTGAGCAAAGAAAAACTCTTCTGGTAAGAAGGTTTTAAGCATGCATGCCATTCCAATTGAATTTTGTTTTATTTGATTCTTACCCCAGGACATCTGAGTTGATCTGTGTGCACACTGAATAAAGGCAGGGGAGAGGGCGTGGGGAACAAGGCACCTTTCTTTAAAACTGATTTATTACCTACCTTCAGAGATCCACCATCATAAAGAAAGGTATTCAAATCATATTCCATAAAAGACTGGGTGCATTTTAGTGAATGGCTTAATTTAACAAATGATACTAATACTACTAATACATACCCTGTCACTTTCTCATTGAGAATTGCTTATGTGATTAAATGGACCTATTTTTGAAATTTTAGATTTAGTAAAAAAAAAAAAAAAAATTTTTTTTAAGAACAGACTATTTTTTTTCATGTGCCCTTTCTTTCCCCATAAGCACATTCCCTGAAAATTTATCTTGGCAGCAAGCATACACATGGTATAGCTCAGAATATTTTTCAGCTGTGTTAGTGATTTAATTATATTGCAAGCTCTTGGCAAAACTGTCTCCTCGTTAATAATTCTGATTATAAGAACAATATACACTTGTTGTAGAAAATTTTGAAAATACAGAAATAGAAGAAGAAACCACAGAGATTACTAGTGATAGCATTGTAGAGTATTTCCTTCCAGTCTTTTTTTTGTGCATATAGTGATGAAACCAAACCTTGAGTTCACTTTTGAAGTTTATTCATTATTGTGTGTACATAGCTAAGGTGGTGGTTTTTTTCAGAAGTGAAGACTTGACAGGCAGGAATGGCGTTGGAAGTAATGAACAATTTTTCTTAGAGGTTTCATCACTAAAACATTAATATAAGCACCAGAGTAACCATTTTACCATCTCATTCTATTTGATTCTTTCCTCCTTTCCCTTGTTGAAATGACTATGTGCCTTACCTGACACATCCATTTATTATCATTCATGTTAGAAAGTCAGACATTCATTACAGTTGGAATGTTACATCCCCAAGTCACTTGTAGCTTCATATAGGGGGAAAAAAGTATTTTCTGAAAAGATTTGTAATATAATAGAGATTAATGGAATGTGGAAAGGAAAATGCTTTCGGTTTCTCATATAAAATGAAAGCAGGGTGGCTAGAAAATCTTGTATTCTTGTTATTTGTATTTTGTTAGATCTCTAACATCCACAGTACATGACTGGGTTGCATGAGCTCTTTGTGTTTTGTTGACAGTTGACAGACAAAGCAAAATTATTCCTGAAGCAAGGTACTGTGTACTTAGTTGTGACCTATTATAGCCTAGGAATGTAGCTTGCTTTTGAGTTGGATGAATAGGGAGAGTATTTTACAGAATAGACTTGAATATACTAAGAGAGGTTTTTTAGTTGCCCATACAGAAAGATACATGTCCTCTATTGAACTTTTTTCCCCAAAATGTAATTTTCCATATAAAGTCTTTTAAGTATATTTTCCCTGGTTGCTTGCATGGAGACAGTTTTAACTGTTCTGGTATTGTCCTCTAGGGGTAAAATACAATTGCTGGTAATTGTTGGCCTTCTGTGCTCACAGTATAACGAGAGAAGATGGCTTGCATGGGGGCTCTTTAATGTACCTCAGGTACATCTTCTGATGCTCAAGCTCTGATTGCAAATTAAAATAGCAAGGCTCTGTATTGGATTTGATGTGAGGCAAAGCAGACCAAGTCGCTAATTTATCATGTAATATACAATCGCTGAGGCTGGAATTTGTCCACTTGTAGTGCTATTCTGTGTGTTTAAATGAGGACCACTGTTTGCATCCAACCTATCATAACAGTTTGGGAGTGCTCCATTATCCTTTCAGCAAACTGATGGCAGAGTCTGGTCCTTGTACAAATGATAAGATCAATAAGTTTCAAATAACTTGGATGAAATGACATATGACTGTTCATTTAAAGAGATGTCTTACTTAAAAAATCAATTTTAATAATATTTAAGATTCTTACATTGACCGATGAGGCACTTTCTACTTCTGTTTTGATAATTTTGTTCAAAATATTCTTGTATTAACTTCGGTGAATAGTTAGTTTATGTATTTATTTTTCCTGATTTACTCTTTCATCTCCTACCCTAGTACCTTTCTGGGACTTAATAATCACTCTTTGACATGCCAGCATGCTGCAGTGTAGAAGATTTAACTTTAAAAGCAAAATTATATTCCTGTTAAAACTTCCCCTGGAGATCTTAGGGAAATTTTCTCCCAGTTTTGGGTACAAATGTGGGTCAGAAAGCAATTTGTTTTTTGATATTTCTGGAAATTCCAAATCACAACATGTCATTCTTCAAAAGCAGCTGTGGGCCCATACTGTGCACTATCTATAAGGAGACCCATTTTTTGCCACTGGGGATAATTCTGTGGCAGAAAAATGTGCCTGCAAGGGAACCCCGGAACATTTATAAATGGTTTAGGGTGAAAAGAGAGTCTGATGTTCTCAGAGTACATCTAGTTTTGGTATAGGGGTGGTTAATGGCCATTATTGAAAACTAGTAATAATCTGATGAACTCAAAGCATGCATGCTGCCAGACCCCGTCCTGTGACCCTGTCACTGCATTCCTGGTGAGCCATTACAATTTAAACTAAATCGTACGTCACTGCAGAACCATGCTGTCTCTTGAAAATCCGTGAATCCGGAAATAAAGCAAAGACAGCCTCCTCTTCCCCTGCTGCCTGTTTTGCCGTCTATATCTTCACTATATTTTAGTTTGATCAGGAAAAAAATACGAAAATTTCACTTATGTTGACTACACAGTTGTAATATTTTGCATTCAAATTGAGAAGCAGCACCACCTAATCTTACTGTTTATCCATTATTTTAGTTCTGCGTTTTGTAATAACACCAGATGGACACTGACCAGGCTCTTTCCTGGTTAAAATGGTGCATTTTTAATAGTGCACTGTCAGCTATAGCTTAGCAATAATGTTCCCCAATACCAGAGACAGGATAATAACAATATTTTACATTTACTCAACATTTTTGTGAGTTTTCTTATTTGATCCCCTGAACAACACTAATAGAGTAAATATTACCTCCTGTTTTATAGATGAGGAAACTGAGGCTCAGAAAGAGGTTCAGTGAGTTGCACAAAATTATCTGTTAGTAAATGGGAGGAAAGAAACCCTACTCATGCAGTTTTTCATAACCTCAATTCTGTATTCTTCGTTGATTGTGAACCTTTGTGGTAGAGACTGGGGAGGACAGTACCAGCTCCAAAACAAATTGTTCCCCAGGGGACCGACCATCCATGTAGGTAGGCAAAACAAGATGGTAAAATAAGATGGTTAAGAGACAGTGCACCGCAGTGTGTGTTCAGCGTTAGGTGGAATAAGGAAGAAATCCCTGTGGATCGGGAAAATTTCACAAAAGACGAATGGAACTGATGATCAAGGAATCGACCTTTTAGGCAGAGGTTCTCCAGCCTGTATAATGATAAGGAGGTGAAAACAGGCAAAATATGGTGAGTACAGTGAGAAAACCAATCTGATTGGGCAGTAAGTTTGTGTAAGAGAATGATGAGAAAGGGCAGGGGAGTGGGATGAGGTTGTAAGGATTTGAAAGCCAGGCCAATGAATTTGTTCTTAATTGTTTGTGGAAGGTGTGTGATTGGGAGATGGGAGTGGAGAGCCCTTTGCATTGGATATAAGAGAGAACGGAGTCAGGGAAACCAGGGAGGAGGCTACTGAAATAGAACAGTCTGAGGTCTGGCTTTGATGAGGTTGGTGGTAATGGGACTATAAAGGAAAGACCAGTGGACAAACTTGGTGACTGATTGGAAATGAGAGGGGAAGGGCCCACTATGTATTTGACTCAAGTATGCAAACTACTATGCATTGTTATTTTCCTTATTGTTTTTTATAAACTTGCTCCTCTACATTTTTATTTGATTGCTTCTGTTCATTTATTCAGAAGACTTTTAAAAATATAACTCCAACTTTTATTTTAGATTTAGGGGGCACACGTGCAGGTTTGTTACATGGGTATATTGCATGACACTGAGGTTTGGGGTACAAATAATCCTGTCACCCAGGTAGTGAGCATAGTACCCAAGAGGTAGTTTTTCAGCCCTTGCTTCCCTCCCTGCTTTAGTAGTCCCAGAATCTGTTCCCACCTTTATGTTCATGTGTACCCAATGTTTAGCTCCCACTTATAAGTGAGAACATGTGGTATTTGGTTTTCTGTTCCTGCATTAATCTGCTTAGCATGATGGCCTCCAGCTGCATCCGTGTTGCTGCAAAGAACATGATCTCATTCTTTTTTATGGCTGCATACTATATATTCCATGGTGTGTGTGTGTGTGTGTGTGTGTGTGTGTGTGTGTGTGTGTGTATCACATTTTCTTTATCCAGTCCATTGTTGATGGGCACCTAGGTTGATTCCATGTCTATCATGAATAGTGCTGCAATGAACATATGAGTGCATGTGTCTTTTTTGTAGAACAGTTTATCTTCCTTTGGGTATATACTCAGTAATGCAGTTCCTGGGTTGAATGGTAGCTCTTTTTTAAGTTCTTTGAGAAGTCTCCAAACTGCTTACCACAGTGGCTGAACTGATTTACATTCCCACCAACAGTGTATAAGCGTTCCCATTTCTCTGCAGCCTTGCCAGCATCTGTTATTTTTTGTCTTTTTAATAATAGCCATTCTGACTAGTGTGAGATGGTATCCTATTGTGGTTTTGATTTGCATCTCTCTGATGATTAGTGATAAGCATTTTTTCGTATGCTTGTTGGCTGCTTATATGTCTTTTGAGAAGTATCTGTTCATGTCCTTTGCTCACTTTTTAATGGGGTTATTTGGTTTTCACATGTTAAGTTGTTTAAGTTCCTTATAGATTCTGGACATTAGACCTTTGTCAGATGCATAGTTTGCAAATATTTTCTCCCATTCTGTGAGTTGTCTGTTTACTCTGTTGATAGTTTCTTCAAAAGATATTTTTGAGGACCTCCTATGCTCTACAGTTTCAGATCTAGATGATTTCTGTGTGTATAGCCTTCTACAAATACAAATGTACACAAATGAATAACAGTTTGTGTTTAAGGTGCAACTACTAGGAACGCCTCAGTTACAAGTGGAAATTGATCCCTTTTTAACATGTGCAGAAGAAGCCATTTTAGTTGAGGCCTCAAAAATATAATTTAGTAATCAGAACCAATCAACATTTGACACAATTTCATACACAATGATTTTAAGGAATTAGTGATGCTGAGATTAAAGCAACAAGTCATAGAGCTTGGCATATTTTGGTAAAGGTTTGTTTTGCTATTGGACAGGCTGACTTCACCTCTTTTGAACTTTCTATTTATAAATGTGGCTAAGCCAGGCAACTAAAAATTTATTGACCTTATTGCTATTGGTTATGATAATTTGTGTGCGGCATTACGTAATAAAATTACGTATTTGGATAGCAGACATCCTTAAAGTGATTCTAGAGGTTTTTATTAAAATCCAAATCTTTTTATAGGTTGAGTAGTTCCAAGGAACTACACTTTTATTAAAAATGTTCTCTTCTGTTTACTTGTCAATGTAGCCTTGGGCTGTACAGGCTATATGTTATTTCTGAAAATGAGGAATGAAAGTAAGTTAAGTTTTGTCTTTGTGAGTGATCAATCAGAGTGAACTTATGCAATATTATTATTTTCATTTGCTTTGTTTTTGTCATTTTTAAGAAACAAAATTCAGTATGAGATCTTATAAGATTTGCATCATCATGGAATATTTTCAAATACCTGTTATATTTATTTATTTTTATTAAAAAAAATTTTTTTGAGACAGGATCTCACTCTGTCACCCTGGCTGGAGTGCTGTGACATAATTACAGCTCACTGCAGCCTTGACTTCCTGGGCTCCAGCCATCTTCCCATCTCAGCCTCCCGAGTAACTGTGACCGTAGGTGCGTGCCACCACTCCCAGCTAATTTTTGTATTTTTGGTAGAGACAGGGTTTTGCCATGTTGCCGACGCTGGTCTTGAACTCCTGAGCTCAGGCAATCCACCTGCCTCGGCCTCCCAAAGTGCTGGGATTACAGGCATAAGTCACCATGCCCAGCCTATATTTATTTTTTAACAGCACAAATGTTCCTTGAAGGTTAGATTTAGCTAGCCGGTTGGCATTTGTTGGGGGAACAAGGGGTTAAATAAAATGTACTTTACAAAATTGAATTGAAGCAAAGCATATATTTAATATGATTAGGGCCTATTTCCTACATAGAAGAGTTTTGTTTAAAATACACCATGACCAAAAGCTTAATTATCAAAATAAAACAAGAAGCATAAAGAGTTACAGGCTTCTAATATTTTTTTCAGCCCCAGTTCCCTTCACACAGTTATCAGCATGTTTAATTTCCATGCATAATAGCACTAGTTATTGTTGTCATTTGTAAAGGGAGATTAACAGATAGTAAGTACAAACAAACCCAAATAAGCACTGAATAGAGAGGTGACAAAGGAAAAAAGACCTCCTTAATGTTAATTATAACTGGTAGGAAGTCTAGACAAATTATATTATCTGTTTTCCATATGATTTGAAAGGACATTTAGTTAGTACCTCTGTCAGAGTTAGGTGCTTGCTTTAAAAACAGGTGAGATGATAACTTAGCATGTCCGTGGTTGGCAGCTCCCCCAGGGAGTTGTGAAGTCGTAGTAAATTGACAGAATCAAGTTTCAAAAACATCTGAAAAGAACTCTATAGTTTTTGAACATTATATTTTAAAAATTAAATAATTTTAATATCCAGGTTATATTTTGGAACTGAATAATTTCTTATCTCAAAACCTGATAGTTATTACCTGTCTGCTTATTTTTTTTAGTTTTGTTTAGAATTGGATGAATTACAACTATGGTTGGCAGTGTTAACTAACTACATATTCCAAAGCATGTAAAGCCTCAGATACCAAATTTAAAGTAACAAACCCAATGAATGATAAAGGAGTGGTCCAGTCCTGTATGGTTTGTTTCCTTTATTAATATACCTAAATGGGTACTTCAAGAAAACAACTAGTCTTACCTTTAGTGTTTATAGGCTACATTTAAAATGTAATACCTGTTCTTGCTGTCAGCTCCACTATTCCCCACTGTATCTCCCATGCCTAGAACAGACTAAACCGAAGTATCTTGTTTCTCTCTCTCTCCCTCCCTCCTTCTCTCTTTTTTTTTGAGATGGAGTCTTGTTGTGTCACCCAGGCAGGAGTGCAGTGGTGCAATCTTGGCTCACTGCAACCTCCGTCTCCCGGGTTCAAGCAGTCAGCCTCCCGAGTAGCTGGAACTACAGGCATGTGCCACCACACTCGGCTATTTTTTTGTATTTTTAGTAGAGACGGGGTTTCACCGTGTTAGCCAGGATGGTCTCCATCTCCTGACCTCGTGATCTGCCCGCCTCGGCCTCCCAAAGTGCTGGGATTACAGGCGTGAACCACTGCGCCCGGCCAGTATCTTGTTTCTTTAATTCTAAGGAGCTGATTGTGAGCTGCACTCTTGACTTAACAGCTTTTTTGAAGGAAACTAAAGTACATTATTAAGCTGTACATGTCCATTATAAATGCATCTGAGTTTCAGAAATAGTAAAACGTGAATATAAATGTCTCTCTAAATCAAGAAGATGTTGTAATACACCCTCAAAATTAAACAGCTGCCTGTGACTCCAAAACACTGATTGGTTCATGATCTTTTGCTGTGGTAGTAGTAGTTCATCTCAGACACTAATCTGTCCCTTCTCTGTATTGTTAGCATTTATAGTTGGTACCACGCAACTTGGTTCTTAAAGCCAAGCCATACTGAATTGCTTTTATAGTCTTTATGTGTGTGGACCTTGCTTTCCTGTTTAGATTGTAATTTCCTAAAACTGTACCTGGGGCCCTTTTGCCTATTCTTCACAATATTTAATGTAATTCTGGGCATATATTACAAGTTTCATTAAGGGCTCATTGAGACCCTCCCTGTACTTGAAAAGCTCATATTAAATTTTAAAATAGTTTAGCCTTGAATGAAGGTAGGAATAATGCTTACTGTGGGTGTATTGACTAGATGAATTTTACATTCTTTAAAGGTAGCATAATTTTTTTATTCATACAGATCTATAATACACTTTCCCTTTTTGTGATAGTCTTAAATGGAGCTAGAAGAACTGATTCTTGGTGCTTTCCCCTGAGTTTTGTTATAGCTACTTCCAGAAAAGCCTATTCCGAGGAATGAGGTCAAACGGCACAGCAGCAAGTGAGGGCATCCCTCAGCTTTGGATTAACACCACATGGAAACATTACTAAGTGGCAGACTAAAGTACCTGACATAATGAACCAACACTCATGTATATACTGCTCTTATCTAAGGGGAAAAGACCAACAAGTTGTTCAGTCTAGAAATAGGATATGTGGTTATGCGTGTTATTGATTCCTTTATTAATGATAACTCAGCATAGCTCTTTCTGGCCTGCATTCTTTGACATACATTGTTCTTTCTGTGTAAGTTGTCTTTTCTGCCTTCTCTACTTACCAAACTTCCACTCATTTTTCAAGACCGGTTCAGAAGTTGCCATGTCTCAAAATGCTCCAAGATCTACAGATAGTCAGGTCCCTACTGGGGGCTCCACAGGTGAGAACACCATAAGACAAGGGAGCAGCAGCATACCGTGTTCACCTTTATACCCCAGCACCTCACTCTAACATTTGCCTTATACTTACGCCTCTGTGGCAATGCATGTAGCACGAAAGCCCACAGACCTTGGTGCCTTAGTATGAACAGGTGAACTTTGACCCCATTTGTGATGTCTTACCTCCTTTGTTTAACAGATAACGTTTTATAACATAAGACTGATTTAAGGTCTTAGGTATATTCTTATCACATCACTATGAGAAAATTCAAACAAGATCAGCAAGGGAGAGTAACTGAAGAAGGAAGGTGAGAAGAGGGTTCTAAAAGACAGAGAAGTGAGCGATAGCTGTAGTATTTCAAACCTCTGGAAAATAGTGATCAGTTGAAGTTGTCCTTGAAAACATTGAAGCTAGTTTTATGTCTCTAGAAAGCACATATAAGAGAATCTATTTTTGTTTGCATGAAATAATTGATTATATTTATTAAGTGTTTCTTTTATGCCAAATATAATCCTAGACACTCTAAATGTGTTCCATCATTGCAACAACGGTATACGGTAAGTACTGTGGTATCCATTTTACAGAGAAGGAAACAGCACAGCAATTAAGTAACTAGCCAATAGTCACTCAGCTATTGGGAAGGTTATACATGTATGTGGTGCATTCTTTGGTAATGGTCTTTACTAATGAACTAAAACACATTGGTTTACATTCTGCCTGTAGTAGAAGTTTTTGTTGGGAAGTTTTGATGTATTGGAGTGAGGAAGGGTGTTTCTTTTAAGAAAAAAAAATAACATCTCATGTGATTTTCTTTTTTTTTTTTTTAACTTAATGGTTTTCCTAACTTCTAAGTTTGGGGCATAGATCTATCTAATTAACATGTCAGGAGAGAGAGATAACTAGAGTTATGTCAGAATTTCTGAGAAAAGATTAAATAAAATGAGTCTATCTTGATAACCAAAAAAAGGTTTATTACTTGTATTTGTCGATGGTGATAAGTCTGAAGTTTTCCCTTCTCTCCAGGGCTGGTTGATATGTGAAGAGCCAACCTGTCGCAATCGAACTCGTCACCTTCCCCTTCAATTCTCCCGAACTGGGCCTCTTTGCCCAGCCTGCATGAAAGCTACACTTCAACCAGAGGTAACAGTCTCATAATGCTAAAGAACCATGTAGAAGAGGGTAGAGGGCTGCTTGCTTTGAGAAGTAGATACTGAGTATTTGCCCTATGAAGATGCCCTACTACCATATGCATATACTAATCTTATTTTTAAAAAATACAGATTTCAGAAAGATACATGCTTTCTTTTTTTCACATGTCATGAGCAATACTATATTTATATTTAAAAGGGAAACTGACTAATTCTCATATGAGTTATAGATTTCTTTGGTTGCCACTACATAATTACAAAAGAAGACATGGCCATTCCATTCTAGAAACTGCTATCGTCTTTGGGCTTGATCAGAATCCCATTTGTAAGAGCCAGAAATCCTCCCAATTCTGTACCCTGAATGGTTTATTTTGTGGGGTTTTTGGTCCCCTCTGCTGGATTAATTGTTTATAAGTAGCTGCATAGATGAGTAGTTCTGAAGCCATTTTTCTTTGTTTTTTGTTTGCTTGTTTTTTTTTTTTTTTTTTTTTTTTTTTGACGGAGTCTTGCTCTGTTGCCAGGCTGGAGTGCAGTGGCACGATCTCAGCTCACTGCAACCTCAGCCTACCGAGTAGCTTGGGACTACAGGCGCGTGCCACTGCGCCCAGCTAATTTTTCTATTTTTAGTAGAGATGGAGTTTCACCATGTTGGCCAGGATGGTCTTGATCTCTTGACCTTGTGATCCGCCCACCTCGGTCTCCCAAAGTGCTGGGATTACAGGCATGAGTCACTGCACCCAGCCTGTTTTGTCTTTTTGAGATGGAGTCTAGCTCTGTCGCCCAGGCTGGAGTGCAGTGGCGGGATCTCGGCTCACTGCAATCTCCGCTTCCCATGTTCAAGCGATTTTCCTGCCTCAGCCTCCCGAGTAGCTGGGACTACAGGCGTATGCCACCACACCTGGCTAATTTTTGTATTTTTAGTAGAGACAGGGTTTTACCATGTTGGCCAGGCTCATCTCGGAGTCCTGGCCTCAGGTGATCTGCCTGCTTCAGCCTCCCAAAGTGCTGGGATTACAGACGTGAGCCACCGCACCCGGCCACTCAAGCCATTTTTCTACCTTAATATACACACCTGAGGTGTAAGACATACTATCATTAATGACTCCCAACTAGAAAGCATGGCATCTGGAAACACTTCTCTGGTAATTAAGATGCCTTCCCTCTGTTGACCCCTTTGAGCATCTTCGACCCAAACAGCATTTTCCAAACTGTAGTGAGAAGTTTGCAGGTTCTTTGAGCAAAGAGGGTTTTGTGATCAAGTATATCTAGCAGATGCTGGGCTAGCTAAAATTAAACAAGTTTATTGCAGATCTTTTCAGAACCTATAATATGATAATGTGCAATCTGTCTCACTAGGACAGGTCCATAATGTGCCTCACTTTCCAAATTCGTCTAGCCTGAAGATTTGTAAGGTTTTTAGTGAGAAGAAGGTGAGACTTGGGAACCTGTTGTTTATTTACTTACTTCTTAAATGCAGAGGCAGGCCTATAATCAAGTTTTGACTTCAAATTTTCCTGCTGAAAAGGGTTGATACACAGACTAGTTTTAGAAAAATATGTACACACAGTTTTAGAAATGGAGTCCTGCTATGTTGTCCAGGCTGGAATGCAATGGCTATTCACAGGCGCAATCATGGCTCACTACAGCCTTGAATTTGTAGGCTCAAGTAATCCTCCTGCTTCAGCCTCCTGAGTAGCTGGGACTACAGGCATGTGCCCAGCTGAAAATATTTTATTTTAAAATAATAATGACTTAATTTTAGGATAATATATCATTTCACAAAATTTGGCAACTAGTCAGGAACTGCAAATAGCTACCATCGTTGTGTATTCAGTTGTTCTTTTGCATATCCATATGTATTTTTTTACATGGTTGCCATCACAATGAAGATATATACTTGTATCACATTTATCTTTTGTCAAGCATTTTTTCTGTGTTGTACTTCATTTTCAGTACGATTTTTTTTTTTTTTTTTGAGACAGAGTCTTACTCTGTTGCCCAGGCTGGAATGCAATGGTGCGATCTTGGCTCACTGCAACCTCTGCCTCCCAGGTTCAAGCAATTCTCCTGCCTTCGCCTCCCGAGTAGCTGGGACTACAGGCGCGTGCCACCATGCCTGGCTAGTTTTTGTATTTTTAGTAGAGATAGGGTTTCACCATGTTGGCCAGACTGGTCTTGAACTCCTGACCTTGTGATCCACCTGTCTCGGCCTCCCAAAGTGCTGGGATTACAGGCATGAGCCACAACACCTGGCCTCCAGTACCAAAAATTTTAAACACAAATTTAACTATACCTTTCATTGGGCATTTTAGGCTATTTTCAATATCTCTACTTGAAATTTTGTGATGAATATTTTTCTGCTTAAATGATTTTTTCTTTATTTGACATTTAGGATAAATTCTTATCAACAATACATACATACATTGCATAAATACAATATGGTCATGATTTATATTGCCAAATTGCTTTCCTAATGGGCTTTCCCAACTTATACTGTATACCAGTACTTTATGAACATACCAGTTTTACCATAGCCTTTCTAACATTTGGACACTATCATTTATTTTTTAAAACTAATTTGATCAGCATAAAAAGTTCCTTGCCCTTTTTTTGGTATACCTTTGATGATTAGCAACTTTTTTTAAAATGTGGAATGTTAGAATTAGCTGTCATTGAATTATTTTTACGTCATTCTTGTCTCAAGACTTGCATCAGCAGGTGCAGAGAGAGAACAAAAGTGTATGTATTTAGTGTGACTCATCAATCCGGTTGTAGGCTTTAGGGGAATCACCTTGCTTCATGAACTGATGCTGCCTTTGAGACTTTTTAAATATCTAACTCATCAAGTTAAGTTCAATGAAAATCAAATTACTTCTTAGAAAATCAACCAGTTTTATGATTGCATTCTTGGTAAGAGAAGGTAAAAGGTTAGTCTATAATCTTAGATCGTTAAGCTATTAGACCGATACATTTCGAGGATGATGTTGATAGTGGTTTAGTATATCAGGTTATCTTTTAACATTTATTAATCTTTTTAGATTTCAAAGTGACTTGTTTTTTTCTTCATATCCTTGTCCTTCTCAAAACTGCAGCGTTTTAGACATGTGTTTCTCAAGGTTATCAGCTACTCTTCCCAAGGAGAAGCTTTCATAGATTAGCTCCTCTGGTTCCGGTGCTGCTCAGGACATGACCCTATGGAGTTACTCAGTTTCAGAGCAGGCTGGTTGGTGATACTTTCCTTAGCCATTCCTGACAGGGACCTTGACAGTGGGACTCAGAACACTCTTATGTACTCGATTTTGAGTTGCTAATAATGGGCGAGGAATTTCTTAATTCTATTTGTGAGGTTCCTGGGCTTTTCTAGTAGGAGGGAAAAATGCATTTTTCCAAAGATAGTTCTAGAGAAGTTCAAAAAACAGTTGTGCAATGGACAGAATTATTGTAATCATCAGAGGGTTTTCCAAAGTATCTATTCTGCAGGATTATACTCATCTGGTTCTCAAGTTCTCAGTTGCTCTGTCTCAATCATACCTTACTTTCATTTAATAATTATTTATTAAACAACTGCAACTACATCCTAGGCACTTTGCTAGGTGCTAGAAACATGTTAATGAACAGAACATTTCTTTATTTATAAAACTATTTTAACATTACACAGATTATATAAAATTCTATAAAGTTGATATCTGTGGGCAAAAATAGGCATTTATAAATGCCCATTTGGACAGAACACTAGACATTCCTAGTGCTAGACTAGTGGGAGCTTTAAATATGTTGTTCAAGTTTGATGGTAAAGCACTGGCCTCTTACTGTGCCAGTCTTATCTGCACATAATAAACCTATTCTCACTTAGTCCTGGGTTGCAGTTGACTTGAGTACTTTCCAGAATTGACTTGGAGTAGGAAAGCTGGCTCTTCTGCTGGCTCGCATTGCCAGAGTTAGAAGAAGAAAGCCGGGACAGTTTTTTTCTCAGGGTTTTACACGTGTATCTTCTCTCTTCTCAGATATTTCATTCATATATATATATATATCTCACAGTTAAGTTTTTTAGGCTCATGGAAATTCCCAGTATACAAGTTGCTGCTTAAGACATATATTCCCTGAGTATTTTTTGCTATATAAGAGGTGCATTTAAATACGAGAGTGAAAATTTTGATGCATGTTTAAGTTACTAAGTAAATAGAACCCTCTTTGACAGGATCATTCATGTGCCAAACCTCAGCGTCACACAATATACCCATGTAACAAACATGTACACGTACCCTCTGAATCTAAAATAAAAGTTGATGTTATTTTTAAAAATCGAACTCTATCATACTGGTGATAGAGATGAGACTTACCCAAGTTAGGCAATAAATATTTTAGTATCTCTTTGTTTTAAGAATGTGGTTTTGACTTTTTAATATGGTGAAATGTGTATGGATGTGTATGGAATCCCTCCACAGAGGATTCTGTATTAGTAATTCACCAAAAATAAAGCTTTCTGGTTTTGTTGTTGTTATTATTATTAATCTCTCATTATCGAACTGGGATTTCAAACCAAATTAAACTTTTTCTCATTAACGTATTCATTCTTGATGTAGAGCTGAGAAAATGTCTGTATGTGACTCTCACGATCATGGTAGAAATAATCTGTCGAAACTGTATAGTCCCTGGGGCAGGAGCAGTATAGTGGAGCCCTTTATTCAATTATTTAATCAACTAAATTTCTTGAAGGTCACTTATAAGGAAAGCAGTGAAATGACTTCTAGTCCTACTTTGAGAAACCCCCTAGTGTTTCTCACATTTTCCTCACTTGTAAAATTGCTAAAGTCTATTATAACAGAACACATAATGTGTACCATTGTAGGACTTCTGTCCTTAAAGGGAGAGGAGAAATAATGAACTTATAATCATTATATGTTACCATCTCAAAATGGCTATGGCTGAACAAATTGTTGATTTGATGAGTAGGTTAGGGACAGTGAGAATGTTGCCAAGCTACCTGGGGAAGTTTCTTTTTTCAGAAGAAAACATGAAAATAATTGTGGTCTCTTAAGGCAGTAAGCATGAGTCCGTGTAGGAAGAGAACCTTAGAACTATGACCTAAAGTCTTAAACCTAGTCATTGGTTATTCTCCAGTAGGGAATGGTGGTTTACCATGAAGGGTCTTTTGGAGCTCTCCTTTGTTATTTTGACATGCATATTTGATGCAAAGAGATTACTAAATTCTATTTACAGCTTCTCTTACTGCCACATGGGTGCTAGCAACCTTTTTCAATTTACTTTTTTTTAATTGGGGTATAATTGACATAACATAAAATTAAGTGTTTTAAAGTGAACCATGCAGTGGCATTTAGTACATTCACAATGCTGTGTGGCTACCACCAGTATCTAGTTCCAAAACATTTTCATCACCCCAAAGAAAATTCCATATCTATTAAGCAGTCCCTCCCCATTTCCCCCTCCTTCTAGCCCCTGTTGTCACTATGGATTGTACCTACTTTGAATATTTTCTGTAAATGAAATTATACGATATGTAACCTTTTGTGTCTGACATCTTTCACCTCGCATAACATTTTTGAAGTTCATCTGTGTTGTAGCATGTATTAGTACTTCATTCTTTTTTATGGCCAAATAATATTCCATTGAATAGATATGCCACAATGTGTTTATTCATCCATTGATGGACATTTGGATTGCTTTGTCAGTACACTTTTAAAGTTTATTTTTAATTAAGTAGACAGGTCTTACATTTGGCCTGAATTTTTTTTTTCTGTAGCTCACTCATTGGTCCTACCTCAGCTGAATGGTACCACACAAAGCTAGACTGATCCCTTTTTCTGTCTCTGCCTTCAGTAAGCACTTATTCAGCACCTATTCAATGCCCATGTTATGAGAGCCTCTTAGACATATAAAAGTAGCTGTCTTCCTGAGTGTTCCCTTCTAGACCCAATATTCCTGAGTCTTCGTTTCTCTAGAGCTCTGCTTTCAGAATAATGATCTTAGTAAAGACTTTGTGTCTTGATAAATTGAGGAGCCCAAAACTGCGTGCAGTATTTTAGGTGCTCTCACTAGCACTAGTATGGAGCAGAAGAAACCTGTCACTGCTACCTTTTCTAGGTAGTAAATTTCTGTTAAGTCTGTTCAGAGTTGTGTTAACTTTCTTGGCATCCATACTTGCAGTGTTTTTCGTTTTGAGCATTCTCTAAATTAAAATGCCTAGCAATTTTTTTTGTACATGCATCTGCTAAGCCATGTCTTATCATGGATTTTTTGGACCCAAATGGCTTATTTAGACCTAAGTGTAAGACTTCAGTAGGTAGTATATTAACAAAGTACTACAAACTAGGTGACTTAAAGTAATAGAAATGTATTACAGCTCTGGAGGCTAGATGTCTGAAATCCAAGTGTTGGCGGGGCCATTTTCCCTCTGAAATTTACGGGGAATCCTTCCTTGCCTTTTCTAGCATCTGCTAATCCTTGGCTTGTAGATACATCACTTCAATCTCCGCTTCTGTTGTCACATGGCAGTCTTCTTCCCTGTGTGTCTCTTTCTCTTTTTCTTATAAGGACACCAGTCTCATATTGGACTAAGGCCCAGCCTAATTCACTGTAACTTCGTCTTAATGTGATTTCCTGTACCAATACTCTATTTTCTTTCTTTTCTTTTCTTTTCTTTTTTTTTTTTTTGTGAGACAGAGTCTGACTGTATCACCTAGTCTAGAGTGTAGTGGCACAGTCACAGCTCACTGAAGCCTCGACCTCCTGGGCTTAAGTGATCCTCCCAAGTATCTGGGATTACAGGCATGTGCCACCATACCTGGCTAATTTTTATATTTTTTGTAGAAACTGGGCTTTGCCATGTTGCCCAGGCAGGTCTTGAAATCCTGGGCTCAAGCGATCTGCCTGCCTTGACCTCCCAAAATGCTGAGATTACAAGCATGAGCCACTGTGCCCAGCCCCGCCCCTATTTTCTAATAAGGCCACATTCATAGGAACTCGGGGTTAGGACTTGAACATATCTTTTTAGGAACACAATTCAACCCATTACAGGTAGGAATTGCACTGAGCTAAAAGTAATGGAGACCAAAACTAACAGTAGCTTCAAAAGAACAGACATTTAATTCTCTAAGAAACATTCATTCCTTATCATGTGAAAGAAATCCAGGTTTGGGCTATCCAGGATTGCTCTTGTGGCTCCACAGTGTCATCAGGGCATAGTCTCTTCCTGCTCTTTTCTGTCATTCTCAAAGTCATGATGTGTTCCCAGGAGACTGCACACGCTTCTGAAGCCATCAAAGGGTACAAGATGGAGAAAAGGCTGAAGGATCCAAAGGATGTGCTTCCCAGCCTTGTCAGTTCTTTATGCAGCCTTTCTAGAAGTTCCATTCAATACTCTTGCTTGCATTTCGTGGGCTAGAAATTAGTCATGTGGAAATAATTGCTCTTTTTGTTACTAAAGAAGGAAGAGTAGACTGGGTATTGGGGACCAACCAGCACTCTATGCAACAGAGACCTTCCAATGAACCCTGTCAAATCTCCCCTTGCTGGCCTCAGCCCATCACTGTTCCATTGTGGGATTTTTGAATCCTGATTCTGCCATGTACCCAGCCATTTGGCTTCTGCAGTTCTTGGAGAAGATAAAAGATCTCTCTTTTGTCTTCTCCAAAGTATTGGTTAAAATGTTGAAGTGCATTTATGCACAAAACGGTGGATAGATGCCTTCTTCTAGATGGACATTGCTCCATTTTAATCAGTATGCTTTGTGTAGGATTCTTCTAATTATCTTTGCTTCTAGTTTGTAATTTTCCACAAGGGGAAGAAGCCCTACTTCTAATGGGCCTGTAGTCTAATGGAAGACTTAGGGAAATACAAATTTTCCACACTCCATTGACCAAAGGGACAAAAAGGGCTGCAACAGCTTTGTAATCCCAGTGCTCCCTAATCAATAAGGTAGGAAAGATAATAGAGAGGTGAGGATGGTGATTATTAGATGAGAGCCTTGATCCTTAACTGGGGGCAGTTTTGCCCCCCAGGGAACATTTTTGGTTGTCATAACTGGGGGTTGTAGCTGGAGTGGGGAGGGAGGTGCCGCTGGCATCTCTTGAGTAGAGGCCAGGGATGCTGCTAAACATCTTGCAGTACACAGGATAGCTTCCAGAGCTAAAGAATGATGCAGCCCCCAAAGTCAATAATGTCAAGGTTGAGAAACTTTGGACTACAGTAACCTGTCCAACCCACAGCCCATGGGCTGCATGTGGCCCAGGACGGCTTTGAATGCAGCCCAACTCAAATTTGTAAACTTTCTTAAAACATGAGGTTTCTTTTTTGTTTTGGTTTTTGGTTTTTGGGTTTTTGTTTTGTTTTGTTTTGTTTTTTTGCGATTTTGCTGTTTTGTTTTGTTTTTAGCTCATCAGCTGTTGTTAGTGTATTTTATGTGTGGCCCAAGACAATTCTTCTTCTTCCAATATGGCTCAGGGAAGCTAAAAGATTGGACATCCCTGGACATTGAGGGTATCTAGCACAGATGCCTTAGAGTAGAATTTGAAGGCAGATTTTAAAAAGGACACCTTTTAGAGTGGAACAAATACATGTAGCAATGGCTGTGATTGGTTGGGTACAGAGAATGACATGTAGACTTTTCATGGCTGTTAAAGAGTATAGAAGGCAAGGCATCTAGAAGATGAAAACAGTTATAAAATAGTACCCCTTTACTACCATAGGCAGAAGCTTTCATTTTAATTAGCTATTGAAGGTATTTGCTAGATTCGTAAGACGAGAGACTGGGAAGCCTAATTTAAGTGCAAGGTGCTTAACATGCCCTTGATACGGTTCGAAGAGTTTGAAGAGTGCATTTGGGAGCTGTGTTGGAATTCCAGGGAGCACTTCACTTTGCTGATGGGCTGTCTGTCCTGTGTGAATCGAGTACAGAAACAGAAGATAGTATAAGAGCCATGATGCTATTGGATGAGAAGGGTCATGTGCTAGTAAAATGTGATTATATATGCTCTTTATTGGTGAGGTGTAAATATGGCCCTGGAAATCTAGAGACCTATGTAATCTTAGAGAAGTCATTTTACCTTTTGGGACCTCAAGTTCCTCATTTGTAAAATAGAAGGCTTACAGCATCAGAAAAGGCCCCTCAAAGGAGAGTGGACTTTGGGAGGAAAACAGGCATAGGGCACAGAAGTGGGGGGCTGTTCTGGACAGGAAGATGAACAAATGCCTTCCTCTTCTCTTCACTGCCCCCCCCCCCACCAACCCCCACCTCAGCAGAGGGAAGGGATGCATCTGCTATCCCCACTCATCACTGGACTCCCCAAGGGCCAGGTGTGCAGTTCGTTCACCTCAGGGAGATCCAGTGCCTGGAACTCAGTGCATACCCAAGTGATGTTTGTTGAATGAATGAATCTTAGTTAGAGCCCACGTCTACAAACGAAAAAAGAGCAAAAAGCTTGTTTCCATTTCCAGTTCTTGTTTCTGAAGAAAATGAAGGGCTTTTCTTTCTCCCCAGAGACCACATCTTCTTGGCCCCTCTACCTAGACCAATGCAGAGATGTTCCAGGGATGTTCAGTCTAGCCCCCTTTCAGTTCCTTACTCTTTCCCACCTATTCCTCTCCCTTCTTAGATCCTTCTTGTGTTTATGCACAGTATTTGTTTGGCAAGTGCCTTGGGAACTAGCAAAACCATGAGGACATTTTCCTGTCACCGATACCCTCTAATGTGTCCCTTTTGAGTTGGCAGCTTAAACTGCTTGCTGAATAAAACATTAACTTCTTCACCCCAACCTTGTCCTTACTCAATTCTGGCTTCACAGCTTTATTGACAGCAATGCTTATCAACCCACTTTTATGGTGGGCTGAAAGAGATTGACTATTATTGTGCCCAGATTAAATGGGGGAGTAATGCCACCCCTGTCTGATTGTGTTGTAATTGGTCAGAGTTATATACAGGTGCAATTTGTAATATTTTCAGTAAATTAAATTTTTTTCTCTTTGGCTTTTATTGATGTATGTTCAGATGCCCATTAGGGCTTCCTTTTTTCCAGTGGAAATTGCAGCATGTTAATTTTCACACAAATTACAGCAATAGCAGGTATCTCTATTTGATACATTATAACAGGAGCAATCAAGGATAATTGAGTGCCTTTCAGATGGAAACGGGTGCATTCACTTCAATTCAAAGCGAGTCCATTTATCGCCTAATCGGTCTTTAAACACTAAATTTCTGGAACAAAAATTCTTGTCATAATTTTGCTTAAGTGTATTTGGAAATCACAGTCCTTTGAGCAAGGATAATTGAAATCAAATCCCTTTCAATGGAGGTGACATTTCTACATTTTCCCAATTGAAATTAATTTCAAAAATTGAGCATGAATATCTTCAAATGGCAGGCAATTATAGCTTTCAATGGGAAGAAATTATGCGCACAAAAAAGTGGAGACATCAAATACCGCTTCAGCTAAATGTCTTTGTTTCCAACTGTGTTTGCCTTGTAAAGATTTACATATATTGACTTATTATGCAACCTTGAGATGCAGATCGCCTTCCTTTTTCATCTGAGCCCATTAAAATTAACTAAAATTGGAACGTTCTTGTTAAGCTTCATCAAAACTGTTTGGAATTTACTGCAGCTGCAGAAATGTGTTCATAATAGAACTTAACCCTTCAAAGACTTGAATTCTACCCCCATTTTTTTTAAATCTGGAATTCTAACTTCAGCGCATTTCATTGTTTCACTTTTAATGATTCAAAAGAGGAGTGGTGAAGAACTGATATGCTAATTGTCTTCTCTTTTTGTCATCTGGTACCCATGGGATCTCAGGTAAATCTCTGGAGCCTGTCCCCTTTGAAAACTGCCCTGAAGGACAATACTGAGTTCCCAGAGGGCACCAATATGCCAACCTTTAATATTTAAATGTAATCATATCAAGCCGATTTCCCACTCCTCACAATAGGAATTGCTCTTATTGTTGGACTGTGACAAACTCTGTGGGTTTCCTGCTGCGGACCTTTTCCTACTAAGAACCTTTTCTCCCAATTGTTTTATTGCCACATTAATGCTGCTATTAAGATCCGTGTGCTATAAATTAGATAAGCTTTATATATTTTTTTATTCATCGTGACTTTCTTCTGTTTTCCAAGGGTAAAAGTATATTGAGAACTGACTCTTGCAAGCACTTACTTTTCGAAAGTAGTTTAGAAGCAATCTAGCCATGTTTTACAGTTATAGCGGCAATTGTTTCAACAACCCCAAAAAAATTGCATTACTGAAATATATTTCATGGGTGCAATTGGCCAGGGACAGGGAGGGCAGCAGGCCATTTCTTTTATTAAGGTCTTGCGCAAATGTTATGAAGAGGGCAGTATCTCAAGAAACAATTTCACAGCTGGTTTGCTCCTAAGCCACTCAAGCCTAAAAATGCACCGAATTCCTGGTGGAAAAAAAAGAAATAGATGTCACTCCCAAACAAAGACAGGTGCTAAGCTGCGGGAGATGAGAGAAGGGGTGAAAACAGTATCCAGCTTTAATAGCAAAAGCAAATGCTAGCTAATGGCCCATTCTCAGGAACTCGTTAAGTCATCTCTAAGCAACCACAGGATAATACACTCGTTATTTCTGCTGGTATGTTTCCTAAAAGTGAGGCGTATTGCTTTGAGCCCAGAATCTTAGTGGATAGTGCGCCTCACCTCTGTATTAACCTGTTGGCACGAGACCTTTCCTGCCGTCTTATGCCTTCTTAATGGAATTTTTATTAGTCATTTGGGTGTTCTTTTTTACTTTATTTTCTTTGCTCTTAATTTTTAGCTTTTTAACTAAAAATGTTTTTAAGTTACCTAATGTTTTTTGTGTCCTATAAGAGAATTTCCCCCCTTGGTTCACCTGCTGATTGGTTTTTGTGTATGATAAATTATTCAGAGCTTATGCAAAGTGTTTAATGTATTTTCCAAGTTATTGTTTTAGTGGAAGATGGACATTTGTCTTTGGGTAGGAATATGTGGGTTTTTTACGTTCAAAGCAGGAGTTGTTTTCTGCTCAAATTTGATATTTGTTAGCCTTGATGTTTGAAGTACTCATCGGTGACCAATAAGCTGTTATACAGCCTTGAACACTGACTGAAGGGGGTCTGAAATACCATGGGGATTAAAAATAGCAAAACCACATGCTGAAATTAGAATTTATATTTAGACGATATATTGTCTTTCACTCACCCTGCAGAATTTTATTTTTAAGGCTGTACATTGTGTGGCTCTGTGTTTCTCATTTTAGAAACACAAGGAACTCACTGGAAAGCCAGACCTGGTTAATACAAACATAGTCTGAGTAAACATACAGGAGTTGCTATGCAGGATAAGGGCAGAACATTCTTCACCAACACCACATTGGTTCAGTATAATCACAAACACTGAAATTTTTCTTTGTGAAAGTGACACTGTGAAATGTGTAACAAAATTTTTCAAGGCATTTGGGGATGTATAGTTCAGCATTCAACAGGACCACCAAAGATGTAGGCAGATGCATTTCCGCCGCTTCAAGGAAGGGTGCCGAATGTGCGCAGGCCCTCTGTGCTATCCTTCATTGTTCCTGCATTTACCTTCCTACTTCTATGCAATGGAGTGCAAAGCTTGTTTATTGGCAGTCCTGAAGGCTTTGCAGAGGTACTGAATGGTGGAAACTGAGATTTCCAAATCCTCCTAGGTTTTAGGGCAGCACTCTTTAAATAGGATTTCTGAGTCCCAAATCTTTCTTATATCCTTGATAATTTTTATATTATTTCTTCCTTCAGACATAACCTTGATATGGGCTGTGTGTCCTTGGAATGCCAAGCAGAGATCATTTTATGCTTTGAGGTCATAGTTATAAATAATGTTACTTATCATATACTCCAAATTCATTCAGAATTTAGTGAGCACCTACTCTGGACCAACACTGATACAGCCAGTAGGTATACAGCAGGAATCTAAAATTAAGTCCCTGTCCTCATGGAACTTACATTCCAGTGTGGGGAGACAGATAATAAACAATAATTATATGACATGGCAGGTAGTGACAAAGTACTGTGGAGAAGAATTCAGCTGTGTGAGTAGGAAAGGGACTGGCACAAGTAGGGTTTGTTAATTTATGTAGGGTATCTAGGGAAGTTCTCCTTGAAACAGTAATAGTAAGCAAAGGCCAGAGGGATGTGAAACAGTGGGCCTTGCAGATATGAAGAGGAAGGGCATGTATAAGGGATCTGGAACAGCTAGTATAAAGGGCCTAAGATAGGAGGGTGCTTGGCATATTTAAAAAATAGGAAAAGGGCCAGTGTAGCAAGAGAAAAGGGAACGATGGGGAAAGCCGAAAGAGGTAAGGTGAGAGAATTTGGGCAGAGGGTGGAGACACTGTGAAGAGCCATGTAAGCCATTGTAAGGGCTTTAGTATATATGCTAGGGGAAATGGGGAGCTATTCAGGAATTCCATGTGGAAGAGTGCAGTATCTGACTAAGTTGACTGCTTTGACTGCTGTAATTTAGGCAAAATATGTTGATGGTAGCTTGGCCCAAGGAATAGAAGGGAATCTGTGAGAAGTGGTTAGATTCTTGATGCATTTTAAAGCTAAAACTGATAGGAGTTGCTACTCCAATCCTTCTTCCCCTGTGACGTTATATAGAAGGAAATGGAGGAGAGATTCCTTCTTACAGGCTACTGATTCTCAATTGAATTCTAATGTATTTAATTATTCACCTAAAACTAAGATCTTGCCTATGGACCCCATATAGCATAGCAGTATCCTTACTCTTAATAGACTTTAGGGGAAAAAAATGAGTTGTGTTTGACTTTCAGCTCACAGTCTAGCCAATGAGGCAAAATTACAGAACCAGAGAAACCCCTCTGCGCGTGCATGTGCGTGCACACACACACACACACACACGCACACCCCTGTACATGCATGTACAGATCCCTGAAAGTCATGAGAAGCACAGCTGGAATGAGCCATTGTCTCAGATGGGTGTGTGTTCATATGCAGGTGTGTTGAAGGGGTGGTGGGAAGTAATTAACAACTGCTGTACTAATTTTTAATGTAAACATGTACATAAGTAGTTAGAGGAGATGATAAGAGAAGATTGCATAGAAAAGGTGAGATGTAAACTAAGACTGGTAGGATCAGTAGGATATAAATAGGTGAAGTTGAGGAGGCAGAAAGACATTCTTGTCAGTCCCTTCTCTGTGCTTCTGCTTCGAAGGTAGAGGATTTGGTGCCTTCTACTCTTTCTCTACATAATCTATTTAGAAGATGCTCCAGTGTTATGAAAACAGCCTTAGGAGGCTGTATGACATCTACTTAGAAACAGTAGATTGAAGTTGGATCTTTAGAGCAAACTATTCTATCATGTGACTGTTAGACTCCAGTTTAGTGGTATCAGACTATGCCCTTCTTTTTGGATGGTTATAGATTAAAGGAAAATCTTCTAGGGCAAATCTTGAAATTAAGAAAGTATTAAGGGTGTGCTCCATACTCTGTTCCTTGTTTGTATCCTTATGCCTTGTCCTTCCACCAGTCTTCCCTCTCCTCTTCCTTTACACTCAGCTGTCCTGTAATGCAATGTGTGTGTTCCTAAAAATCACTAAGCTATGGAAAATCATATAATGACAACCACACAGTTTATGGAAAAACAGAAAGGTTAGGGCAACACACAAAAACTTCATCAGTGACACATAAAAAAGGATATAGGAACCTAAACAAAAACAATGACATAGTTTTACACATCTTCAGTAGCTAAGAAATATATAAATATTACAATAAATATGGTACTTTACCCCGAAAAAGACTTGAAGTTTGCTTGTGGAAGTGGACTCAGAAGGATTGCAGCTGTGAGTCATGATGACGTAGAGAATGGAAGGTTATCTGAAATTGGAAGGAAAGTTGCAACAAACACCAGATGTGGGTGAGTGTAGCACAGTGAACTGAGGTAGCTGGTTGATGTTTGAGGTATTTGCGTATGTGTGTTTTATGTATTCCTGTATTGCTTGGGTGCATTTCTTGCATTCACCTAATATTTCTTGCAGACAAAATCATGCACGAGCAAACACGAAATTCATGTTGTGTTCAAACTGTTCCGTGATATATCAATGGCACTGGAATAAATTCTCATATTCAAAACAAGCGCTGTAGCAGAACCAACTGTATCTCGTTTTGTCTTGATGATTAACCAGCACCTTAACTGTCTCCCTGCTTTATTGTTTTCTCTTCATTCTCATAATGTACAAAGACACTCGTATTTTTAGAAAGACTGATTGGAACATCTGTCAACCAGATAATTAAACTTATTGAATATTGTCTATCTCCAGCATCCTGGTCTGGGACGTGGGAAACAAAAAACGTTTTGAAACAATGGGTTCTGCCTTTATACTGCTTGAATATGGGGAACTAAGCGCAGACCTTTGAAGCAAAACAACAGTTCTTAAAATATGACAACATATAGAATTAATACATCAGTGCTGAAGAGATAGGGTAAAGTAGTTAGTAAAGAGATAGGATAAAGTAGTTAGTAAGGTAAAGCTTCTTAGAATATATAAATTTTGATCCAGATTGTAAACAAAGTTGTGAACATGGATTGGGGAAGTAGTCCCAGAAGATGAAAACCCTAGCATCAAATTCTACCAGCATTTTGGTTCCAGGTAAGATGGAGTAAGAATAGTTCTTATTGTCTCCAACCGAAAGCAACTGTAAAACCTGGACAGCATGGGTGGAGCAGTTACATGGAGACCGAAAAGTAAACAGTAGCAGGTAGGTTAAAGATGAAGACCAGATTTCTTTTTTTTTTTTCTTTTTTCTTTCTTTCTTTCTTTTTTTTTTTTAAGACCGGTTCTTACTCTGTCAACCAGGTGGAGTGCAGTGGTATGATCAAGGCACCCTGCAGCCTCAATCTCCTGGGCTCCAGTGTTCCTCTTGCCTCAGCCTCCCAAGTAGCTGGGACTGCAGGCACTTGGCACCATGACTGGCTAGTTTTTTTATTTTACTTTTAGTAAAGATGAGGTCTTGCTATGTTGCCTAGGCTGGTCTCAAACTCCTGAGCTCAAGCACACCCCGACCTCCCAAAGTGCTAGGATTACAGACGTAAGCCACCGTGCCTAGCGATGACCAGATTTCAAGTACCTTTAAACTAGCAGTAAGTTTGCCATTTTGTCCCCTGATATTCCCCTGCCTAAATGCAGCACAGCGTAAAACCAAGCGTGGGCACCAAGCTACAGACAGCAAGTTCCAGGAGAAGCAAGTAGTGGCAAAGGTAACACCCAGAGAGAATGTAGAAATCCCCATGGCTTTCTTTTGTTTTTTTTTTTTTTCTTCATGCCCTCATGCATCAGTCTTCAAGTAACCTTATGGTGGCAACAGAAGCTGCAGTGAGAGTCAGCAGGAGCCAGAACTCCAAGGAAGGGAAATCTCTTCCCTGAATCCTCTTTCTCTTTCTTCCTATCCATTGGTCCTAAATGGAGTACAGTCACAAAAATACATGACAAGTTAGATAACTAAAGACACAGCTTTCTGACTGGAGGACTGAAAACAGGAGTTACCTGCAGGGAACTAGAAGGTACCAGGAAGATGACAGAGAAAGCCTTAGGGAAACAGGCCCCATAAGGTTGTTTATGAGTCGGGTGCAGTGACTCATGCCTGTAATCCCAGCACTTTGGGAGGCCAAGGCAGGAGGATCACTCGAGGTCAGGAGTTCGAGACCAGCCTGGCCAACATGGCAAAACCCTGTCTCTACTAAAAAGACAAGCGTTAGCCGGCGTGGTGGCACACACCTGTAATCCCAGCTACTTAGGATGCTAAGGCAGGAGAATCGCTTGAAACCAGGAGGCAGAGGTTGCAGTGAGCCGAGATCGTGCCACTGCACTCCAGCCTGGGCAACAGAGCAAGACTCTGTCTCAAAAAAAAAAAAAAAAAAAAGTTGTTTATGAACTTCTGGGCCTGTGGAAAGAAAGGGTCTAATCCTAATCAACATACCAAAGACATGGAGAACTGAAATAAAAACCATCACCCAGAACCCAGGACTACCTAGTAGTGCACAGAGGAGACAGATCCAAAAAACTGCAAAAGTTTTGACAGCTGAACTGACATTGGCGACACAGAAAGTGGATTGGAGCTCACAGCCCAAATTTAATGAAGTCAATTGCCTGCTAAAATGAAAATACCAACAATTTTCATAGGATTGAAAGAAGACCCTGAGACTCATACTATTCAAAATATCCAGGATATAATTCTGTAAGATAGAACCAGGAAAATCCTATAAGAAGAACCAGGAAAATCACAGATTGCTGGGGTGGGGGGGTGGGGGTGGGGGAGGAGACGGAACACGAACAAAAAGATGCCAATGCTGAGATGATAATAATATTAGAATTATATGATAAAGACTTTAAGGCAGTTATTATCCAAATGTTCCAACAAGTAATGGTGAACCCCCCCCCCCTTTTTTTTTTTTTTTTTGAGACAGAGTTTCGCTCTTTCACCCAGGCTGGGGTGAAGTGGCGCAATCTCCACTTACTGCAACCTCCGGTCCCCGGGCTTAAGTGATTCTCCTGCCTCAGCCTCCTGAGTAGCTGGGATTATAGGCACTCACCACCACGCCCGGCTAATTTTTGTATTTTTAGTAGAGACGGGGTTTTGCCATGTTGACCAGGCTGGTCTCAAATTCCTGACCTCAGGTCATCCACCTGCCTCGGCCTCCCAAAGTGCTAGGATTACAGGCATGAGCCACTGTGCCTGGCCAACACTTTTTAAATGAATGGAAAAATAGAAAATCTCAACAAAGAAATGGAACATGTAAATTATCGGGGAAATGCAAATGAAAACCACAGTGAGACACCACCTTACTGCTGCAAGGATGGCCATAATTTAAAAGTCAGAAAATAAATAGATGTTGGCATGGATGTGGTGAAAAGGGAGCACTCTTACACTGCTGGTGGGAATGTAAACTAGTATAACCTCTGTGGAAAACAGTATGGAGATTCCTTAAAGAACTAAAAGTATAATACCATTTGAACCAGCAATCCCACTGCTGGGTATCTACCCAGAGGAAAAGAAGTCATTATATGGAAGACACATGCACATGCTTGTTTATAGCAGCATAATTTGCAATTGCAAAAATATGAAACCAACATAAATGCCCATGAGCTAACGAGTAGATAAAGAAAATGTGGTATATATACACCATGGAATACTACTCAGCCATCAAACGAAATGAAATAGTGGCCTTTGTAGCAACTTGGATGGGGCTGGAGGCCATTATTCTAAGTGAAGTAACTCAGGAATGGAAAATCAAGTATCGTATGTTCTCACTTATAAGTGGGTATGTTCCCACTTATAAGGGGGAGCTAAGCTATGAGGATGCAAAGGCATAAGAATGATATAATGAACTTTGGGGACTTGGGGGGAAGGATGGAGGGGGTGAGGAATAAAAGACTATACATTGGGTACAGTATACAATGCTTAGGTGGTGGGTGCATCAAAATCTCAGAAATCACCACTAAAGAACTTATCCATGTAACCAAAAACCACCTGTACCCCCAAAAACTATTGAAATAATTTTTTTTTAACTCACAGAGTGGTTGGAAACCCTCATAATGGTCTCCACCCTCCTGGGGGAAAAAAAAAAGAAATAGAAGATGTAAGGAAGAGTCAAATGGATATATCAGAAGCAAAAAATATAATTACCAAAGCAAAAAACTTAGTGGGCTCAATCATAGAATGGAGACGACAGGAGAAAGAGTAAATGAGCTTGAAGATAGATCAATAGAAATTATCCAGTGTAGACGAGGCATGGTGCCTCATACCTGTAAATCCCAACACTTTGGGAGGCCGAGCCGGACAGTTCACTTGAGGCCAGGAGTTCAAGACCAGCCTGGCCAACATGGTGAAACCCCATCTGTACTAGAAATTTTTTTAAAAATTAGCTGGGCGTGGCGGTACTTGCCTGTAACCCAGCTACTCAGGAGGCTGAGACACGAGAATCATTTAAACCCAGGAGTCGGCGGTTGCAGTGAGCCAAGATCATGCCATTGCATTCCAGCCTGCGCGACAGAGCAAGACTCTGTCTTAAAGAGAATAAAAGAAATTATCCAGTATACAGAAGACAGGAAAAGACTGGGAGGGGGAAAAAGGAGCCTTGGGGACCTGCGGAACAATAACAGAAAAATCTGACAGTCATGTCATTGGAATAACAAGGAAAGAAGGACCATAGGGCCAAAAAATTATTTGAAGAAATAATATTTGAAACGTCCTGAGTTGGGCAGAAGACATGAATTTACAGATTTAAAAAGCTCAGAACCCCAAACAGGATAAAATAAATTTATTCCCAGGTAAAGCATAATAAAATTATTTAAAACAAAAAATTCTGAAAGCCAGGGAAAAATGACATATATAAGAAAAAAAGATTTAACTGATGATATATTTCTCATCAGAAACCCTGGAGCCAGAGGAAGTGGAACATTTTGGAAGTGTTTAAACAATTATCAGTACAAATTTCTATGTCCAGCAAAAAATACTCTTCAGGAGTAAAAGTGAAAGAAAGACATTCTCAGATGAGTAGGATAATTCATTGCCAGCCGACCAGCTCTGAGAATTGCTAAAGGAAGTTATTCAGAGAGAGGGGAAATGAATGCTGGAGGAAACTTGGAACATCATGGATGATGGAAGAGCAACAAAAATGGGAAGTATAATAGACTATTTTTCTCCTCTTGAGTTTGCTGAAATATGTTTTGCAGGTGAAAACAAAAATCATAGCATTGTCTGATGAGGTTTTCAATGTACATAGACATAGAGACAACTACAGCATAAAGAGAGAAATGGGGTCTATATGTGTTTTTGCATTCCACTTGAAGTGGTAAAATTTTAATTCTAAGTGTGTACATTGACATTCTGAAGTATAGACTATATAAAGAGATGTCAAAATCCAATAATAGCTAAATTATAATAAAATTTGCAATGTTCAAATAACCAAGAAGAGGGCAGGAAATGGGAAAGAGGAAGGAATAATCAGAAAATAAATAATAAAATGGTAGCCCCAAAATGATTTTTTTTTAATGATGCAACTCTAAGCTGCCTTCAAGAAACTCACTTTATTTTTATTTTTTATTATTTTACTTTCGTGTAATTTCTTTTTTTATTATTATTTTAGGGTACACGTGTACAACGTGCAGGTTTGTTACATATGTATACATGTGCCATGCTGGTGTGCTGCACCCATTAACTCATCATTTTACATTAAGTATATCTCCTAATGGTATCCCTCCCCCCTCCCCCCACCCCACAACAGGCCCTGGTGTGTGATGTTCCCCTTCCTGTGTCCATGTGTCCTCATTGGTCAATTCCCACCTATGAGAACATGCGGTGTTTGGTTTTTTTGTCCTTGCGATAGTTTGCTGAGAATGATGGTTTCCAGCTTCATGCATGTCCCTACAAAGGACATGAACTCTTCATTTTTTATGGCTGCATAGTATTCCATGGTGTATATGTGCCACATTTGTTAATCCAGTCTATCATTGTTAGGCATTTGGGTTGGTTCCAAGTCTTTGCTATTGTGAATAGTGCCACAATAAACACACGTGTGCATGTGTCTTTATAGCAGCATGATTTATAATCCTTTAGGTATATACCCAGTAATGGGATGGCTGAGTCAAATAGTATTTCTAGTTCTAGATCCCTGAGGAATCGCCACACTGACTTCCACAATGGTTGAACTAGTTTACAGTCCCACCAACAGTATAAAAGTGTTCCTATTTCTCCACATCCTCTCCAGCACCTGTTGTTTCCTGACTTTTTAATGATCGCCATTCTAACTGGTGTGAGATGGTATCTCATTGTGGTTTTGATTTGCATTTCTGTGATGGCCAGTGATGATGAGCATTTTTTCATGTGTCTTTTGTCTGCATAAATGTCTTATTTTGAGAATTGTCTGTTCATATCCTCCGCCCACTTCTTAATGGGGTTGTTTGCTTATTTCTTGTAAATTTGTTTGAGTTCTTTGTAGATTCTGGATATTAGCCCTTTGTCAGATGAGTAGATTGCAAAAATTTTCTCCCATTCTGTAGGTGGCCTGTTTGCTCTGATGGTAGTTTCTTTTGCTGTGCAGAAGCTCTTGAGTTTAATTAGATCCCATTTGTCAATTTTGGCTTTTGTTGCCATTGTTTTTGGTGTTCTAGACATGAAGTCCTTTCCCATGCCTATGTCCTGAATGGTATTGCCTAGGTTTTCTTCTAGGGTTTTTATGGTTTTAGGTCTAACATTTAAGTCTTTAACCCATCTTGAATTCATTTTTGTATAATGTGTAAGGAAGGGATCCAGTTTCAGCTTTCTACATATGGCTAGCCAGTTTTCCCAGCACCATTTATTAAATAGGGAATCCTTTCCCCATTGCTTGTTTTTGTCAGGTTTGTCAAAGATCAGATAGTTGTAGATATGTGGCATTATTTCTGAGGGCTCTGTTCTGTTCCATTGGTCTATATCTCTGTTTTGGTATCAGTACCATGCTGTTTTGGTTACTGTAGCCTTGTAGTATAGTTTGAAGTCAGGTAGCGTGATGCCTCCAGCTTTGTTCTTTTGGCTTAGGATTGACTTGGCAGTGCAGGCTCTTTTTTGGTTCCATATGAACTTTAAAGTAGTTTTTTCCAATTCTGTGAAGAAAGTCATTGGTAGCTTGATGGGGATGGCATTGAATCTATAAATTACCTTGGGCAGTATGGCCATTTTCACGATATTGATTCTTCCTAGCCATGAGCATGGAATGTTCTTCCATTTGTTTGTATCCTCTTTTATTTCCTTGAGCAGTGGTTTGTAGTTCTCCTTGAAGAGGTCCTTCACATCCCTTGTAAGGTGGATTCCTAGGTATTTTATTCTCTTTGAAGCAAATGTGAATGGTAGTTCACTCATGATTTGGCTCTCTGTTTGTCTGTTATTGGTGTATAAGAATGCTTGTGATTTTTGCACATTGATTTTGTATCCTGAGACTTTGCTGAAGTTGCTTATCAGCTTAAGGAGATTTTGGGCTGAGACAATGGGGTTTTCTAGATATACAATCATGTCATCTGCAAACAGGGACAATTTGACTTCCTCTTTTCCTAATTGAATACCCTTTATTTATTTCCTTCTCCTGTCTAATTGCCCTGGCCAGAACTTCCAACACTATGTTGAATAGGAGTGGTGAGAGAGGGCATCCCTGTCTTGTGCCAGTTTTCAAAGGGAGTGCTTCCAGTTTTTGTCCATTCAGTATGATATTGGCTGTGGGTTTGTCATAGATAGCTCTTATTATTTTGAGATATGTCCCATCAATACCTAATTTATTGAGAGTTTTTAGCATGAAGCGTTGTTGAATTTTGTCAAAGGCCTTTTCTGCATCTACTGAGATAATCATGAAGAAACTCACTTTAAATAGAAGAATATTGGTCCATTAAAAGTAGAAAATGGCAAAAGACATACCATGCAAACACTAATCAAAAGGAAGTTAGAGTGGATATATTAGTAACAGAAAATTAGACTTCAGGTTAAAGAAAATGATTAGAGCTAAAGAGGAATACTACATAATGACAAAAGAGCTAAGTCACCAAGAATAACAAATAATTCTAATTGTATATGCACCTAACAACGGAGGTTCAGAATACCTGAAGCAAAAATTGGCAGAAAGGAAAGGAAAAATAGATAATCCACAATTATACTTCGCAAGCGTGACACTACTCTCTCAACATTTGATAGAAATGCTGGACATAAAATCAGGGATATAGAAGAACTGACAATCTGATTAATATTTATAAAACATGCTCTCCAACAATAACACCATCCACATTCTTTTCAAGTGTACATGGAACATTCAACAAGATAGACCATATTCTGGGTCATAAAACCTTAATGAATTTTAAAAAATTGAAATCACACAAATTATATTCTTGAACCATAATGGAATTAAATTTTAGAAATCAATAAAAGAGTGATAACAGGAAAATCTTCAAGTACTTGGAAATTAAACAGCACACTTCTCAATAAGTTATGGGTCAAAGAAGAGGTATTAAGGAAGATTGGAAAGTATTTTGAACTGGGTGAAAATGAAAATATCAGACAGTGAAAAACACAATATATACTGTGATGTGTACTGTAATACAAAGTAGGTCAATTACCGATGCTCATTTATTCATCATGAACACACAAAATCAGTAAAATACTCAAATAACAAGTTTTAAGGTATTGGTATATTCACCCAGTTGATAAAAATCAGCCAGTTAATTTGACAGATAAGTATTAAATAATCAGGCTGTTAGAATCAGGTGAGTAAAGGAGAAAGTAAAAACCTGAACAAAGTAGGATGATGCAGGTAAAGCAATGCTTAGAGGAAAATTGATAGTATTAAATGTTTATATGAGGAGAAAAGAAAGATCTCAAGTAAATACCCTGAGTTTGCACCTTAAAAAATAGAAAAAGAAGAGTAAAAGCCAAAGCAAGCAGAGGGGAGGAAATGGTAAAGATGAGACCAGAAAGCAATGAAATTGAACACAGGAAAATAGAGAAAATCAATGAAACTAAAATCTGTATTTGGAAAGATCAATAAAATTGATAAGCCTCTAGCAAGGCTGACAAAGATAAGAAGAGAGAAGATACAAATCAGCAATATCCAGAATTCTAGACCCCCATGGACTTCTTTTAAAAATAATAAGGGAATACTCCACATATTTGACAATTTAAACATAATGGATCAATTCCTTGAAAACCATAAACCCTAAAACTCATCCAAGATGGAACAGATAACCTCAGTAGTCCAATATTATGTCTATGAAAGAAATTGTATTTATAGTTAAGAAGAAAGCAAAAGAGAATAACATTGGAGGAATCAATACATAGCTTTAATACTTACTACAAAGCTACAGTAATCAAGACAGTGTGGAACTGGCAAAATAATAGACACGTAGACCAATGGAAGAGAATAGACTCACAAGTGTGGCCATTTTATTTTTAGCAAACATGCAAAAGCAATTTAATGGAGAAGGGGTAGTCCTTTCAACAAGTGATGATGGAAAAAGTGGATATCCATATGCAGAGAAAAATGAACCTTGACCTAAAGCTCATACCTTATACAAAAATTAACTCCAAATATATCGTAGGTGTAAATGTAAAACTATAAAACTTTAAAGAAGTAATGCATAAGAGAAAATCTTCATGACCTAGGGTTAGGCAAAGTGTTCTTAGACATGAAACTAAAATTGTGATCCATAAAAGAAAAATGTTGATCACCTGGACTTCATCAAAATTAAAAACCTTTGATCTGCAAAAGACACTGTTAAGGCAATGACTGCCACAGACTGGGAGAAAATGTTTTCAAATTACATATCTAACAAAGGTCCTGTATCCAGTATATATAAAGAACTCTCAAAACTCAACAGTAAAACAAGCAATCCAATTTAAAAAAAAACAAAAGACTTGAATAGATTCTTCACCATAGGAAATATAAGGATGACAAACATGTGAAAAGATGTTTAACATCACTAGCATCAGGGAGATGCAGATTAAAACCTTGACAAAGGCTGGGTACAGTGGCTCACACCTGTAACCCCAACACTTTAGGAGGTTGAGGCTGCAGTGAGCAGTGACTGTGCCACTGCACTCTAGCCTGGGTGACAGAGTAAGACCCTGCCTCAAAAATTAAAAAATAAATAAAAATAAAACTGTGAAAAAGATACGGCTCCACACCTATTAGAATGGCTAAAATACAAAATACTGACAATACCAAAAGCTGGCGCAGATGCAAAACAACAGGAGCCCTCATATGTTGCTGGTGGGAATGTAAAGTGGTATCACAACCCCAGAAAAGGTTGACACTTGCTTATAAAGAGTAATATACACTTAACATATGATCCAGCAGTCCTGTTCCTGTGTATTTACCCTAAAGAAGTACAAATTTATGTTCATACAAATACCTGAATTCATATATGAATGTTTATAGTAGCTGAATTCATAATAGCCTAAAACTGGAAACAACTGTAAAGAAACTGTAGTACTTTCCTACCATGGAATATTGCTCAGCAATATAAAGGAAGGTACTACTGATACACCCAACATCTTGGATGAATAGCAGAGGCATTATGCTGAGTGGATAAGCCAAGACTCAAGGGTACATTCTGTATGATTCCATTTCTTGAAAATAAACTATAATGATGTAGAGAACAGAAGAGTGGTTGTCATGGGTTAGAGAATGGTGTGAATACAAAGGGGCAGCATGAAGGGGTGTTTGAAGCATGGTGGGACTATTCTTCAGCCTGATTGTGGTGTGTTACGTGTGTTTAAAAAGTCGTGGTAAGGCCAGGTGTGGTGGCTCACACCTGTAATCCCAGCACTTTGGGAGGCCGAGGCGGGCAGATCACCTGAGGTCGGTAGTTCAAGACCAGCCTGGCCAACATGGTGAAACCCTGTCTCTACTAAAAAACATAAAAAATTAGCTGGGCATGGTGGTGGGCACCTGTAATCCCAGCTACTTGGGAAGCTAAGGCAGGAGAATCGCTTAAACCCGGGAGATGGAGGTTGCAGTGAGCTGAGATTGTGCCATTGCACTCCAGCCTGGGCAGCAAGAGCAAAACTCTGTCTCAAAAAAAAACAAAAAAAAAACAGTCATGGTAAGCCGGGCGTGGTGGCTCACACCTGTTATCCCAGCATCTTGGTAGGCCGAGGCAGGCGGATCACCCAAGATCGGGAGTTCGAGACCAACGTGGCCAACATAGCAAAACCCCATCTCTATTAAAAATACAGAAATTAGCCAGGCGTGGTGGCATGCGTGTGTAATCCGAGCTACTTGGGAAGCTGAGGCAGGAGAATCACTTGAACCCAGGAGGCGGAGGTTGCAGTGAGCCAAGATCGTACCATTGCCCTCCAGCCTGGGTGAAAAGAATGAAACTCCATCTCAAAAAATAATAATAATTTTTTAAAAAAAGTCATGGCATGACTTTTTAGCCAGGCACACTAGCATGTGCCTTTAATCTCAGCTCCTCGTGAGGCTGAGGCGGGAGGATCGCTTGAGACCAGCCTGGGCAACATAGTGAGACCCTGTCTCAAAAAAATTTTAAAAAAATCGTGGAACTGTACCCCACCAGTCAGTTTTACTATGCAATAATTTTTAAAGTAAGATTTTTTTTAATAGAATTTCTGTGGCCTGATAAGATATAATTCTGCTTTAAGAACTTCTGTGAATGTCCAACATTGAGATCATCACAAGGTAATTCCCAAAACTGCCACACTGAAGACAAGGCACACCTAAATAAATGTCACTGGGAGCCCCTGCTAAACTTTTTGGCCAGGAATCCATACCAAGGAACAAGTATCCAACTATGACAAAGGAACAAAACATTCATATTCTCTTTGCTAAAGCACATTTGTGAAAGTAAAACATCTCCCCCCACCCCCGCAAAAAAAAAAAAAGGAAAGTCATTCCTAAAAATTGATAGAATAGATTTGGACATCAGAGTGTCAGGCCACTCATGCAAGTTCTAGCCCTTCAAATAAGAATGTAAAGCCGTAATAACATGACAGCATTTTGAATAGGAAAATCTGGATTTGTGAAGCAGTGTGTGTTTTTGACAACAGTAGTTCCGCATTCTTTTATGCAACATAAACATCGATTTGTTTAAAGTTACCATTCTTTTATTTATCCAGCGGGAGCATAGATAGCATCATAGGGAAAAAGAGACTCTATCCTGATTTGTTTTCTCTTTATTTCACTACAGCCAGCATTCTGGAACCCCTTTCAAACATCCCTTCCTGTGGGTTAAGGGAGATTATTTAAAAACAAACAGACCACACAAAAAAACAGCACAGTTTCTAAATTTTTGTAATAATAATTGAAAATGTAAATTAGTTTCAATCAAGTTCCTTTTGTTCTCCTGGTTTAAAATTACTGGTTAAGGTTATTTTGCATTCACAAATGTTAAACAGTATATCTGAGCAAGGTGAAATAGATTACAGAGGAGTCATATTGGCGGGTGGGACCTCCTTACAGGCCTGCAGATGACTGAAGGCTCATACTGCCTCCAGTGGCTTCTGCTTAAGCCCCACCCACCTATTACAATTCTGAAGGGGAACAGTATTCCAATAAAGATATTTTCTTTCCTATTATTTTATTTTTTAATGGCTGTGATTGTATACCATTTCATATTAGGCTTAGCAAATTCACATACTCATCTTCACTTGATGATCTACCAATTTGCTCTTTTCATTTCTTCACAAAATTAACTGGCCTGTGTTGAAGAGCATAAATCTCTAGTTCCTAAATTCTTGATACACTTTGTGGAATTTTTTTACTAGCATTAAAAAGTGTTTGAAGCTGCATTCTGTGGATGAGGCCCCAGGCTCTATCCAAAGATATCCCTGGAGTATTTCTCTTTTTATTTGTTTTATATATGAAGTTGCTCTATAAAAGTTTATCTAAAAGAAAAGGGGTTCCATTACCAAGAAAATATTGTGAACGCCACTCACCTGGACAAATGAAATTCACAGATAATGAGAACTTGAGTTTTTAACCAGTCATCCCCATTTCCCATCCCTCTAAACTTTAAGTGTTGCTAACAGCAAAATTTGACTGATTTCATGCTTTATTTGTCAACATTGGAATAGTGTTTATTGAATACCTTCTATATGCCAGTACCATATTTCAGGGGGGTGCATTACTTTATCTTACTTTGCCTTTGGAAAAACTGCTGAGAAGTGAAGTGGCTAAGGCAGAAAAGGGGAAGAATGAGGACATGGATTATCTGTCTCAGAGTAATTGAGTGCCACGGTGTGTACTGACTAATGTGCCAGACCTTCAAATGAGATAAATGGGCGGTAAAAAGTGATTTCAGAGAAACAGACCTGCTAGAGCTCAGATTGAGGCACTTCTGTTATAGTCATAGAAGATTACAGAACAATTAGAGCCAAGAGGATTGCAGAAGAAACAAAACACTTTCATGTTAACACAGCCTGCCAAGGAATCAGATAAGATATTGGCATAACATAGGCTTGGGAATTGAAGAATTCCTATGTTGTTGATCCTTGAACCTTCTGTTCAAATCCCAGATAGAGGGCAATAGATAGGTAAGACAGAAAATTTACAGTGGAATGGCATCTAAATATGTTGAGGCTAGAATGAAGCCTATTACAAGAACCTGAGAACTTTTTTTTTCTTTTTTCTTTTTTTTTTTTTTGAGGCAGTCTCGCTGTGTCGCTCAGGCTAGAGTGCAGTGGCACGATCTTGGCTCACTGCAACCTCCGTCTCCAGGTTCAAGCAATTCTCCTGCCTCAGCTTCCTGAGTAGCTGGGATTACAGATTTGCACTACTACGCCTGGCTAATTTTTGTATTATTAGTAGACAGGGTTTCACCATGTTGGCCAGGCTGGTCTCGAACTCCTGACCGCAGGTGATCCACCCTCCTCAGCCTCCCAAAGTGCTGGGATTACAGGCGTGAGCCACCGCGCCCGGCCACTGAGAACAATTTTTAAAAGAGGACAGAGAACATCAATGGGATGTATTATCAAAGGACTTCCCATACTTTGAGACCTAGACTGGGGAGATGTATAGCGTGGGAAGGATTTTTGTTTTGTTTTTCTGATTTTTCCAAACAATTTTTTTGAGTTGCAAAAGCTTAAGATAAAAGTTACAGGAATTGAGTGTTTCCTTTCTTTAGGTGAAAGTAGTTGAGAGAGAACACATTTATGGCTATGCATTTTATTCCAAGGAAAATCCATTAGCCAATTTGTTTTTTGTATTTTTTAAATACTTCTTTGTAGAATAGTTTCGTTTTCTATCGCATGTAGAAAGCAGCCTAGGTAAGCTTTCAGTGGGAAAGACCAGATCTTGTATACAAGCAAATCTAGTTTCTAATTAAACAAGTTTCTAACACTTTAATGTCTAAAAAGAAAAGGCAGGCTGGGCATGGTGGCTCACGCCTATAATCCCAGCACTTTGGGAGGCTGAGGCGGGTGGATCACTTGCGAGACCAGCCTGGCCAACATGGTGAAACCCCGTCTCTACTAAAAATAGAAAAATTAGCTGGGCATGGTGATGCATGCCTGTAATCCCAGCTACTCGGGAAGCTGAGGCAGGAGAATTGCTTGAACCTGGGAGGTTGCAGTGAGCCGAGATTGCACCACTGCACTCCAGCCTGAGTGACAGAGTGAGACTCCATCTGAAAGAAAAAAAAAAAAAAGGCAAAAAGCAGCCAAGTCATCTTTTTGTTGGCTCTGTTTTTGCAGTGCCATTATTGTCCTGGCAAATTGGAAGAATTTAGACAAGGAATTAGTGAATTACACATGCATGTGTGTTAATACCCTTTCTTTTATTACTTTTTCTTTGGTTTTTGAAATTTAATTTGCTGACATTTGAAAATATACCTACAATTACTTGTTACTGAATAACTACTTATTCAAAATATCATGGAGGAAAATCACAAGACCTCTACCGTGATTCAGTAACTAAATTATGTTAATAGCTACCTGAAATTTCCTAAAGAAAGTCCAAACCAATGGACTCCACTAAATGATCTCTTAGAGAATTACTGCTTATCTCTCATTATGATGGCTGGTTAGGATAGAGAGTCTGTGTCCTCAGAGCCTAGCAGCCATGTTTAGGGGTGGGCTGTATGAATATATTTCATTGACTGAGCTGGCTAGAACAGGATAATGGCCAAATGTAGTCTGACCAGTAGAAATGAACATTGACAAGAATTAAGTCTTAATGAAATAGGAGGATATAGTTAATGTGAATTGAGGGCTTACCATGTGCCAGACAGTAGACTTTTGCCAAACACTTTATATGCATTGTCTTATTTAATCTTTACGACATTCTGATGGGTATTTTACAGCTGGGTAAACCAAGGCTTCGAGAGGTTAAGTGACTTGGTAGAACCAGAATTTGAAGCAGTCTGTCCGACTCTGGAAGCCACACAATTAACTACTATTTTATATCTATTATCATTATACCTGTTATCATTAATGTGAGACCAAATGATACCAAAAAGCAAAGTTTGAGGATGGTGAGCAAAGACCTCTCCAAAATCTACCTCTACACTTTCTGCTGAAGGATAGCTGATACACACCCCACCCATCACCACCAAAAAAAAAAAAAAAGCACACCATTTCTCGAATATTCCTAAGCATCATTTTTGAAAATTTCATTGTTATGTATATGAATCTATGCTGTTCTCTGAAACTATTAGTCACTAAAACTACATTCATAGATATAATTTGTTTCATAGTAGCTTATAAGGGATATAACCTCATTATAGACTGACAAACACTCTAGAACAAAGCAGAGACAGTAGAGATACATTAAAGGTTTGTTGTAGCCAAATTTAACCCCCCAAAAAAGATTTAAAGCAAACATATACCAGCTACTATGTTTCAGGCACTGTTCTAAGCATTTTTTCTATTTAAACTCATTTAATATGCATCATAATCCTATGAGGTACTGTTGTTATTCCTGCTTTACAGATGAGGAAACATGGTTAGATGCTGTCTTTATTTACTTCACATTACTATTAATATGAAAGAATACCTGAGTCTGGGTGATTTATTAAAAAAAGAGGTTTATTTGACTTGTGATTCTGATGTCTGGAGAACTTCAAGACAAGATTGGACATTTGTATCAGATGAGGGCCTCGGGCTGCTTCCTCTCATGGGGGAAGATGAAGGAGAGCTGGCTGTGTAGAGATCGCATGGTGAGAGAAGAAGTGAGAGACAGAGGAGGGGAGGTGTGAGGCTCTTTTTAACAACCAGCTCTAAAGGGAATTAATAGAGTAAGAACTCACTTAGCCACTCCTTCCCTTAGGGAGGGCAGTAATCTGTTCATGAGAGATCTACTGCCGTGATCAAAACACCTCCCATTAGGTCCTTCCTCCAACATTGGGGATCACATTTCAACATGAGATTTGGAGGAGACAAACATCCAAATTATAGCAGATATCTTGCCCAAGACCACCCATTTAATTAAGAAGTAGAGCCAGGATTTGAACCCAGTCTGGTTCCACAGTGTGTGCTCTTAACCACCACACTATACTTGTCTCATTTCGTATTTTTACATGTAGTAGTTTAAAATACCTTGGCTTTACTTAGCTCCTTTCTTCTAAAGAACGTATTCTTCTAGCCTCCTGATTCTCTCTATGCCAGATTAAGTTCTTGCAAGTGTCTCTTTATCTCGGGAAACTTCCCAAAGACAAATATTCATAGCTAATAAATAGTTATAATACTCACTGCCATTTACTTAGCACTAATTTTATGCCAGATACCGTACTGTTTCCTATACATTATCTCATTCAGTCTTCGTAACAGTGCCTTGAGGTCATGTTCCCCCCCACCACCACCATTTACAAATGAAAGGTTACCTGGCCTCTCTGAGCCTCAGTTTTTCCATTTGTAAAACTGAGAAAGCCTCTTGATGTTCTGTTAGGAATTTCTAAAGGCAAATGAACACGTATTCAAGTATATACATAGACTGTGGAACATAAATTTTACTTCTAGGAACTCAAATTTTGACATCTTTATATTTCAATTTTTATTTTAAGTTCTAGGATACATGTACAGGATGTGCAAGTTTGTTACATGGGTAAATGTGTGCCATGGTGGTTTGCTGCACCTATCAACCCATCACCTAGGTATTAAGCCCAACACGCACTAGCTATTTTCCTAATGCTCTCCCTCCCCAGTTTTTTTTTTTGTTTTTTTTTTTGTTTTTTTTTTTGTTTTGTTTTTCTGTTTTTTTTTTTTTTTTTTTGAGACAGAGTCTCACTCTGTCGCCCAGGCTGGAGTGCAGTGTCACGATCTCAGCTCACTACAGTCTCCACCTCCCAGATTCAACTGATTCTCCTGCCTCAGCCTCCCAAGTAGCTGGGACTACAGGTGTGTGCCACCACACCCGGCTAATTTTTGTATTTTTAGTAGAGACGGGGTTTTGCCATGTTGGCCAGGCTGGTCTCAAACTCCTGACCTCAGATGATCCTCCCGCCTTGGCCTCCCAAAGTGCTGGGATTACAGGCATGAGTCACCGAGCCTGGCCACCCCCTCACCCCCCACAAATTTTGACATATTTTTAATCAAAGGTGCAATTTCTAAAGGTGCTTCTCAGAATGAAGAGCAAAAATTATAAAATTAAGTTGACACATTAGACGTTGGGTCCCTAGCACAACAATGGTACACATTGGAAAGCTTGTCTATTTGGCTTGGTCAGTTTCTCATTGCAGCCTTTGCCTCTAGCCCGCAGGCCCATGACCTTTTTTGTGGCCCTGTGCTTCAGCCACTTGGACCTATAGTGAACTATAACCTGAATGTGACATCATTGTAGCCTGTGTGAGGGAGGTACCAGGTGCATATGAATGGACCGTCTCTGGCACACAAAGCAAGTATGTCAGATTGAAAACTGGCCACAAAAGAACTGATTAACACAGAATGACATAGTTGAAAATGCATCAATAAAAAGTGGCATAATAAAAGGATCAAGGGGCTTGGACACTGAAAACCTGGCATCAAGTATTGGCTCTGCCACTTACTAGCTGCATGACCTAAGGCAAGCCCAGTAACCTCTTTGAGTCTCAGCTTTCTTATATGTAAAATGAGGATAATCAGAATAGGTAGCTCACATGTTGAGGATCAAATGGGAGAAACCATAATGCAAAGGAGAGTGCTCTGAAAACTAGAAAGTGTCAAATTGACATTAATCTATCATGCTGAACTTCATTAAGCCCCTCCTTTGGCATACTGTGATTTAATCCATATATAGCGTGCATATATGGACTTTATTTTATCTTGCTCAATCCTAGACCAGCATTTCATGCCAAGAAGTGAGATGATGTTTGGAAATAAAAATATGCCGCCTTCTCGATTCTAGCTATGAATAATCATTCTAGTTTTGACTCTACCAGTTTTTCTAAGAGGTTTCAAACAAACCATAGCTACCCCATTTACTGACCAGATCTAGTATTATAAACAGATGACTTCACCTTGATGAACTTTGTAAAATAAGGGAAATAATCCCAGTTTCCCCTGACCTCACAGAGTTATTCTGAGGATTGAATGCTTTGAAAAATATCACATACTATGCAAGTGCAAGGGTTGTGAATTTTTTTTATTGTTTAGCAGAGTAATTCATTTAGTTATTGAACAGGCATATTGATAAAAATATTGTCAGGAATAAAAAAATGAATATGACCATCAAAGACCTCTCAGTGTAGCATCGGAACTAAAACACACAAATAATTCTATTAGAAAATGAAAAGTGATACATGCCATTAAAAATTATAGAAAGACAGTGGTTGACATGAAGAGAGGGGTATATAAATGGAAATATCCACATTTAACTGTGTCACAGTATTGGAGAAGATGTACCCACACCATACTGTAAGCTTCTGCAATCTTTCAGTATTTTTCTCTTGTCCCCTGATGTAGCCCTAGCAGCTAGAACAGTGCCTTCGCATGTAGTAGATTCTCAGTATGTTAGATAAATGAATAGTTGTCTTTCTGATGAATACAGGTGGCTCATGCTATGAGAGTAGGCTGACTTTAACTTACCCTACGTTTCCATATGAAGCAGAACTTCTTCAGAGGTGTCACCTAACCCAGAATGCACCTTAACATCCAGATCAAATTAAAAGGTTAAGTTTTCATCCTGATGTTACTCCAATGTATTTATAGTAGCCATGTATATTTATTTTAGTCATTGTTGATATTTGTTTATCACAGCACCAAGGGACCAGTTATTAAGATATTTGAAAGCTGACCAAACATTCCAGATGTCAGTTTTGCCTTTTGTGTGTGTGTGTGTGATGGGGGTGGAATGGGAAATAATAGAGAATTTTTATTTTAACAAGATAATGTGCCAGGGAAGAGGAACAAGTGGCTTTTTTTGGCCAATAAGAAGACAAAGTCATATTGCAGTTTTTCATCCAGCTTAGATCTGAAAAGAAATCCTAGAAATTACTGAATCGAAGAAAACCCCCCCTTTTTTTGAGACAGGATCTGTTTGTGTCACCCACATTGGAGTATAGTGGCGTGAACATAGCTCACTGCAGCCTCAAATTCCTGGACTCAAGGAGGTCCTCCTGCCTCAGCCTCCCAAGTAGCTGGGACTACAGACATGCGCTATCATACCCAACTAGTTTATTTTTTTTTTTTTGTAGAGATAGGGTCTTGCTATGTAACCCAGGCTGGTCCCAAACTCTTGGCCTCAAGTGACCTCTCCCCCGCCCACCTTGGCCTCCCAAAGCACTACAATTACAGGCTTGAGCCACTGTTCCTGGCCCCATTTTTTCCAAATAAGATTTCATGCAGAATTCCCATCTATGAAACAGATAAATATTTTTATCAATATAGATGTCTATTTTAACTTTGTTTTTTACAAGTCTGTCAGTGAGAGCACCAGTTAATACATTGGGGTCTTAAAGGTCTTAAAAGTTGGTATGTAGCACATGTGAGTGAACCTTTTAAATTTTTTGATGAATATATACTTTAATAAATGAAGAAGCCCCTGAGGCCCACAAATAGTACATATTTGAACAACACTAATCTAGCCCTATCCATTCATACCATAGATAGGGAGTTTGAAACTAATCTGTAGAACCTCATTCTACCACTACATTTTACTTTGTGATGTGGTACTATTAATAAATCTGAACTTGGCCCACTATCTCAGCACTTTGAGGTTTTAAGGGTGTCTCCAGCTTAAGCATCAATAAACATTTCTAGACCATCTTAAAGTTCCAGTGGAATCCAAGGGTATGACTTACAAACCTTGATTTTTATGTTATTGTTTCTTCTGGTTTGAAATTTATATTTAAATTTTCATTGAGGTATTGATACATGCTTACATGTAAGAGAGGGCAAATTCAATCTTTTTTTGACATTAGGTTAACCTAGAAATAATGACATTAAGGAAACCTTTTGTAGGGAGGACAGTAAACAGTCCTCAGTCCCAGTGAGGACCCCATGGCCAATATTTGGATATTTCAACATCTGCAGTATTGAAGCCAGCCGTGTCTCCTCAGATGGAAATTGCCATGTGCAGAATGACTTGATAGAAAATGGTGTACATTCTATATAATCTTCTAACAGCAGAATGCGACCAGTGGCACTTCCCCTAAAAAAAATAAATTACCCGAAATTTGCAGCACATTCATATTCAATTTCATCACAGCAGATGCTCATTAGTATGTTGTTATTAATTGGTATTCACTTTAGGTTTTGTTTAAAATGAAGATAATAATTAGGTTTTAATTACTGCATCATTCGTGGGGGTGGGGGTTGTCTGTGGGGAGAGGGAAAGAGTGAAATGCCTCTTAAAGCACTAAAATATTTCCTGATGCTTATTCAGCAACGTGTGTTGCCAAAGACTTTGAAAAATAACTTCATCTTTACAAAAAAAGGATTCTGAAATGAAGAAATTACTGTGTGTTTTTTAAGCCCATCGTTATCAAGAACTTGCTGTAAATTGTCTACTTGATGGACATACTGAATCAGATGATAATGTGCACCACCATTCTTTCTAATCAAATTACCAAAAAGACTTCTTGGAAAAGTAACCCTCACAAGCGGCTGATTAATGAAGTGGTGGCAATGTTTTGTATTAGAACTAATTGAAGTAATCCAAATAAGTTATTTCTGTAGCCTATGGAAATAATTTCCTTTGCAAAGAAGTACAGTGGAGTTGGCAAACCAGTATTTTTTTTTCACCCTCTGTTGTTCCACATTTGCAAAATAGCTAAGTTAACATAGATATTGCAAATAAAATAGATAGAAAACTAAGTAATTGAGTGGCAGGGAAAACAGGAAAGTTTATTTCAACCTTTTCATAATCAAGACGAATAATTTACCTAAAGCCTAAAGGTGTATGGAAATTGAGCGATACTGGAATTCGAAGGCATATCTTTAGTAAAATGCTGTAGAAATAGCAGTTTTTAATGCATTCATTTAAAAGAGACACTCATGTTCAAGAGTTTAGACATGTTCCTTAGACAAAACTTTCTGGAGAACCTGTGGCTGGCATGGCATTGTGTTTGGTGCACAAATCAAACCCTCCAGAAGCTTATCGTCTAATTGGGAAACGTATAGGATCTATCACATATCCACTGTGTACTTCGTAGCAGTCATGGTGCTCGGTGCTTTTTGTATGGTATCTTGTTATTTTAACAACATTCCTGAGACACGTTAGTCTTGTTTTACAGATGGAGAAATTGAGGTGTGAATATGTTAAGCAGTTTGTCAAAGGTCACCCAAGCCTTTAGTGGTAGAACTACATTTCAAGCCAGATTCAGTCTGACCCCAAAGCCTATGGTCTTTCTGCTATTCCAGTCTTCCATGGGGATATACACATAGGACACATTAGAAATCAATTCAAAGGACTAGTGTTGTATCATTAAGCAATATGCATGTGGTCCCCGCCCTCAGCAGCTCACATCCTAGGAGGCTCAAGGGGTGATAAAACCAGTGAGGACTACCTGGGGTGGGAGCTGTAGGTCAGAGGGTGTAGTGAGCCATGTGGTCACAGGATAGGCAACTATGTCTGTCAGGTGGAAAGTGAACAGACAGAATTATGGAGGCACAAACGGCTTCCCGAAGATGATGATGACTGTGGGGTCTGATGAGGTGGATAGGAACTGACTGGATCTTTAATCAAGACCAGAAGGATAGACCTGAAAGGGGTGGAATTGCTTGGGTAAGGGTGTGGAGGAAGGAAGGATACATTTCCTGACTGTAGCAGGGGATGGTGATAAGGGTGGCGTGGGTATATGGCCAGGCTGGCAGTTGAGGGGCATGTAGAAAACTTGTGAGAGTGGACCTGAAGGGTTGGAACTTTATCCTGTGTGTGGTGAGGGTGCTAGTAGGGATTTTTCAGCAAAGACTATCCTAAGCTGGATTTTCATTTCTAGACATGTACCTCATGATCTCTGTCAGTGCTAGTGAGGTTTAGAGTTCTGAATCTGCTATATGGTATGATACCTAGATTTAACTGTATCTTCACCATTTGCAAAGTAATGCAGTTTAATACACCTTCATTATATTTTACAGTTATAGCGAGTGCTGGATTATCTATGCTTCTACTAGAACGTGGTGTTTGGGGGTACGTTTTGGGTTTTTTGGCAGCTGATTTTCCTTCATGATTTGATATTTTTCAGGCTTCACCAAAATGAATTTTACATCAATGAGAATGTACCAGTTGATGATGCAAGGAGGCAGGCCTTGCATCTTCTGGGTTGTATGAGGGTGATAACTTGAGATTAAGATTTTGCTGTGGATAATCTCTAAGGTCATGAGCCCAACTCTTCATACCTCAAGGAATTTAATTCAGGGACAAGTTGTGTTATGAGATGACTTTAGCTAATTTCTGCTGTCCCTACAAATGAGAGAGAAAAGACTGGTTATGTTCCCATGCAAATATCTTAGAAATATAAAGTAAAAGACTGTCTTGTCAAACCAGTTCAAAAGAAAGTCAGATGAAATCGATACCTCAGAAAACAGTTTGGCAGTACCTACTAAAGCTGAACATTTGCATGCCCTATGACTCAGCATTTCCCCTCCTCCAAACTGTAATCAACAGAAAATGATACATATTAATATGTGCTTCAAAGACATGTACAGGAATATTCACAGTAGCATCATTCCGTTTGTTTGTTTGTTTGTTTGTTTGTTTTGAGATGGAGTCTTGCTCTGTTGCCCAGGCTGGAGTGCAGTGGCATGAGTGAGCTCAGCTCACTACAACGTCCACCTCCTGGGTTCAAGCGTTTCTGCTGCCTCCGGAGTAGCTGGGACTCACAACAATGAGAAGAAATGCGTGACTGCTACACAGGACAACATAGATGAATCTCACAAACACAATATTGAGAAAAAGAAGGCTGGGTGTGATGGCTGAGGAGTTCGAGACCAGCCTGAGCAATATAGCAAGACCTCATCTCTACTAAAAGTTTTTTTTTTTTTTTAGTTAGCTGGGTGTGGTGGCACGCGCCTGTGGTGCCAGCTACATGGGAGGCTTAGGTGGGAGGATTGCTTGAGCCCAGGAGTTCAAGGCTGCAATGAGCTATGATTGCGCCACTGCATTCCAGCATGGGCAACAGAGTGAGACCCTGTCTCACAATAAATAAAATAAAAATAGAAAGAAACCAAATAGAAAAGAACACAAACTGTACGACTGCATGCACATAAAGTTTAAAGGCAAATCTATTGTTAGCTTTAAGGGGAAGATGGGGAATAATTAGGGGAATAAGGGGGGCCTCTGGGATACTAAAAATGTTGTTTCTTGCTCTGCGTACTGATCACAGAGATGTGTTCATTTTGTGCATCAAGCCGTACACCTAGTATTTGTGTACTTCTTGTGTTTTTATTATAATTCAGTAAAAATTTAGGACCAAAAAAATGCAAGTCAGCTTTAACACTGCCCTGTATTTTATGTAACAGAAAATATATCCTATCCTAATCTTGAAATAACTTGCTTAAACAAGCAAGCATCTTCCTCAGAAATGATTCTCATGAAAACTTCTCAGCCTATTTTGGATAACATAAATTCCTTGATCTTGAGCCAGATTAGAAGGATCAGAGTCTATGGTTCTAAAAGTATCCCCGATACAGGTAGTGTGTAGCACAGCAGTTCTCATCTCAGACTGCCCACTAGAACTACCTGGCAGCCCTTTAAAATGCTCATATCCAGCACTCCACTCTATACTCTCATTTAGTTGTTCTGGGGCTGAGGTCTGATCATCAGTACTTTTTTTTTTTTTGAGATGGAGCCTCACTCTTTTGCCCAGGCTGGAGTGCCGTGGCGTGATCTCGGCTCACTGCAACCTCCACCTCCCAGGTTCAAGTGATTCTCCCACCTCAGCGTCCCAAGTAGCTGGGACTACAGCCATGCGCCACCACACCCAGCTAATTTTTGTATTTTTTTTTTTAGTAGAGACGGGGTTTCACCATATTGGCCAGGCTGGTCTCGAACTCCTGACCTCAAGTGATCTGCCCTCCTATGCCTCCCAAAGTGCTGGGATTACAGGTGTGAGCCACCACACCCAGCTATCAGTACTTTTTTTAAAGCTCTTGGGGTGACTGGTTTGCAGCCAGGTAAGGGACCACTGATATAGGACCTCATCAGAAATCTCAGGAGAGAGACTGGATAATATTGATAAATGGATTCAGGACTATGTTTTGGTCATAAAGTACTTTGACTTGGAGAAAGAATGAAGTTTGCGTTGTTTCTAATATAATCTGATTACAGGATTCAAAAAGAACACATAAAAAACGGTGGTATTAAAGCATTTTCCTTTTCCCTTCATTTCTTCAACAATATTTGCCAAGTCGTCCCCTGTGCCAGGTATCAAAACAGAGTTCTTTCCTTACCCCTGTGTGTATATGGACCTATGAGTGCACCCGTGGCCCACCCTTATTACTCTGGTAACACTCCAAGTAACTAACTTGAATGCAGAGCGTGATACATACAGTAGCTATTTCAGCTCAGTATTGTCCTTACCAAATCACAGTCGGCCACTTTGGTACATGATGTTCTAACTATAAAGGAAGACTGAAAGAAGCCTAGGCACTGTGTTGAGTGCAATTTTCAAGGAAAGAGCAAGAAATCGAACATTTTAAACCAATAAGTGAAAGCTGGAGAGAGAAAGAAATGTTAAAATATCATCTTATTTTCTTGAAGTATTTTCCATCCAATCTTGTACAGTCAAAATGAGCATTTAAGTGTGAGGAAAAAAACGCTGAAGATCTCAGATAAGACTAGAGAGTGTCAGGTTTCTTGATTAGAAGAATTTATCATCAAAGGCAAAAGAGAAAAGATGGTAAAGATTTTTTAAAAAACAAAAAATCTCCAAGGGATCACAAATTAGTGGTGCAAAATCAAGACAACAAAAGTAGGTGTTATTCTTGTTCATTTAAACTATAGTTTTCTCTGTTTCATGTGTGTTTTTTAAAACCACTTAATTGTATTTGACATTGAAAATGTAATAGGGCCTTTTGTTTTCAACCAGTTTACTAATTGCAAAATATGTCAGGAATCAAAAGGGCAGGAGGTGTTGGTATATTTTTTTAAAATATATAACTCCTTTTTAATTTTTTCCCCTATTTTCCTTATCCATTTAGGCAGTGACTTTCAATTAGCCTGCCTACTAATATCAGGTCACTAAACTCCGTGGCTGACGCTTTATTCCTTCATGTGGGTTGTCACTCGTTTGCTTCAGTTGGCTGGCAAAGGTTGTTGTATATCCATTACTAGCAACACAGCACTTTGCATTTCTGAATTGACAAGCAGCTATATTGACCCAGCGCTTATTATGGGTCAACAGCTGCGTTAACCAACGGAAGGACTGAGGGGCAATTAAAATGAATTGGCAAAAATATATCTTCCTAATTTACTCCAATTTGTTATTTATGCTAACATTGTATGGCTTCTATGGTGACACTAAACAGAATGGACCCAATAATGGCAATTAACATAAAAATATAATGGCTAATCAAATTGACAGCAACTGTTTCTCATCATCTCGACACACAATACATTATCAAAACAAACTATTATGAAGGAGGTAATTTCAGTGTTCTATTCAACCTGCAGCATGTGTGCAGTCAGGGAGATGTGTACCAGCAATTACTGCTGAATCTAAAAAACTAAACAAATAACTTAATCGCTGTCGTCCTCCTTTTTTTTCCCCCAGGAAGCAGTAATCAGGATTCGCTAAAAATAACTGGTGTATAATAGTATAATGATGATGCATATTGTAGAATAGCTAATAAGAAATAAAATAGGCTTCTAGGTGTATACTTTTTAAAGTAGGTTCAGGTAAAGAAAGAGAGACTTGTGGAAGGAATGCGCCCACAAAAAAGACAATAGCCCTGACCGATAAATTGCTCCATGTGGGTTTGTTCCTGCTACCGAATATTTATAGATACCATTTGTAATGGCCAAAGAAGTATAAAATACACTAAATTTAGTAACACATTTTATAAGGGAATGAGCAGAAAGGTGAAGTGTGAGCTCTAATAACTGAATTTTAGTTACTCCTGCACCAAATTGGGTTGGCTATAATTTTTCATCATTAAGACCCAGCTAGGATCCTTGGATCTAATACTTGGTTACTCAAAGAGATTCCCTTTGAAAATAGTGCTATTTCCATATCCAGTTGTAGATAGTGGTTTTCCTTAATTTCTTATTTACATGATAGTCTGTGTGTGCCACCTGGCCTTGCTGCATGGATTGTACAAATGACTTGGCTGTTGTGGTCATTCATAAATTCATTCATTCAACCAACTTGGCACACAGTGGGTGTTCAGTGTTGGTTAAATTACATGTCATTCCAAGGCAGCAAGGGAGAAACTGGTAACATGTTTGTCATTTGATCTTCTCATTTGAAAAGTTCTGAGGGCTTAGTTGTTTCACCTTGGTAGGACCCCTCAAAGAAAACACCAAAGCTTGAGCTCATTGTTCCCCAGCTCGCAAGTTTCCCAAGTGTCTAACCCCTTGGGAAGATGGAAAGAAAGTTTGTAGGTCAGTTGATTTAAAATAGATAGAAGTGCATTTGAATGTGACTCCCCAAATAATTCTCATATTGGTTATTGAATTGACTGCATGTATTTTTTTCCCACACAGAGTGAGACACAGTTGCTTAGAATACACAGTGACTCTAAATAACCTCAGGAATGTTTAGTATATGTTTGCTGAGTGAATAGTAGTTCAGACACGTCTCCTACACTTTGTTGAATTGGAACTTGGCAAGGTCATTAAACGAGTGTTTTGACATGGGTGGGATGAAAAGCCTTGGTTATTTCATTTCACATGGTACTTCTCAGAGATCATACGTTGCCCACTTAGGATTACCACAGAGCAAATAGTCAAGATGTTACTGTGAGTCTGTGAGCCAATCCTGGCACAGGCAATGGATTGTCACCACAAATCATAAAACGGGGCTCATGGTATAGCAATATGTATTAAACAGTTTTCAGAATTTGTTTAACTTCCTGCTAGCATGGACAGGGCCCAGTTAGGAAGCACATAGCACTTTTCCCAATTAACAGTGCAAATTGTCATGAGTGCATAGGAATTTGCAGTTTGACAAAATCAGGTTTTTGACAGCAGGGGTAATCAGTCTGCAGCTTCGCAAGTAGTAATCTATGATCGAAGTGGCAGGATTTATTCTGAATTATGAAAGGTGTATATGCTATATAAGAGGGACAAACCATTAGTATGATTCTGCCCTTCTTACCCACTTTCTTTAAAAAATGCTGCTTGATTTGGAAGTTGAAAGTAGGGGATACACTCTGCTGAGAGTGATCCCCATCGCTTCCCCCTCCCCAGTAGTAGTATTCATTTATTTTCTGTTATATTACAGTATTCTGACAAGTCCCTGTACACCCAGCTGTGCTTTTACCGGTACATTTTTGATGCGGAGTGTGCACTGGAGAAACTTACTACCGATCATGAGAAAGGTACGTTAAAATACTGTAATTACCTTTGAGTTTAAAGTGGAAATTTGCATTATAAAAGCCAGACCTACTGTGTCAGGCTGTTCATGCAGCATCACATTGCTGTCTCAGAAGCAGGCCGTGGGGGCCTATGTGAACACAGGGATCCCCTGCATGAGGGGCGGTGGCATAGGAATCCCCAGCTTTGGCCCCCACAGCCTGTTTCACATTGTCCTCTATTAAAGCAAGGCTTTGGGGGAGGAACAGTACAAAAAGGACTCTTTAAATGCTATATTTTGAAAATGCTATTTTCTACAGAGTTTAGTAACTGTAATAAAGTAAGCATAGGCAACGTGATCATTGGGCCTACAAAAACCAGATATTACTGCAAAAAAATAGACTTGGAGTGTGTCTCTGCTGTTCGCTAAAAGCCTGGGTTCGTTTTGAGAGAGGGATGAGGTGGAGTTCCTTTATTGACTCCATCCTAAGAGAGTATATAGGCGCCTCAGCCCGTATGATCAGCTGTTGCATGGAACCCTCAGCACTCGGCGTTTCCTTATACAAGACTTGCGGGCACTGTGGGACTTAATGGGTCTGGGAAAAGCTTTGTTACATAACTTAAAGTATTTGAAAATGTCATGACAACTGCATGTTTGTTTTTTTTTTCTCCTACCTGAAAATCACATTGACAACTTTTCTATTACCTGTGAAAAATAAAAAAGGCAGATTTATACATTTTTCTTATTAGTTACCTACAGAGTGTTTATGTTGTTTGTCAGCGAGTATCAATTCAACGTTTTGTTGGTCGGTACTAGGGCTGGAAACAACCGCAATGACATTAAAAACCTACAACTATTGCTAGATTTCCCCGCATAAGAATCCCCATGCTGCCCTTGATTTGTTCTCACTGTTTTTAATTCCAGTCATAATTGACTTGTTTTTCCATCCACAAGATAGGCTAGAAATTATTTTTTAAATGCCTTGACTTATTTGGTTTTGCTGTCCTTGGAGAGAGAGCATTTTACAACTGATGGAGAAGCTGGTTCAGATATTAGTATCTTATCTCTAGATGTTCAACAAGGACTTGAGCTATCTCCACAGCATATTTTCCATGAATTAGTAAAATTTATACAGAGAATAAATTTATTCTGCCTATTAATAACTAAGTTTTAGAACTTTTATTCATGGTCAATGTCTAGCCCATATATACTTGTAATATCATTTACAGCTGTTTTTCTTTTATCCCCAAGGACCTTTCCTAAAGACAGTTATGAGTTGAGAAAATTAAGTACTGATTATCTGAACGCATTATCTGTTTCTATCAGGTCTGTTACCTCTTTCTGAATATCAGTATATTAGAACCTGTTCCTCTATTACTTCTTTTTTTTTTTGAGACAGAGTCTTGCTCTGTTGCCCAGGCTGGAGTGCAGTGGCACGGTCTCAGCTCACTGCAGCCTCCGCCTTCTGGGTTGAAATGATTCTCCTGCCTCAGCCTCCCAAGTAGCTGGGATTATAGGCATGTGCCACCACACCTGGCCAATTTTTGTATTTCTAGTAGAGAGGGGGTTTCACCTTGTTGGCCAGGCTGGCCTCAAACCCCTGACCTCAGGTGATCTGCCTGCCTCAGCCTCCCAAAGTGCTGGGATTACAGGCGTGAGCCACTGTGCCTGGCCAGCCCATTATTTCTTTCTAAATCTATCCATCCTAGATTGTTTTCTATATGTTATTTGAGGGGAAAGATTCCTCTTCCCTATACGGCTCTAAAATTCTTATCTGAGAGGCAGAATCAGTCTTTTATGATCAGCAGTTTTCAAAAGGTCTGGCAACTCTTGGAGGCATGTAGAGGAGTGATCTGGAAAGTCACTGGAGATTTAGCCCATCCTCTTAGAGGACACTGAGAAGTGCACGTTATTACACCCACAGAAAATAAGAGGAAATAAGTAGCCGCTTGGAAGCCTCTTGCTTGGCTAAAAGGGAAAAGTATTGACAGGATCTGTACACTCAGAGTTTACTGTAGTCCCATTTCACAAGTTTAAGGATCAGTACACTTTTTTATTGTTTGTATCTAATAATATACTACCCAGCAATTCGGGGCAAAAATGGCATTGAGTTATCGATGGGTTCTTTTATATATCAGAGGGCTAAAGAAAATAAGACGAGAAGAGAAAAAAATATATGTGACTGAAGGAACTTCATGAAATGTTCCAAGAGCCCTTTTGTTTTATTTATTGAATTTTACCAATTGAAACTCTTTGAGTTTCCTGCTGTTTATTTATTATTCCTGAATTACAGTTTGGGAATGAGTGAATTAGCTGAAATTTACATGCTCCAGGCATTTTCAGATCATGCAGTAATGCTAAGTGGTATTAGGGTATTCATAAGTGGTGGGATATAAACCAAAACTTGGGGGCACACTTACCAAGAGCAGAGGTTTCCTAACACATGACATCTGATAAGCCCTCTCCTAAGAGTCACCTGGGGCATATTAAAAACCCAAATCCATAGATCCTATGTCCACAGATTCTAATTCAGAAGATGTTGGGGGTAGAGCTTAGGAAGCTATAATTTTTTGAAAATTCCCCCAGATAATTCTGCCGTGCAGCCAAGTTTGAGAACCCCTCTCCTGGGCACTCTAAAGACATAGTTGGATGGTTTCTAAATAAAAGACAATTGAATGCAAGGTCATAGTTCATAGGGAACAATGGGGGAACAAGAATATTCTTATAGTAGAGAGGAGAACAATTATAGGGGAAAACACCATAAGTTTAAAATAGTATAACAAATAAAATTGACTTCTCACTTTATAAGTTGGAGTGAATTCTCTTTTGATTTGCTATTCAAGGGAGACCTGCTATTAAAATGAGTTTAAAATCTAAGGGAACCGGAGGGCAAATATATTTATTCAATTTGGACCATGGCCAGAACACCAGTAGATGTTAACATCAAAAGTCCTGTGAAAAATGACAGTCGTTATACACAGTTATATTATTGAGAATGGAGTCTAAGTGTCTTCTGTCAACAAGTGCCCCGTAACTGGTGTGTGAAGTATTTACTGTAGACTCTCCTTTACTGTCAGTACCTAGCAACATTTCCTTCACTAAGATTGTTTTACCATTTCCATCATAAAGCCCATATTTTAAGGGTTGTAACTGGATGGTGGTTTTAATTTTTGTTTGAAACTTGGCAATTTGACTTAGAAAAACATGTACAAATTATTTGAAAGAGGTTTATTTTTATGGGGAAAAGTAGCTCTTGTCAAAGCTTTTTCTCTGCTTTGCTTTCAAACGAGAGTTTACAGACCATTAGTCCATAATGTGGATTAACCCCATTTGATATTTTTTCCTTCCTTTAAAATGGTAAAGGACTGTTATTCACGTTGGTGAAGTGTTTACTGCATATTTGCTGTAACTGCATTACATTTTTAAAATCTTATTTCTGTGGGACTTTGGCATTATTATTGTAACTGCTCCAGAATGTACACAGATGGCATAATGGATTCAAAGGCGGTTTTACAGGAACATAGGGGCAATCTATGAAGTAAAAATCCATTTCCAGGATGGCCGCATGAAATGGTCCCATTTGGCTGCCTCATCCCGTGGTGCCTTGGCCTGAGTAGGGGTAAGTGAACAGTTCAGGGGAAACCTGAATCAGTTCAAATCTAAATCTCCTTAAAAATGCAGGAAGAAAAAAGTCTCTTAGTTTTCTCAACTGAACCTTTGTTGTTGTTTATTCAGCAACAGTAAAAACAATTTGTTTATATATAGTTCCTATTAGGTGTTGAGTGACATTCCTCATGTCAGAGGAACAAAGGTGGATGGCCAACACTCCCTGCCCTGGAGGAGCTTAGAGTCTGTTGAGGAAAGACAGATTCAGCAACAACTAAGTGTGGTATGGCCTGAGTGTCACCACCAATAGGGTGAAATTATTTTGGAAGCAAAGAGAGGGAGCCACTAACTGCTTTTTCACTTCAGTGTTTGATCTTTCTTTAGTTCTAGAAAGAAACTTTTTTTTCTGTTTCTGTTCTCATTTAGTAGATGCTTCTCTCCTCATATTCTGTGTCAGCTATTAATAGTAAGATGGTGTATTCATTTGCTAGGACTGCTATAACAAAGTACCATGGATGGGGTGGCTTAACTATATTTCCTCACATTTCTGGAGGCTAGAAGTCTAAGAGCAAGGTGTCAGCAAGGTTGGTCTCTCCCCAACTTTTTTTTTGAGACGGAGTCTCGCTCTGTCACCCAGACTCGAATGCAGTGGTGCGATCTTGGCTCACTGCAACCTCTGCCTCCTGGGTTCAAGCAATTTTCCTGCCTCAGCCTCCTGAGTAGCTGGGATTACAGGTGCACGTCACCACGCCCAGCTAATTTTTGTATTTTTAGTAGAGATGGGGTTTCACCATGTTGGTCAGGTGGGTCTCAAACTCCTGATTTCATGATCCAGTCGCCTCGGCCTCCCAAAGTGCTGGGATTACAGGCATGAGCCACCACACCCGGCCAGGTCTCTCCTCAACTTCTAGGGAGCTATCTTCTCCCAGTGTCTTCCCTCTGTACCTAATCTCCTCTTCTTATACTGACACTGGTCATATTGGATTGGGTCCCACCCTAATGACCTCATTTTAACTTAATTCTTTAAAGGCCTTATACAGTCCATTCTAATACAGTCCACTCCAGATACAGTCTCATTCTAAGGTACAAAGGGTTAAGACTTCAACCTACCTTCAGTATGAATTTTGGGGGGGCACAATTCAGTCCATAACTGATGATCTACTTGAATTTCTTAATAAATTCCTTTGAACACTGCCGGAATTGGAACACTAGGATGTAGAATTCTGTTGAAGACAGAAATTGGAATTGCAGCATAGAGGCTAGCTAAAAGATGACAATTTACCCATAGGAGAAGTATCCGTTGGAAAGCCTGACTTCCCAGTGGGGGTCTCTTTAGGCCTAGATGGACTATTCTTCAGGTCACCCTGTTTCTCACAAAGTGCTATGGGCAGCCTTGAGTGCCCCAGCCTCCTGAGCTGCACCTGCAAAGATTGCAGTTTTCTTGCTCCTCTCAACCAGGTGAAATCCCACATTCACTTCCCCTCTTGAGCCTCATATGCTTTCTTTTCTTTTTTTTTCCTTAAACTTTTCAGTCTCTTGTCATCTCTTTTCTTCTGTCTTTTCTTTAGGCCTGGTGGTAACATCTGTAGGCCCTCTTGTTTCCTAACATGCCACCCAGAAGAACTAGGCTGCCCCTTTTAAGGTACTTCATAGTTTCCTATTGTCCTTTCACGTGTGTAACACGAGTTCTCACAGTACTCCTGTGAGGCAGCAGTGGATTGTGCTCATTATATTGATGAAGAAATTAAAGTTACTAAAGTTCCTTGACATTTGCAGATTTAACGCTTGTCGCTTGAACTCTTTGCAAGTGATACTGAAGGTAGGTAACATGTTAGTGTGTGTTATTTTGCTGATGCCAGATTTAAATTGAACTGAAAGAATATCCAGTCACTTAACTAATGAGCAAGCCAAGCCTACTGCTCCTCACCCACACTGCCACGGGGTCCTGTTCTGTGTTCCCCATCAGCTAAGTAGTTACACTCATGAAGTGCTAATAGTTATATTACTTTGTGGAAAATGGTCTCCAAAACAAAGACAACAGCTAGTACTGAAAAGGGTCTTAAAAGGTAGTATTTTTTAAGCCAGAAAATAAGAGTTTTATAGAAGAAATTATATGCTTTAGTGTATATGGGAATGTGGAGATTTTGGAAAGTCTCAAGATGGGTCCCATTTCAGTGTTAAGGATTTCCGCTATATTTCCTGAACTGTTAAAGTGAAAGCAGGAAAGTTTCATCATGAAAGTAGCAAAGAGCCCCTGTGGTCCTCTCTAAGCTAGTTGACATCCTTAGAATTTACTTGGTTAAATCCTTAACAAAATATTAAAAAGAAGACTGTGTCAGAGAGCACCTGTCTGGTCCTTTTCTTCTTATTGCCACTTTTTGAAGCCCACTGGTTGTGTTCTGTTTTTTGGTTTTTTTTTGAGACGGAGTCTCACTCTGTCGCCCAGGCTAGAGTGCAGTGGTGTGATCTTGGCTCACTACAAGCTCTGCCTCCTGGGTTCACGCCATTCTCCTGCCTCAGCCTCCCGAGTAGCTGGGACTACAGGCATCTGCCACCACGCCCGGCTAATTTTTTGTGTTTTTAGTAGAGATGGGGTTTCACCGCGTTAGTCAGGATGGTCTTGATCTCCTGACCTTGTGATCCACCCGCCTCGGCCTCCCAAAGTGCTGGGATTACAGGCGTGAGCCACCGTGCCCGGCCTGGTTGTGTTATTCCATCGAAAAACTGTTGCTGAATTTTGAGGGCAAGCTTTTTCTGTTTTTAATAAGTAATAACAGGTAAAGCACACACAAAACAGTTCGCATCTATTCATTCTTCTTAAAATTATATTTTTTATATTTGTGCAATTTTCTTTAGAAAAATAGATTTTAAGATGGGTAACTGTAAACTGCATTTTTAATTTCATTTTCTTACAAATAAAAAAATGATCTGAGGGTTTTTAAAAATTGTTTCTTTGATTAAGGGAATTTTTATGGTAGGAAGCTCTGACTTGACAGTTCAGAACATAGCTGTCTGTTTATTATAAAGAAGTGATTGTAGAAATACGTAAAGAATTTTGGTAAGAAAAAAGTGGTTTATATAATCTTGAGCCTCTGGGGGTTGTTATTGTTAGATATTACATAGGTTTAATCTTTAATGACATATATAATGATAAAATACAAAACTAGATAACTTATGATTCTAATTTGTGGTGTATATGCAAGGTAGAAAAATTAGTAAGGAACACTAGAATTTGTTATAGTTATCTCTAGGTGGATTATAGCTTTTCTTTTTCTTTATAATTTTATATATTTTCTACATTATGTACTCTGAGCATGTACTGCTCTCATAACATGAAAAAAATTATAAGCACTAAAATGTTATAGAGAATGTTACTCAACTTGAAGTAATTACCCAAATAATTTCACAATTGAGGGAAAAAATAACATAGAAATGAACCCAAACCAGCTTTTTTTCTCCGTGTATTTTTTTCCAAGTCAAACCTAAGGCCTTGTTACTCCAAGTGTGATCAGTAACCCAGCAGCATAGGCATCACGTGGAAGCTTGTTAGAAATGCACAATATCAGACCCACCCCTGACCTACTGCATCAGCATCTGCATTTTAACAAGATCCTCAGGTGATTCCTCCGCGTGTTAAAGTTTCAGAAGCACTGATCTAAGACACTCTCCCTTAATAACTAAAGCCTACTTCTATTTTATTCATTCATTGATTAGGGCCGTCCTTTTGGTAAAACTTTAAAACAACAACTATGCAGGCTACAGAAGGACTACCCAAGTTTTAAGGTAGAATTCATATCACAACCTGGCCTTTTGAAATATGTTTTTATTAAGCTAAAAATGCAGTGGTCTGACAAGGGCTAAGAGAGGGGAAAAAAGCCAAAAAGCATGAGTTCTTCCACTTTGTTTCTTCGTAACTAGAAGGAACAAGGGAGAAGTAAATTAGGATTTTCAAAATAGCTTTCAGCTTTTTAAGATTAGTGGCTTATAAAAGAAAGAACTAAGGCCGGGCACAGTGGCTCACGCCTGTAATCCCAGCACTTTGGGAGCACTTTGGCAGGTGGATCACCTGAGGCCAGGAGTTTGAGACCAGCCTGATCAACATGGTGAAACCTCCGTCTCTATTAAAAGTAAAAAAATTAGCCAGGCATGGTGGCACGTGCCTGTAATCCCAGCTACTTGGGAGGCTGAGGCAGGAGAATCGCTTGAACCCTGGAGGTGGAGGTTGCAGTGAGCCGAGATCGCACCATAGCACTCCAGCCTGGGCCACAGAGTGAGACTCCATCTCAATAAAAAAAGAACTGGAGTGTAGTTCTACACCCACTTCGTGTAAGGGCCACTCTCTATGTGCCCAGAGTAAAGTTTCACCCTATCACTACATTCTGGACCTCATTACAACATTGATTTAGTAGTATTTTATAAAGATTTCAAGGCATTCAACTAGATTCTTTTAATGGAAACAAGATTCTATTTCTTAAATTTTGCTACTGAAAAGTTTATTTTGAAATTTTCTTTTTCCTACTGTCACTGACTTTTCTGTGATGTTTTTATACTCACTACAAGAACGAGAAAGTTGGTATTGTCTGATGGCAGCATGCAGCCTGCTAACACTGGTTTATTTTTCTCTATGGATACTGCCTGTTTTGTTTTTGTTTTAACTTGAGATAACTTTACAATGTGACAGAAGAGAAACTACATTTTCCAAGAAATGGTCACTTTAGTTGCTTTCCCCATAAGTAGAAGTGTCTTGGCTCTGTACATTTTCTGCCATCTTCTTCAAGATAGCTAAGTTAGTATATGAAAGTTGCCATATTTTGGAGCAGCCAGCTTCCAGATTCTAATTATGTGTCTTTAAGCCCATTTCTGTAAATATGCACTCAACGTTTGCACTTTTATGTACAAAGAGACTTAGAGGCTTTCTATGATAACAGATGTGTTACTCGTTCTATAAAATCATTTCGCATTATGTCTTTTTAGTGGGCAAGTTCCTTTCCCCTTTTATAGTGACAGGTACAGCAACACAAGGGCTCTGCCATGTCTAGGTGATAATGTGGTTGATGGTCTGCATTTGCAAAGCATATTGTCATTTTTTAGTAGGAAAAATACTAAAGATTGATAAGTTTTTTTATGTACTTCTTAAAAATATGCTTCTATCACCAATGATGAAAAAAATGAAACAATTCGCAAGCAGTTAAGCCATAATGTGAGCTAATCACTTTATTTTGAAGAAAAGTATTTTTAAACAGTTGAGCTAGTGAATTTACTTTTAAAATGTATTGTGCTTACACAGTAGATGGTTTTATTTCCATGATGTTTTTTACTACATAATTATACATCTTAATTACGTAATTACTATCATAATTATTATGTAATTGCATGTACTTCCACTAATTACAAAATCAGGAAGTGTAATTATCTAGTAAAAACTTTATGAAATTTCATGCACTAAAAGTTAGTTAAAAGGCTATTCCAGTGGTCTAGTGGAAGGCTTTCCATGGTTAGTCTTCTTAGTCATAACTTTAGTTTAGAGCTGGAACTCATAGGCCAGGACAAGGATAAGTGCCAACAGACCAACACTAAACTGAGTATTGTGGTATGGGTAAGATAGACTTTGTCCCTTGTGATTTAAAAAGTCAGAGAGCATTTTAATTTTTTTGTGACTATGGAGTGTGGTAAGAATAATATCTAAATGTTTGAGGTAGGTACCACAAAAACTGTCAATGGAAAGGGCAGTTCTTTCTTAGGAAGGAATTGATTAATAGAATCAACAAGGCATTTAGGTTACACAACAGCAAGGTCTTCTATAATTCTGTAATGTGAATGGCTTATTTAATAGCTATCTCTGCCTTTAAAAGCAATAATGATATTCAGTTTTCTGTTTCTTCAGTTTGGAGAAGGTGTTTTTCCAGTTTGTGTTTATATTTACTAAGATATGAGCAAACGTATCAAGAGAGCATACTCCTTTCTACTACTTGATGTCAAAAGCAGCTTTTGAGACATAAACATAAGCGCACAAACATGTAACATCAGACCCTAAATAAAGACAAAAGGTTTAATTCAATAAAGCTATGATGCCTTTACCATTCAAAACGACATAAAAATTGCACAGTGAAACAATAGTCATGACAGCAAATTAGATATGACATCTAAATTACACTACAAAGAGAAATCCCAGAACCGTTTTTGGTCTGTAGGAGCCTATTTTAGCCCAGGTTTAGAACCCAATCTAGAGGCTCTGCTTTATTGTCTAAGTAGGGTAATGTTGTAGAAGACTAATTGGACGTTGGTTGAATTAATTGCACATCAATTAGGAGGAAAGGGCTTGTAATACTCATGGCAGAGAAGTGAGTAGATCCTTTAAGTATCATGATGGAATGTACTATGAGTTTCAGGAATTAATATTATCAGTATTTGGGTAATATCTGTATAATCTATTACAACATGACCTAAATCAAGCACTTGGGGTTAGATACAGGTATACTAATTTCCTCCCCAAAATTAGTGCTTCTCACTAGAAATGTATTGAAACAGCCACTTAAAATGTATGAGTTATTTCTTTTAAAAATGTAGCCTTAAACATTAAAAGGTTCAGCTCAGGAGATCAGATATTCGTTTTTTTCTTAAAACTTTCTAACGAAACACTCATTGTGGTATTACCAGTTATTGAATTTGTGACTTTTTTATACTAGCTGAAATTTCCAATAAGTGTGAATTTTTTTAAAAAGTCAGTGAACGGTGTGAAAATGCCAGTCCCATTTGCTTCAGGCAAATTATAGGATTTATATTTATCCAGAATTGTTTCATGGTCTCAGAGATGTTTGGGATTTAAACAGATTTAGTCTGACTCTGCTATTTTTCTCTAGTAGTTAGGGGTTATTTTAAAATTGCATATTTTTTTCCTCTTGGGAATCTTTTCTCATTTACTTAGCCCAGAATTTAATGTCTTAATCATTTCTTATTTGCCTTAACTCTATTGTGATAACATTTCTTCTCATGGTTTCAGAAGTGTTTATGCTCCCTCTATGAGACAGCACTGCCTCTCACGTTTCCTCTTAATCTTTTGTTTTTGTTTTGGTGGTTGGTATTTTTTATTTTTATTTTTTTTTACTAGTGCTTGTACCATGCCAGAATAGCCCTTAATGGTTAAAAGCAAAGTGTTCACTTAATCCTCATCTTTTCAATTATAATACAAATTTCATTTTGAAGCTGACATTTAAACTGACATTGTTGTGTTTTGTTTTGCTTTGCTTTCTTGCTTTGCATGTGAATTGGCATATGTCATTATCCTATAATTCTTGATAAATTTTTCATAATTATCTAAGGGAATCAACCGTAACTTTTGAAGTCTAATTATGTCCTTGTGATGTCTCCAGTAACCCTGTAGGCCCAGGCCAAGAACTGATGTTGATTTTCACATTATTAATCAGTGCCATTTATTATTTTATGCTGTACTATCTGGTTCATATAATGCTACCCTTCATATACAAAGAAAACCCATCATCAATTTGACTCATTCTTAAACTAGTTCTTCCTGTAGTTGTCATGAATTTATTTAGATCCATCTGCATTCTCTTACCTTGTGGCTAACAGGACAGTAACTAGACAGACTTAGTAGCCCATCATTGAGTTAAATCAACACTGATTACATTCTCCCTGTATAAAGGCCCTGGGAAACCCTTCTCTCCTTGGCCTGTGAGCCCTGCAAGCCCTAGCACCATCCCCTAGAGCTTAAGGCTTAAACTAGTTCGTAGAAAGATAGATTTGCTGGCTAATTTTAGACACTGATGTGCTTTTCTTGTTCTAAGAAATTATTGTAATTTCAAATAGGGTCAAAAAAGCAGGTCTGTGTGTAAGTCTGTTACTCTCTGTCCCCTCTTCGTGCCCTGAACCCTTGCCCAGTTTATTCAGCAAATATGTATTGGGTCTCTGTCCTATATGATATTGCTTCTAGAAGTACCAATACTTCTGACCAATTGCTTATTCATGCATTCACCTCTAAATACCTCCTTTTTATAGGACTCTACTTTTGTGGAGAACATTCACAGCCATTATCTTTTACATTTTCCAGACAATTCCATTGTATACGGATATGTAGTTGACACTTCTGAGATGAGAAACAACCCCAAAAGGATGAAATGACTCTCCCAAAGTAGCAAAGCTTAGAAGTGTTAAGAGCCCGGCTTTTCTTTCTGCCATATCTCAGCTGCCCTGTTCTTAATCTATTAGGGAAACTTCAGCCTGAAGACAAGTAACTCAAATACAAGGGAATGGTATGAATTGCTGAGGGATCTCAGCATATACCTCAGGGAAGGTTTCCTGGTGGAGATTTCCTGAGTTGGGCCTTAAAGAGTATGTGAGATTTTAATAGGCACAGATGCAGACATGTAGTTTGAGACGAAGTTTTGCCTTTCTCACTTTTCTTTAAGTGCCCTATTTATCTTGCTTTTATAAAGGGAGAACTTCCTTTGACAAATGCATCATGATTTGAAAGCATATCTGAATTGAAAATTTCGTCTAAAAGTGCTTATTAAGAAGCAAAGCTTTAAACTCAGGACTATAAGCTTGAAGGGCATTATTTTTTGAGATAGGGTCTCGCTCTGTCACCTAGGCTGGAGTTCAGTGGCACGATCTCTGCTCACTGCAGCCTCGACCTCCTGGGCTCAAGTGATCCTCCCATCCCAGTCCCCCGCCCCTAGTAGCTGAGACTGCAGGTGCGTGCCACCACGCCCAGCTAATTTTTGTATTTTTTTGTAGAGATGGGGTTTCACCATGTTGCCCAGGCTGGCCTCAAACTCCTGGACTCCAGCAATCCACCCGCCTTAGCCTCCCAAAGTGCTGGGATTACAGGCGTGAGCCACTGGGCCCGCTGTCCTTGAAGAGTATTCTCTCTTCACTCTCCACTCTCCACTCTCCACTGTAACCAGTGGTGGTGCTTTGAAAGAAATTGATCCATCCTACAGGATACATCTGTCAAAAGTGTATCAAAATGTTTTTCTATCTTAAATAATTTAACTCAGAATATAATAATGTAAGTATTTTGACATGAAAATTTACATACTGTGATATATCCACTTATCTTAAAACAGACGTCTTTAACTATAAAGAAAAGGAGTGTGGTAAGACAAAACAAAATAGAAATTGGAATTAAATGGGATGACTGACAGACCAAACTAGTTTTATTTAGACAATAAAAATTAAAGTCCTGTTAGCATTATGACGAAAAAAATGTAAAAATGTTTTACTTAAAGCATGGCTGATTTTTTGTTGTGTTTTGTTTTTTCACTAACACCATGGTGAAAGTTTAAACATGTAAGACCTGTTTATGAAGTAAATGTTTACTGCTGAACTAATTCTTCAAGTTTACTGGTATATTATATATTGCCTTACCAAAAAAAGTCGATGCTGAAAAGTCAGTAAAATCCACAGTAAAAGAAAGCGTCTGAACAGTAGTCTGTCTTGGGAAATTATTCAACAGAGTGCACTCTGGTCTCTGTTAGTGAAGGCTTTATCACTTTTAACAAATAAGCCGCAGTAAATTTATCAGTATGCTACAAAGAAATTTTCAAAATAATTAAGACTAAACTACACTTGTCAAAATAAATGAATGAAATACAATTTTGAATCATCTTTCTTCACTTATTGCTCATTTGCATAATTCAGTAACTTACACAGGAGTCTTTCAGTCATTGGTGTGAATTAGCAAGGTTCTGCTATTCCTTGTTGTACGGCAGGAATTACCCTACCATGTAATTAGCTATTCCAGACATGGACTAACGGGAAATACCAAAGGGCACAGCAAAATCTAAAGAGGCAAGGCAGGGAATCTAAAGACAAGAGACAATCAAAGACACCCAACAAACTCAAGCTGGTAGACCACAGGGAATTTTGAATGAAGCCTCTTAATTTATTTTGAGAATAAGAAATCAGTAGTATGAGAGAAATCTCAACAAGATTAGCTGACTAAGCCTACTTAAAAAAAATATCTCTATAGTGCATGGTGCGCCAGGTTAACCACTCCTGTTTGTTAGTCTGTATACAGCTCAACAAATAAGCGGCAAAGCTTTTCATGGGTATATAGTGGCTTTCCATTGAGGTTTTCACTCTTTGAAGGAGGTCATTTATACCAATGAGATCTGTAGATGCAAATTGCTTTCCCTATATGTGAGGGGTCATTCCTTTCACAGCCAGCTTGCTCATCTCTTTTATAAAGGTTTTGTTATTTTTGTACTGCTCCCAAAGGAATGATGAGAATTATGCCCCCCCACCCCCTGTCTAACTTAGCATCCAAATCTTTTCCCTCCAGCTCTGTGAAACTTTTGTGTGTTGATCTTTGGAAACAAAACAAGCTGTTGGCAGCAGCCTTTAACTCTGAATCAGGAAACTTTTTTCCTTCTTTCAACCTGAAATATCATCTCTTTAGATTTGCCTTTCTCGCCTAATTCTAAGGAAATATCTTTTTCATTGCAGCAGAGTGTCACTGTAACATGCTACAGGCATGTGGGAATTCCTGGAAGCAGTGTCCTCAAAATGCCATTTTTAGTTTGGCTCAAATGATGTAAGCTCTCACGAACTAGAGGAATAGAAATGAAGGGATCGATTTAAGGGTTAGCTATGAAAACCTAGCTTCTGATCTCATTACTGAAGTAAAGGGAAAGATAATATTTGTCTTTGCCTAGGCTCTAAGGAATCATACAAACATTCAACGGTTCTAGTTTGTTGTGTTCAGGAGTTTTAGGAAGGAGGAGCTTCAGGCATACCATGTGAATGCTCTGTAAAATGTTTGTTGTTTTGTTCCTTCCTTCTGCTAGCATTTGTTGAACACCAAGGGCATTGGCCTGGGTTTCTCAAAAGCAATATAGGGTAGTGATTAAAAACTCAGTCTCTGGAGTGAGAGTGCCAGGTGCAAATTTTGACTTTCCACCCCTTACTAGATAAGTAACCTTGAAGTACATCTATAAAACAGGAAAAAAATAGCACCTACCTCAAAGGGTTCTAAATTCAGCAGGATGACATGGAAATAGGCTAATATGTAAAACGTCTGGGACATTAAACAGGCAATACGTAAAATGCTTAGGACAGTGCCTGGCACATAGTAAGCATGCAGTAAATGTCAGTTGGTTTTATTACTTCTGAGAATACTTTGTCTAAACGACTATCTATTATAGTACTTAGTGTTACAACTGTATTTGAGTTGGTTTCTGCAGCCTGTCATTGACCATGTTTTGTTCAGATTTGTATCCTCAGCATCTAGCACAACACCAAACATGTAGCAAATGCTCGATTCATTTTTACCAAATGGTTACAGTATGAAAAAAGCATGGTCCCTGTTCTCAAGGAGCTTAAAATATATCTTGATAACTGTGTTTTAGTTTTCTTATCTATTGAAATAGCATCATGTCAGAAGTGTATTAAAAAGAAAACTTTAGTTCTCAGTCTTCCATACTTAATGGAAGAAGTTGAAACACGAATAATCTGCAAGCCAGATTTCTGATTGAGTAGGTCTGGGGTGGGACCCAGGCGGCAGTGTATTTAAAAATCTCCGCAGGTGATTCTGATGCACACCCACAGTGTTGGGAATCTCTGAGTTAGTGAAACTCTTCAAACTTTAATATTGCTTCTTGTCAAATATGCATTAAGTTTGACTTTGATATAGAAAGGGAGACTGGGTGGCATCTAGATAACAATTTAAACAGACAGTAGAAAGGAAAATGAAGTCAAACACAAGAATTATTTCCTAGATAAAGGAAGCATTTATGGTGCTGTATACGCTAATGTAGCATCAAAGATAAAGTGAAGAAAAATAGGCTAGGGAAAAGTAAGCAAGAAGGAACTGTTTTCTGGTAATGAGCAAACTGAAGATGAAATAAATGCATTTCAACAAAATTGGCTATAAAGCACATTATTTTCCCCCATTAACTTGCGTCATGAATGAAGGAATAGGGCTGCTGGGGAGGATGGGGGATCTTTCAAGGAGACTGGATAGGTAACTGGGGAGATATTAAGGTGGAGGCTAACCCAAACGTGGTACTTAGGAGCTTCTGTGGTTTGGATTTCTGAGACCATTCCCACCTCCTGTCCTCTTCTACTTACCTTGACACTCAGCTGACTGGATCCTGGGTAGAGCAGCCTTCCGCAACTTTATAATTTTGCACGTCCTCCAAGCGGTCTGGAACAGGATGGTAGTAGTAGAGGGTTTAGGAGGATATTCCTGTGTCCTGTGCTCATCTCTTGGGGTGCTCATCTCTTGGGGTGCTCATCTTACCTGGGGTGTCCAGGCAGGAGAAATAGCTTGACTGGCTATAGCTGGAGTTATAAAATAGTCTCAGATCACCCCTTTTTGCCTAGAAGGATTAGGACTGCACCTTGTTGGTACCCACAAATTAGACCCTTCTTCACCAGTCCCTGAGCAGGCCTTGACTCCACTATGGCCACATCCTTTGGCTGGTGTGGTTTCCCTGCCTGGGTTAGCCAACCTCAACCCAGTCTCTGTTCATATTCTATTCATACTTTAAGGCCTCCCAGCCATAAGTGATCTCTTTGTCCTCTAAACTCCTGTAGTTCTTAAGCACTGTCCCTCTTACATTATAATTATTTGAGGACAGGGATCATGCTTGATACATTATTTTATGTCTGATGGCAACTTGCTCATGATAGGAGCCTAATAAATGGTATGTTAAATTAATGTTTTCTGTAATAGAGCACTTTCTGACTCCATCCTCTTTTCTCTGCTATTTATTTCCTATTATGTCCTTCAACTGTGTCATAAAAAATTTTCTATCCATGTATGTATACATTCATCAAACATTTAGCCCATACCATCTCCTCATTCCACATGGACTTAATTTCCCACCTTAATCTGTCTACTTTCTGACAATTACTAATAGAGTTGGGCTGTGATATCATGTATCTCCAGAAGATTACATAAATTCCAGCCTAGAAATTTCTTTGTTTAAACCTTTAGGTTATATAAATCAAACTGATGCTCAGTCATATTAGTGGGATTAAGTTTGAAAGTCTAAAATCATACTTCAAATGAGGACTGTCTCAACCCAGGCACACTCCTTGCCCTCCAGAATTTATATACATTTGATAGCAGCTGGTTGTTTTCCCTGCAGATTCTTTTTTTTTTTTTTTTTTTTTTTTTTTTTTTTTTTTTTTGAGACAGAGTCTCACTCTGTTGCCCAGGCTAGAGTGCATTGGCGCAATCACGGCTCACTGCAGCCTTGACTCCCCAGGTTCAGGTGACCCTCCCACTTAAGCCTCCCAAGTAGCTGTGACTACAGGCATGTGCCACCATGCCTGGCTAATTTTTTGTATTTTTTTTTTAGAGACAAGGTTTTGCCATGTTGCTCAAGTTGGTCTGCAACTCCTGAACTGAAGAGATCCGCCTGCCTTGGCCTCCCAAAGTGTTGGGATTACAGGCAGGAGCCACCGCATCCAGCCACCTGCAGATTTTTCTAGTGATTCACAGTTTTAGCTCTCTGCTCCAGATGTGTTATTTGGTTGGCTAGCCTTTAATATATCTTGAAATGTCTGGAGGCCAACTCCAGAAAGCTCTCGTGAAGGTGGGAAGGTGAAGAACCGCTAAGAGACTTTCAGACTGGTTTTCTCTTATCACCCATGTGACTTTCAGTTGAGCAGCATGCAGGCACACGTATTAATGGCAATGTAGGTTTGTAAACAATACTACTAATAGGCTGGGGCTGGGGGAGAAAAATAGCCCACAAGAAATCTGGAGATACCTGTCTTGAGTGTAACCTGCAAGATATACTCTAACAGAGTAATCATTGCACGATATCATTGTGGGAGACTGAGCGAGTTAGAAAATCTATTCCTGGTTTGTCGCTGACTCACTTTGTGGCATGGGCAAACCATTATTACTCTTTGATTTAGTTGTTTTATTTGTTCGAAAAAGGGAAAATAACATGTGTTTAAAAAGCACTCTGAAATTCCTCTGAAAGGAGGTCTATAAGTGCAAAGTACTATTGTTGTTTTTATTATTATTATTAGTGTTCTAGTATGGTTTAGTTTTATGCCATGTAGGTCACAGATGTTTCAATTCTTCCGACTGATGAATTACAAAACACTTCCATCTCATTCTGTTTTATAGCGTTGATAACAGTTTAGCACATCTTTGTTTTAACCCCAGTTAAAGTATATGTCCAAAATAGACCTCATTAATAAAATACAATTACTAAATTAAATATATCTATGCTACTTTCTGTTTTTTTTTTTCCTCCTTAAAAAGGTGGTTACCAACAACTACTAAATAAGACCTTTAATTACTGCCAATCTTCTCTTGAAAGTAGCAGTGCTTATCTTGAGTAGTTTGAACTGTAAGTGGTATTCAGTACACAGTGGGGTTGTAATGCGATTATGAAGTGTAGCAAGTTAGTGATAAATAAGCGTGATAAACCATATATTTGTATTAGAAATAATATTTGAATTATCAACTGAATAAAAAGGCTGCAACTGCTGATTCCTTTGGGTGGGCATGTGATAAAAATAAAATACAGTTAAGTATACTTGGAATAAAAAATTGTGTATGCTTCAATATAATAGAAACCTTTTAAATTGAATGTGTTTTTGAGTTTATAGCATTTAAATTACTGGGAGAATTAAAAGATTTGCTTTGCTTTCTGACATTAAGCTTTTCAAATTAGAATTTTAAAAAACATTTCTAACTCATTCATCAGTAGAAGACTTTGGCTTTTATATAAGATACTATAGTTCTCCCCCATATTTTCAGTGATTTTCCAATGGAGTAGCAATAAAAAAACTTTAATTACAGTAAAACTTGCATATAAAATCATGCAAGAAGGAATAATATCATTTTCTTGCCTTTTTTTCCTTTTCAATATTTTAGTAATCATAGAAATAATTTCTTAATACTGGAGAATGGTAATTTATATAAAATAAGTAATACTGTGACTCTTATTTATATTTCACATGAAATGAGCAGTAAATTGTGTGCATTTATTTGTAAGTGTCCTAAGACATGGGACCACATGGGAAGAAGTATAGCTGCCATAGCGTCTTAGAAACCAGAGGTCGCATAGTAGCAGCCACAAACTGCGCATGACCTTTAAATGTGTTTAATTTGCCTGAAGAACACCTCAAATTTCTAAATGGTTGCTAATATTTTTTAGTGTGGGGAGTTCCTATAAAGAGCCAAATTTCTGGCATTTTTAAATAAAATCAATATGTGGCTACAGTAGGTCAACATTCCTGAATGGCCACAATTGACTGAAGCTGAGTAGCAGCTAAGCAGTTTGGACAGAATATGGGTTCTCCAGTTTGCCATAGCCTCACTGCAGCCCACTTCACTCATTTCTGTTATTCATGTGGTTACTATAAGCATTTGTTTGCTAAAAAATATCTTGAGGCATGTTTTTTTTTTCCTCTTTTTTTAACCAGCCCCCTCCCTTCCCAATAAAAAAAGAAAAAGAAGCCATGAAACTTGGGGGTTTAAACAGTAAAAAAAAAAAAAAAAAATCCAGCAGACATAAGTGTGTTTATTAAAGTAAATCATATAAAAATATAACTTACTAGCTAACCTGTTTATGGCACTGTATATTTTTCTTTTCTTTTTCTTTTTTTCTCTTTTTTTTTCTTTTTTTTTTTTAAGACAGAGTCTCGCTCTTTTGCCTAAGCTGGAGTGCAATGGTGCGATCTCGGCTCACTGCAACCTCCACCTCCCGGGTTCAAGCGATTCTCCTGCCTCAGCCTCCCTAGTAGCTGGGATTACAGGTACACGCCACCACACCCAGCTAATTTTGTATTTTTAGTTGAGACGGGGGATCACCATGTTGGCCAGGCTGGTCTCCAACTCCTGACCTTGTGATCCGCCCACCTCGGCCTCCCAAAGTGCTGGGATTACAGGTGTGAGCCACCACGCCCAGCTACTGTATACTTTTCAAAGCACTTTCACGTGTCCTTTGTCCTCTTATCCTCACAGCATCTCTGGGAGTAGGATAACAATTACATATTCATTTTACCAATGAGAAAAGCAAGTTTTGGTGGACACCATTAATTTATCCAGATTTGCAACTGCTACGTGTTGGAGCTGAGCTATAACTCATCTTCAGATTGTTCATCTAGAGTAACACTGTCCACCGGAACTCTTTGCAATGGTAGAAGTGTTCTGTATCTGTGCTGTCCAGTGCTGTAGCCTCTAGCCCCACATGTAGCTGTTGAACACTTGAATGTAGCTAGTGCGACTGAGGAACTGAATTTTCCATTTTACTTAGTTTTAATTAATTTAAATGGAAATAGTGACATGTGACTAGTGGCTACCTTATTGGGCAACACAGGACTCCAGAGTTCTTTTCCTCCTTCATTGCATGGTATCTTTATTTAACAGTCTTATTCTTTTCAATAAAGTTCATCAAAAGATTTCTGTTAGGTTTTCTGTAGTTACCCAAGTGGCAAACATCTGTTCCACCAGTAGTTCAACATATTAAAATATTGAATATTTTCTGTATCTGCTTAGATTGCCTTCCATAAAGATTTTGAATCATACACAGGTAGCATTCTTTGTAACAAAGTCAGGGGACCCAGTATTAAAGTTCTTAATGTATATTATCTCCCAAGATTCCTAGTTCAGATAAAGGGCATAATTAGAGGTGTGTTTAAGCATCAGAAACATGTAGATGACTAAGACCATCTCCTTCCCTGGTGTTTTTTATTTTCTAAGATACTAGCAGCTGTTACAGAGTCATGTAGGAAACTTAACATTCTCTGATAATTGATTGGCTGGTGTAAGTTGGAACAGAGTGACTTTTAGAAAGATGACCATTAGCTAAACTCTATCAGCGTTTATCATTAAATCCAAAATGACATTAACTTAAGACATGTTCCAATTTCAGAGATGTTATAACATAGGAGAGGAGATTTATCTTAAAATTGGTGAAATATGGTTTGTCAGTGGGCTTCATCTACATTTGGTCAGCTTATAACCAGGGACAGCATTGAGATGTAAATGTCAACTTCTGTTTTGCCCTGTGATTAATTAAACCCTTCATCTTCACCAAAACAGGTCCCCACCCCACCCCCGCCCCCATTGCTCTCTGCACTTTGGCTGTCCCCTTCCTCACTACCTTATCCTGATTACAATTAATTAACAGAAATCCTGGTGATTAGGAGTAGGCTTAAGCTCTTGCTCAGTAACAGTTTGATCACTATACAGATACTCACTTTCTTTAAACACCTCCCTACCCCCCCCCCCCCCCACCAAATGCAGACGAGGATATTTTATTATAAATAATACTGGAACAAGCTTAACCATCACCTTCTAGCACACAGGCAACTCTGCAGCACTCTTTTTTAGAATACCACATGCTGTAATTCAAATTATCACATTAGCTATCCAAACACACCATTTGTTTTTAAATACTGGTGTGTTTACCTGAATATTTCCCCTTTTCATCTTCCCGCCCCACTTCACCAGTACATTGTCACTGCAGTGACAGGTTTATTTATGTGCCTTAATATCCCCATTTCTTGTTATTTTAAAAATGTATTTCTGTGTCCCTATAAGGGTCTTCTTGAACATCTTAAAATATTAGTTATTATGTAAATTCATGTCTTTTCTTTTCCATTATGCCCTTTGAATCTTGCCTTTATTCAGACTTCAAAATATTTAAGCACTTCTAAACTCCTGTATTACATTTTTAATACCAATCTTTCTCTGGAAACTGAGAATGCCTTCTGAAACCTTAACAGCCATCAAAAGAAATGTGGGGATTTGAATCTATTAAAATAGAAGAGTTTCTTGTCCACAATGGAGTCTGACACCCTAACAGTTACCATTTTGGACACTGCTGTGTAAAGGTTCCAAATACAAGCCATTCAGAGTTTCCACTCGCATGCAAAACTCATGCACGAGTTAGGGGGTATCATTTATTAGGTGGTAACGAGGAGTCCTGAGTGCTTTGGTAAATGTGTTGGTTTGTACCATATAAAATTGCTGACATTAGACCATTTTTTTGTGTACAAAATGTGGCAACTTCACATGGGGTCCACCCTGATACTATAGGTGCAGACCAGTCCAGCTCATATAAATTGCCTTCTCTATTTTTGCTGTTTTCCCTTATTTTTCCTCAATTAGTAATTTTACTCCCATAACCTTCTCTTTGCTGCCATCCTTTTGTATTTCTCAGTTAATAGTATTTTCTCTAGTGCCCTTCCCTTCTTAACTAATTCCCCAAATCTGTTAGCTGCAGAATTAGTAGCACAAAGAAGGCTGGTTGCATAGTATGTACCTCCATGATGCAATCAGTACTTACCACTTCAAGTGTTTGACCTGTTTTGAGGTTTTCATTATCCTGAAAGGGTAGTGTCTCGAATACATTTACTGCCCAATAAATAAGCCAGCATAGTTCCTTACTGCTCAAATGAAAAAAGCAGAAGGGAAAAAAAAAGCTACTTTTTTGTTCAGTGCTGATAGAAGCCTTGCTATGTGATGTCTTTGTTATGACATGGCTCAGCTAAAGCATCTCTGGAGAATAAAATTAATAAGTACCCTTTGTTATATTTGCCTTTGTTTAACTGAATATAAATTAATAAATGCAGTTTTTTAGTAGTTTGTTGTCTTTGGATCTTTGTCTCAAGAAAGAAATGAGATATGTTGTATTTTATAATTAGAAGTGATAGAGACATCAGCCATCACTTAAAAGTTGGAAAAAAAATTCTAGAAATCATACCATTTTTATTTCTGTCCATTTGTATTTGTAATCTCCTAGTTTCCAGGGTGATGTGGTGATACAGTGAGTGCTGATTCATTCATATTTTTGTTATTTGGTTGCCATTTTTAAAGAGAATGTCAGTAGTTGGTAGTGATAGGTAAATAAGAATAAAATAAACATCAAATCCTTTACTGATGAACTGTTCTTTACATGTAGTCATGCTAATCTTCACAATAATCTGCTGAATGGATGCTCTTATCCCCATTTTACAGATATAAAACAGGTAAACTTATTTTCTAGGACAGTAAATTCTATCTAGTGCAGACACGCATTTGAAACTTAGGGCCAGCAGACTCCAAAGATGTTAGCCCCTCCCGCCCTTCCTCAGTGTCAGACATCCTAGCTATTGAAAAAGAAATCGTTAAACATCTGTGTTACTTTAGTGCCTCTTTATGGTGTCTATTATTGTTCTATGTTATAAGTTTGTTTTTAGCTTTTTGTTGTTGTTGTTTACCATGCATCAGGCATAAACAAGGTATCTGTTCTCATGGCACATTCTACAGAAGAGTAAAGAGCAAGATCATTTCAGATAGTAACAACCCCTACAGAGACAATAAAATGGGGTGGTTTGATAGAAGTGGATAGGAAGTTCTTTCTAAGAAGCTGGTGTTTAAGCTGAGACCTGAATGACAAGAGGGAGGAAATTCTGGAAGCAGAACGTTCTACACCAGGGGAACAACCAGAGGAAAAAGTCTGAAGCTGGAGCATCTTAGGACAGTTAGGAGGCAGGTGTGGCTGGAGGACAGGCAACGAAGGGAAAGTAACAGAAGATCAAGTTGGACAAATAGGCAGGGGCTAGATCTTGAAAGAAGGGCTTTGGTAAGGAGTGTGGTATTTCCACTGTGGGAGCTTTTGGAAGGTCCCCCTCCACCAAATGTGCACCTGCTGGAAGCACTCTGTGTATTTTCTCTAGAAATTATGTACGGAGGTCTAGAGGAAAATGCTAAAGCCTTAAAAATTACATATTAATTAGGGAGATTCTGAAGAGCATCACAACTTTCAAAGGTGACTGGGATAATGCAGTCTTATTCCCATATCAGCATGTTGTTTCTTGTGTGCTCTGCTAAGCAGCTGCTAGAGTCCTAAAGACCTCTAGTATGACAGTGAGTACATTTGTGAGTTGTGTTGCCCCAAATTATAGTAGGGATGGGGATAAAGAAATATGTTTGTATACAAATTCTTGCTAGATACTAATAACCAGTGCTGGAGAACCTTCCACATTAGTTCCAGGAAGTGCACTGTAAAGACCTGTTGGTTTTAGTTTTCTCTTGGTACATTTGAAATATGTCACTGGCTTTTAAAATTAAATATGCTTTTTATGCTTTTAAGTATTGTCTCTTTTGAACTTTTGAGTGTGAGGGTTGAATTTTTAGTGAGAAAAGAATTTTGTTTGGATTTGTTTTTAATTAGTATTTTTTAAAAAATATGTTAAGGGCTTCTGGTGGTGGTGGAAAATATTAATTCCTTTAAAAATCTGGCTGTGTTGCTAGATCCACATTTGCTTTTCTGTGTTTTTGTGAACAACTGATCAAATTAGATTCGTCACTCTTGGCTTACGGTGATTTGAAATTGAAATGGAATATATTAAAGCAGCCAACCACACTGATTACATTGCAAGCCTCATTTAATTTCATACATTCACACTTTACAGTGAAAGGCAGCTTTTTTAATGCATGATTGTGACTGTACCTTGAGCAACTCCAAAGGTCATCTGTAATGGGTGCATAATTTGTTAGTGTTAGATATCTGATTTATGGTAGGTGTTTCTCAGCCTGATTTGTACTAGTAGTAAATATGGTGAGCATCAAAGTAAAATCTGTAAGAAGTTTAGCCTGTCACATTTGGTGGTATTGTCTTATTCTTCACTGGTCAGTGGACCACAGTAAATCATGGACTAGCTGTCATCCTTAAATCGAGAAAGTGCCAGTACTGAGCCCCTGTAGCACAGGGGTTAAATGAGCTATTCTTTTTAAGAGGGCAGGCTGGCCCAGGTGAAGGTTATAACAGTATTACCAGCTCATCTAACAGTACTTGTTCACAGCTACTTGAGCCCTAGTCCCAAGAAGGCTATAAAAGGACTTTCAGTTTCATAGGAGCATGGACATTTGTGAGCTTGCTCTTTTTTCCTTGGTTTTCTGTAGCAGCGAAGTCTACCAACTTCATTTCCTTTGTGTCTTCTGTGTGACAGGCACTGTGGGGCAGCCCTCAGAGATCCAGAGCAGAATTTGCTTTTTGTTTGTTTTTTGTTTGTTTGTTTTTGGTTTTTTTCTCTTTGTTTTTGGTTTTTTTTTTTTTCTTCTCTTTTTTTTTGAGACAGTCTCACTCGTTTGCCTAGGCTGGAGTGCAGTGGCGCAAGCACTGCTCACTGCAGCTTCAATCTCCTGGGCTCTAGCAGTCTTCCTGCCTCAGCCTCCTGAGTAGCTGGGATCACAGGTGTGTACTGCCACCCGCCCACCCCCACCAGCTAATTCTTTTAAATTATTTTTTGTAGAGACTGGGTCTTGCCATGTTTCCCAGGCTGACCTCAAACTCCTGGGCTCAAGCAGTCCTCTCACCTTGGCCTCCTAATGTGTTGGGATTACAGGTGTGAGCCACCACACCAGCCCAGAGCAGGATTAAGACACAGTTTCTGCCCTCAAGAAGAAGACAGTTGGATATGGCCATTTGTTCCACTGTGTGGTTTTAAATGACATGAAATGGCTTTAACCCCTTCAGTGACTCAGGAACACAATTTGCATTAGGCAGTCCCCATTGTTCATAGCTTTATCACACATGGGGTGGGTTAGTACAGTGCTCACGGAGAATAAGACTGACATGGACTTGATGAGAACTTTCAGCTACTTTGAGAATCCAGCTGCAGAGTTGCCTTTGATTTTGGTTGTGACGGTGGAGACATGTTTACTTTGATCTTCTGTTGCAGTCTAGGGTTTGTTCAGAGATGTGTAGATTTGTTTTTGTTGGCTTTCATCAACCAGTTTGTTATATTGTAGTTTTCAATAACAAGAGACACCTAAAACCATTTTTTAAAGCTTTATTATTGAAATTCCTGAATGGGAAAAAAGTAAGACAGTTATTCTACCTAACTCCTCTCTTCTCTATCGGAGGAATTACTTTTAATAACTTTAAAATATATAGGCCAAGTCTGGTGGCTCATGCCTTTAATCCCAGCCCACCCTCCCTTCAGCTGACGCAGAAGAGTCATTTGAGGCCAGGAGTTATAGACCAGTCTGGGCAGCATAGTGAGACCCCACCTCTTAAAAAAAATTAGCTGAGCATGGTGGCACATGCCTATCTATAGTCTTTGCTACTTGGGAGGCTGAGAGGCAAGAGGATCACTTGAGCTCAGGAGTTGAAGATTGTAGTGAGTTATGATCGTGCCACTGTACTGTAGCCTGGGTGACAAAGCAAGACCCTGTCTTTAAAAAAATCAACAAATTATATATACACATGTATTTATATATATATTATATGTTTATATATATTTATATATATAAAACCCAAAATTCCCTAGGAAGGTAACTTCATTGTTAGAAACAAAATAGACTTTATAGATTAGTGTAGGGGAAAAACCGAAAGTTGAAGGACCATTTAAAAAGGGCAGCATTCCCAATCTGTTCTATGTAATTCTAGTGTCATTAGTATTCCCGGGGTAACAAAGACTCCCTGACCAAAGAAGTTTAGAAAATGCTACATTCTATATCCCCCGCCCCTTTGTTGTTTTCAATGTATATTAGCATATTTAAGGCTCAGAGGTGTCCTACAATAGAAATTTGTTTAATTTTGTTTTAAGCCAGCTCTCTCCATATTTATGTAGATGCAGGGCATAGTTTAGAAAACGCTAGAATAGAATTTTGGCAATCATTCATTCTCTTTTACCTTTGCTTAATAAATAGTTAATAAAAATTCAAGACTCTACTATCTCCTGAACTAACTTAAACAATATTTTTGAATACCTGTTACATACCTACAAAAGGCCAAAAAAAGTATGAAACTAAGAAAATAGGCAGTAAAAGAATGGAAGGAGGAGAGAAGCAAGTAGCAGCCATGAACTAAAATTAATAGTACTGATGAGTTTGTGGATAAAGAAGAGAGCTGATGATGAAAAGACCAGATTGGGATGGGGGTGGACAGACAGGACCTGCATATGAGTCATCACCTGTGGGTATTGCCAGCTCCCAGACCTCAGGACTTGTGGACACCAGCATGCCACACAGAAGGCTGTTGGCTGGAATGGTTCAAGATTTTAGTAGTGTGTTATGGCCACCTAGTGCAGGGTTCACAAACTCAAATGCCTTTAGGACCATGATGAATTATACATGCTGTTTTCATACAGAAAACATGAGCTCTGTTTTGCCAGATGTTCTCATTTTTCAAGGAGAGGAAGAAACACAGATGGTCCTGTGGAATTGTCTGATGTTTGAACACTGGCTGTAGTTTTTGTATTGCTTTGTTAACCAAAACTGGGGAATACTGGGTGAGGACATGGAAACTCTCTTGCATTTGCTGATGGGAGTAAGTTGGTAGAAGAAATGTGGCAGTATCTAGTAAAGTTGAAGCTGTGCAAACATAAGACCCAGCAATTCCATTTCTAGGTGTATGCCCTAGAGACAGACACCACCCCCAACCCCCATGTACCACGCTCAAGGTGATGTTTATGGATGAATATCCGCACTGTCTATAATAGTCTCCTAGGTAAGTAAGTGACAGATAGAGAAGTACATATAAAATGATTTATATAAATTTTAAAAACAACATTAAAATAGTATCTATGTGTTGTTTGTGCTTATACAAATATATAGTAAAAGTATAATATGCAGGTAGAAAAGAGATACAGCAAATTCAGAATTGTTGCCTGTAGGAAATGGGGGTAGACAAGCTATGTACACTAGGAAGCCATTGAAGATTTTAAGCAGAGAAGGGGCATGGCAGGATCTGATCTGTTCTTGAAGGTCACTCTGGCTGCTGCATCATAGGGGAACAAGAGGAGACGCGAGGAAAGTAGTTGGAAGATTTTAGTCATGGTAGTCCTGCGTCTTGGTGGGAGAGAGGTGGCTTGAATTCCAAATATAGTGGAGATTTTCTCAACCTTGGCACTGTTGACATTTTGAGCTAGGTGATTCTTTGTTGTGGAGGCTCTCCTGTCTCACCCCACGACTGAGAACCTCTAGCCTCAGCTGTATATTGGGAGGTTAAGAGTAAAAATTTCTAATCCATTTTTAAGAGGAAGAGATCAGATGGAGCTTGAGTTAGTGGGAAAAGAATGAGTGGAGGAGGCGAGACTTGAGGTGATCTTTGCGAGAATGGAACAGACACAGTCATTCCAGAGACACTAAGCATTGACTATTTTAAAACTTAACAAAAGCTTTTCTTTAATCTTATATTTCCCTGCTCCCACTTCTCCTTTGTAAGATTCTTGTAAGAGAGCTGTATATAGGCTCTTCACTTCTCTAGCATTTAGTTCACTCAACAGCTCTATTGCTCACAGCAGGGTCCTTAGTGACTTCCTAGTTACGAAACCCAATGGAATCTTTCCAATCCATCTACCATTGACCTCTCCACCCCATTTGTTTTCCATTTTTAAAATGATTTCCTCTTACATAATCAAAAGTGCAGATCACAATGTATGTTGAGATGTTAATCTATATGTTCATATAGTTTGAAAAATTGTACGTCCTTTGTATCATAGAATATTGGACAGCCATTACAATGTGTATTATTATCCATGTTCTGTAAAAGTGAATTGTATGTATTAAGAAAAGCAGGTTTCAGTTCCGTGTAGTTAATATACTCTCCCCTGTAGTAACACACACACACATATATTCATGAACATCAGTTTAGAAAAAGACTGGCAGGAAATGCACTGAGATGCCAGCAGTCATTTTCCTGACAGTGTGTTACTTTTATAATTGAGGCAGGGGGCAGCGTACTGAAAACATTGGTTTATCGAGTTTCCCCTCTGTTGTCTTCTGTCTGTGTGCATTCTCCATGGATGATCTCATCTGTACCCTACACACCAAGGACTCCAAGTCTAACTCGACTGATCGAGTCCTCTTTCAGACTGACTTTTGGACTCGCATACCTATTGATCTCCTAGATAGATCCACTGAGATGTCTGTCCCATGAACATCTGTCAAAATCAACATGTCCAGAAGTGAAGTCATTGTATTCCTTGTTCCCCACTAGCTGTTTCTTTTACCCTCCCTTTCCCAGTCACAGGCACTCCATACCTATCCTGTCATCCAAGCCAGAAACAATCCTATAGACTCTTCTCTCCCATTCCCTCCACATCCAGTCCATGTCCAAGATTTGTGGCCAGGCACGGTGGCTCACACCTGTAATCCCAGCAATTTGGGAGGCCACAGTGGGCGGATCACGAGGTCAGGAGTTCAAGACCAGCCTGGCTAACATGGTGAAACCCCGTCTCTGCTAAAAATACAAAAATTGGCTGGGCATGGTGGTACACGCCTGTAATCGCAGCTACTCAGGAGGCTGAGGCATGAGAATCACTTGAACCCAGGATGTGGAGGTTGCAGTGAGCCAAGAGCGCACCACTGCACCCCAGCCTGGGTGACAGAGCAAGACTCCATCTCAAAAAAAAAAAAAAAGGATCTGTAAGCTGGTTCTACCTCTAAGTACATCCTGCGGCTCTCTCCTTCTACCATTTTCACTTGCTGCCACCGTAGTTCAGGTGGTCCTCTCAACAGGATTCCTAGACAAGTCTTACTGGTTTTTCTACTTCTAGACCTGCTCTGTCTGTTGCAGTAGCCACTAGCCACGTGTGCCTATTGAACACTTGAAACGTGCCTAGTTTAAATTGAGATGCGTCATAAGTATCAGATATACCTCATTAATATTCATACACTGATTACATGCTGAAAGGATAATATTTTAGATGTACTGGATTAAATGAAACATTAAGATTTACCTGTTTTATTTTAGGGGTTTTAAAAATGTGGCTACTAGAACATTGAATGTTCTCAGAATGGCATATATGGCTTACATTATATTATTATATTTCTACTGGGCCGCACTGTGTCTAAGCAGTCATCCCCCCTTTGATTTATCCTCCACGCTGCTGTCAGAATTATCTTGCTGAAAAACAAAGTCCCTGAGCTAAAAATTCTTTGAAGTCTTTTGGGATAAAGTTTAAGATTAGCTTAACACACCATGCCTTCCCTAAAGGCATTCAGTTTCAAAAACTTTTGAAACACTGTGCTGTCCACAGTGTCCGGTTAGATTCAGCTGGTAGGTTGCCAGCTTCCAACTCCTGATCTAAGGACTGTCTGTCATCTCTGTGGCACCTCTACCCTCAAATATTTCAATAGTTGTTAGACAATTGATGCACTATAAATAGATTGAAGTAGAGTTGAGCATATGAGAAAGTACCCTGTATCAATTCTACATTCATGCTAAATAAAAAGTTTTATACAGACCCTTAAGGGACAGCTACATTCCTAATACTCTGTTGAAAGTTATCCACTGAGCTGCGCACCTCTTCCTAGTAGGCCATATGTGTTAGTGGGCACTCTGAGGAGATTGAAGTGGCTTCGAGGACCCAGCCCCCACTAAGAGCTGACGGCGAGTGAACCAACTGGGAAAAGAAACCTTCATGTGTTGACAGTATCAGAAAGATTCGATGGAAAGCTACTAAATTTGAAAAATCGATCCTTATAAGATAATCTTTCTTTTGGAGTGGGGGGATTACAAACAGGAGGATGTTAGATAAAATGGCAAAATGTTTAAAAAGCTCAACTCATAGGAGGATGTTGGATACAATGACCCTCCAGAAAAGGAGTTCTGAAATACTAAATAAACTTAAAACAGCTGTATCGTAACAATATTTTGACTCTCCAAAATATGTTTTATTTGTCCATAAGTATGTGTCTAGGATGGCTGACAAACTTAGAGAACCATATCTGAGGTATTTATCAGTGAGGACATTCACTAGGTTGTATCCTAACCAGCACAATTTGATACGTATGTAATGCCAGAATAGCCATGAACAAGGCAGAACTAAAGTTATTTTCAGATACTGAAATACTGTTTTTACTTTGGCTCTGCTGTTGAACCACAGAGTTAGAGGCTTAATTTTCTTTCTATCAATATATTGCTTTTATTTTTTCTGCACAGGACCTTAATGTTCTGCATGTTTAGTGAGGACACTTCTACTTCCAGTGTAATAGCATCATGCTTTTAGAGATGCACTTGTTAGACATTTGCAGCTAGCTGTTCCTTTCATGACCTTGTGACTGGGGCTTCCATAAAGATGCACTCCTGCACAACTCCTTTCTTGCCTCCCACTACAAAACTGTAAACTCGGGGATACTAGTCTGGTTTGCTCAGTCAGTTTCTGCTCTTTTTCACCATCTTGCTTGGATGGCGTCCCTTTGGTGTCTAGCGCTCTCCTGCTACCTTGCCTCCTTCTCAATCTCTAAAATAAAGGGAAACCTTCTGTTTGTACCATTCAAAAACTGAAAATATTTCTTTTTTGATGTGTTTATATTATTATTTCCAGGGTTATTTGTATTGTCAGATTTAACTTGCTCTGTTTTATGTGGAAATAGTGCCAAATATTAGCAAGTAGATGATGGGTTATATTTGGAGCAGGGTACTTTCCCGTTGTTCTTAAAATCACATATACACAAAGTTGTCCCTAAGGTCAACCCTAAAAGCACACCTGATTTATTTCCTCTTCGAGTGCCCAGGAGAAAAGACCTCCTTTCTACTTCCTCTTCTCCCAAAGTAAGCAAGACTCACTAAGATTCTTTGGCTGTCTCTGGAACCAAGAATGGGTTTCACCTGAGCTCAGCCATTCCTCCAACAGAGAGATTCTCCACTTCAAATGCCCAATAAAGCCTAACTTAGGAGCTTTTTTAAAAAAATCTGCCCAGACCAGTTAAAGCTCACTCTCTGAGATGGACCCAGGCATCAGTATAATTTCATCCCAGCATACAGCAGCAGTTGAATACCACTGCTCTAAAAAGTCTTAACCACCTTCATGCCTGAAGCTTGTTCCTAGCCTGAAAGTTTTTGAGAATATGGCCATTAAGTTCCACAGGGGAAAGAGCATTGTGATGTTAGTCATGACAAACTATAATGCTACCACCTGCTGACAGCTGCCATTTATTGATCAGTTCTGTGTCAGGCATTCTGCTATTTCTCTATGTAATCTTTATGTTTTTACTGCATCTTTATATATATATTATATTTACTTTTTATGCTTTACTATGTTTAATCTTAACTGTGAAATGGGTCTTATTACCATTTCACAAAGAGGAAAAGGAAATGTTAAAGAGGATAGGTGATGTGATCAAAATCACACAACTGGTAAACGAGGAGAAACAGTTGGTAATATTGATCACATGTTAGATCAAGAACAAAGAAGTGAAAAACTGTAAAAAAAAGTAGTTTGACTGTATACTAATTACAGTAAATTATACCAACAGTTTACCATTTGTGCCTAATTACAATATAGCACAATAATGATTATGATTATAAATACCATTAAACAGATATCGCATTAACTTGGGCAAATTTCTTTTGATTACAGAACAGCTTAAATCTTTATTATAAATAGGTGTGGAATGAATAGCTGATAATCATAACTAATATTTTATTGAGTGTTTACTATATGTTTTAGGCATCACAGTAAGGATAAGGACTTTGCGTACATTTTGTTTAACCTTTAAAAACTAAAACTCTGAGGTTGGTACTATAATTATTATTAGAAGAGAGGAAACTAAGGCTTGGAGAGGTTGAATAGCTTACTTGGTAAATGGCATATCCAGACCTTCCACTCAGGATTGCGGGACTCCAATGCTCTTCACTATTCCATCTCCTTATATAATATGCTGCAGATTCATAGGACTGTTCGTGTTTGCTCAGCCTTTGCACTTGTTACTAATGTGGGCTGGTTATCTATTCAAAACTTTCAACATGACTTGTGAGATGGATATAATTATTTTAAAAGTCTGCAAGAGTTTCCTTCTAAGCTATTAATAGTTTTAATTTTGAATATATATAATGGGTAACCCCATGAAATCTCACTACTATATAAGAATGGTCCCAATTTAGTTATTCTCCTCTCCCTTCAATGACATAAAATCAACATATCCTCTTAGATTAAATAATAGTAATAACAACTTTCAGGGTCATCTTAGTTCTTTGAACTGTGGGTTTTATTAAGGAATAGTAGAATCTGTGCATATTTAAAATAATCATTTTGTACTGAAAACTGACCCCAAAACATACACATAGAAAGGCCTGATTAATAACAAACATTATTATGAAGTGTTTTAGGTGGGAGGCATTCAGTTCTAAAGATTATATACAAAATAAACCTGAACCTAGATGACCTTCAGTAAAATATCAGCATATTAATATGCCAAGAAACTCAATGGCATGTCTGATTCCAATTCATCGTGATGAAGAAAGAGCCATCTTGCCCCAACTCTTGCTCAGAGCAGTCGCACAGGATTGTAAGTGATCGTCTTAAAAGACTCTTTGTCTCACCTTTGTCAAAATCCTCTTTCAGGGGTTACAGCCGGTAGAGAACCCATAGGTTTGGGGGTCAGAAAACCTGGGTTCCTGTTGTAGAGTTTCTATGAAGTCTCCAGAAGATTACTGTGCTGTGAGTTTTCCAGTCTTAAAATAGGGACAAAAACTCATTTTTCAGCATTTCTCAAAGAGATATTGCAGAATCAGTAATAACTTGGTAATGTTTTAGTAATGCCTGTCCTTTAAAGAGTAAGTATGTAGACTAAATAAGATACATGTACATAGTTGAAATCCAGTAAATGCCACTCATTTGATATATTATGGTAAGTCTACAATAATACAGAACTCTTATTTGTAATCATATAAGGCATCTATAGAATGTTTTAAAAAATTCCTTAAAAACAAAAGGCAACATATACTATGTCAGCAAAATCCCATTTTTAACCACTTAGAAATAAGTTATACCTAATTTTTCCCCCAAACTAATAACTCCCTGCCAGTCTGTTTTGGCAGCGTAGAAGTTGTTTTCAAATCACTAAAACCCTCATGACCTAAAAGTTGTGAAATTTGAAGGAGTTTGTGCTGCCGTTACTCTTAAGTTTTTCCCTAGGTGCTAATTGAGTCAAGTTTGTTCTGCATTATGATCTAATGCAGGCACAATCAAGGATCAGATGTCAGGGTGTCAGATAGCAGGAAGTGCTGATTGGTGGGAAGCTGGGGAATGCAAGCTCTACCCAAAGGCATTAAAATTCTTGAAAAATAGTTGAACACCATTAGCTATACAGACACACCTTCTAGCTAGATTCTACTGAAGATCCACCAATTCACAGACTTTCAGCTAATAAATGTCTTATGATAATTAATTCTACCCCCAGAAGGGAAATAGTCATATGCCACTTCATGCTTTTTAATAAGTTGATTGTATGTAAAGATTTGAGTTTACCAGGAAGTTTACAAAGTAAATTATAGTTATTAGAGTTCAAATAAAAATGTTTTTATGACAAACAACTAAAGAGTGAATTCTCTACATGAATTCTGATGTTCTTATATACATCCTAGAAATCTTGAATTGTATAAAATGTTATCCTGACATTTATGTCTTAATTTAGCTTACTGCCTTGCGCAGAGCACACAAGAAGTATTGAAATTAGGTAGCTGACACCAAATAAATACTTAAGGCTCTTTATAATACGTTATTAGGGAATCTGTAATTTCAAGTTATGGACCATATTAATAAATACTGCGTATTTTGAAAGGCACTTGACACCAGTCACATTCACCTAGAGTAATTCTGAGTAGTTCCTCACAGATTCCATGGGGAAAAACATATGGTTCAAGTCTCATAATTCCATAGGCAATTAATATATCAATAAAAGAGCATAACATTTGTAGCTGTCCTCAGCCAAGTACCTACTATGTGCCGGACACAGTACAGGCCCTTTTTATGCATTTTGTCTCAATTTACTCCTGATGCTAATTCTGGGAGGCATTATTGCTATTTCACCAATTGCAGATAGAGAGTCTCAGTGAGATTCCCATGAAGATGGTAAGAAACCTTTCTGCTGCTAAATCCTGTGCTGGTAAGCTATCTATACCATATATCTATAGTTTAAAAAATCAATAAGGACATCGGTGAATGGACTGCAGCAATTAAACGAACCTAGTTAACCTTGTAAATCCCCCTATATCAGATCACTATAGGGAAGGAAGGGCTCGATACCTTAAAATTCCCAGTAGAGGGTGTATGCCCCCATTGACCAATCTGACTGGATGTCAAACTTTGGTATCCGTTGTACACTGTGTGCAGAATCAGTATGTGCTAGAATTATGTATAACAAACTAAAAGCCTACCAGATGTTGGAAAACAGTAACATGCTGATACCAAGGTGGGCTTGGTAAGTGAAGGATCAGCATGTTTTCTTTTCTAAGTTAAACTTCTGAATTTTCTTCAAACTCTTCTGTCTCTACTCATGGTCCCTCAGCCCAAATCTGGCTTCTTCTGTGGTCTCCAGATAGAGTTAAACACTTCCTCACATAGCTCCTTGTATGTTTTCTCACATATGTTTCTTCTTATGCATCTCTCTTCCACTGTATGTGAGTTCCTTGGAGCCAGGGCTAATTGCTTTTTCATCCTTGTGTTGCTAAGCACTAAATCCAACAGTGTGTCTGATGGTGGCTGACAAATGAATGAATGGATAAAACCAGTAAAACTGCCTGACCTCAGCACCATTACTCCCTCCCATCTTTTAGTTCTTGGCTAGTTAGAAGGCCAGGTTCTGTGGCTGAGCTCGTAAAAGTTCAGCTGTATTGTAGAAATACACAGATATATAAATATTGTAGAAATATACAAAGCCTTTGCTTTCATGGTTTTGAGGAAAGGAAAAGGTGAGCAGTTAGCCAAACTCTTAGATTAAAAAGAGCAAGAAGAGTGATTCCAGGAAAGTTTTCTTTTTCACTTGTATGTTTTTGCAGCTTTTTTCATAGTTTTCAAAGTTGTGGAACCCTCTCCTGGTGTTAAGAACCTGCTTCGGTTCTTAAAATAAACAAAGGTATCAAAAAGTCCTCTTGCTCCAATATTTTCACCTCTGATTGGCAATTCAAATGTGGAAAGCTTCTGAAACTATCTTTAAGTAGCTTCGTAAGATGACAAAAGCCCTATATTTAGTAATGTCTAACTGAAGTTTGTTTTAATGATTTAGAAAATATCCTAGTATTCATTATTATAAAGTGTTTATTTTGCAGAGTTTTCATTTGAAAAACTAGCAACTCTGCCTTACCATAGAAATGCATCGTTCTTCAAGTTTTTGAAAACATTTTGGTTCTACATATTAGACTTTAACTCTTGAATGCTAGCCCTGCCTAGTAATAAAACATGTTTTTTTTCCAGTGCCACTTAATGGCAAGTCTCTTCAAGTTTCTCAACAGTCAACTGCTGTAAATGTACCTGAGGTACATTCTCATTTTCTAGAGGGGGAACAGGAAAAATTCCACTGCCACCATCCACCCCTGTCATCCAAAAGCAAGTTTATTAGTGAACTTCAAGTCAGCATTCTAACCCTACTATCTGGTCTCTCTTTTTTACTTTTTTATCCTTTTGGGTTTATCAAGTCCTTATTTTAAGATTAACATGAAGAATACTTAATGTTGTAAAGGCTACATGGATGGTTTTGACATCAGAGTGACAAAATATGTTTTAAAAGGATAACAATATCTGAGTGCATGTTTGTAAGAGCAGCTAGATAACATGGCAAACTCTGACAGCAATCATTTCTTCACTCCTGCCCCATTTTTCCTAAGCAAATACACTTAGGGTGCTCTTCAGTGGTAGTGTATATAAAGGATGGTCTCCAAAAAGAGATTGGCAGCTTTAATTTGTTTGATATGTGCAATCATGGTCCGTGTTAAATTCAAAATGCTTGTCCAATCAAGGATTCAATATAGAAAAGAGGCAGTAACAAGCATGCTGCACACTGTAATAAAGAAATCTGTTGATTGAAAACAGTTTGTATATTTTGGAAATGATAGGGAATGTAATTGGTAAGAAAGAAAAGGATAGGGCTTCATAAATAATGGGAAATAGAGCATATTTTTTACTGATAATACTAACTCAATTTAATAACATTTTGGTGTTGAATTTTTGTGTGCCAGAAAATAAGAAAGATGGGTTCTTTTTTGTTACTCTAAATGTCATGATTCATGGGTTGACCTTTTTTGTTTTTGTGTCCATCGAGAGCAGCTTTGACAGGTTGAATCAGGCAATAGTGGGTGATACGTTCCGGTTCTTTGAGAACTTTCACAGAACATTTTTCTTTTGTTCTCTCATCCAAGAAGACGAAACATATTTTTAACTGTTTTTTTTTTTTTTAGGTACAAGTACTACATGAATGCATTTCTGTGGTAAAAGATCTAAACAATAGAGAAATATACAGAGCAAAGTCTGTATACTTTTCGTACATAGATGTCTGGGTAGAGATTTGTATGCTGATTGTTTGAGGGGCTGTAGTATTAAGAAATTGAGGCTGGGCGCAGTGGCTCACGCTTGTAATCCCAGCACTTTGGGAGGCTGAGGTGGGCAGATGGCTTGAGCTCAGGAGTTCGAGACCAGCCTGGGTAACATGGCGAAACCCATTTTATACAAAATTTAGCCAGTTGCAGTCGTGCATGCCTGTAGTCCCAGCTACTTGTGGGACTGCAACAGGAGGATCGCTTGAACCTGGGAGGTTGAGGCCATAGTGAACCGAGACTGCACCACTGCACTCCAGCCTGGGGGACAAAGTGAGACCCTGTCTCAGAAAAGAAAAAGAAAAAAAGAAATTGGATTTTACTATTCATGTCATTCTCAAGCTTACTTAAGACCTCACAGATAGAAAAACATATATAAAGTCACTCTGGAGGGCTGCTATTAGTGGCTCTCCACTAGAAACATGTTGATGCGGACACCACTAGCTGTGCCTGGGGTGAGTTAGCTGGGACCCTTTTCACCAAGCACCACCCCAGGTCACAAGTGTCCCTTTGGAGCTGCTCAGCTCAGTTGGCCAGTATCCAGCTTTGTCCTCTCTGAAGAAAAACATCAACAATTTAAACTGCGAGCACTAAATACACTTAATGGTACCTTTACCTGTCCTTTTTTTCCTGTTATTTAGTTCCTTTCCCCATTAATTTAAAATTCTGCATCTAGACTTAGCACTAGTAATCTCATCTTGTACAAAAATCTAACTATTCAGAAAGTACCAACTAGAAATTTTCAGTGTACCATGGTGGCAGGTGTTCATGATGATGGAATACTCTCTAACTCATAAAAGAGATTGTGTACAATATAGTTTTGTTATTAATTTATGCTACTTTATTAACATTTTAAAAAGTGGTCAACAGTCCTTTATTACCTTCCCATTAACCATCATGTTGAGGTAACTATAATACCCAGTTCCCTGCATCTGTTCTAAACAAACTGGATTTTACTAGATAAAAAATGAAATTACTAATAAAAGGTTAAGTGATACATTTAGCATACATCATCAGATTAAGCATTTGCTATAAGAAGAATCCAGGCCGGGCGCAGTGGCTCACTCCTGTAATCCCAGCACTTTGGGAGGCCAAGGCGGGCGGATCACAAGGTCAGGAGATTGAGACCATCCTGGCTAACACGGTGAAACCCTGTCTCTACTAAAAATACAAAAAATTAGCTGGGCGTGCGTGGTGGCGGGTGCCTGTAGTCCCAGCTACTCGGGAGGCTGAGGCAGGAGACTGGTGTGAACCCGGGAGGCGGAGCTTGCAGTGAGCGGAGATTGGGCCACTGTACTCCAGCCTGGGCGACAGAGCGAGACTCCATCTCAAAAAAAAAAAAAAAAAAAAGAATCCATTGTATTGGTAAGCTGTTTTTGTGTGAGATTGCATTTCTTCCTCTCCAAGCGTCTAGCACAGCACTTTGGATTCCAAGTTCACCAAACTTTCCCCCTCTATTCAATTGCATTAAACATGTATTAAACATCTTCTCTATGTCATGCTTTCTAAGATGCAAAAAAGTTAGTATCCTTCTTCTCTAAGAATCCATAATCTAGCAGGATGCGGTGGCTCGCGCATGTAATCCCAGCACTTTGGGAGGCTAAGGTGGGCATATCACGAGGTCAGGAGTTCTAGACCAGCCTGGCCAACATAGTGAAACCCCATCTCTACTAAAAAATACAAAAATTAGCTGGGTGTGGTGGCACACGCCTGTAGTCCCAGCTACTTGGGAGGCTGAGGCAGGAGAATTGCTTGAACCTGGGAGGCGGAGGTTGCAGTGAGCCAAGATCGCGCCACTGCACTCCAGCCTGGGTAACAGAGCAAGACTCCGTCTCAAAAAAAAAAAAAGAATCTGTAATCTAATGGCAGAAAGGGGGCCTGCATAGAAGAGGTATTCTTCATTCTGTTGAGGTGGCAGAACCCTTTATCTCCCACTTATAACAGTGTGCCAGTGGTGAAAAAAGCAAGGTGAGAACAGTCTGAAGTCAGGGATAAGAAAGGAGGCATCCCCATGCACCCCAGGAAAGCACCCCTAATGATAGAATTTATCCCTGCAGGGAAAAGGTAAACCAAGATACCATGCAATTGTATACCTGGAACAGTACTCTTCTGAACTTGTTTGATTTCATACTCTTAACATTAATTTTTTTTTTTTGCTGAAATCTCTGATATTTATATATGTAATTGTAGATATATAGGTAATTTGAAAGAGCACTAATGTACTCTTCCTGTGCAAGATATCCTGTAGAACATACGCAAAATATGCATTTTTTTTTTCCTTCAACTTCTATTTTAAGTTCAGGGGTGTATGTACAGGATTTGCATATTTGTTACATAGGTAAATGTGTGCCATAGTGGTTTGCTACACAGATCATCCCATCACCTAGGTATTAAGCCCAGGGTCCATTAGCTATTCTCCCTGATGCTCTCCCTCCTCCCACCTCAGCCCCCTCTGACAGCCCCTCCCCCCACAATGTGTGTTGTTCTTCCCAATGTGGCCATGTGTTCTCATCATTCAGCTCCCACTTAAAAGTGAGAACATGCAGCGTTTGGTTTCCTTTTGCTTCGTTAGTTTGCTGAAGATCGTGGCTTGCAACTCCATCCATGTGCCTAGAAAGGACATGACCTCGTTCCTTTTTTATGGCTGCATAGTATTCCATGGTGTATATGTGCCACATTTTCTTTATTCAGTCTGTCATTGATGGATGTTTAAATTGATTCCACGTCTCTGCAGACATAAAGACAAATGGAACAGAATAGAGAACTCAGAAATCAGACTACACACCTACAACCATCTGATGTTTGACAAACCTGACAAAAGCAAGCAATGGGAAAAGGATTCCCTATTTAATAAATGGTGCTGGGAGAACTGGCTAGCCATCTGCAGAAAATTGAAACTGGACCTTCCTTATACCATATACAAAAATTAACTCAAGATAGATTAAAGACTTACATGTAAAACCCAAAACTATAAAAACCCTAGAAGAAAACCTAGGCAATACCATCCTGGACATAGGAACAGGCAAAAATTTCATAATGAAAACGCAAAAGCAATTGCAACAAAAGCAAATATCGACAAATGGAATATATATTTAAACTTAAGAGCTTCTGCACAGCAAAAGAAACTATCATCAGAGTGAACAGACAATCTACAGAATGGGAGATAGTTTTTGCAATCTATCCATCTGACAAAGGTCTAATATCCAGAGTCTACAAGGAATTTAAACACATTTACAAGGAAAAAAAAAAATTAAAAAGTGGGCAAAGGACATGAACAGACACTTCTCAAAATAATACATATATGTGCCAAAAGATACATTCTTAAGTGGATATGGTTGAAAAACAGTATTTTTTAAATATTGGTGTGTTTTTAATCCAGGGTGTTTTTTTTAAGTCCATTTCGAGATTTTTAATTTAGTTAAAACTAACTTGATCTTGTTAAAGCCACTTAACTATGCAAACAGAAACTTCACTATATCCCACTGGACTGAAAGTGAACCTGCCCAAGAGGGGCCCTCTATCAAATCCTTGCCCATGGAACAGGGTCAAAAACACAAGAAACGAGGATACCTTCTAATTTGAGCTTCACACGCAGCATCTGACACTCAAACCAAGCAAGGTGGGGCTAATGTCCACCCAACTAGCAAATATTAGTAAATCTCAGGATCTTTGTTTTAGATTTTAAATTTTTTTAAATAAAACACAGATGTATAAATTAGTCCAGAAGGTTTGTGACCCTCAGTAGCCATCCTGTGATTTCAATACATGTCTTCTTCCCTGGTCACAAGAGGCAAAGGGTCAAATGAGCACCACTTCAGAAGGGTGAGCACAGGACAGTGTCGATGGGTCTGTTCAATCTTGAACCCTCTTCCCAAAGCTGGGAGTGTATCTGTTTGCTTTAAATCCTGTGAAGCCGGGATGCCCCTTACACCTGACCTGCTTTCAGTGCAGACTGTCATGTACGTGGACCTCAGTGAATGAAACCTGGGTGTCCATATCTTACCTGCTGCTCATCAAAACTGCAAGAAAGAAAGCCTCTTTTGATGAGCAGTTGTACTACCCCTACCAGGGTATATTCAGATTGGTGGTTTTATCATTTCCAAGGAGATAAGACAGTGAGTGACATGTAGCTAGTGCAAAGCAACAAATCATAGCATGGGCAGGGCAGGTTTTAAGAGTTATTTGCCTCACACTGTCCCCTGGCACTTCTACCTGGCTGTTGAAGCCATCATGGCAGTGCTACCAACCTCCACTCAACCAGGCACCTGTGACTCTGTTTTCACCCCTGGAAATACACACACCCATACAGATAGGCATTTAAGCAACATGAGGACTGGCTGGCTGTTTTTATATTTACTAACCATGGAAGCACTATCATTATAAATTAATCAAAATTTTCATTTCCATAAACATATAATAGTGTGGCTTAGAGAGTGTAAAGGGTGAATTTATCTCCCTGGGCTAAGTATTACCTCACTACTCTAATATGTGGACCAAGATATTATTCAGGATTTTAAAGATGGAGGGGGGATTTCATGAAAAGGGAATGGATGTGGAAGATTTTATTTTATTTTATTTTATTTTATTTTATTTTATTTTATTTTATTTTATTTTAGACCGAGTTTCACTCTTATCACCCAGGCTGGAGTGCAATGGCACGTTCTTGGCTCACTGCAACCTCCGCCTCTCAGGTTCAAGCGATTCTCCTGCCTCAGCCTCCCAAGTAGCTGGGATTGCAGGTGCCTGCCACCACGCCCGGCTAAGTTTTTTGTATTTTCAGTAGAGACAGGGTTTCACCATGCTGGCCAAGCTGGTCTAGAACTCCTGACCTCAGGTGATCCACCCTCCTTGGCCTCCCAAAGTGCTGGGATTACAGGCGTGAGCCACCGGGCCTGGCCGGAGGATTTAATTTTTAAAGTTGCTAGAACCTGATAGTTTGTTTAAAATAAAATATTCAGAAGAACTTAGGGGAAATTATGAGTGGGTATTATTATGGTGGTGAATTTTCTGACATCTTCTTTATCCTGCTCTCTCACCTCTTTCTAAGCACCTGATCTGTTTGGACCACCACCATACCTAGAGTTTTAGATGTATCAGAAACCACCAACATTGGATAGAATATGCTCACCCTGCAGTTCCCAAACGTATATGCTGCACAAGTCTAGCAACCTGAACTGAGAAAGGACCTCTTTCTTGTTCTCTGTTCCAATTCCAAGTCCCGGGAAAAGGCTGTCGGCATCACCCTGTATAGAATAACTGCTTAGGGGCACACTGTTTGGATGAGGAAGGGGACCAAGAGTCTGGGAGAGGTTTTCCATAGACCTGGCTGTCACAGGTTTGCAGAATACCCTGCTTATCTAACAAGGTCTGGATAAATCCCTTGCTACTTGAGCTCTGACAAGATGAGAGAGTTTTTCAAATAACCTTTCCTGAGAAGCTAAGGAATCTGTAAAAGTCAGCAGGCTTATAGGATAAGTTCCACTTTTTTTCATCCACAATTAGCTTGCCTGTTGATAATTAACCAGCATGGTTGACAAGGCACCCAGTTCTTGACTTTTTTTCCTTCCATTAGCCAATTCTGGCTTAGATATTGGAGAAGGGACCCTAGACAAAGAAGCTTAGCCTTCTGGCTGAGGAAGATGTGGGTAAGGTATGTTGGCAGATCTGGTGGAGTCCGTGATCATGTTAAGAAACATCTTCTGGCTGGGTGCAGTGGCTCATGCCTATAATCACAGCACTTTGGGAGGCCAAGGCTTGCAGATTGCCTGAGTTCAGGAGTTCGAGACCAGCCATGGCCAACATGGTGAAACCCCGTCTCTACTAAAAATACAAAAAATTAGCTGGGTGTGGTGGCACTTGCCTGTAATCCTAGCTACTACTTGGGAGGCTGAGGCAGGAGAATCTTGAACTTGAACCCAGGAGGCGGGGTTTGCAGTGAGCTGAGATAGCGCCACTGCACTCCAGCCTGGGTGACAAGAGCAAAACTGTCTCAAAAAAAAAGAAAAGGCAAGAAAGAAAAAGAAAGAGAGAGAGAGAAAGAAAGGAAAAGAAAAAAGAAAGTCCTCCAATGTTTGTGCCTAGGCCTGAACCTCCTAGATTGTCTCCACTGGCTTCAGGCTGTGTCCACTCTAAAACATCTCTAGCCTTCAGGGTCCTATCTTGGCCTTTGTCATGGCATGTCTCCAGAGGGTTCTCCCTCTTCCCAGGGTTACCTGAGTATACAGCCTGCAGTAACCTGCTCTTTCTCTAGGTGCTTCCATTCACCTGAAATGTAGTTATTCTCCAAAGGCAGGCTCTCTTTGGTTATTCTGAACTGGGCTCTCCATAATCCCTCCCCTCCCACCATGGTCGGGAGTCTTCCTGGGAGCCACTGACTTTCTTTGGCGACCATCTACATTGTATTGGTTGCTGCGGACAACCAAAAGCAAACCTGTATGTACTGTTTTCCTAGTTGGGTACCCACCCCCACACAAGCTTCCCTTTCTTGGGGGATGTGTCTAGTTCTCAGCCCATTTTCAGAACAGAAATGTCGTGAATTTAGTATTTGACCAGTTTTTTTTTTCCCCCTAGGCCCAGATTCTCTTGAGTAGCTCATTGTTCATACTTGTTTTCTTTTTCCCATTAAATCACCTACCCAGGAGAGTATTTTGTTTTCTAAAAAATAGTCACTTATCAATTAAATGACAGGAAAAAAAAAATCCACCCCAGAGAGGAGACCTAGTATTTATTGGACACATGGGAAAAATGAGCCTTTCTAACAGAGGGATGGTCATCTTGTACAAGTACACTGAGGGCAGCTGTTCTCAACCAGGATGATTTTGCCTCCCCACCCGAGGGAACATTTGACAATGTCTGGAGACATTTCATTGTCACAAGTTGGGGAGAAGCAGGAGGGAGGCTGCTGCTGGCGTCTAGTGGGTAGAGGCCAAGGCTGCTACTAAACTTCTACAGTGGACACAAGATAGACCCACAAATAATGATTGGCACCAAATGTTAGTAGGTTAAGATAGCAAAGACTTGGAATCAACCCAAATGCCCATCAATAATAGACTGGATAAAGAAAATGTGACACATATACACCATGGAATACCATGCAGCCATAAAAAAAGAATGAGTTCATGTACTTTGCAGGGACATGGATGAAGCTGGAAACCATCATCCTCAGCAAACTAACACAGGAACAGAAAACCAAACACTGCATGTTCTCACTCATAAGTGGGAGTTGAACAGTGAGAACACATGGTCACAGGAATGGGAACATCACACACCGGGGCATGTTGGGGGGTGGGGGGCAAGGGGAGAGAGAGCATTAGGACAAGTATCTACTGCATGCAGGGCTTAAAACCTAGATGATGGGTTGATAGGTGCAGCAAACCACCATGGCACATGTGTACCTATGTAACAAACCTGCACGTTCTGCACATGTATCCCAGAACTTAAAAAAGAAAACAAAGAAACCCTAATATAGGGCTAGTGAGATGGCTGTGTGAGCGTGAGCTGGTGAGGAAGGGCTTGGGGCCACTGTGCCAGTGCTGACGGAATCCTCGATAGTATTTTGTCAAGTCGAAGGACAGTAATAATGATAAATGTAGCAATGGTTTTCTAGACACGAGGAAAATGGCCTTGGTCTTTGGGTGGCTACTTTGTTTGTTTGTTTGAGATGAAGTCTCGCTCTGTCACCCAGGCTGGAGTGCAGTGACATGATCTCGGCTCACTGCAACTTCTGCCTCCCAGGTTCAAGCAATTCTTCTGCCTCAGCCTCCCAAGTAGCTGGAACTACAGGTGTGCGCCACCACGCCTGGCTAATTTTTGTGTTTTTAGTAGAGATGGGTTTTCACCATATTGGCCAGGCTGGTCTTGAACTCCTGACCTCGTGATCCATCCGCCTTGGCCTCCCAAAGTGCTGGGATTACAGGCGTGGGCCACCGCACCCGGCCCTTGGGTGGCTACTTTCATAGAAAGGCAGCTATGCTATATTGATATGGAACAGAGGCTTATTTATTAAATAAATTCACTTTAGCAATAATAAACTCATTACATGTTAACATAGAAACCTTTTATGAAAATAGCTATATCTTTCAAAACAAAAAAAAAAAATGGTGAGAAGAGCAGCATTGTTTTAAATTTTGGCAAATCTCTTTATTCTCTGGCTTAATAGAAAGCCAGCCTGATTTCTCATCTGCTTCTGCATTCAATCTGTGGTAACATCACACATCATGTAGCCTCTGGAAACTCCACTGTAGACCCATGAGAGAATGAGAGTGGAAAAAGCCAGTAATGTCTTCGTATGATTTCGAAAAAAGTTTTGACCTTGAAGACCCCTAAAAGGGTCACTCCAGATGTCCCCTGGCCCACACATTGTAAACTGCTGCTCTAGAACTGTGAGATCTGTGAAGCAGAATGGGGAAAAAGTCACATGTTTAATTTCACTACTCTTTAACTAGAATTTAGCGCACCCTTCAAATATGGATGGAGGCCTCAGAATACAGTGGTATTAGCAGTATCTGACTTTGTTATCAGCAGTAGACGTCAAGGATGTTTTCTGATCACATTACAGTTGTTGCAGATATCTAAAATATCACTTAGCATTGCTTTGAAATTTTACTCACCACAGTGCTAGATCTTGTCTATAATGCCTTAATAAGAAAGTACATACACTACTATACCACAGGTGTGTTCTTTAATACCGACAAGTATATTTCAGTGTAATTGCTTTACTTTGCACTCCTATGTTGTTTTATTTGTTTTACCTATTTAAAAACATTCTGAGATAGGAGCTGTGGGCTTTAGTTGACTGCCAAAGGAGTCCTCGGTACAAAAAACCTTCAGAAGCCTTACTCTAGAAAGTTACACAGCCAGAAAGGCATGCCTTGGCCATTTTGGGAAAGCAGTACAGCCCCAAAGCAAGCTCAAATCGGAGTGTTTGAAGAAAGCAAGTTCCATTGCCACTGTTGTCGGCCTGTGTCCTGCCCACCTCTGTATGCACAGCCACAACTTCAAGTAATTACAATAAAGTGTTGATCATGAACACTCCCAGTTTTCAAAAAAGAGTTAACCACCCCTGTAATGTACATTTTGGATAAAAATTTCCTTTAAAAGTTCTCATTCTCATAATTCACAATAAATTCCAGTCTTCTCAGCAAATTCAGCTACCCTAAGAGTTCTAGAGCTAAGGTGCTCCTGTCACTTGATGAAAGTTAATAAAGCTTCCCAAATATTCCTGGACAGACACAGAAATGGACAATGATTGCTTCTAAGAAAGGACATGGGATGAGTGGGAGACTTCTTTGTTGGTTGGTTAATTTTAATTTCATTAGTTAAACATGCACATAATTTGAATTATCAGAAGTTCATATGTCTGGTTACAAAAAGCAGTCCCTTTCCTTCCCATTTCCCAGTCTTCAAACACAACCACTTGGGACTCCTTCCACTGCTGTTTTCAGTATTCACCTCCTTATCTCTAAATAATAGGCACAGAGTGCATCTCCCAGTAATCTCCTACAATGAGAAAAGAGGCCTTAACACCTCCAGCCATGGTCCTCAGGCAGTTAGAGCATGATTCCGGCAGACTGATTGATTGATACCAATAGCCACTATTGATACATACCAATTCTTCCTCTGCTTTTCTAAACCTGCTCTTAAATCAGTTCACACATAACTGGTATCTGAGCTGATGACCCTCGCGGCCTGATGCACAGCTGTTATCCTGGGAATCTTCCTTTACCATCATCTGGGTATTGCCTTCACATATCACTTATTTCAGAGTCCCTGTGCCCTACAGTCTGTATCTTTGTTTACTGTCCCTCTTTTGGGGAGAGGTAAAACATCTCTTCCAGTAGCTTCCTGAGAAAGAGTACTTGGCAGATGAAGCTTTTGAGACCTTTCTTGTCTTAAAATGTCCTTAATTCACCCTCATACTTAATTGATAGTTAGATACAGAATTCTAGGCTGGAACTCAGTGTTCCTCATAATTTTGAAAACATTGTTCTACTGTCATCTTTTTTAGTGTTGCTTTTGAAAAGTTGAAAGCTTTTCTGAGTCCTAATCCTTTATATATTTGACCTGTGTCCTTTTTTTTTCTCCTTCCTTGTTAGACACTTGGAGGATTTCCTTTGCACCCAGTGCATGGGCACATTCATGATGGTGTGTTTTGGTCTGGGGCAGTTTTCATTTATGGTGCTGGGTACTTGGTGGGCTCTTTCCATTTGGAAAGTCAAGCCCTCCAGTTCTGGGAAGTTTTCTTGAATTTCTTCTTTGATTTCCTTCCTACCATGTCCAATTATGTTTTAATTTCTAAGAACTAGAATTTTCTTGTTTTTGCAGTGTTCCTGTTCTCATGGATGTGATCTGTCAATAACTTGAGATCTCTTCTTGTGTGCTGGTCAGATTCCCCAGAATAGATCCAGTCTCCTCCCTGAAGAGGATTAGCTGGCTTCGGGCATCTGGAACTTGGGGTCTTGGCACAGCATGCCTTGGTGGGCTCAGAGACCCTCATCAAGAGAATAAGCCTTCTGCCAGAGTGGAGGTGGGGGTTTGGGGTCTCTGTCTTGAATATACTTTGAACCGGTCTTCACTCATACTTCCAGAGATAGCTTGGGGCACCAATTCATGAGCCTTTGGGAGTAAGTCATCTCTTGTTTTTCTGCTCGCTAGCTTTTGCTGCCAGCACCTCCACTACTATTTTCCTCTTTCTTGGAGTTTCTTTTGTCTTTTAAAAAGTCCCTTACTGTAATTTGAGTGAGGATTTGGGAGTTTACAGAGCAAAATATGTGTATTTAGTGTGCCATCTATAACCAGAAATCAGAGAGTTTTCAATGTAGGCTTTTTTGTGTGCATTTTGAATTTTGTCCACATTTTTGTACTAGGAATTCAATATTTGTAAATCAAGCTTCCATCTTTGTTCTTACAATTAAGAGGGAAATGTCCACTTCTGTGTGTACTATCCTTTGAACGTTCAAAGGCCTCACAATATTTGTATATTTGGTACAATGTACCAGATGTTTGCAGGGATCTTTTTTACATATTACCTCATATTCCACCCAGGTCAAATTTGATGAGAAAGAGTTCTTTTTTCTTTTTGGTTAGATTCTAGATGATACCCACAGTTCAAACTGTAAAAGAATAAGTTTGCCAATAGTAATAATTAATAGCATTTATTGAACACTAAGCACCAGACACTATTATAAGCATGTTCTGTGTTTTAACTTATTTAATTTTCACAACTACCCTATGAAGTAGGTACTGCTGTTGTCCCTAAATGATAGATGAGGAAATGGAGGTCCGGAGAGGTTTAAAAGCCTGCTCAAGGTAACATAGCAAGTTAATGGCAGAGTCAGGATTGCAACCCCAATAGTCTGGCTGTAGAGTACATTTTAAACATAACTACTGTGTGCACAAGGCTAATGATTTATGGATTGCATGAATAACTAAAGATGATGTCCCCAACTTTGTTAGAGATATCCCCAAACTTCCTTAATGGATCGGTTGTCATAACTTCACCAACTTACAGCTCTTTTTTTCCACATAAAACTTGCCAAAATGCCTTCAGACTGAAGGGAGAAAAAATTTAACTGTTTCCTTCAAATTAAATTTTATTAGCAGAGAACTAGTATTAAGATCATTGCATGAAGAAAATGTAAATTAGCCGCTTACTGTAAAATAGTATTAGAGAAGGCAAGTGATAAACATGTCTATTCCTCTTTTTCCCTTTATTAGTGGTTAATAATCAATAAATAGCAGCTTAATGATTAACATTATAAAAGATTACATAAGAGTTTTAGAAGAATTTAGATTTTCTTTACTAGGTAGTCATCTTCATTTTTATAAAACTGACATCAGTGTTAAGCCATTTTTACCACAGGTTAAAATTTGACTGACCTATTCTGTTGCTGACTGAGTCATACCAGGTCACTGAAACCTAAAATAAGTATGTTGTAAGCATCGCGTAACAATTATAACCTATTTAGATCCAAGATCCACTTAAGACATGTTGACTTCTTTTCTGCATCACTGAGATGGCCGACACATCCATCAATAATGTGCTGAAGTTCTCATTAGCTCTCTATACAGGGAAGGATGCCAGCAAAATGTACAGAAGTAAATTCACTGGAATCTCTGGTCAGAAATTATGACTGTTCTATATGTCAGCCCATGTGTTGCTAACAGATTTTTTTCTTTACAAAAATGTGTTTTGTGGTTTGATTTGACCCATGGTTCATCTGAATCCAGGCAATTACACTTATATTAAGGGTTCTACTGTCCACTTTCTCCTCATCTTGAGAAATGTCAAAAGGCACATATCCTGCATCTGAAGGAAACACAAGAAACAAAAATGGAAATGCCTGAAGAGTGCTTTCACCTGCATTAATCAAGGGACAGCTGCTGCCATTCCCAAGGCGCTGCCCTGCAGTTGGCTGAGCAGACCCACATGGGCCTGCTGAATTAAGTCTGAATTAAGAGTCAGACTGCGAGTGATGCTGCCTCTGTGTTTAGGTGAAAAGGCCACTTTAGCAAGTGTAATAAAATGTATAGACTCAGGTGAGACTCCAGGGGAAATTTTGCCCCTTGAGTTTGGGTTGGAGAAATGACCTCCAGATCTCTAATATCATTCACTGTGGAGGAGATGTGGACCATGTATTTTTTCCTTTTCTTCCCTTTATAAGATGGTAATTTCCCCTTAGGGATTTGGGTTTCTCTGTTGTATGCATTAATAGGGAGATGGGGGAGAGAGAGAGAGAGTCACAAATTAAAGTCATTTTATGGTAAGTGTCTATGCCTTTTCACCTCTATGCTTCACTTTGTAGAACTCGTCAGGAAAATCATTCAGGTGACGACTATGCATTTTGATGTTAACAGATCCGACTCTTACCGGGTAGACGACCAGTTAACAACATGAAATAAGGCAGTGATGGTTTTTGAAATGAAATAATGTTTGATGTAACCTCGAGTTTCTCTCTGAACTCTGACCACACTGTAGAAACCCCTAGGAGGAGGTGAGCAGCTCTGTCAGGCACAGAATTACACCCAGGGAAGAAAAATTAATTCCAATACTAAGGGAGAAGGCTGTGTTCTCTTGCATGATATTTAGCAGCAAGAGCAAGGAGAGGGATGTTTCCTTCTTTGTGTAATGTGCAGTAGTTACAATAAACACAAGATTTCCAAATCTCAGAGGACTCTTCTTGACAGTTGCTTGATAACAGCTTTTTTCATTCCATAGTTTTGACAGTTTGTGTGTGTTGCCATATCTAGTGTAAACTAAAACATCACTGTCATTCTGTTTTTCTTTTGTATGTGGCTTTTTTTTTTTCATCTTTAGGATAATGAAAAAGATGGGCTTTTCACTTGTAGACTAGAGTAAGGCAAGTTGTGTGTGGAGATTAGCATGTGTTTATAAGTTTTGAAAGATTCAAGTTGACAGCAGAACACTGCTTTAAATAATTTTTTTCTCCATATCGCTTCAGTAAAAGTACAAGTGGGATGTGTAAGTTTTCTCTTAATCTTTTGATAAATAGCAAACCTTAGGCATCTGTGTGGGTACCTATATTATTTATCGGTGGTTATTGAAAATGAATGACTACAATGAACATCTCTAGAGCTCCTGGCTGTGTAGCCTTTGATAAGTGGTGAGCATCCTGTATCTTACTGTTACCAGGGTCTTGCCCTGCCCCACGTAGGTGCTTTTCAGTCCCTCGCTATGCTTCCCTTCACTTGATGGATCCCCTATCCCACCCACCTCTGTCAGGTTTATAGCTATGCTACGTTATTGGTTTGTGTCCAAACCAACAGGATGATATTGTTGTTGTGGTTGATGATTTATCTGGAGTAACTCTAGAAACTACATTGCATCTGCACTGTTTGAGAGGCTGCAGGGCAGGTGATGGGCCAGAAGCCCAAGTCAGGATCAGAGCAGTCTTTACTCATCAGATGTGAACTCTCAGATTCCCCAAAGTCAGGAAGGGATCCCATACCTGAGAGACCTTCCCCCCTCCAGCCCCAATAACCTTTGATTTGTAGAAGTCTCAGTGAGGTTATTTTGCCATCAAACCAAATTTGCTGTAGCATAGCAAAGCTCCCAATGCCGTCATCTGGCATGTTACAGACAAATTCCAATTACTTTTCTACTTCGAGCTATTGTTAAACACTACAAGCTAGCTGACAGTAAAATTATAAATACAGGTGTTGTCACACTACACTATAATCAGAATTTTAATTTGAATTTTCATTTGTAAAGCCTTTTTTTCAGATGAAAATGGGAATAGAATTAGTTTTATTGACAGTAAAAAGACATTTTGAAAGCTTCCTAAATCATTACCTGTATTTAGCAGGAGGAAAAATTGTATATGTCCATGTAAAAAGAAGAGTTTTATTATCACATATTTACTCATTATATTTGGTGGTAAATAAAACGGGGAAGACATGTTTGACAAATGATTGACGGAACTCACTAGGTTTTTGCTTCATCAGAACAATAGACAGACATAAATATATATTTTGCTTTTGTTTTGTTCTGCTATTACTAATGCAGACCTGTAGACAAAATCTGTTTCTAGCAAATTAAGTGCAGCCTATTGGGAGTCTGCATGCAATGCTAAACTTTTTATTTGGCAATTTTCTCTTTTCACCCAGATTCATCATCTGTGGCGCTCTTTTTACCCCTTTTGCGTGGTGGTTGGAGTGGGTTCCCCCTTCTCAGGTCCCTTTTTTTTTTCCCTCAAGGCATTTAGTGTCGTGTCTGCCAGATTTCAGTGATGAGCAGCGAATTGCTTTTAAAGTGGGCATTATGCCAGTTCAGCAGCACAATGGAAAACCAATCTTCCACCATTCTACTTTTGATGCTGTTATTGTAGCATTTTAGATAACTGCTGCCACAAAAAAAAAGAAAGAAAAAAAGATGTGCTCAATTGCTACCAGTTAGTCAAGTTAAATCCAGAGTAGCATTAAAATTACTCTGAAAACTCTTTGTCAGAGGTCATGTGCCGTCTGTGGCTGCCACACATAGGATGGATGTTCTGTTCAGGTGGGGGTTTTTCCCTTTATTATTACTGTGACTGACCAGCTCTCTAAATAGCCCTTTACTACCTGTTTACTTATTGTCTTCACCTCCCTGTTGAAAAAATGTGTCAAGCAGAAATGTTGAAAAGTTTCTTTAAAGTGCTGGAAATAGCAGGAGAGTGAGTCGTTCAGGGTGCTAGAGTTTGTACAATGTGAAAGCAAAAAAAAAAGTCGGGGGAGAGCAAGAACATAATTCTCTGGTTTCTATAGCAAGATTACTGTTTTCTTCTTTTTATCTTCACTTTTCAACCACTGGGTTCACTGTTCTACTTTTTTTTTAATAGCACAAATGGAATTTATCTTCTCTCCATCTCAAGTCCCTCCCCTCCCTCCACTGGCTTTGCTTGTGAATGAAAGGGACTCCTACTATGACTAAGGACAGATGGCAGCTGTATACGTTGTATTTGATGTATTTTGGAGTGAGCCATATTTTAAAATTCAGGGCCAATAGATGGGCTATTTTGAGAGTGGCACTAGCGCCATCCTTTAAGCCTGCTCCATTTCCTCCAAATTTATTTACATTTTAAAAATTATATAAATAAGCTATAATCTGTGCTCAAAATAATTGAGTTGTGATCTTTTAACTGTATTGCATTAATAATAAAAGCAACTCAGACTTCTGGGCTGCCTTTCTTCTAAAGAGTATGTGTTCATTTATCTTTATGTTGTCTCTAATGGATTTTTCTCGTTTATGTTAATCATATCTCTAGTATTATCAGATTCTGATCCTAATGAAGGCAGGCACTTTTGTCTGTTTTGTCCATTCCTATGTCCCAGGGCTTAGAATAGTATCTGGCACGTAGTAGGCACTCAGTAAATATTTGCTGAATGAATTAATAATTCATGTTTCTATGGGTACATCGAATTGTAGTGTATTTACTTATTTGTATGTTTTCCTCTCCAGCTAGAATGCCAAACTGTGCTCCTGAAATACAGCAGGCGTGCTAAGGCATTTTGGAATCCTTTCTTCATCTCTACCCTATCCCAAATTGTACATGACACCCAGTCAGTACTTAATAAATATTTGTCAAATAAACAAGTAGAGAAGCCCAAACGCAATTTATTTGCCAGTGAAAGATATGGTCATTTGGTGGTAGAGATGAGGATAGGTTAATGGCCCATCAATCAGTATTGTTAAGAGTCTCCACGTTCTTAGCCTTATGTTAATTCAGAGTTCTTTCCCAGGTATCCTATTGGTTTTCTGGGCTTATTGCCAAGCATATTTTAGATCCATATTTTCCTTCAGTTTACAGTTTAAGAGCATTTTAATTTTTGCTAAAGCTTGCAAAAAAAGGCTCTGATAATGATGCAGTCAATATCAGTAACCATCCCATTTGCTAGTGCCATCTAGATGAATCCATTGTGTAGATCGTCCTGTCTTAATATGGGAGGGAGACTGCTGTGCATGGTGGGATGGCCTATAGCAGTTAGACCTCTCTAAGCACCATTTGCCTCTTCTGTGGAATTGTGGTTTAGTCATTCTGTCGTGTCCTCTACTACCTGCCTCCCCCAAAACTCCCTGCTTCCGTCTGCAAAATGAGGACCTAGAGGCTGCTTAACAAGGCCAGAGGCTTCAGAGAATTCAGTGACTTAATCAAGAACTGTACTGTGTAAGAGACACACTGCTTTCCCTTTAAATCATTGAGTGTAAGAGACACACCGCTTTCCCTTTTAATCATTGAGTCATAAATGTGACATAGCTTTAAATGGATAGCAACAATTTGCAAATCAATAAGACCCATTTTGTAATTAGCTTTGGACTAAGCATTAAAAAGTATACATTGAGGATTATGGTAGTTAAAATGCTGAGCAGTGTGGGGATTCTTCCTTGGTAGCTGAAACTGTGCATAATAAACATACAGAAATGAGGATGGCGAGTTTCAGTTTTACCACAAGGTTATGCATTTATTTGAGAAGAATCTGAGATGTGCAATACAACATTCCCTAATATGCTCATTTCATCTTCTCTGCTATCATTGAACCTTCATCTAAGAAGAGCCAAGGAACAAACTGAAATAAGGATTCAGATTTTTATTAGAGTAAATGTAAACACATGTAGAGGGGAACATTTTGCCTTACATGGCCTACCATCAACGTTTTACACCGGAAAAAAAAAGTGTGTGTTTATTCCAGCATCCTGCATCAATACTGGCAAAAATTCTAAAGACTTGCAGTTGCTTGGGCCAAAGATGGAAAATTTTATATAAGAATGCTGAGGAGACCTTTTGCACTTTTTTTTTTTTTTTTTTTTTTTGAGACGGAGTCTTGCTCTGTTGCCCAGGCTGGAGTGCAGTGGCGCGATCTCGGCTCACTGCAAGCTCCGCCTCCCGGGTTCACGCCATTCTCCTGCCTCAGCCTCCCGAGGAGCTGGGACTACAGGCGCCCGCCACTACGCCCGGCTAATGTTTTTGTATTTTTAGTAGAGACGGGGTTTCACTGTGTTAGCCAGGATGGTCTCGATCTCCTGACCTCATGATCCGCCCGCCTCGGCCTCCCAAAGTGCTGGGATTACAGGCCTGAGCCACCGCACCCGGCCTGCACTTTTTAAGATAAATCATGCAGGCTGGAGAGTAGGAGTTTTGTGTGTGTGTGTCCCTTTACAAAGAGAGTTTAGAGGAAAGAGCATGAATTAAATTTGTGGCGTTGTGAAAAGCCTCTTTGGTCCGGTTTCCTCATGGCTATGGTGTCTCTTCTGTTTAACTTATGGGACTGTTGTTAGGATGAAATAAGATATGTATTTTTTGAACCCTCTATACCAGGAGTTGGCACACTTTTTCTATGAAGAGTCAGATAGTAGTTTCAGCTTTGAGGACCAGTCTCCTTTGCAGCTATTCAACTTCTCCACAGTAGCCATAGATAACACAGAAACAAATGGGCATGGCTGTGTTCCAATAAAACTTTATTAACAAAAACAAGTGGAAGCCGAGATTTGGCCTTCAGGCCATAGTTGCTAACCCTTACTCCATAATAATGAAATCATGAAACATAAAATACCAAATATTCTAATAACCCCCCATTTGGAAGTCAGCCATTGGAGTCAGTACCTGGCCACTCTTGTACAGTGTAGGCCTAAAGGGAGTATCTCTTTCTAGAGAAAGCCACTTTCCATTGTTTTTAGTTCAGTCTTCTCAATTTTTCACTAAACCCTCTAGAGAGAATTTAAATTCAGTTGAATATCCTTGTACAGGTTGAATATCCTAAATCTGGAAATCTGAAGTGCTCCAAAATCCAAGACTTTTTGAGCACCAGCATGACGCTCAAAGGAAATGCTCATTGGAGCATTTCAGAGTTCAGATTTTCGGATGTTCAGCTGGTGAGTGTGGTGCAGATATTTCAAAATCCAAAACACTTCTGGTCCCAAGCATTTCAGATAAGGGATATTCAATCAGTATTTATCAGTGGCTTCACTTTGGCCACCCACTGTCACAAAAGCATCCAGTCTTTTCTCTAAGAAAGGGTTCCTTCCAGCCAGGCGTGGTGGCTCATGCCTGTAATCCCAGCACTTTGAGAGACTGAGGTGGGCAGATCACCTGAGGTCAGGAGTTCAAGACCAGCCTGACCAACATGGAGAAACCCCGTCTGTACTAAAAATACAAAAATTAGCTAGACGTGGTGGCACTTGCCTGTAATCCTAGCTACTCAGGAGGCTGAGGCAGGAGAATCGCTTGAACCCGGGAGGCAGAGGTTGCAGTGAGCCGAGATCGCGCCATTGCACTCCAGCCTGTGCAACAAGAGCGAAACTCCATCTCAAAAAAAAAGAAAGGGTTCCTTCTTTATGACAGTTTCCTCAGAGCCATGACATTAATCAGGGTGGAGAAGGGATGCCAGTATTAAAATAGCTAAGTAGGGTGGAGCACTGCCACCCATTACCTCCACTGGGCAATCCTTGAGTCTTTGGTTGGTAAGAAGAGTTGAAAAGAGGGACAGTGGCTATGTTAGTGATCAACCAGTTAAGATTTCAAGATATGTGAGTTCAAAGCTGCAATGAGCTATGACCACTGCACTCCAGCCTGGACAACAGAGCAAGAGTAAGACTTTGTCTCTTTAAATATATATATATATAGTCAGGTGACCGGTAGCTCACACCTGTAATCTCAGCACTGTGAGATGCCAGGAGTTTAAGACAAGCCTGGGCAACACAGCAAGACCCCATCTCCACATAAAAATGTAAAAATTAGCCAGGTATGGTAGTACATACCTATACTTCCAGCTATGTGGGAGTCTGAGGTGAGAGGATTATTGGAGCCCAGGAGTATGATCATGCCACTGCACTCCAGCCTGACAGAGTAAGACCCTGTCTCTTAACATATATATATATATATGTATGTATGTATGTTTATATATAGTCACTTTAAAAGTCTGCCTTTGACTTTATTATCACTCTGCTTTCTCAGATTTCTTAAGTCCTTAAATTTCTCCCCCACTCTTAGGTGCTCCACACTAAGTTACTGAGTTCCCCTGTATTTCCACCAGTTATCCAGAGCGTTGGCCCTCTCTGATAGGCAGCTTCTAAGATGGCACCCAGTGACTATTATTTGTGCAGTGGTCCTCTTCCCTTGGGTATGGCCTGGACCAAGTGACTCTCTTCTTAAAAAGGAATACAGCAAAAGCAATGAAATGTCACTACTGAGATTAGGGTACAAAAGATGTTGACTTCTGTCTTGAGCATTCTCACTCTCTCACTCACTCACTCTGAGGGAAACCAGCTGCCATATTGTGAGTTGGGGAAGCCCATGTGATGAGGAACTGGGGCCTCAGTTCAGCAACCTAAGAGGAATAGCAGTCCACATGAAGAGAACTTGGAAATGATCCTTGCCCCGTTGAGCACTCAGGAGACAGTGGGACTGACACCTTGATTGTAGCCTTGTGAGAAACCTTGAGCCAGAGATGCCCAGCTCAGCCATGCTTGGATTCCTGTCCCACAGAAACCGAGAAATGTATGTATTGTGTGTTATGTTTAGCCATCAAATCATGGGGTGATTTGTTACACAGCAATGGTCCACTAATAAACCCTTTAAAGTGCAATGCTTATTTAAGCTTCTGTTTCTCATAACCTGTTTGACAGTGCCTTGCATGTAGCAGGTTATCCACAGATACTTGTTTACTGATCCGCTTACACTAAATGTATAGTCATATGTTTCATTATTATTTTGCCAGAATACTGATTTGGCTTAATCAAAAATGTTCATCTTTTTCTCCACAAGGTATGTAACTCACCATCTTGAGGTATGGCATCTGTGGATCCATGATACCCAAGCAGGAAGGGAATGTTCCCTACCCGCAAACAAATACGGAACCCAAGAAAGGCTGAGTGCCCCTGGAATCGTTGTAACTTTATCCTTCCCCAGTGTGCAGAAGGGAAAGGGTGTTACGAGAATCTTGCCTTCATGTCAGGATTTAGGAAGGCACGACCTCTTTTCTACACTCTATCCAGAATGTGATGGTGACCTGGAATGGTAAGGGCCCCACCAAGAAGACCTGTTTATAGCACAGCTGTTACCTTCACCATCCAACTGTGGCCTCGCTTTAGTTCCAGCTGTTTATATTAGTCAAAACTGTCCCTAACACCACAGCATAGGCTGTGAGAACAAGAGGCTAGTGAGAAGGGAAGATATCCAGAGGATTAAGAAGCAACCAAGCCATGGCCTATGTTCTTTTGACTTTATCCCCAAAAGAACAACAGCTTAGCTGATGGTACAGCCTTTGGCCCAAGAAATGTAAAAGCCATTCCTTCAGGTGCCTATTTGCATATTTCTACACCCTGAGGGCTTTTTTCTTCTCCCACCTGTGGTAAATGACTGTGTACACTGGACTGTATTTACTGCCTATCTGTTGTCATCATTGTCATCAACTAACATTTGTTGACCATTAACATGGTCTCAGAAACTGCCTGGGCACTCTAATCCGTCAGCCTGTGCATTCATTAAAGTGAAGGAAAATAAGCAGAGGCTTGACATTCAGAAATAAGAGCCCAGAAATGAGTCCAGAATTTCCGATTCTAAAGCCAGTGCCAACTCCCAGGCCACACTCACTGCATTTAATGCATATGCATTTTCTTTTCCTCACATCTGCTCTTCCTTTGCAAGAATGTCCCAGCCTGTGTACACACCCATATCCTGTTACCTCTCCAGAGTAAACGATTTCCAGTTCCTGTGGATATTGCATGTCACCACATAGGATTAAACAGCCTGAATTTTTTTATGTGCCCATCTTTAGAAGCCTTATAAGTAGAGATTAAGATGTTTATCAAGATTAGAAATGCGGCTGGGCACAGTGGCTGACACCTCTAATCCAGCACTTTGGGAGGCCGAGGTGGCAGATCACTTAAGGTCAGGAGTTTGAGACCAGCCTGGTCAACATGGCAAGACCCTGTCTCTACTAAAAATACAAAAATTAGCCAGGCGTGGTGGCAGGCACCTGTAATCCTAGCTACTCGGGAGGATGAGGCAGGAGAATTGGTTGAACCCAGGAGGCGGAGGTTGCAGTGAGCCAAGATCCCACCACTGCACTCCAGCCTGGGTGACAAAGTGAGACTCCATCTCATAAATAAATAAATAGATTAGAAATGGTATGTGAGCAATAAAGATGTTGTGTATGCTTCTTGGATATTGTTGCTGACTCAAGACTTGAAAAGACTGGAGTCTTCAGGAAGAATGGTACTGGTGGAAAATGTTATTTCCATAATATGAAGTTGTGAGGTCATCAAAATCAGACATACCTAAAATTTTTATAGTCCTGGTTCTTAGTTGAGGGGGGCAGTATAAACTTATCAAAATCTTGGGAATGTTTAAGAAGCACAAACACATTTCTCACCTTCCTTTTCCCCACAAAAACCTGTGAGAACCAGGTTGGATGGTGAACACTGGTTGAATATGTTGACAAATAAACTTCCCAGGATTCGACTTGACTCTGTCCCAACCCCCTAACCCCCCTGAGCACCACTGACCTGGGACTGATCATCTCCTTGTCTGTCATGGAATATTAATTGGACATTAAGATTTTTAGATTTTTTTTTTTTTTGAGACAGGGTCTTACTCTGTTGCCCAGGCTGGAGTGCGGTGGCACAATCACAGCTCACTGCAGCCTCTACCTTCTGGGCCCATCTCCCACCTCAGCCTCCCATGTAGCTGGGACCACAGGCATGCGCCACCATTCCTAGCTAATGAAGATACTCAGAATGCTTCCATTTTCTCATGACTTCATGTGTATTAAAAAGTAGTGCTTACATCAAATTTCACTGTAGTCACTATCCCATTGGCTTTGATTAAATTACAAGCTTCTGTGTAGAATGCCGTGAAAGGTTTTTGCGAATTGCAGTAATAGCCATGGGGGGTGGGGGTGGGTGATGAACATGTTTTCTGCTGGGGTAGTAACTCAGAACTCTAGGCCTTTGGTACAGTTGATCCTTAATAAGACTTAGTTTCAGGTTGGAAACTGTTTGTTGAAGGTCAACATTTTGTTGCTGCTTTTTCTGCTCAAATGTAGTATAGAATCATGTGGAGGATAAAATTTTGCTAGTTGTTCAGCGTATCCAGAACAGAGTTCTGGCAGTTAAGGCGTACAATACTCTTGTATACCTCAATGATGGCGCTTTTTAAACATTAGGGTAGTTTTAAAAAATTGCAATAAAGTCATTGTAATTCATAGACCATGCTGTAATACAGAGATACGTGTAAAATACAATCTGTGTACCTGATTGCAGGTAACAGAGTTAAATGTACCAGCAATTTCAAACACAGTTTGATATTTCCTATAATAAAATATAATGTAAAAAATTAAATATCCAATATCAATGGATTCTAAATGGTTTTGATATTTCTTTTTGTCCTTTCCCATGAAGAGTAATTTATTTCCCTTTTTAAAGTGTGGGCAGAATGATTACTAGCGCACTGTAATGTAATTGTGTTGCATTGATAAAATAAAAATTGTCCTTTATCTGTGTCCTGATAATGTTCAATTTACAGGCTGGCTTCTCTGCCACCTCTTCAGTGCTTTGAGTATTCCAGTTCTCCTCCCTTCCTGCTCTGAGAGCGCACAGAACTGTTTGAAATCCACTGGTACAATTGTCAAATCAATTATTCATTCTCTGCAATTATGCTCGCACAAAGAACATTTTGCTGGTCTGAATGATGATTAAATTAACAGCTATTCCAGCTGCCTGATAACATCTAATAGAATATTCATAAGCCCAAAATGGAATGAATTATCTCCATTAACTTCATCATGCTCACTTAATTACATGCTTGTTATTGTATTTACACCTTGTTAGATACCGCTGAAGCTGATCCAGTGGCTGGCCGGGAATTGGAAGCGTCTGTCATGGGGCAGTTGGAGCGCGTTTTGTAGGAAATGCTATTTATTTTAAATGCTCCACCTGCTGGGAGCCGAGGTTAGTCAGCAGCACTGAGATGAATTGGGAAACGGGGTGTAAAAAGAAATAATGTGCTTCTGACAGGCTCCGTGGCTTTTAAGTTGCTCTCATTCAGCCACTTCACAAAAAATTATTTTATTCCATCTCTCAGTGATGATGACATGATTGCTTTTTGGTAATCATTTACCATTCTGATTTTATTTTTTGAAGTAAATTGTCTGAAGTAATAGGTTCTTGGAATTACAGCGTGCCTTGCTTTTTTCTTAGAACTTTATTTAAGCTTGTCTTCCAGCATTTAACCCGAGTCCCCTCTTTCGTTTGATCTTCTAACTTTATTTATACAACAGTGCTTAATGATCCTGCACAATGTGTTTCTTTTTTTTTTTTCCTTCTCTACAACCTCCCCCCCCACACCCACCCAAAAAAAAATTCTGTCCAGTATGGTTGACAGTACTTTTTATAACCTCAGCAAGGGGGCTGCATGGGCAATTTTCTTCCGACATGACAAATGCAAACACCCAAAACCCAACCCTGAGAGAATCACTTCATCCAGTTGAAAGGAAATTTTTTATCTCTTTCAAGGTGACTCTTTTGCCACTGAAACATGGTAAGGGGCACGACTCTTACCTTCTATTCTTGTCTATAGAAGTGGCATTCTTTACATTGCTTTATTCTGTCTCCTCCCTTCTCGCATCGGCCTCTGCTCTTCCCCAAACTTCCACTGAACAACCCTTCCTGGTAGTTGGGCCCCATGGCACCTCCATTTGCTTTGAGTGTGAAGGGTCACTGTTCACCACCACCAGGCTGCAGCAAGCCTGTGTTTATTGAACATGAACCAGACCAATGGTGGAGAGAATTATAATCACACTTCTAAATACTTGTCAGATCAGCCTACAGCCTAGTAGAGCACTTGAGCTAAACCATGGATATTTTATTCTTCTTGAAGGCTGTATTTTGGTATCAACATAAAAGAAGAAAAAAGAAAGAAAACTGAAGATAATTATTTCTAAGTAGGAATGGAACTGGATAGTGGACTAACAGACTCTTCAAGCCTTCAGAAATATTTTAGCATCTAAGATGTGATTTAATGGGTGAGAATGGTCCTCTAGGCATTGGCTAATTGATAGACACATTGATCACTGTGTGTGCCTGGCACTGTGCCTTGTGAATTTTTTTTTTCTAAATAAGAATTGACTCAAAGATTATTTCTTTTCATTTCTTACTTTGAGAAATGTTTATGTACTTGCCATTTGATTTGGGGCCCTAAATGTCTTTGAGTTTAAAATATGGATGTCACTTGAAATCTTTCAGGTACTGTGCATAGCCGGAAGCTCAGTTATATGGATCGATATTCAGGAAAAAGGCAGGCCAGAGGCTCCAGCAGCTCTCTGTAGGTCGGATGGCTCTACGTGTAGAGAGCGTAGAGGGGTGCAGTTTTCTTTCAAATTTTTCTAAAGCTTCCTGCATTCCACCCCTTACTGCAAAGCTCACGTTGCATTGAGGGAGGGAGGCTATGGATTGGAAAAGGTGGGAGAACTGAGAACTGTATGGTGGGAAGCCATGCAATTAAAAAACTGACTGAAATTATTACCTGATTTCATAATTGACAGAATATTTAATTCAGATATAGTAAATTGACACACCTCTACACAGAGACAATTATGACTGACTGTATAACACCTGACAGAATCAATTATAACTGACTGTTGTTTGATACCTTTGTACAGAAATAAATGAAACAGACATTCAGAACAGAGACGGCTGCTGCCTGTGTGCCTAAGCCTGCCTTAATTAAAAGAAAATAACCAGTAGGCGATGTTAAAATGTCTTTGCCTCGTGGTTTCTAGTTCAGTGTGTTTCTTTAAGTCCAAAAAGGGTTTTATAAAGAGTAAAGTTGAAAAGAGATTTTTGGTTTACTGACATGGAACTAAAATATGTGAAGTAGAGTTAGTTTCCTTAGATGGGAGAATACTCCATTATTTTAATAGAGCTAGCATTTTATTTGATCAGTTGACTTTTATATAAAATATTTAAGAAAGGTCAACCTACAGATGATGGTCTAGTTCATCCCATATAGAAAAGAATGTAACTTTCATTATTTTGAGGTTTTAGATTCTAATCAATAGAAATCAACTTTTAAATGAGCAGTTCATTTTGTAGTCTGATAAAATATTTTGTGAATAATTAGTATCTAGGCTACCCTTTTTTTCCATCGTTTTCATAGGGGTTAGGGACAGAATATTTTTGGTAATTAACATATAACCACAGGGAATCAGAGCATGTAGAAAGGATCAGAGTAAATAAGCTTTATATACACGTTCCTCGAATGTTATTCTCAAGAAAAGTTTAAAAAGGAGATTAGCTTTGCTGATGTATTAAGATGAGTGATTTCTGGGTGATACTTCAAGCCATTAGAGTATATTTCAGTGACGCACTTGTGTGTAGGAAGAGCATTTCCTCCCCGATCTCGACAAAGGTTGGCTTTGTGGTGCTGGTGGCGGAGACAGCAGTTACCAGGGCCAGTGGCATCTCTGTGGACAGGGATGGGATGGCTGCGGATCTTCTCTGGCTCTTGCCTAATGGCATGTTGGAATCTTTTAACAGTTGTTATTGGGCACCTGACCTGCAGCACCTGAGGTGATGGCGTCGTTACTGATAGGCTGACTCTCAAAATCAAAGCAGGAAAAGGAATCAGGGTTTTACTGGCCACATTAACTGGCCTCCACCAGTTAACACCTGTATTTTCCCTTGAGTTCTAAAGTGGTGGATATAGTATTGACAGAAACAGGGTAACAGTTTAATGTGAGGCCTAACGTGGGTGGCCCAGGTGCCTAAAGGGGGAAGAGAAAAACCAGGAAGGGGTGACTCCTTCCCCCCACCAGCCCCTGTCCCTGACGCAGCCTGTGACAGCTAGTCCAGTTCTGTTTCCTAGAAGACCTTCCATATGTTATTGATTAAATTCTCTTTGGGGAAGCAAGTGGGAGCTTTTATCTGCATCTCTAACTGGCGTGGAATGGTGCCTTGGCCGTATTGACTGGCTATGGGATATGCTGGCGGTCACAGTTGTCTTTTAGGAGGAAGAGCACCGAGTGACGCTGGTTGTCATTCTAACTCTGCTGTGTGGCAGCGTAAATAGTCCCCTTTCTAACCAACCTGGTGGGAAAAGTCAATATCCCATCAGCAGAGGAGGTAAACACATCAGGAGCTATGTCCTCTCTTTTCCTCCCCTGCTCCGTATTACCGCAGCTCTTTAAATGTGCTCTCCCCAGTCATCAGATGCATTTGTGTCATTCACATGCACGGGGTTGCTGGCCTGTGGCTCTGGCCTGCCGGGAGGCAGCCGACACTGGTTGGGGCCATTGTTGTTTATTCCCAGACTCAGATCATTAGAACTTTCAAATTGTCTTTCTGTTGCAGCCCCCCTCTCTTTTTCCACCCCTTTTGGGCATTTTAATTCTCTATAAAACCTGTGGTTGTTCTTTAAAGGACAACTTATGTAATTCAGAAAAGGTTGTGGAGAGCAAATGCGAATGTATAGCCAAGAAACAAAAATCTGGAGTCTGAGTTTTCGTTTTCCGGGTGTTTTGTAGACTTCCCGTGTTGCTGTTGTTGGAGGTTTGCTTTCTGTGAGTGGCGCGCTCTCCCCTCCGTGTTTCCTTCCTGACCGGTTCCTATCGGGAGGTGCTGGGCAGCCTTGCTGCTCCCAGGCCCTTTGGCACAGGCCAGCATCTTATGGGGGCGGAGGCCTCACCTCAGGATCAGCTGATGTCTGAGGCCTGCAAATTTCTATGTGGGAGTAGTGATGTAGTGGCAGGGGGAGTGGGCAGAAGTGAGCCTCTCCTCAGGTGCGGGCTGGGGGTTCTGGCTACCTGGGTTTGCGTGTCTACAACTCTGATTACCTGCTGTGTAACCTTGGGTAAGTGACTTAACCTCCCAGTTTCCTCAGCCATCAAATGGGGATTGGGGGTGGGGGGGGCGCGGGGAAAGCAGCCTCTCCAGACACCTTACCAGGTTCCTGAACACAGCGTCATCCCCCACGTGATCACTCTCTTCACCCAAAAGATCAGACCTGAGCATCACAGCCCCACTGCTCCTTTAAAAGAACAACATGTAGGGCCGGGCGCAGTGGCTCACGCCTGGAATCCCAGCACTTTGGGAGGCCAAGGCAGGAGAATCACTTGAACCCGGGAGGCGGAGGTTGCGGTGAGCCGAGATCGCGCCACTGCACTCCAGACTGGGCAACAAGAGCAAACCTCTGTCTCAAAAAAAAAAAAAGAAAGAAAAAAAACAACATGTAGAAGTAGCAGGCTCTGGGAAGGGAAAGGAGAGGGGTCTTTTCTCTGGCTGGTAGCATCCTGCTCAGAAGGGAAAGGCCAGGGATGAATGGGTTAAAGGAGCAGGAGTGCCGCATACCCTGAGTTCACACAGTGTGGACAAAGAAGAGCAAAGAAATCTTGGCCATGGACAGACAGGTGCCCTCGGGGCCGCTCACCTCTCGCCTCTTTCAGCAAAGGAAATTTTGTTTAGCAGAGGGACTTGGGCTGGAGGGACTAGAAAATGCTTACTAGGCCCAGCTGATCTGGGGAGTTGGGGCTGGAAGGCACCAGAGGCCATAGCTCCCTTTGAGACTAGGTGTTTCCTGCCACGTCCAGACTTCGCAAGCAGTTGCATGCATGTGCTCGCAGCGCCGGTGAAAGTGGCGTCTGCGAGTAGAGCTCACCTTGTCTGCTGCACATGAGGGTGCACCTGCAGTTCACATCAGTAGAGGGTGGCCCTGTCCCCCAGTGCACTGAGTCAGCTAGGTGCTGAGAGGCGGACAGACAGGGGAAAGGAAGAAAAGCTTTCACAGAGGAATGGTCGGCGGGGGCTGCATCTGACTGGCCCCAGGGGTAGACCAGAGATAAGATGGTGGAGATACAAATGGAATCAGCATCCCCTTCTCTGGTGGAATACTGAATGTTCTTTAAAGAAACTACCTGAGACTTCTAATCTCTCTCTCTCTCTTTTTAGATAAATTGAAGAAGCAATTTTTTACCCCCAAAGTTCTGCAGGACTACAGAAAACTCAAGAACACAGCAGAGCAATTCTTGTCCCGAAGTGGCTACTCCGAAGTGAATCTGAGCAAACTCTTCGCTGGTTGTGCCGTGAAATCCTAAGGGAATCCCAGGAGTAACCAAGGAGGGGGTAGTTGAAAAATCCCAGCTTCCTCTGTGCCTCCACTCTGGCCCTAAATGCTCCTCCAGCATCTGTTTCTCCCTTGGGACTGTGTCTCATGTTTGTGTGAATGTAGACCAGGAAAGGGGGCTGCAAAAATGTTGAGTCTAATGTTCGTAAGCATCATAGAAATTCCTGTCTTCATATTAAGATGTACTGCTTTAAAACACAACTCCAGAGCCCCTCCCCAAGCTCCCCTCCCCAAGCTCCTGAAGACCCGGTTTCTGAGGGAGGGAAATTGCTACTTGGATTGAGAGTAGCTGGAATGTAAGTGACCCCAGGCTTTGCCTCAGGGCCTTTAGCCTATGTCCCCCCCACATAAAGAGAGCTTCTCAGAGCCTGACTGAAGAGCTGACGTTTTGCTTTTTCATATGCCAATTAAACCCGGTCTAAATCCAAATGCTTCTCCAGCCATCCAGGAGTGGCTGTCCTTTTCAGTCTTGTCTTTTATATAGGTAGCTGAGGGGGAAGATTTAGAAGCCTTGCACTCACTAAATAGATTAAACAGAGCAGGCTTGTTTGTTGAATTGCTCCAAAGTCCAACAGACACACACTGAGCAGGTGTTTTACACTCACATTCCCTTTTTGCCCCTTAAATAGAAAGTGCAGGTAAAGGTTTATACAACAAGAAAGCACATTGAAAATAATTTGATACTCTAACAATCCATTAACATGTGTAGGGGTTACGGTGAGGATCACTGTGTTGTATTCAGAAAAACGGGGAGAGGGATGCTTAATTGGCCCTGGCGCTTGCTATTTTTTTCTCATTTCTTCACAATAGGACCGTCTTTGGCAGCAGCAAAATGTATTTCAGTATGGCAGTCTTTCCTCTCTTACATTATTGGTAAGATTATACTAACAAAATGTTTCCCCTTGTACAATTATGCTGTGTTTTTAAAAAACATTGACCTGTGTGTTTTTATAAAAGAAAAAGTATGTTGTGCCTTCTTCTTAAGAATAAAGTTTTCTAAAGGGAAAGCAGTTGTGGTGAATCCTTACCAGGTGCAAAGAGTTGACTAGAGAGGCAGCAAGGAGTAAAATGTGAGTAGAGCCAGTTGCTGTGGCACACACCTGTAGTCCTGGCTACTCGGGAGGTGGAGGCAGGAGGATGGCTTGAGCCCAGGAGTTCAAAGCAGACTGGGCAACATAGTGAGGCCCCCACCTCTAAATACATACACACGTACATACATATACATATACATATACATATACATATACATATACATACACACACACATATATATATATACACACACATATATATACACATATATATATATATGACTAGAGGCCATCCCCTTTTCAAACCTCAGCCCAGTTTCTTCATAGCCACCTCTATCAGAACCCAGCTCAGGAGTGCACAGCATGATATTTGGTCGAATGTTCTGAGAAGCATTCAGAATTTCTGTGACTTTAGGTCATTTAAGAGATGAAGTATGGTTTCTTACGTGCTTTGCTGACTTAGAGAGCCAAGCCAAGAGCCCAGCAGCATCTCTTTTTGAAGAGCAAGGCCTAGGGCTCCTGAGACAAAGGCGCCCCCTAAAAAAGGTCCCCCTAGTGAAGGAATACTGATGGGTTAAGCAGTGGAGATGAAGCTGCCTTTTATGTTGCTTTTTCTTTTTATTTCTCCTCCTCACCTCCCCTCTGGCTCCCATCCCTCTCCTTTCTCCTCCTGCTCTTAGACTGAGATTCTAAGTAGAAACACTGTGGGTTTCGAGCCCTGTCAGTTAATTAACTAACTTGCTACTGTGTAAGCTCTGCAGCCTGTCACAAACTGGAGCACCCAAGGTGCTTCAGGAACTAAGGGATTAATGTGTTTTTATTGCTCCCCTGGTCAACTCTTTCAGTAATTGCTATTCTCACATAAGGTTAGAGAGATGGTTTTCTAAAGTGTGCTTTCTGAAGGGGAGTCATGTTTTCCTTGATTTCTGGGATCTGGGATTATATTAAATATAAATAGTTACCCTGAACTTGGTCATCAGGAAACTCCAAGAGACTCAAGTAACTTCTCACTGGATTGTTTCTTGTCCCTGCCTCTAGATTATAAACACCCTGGGGGCAAGGACCATTTCTCTAGAATGTGAGGCATTTCTAAGTACTGTCCCCGAAAAAAGCTAATGCAGCAGTTGATGTTTTCTTATTGGGATCTGTTAGAACTCTAGGCACCTAAGGATTCCAGAATTTTGTGGAAAGTTGAAACTGCAACTTTAAGAATTCCAGTGAATCTCTGTTAGAAGTTGGGAGTATCACATACTTATTTTTCTCTGAGAGATGTTTCTACTCCTTGATTTGTGTGGTTGATAGTGCACCCAGCAGAACTGATGCGGAAACTTTGCCCATCTTATTTGTAAGGGGAGAGGTGACCTGCAGGTCTCCATGGACTCCGGCACGTGTCCTAAACTCAAATTCTAAAAGTGAATGGATGAAGCAAACCAGGTTCACACTAGAGTGAGTGGCAGGGACTGTGGCAAACAGGAGTGAGCAGGTCCTGTCCAAAGGGGCCAGCAGCTACTCAGTGATGCTGGGAGGGACAGGGCCCAGTATGGCCACATGATCGAGTTTTCAAGAGAAGCCAGGAATCCAAATATTCCACAAAGCTTACTGATTTCTAAACCTTGACAACTAATTTTTTAAAATGAAACTTTAAACTCTGTGTGGGCCAGAGTAAACCTCTGGGCCAAAGTTTATCTGGGCCAGTTGGGAAATTATACCCTAAAAGAACCCTGCTCTTCTCAGAGCCCCCTGCCTCTGGAAAGGGCACTTTTTCTGTTTAATTTAGGAACTAGGATTTTACCTGTAGCAGATACTTGTACACAAGCTTATCTTGGACACAATCTGCTAACCCTCCACTCTTCTACATATAAGGTGCATAGAGGGGGGCCAGAAGTGGAAAATCCCACAGAGTATGCTTGATAAGATTTTAATTTGTCCAGAAAACAGATGGAGTTAATCTTGTGACTGTTGCCCAGGATGTGGGGGTTAATCAAAGTTCCAAGACTGGAATTTGGGAGAAGTTGAAAGGGAATGAATTCACTGCCCCTCACCATCACCCCTTTCTCCAGCCCTTACTACCTCTTACCTCCAACACACACACCATGCTCCTCAATATACTTCTTCAAACATCATTTAAAATTAGTTTGGCGGAAGATGCAACAGTAAGGAAACTCCAAAAACAGATTTTCCTGTTTGTTTTAGGGTTTTAAGAAAAACACCAAGCCCCAGACCCTCTTGTCAGGATGCCCGACCCTTTAATTCGATGCTCCCATCCCAAATTTAAAGCTGCCATTCCCTGCTCCTCACTGTCTCTCTCCCGCCCCCTCTTTCTTCTCTCTCTCTGTCTCTCTCTCTCTTTCTCACCCCCTCTCACCTAAATATTTCTTAATTGAACAGTTTGTGGTGGAGCTTCCTTATAGCAGTTTAATAGATTAACTCATCTCAGCCAGCCTCAAATTTCAGATTAAAATTCCTTCATCCCGAAGGCAGCATTATCAGGTTGTTGGAGGCTGTTTTCAAACCTTGGTTTTGAATAGCAGCGGCTCTGCATTAATTTAACCACTAAGCTAATAAGTAGGTTTCGTTTTGTTATGCTAAGCTTTATTGCTTTTCTTTTGATCAGAATGGTGTTGTTGAGCAAAGCAGCAGACAAGGCATTCTTTGATGAGGGAATTAGCGCTCCATTCTTCCTCTATTATTCATAGCGCAGTGGAATATGTAAGTACCTGAGGGTGTCAAAGGAGCGCAGGTTCTATTGCAAAGTGCTCGCCTTGTTTCTCTCAATAGCTGACTATGAGATGATAAACCGCTTAATACACTGTGCTAATTGGATGAGAGCAAAAAGAGATGGGAATTAAGGCGAGGCAAAAGGAGAAAGTGCAACCAGCCTTCAATTCACTCTTTCACCACTTTAACAGCACCAAAGGAGGCACAAGCTTTCTATAAGCAGACTAGAGGTTTTGTGCAGAGATAAAATGAACGTGTTAGTGGATTCAAGTAATACACTAATTATTGCACAGTATAAATACCACTACTGGTTTTATAACAGGGAGGTAAACTTCTTTTGAGAGGGTTATAGGATTGCTTGGCAGTGGTGTAGAACCTAATAAGGGCCCAGAGTAATAACCCCCTGGATTAACAAAATTGCTGCTTGTAGAAGTATGATTCAGGCTTTTACGAAGATTTCCGGAGAATGAATAAAAATGACTGAATGACATTTCTTAATGTATAACCGGTAATCACTCCCATATCTTTAAAGGAAAAAAATGTATACTTCAAACTGGACCCTTAATAATGTCCAGGGAGGGATAACAAGACTTCTTCCTTTGAAAAATGCTTCCCCCCACCCCACGCCCCCGCCCGCTCTCCCCACCGTCAGGTAGTGGGTTTTCTTCTTCCTGTCCCCCAGCCAGGCTGTCACTCTCAGTGAAATATGCAGTTGTTCTGGGGACTTCTGTGTTCCAAAATATTATTTTAGGCCCCATTTAAGACCCCCTTCATTCAGACACACTCACTTTTGGGTATACACATAAACACATGCTCATGGACTTTTTTTTCTCCTAAAGCAAGTTGGGCTAACCTATTATAATTTGTTTTTCTCTCACATCAGCCCCTTTTGTCACTCTAGTAAGATCACATTTAAAAGGATACTAAAAAGAGAACTACAGGTGCTTTGGCTCTTGATACTACAAATCAAAAACAACGTTAGCCCCAGTTGGGTGGGGGGTGATTAGTACCTGAAAAAAAATGGGAAACTGTTCCGAGCCAATTTCAGCATGGACTTTAGTTTAAGTCTGAGTTTCAAGTCCCAAGGAGGCCCAAAGTTTCTCAACAGTCACTCTCCCTAATTATTCCACTTACCTCCCCACACACCTAAGATGCCCGCCCTGACTACTGTCCACAGTTCGGGCCATGGGTAGTTGGTGATGGAAGGACACCTCTGATAATATTATGCCAAATGCGCCCTTTTTGCCTTCCAGGACCTCCTCCAGATCTGGCTAACCTGTCTGAAAATGTAGCAAATTAACTTACTCCTTTCCCTCAACCCTCCCACAGAGGCCTGTCCCAGGCTTCAATTACCCCTCACCCCAAGATGCTGTGGGGGTGGCCCTGGGAAAGCAGGTGTTGGGCCATTCTGCCTTGGGTGTGATAGGACACAGCCATGCCCTGAACTGGGCCCTCGCAAACTCCCTGGGGCTCTGCATGTCCTCCATGGTGGAAGAGGTTTGCTTAAGGTTGGGGGGGGGGGGTCAGCCGCTCCCAGCATTGTGACCAAGTTCCCAGATATTGGGGCCAAATTGGGTTGCCATTCATTAATAATGCTCACAATAAGATTAAATCATTCTGGAAAATCTCATAAAATCCCCCTAAGTACGCTCCAGTGGCTCTTTCCAATCCCCATCATTCAGCACTTGGGGAGGTTTGGAAGGAGAAGAAAATTGGTTTCTTTGCTTTTAATGCTGCTTTGAAAAGATACTCAGAGTTTTTCATGCGTGACATGTCACATGTTTAATGTGGACTTGCTGGAAGTCAGGGGGTCTTTAGCGTGTGATATTTATGGGGAATATTAAGTGCAGAATGAGGTCCCTCCAGCTGGGGAAAGTTGAAAGAATAGGAGGCCCAGGACTGGGCTTGTTTGCAGCATCAGAATGACATAGGATTAAGAGTTTGTAAAACAAGGCGAGGGGTTCTCATTGGCCAGTAATAAATGTAATCCTTGGAGGTAATTTCACGCAATTTGCTTCTGTTCCATGGAAGGGTCAAATGAGAAAAAATGACTTAAAAAAGAGTTCATTAACAGGAAGAATGGTACTGTTTCTCGTATACCATCCAACTAGCAGCCTAGAGGGGGGAAAAGAAGCCCTACTAAACAAAAAGGCAAAATCGACGCAAAATTGATATCGACCACAACACACACACACACACACAGACACACACACACACACACACACCCAACTCCTTTCCCTCAGTCTTCTCCAGCAGTCCCGTCTCCTCCCCAAACTCTCCAGCGGCCCTGACCACCCCAGGAAAGCGGCTTTCACTCAGGGAGAGCCTGTGGATGTGGAGTCTGAGGGTTTTAGACTCTCAGACCTCCAGTAAGGCCCTAGAAAGTTCCCACCGGGCCTACTAAACCCGGGAACGGAGTGTGTGGTAGGAATGGTAGTTGGCGGCCGCTCCCCATACCCCAGGCCGGGGCCCTTCTTGCGAGTGCCGCCCCCGTGAGTCCAGGGCTAGCGTTGGGTGGCGGTGATCCACCCGACGACCCAAGTGCCAGAAGCGGCCACCAGCCGGCGAGCCGGTTCCGTGAGCTCTCCAACGTTTCGGGCGGGCGGGGTCTCCGGGCGTCTGGACCCGGGGTTGGAGAGGAGGGGATTGAAGTTGGGGGTGAAGGGGGGTGCAGGATAGGAGGCGAGCCCGGGACGTGCGGGCTCCAGCGCCGAAGCTGCCGGGCGGGCTGCCCACACCCAGGTGGGCACAGCGCCTGGCAGGCCGCTGACCTCTGCCCAACCCTGCACCCTCCCCTCGGCCGCGCACACTTGCGCCCTGGGCCGCGAGGGGACCCGGCCCCCCTCCTCCAGGGCGCGCGCGGAGCCCGACGGCCCCAGCCCAGAGAGGCACCCGCGCCCCCCGCGGCGACCGACTGGCCGGCGGCGGCGGCGGCGTGGCGGGGCTGCCGGCCCCAGCTCCGCAATCGCGGTAGTCACGCCGCGGCACCCCCGCACCCCTCCCGCCTGCCCCTCTCCCCAAAGGTCCGGCGCGCTAATTACAGCAAATTGAAACTAATTAAGCTTCTCTTCCCTTTCCCATCACCCTGGGAGCGTCGGCGAGACCCAGCCCCCGCGGGCGGGCTTCCACCAAGCGGTCACCCGGAGGGGCGCGGGCAGGGCCCGGGGGAGGGAGAAGCTGCGGTCCCCGCCGCGAGGAGGGAGGCGTGCGCCGAGGTGGTTAAGGATTGCAAATCTGTTTGGGTCTCCTCACGAAATCTGAGTTGTTTAGATTTTTTTAAATGTATACATTTACCAATGCCTGGATAAGTGATGTAATGACATTTGTCGAGTTAAGATCTGCCATTTGGATACCCCTCGCTGCCTTTCCATCACTACTGCTCCCGCATGTTTCTCTCTCTCTCCCTCCCTCTCTCTCTCTCTCACACACACACGCACACACAACACAATACACACACACACTCCCTCCTCCCTGCGAACATGCCGTGGAGCCCGCCCCCTCGGAAGGGAGCGCCTGGGCTTCTCGCTCTCGCCATTACCTGTCATCTCGGACTGCGCACTTCACTTCCTGGCTACGTGGCACTTTCCAACAGCTCCCTTCGCCTTCCGAGCCAAGACTCCCGCTTGCTTCAAATTTCTGACTCCACCGTCAACAACGCCCACCATCCACCCACCCATCCTGGAACCCACCCCACCTCCGTGGCCCGGGACCCCCAGCTCCCGCTGTGACACGACCCGGGAGAGCCCAGGTGCGCGTGGAAAGTACCGCGGCGGCGTCCTTAACCTTCGTAGGAAATCCGGTTCCCTTTGAGGATCGGATTCAAACCAGGGGCCTCTGCCAGGAAAACGCGTGTGCAGATAATCCCAGGAGATGCCTGGACGCTGGAGCCCACCCTTGACTCCCGGGGGGTGGGGGTGGGGGCTTCTACTGTCCCCTCAGCGCCTGTATGGAGCATTCACACTTCGTTTTGTTAAACATATAATTTTTTTATTTTGAGCGTGACACTTCTCCACTAGATAGCAAGGAAAAGTGGTAACAATTACACATTACACAAAAGTACTGTACCATTGCCTTTATCTTGAAGGTTTCGGAAGCCTCTACAGTTAATAAGTTAAATAAAGGGCTTGAGTACATAAATATTTGTCTAGGAACCCTACCGTATCTACAACACAGTAAGAATCTACGGGAGGACAAACTTTTACCATACCACGCTGAGTGCAATTGCGTTATAACATTTCAAATATACAAAGCTCTGTTCTTTTTTTTTTTTTTTTAATAACAATGGTATGTACAGAATCAATAATCACAGTTTGGTGACTTCAACAGTCCATATTCTAGCAGAGTATTATTTCCCTTTGGTTTGATATAAAAACCTTGGTTGGTGTATGATAAAGAAGAGAACAAGAACAAGACGCCCCTTTCCTTTAAGTGCACTGTTAGCTATCTTACAGGCTCGCATTTGCTTCCCGGGCCCTGGCTTCACGCTGGGGCCCTCGCTGGGGAGATCAACTTCGAGCGCCAAAATGCTATTTAAAAAAAAAAAAGAAAGAAAGAAAGAAAGAAAAGAAAGGCTAAGTGGGGTGTCAGGAGGAAGAGGTTGGGCTTTTTAAATTTTTTACTTCAATATCAGGCGTCTGGGGGAGAAAACCTCCCCGATATTTTCAGGAAAGTAAGAACAAGAGAGAGTGGATGTTGGAGTTGGAGCGAGGTTGGCAGTAGCAGGGGCAGGGGCAGGGGCGGGTGGACAGCCAGCCGAGGAGGTGCCACGTCCCGGAGCGCCGAGGGCTGCCATGCCCGCATCCAGACTGCTGTGAAGGCGGCTGCGCTCTCTCAGTGCCGTCTCGGGAGTGTGCTGGTCCTCTGTTTCCATTTGGTCTTGAGTGGTGCTGAGTGAGGTGACCTTTCGGGGCGCGCGCGGGGCGCGGGTGTGGAGGGCAGCCTTTAGCACACCTCCTTGCCCGTGCTGGTGCCCGGCAGGATGTTGAGCTGCGTGAGCTGCGCCGCGTGCTCCTTGGCCTTGAGCCTCAGCGCGGCTATGCTAGAGGCGCGTCTGTCTGCGGCCGCCGTGGCCGGGTCGGCCAGGGCGCCCGATGCCACTGCGCCCTCCACGGCGGGTGTGGGCTGTCTCAGGAGCGCGGCCGCGGTCGACGCGCTGGTCAGGGGGGCCATTGTGGAAAAGAGCCTGCAGGGAGAGCAAACAGCGCGGTCATGGCCTCGGGAGCTGTGCGCGGCGCCTCGGGCAGCGTCTCCCGCCGCTTGTCGCCGGGGCAGCTGAGGGGCGCGGTACCCACGGGACCCGGATGGGCCGCGGCGGGGAAGTGGGCAGAGGGCGCGGGCGGAAGCTGGACCCCGCAGAGAGGGCTTTCCTGGGGCAGGGAACCGACTGGGGGGAAAAGACCGAGTCCAGATATTCCCCGAGGGGCCGGGCCGGGCCGGGGTCCACAGGCCGGCGTGGAGACCTCAAGCCCCACGGCCCAGTGGCGTGGATTCGGTGGTTTCGCTTAAACGGACGGTTTATTCCAAGGCCAGGGGCTGCAATGACACTATCTCCCAGGAGAGAATGCGGAAGGAGAAAAGGAGAGGAGAGCAAAAGAAGGGAAGGTGGAGGGTGGGAGGGGGGAGGAAAAAAAAGACGGAGAAGGTGGGATTCCAGCTGCCCGGACGCACGCCGCAGGCTCTGAGATCTCCCTCCGGCTCCTTGGCCCGGGACTTTCTGCGCCCTGAAGAAACAGGCCTAGCTCGCCGGCCTCCCGGGCCACCCGCGCCGCCGCGGCCGCCCTTCCGCGCGGGACTCAGCTACCCGCGTCTGGCCAGCGCCTGCGGGTGAGAGTGAAGGGCGACCGCCTGTTGATTTCGGCTCCACGGGCGGGTGTCACCTGCCAGCAGCCCCACATCCTGGCGCGGCGACCCCAGCTGTCTTCCCCGCGCCCCTGTAGCCTCTGGCCTCAGGGAGCCCCCGACCCACGACCCTGGCGCGCGGCGCAAGGCGATGCCCAAGCCTGGGACCCACGCCAGCGCCACCGCCTCCAAGCGGCGACCGAATTACTCCACGTGACGCTTCCACCCCATGCACACAGCACCGGGACATTAGCTGTGGCCGGAGCCGCCCGGGGCCACCGGACACCACCCCCACGCCCACCGCCTTGGAGCGCCCGCGAGCTTTCCCGACCGCCTCCCTGAGGGGTCTGGCTCCAGGCCCGCGGGGCCAATTCCGGATTTCCAGGGTTAGAAATGAGCCCACCTGGGCTCACCGAGCGCCGCCTCCTTCTCCCAAGCCCACTGCTCACTCCTCGCACCACCCCAGCCCAGACCCTCTTCCAGCCTCTCCGAATCTCGCAACTCGGTCCTCCAGCCACGGTTCGCCTGGGTTTACAAGTCACTTGTCAGAGGGAAAAAGTGGAGGGAGGGGAGAGACAGAACTTTAAGATTTTTCTCAGAAAGAAATGATAAAGTGTGACCCGGAGGTGGCGTAACATGCCCTGGTTCCATTAGGTAAACTGAGTCACTAACTCTGCTTCAGTGCGCTCGCTGTTTATTTTATTGGTTTGTTATAAGAAACTAAATTTACTCCGAGTCTTAATTTTCTGTAAGATGATTTTTTGTTAAGCAGCTGCGCAGTTGGATGAATCTATTATTTCTTTGTTCTCCCAAAGAGTGATCATTGAAGCTGCATCCAGTTTTATTTTCACTGCGCTAACACAATACATCCCTCCTTTGTTTCTTTGTCTGTGTGATTATACAGACTTTTTATTTCCTCATTCGATGTTCATTAAAGAAAGGGAGTTATAAGATGAACTGTTTCTTTTATTTCGTTGTCTTGTACTGCCGTGTAGATCGGGGCTTGCACATATGGGGGTGTCGTTGGCAGCGGGTCACTTGAGTGACAAGGAAGATGGAGTCTGGGGCAGAAGAAAGAATTCTGTGCACCCAGAGGGCCTGGTGGCTCCAGGGCTCCCATGGGGATCAGGGCTGTGTTCCTCAGGCTGCCAGGTTGGGGGGCATAAGGAAGAACTTTTGCAAAACTTAAAAAGTCGTCCCTGCTCTGTACCCTACACCTGTACATATTTGCTCGCTTACCACCTATGGTGGGACTTGTTGCAGCCTGCAAATGGTACTTTTACAGCTTTCATTCTCGGTTGTCACGGTTGTCGTTACTGCCACTGCCTTCCCCTTTCCCATTAAGTTCCAAGTCAATACCTTCAAGACCCACATTTTTTTTTTTGAGGCTCAATTAGAGAGTATTTTCTTTGGCTACAGTCTCTGAGGTTGGGTCAAAGAAAAAGATGTGTGTAACCCTGTTTGACTCCTGCCTCCTCCCTGCCCCCAGCCTCTGTGTGTATGAGAGACAGACAGACAGACAGACTTCCGAGGCTGCGCGTTACCTGCCGAATGCCGGGCTGATGAAAGCTGGGTGTCGGAACACTGCCGCTCCGAGGAAAGTGCTCAGGCCCAGCGGCGCCCCGCTGGGCGGCAGGCTGGCCGAGCCCGGAGGCGGAGGTAGGCTCGGGAAGGCGGCGGCGGCGGCGGCGGCAGCGGCAGTCCAAGCGGAGTCGAGCGCCGGGTGGTGCGGAGGGAAGGGGCTGGCGTCCAGGTAGGGGCTGAGCGGGTGGGTGGCGGAGAGCGGCCCCGGGAAGGGCAGCCCAGGGGGGTGGGTCTGCGCGCCTGCCTTCTCCCGCTTGCGCCACTTGGCCCGACGGTTCTGGAACCAGACCTGCAAGGCAGAGAGAGCCCAGGGTCGGCGCGGCTCGGCCCGGCGGGCGCACCGGGCCCCTACCCGTCCCTTCCCTTGGCGCGCTGCGGGGCCCCCTTCCTTTCCACCGCGGCCCGCGCCCACCTGCCCCTCTTTGGCCTCAGGTTGTTTTCGGACGCGTCTGGGGCCAAATGAGCAGTGAATAGGAGCCGCAACTTCAAGTCAGCAGGAAACAGGACAAGCAAACCCTTTCTGCCGGCATTCCACCTGGGCCAGTTTTCCAAGTTTAAGGAAAGTGATTCAGTGTGTTTAGAGTTGGGGAAACCAAAGTTTAAACGTCTGTGCTGACGCTTGCTAGGATCTTTAGGCAGGTCACTTAAACCTCTCTGAACCTCAGTTTTCGAATCTGTAAAATGGGGATAATAAAACTTCACTCATAAGGCTGTTATGAGAACTGGGTAAAATAAGGCAAGTGAAAGCATGCATTCAATGGTGACTCTAGGGAATGGGCAGCCACCAAGAGATGAGGGACATGCTTGTTTTACTGCATATCAGCTATTTTCACCTATTTCAGATTTACGCAAGAGCTGGCAAAATTCTTGCTCTGTATGGAAGAGGAAAGTGGAAAGATAGTTCATTTATTCTTTCCAGAAACATTTATTGAACACCAAAGAGCACTATGCTGGGTTCTGGGGTTCAGAGAGGGATGAGAGGGAGGGAAGAAAGGCTCGAGTTAATTAGCAAGCATACATTTCAGGGGGTCAATCCTCTATGAAATGAAACAGGGATACACAACCTGCTCTTGGCAGGGGATCCCTGCAGGACCCAGTTCTATGCAGGAAGGCACTGACTACATGGATGAAGCAGGCAGCAATACCTGGGCGCATAGAAATCAGAGGGCATGATAGGTGTAGACTTTTCACATCTTCAGAGCTAACAAGTCTTTTATTTCCTTTTGGAGATGTGTTTTAAATCGGCTATTTAAATAAGATAGTTTTAGGCTTGGAGGGAGGTTTTCAGCCTGAGGTATTTTCCTAATTGCTAATAGAAAGCGGTTTTAATGGAGACCTTTACCTGAAACATGGCAGCTACCATCATCTAAAAATAAACCCCAGGAGCATGAAATTATTTTTATGTGACCTGCTCATCACACCCACAGCTGGGAAGATATGCTCCTTCTCCCCTGAAGGCATTAATATTTTTAGGGCTGGGTTTATAACTGCACACAAGTCTGAAAATTAAGAATGAACTCCAGGGCTATACAGAGTTATATTAAAATATAATGTAAATTATCCCAGAGGAATATATTTTAAAATGTGAAACACATCCATATTTTTCAAATCTACACACTGGGGCTTGTTGTTACCAGCACTAGCATCTAAGCTTGGTTTGACTTCTAGACAGCCCCCCAGGGCAAGAAAAATCAAGAATCCAAATCGGTCAATTACTTCCAAGTCGGCCAAAAGGGGGCCCATTCACACCATTCCACAGCCTTCAAAATAATCTATTTGTGAATTTCAGAAACACTTCAGTGTGGAAACCCAGAGGCTTGAAAAAGTAAGACTGTAGATGGGACCGGACTGGGTGGGCAGCTTTTGTGTAGCCAAATCTGTCTAGACAAGAATATCCGCCACTCCTTGATCGCAGTGAAAGAAGAAGGGGAACTGGGGGCAGTGGACTCAGAATGCCCTCAAAGAACGTGGAAACCTTTTTACAGACAGATCGTCTCTCCCGGCTCAACTGCAATTATCAAGATGTCCCCCTGCAATTCCTCATTATTGAATTAATACCTCTGAGGCCCCCCAAAGGTAAACGAAAGGACTCTAATAATTCATATTCACTTAATTACATCTTCTCCAGTGAATAGGGGGAGAGGAGAAAGGGAGGGGGCGCTCTCTTTCTTTTTAAAAGTTATTTAACTTTCCCACGACTTGTTCCCCTGAGCTGAAAATACGGAGTTGCTGTCACATCTCTGTTTGACAATGGAGAAATGTGTCAACAGAAAGGAGGGGACAGGCCTCATCATTAGCCCTCTAATGCAAGAAGCTGTTGTGTATTAAATGAGCCATATGGAATTTATTGTGCTTTATCAGCGCTTGATTTTGACTGTAAAGTGATTCACTCAGCTCCTAACTCGGGGACATCTGTTTTCTGTTGGCCATCGGGGCTGCTCAGTGTTGATCGTCTCTTTGGTTATGAGGCCTGGGTTCGGAAATGCACTCTGGTATGGGGCTGCAAACACCTTTAATAGCATTGCACTCACTCCCTATTAGATCAATGTGGGTTCATTGCTATAAAAAATGGGAAATCAAATAGCATTAGCCAGCTCCTTGTGCGGGGCGGAGGGGAAATCAAACAGCATTTTGCCTTCAAATGGCCCTGTTTGTTCTAGCACTAAGTGGGCTTTTATGAAGCCCGATTGGAGACTTAATCGCAGCCAAATACCTGCTTGGAACTGAGCGGATTTGTCTAACAACCAAATCCATGCTCCATCCCATTATTTCAATCAGGAGAAGTAGATCGGTGGATTGTTTCCTATAGGAGCTTTGGGGCTAGGGGGTCCCAAACTGCAGTCTCAGGGACTCTAAAGCCCTTGTTCTGATCCTGGACTCCTTCCTTGGGCTCCCAAACCCAGAAACCTCCCGCTTCCACCTCCCATGTCTTAAGTTTTAAATATCTTTGTGTGTGAGAGAGTGCTTGGGTCTACTTTTCTGATCCTGCTTCTCTTGGTTTTGTGAAGGGGATCTCACCCCCCGCACCCCCCCGCCACCAACCCATCTCTCTCTCTCCCACTGGCCCCCAGCCCTCCTCCCTCCCTCTTCCCTCTGTTGTGCAGCTCACCTGGACTCGGGCCTCGGTCAAGTCCAGCCTCATGGCCAGTTCCTCCCTATAAGAAAGCAACACACAGACAGGAGGTCACTGCAGGCCCCAGCAATGCCCTCTCAGCTATTTCCTCCTCTATGGCAGGCCTACTCCACCAGGGTCTCCCCTGGCTGCCTGCCCCCCACCCCCAAACATATGGGCATTACCATTCCATCACCCCCTGGAGTGCCAACTATTTGACTGAAAATGCAAAAACACGAAGCACATTACCAGATATAGGATATTATCTATTATATCATACTACATTCGTGTGTGACAACCAAGGGTGGCTTCAAGTCTACAAACCTGGGTACACAGGTTCTCTCTCACTGTCTTAAGCCAGAGTTAGACAACACACACACACATACACACACACACACTGCTTATACCCTGTTTTGTCCTAATATTAAGTGGGATAGGAACTCAGCACTTAACTAAGAAAATATTTTTCTGTCCTCTTGGTTTCCTTCTGCCTTCTTTTTAAAAATTTCTCTTCCCTCCTTCTTCCTTCTTCTCTTTCCAGCTCTATGCCTTTCCCTCCATCTCTCTCTCCCCCGCCTTCCTCCCTCCATCATCCCCTTGGGTCACACTCCCCATTACCCTCTGCAGGTATGTTAAGCTTGTTAAGAGTTCAGTGGGGTAATTTTTCGATTAAACAAAATTCTGCGCACCTCCTGACTCCAATGCCCACTACAAACCCTGCCCATCTCAGGGGAAGTCAATTTAACTGAAACCCTACCCCATCATTGCAGTTATTACTGCGACAATTAAGGCAAATAGGAAACCATTAAGATGCTGTAAAACGGCTTACAACCTGTTTACCGAAAATATGACCGCGCCGAGAATAATTGGCCCTCCGGCTCGCTAATATGAAAGAGCGGGGCCGCCGAAGCCTGGGACCTGGGGTTGCCCTGCCGGTAGGCCCCCAGTCCACACCTGAAACTTCAGCACCAGAGGTAAACCGTCTCCATAAGTGCCCTCCGTTGCCGTTGCCCCCAGCTACAGTGGGCATCAGCAAATCTAAAGCGGCACTCCAGGCTGGCTCAGGGCCGGAGCCAAGGGGCTCAAACCCCTGGGTTGGAAAGAGGTGGGGGTGGGGCGGGGAAGAGGAGCTGCCCCTCCTCGTGCACTTCGGTCCTCCCCCGCCCCTAAGCCCGCCAGAAGCTAAGAAAGGGCGGACGTGGATGCCAACTGACACCAGCTCAGTTTCTTCTTTGGAAATACACACGTACGATAAACGCAAAACGCTGGTCGGCCAATTCGCTATTTGACAGCACACATAGGTTTTCAAACTTATTTCCTTTTTTAAAGATAAGGAAAGGACTGGGTGACACAGGGGAAGACCAAGTGTAGCCCAAGGGATGACCAGGTTTAAGTGCCTTTGCCTGGCATTAAGTCTGCTCTTTTCTGTTTCTGGTTGGGAGAGAGTTAGGCAATTGCCAGGCCAACTACATTTTGGAGTAGCTCGGCCTCCCGAGCCCTAAGCAGCGATTTCTCCTCTGGTTCAAAGGGGCGGGCAGCATTCCCCTTCTAAAATGCACATTGAAAAGCTGCGCACGTCTCCTTCGAAGGAACTGCCCGCGCTTGACAAGCCCCGCGCTAGGCAGTCACCGATCCCTTTCTCCCCCTCACTGGGGGACGTTTGCCCTAAGACTGGCTCCTCGCCTGAGCTGAGAACTTGGCCTTGGGGTGGGAGAGAAGGATCCCTACCCGGGCCGGCGCCCCAGGTGGTGAATAAGCTGGGGCCGAGGGTCCAGTCATCACACAGGCACATGTTTCCCAGAAAAACAAGTGGGAGGTGGAGCGTGACCAGGTCGAACACCCGGCTTGGACACTGATCCAAAGAGAAAATTCCCCCAACTGCTTTGTCTACTCCCTGCCAGGCTTCCAGCAATCATTGTCCACCCGGTAAACCCGTTTACATTAAACGCACGGTGGGTTTAATATGTGTGTCGGGAGAGGACAGAGAGTAGAAGGGGAGATTCTGGCTGGGGCCCCTCAGGTGTTCAGACACCAAACACTGCCCAGTTCTGACTTCCTTTGGTTATTTCAGGAGTCCTGAAACGACAGAACTCGGATCTTTTTAAAGGCCTTCTCCGCTGGCACGGGCTCCAGCTTCACTGCGAACTGCGTAACTGATACCCACCAGGCCCCTGGGGCACCAGGCGGGGGTGGCGAGCGCACAGCACAGCGACCAAAAATAGCCCCTGCTTTGCTCTGTCTGCGGACAGCGCTTCCTGAGCCTCGCCGGGGACCTAGCCGGGACCGCAGCTCCGGAGGCCTTGTGTCTGTGCCCTCTGCTGTGCGCGCGTCTCCAAGGTGGCGCTTTCGGGCGCTCTTTGGAGAGGCTGTTTCTTTTCCTCTCTCTAACTAAAACTTGTAATTTGAAAACATTAAACTGCAACGACCTTGGGAAGAAGATAAACCATTCCAGCCTAAACTTAAAGCCCGAACCGGGGTGGGGGTCGGGGGAGTGGGTAGTTTGGGTGAGCAAGGGTGGGTGTGTTGGGAGGGCGCTCTTCCACAGAGTCCAGGAGCCAAGCGTCCGCCCCGAGGCCGGGGCCCCTGCCAGCCCGCTGTCCCTCCCTGGGGCCCGCGTGCGCTCTCTGCCGCTGCGACCGCGACCACCCTACGCGCATACCTGGTGAAGACGTCCGGGTAGTGCGTCTTCTGGAAGGCCCGCTCCAGTTCCTCCAGCTGGTAGCTGGTGAACGTGGTGCGGTAGCGCCTCTGTTTGCGTTTCAGCAGCCCCTCCTCCGAGTCGCTGCCCGCAGAGAGGCACACGCTGTCCTCGCCGTCCTTGCCCTCAGCGTCTTCCGGGTGCAGCAGCAGCTCCTCCTTGGGTGACAGCTCCCCGCCCTCTGTGGCCACTGCAGCGGCAGCTGCTGCGGCCACGGCGCCAGTGGCGGCCACAGGACAGCGCCGGGGCTCCTTGAGCAGCGCGCGGGCGTCGTCCTCCAGCAGCTCCTCCTCGTCGTCCTCCAGCAGTTCCTCTTCCTCGTCCTCATCTTCTTCGTCCTCCAGCAGCTCCTCCTCGTCGTCCTCGGTGCCGGTGCCACCACCCGCAGCCGGGGCGCTGCCCGGGCCGCCGGCCACGCCGAGGCGCTCCTCCGGGTGCGTGACGCCCCCCGGGCCGCCCAGCTCGTCCAGCGCGGGCGGCGGCGGCACGAAGGGCGCCCCGTTCTCGCGGTACGACTTGCTGCGGCTGATGCTCACCTGCGGCGCCTGGCTGATCTTGAGCGTGTCCCAGGCCGCGGCGGCCGCGGCCGCGGCTGCCGCGGCGGCCCCTGCGCCGTCCGGCCGTTCCCCGGGCCGCGCGGTTGGCGGTGGCGGCGGAGGGGCCTCCCCGCGTGGACCCGCCGTGGCCGTGGCGGCCGCTGCCGCCGCCGCCGCCGCCGCCGCCGCCGCCGCTGCCGCACCCTGAAGGAGGCGGCCCCCGCCCGGGCCGTACAGGCGCCGCAGCTTGGGCGGCAGGTGCAGCTCGGCCTCGAACGGGGCGCTGCTGCTCTTAGGGGAGCCTGCGGGCAAGGGAGAGCTATCAGCCAGCCGGCCGGCCGGGGAGTCCCAGCCAGGGCTGCTGCCGGGGCCCGCCCGCAGTTGCTCCCCCAGTGCCTAGGCCCAGGCGTGCGGGGACCGCGCACCACCAGACTTCGACGCCTTGGCCTCTTTCTCCACTTTTCTTGCTTTTTCTTTTTCTTTCTTTCTCTCCTTCTCCCTTTCTCTGGGTTCCTTCTTTTTTCCCCTTTCCTCTCCCTTCTTTCCGTTCCCTCTCTCACTCTCCCCCTTTTATTTCCTATCTTCCTTCCCTTATCTATTCCTCTTGCCCCTCTCTCCCTTCCTTTTCTCTCCTTACCTTTTTTCTTTTTCTTTCTCCCCCTCCCTTCTTTTCCTCACCTCTCTTTCTCCTTCTCTCCCCCTTTCTTTCTCTTTTTGCAGGCTTTCTCTCCCCTCTCTCCTTCTTTCTTCTTTATTCCTTTCTCTTTCCCCTTTCCTACTCTCTCATTTTTATTTCCCTTCCCACGTCGGGGCAGAGGAAAATCCGAAAACATTCTACAACTTTAAAAGAAAATCACCACTATCCTGAAAACTTTGCGCATGACCTCTGCCCGCTGCTCCACCATGAGGGCAAGGGTTGGCAAGAGGGGTGCAGCCCTGAAGGCGACCGCTGCGGGGCGGGGTGGGGGAAAGCGGCCCTGTGGCCCCAAGTGCAGGCCGCGCCCCAACAGCCCACAGCGGGAGAGGGTGGGGGGGCTTCTTGCACAAAAAGGCAAAGAAAAATCATCCTGGCAAAAATGTTCTGGGAAAGGTCTGGGGCAGAGAGGGAGTGGGAGTGCAGCAGGCGCAGGCCGCTCCTTCCTTTTGAGGAAGCGCCTGGCATAGGTGCCACTGCAGGCTAAAAAAAGAAAAGAAAAAAGTCAGTTTTATTTAAATGCCCCCTTCTCAACCGTCTGCTCCTGCCATCCAAATTGCGCTATGGCCGGACCGCTGGTTTTTGGATTTTAAAAGAAACCAACAGTTCTTTCCTTTCCCTGCGACACCTCTGCAGCAAGCTCGAGGCGAAACTTGAGGATAACAGGTTCGGGGTAAAAGGACATTTGTTCTGGAATTTTTAATTTCAGAAAAAAATAAAATATTTTAAACAGCTCGTCTATTTTAAAAAATAAAATAGCAGAGAAAAAATTAGCATCCAGAAGTCACACATTTCATACATTTTAAATACATTAAGGAGCATTTGGAGAATCCCAGGAAGATGTTTTCTGCAAAGCTTGGGTTTAAAAGGTCACAAGTAATCTGCAATTAAAAAAATAAAACCAAAACATTGCATATACAGAAATCTTCCAAAGAGGAAAGGCCAAGGCTCACTCAGCCTGGAGACCCCGATTCACCAGCTTTTGGGCTTCTTGTCTTCATCAAGTTGGTGCTACAAGGGTCCACCGGCCATCTACTGTTTCTGACCTGTCGCCGCTCTTCAGAGCACACCCAAGGCCACCAAAAGGGGCATTTAAACAACCTAACGATCAACACCGAAAAGCTAAAGGCTCCCTAAGCGAAAACGGGCCTTTTTCTGGAAGCAGGGAGGGAGGGAGGGAGAGACAGCCCTGGCTAGATGTTTAACGCTCTTTGAGGCAGCAGGCCTCAGAGTTATGCCCTCTCCTTCCTTCCTCTCCAAATTGACAATTCCAGGCCACTGGCCCCCGAACACCAAACATCCAAATCAGGGCCCAATGCCCTTAGTAAGTGCCTGACGGGAGCATCCTTACCTTGCACGGCCTTTTCCGGGTCGGCGCGGCTGGTCAGCGGAGCAGGCAAGCTCTGCGCGGCTCCCAGCAACCGCATTTTGCACGGGCTCCTCCGGCCCAGGATGCTGTCGATGCAGTAGGAGGAGAGCAAAGTTGGAGATTTACTTTTGCACTCGGGCCTCTCGGAGCAGCCCTCCTCCTGGTACTGATTGCTCATGGCTGGGGCTTTTTCCCAGGGCGCAGAGAGCGGATCGCCGGCTGCCTCTCCCGGAGGGTGGGATGGATGGGTGTGTGTTGGGGGTGGGGTTAGATAGCGGGTTATAACGGATATTATTGCGATCTTTGTGCCTTTCTGCCTCCCTTGGTTGCCGGCTGCCGGCTCCCGCCCTGCCCGCGGCCCGAGCTCGCCCTCTCCGCGCTCAGGACAAGCGGTAACAAGTGTAGTGAGCAGCGGGCGCTGAGCTCTGGAGTCTCTCTCCTCCACGTGCTGAGAGGCGCCCTCTGATTGGCTCTCGCCAGAGGCCGGGCTGCGTCGGCCTGTGGGCGCGGCGCAAAGCCCGGACTGGATTCCAGAGGGGCAGGCGGGGGTGGGGGCAGCGGGCACGCACCAGAGCCAATTTTCCTTTTCTTTCTTTCTTTTTTTAAGTTACCAATTTTCTAAGTCCGCTATCCTCTTCCTGCAGCTCCTCCTTTGACCCTTTAGTGTTGGCCGAAGTTCTAGCTTATTGGGATGCCAGGCCTGTGAATGCCATCTGGGTGGCGTGCGCCCCTTCCACCAACCCGAGGACCTCGCTCCCTGGAGGCGAGGCCTCGAGGCTCACGTTCAGACTCACTCGGCACTTTTCAAAGCCGATATTGGGCTCCCAGGACACCGCCTTGACCTCCCTGGCGCTCAATTGCCGTCCTCTCTAGGCCGGACGGGCGTCGGGGGGCCAGGGTGACCGCCCCAAGCAAACATCTGCCGTCTGGGAGTTCGCTTTTCTCTTGCGGCCCAAGGCATTGCGCTGTCTATCTTCACCCTGAGCCCGACTGTGTCTCTCTTGTTTGTAGCGTCCCCCAACCGCTCTCCTCTCCGTTTTAAACTCTGGAATGGGAAAAAGCCTCCTTACAGACAAAGCTCTGCCATAGGCGCGCGGCCTTCCCTAGAGCATTTACTGGGTGGGAAGGGACAGGCGAGTATCAGCAGCGAGGAGGGGCGACTGGGGACGAGTCTGGGGGCCTCCTCTTTCTCCCTGGACTCTCTTCCCTCTTTCCCCCACAAATTCGTATCTGTTAGGCCTTCACCCTGAGGCTGTTCACCTTCCAATCGCAGCTAGGGAGCAGAACCCTCAGGGATCCCTGACCTCTCCAGGGTGGAAGGAACCCAAATTCGGCTGCAGCCAAATCTAAGCGTCTAAAATTCTGAATTCTCATGACCTGGCTCCCTTGAGCAAAGGTGAGAGAGTGAACCTTAGAGAGAGCGCCTTTCTTCCCAAACAGTTTCCAGCGCCGAGAACTAAAACCCAACTCCAACTGATGTTGGGTCGAGCCTGGGCCAGCACGGACGCCTTCCCTGCCTGGGTGCAGGTTCCCAGGGATTTCCAGGGGCCCCAACGCTGGCAGAATTGGGGCGAAGGTGGTGGGTGAGAGAGGGGCCAGGGAGGGGGAATCCACGCCGGGTTTTCCTCTCTCAACTCCCTTCAATGTGTCAAAGAGAAAAGCATTTTACAAAGGATTATACTTGAATCACTTACAGTCAGTATTTAAAAATACAAGGATGCATAACTGGGATTTTTTTTTTTCAGCCATAAACATCTGCATAACTCTTGGATGCTGGTGGGTGGGTAGCAGACAGATCGGGCTGCCTCCGCAGGAAACTTCAAGACAAAACTGGGGGGAGGGGATGAAGGGTTGGGAACAGGCACATTAATAATGCGAATACTAATACTGATACTACTACTACTATTAAAGACAGGACAAAAAGAATTCCTCTGTCCCTCTCTCTCTCTCTCTCTGGCTTTTAGCTTAATTCTCATCCGTTTTTTTCTGCACTTGGATGATAGGGCGGGCTGTGGTGGGGAGCGGAGGAGAACCCGAGCCATCGCTGACATTTGATTTTCCTTTAAGCCCTCTCTGCGATTCAAAGTCACCTGGGATCTCTCCTTGCCTTTCCCGCATTCTTCCTTTTCCATCCCCACCAAGAGTTCGGTGTTTTTACACCGTCCGGTTCAGCTTTAAACTAACATTCTGCGCGCTGATTTCCTCCCACATTCCCTCCCCCGGCCCCGAAAGCCCATTCCAGGCGCGCGGGTCTCATCGCAGCCAAGAGGAGTAAAGACACTTCGGTTTCCTCCTAGCCTCCAGCCGCGGACCCTCGCGGGCGTCCCTGCGGCTTGGTGGTTGGGAGAGACGGAGGCACTTTTCCCTCCCCGGCGGGCCCCGCGTTGGAAATCCACAAGACCCGGCTGCCGGGTGGCTCAGTGACTTCAGAGTCGGCTCCGCACACGCAGGGAGTGGGCTGAAAATGAGTCCAAGAAAGATCGTGTTAAACAAAAACACAAATGCACAAATCATTTCTGAGAGCCCAACGGAGTTTCAGCTCTCTGGGTGGAAGACTTCTTTGCCTCCATCCCCCCTCCTCCCCCTTGTGCAGCTGTTCTTCTTTTAAAAGAAGTCGGACTTTCTGCTGGGGTGTATTCTAATTTTAATCATCCACTGTAAAAGGGGAGGTTAACAAAGAATTTCTGATTCTGACTTAATGATCCCTGGAATTAGATCTAATTCTATTAATGGAATATAAAGTGTTTTCGGGGGAGACCTGTGTGAAAACACTAGTTTTATTTGTTCTGTTATTTTATTTATTTTTGTTATTTTCTAATCAATCTTCCCAAGTGAGGATGCTATTGGGAAACACGTCCATTCACCTCGGGGAGAAGGGCCTGACCTAGCTCACTCTACACCCAGTGGCCCTGAGACCACCTTTGTCACAATCCAATACCCAACTTCAAAAATCTACAATTAACTTTTGCTATTTCTAAGAGATTAAATTTAAAAAATTACAGAAAACTTTTCTAAGGTGCTGGGTAGAGAGACATAAGACTGTGCTGTGGTCTCCACAATGCCTAATCAGGATATGGGATTATATATATATATATATATATATAAAATATGTTATTCTATATATCATTTTAGAAACAAAATTATGCGTCTAATATCTAGGAAGAGGGTAACTGATGTGTTGAGTGGGCAGACTTTTAAGAATTGGGCTATAGGATTACGTATGAAAGAACTTACAGTTTAGCCCAATTTAATTTTACTTTGCCAGGAAAACGACACTTCACTTTCTTTTTGCCTCACTTTTACTCACTAATCAAAAGTAATTGCATTTTAGTGATAATATCATTCTTGTTTGTACTTTGTTATTCACAAGTCCTGGCTCCTCTAATCTTTGGGGTCTGTAGCTGTTGGTTTGCTTTTCCTGGTCTGCTTGGAAAACAATGGTTTGCAGTTTATCTGCTTTTAAAATCAATCACTAAATAAAAATGACAATAATGGCTGGAAGTGAAGGTCACATGTGTTTAGAACTGTTGTTTATGGTGAAAAATGGGGCTTGTTCCTAGAACTGGAAATAATAATTTACCTAGAAGAGGAGAGTGGAAGGAGAAACCCCTTTCTTTTCTGAGAGCTAATTCTACATTATAGTTTTAAAATTACATTTGCAAGAAATGTGGAATAAGGGGGGGTGGCAGTTAGATGTCATTATCCAGAAAAAAAAAATGTTTGGAAGAGAGTTAACCTCACATACTTTTCATTTGAGATGTTTTAATTTATTGTGCAATATACACATAGATAAATCAAGCTGTGATGGGCTTCCAGTTGCACCGGACGGCTCAGGTCCCCTTAAATTACGATCAGCCTCTTCAAAACATATATTTAAACAATAGAAATAAACTTCATTGGAATCTAGCGACCAATTTGGAAGCCACTGGAAGAGAAGACAATAAGACCTGATTACACGCAAGGATTCTCTGTGATGTGATATCCCTTTTGCCAAGTCATTTTGCTGTTTTATTTATTTAATTTCTTTTTTTTTTTTAAACAAACTTTCATTCATTTATGGTCTTCCGCAACCTGCTAATTTAACACTGGAGCGCGTTATTGCAGTGTTAGGAGGAGAGAAAGAGAGAGAGAAAACAACAATACTGCAATGATCCAAATGATACAGTAGAATTATAGCAATTATAGTTCTACTTGTGGAAGAAAACCTTGCTGAGATCAGGCAAACAAACTGAAGCCTTGTGAGGATAACAAGCGTCGGGATTGACAGCCGGTGCTGGGAAGAGCCGGAGGGCACAAACAGAAATATTTGCTTCCCCCCACCCCCCCTTAACTCCAACCAGTCAAGGTTAACCTCCTCAAACGCTGCTTTCAGAGTCTTATCCACTTCAGGGTATGCATTTTATGCACAAATCGAGGTGTCTCCTCCTGGAAGTCTGGTAATAGGAGGAAGTGTAACATAATCCGCTTGCCTAGAACTTGCCCCTCGCCTTCTTGGCCTCCTGCGTGCTCTCCACTTCCTACCCTGCCTCAGTTCTCCCCACGGCTGTTGGGATCTCTCTGTGGACGGTGTTTATTTGTTGATGTATTTTCAAAGAAACAGCCCGTGGAAAGGTCCAAAGGGACTGATAGAACTTGGATTTCCTGGGAAGACTCTGTCGCGTTTGCTAATCCTTCCCTCTTCGCCGTGTCCTCCTCCTAAGCCGTGGGTTCCACAGTTAGGGCTTGGCTGGGAGAGGTTTGTTGGGAAGCAGCTTTTTTGGAAGCCTCCCGAGGACCACGGCCGAGCCCTCAAGGTATGGACGCGTGAGTGTGATGGCTATGTTAGGACAACTCCCCTTATTTGCAAACTTCCTCACTTTCTGTTGCCCGTCAGCAGCCGGGGGAGGGGGTGGGGGAGCAAGAACTAGAGAGGAAAGAGACCCCCTCACCGCCACCACCATCAGCCATCCGGGCGGCAGCCGAGGCTTTTTCAAGCTTTGCTCCAAGCATAAAGCTGGACGAGATGGTCGCAGCCTCCTGTCTGCTCTCAGAAGAGGGGGTGTGTGTCCCCTCCCACGGGCGAGAAGCAGGTGGTTGGGCTCTGAGCTCTCACGGAGTTCCTTGGCGGGAGTTCCCCATCTCCTGCCGCACCCATCCCTCCAGGTTTCCAGACCTGAGAGAGAGGGAAACTTTACTGTGCCCTGTAATCACCACCATCTGCTTTCTCCTCTCCTCCGCCGGACGGCGGGACCCCGCCTGCGGCCAGGGTCGAGGCGTCCCCGGTGCAGCGTTGACTCAGTAGCTGCTGCTCCGGGCGACCCTGGACGGGGTGGAGGGTGGGGACGGGTGGGCACAGATTGGAGCTAGAGTAAGATGCAGCGGGCTACCCAACGCGTGTGTCAATTCCCAGGCCGCGCGGACCGGAGCTGGGCTGTCGGCGTCCGCACCCCCAGCCTCCCCACCTCAGCCCCCTTTTCGGGCTCGGCTCAGCGCCACGGCCAGAGCGCGCCCCCTAGCGGGGGCTCCGAGTGGGCCGGGCTCTCCTGCCGCAACCTCTGGGGACTGAAGTTGGCAGAGCCCAGTGATCCGGCAGGAATGAATGGGGGAAAAAAACAAAAGCCTTGGAAACATTTCCAAGTGTTCAATAAAAGACCCATCTGTACCTTTCTTCTCCAGCGCGTTCGTGGTTAATGTCCCCCCATGCGCGCGAGAAGGGAGATAATTGCTGGGTGGATTCTTGTCGGCGAACCTCGGGAAACGCTGGACTGAGAAGTGAAATAATTGGGGGTGGGGCCAAGGCAAGCGTGCCGAGGATGCGACACCAGTCAGGAAGTCTGAATCTGCAGTCTCTGGGGTGTTCATGGAGGCCTGGCGGCCTGAGCCCTTAGATTCCTCAGTGCCTGGTGTTGGTGGTGGTGGTGGAGGATCGTCCGAAGGCAGCTACTCTGAGATTTCTCTGATTTGACATCGGCCTCTGTGGTACCTTCATATCACTCATGGTCCCCTCCTATCTTCTGATTTGAGAATACCCCACTCTGTGATTCTAAGTTCCCTGAGCTCAGATTTTGGGGCTCCCATCTTCTGAAGCTAGGAGTGTCCACTTTTTGACTAGATGATCCCCTACCTCCCGTCTCTGGGATTTCTCCATCTTCTGACTTGATGGACTTCTGGGCCACCACCCTGCTCCATCTCCCCCCAGGCATCCTCCTCTCCCACTCCTTTCACTTCTCCTGCAACATTTGCCTCTGGAAATCCTCAAATCCCAGCTTCCACTACTTCCACTACTCATACATTACCTACTCCCTCTTGGTCTGGCCAGAAATTGAGAAAAGAGAAATGCAGGGTTCTTGTCCAACCCTCTTTGACTTGTTCAACCTGGAAATAACTGAATTTTCTTGAAGCCCTTACAACCTCTGGTTTAAAAAAAAAAAGTTAAAGACGAAGCTTTTACAAATGTAAAAAATTCCCAGTTCAAATCGATCCATAACTTACTTCTTTTGCACCGAGTGTGTCAATCTGAACTCATCAATCAGAAAAACAGAAATCGTGCTTCTAAAGACCTGCAGGATTTTAAAGTTATACCAAGGCCACCAAAACACTTACTAGGTAGGGCCTAGAAAGGAAGAATCCAAAAATAGTAGCGACAACAGCTCCCAGAGTCCCTTATTTTGCGATGTGTCTTGCTAATTGGGAAGTTCAACACGAGGCTTTCCCTGCCCATACAAGGCTGGTATTTCAGAGCGGGAGGAGCAGATGGAAGGGGTCCTGTGGGAAGGGAGGTGTGGGTGTCCCTGTGTTTAATTAAGAGTTGTATTGTGTGGAAGGGAGGAGGAAAGATGCCGGGCTGCACAGCCCTCTGTTCCCTTCATCGCAAAATAACCTGCAAGTGAAAAAAAAAAAGAAAGAAAGAAAGAAAAAGAAAAAAAAAAAAAAGCCCGCTACTAAGACGGAGCCGGCTCTGGAATAGATACCATTAGAACCACAGTGTTTCTGGAATAAAGATATCTAATTTCCTGCCGCAAATCACTTCCCCGATCAGAAAACACAAATAGCTGAACAGAAGGGGGAAAAAATAGAGGACTCCTCCAAACCCGGGGCAGTGCTATCCTCCTCCCAACCACCCCCACTCTGCTCCCGACTTTCCAGCCCACCCGGGATCCCTTTTGAGGACACCCAGCATCTTTGAGGGAAGGGAGACGGCTCCCAGGCTGAGGTTGGGACAGCGACGGTGGCGGAGAACTGGGGCACTCACGGCCTAGGGGCCTCGTGGGGCCGCTGAGGCCGGGCCTGTTCGGCACCGACGGCGTCACCTCCTCTTCTAACCGGTCACCCCGGGCAGGGCCCTCCTCAGGGCACCGCTTGCCCGAGGCGGCCTCGGTTTCCCTGTCTGGAAGGAGGTGCAGGAGCCCGGGGGCAGGGGAGCTCCGGGCGCCCTGCTGGGGCCGCGCTACTTGGGGGCGTTGCGGCGGCGGCCCCGACGCCCCTTGTCAAATCGCCTCCAGGGTCTCGGGGACCCGGTGAACAAAGCCAAGACCCGACCCCCGGTGGCCCCAATGGCGCGGGTGAATGAGGACGCTGGACTTAGGGGCGCCCGCGAGAGGGCGCAGGCTGGGAGGGCCTGGGAGGAGAGGCGCCGGGCTCCGCGTGGGGCTCGTGACCGAGGGGCCCCCAGGACGCACAGACTCGATCGCGCCTCGAAAATGACCGTGGTGGTAGCAGGTGCAGGCGGAGAGTGGAGGCAGAAGGAGTGGGAGGAGGAGAGCAAATACATCTACTCAGATGCTAATGCACAGAAAGTGAGCCTTAGCTGTTTTTTCTTTGGAGATTAAATGAAATCTCAAACGGATTTGTTTTTGAGTAGGAAATTGTAGATTTCTCACAATCGCATGAAATTTTGTGTTGCACGCCTCTAATCAACATCACATTCTTTGCCCCCACTTTAGGCTTTGCAGGTCTTAGTACAGTTCTGGTACCCAGGAACATCTTTCCCGAACCAGAAAATTGCACTGTGGCTGTGGGAGTGTAGTAGGTACTTTTATTTGGGCAAATGGCACTTGATGTTTCATCCTCATGAGGTGGGCGCTGATTGATCTTTTCCCTTATTTAACCAGGCCTCATTCTTTTCCCTCAATTCTCCCATTACTGCTGTTGGGGCCATTTCATTGTTCATTACTCCTACGGTTTAAGGCTTGCAAGGGACTAAAAAGAAATTAAAAGCAACGTATTTTGCTTAGAGAATCCCAGAAAGGCTGGAAAGAAAGGCGATTGAAACCCACGGTTCAAGTGAAGTTTAGACATAGGAGTGATTTTTACATATTTCTTTTTCATGGATAATAGGGAGTTGGCGTTATCTGTCACTGTACGTTCTACCTAATAAATAGCTGCAAGACTATAATCTAACAGGTGTAAAATTTCCCTTTTCTGACAAATGAAGAGACCACCAACACTATCTTAAACAGTACAAATAGAAAATGCTGTTGTTGACAATCTTTCACACTATGGAGTCAATTCTAAGCTAGCTTGCTTTCTCTTTCTTTTCTCTTTCTTTCTTTCTTTCTCTCTTTCTTTCTTCTTCCTTCCTTCCTTTCTTCCTTCCTTCCTTCCTTGCTTGCTTCCTTCCTTCCTTCCTTCCTCATGCAGGCCTGGCTTTTGGGGTGTGTACCCCACACAGAGAGTTATAAACAAAGATAGGCTGATTTAATTTCTGCCCTCCCCCCCAACACAACCTGCAAAAATATCGAGGAGGGGCTTTTTACTCTCTGCCAACTGCAAAAGGGACTGATCATCAGAGAAAATGCCTGTCCTTTCTTTCACTCATTTCTCTTGATCTCCTCCAAAAATATGGCCTATTTAGTTATTAGGCATCACAGATTGGGAAAAGAAAAAGAAGCAGAGAGGGCTGTCCCAAGGCTCCATTCCCTAGGAGGTCCCACTTCCATCTGGCATATGTTGAGTCCTCCTGTTTTCCTCTCAAAGGGAGCCTTGTTTATGGAGGTTTTCTCTGCATTCATTTGTTCCCAGCCATCTCTTCAACAGCTGTCCCCCCACCTTCCCAGGATCCCATTGGTCAGGCTTCGCTCCCACTGCATGGAATGCAAAAATATCTCACCCAGAAATGTCTTGTCAAAGACAGAGAGGGAAACCGGCCCAGGCAATGCTGCCCTTGCATGTCATCATGGACCAATTCTTACCTGTTTCTCCTCACCCTCTTTCTCTCTTCTTCAGCTTCTGGGTTGAAGCATTTTGATGTTATTTATACGAAGGAAATGACATTAGAGTAACCTTTTTATTGCATTACACTAAAAGGAGATTGAACTATAACTTTGAAAATTGTGACATTCCAATGAGAGCTATATTAAATTGCTTAAAAACATTTCGAAGGCATCATTGGTATTGTCTGTAGTGGTAAGTGAAACAAAGGATTTCACAGCATGTCGGGTTTAATACAAACTATGCTCACATTTAAGTCTTTAAGCTATTAAATAGAAGAGAGGAGAAAGGGGATGGTGAAATAGTATCAGAGGGGGATGGAAGAGAGAGACAGAAGATGCCTAAGAGAAGACAATCCTGAGAATAAAAGGTGGCACAGACTGAGTGCTTACTCTTTGCCAGTACTTAAAATGTGTTTCCTGGCCAGGTGTGGTGGCTCAGGCCTGTAATCCCAGCACTTTGGGAGGCCAAGGTGGGCGGATCACTTGAGGTCAGGAGTTTGAGACCAGCCTGGTCAACATGGTGAAACCTTGTCTCTACTAAAAATACAAAAAAATGAGCCAGGCATTGTGGCACGCACCTGTAATCCCAGCTACTCAGGAGGCTGAGGTGGGAGAATTGCTTGAACCCAGGAGGCAGACGTTGCAGTGAGCTGAGATCGTGCCACTGCACTCCAGCTTGGGTGATACAGCAAGACTCTATCTCAAAAAAAAAAATGTTTCCTTCATATAAAGAACACCAAAATGCTAGACGGCTGCTCTAAGTGCTTTTCACACGGATCAACGAATCCTCCAGACAATCATATAGCGATGGTTCTATTAGAATCCCTCTTTTACAGATGAGAAAACCGAGGCACAGAGAGGGTGTCCAATTCAGCCTGGTTTTCCCAGGATTTGCCTGGGTTTCCAGGTGAAAGTCCTGTATCCTGGGAAATCCCTCAATCCCAGGCAAACTGCGATGGTTGCTCACCTGAGGCACAGGGAGAAGTAGTTTGCCCAAGGTCGGAGAGGTGGAGCCAGGATGGGAATGAGCTAGGCAGTCTGACTCTGGAATCTGCTGCTCTTATCCTCTGTAAATCTCACCCATTTTTACAGAATGAGTAACTTGGGGCATTAGAGAGAGATGAACTGACTTGTCCACAGTCACAGAGCTTGCTAGTAGTGGGTGGATGACTAAAATTTGGGACTAACAAATCACACCTCCTTTCTACTTTCAGCTACCTTCTGAAAGAGGTTTTGTAGAAAAGAAAGCAGCTTTAAAAAAATCTTAGAAGTAAGGAGCTAAATAAATAAACACATCCAAGAAAAAGACATCTACCATATTGAGAAACATCACGACCTGGCAGTATTAGAATATGTAGCAAAAGGAGGTCACCTATATTGTAAACACAATTTATAATGAAAGACAATTTCAAAATTGCAATAAGTACACAAAGAAAATAATTATATGGCACATGTGGCCATTAGGCAGGGAACATTTTAACTCCCTAAAGCATTTGGTGTATTGTTCTGATTCCATTATTGTTCACTAATGATGGTCATTGTTCCACCTCACGTCATCCTCAAAACTGGCAGCCCCCTGCAGTGGACATTGTTTCCAAACAGCTTCTCTAGGACCTTTCGGACAAACCTGCAAGAACTGATGATGTTCTGCGCATGGAGTTGGTAAGCAGGTTGTAGCTGGGCATTGGCCGGGAAAGAAGGCATTCTCACTTGGAACACAGCTCATTGTAAAAATGCAGTTTGACATCAATAAAAATAATCACTATTTGTTGTATTTCTTATAATTATAGGTCATCTCTTGGTGAGGCTCTGCAGTTCGTAAAGTGGCGATTTGGCCTCTGTCATGCTGATGCTGGAGGCAGCCAGGCCCCAGAGCCTCTCCTGGCGGGCATCCTGAATGCCAGAAGCTTAGGCACAACTTCAGGGAAGAAAACATTTTGGAAATGACGAGAAAACTGTGAGGGAGTTGCAACTGTAAACAGCAAATGTGCTAAAGACCAGAGACTTATGCAGAGCTAAAAGAGGGCAGGTGGAGCTGTTCTCAGTTTTTTACATGTGAAGAAAACATTGGGCTGACTCCATTCTGGTTCCGCAGAGCTAAAATGTGCCTTGATGACTGTTGTTGTTTTATTTAACACAAGCACCCGGGGCTGCGTGAGGATCAGGGCTTGATGAGCCAAAGGATTCTGAGAAAAAAGGTGAACAGCTGTGGTTCTTGTCAAACACAAACTCTTAATCGTTGCTTAATCATTCCCCCATATTAGACATTTGTGTTATTTTAATTGTTTGCTATCGCAAATAGCATTGTAATGAAAACCTTTGGGCACCTAACTTATTCTTTTGCATTATTTCCTTTACATAATTTCCTGAGAGTGGGATTACTGATTAAAGCGTATGAACATTTTAGTCTCTTGAAATATTGCCAAAATGTCTCCAACTGGTTGAACCAATTGACACTACCTTTACATGAATGTACCAATTTTGCTACAACCTTGCCAGCATTATGTATTACAGCTTCCCCCTGCCACCCCCGCCTCAAAATATGGTGATTTAAAAAACTCTATACTTGACTCTAGTTCTCCTAACTCTATGCTCGGTATCTTCCCCCTCACTCCAGCATCTCTATCTCTTGCCTGTCTGAATGGCTTGAACTAAGACGACAAGAATACATGAGAAGAAAGGTAATCCTGGCCGGGCACGGTGGCTCACACCTGTAAGGCGGGTGGATCACCTGAGGTCAGGAGTTCGAGACCAGCCTGGTTAACATGGTGAAACCCCATCTCTACTAAAAAAATACAAACAATTAGCCAGGTGTGGTGGCGGGCGCCTTGATTCCAGCTACTCGGGAGGCTGAGGCAGGAGAATCACTTGAACTTGGGAGGTGGAGTTTGCAGTGAGCCGAGATTGTGCCACTGCACTCCAGCCTGGGCAACAAGAGCAAAACTCCGTCTCAAAAAAAAAAAAAAAAAAAAAAAAGAAAGAAAGGTAATCCTAAAGCAGTGCACATCTGCCATGCTCGGCAAGGTTTGGAAGACATCTGTAACAGAATGTGCAGTATATGAGGCCCTGGGCTCTGGAATCAATGAGACAGGGCTTGGAGCCAATTCTTTCCACTTCTGGCTCTGTAGCCATGGGCAATCAAATTAACCTTCAGTTTCTTCACCTGAAAATTGAAGATGATAAAAGTACCTGCAGCACTGTGCTACACTATAGATGCTAAATAAAAGTCAGCTTATATTGTGTGACACATGAATACTGAAATGCACATTATTTTACATGCTTTTTTTTTTTTTTTTTTTGAGACAGAGTCTTGCTCTGTCACCCAGGCTGGAGTGCAGTGGTGTGATCTCAGCTCACTGCAACCTCCTCCTCCTGGGCTCAAGTGATTCTCCTACCTCAGCCTCTTGAGTAGCTGGGACTACAGGTGTGCCCCACCACACCCGGCTAATTTTTGTATTTTTAGTAGAGATGGGTTTCCACCATGTTGGCCAGTCTGGTCTTGAACTCCTGACCTCAAGTGATCCGCCCGGCTTGGCCTCCCAAAGTGCTGGGATTACAGGTGTGAGCCACAGCACCTGGCCTTATTGTACATATGTTTTTGAATGCTTGTATAATTATTTTTATGGAATATTGACTCAGGACTGGAATTGCTCCATTTAAAGGTATGTATGGTTTAAACTATAGATATTGACAAAATGTCCTTTAAAAAGACTATTTGACTTTGTACTTTGACAAACAACATTGATAGCTCTGGGTATTTTCAATCTTGTAAAATATTGTTAGTTTCATGAAGAACACCCAAGAGCTTATTATTATTATTATTATTATTTTAGACAGGGGATAACTCTGTCACCCAGGCTGGAGGGCAATGGTGCAATCATGGCTCACTGCAGCCTTGACCTCCTGGGCTCAGGTGATCTTCCCACCTCAGCGTCTGAAGTAGCTGGGACTACAGGCACATGCCACCACCCCCAGCTAATTCTTTGTATTTTTGTAGAGACGGGGTTTCGCCATGTTGCCCAGGCTGTTCTTAAACTCCTGAGCTCAAGCGATCTCCCCTCCTCCGCCTCCCAAAGTGTTGGGATTACAGGCATGAGCCACTGCACCTGGCAGAGCTTATTATTTTTATGTGCGTTTCTTTCATTATTAGTGAGGTCAAGTATTTTTTCATGTGACAATTGGCCAATTGTATTGCCTCTTCCATGACTCATCTGTTCTCAATTGCTTACTAATGTGCAAATTATTTTACCCACGGGTGCTATGTCTTAAAAGTTTGCTAGAGCTTTATAAAAAGCTGGCATGAGAATCACTGTGAGATTATCGTTAGTTTTACTCTGATTTCCTTTAGCTTCTAAGCATAATGGCCAGTGTTTATTTTCATGCGTTTTCATGAGTTTATTTCACAAGCTGAAAGACCACATTTCTTGGCCTCCCTTTCAGGAAGGAGTGGCCAATTTAACTAAATTCTGGAGAAGGACGCGTTTTGTGTGGTGTTTCCAGGAAGTCATCTTAAAAGAGAGGAGTTTTATAGACCAATGTCCCTCTCTTAGTCTTCTAGATGGTTTGTCTTGAAGGGATGTGAGACAAAGACTGCTAATTGCATCCAAATATCCATTCTTTTGGTGGTGGGTTAAAGAGACTGCAAATTTTGTGTCACTCCCGGCTGCTGCTGGTACTGGGGCCCGAGGAGGGATATGCCCGAGTGGGGCCGCCTGACCAAGGGAGCGACAAACATGACACCCGCCGACGCCTCAGCCGCTTGGGGCCTGCACGGACCCTCTGCTTCAGTGCAGAATGAACCAAGGAGACTCAAACCCAGCAGCTACTCCGCATGCGGCAGAAGACATTCAAGGAGATGACAGATGGATGTGTCAGCACAACAGATTTGTTTTGGACTGTAAAGACAAACAGCCTGATGTACCATTTGCGGGAGGCTCCGTGGTGCAGTTACTGCAGCCATATGAGATATGGCGAGAGCTTTTTTCCCCACTTCATGCACTGAATTTTGGAACTGGGGGAGATACAACAAGACATGTTTTGTGGAGACTAAAGAGCGGAGAACTGGGGAATACTAAGCCTAAGGTCATTGTTTTCTGGCTAGGAAGAAACAACCATGAAAATATGGCAGAAGAGGTAGCAGGTGGTATGGCGGCCATCGTACAACTTATCAACACAAGGCAGCCACAGGCCAAAATCATTGTATTTGATCTGTTACCTCAAGGTGAGAAACCCAACCCTTTGAGGCAAAAGAACGCCAAGGTGAACCCACTCGTCAAGATTTCGCTGCTGAAACTTAACCAACGTGCAGCTCCTGGATACTGACAGGGGTTTCGTGCACTCCGACCGTGCCATCTCCTGCCACGACATGTTTGATTTTCTGCATTTGACAGGAGGTGGCTACTCAAAGGTCTGCAAACCCTTGAATGAACTGATCATGCAGTTGTTGGAGGAAACACCTGAGGAGAAACAAACCACCATTGCCTGACTGGCTCCCATGAGTGTCAATAGCATCTCAGCTTCCTCAGATCAGTTATATCACCAGCACTCCAGAATCCTTCTCTTTCTTAAGGCACTTTGCATTGAAGAATGTTCCTGGATGTTCATATCTAGTGTTTGAAGGGGAGGAGGGGTTTAAACTGGTCCTGTACATAGAAAATTTGTTTGACAGAGGAGAAAAATTAGCCAAGGAAGATTGTTGTTTCAATTCATTTGAAACCAGAAGGGGACTTTTTAGTTGTATATGTAACATGTTCATTGAATTATTACTGCTTTCCTAGGACAACATCAAGCCTAAATACTGAACAACATGAAGATTCTTTTCTTGGCCTTTCTTGGATTACATTGTATATAATAATTCTTAGAATCATACCTACTTGGCTTTAAAACATTTTTTTTCCATTTTTTTAAGGTTCATAATTTAGTCTTTGGTTTTTATGTTGCTTAGATTCATATGCATATTGAATGTTTTCTTTTTCTTTCTTTTTTTTTTTTTAAGATGGAATCTTGCTCTGTCACCAGGCTGGAGTGCAGTGGCGCGATCTTGACTCACTGCAACCTCCGCCTCCCGGGTTCAAGCGATTCTTTGCCTCAGCCTCCCGAGTAGCTGGGACTACGGGCACCCACCACCACGCCTGGCTAATTTTTGTATTTTTAGCAGAGATGGGGTTTCAACATCTTGGTCAGGCTGCTCTCGAACTCCTGACCTCGTGATCCGCCCACCTCAGCCTCCCAAAGTGAGCTGCCGTGCCTGGCTGAATATTTTCTTAACATGCAGCATCAGGTTGAACATGCTTGTCATTCAAATATGGAAGATGCTATAGTTACAAGTGAATTTATTCTGCTTTCTTAATCTTTCCTGTCCTTAGCAGTGAGAAACAGGTTTTGCCCCAGTAGGGGGACTCTTTGGAGGGTATTATTTTTATGCTGCTGAATATCATGTCTATAATGGACCCGTGCATGCAGCCTTTCCTCCCGTTTCCCCATCATCCCCTCTTTTTTTTTTCTTTTTTTTGGTCCTTGTTGACATTACAAGCTTTTAACACATTTTCGACCTAGGAGCCCTGTTGCTGGAAGTATAGTCTCTAGCCAGCTACTCTTATGATAGTACTGCTATAAAATTCATTCTTGTGTGGTATTCTGTGCTATAGAGTCTGTGTATTGCTATTCATATTCGGAGTTCTGGTTTGTTTTGTTTTTCCCTTAAAACCTGTTACAGTTTTTTTTTTTTTTTTTTTTTGCTGGGTGGTTGGGGGGTAGGGAATCAGAACTCTGTTTCCCATTCCATATCACCTGACATTATTTCAAGTTTTATAATATCTTAGGTGTATATTCTATTTCATTTTATTTTATTTATTTATTTATTTTGAAATGGAGTCTTGCTCTGTCGCCCAGGCTGGGGTGCAGTGGCACGATTTCGGCTCACTGCAACCTCTGCCTCCCGGGTGCAAGCAATTCTCTTGCCTCAGCCTCCTGAGTAGCTGGGACTATAGGCGCCTGCCACCATGCCCAGCTAATTTTTGTACTTTTAGTACACACAGGGTTTCACCATGTTGGCCAGGCTGGTCTCAAACTCCTGACCTCAGGTGATCCACCTGCCTCGGCCTACCAAAGTGCTGGGATTACAGGCATGAGCCACCGCACCTGGCCTTTATATTTTATTTTTTTATTGGCTTAGTTTTTAATTTATTGTCCAAAAAATTTTGGGCCTTTTTCTATGGGGAAACAAGTGAAGCTGCTCTTCAGCATAGACTACCTTTATCCCATTATTTTACTAAAAAAGAACCAGGTTTGTTTCACTTCTAAGGTGTCTCATTAATGTACTTCATCTGAGAATTTGTTTTAAGAGCGCACTTTATAATCTTGATGTTTGCTTGAGCTGTAAGAACTGCCATTTCTAAAAAATAATGGGATAATAGATGGTTTATTCAGTATACCTAGTGAATATGTACAAACTGGATCTACAGATATTTTGAACTGGACCAGGTGGGTATTGAAGTAACCCATCAAAATATGCTCTGCAGTGATTCTGCTTAATGTTCTAATTCAGTAATGAATGTTTTATGTTCTACTGGAAAGGCAAATGGCAGTGCATTTGTGTGTTGGAGGAGGGGTTAGTGATTTGTGCTAAGACCCACTTCTGACTGTGAGGGATAGAACTTGGGCTCATTTTTTCTTTTCTTTTCTTTTTTCTTTTTTTTGAGACAGAGTCTCGCTCTGTCGCCCAGGCTGGAGTGCAGTGGTGTGATCTCGGCTCACTGCAAGCTCTGCATCCCTGGTTCACGCCATTCTCCTGCCTCAGCCTCCCAAGTAGCTGGGACTACAGGTGTCCACCACCATGCCTAGCTAATTTTTTGTATTTTTAGTGGAGACAGGGTTTCACCGTGTTAGCCAGGATGGTCTCAATCTCCTGACCTCGTGATCCACCCATCTCAGCCTCCCACAGTGCTGGGATTACAGGTGTCAGCCACCGCGCCTGGCCTAACTTGGGCTCATTTTTTCTTGTGAAGTCTCTTTCTATAATTTTTTTTTGTTTTATTCTTTTTTTAAAAAAATACTTTTTTTGAGCAACAGAGTGAGACTTCATCTCAAAAAAAATACTTTTTTGAATGTATCATGTCTTCATTAACAACAGAAAATCCACATGGTATTTACTAAACTTGTTTATGATATTAAAAATTTCCTTTTTATTTTTAGTAGCCCAGGTTATTGAGTTTTTCACTAGAGATTTTTTTTCTTAGCTGAGGTATAGTTGTATAGGAAGAAGAATTAAGTCAGATTTTTGTGTGTGGAAAGACAGTTTTCTTTTCTTTTCTTTTTTTTCTTTTTTTGAGACAAAGTTTCACTCTTGTCGCCCAGGCTGGAGTGCAATGGCACCATCTCAGCTCACTGCAACCTCTGCCTCCCTGGTTCAAGCAATTTTTGTGCCTCAGCCTCCCGAGTAGCTGGGATTACAGGTGCGTGCCACCAGCCTGGCTAATTTTTGTATTTTTAGTAGACACAGGGTTTTGCCATGTTGGTCAGGCTGATCTCAAACTCCTTACTTCAGGTGATCCACCCGCCTCGGCCTCCCAAAGTGCTAGGATTACAGGTGTGAGCCACCACGCCTGGCTGGAATGACAGTTTTCTATCCAGGTCTTTTTCTGTTTGTCAGAAGGTGGGAGTACGATCCAAACAAATCCATTAGGTTACTCCTGCAGCATGCACTTTTAGCTTCTCTCTTGAACTAGAATCCCATATCCCTGGCCTTCAGCTCCTTTGCTCATGTGTATAAACCTCAGATGTTACTACATTTTATATCTATCAGAGCTATTAAGCAATAGTATTTGAACCACTAGCCATTTAAATAAAATTCTGCCCCGTTACTCAGGTGCAGATATTGAGTTCACTTTCATTTTTTGCCAGACTTCTTTGCACTACTTTAAGCAAAAATAGTCAATCTATTTTTCTTTGATTGACATCCCAGTTTGCTTCAGTGACAGAACTTACTGCTTAGTCTTTGTACTTTAAAAGAAATCTATAAATTTAATGAACTGTCCAAGTGAAATGTCGTAGTTGTCATTGTGATTAAGGGGCCAACTTTCCAGGCAGCTAGCAGAGATACTATTCTCTTCCTCTCCCAGCACATTTTTATTCCTTCATCCACACATTCCTGCTACACTAGATGGCAGCCAATGATGGAACTATAAAGATGTCTGTGGTGGTATCTCAAATGTGGCAGCTTGAAGATAGACTGCCCAGGGTGACGTAGGGCAGGTTGTCTTCCAGTGCGTGTGTTCTAGATTGCCATAGACCATGCTGTGGCTACCACCCTGGGTCTACTTGGACTGTCAAGGGCATCTGCCTAAACCAGAATTTTTTGTCTGAAACCTTAGCCCAACAAAATAAATCTTGAGTAGCTCATGCCTGGCTCTTAGGAATTTTGTTTCTTTGTTTCTTTAAAAAAAAAAAAAAAAAAAAAAAAAGGCGGCCAGGCATGGTGGCTCACGCCTGTAATCCCAGCACTTTGGGTGGCCGAGGCGGGCAGATCATGAGGTCAGGAGTTTGAGACCAGCCTGGCCAACATGGTGAAACCCCATCACTACTAAAAATACAAAAATTAACTGGGCGTGGCGGTGGGCACCTGTAATCCCAGCTACTTGGGAGGCTGAGGCAGGAGAATCTCTTCAACCTAGGAGGCGGAGGTTGTAGTGAGCCGAGATAGCACCACTGCACTGCAGCCTGGGTGACAGAGCAAGACCACATCTTGGGGGGCGGGTGGGGGGTGGGGGGAGTCCAACTTACTTTATTTTTATTTTTATTTTTTTTAACCTAGTCACTGTTTACAGTTGTATGCTAAAGCCCAAAATATTGTCTGTGCTGTGGTGTATGAGCATTGCCAATTTTATATTTATTGCAGTGAAGAAGAAACTAAAAATATATGAAAATGAGGAGCTCATTTTCCAATGTCATTGGAAAATGTCCAAGCTCCTAAATCTGTGTGGGTGCATATGGCAGAAGTGAGTTGGGGGCCTCTTGAAAGGAGGCTTTTTGGAGAGGGGTCTCCCAGGCTTCTCCTTGGTGTTCCTGCTTGGGGATCACTGCTGCTAGCTGACTGGGCCTCCCCAGTGGAAGTTTGTGATTTTGCTTTGACAAAGTTTCATTGACTAGTAAAACTCATTCTGTTTTAGTGTATATTTCAATAGAAATGTAAACATTTTGCTCAAAAAAATATTTTGTGTCACTCCCCTCATAGAGAAGTGAAGTTTATTTCTCCTCCCCCTTGAATTTGGACTGGCCCTGTAACTGCTTTGACCGGTAGAGGGTGGTGAAGTGACACTTTGCCTAAGCTTTGAGAAGGCCTGGAAGATTCTGCTTTGTGGTTTTGGATGCTCAGTGGGAGAGAGGTCACATAGAGAGAATGTGTGGAGAGGAGAGGCCATGAGATCATAACAAGGAAGAGACAGGTCCAAGCATATCAGTTGACTGCCAACTGCGTGAGACCCCAAGTGAGGCCAGCGTAAGAACTGCCCAGCTGAGCCCACTCAACCCACAGATTTATGAAAGATAATAATATGGTTATTGCTGTATTATTTATTTTTGGTTGCTATCATTTTAAGCCACTAAGTTTTAGGGTGGTTTACTAGGCAGCAATAGATAACCAAAACACTCCCTATATCCTTTAGTACCCAAACCCTGATTTTTACCTGGGCATGTGCAGCTGAAAGACCACATTTTTGTGGCCTCCCTTTTGGGAAAGAGTGGCCAATTTAACTAATTCTGGAGAAGGACACGTTTTTTGTGGTGTTTCCAGGAAGTCATCTTAAAAGAGAGGAGTCAGGCCTTTGTCTGCATTCCTCAAATTTGCTGCCTGGAATAGATGTGATGGCTGGAGCCAGGAACCATGAAGACAAGAACCACATCCTAGGGATGGCAGAGTGGCTGGCTGGAAGGTACCTGGATCTCTGACAATCTTAGAGAGCTATCATACTCCAGCCCTGAACCTACTATTTCCACACATATTTTATAAGAAAGGGAAATATATCTCTTTTCTGATTGAAGCCATTGTTTTTTTGTTTTATTTTCTGTTCCTTGCAGCTGAACCTAATCCTCAGAGACATAGGACAAGACCAAATTCCATTATGAAGCATGTTGCCTTGCCTTTGCAAAAGGGGCTTATGTACAATAATTCATTTGTCTACTTTATGGGAACCCTGCATCTGGATAAAATGGTGAACAAAATCAGACATAGCCCCTAAGACATGATTAGCTTATAGTTAGTCAAATCATCACAGAACAAATGGAAAACTGTAACTGTCACAAGCCTTTGACAGACAAGCTCATGGTGTCAGCATAACCCATAATATGGCCTTTGCTGAATCAAGGAAGACAGGGTCAGGAAGTGATATTTGAGCTGATGTCTGAAAAGTAGGCTGGAGTTAACTCCATGATGAGGATAGGGAAGAGCGTTGCAGGTGGAGGTGACAGCACAGCGGTTCTGCAGTAGGAGAGAGCATGGCAAATACAATGGACAGAAAGATGATGTAGCTAGAGTTGGGAGAATGAGGTGAGTTTGGTATGCATGAGGCCAGAGAAGGTTGCAGATGGGAGAATGAGTAGGTTGTTTTCGTGAGTCTGGTCAATGTTTTAAAAGCATTGAAAAACCACTGAGGGTTCTAAGCTGTCGAATGGCAGTGGTCTAAAGGGGAGAAGATAGTAGTGCAGGAGATGGAGAGAAGTCAAAAGATTCAAGAGCTATTTCTCACTCATACTTTTGTGCTTGGGTTCCTGGTTTTGGTTTTTATTTGTTATTGAGAGGTTGAACTGAACTAACTTAATTTTTGGTGAAACCAGGCATATTTGTTAGATTGGACTGTATGCAAGTCAGTGACAACAGTGGTTTAAACAAGTTGGAAGCCTATTTCACTTTCATATAGATGTCGGAACTGATATGGTGGCTCTATTCCAAGAAGTCATAGAGATCCCAGGATCCTTCTGTCTTTTTGCTTTTTTGTCCCTAGGTTGTTGACTTCATCTGCATGACCCGACTTAGTGCATGTCAACGTTCCATCCCTGGAACAGGGGAGAGGAAAGGAGAGGTCACCTCCCTTCTCTTTTTGGGTATGGTTTAGCAGTTGCACACATTGCTCTTTATCATATCTCAATGAGCAGAACTTAGATACACTGTCACATCTAGATGCAAAAAAGTTTTAGAACTGTAGTATTTATTCTGTACAGCCTTGTGCCTGGCTAGAACTTTAGAGAGCGACTACTATAGATAATCAGATGGAAATATGCACCTGTGGGCAAAATCCAACCATGCCCACTTATTTGCATGGTCTATGGCTGCTTTTGCACTACAAGTGCCCTTGGTTCTCCAGCATGTGGACAGTGTAGGGGCCAAAAGGATCCCTGGTACCCTAGTGGGTGGGCTGGTTGGTAGCTGGACAGTTCCCCTAGGTCACCAACACAAGGGACTGACTGTGGGACTGATGGTGGCTGAAAGGATCCTGGAGAAACAGTATGAGGGAGAATGATTGTCGATAGAGCTGTAGATTCTACAGCAAGTGGGCAGGCTACTGCCTGAGTAACCTCACTCCTCCATGACCCCAGTTTGTTGTCAGGCTGGTGACTGAAAGGGATCTCTGAGCACAACTCCTTGGCAGGTTGGGGGCTGGTAGGACCATTGGAACCTTGGCATGCAAGCCGGCTACTGTCTGGAAGGTCCCCTCCCTGCCACCAGAGCACCAGTGCAAGAGACTGACAGTGGCTCTTCATTCCACAGAATGAAGGCAGGCTGATGGATGGAAGGACCTTCAGTTCTTCAGCACATGTGTAGGTAGGGGGCCTGAAGGACAAAGGGAACTGTGGCCTGTGGGTGGGCTAGGGACTGGAAGGACCCCATGGCACTAGGGCAAAGCCAGTTGGTGGCTGGAAAGGGCTCCCAGGCACCAGAACACTGGAAGGATGGTGGCTGAAAGGGCTCTAGACTCAACTGCTTGTGGGCAAGTTGATGACTAATGGCATCCTGTTCCCTGGCCTACAGGCAGGCTGGGGGATAAAATGATTCCTAGAACCTTAGTGAGTGGGCAAGTTGGTGACAAGGGCCACTGGGACATGGTCCCAAGGAAAGGATGGTGAAGAAGAGCCTAAAGGGGCTCTTGCTTCCACAACACTCAGGCCACAAGAAGCCAGAAGGGCCTTCAGTTTCCCAGGTGAACGCAGGCTGGAGCCTAGAAGGACTGACTGCTACATGGCACCTGGGCAGGCTGGTGGCTGAAAGGGCTCCAAGGACACTAGTTCATGTGCAGGCTGGTGACCCTAAGGGTCTCCAATACAGTTCTCTAGCTCACAAGCAACTGGGTAACCTGAAGGGCTTTCTTTACACTGGTACTCTAGAAGGACACTGGCCGAATGGGCCCTGGCTTACTACTGCACATGAGCATGCTGAGAGATTGAAGGACTGGCAGAACCCTGTTGTGTGGACAGGCAGGTGGCTGGAAGGAGCCAGGGGGCATCATCATGCAAGATGGTGGCTGAAAAAGTCCTCACTTTCCCAGCAGGCAAGCAGCCTGTGGCCAGAAGGCAACTCTGTTTTCCAGCATGCAAGAGCTGTAAGAAGACAAAAAGGGTCTCATCAATACAGTATGTGGGCAAGAGAACTTCTGGATGGTCCTCAGTTCCCTAACATGCATGGAAGCTGGAGGGCCAAAATAACCTGCAGAACTCTCGTTGAGAGTCAGGTTAGGGACCGGAAGTCCCTCCAGGATACCAGGGTGTGGGAAACAGTTGCCAAAAGGCATCTGTCTTACATAGTGCCTGGAGACCTGGGGGCGGGTCTTAGAGTTCCTCAGTCCACCACAGGTTGGGGCCCTGAAGGATCCACTGGTGTGTGGATTTCAGGATGGCTGGTGCTCAGAAGGGCCTCCAATCCTGTTATCCAGCTGCTGATTAGCTGGTAGTCGGAAGGGTCCTTGATACACCCGCATGAAGAATGGAAAGAAGGATGGTGGCTGAGAGGGCTCTCACTTCCCCAGTATACCTACAGCCCGAGACCAGAAAAGTCCTCAGATCCGTGGTGAGTGAGGCCCATATGGTGGCCCAAAGAGCTCTCATTTCCACAGTAAGTGGCTCACTGATGGTCATTTTACCCTCTGTTTCTCAGCAAGTAAAGCAAGGTGGGGAGGGGGTTAGTGTGGTGTTGAAATGACCCACGGAACCTTAGCAAGTGGCCAGATTTCTGACAGGAAGACCCCTTGGGGGCACCAGCGCGTAGGGCAGGATGGTAGCTGAAAGAGCTCCTGCTTCCTCAAAACGCGGTTGGTGTGAAGATAACAAAAGGCCCTTGGCTCTATAACATGTGAGGCCGGGATGGTGGCGGAAGTGGCTATCAGTTACATAGTTATCGGCTGTAGAATTGCTGGAATGGCCTCCATTCCCCACCATGCCGGAAGGTGGGGGCCGAAATGAGCCACGGAACCCTAGTGAACAGCCAGGTTGCTGACCGGCAGGGCCTCTGGAACACCAGTGTGAGAAAGATGGTTGCCAAATGGGCTTTTGTTTTCACAGCACTTGGGAGGCCTGAGACTGTAAGGGCTTTTAGTTCCCTGTCCGCTGCAGCCTGGGGACCTTAAGGATCCATGGATGTGTGGATTTTGGGCTGCCTGGTGGCTGGAATGGCCTCCAATTCAGTTTTCCAGTTGGAAAGCAGTGAGTAGCCGGAAGGGCTCTCAGTGCACCAGTATGGAGAGAAGGACGGTGGCTGAGCAGGATCTCACTTCTGCAGTACGTGGGCAAGTTGTAGCAGGAAGGAACCTCGGTTCCCCACCCCTGGGGAGCCCATTTGGTGGCCAAAAGGCACTTTCATTTCCAAAGCACATTGGCCGGCTGAAGACTGGTTGGCGCTTGGTTCCCCAGTCCCAGGCAGGTCGGGGGCTAAAATGACCCAGGGAACTCTAGTGGGTGGGCATTTTTCTGACCGGAACCCCCTTCCCCGCCCCACCAGTGTGAACCGGAGAGGGAGAAGTATGGTGGCCCAAAGGAGTCTCCTGCCCACGGTAAACCTGAGATCTGAAGCCCCCCGAGCCCTCAGCTCCCCACTACGCGAGGCCCATATGGTAGTCAACAAGGCTCTCATTTCCACAAGGCGTGTTCCAGTGATGGTTGGCACTCTCTTTCTCAGCATGCATGTAGGCCAGGGGTCCAAATCACCAAGGGAACATTAAACGGCGGCCAGGTTTCTGATGGGGAAGTCCCTTGGGACACCAGCACTTAGAAGAAGGGTGGCTGAGAAACCTCTCACTTCCACAGCACACAGGCAGGAAGGACCACAAGGGCCCTTGCCTCTCCACCGTGCAAAGGCTGTAAGGTGGTCCAGAGTGCTCTTATTTCCACAGCAAGTTGAAGACCGATGGCTGGTTGACTTTTTTTTTTTTTTTTTTTTTTTTTTGTGACGGAATCTTGCTCTGTTACCCAGGCTGGAATGCAATGGCACTCTCAGCTCACTGCAACCTCCGGCTTCCGGGTTCAAGGATTCTCCTGGCTCAGCCTCCTGAGTAGCTGGGATTACAGGCGTGAGCCACCGTGGGGGTACATGCCACCACCTCCAGCTAATTTTTGTATTTTTAGTAGAGACGGGGTTTCACCATGTTGGTCAGGCTGGTCTCGAACTTCTGACCTCGTGATCCACCCACCTCGGCCTCCCAAAGTGCTGGGATTACAGGCGTGAGCCACCGTGCCCGGCTGGCTGGTTGACTCTTTGTTCCTCAGTACCCATGGAAGCTGGGGGCCAAAATGACCAGGCAGAACCCTAGTGGGTGGGTTCATGGGACCTTCCATGAACCAGTGCAGGTGAAGCATAGTGGCCCAGTGGGTTCTCATGTCCACAGTGCACCTGTGGCCTGGGTCCAGAAGAGCCCTTGGCTTCCCACAACATGAGGCCTGTAAGGTGGCCAAAAGGGTTCTCATTCCCACGGCATTTGGGCAGGCCGATGTCTGGTTGGTCCTCTGTTCTTTGACATGTAGCAGTCTGGGGTCCTGTATTACTTCGTTTGGATTACTGTAAAGAAATACCAGAGACTGGATAATTTAGAAAGAAAAGTGATTTAATTGACTGACGGTTCTGCAGGCGGTACAGGAAGTGTGGTGCTGGCATCTGCTTCTGTAGGCCTCAGGAAGCCTACAATCATGGTGGAAAGTGAATGGGGAGCAGGCAAGAGCCAGAGCAAGAGAGTGGGGAGGTGCCACATACTTTTAAACAACCAGATCTCCCATGAACTCACTCATCACCAAGGGGATGGCGCTAAGCCATTCATGAGGAGTCAGCCCTCATGATCCAAACACCTCCCACCAGGCCCCACCTCCAAAACTGGCCATTACATTTCAACATGAGATTTGGAGGGGACAAACATCCAAACCATATCAGGGCTGAAATAACCTGGGGACCTCTAGTGGGCAGATAGGCTGGTGACCACGTTCTTCAGGGTGCTGGTAATTTGTCTTATTAATTCATAGGCTTTCAGAAGAAGAGAAGCCAAATGTGGACTTCAGCAGATGGGGAGAACAGCACATCCCCCAGAGATCATGGTCTTTTATCTGGATGCAGTGACCAGGTAACGCTTTGTTTTTTCTTTCTTTGGGGAGGTGGTTTGTGTCTAGGTTGAAGCGTGTAATGCATATTTGATGACCAGAAGAGAGGAATATGGCAAGATTGCAAATGTTTATCAATGTCCTTGTTCTCTTTTTTCCTGGGCCCTAGCTTCCCTTGCAGTTGAGTGTGGCCATGTGACTAAGTTCTGGCCAACAGAATTTGAGTGGATGTGATGTGAGCCATATCCAGGCCTGGCTCATGATAAACATACCAGATGCCATCCTCTCTCTGTGTCTCCATCCATAGTTAGGTGGAGAGGATTTCATGGACCTAGAGAAGGGCAGACCCACAAGATGGAAGGAACCTAGGCCCTTGAATGACTGTATGGGGTTCAACACATACTCCCCTTCTCCAACCTTACTGGACAAGTGACATAAATGAGCAATAGACTTTAATTTAGCTGAGATATGGAAAATTCAGGAGTAATCTCCTATAGTAGCTAGTATTGTTGCTCTTTATTATTATTATTATTATTATTCTTTTTTGAGATGGAGTTTCACTCTTGTTGCCCAGGCTGGAGTGCAATGGCGCCGTCTCTGGTCACTGCAACCTCCGCCTACTGGGTTCAAGCGATTCTCCTGCCTCAGCCTCCCAAGTAGCTGGGATTACAGGCACCAGCCACCACGCCTGGCTAATTTTTGTATTTTTAATAGAGACGGGGTTTTCACCATGTTGGCCAGGCTGCTCTTGAACTCCTGACCTCAGGTGATCTGCCCGCCTCGGCCTCCCAAAGTGCTGGGATTACAGGTGTGAGCCACAGTGCCCGGCCTTATTGTTGATCTTAACTAAACAACTTGGTGTCTTGAACCAGCTGAGTTCTCTGAAACCCATTTTAAGTCTTTTTTTTTTTTTTTTTTGAGACAGAGTTTCACTCTTGTTGCCCAGGCTGGAGGGCAGTGGCGTGATTTCAGCTCACCGCAAACTCCGCCTCCCGGGTTCAAGCGATTTTCCTGCCTCAGTCACTCGAGTAGCTGGGATTACAGGCATGCACCACCACGCCTGGCTAGTTTTGTATTTTTAGTAGAGACGGGGTTTCTCCATGTTGGTCGGGCTGGTCTTGAACTCCTGACCTCAGGTGATCCACCCACCGCGGCCTCCCAAAGTGCTGGGATTACAGGCATGAGCTACTGTGCCCAGCCCATTTTAAGTCTTTAAGGTCCTGGTGGTTGGACGTGAAGTTTGGATGGTCAATATCACACTGCTGATCCTTGGCCACTGGCTTTTGTTGGTGACTTCAGTTTTGGTGAGTCTCTCCTTTGAGCTGTACCTTTTGTGCACTCAACCCAAGATAAGATCTTGGACCTAGGCCGGCAATGGTCTCAGCAGAGAGCATGTCCAATAGGTATTTTAAAAGCCTCGAGGGTTTGTCAAAAGGAGTTTCCTTATTCTTGTTAAAGTCTCTCCCCCTGGCCAGGCACGGTGGCTCATGCCTGTAATCCCAGCACTTTGGGAGACCAAGGCGGGTGGATCACCTGAGGTCGGGAATTCGAGATCAGCCTGGCTAACATGGTGAAACCCCATCTCTACTAAATATACAAAATTAGCTGGGCGTGGTGGCACATGCCTGTAATCCCAGCTACTCGGGAGGCTGAGGCAGGAGAATTGCTTGAACTGAGGAGGCAGAGGTTGCAGTGAGCCAGGATTGCGCCACTGCACTCCAGCCTGGGTGACAGAGTGAGACTCCATCTCCAAAAAAAAAAAAAAAAAGGCTCTCCCCCACCTGCCTCATTTCTTCGTGCACTGTGGATCAAGGTACATAGGACAAAATTGGTCTTATGAGACAAAATACCCAAAAGTGATTTAAAAATGTTAAAATATCAACATGAAATAGCAACATAAAGTATCAATATGAAATATCAATGCAGTATATTAATATGAAGTTGATGTATTGTGGAGACATGAAACACATGACTACACAAATATTTAATTGGCAATACTTGGGATATGTATTATGAAGGAAAAGTACTTTGTGCTATGAAAATAAACAGCAGGGGGATCTGACTTGAGGAAGTGAAAGGTCTGAGGGATGAGTAGGCGTTATCTACAATGTTATTAAAATCAGTGGTTCTTAAATTTGAGTGTGCAACAGAATTATCTGGAGCACTTGTAAAACACAGATGGCTGGGCCCCACCCAAGAGTTTCTAATTCAGTAGGTCTGGGGTGATATTGATGCTGTTGTTCAGGGACCATACTTTGAGAACCAACTGATCTTTACTATATCTCCCAACAAACACACTTGAGCACAATGCTGAAGGTGGGTTATAGGCCAGCTGAAAAATTGCTCTACCTCACCTCTCAGGGGCAGCCAAGGGGCTGGGGCAGAACTCAAAAGTGGTAATCTCTAGCTGTGGGTGGTCTCATGCATTCTCCCAGCATGTGATACCAATATCATACTTATCTACTATAATAGCAAAAGTTTGAGAAGAGCTGAGCTGGTCAAATGGCGAGAGGCAGGTGATAACTGTTAGATAAAGAGAGGAGTTTGTATGAGGGCCTTGCAGCAGGAAAGAGTGCTGCATCTTCACAGAACTGAGAGAAAACCAGTGAAGCTGTAGAGGAGGAAGTCCAGGGAAGACGATGGAAGAATAATTTAGAGGGTCAGCTCATCTAGGGCTTGGAGGACCTCATTAAGGACTCACATAAAGGAGAAGCCATTGAAGGTTTTTTTTTTTTTTTGAGACGGAGTCTGGCTCTGTCGTCCAGGCTGGAGTGCGGTGGTGCAATCTCGGCTCACTGCAAGCTTCACCTACTGGCTCAAGTGATTCTCCTGCCTCAGCTTCCCGAGTAGCTGGGACTACAGGCACGTGCCACCACGCCTGGCTAATTTTTGTATTTTTAGTAGAGACGGGGTTTTACCATATTGGCCAGGCTGGTCTCAAACTCCTGACCTCGTGATCCACCTGCCTTGGCCTCCCAAAGTGCTGGGATTACAGGCGTGAGCCACCATGCATGGCCACCATTGAAGAATTTTAAGCAAGGGAATGGATTGGAAAGGTGCGGGTGTGCATGTGGGGATAGCAATTAGGAAGCTACTGCCTAGTCTAGCATGGAAATGATGGTGAGATGGTCTAAGGTGGATAAAGTGAAGATGGAAGCATTGGAAAGATGTTTCGGAGGTCAATCAATAGAACTTGGTGATTACTGGATATAGAGGTTGAAGGATAAGGAGGTATCTGATATAATTCTCAAATGTCTAGCTTGAAATGTTTTGTTTTCTGAGATAAGCCACACTGATGGTCACATTTGGGAGAAAGAGCAGTTTTGGAGATGCTGAATATGGAATGCTTTTGTTTTTAATCATCTAATTGGAGTTGTTGGTTAGGCAGCAGAATATATGGCCTTGGACCTCAGAGGACATTTAGGATTATGGGTAACCTCAGAGGACCTGTGGTTTGTGGTGGTTTGGACCTTAGAGGACATGTGGGTGTGTGGGGCTGGACTTTAGAAAATGTCCAAATGGACGTTGTTAGTGTGCAAAGAGATGGTCCCTGAATCCACGCTACGTATGTGGAACAGAGATTGCAAACTCCAGTGCCTAGAGCGGCCAGGCAGGTAACATGTGAGAATGCAGGCCAGATGCATACTTTGGGTCAATGGTTGGGACTGTCTACTCCAGCTGTATTGGAATTGCATGGATTTTCAACTGAATTGCATGGATTTTCAACTGAAAATGGAATTGCATGGATTTTCAACTGAAGCCAAGAATCTGGATTTTACCATGAAATGTCTTGGGTTTAGATATTGGTTCAATTTGAAAAATTAATGTGGGCCATGGCTGGGTGTGGTGGCTCATGCCTGTAATCCCAGCACTTTGGGAGGTAGAGGCGGGCAGATCATTTGAGGTCAGGAGTTGGAGACCAGCCTGGCCAACATGGTGAAACCCCATCTCTACTAAAAATACAAAAATTAGCCAGGCATGGTGGCACCCGCCTGTAGTCCCAGCTATTCAGGAGGCTGAGGCACGAGAATCACTTGAACCCGGGAGGTGGAAGTTGCAGTGAGCTGAGATTGCGCCACTGGACTCCAGCCTGGGCGACAGAGCAAGACTCTGTATCAAAAAAAAAAAAAGAAAAAAGTTGATGTGGGCCAAATAAAACACATATGTATTAAAGGGGGGGCTGTCAGTTGATAGCCTTTGCAAGGAAGAGTGTGTAGGACAAAATTGTGAGGAATTCAGTTGAATGAACAAATTTGAAGCTCTAGTATAGGGCCGGATGCAGTGGTTCATGCCTGTAATTCCAGCACTTTGGGAGGCTGAGGCAGGGTGGCTCTTTTGAGCCCAGAAATTGGAGACCAGCCTGGGCAAAATGGTGAAACTCTGTCTATACTTAAAATTCAAAAAATTAGCTGGGTGTGGTGGTGCACACCTGTAGTCCCAGCTACTTGAGAGGCTGAGGCGGGAGGATCACCTGAGCCTGGGAGGCTGAGGCTGCAGTGAGCTGTGATCAAACCACTGCACTCCAGCCTGGGTGACAGAAGTGAGACTCTGTCTCAAAAAAAAAAAAAAAAAAATAGAATAGTCTGGTACAAAAGGATGTGGGGTGGCCAGGCAGGTAGAATCAGGAGAGCATGGTGTCCTGAAAACCAAGGCAAGAGGACATTCAGTCTTCCTTGCTCTCTGGTGTCCCAGGTCCCAGTGATTCTAGGTTGGATGTAAAGAAAGTACTAGGTAGGTATCATTTTAGGAAATGCCCCTGGTGGAAAATGTTTCTGTTTTGATTCATTTCTCTTTAATATAGAAGACAGAGCTTCAAGGCTTAAAATACTTGCCTGAATCACATGTGAAGTCTTATAAACACTGTCTTGAGGGTGCAGTGGCTCATGCCTGTAATCCTAGCACTTTGGGAGGCTGAAGCAGATGGATCACCTGAGGTCAGGAGTTTGAGACCAGCCTGACCAGACCACCATGGTGAAACTCTGTCTCTACTAAAAATACACAAATTAGCCGGGCGTGGTGGTGGACACCTGTAATCCCAGCTACTTGGGAGGCTGAGGCAGGAGAATCGCTTGAACCCAGGGGGTGGAGGTTGCAGTGAGCTGAGATTGCACCACTGCACTCCAACCTGGGTGACAGAGTGAGACTCTGTCTCAAAAAACAAAACAAAACAGAAAAAACCCCACTGTCATGAGTCCCTTTCCTTCCTCTGTCCAAACCCCACCGACTTTATAATTTAACAAGTCTTAAATCAGGTTGTGGTTTGATTTGATCCGGAGAGATGAGAAATTCAACTCTTGTGAAAGGGTTACTGTCAGGCCACAAAAAGCTGTAGGATTTGTTTCAAAAGCATCCTTCTGCTAGGGAAGTAAACTTGAGTTAAAACTTAAAGTAATAAGGTGAATGATGTCTCAAAAATAGTCAGCGAGATCTCAGTTCTATTCTATAGGCCCCTTTTAAACTGTTTGTATTTTATTTTATTATTAATTGACACATAAAATTGTACATATTTATGGGGGTACTATTATATAGGCTTCTATTATGGCATAATAGAGTACTTCTAGAGTAAGAAATAAAGAAGGCTTACTGTCTGGTCAGGTAAATTGATGATCTTTGTCTTAGCTGTCAATGAGGATGCTAACATCTCTACTTACACTATTTGGGCCTGTTATATGGATAAAAAATGTAAATACCCAAAAGTGATTTAAAAATGTTAAAATGTCAACATGAAATATCAATATAAAGTATCAATATGAAATATCAATATAGTTTATCAATATGAAGTTGAACTAATGTTCTAGAACTTGAGAAGGACCTTCAACATAGACATCTGTAAATGATGTTATCTAATACTTGCTTACATGTGCTAATGACGAGAAACAGCTTTAATGGACTATATAATTTATTGTCCAAACCAGAACACTTTGGAGTGTGAAAAGGAGTGGAGTGTGTTTAATAGTTACTCCAGAACCACAGGCAAAACCCAGGACTGTCTTGGGTAAAATGGGAGACATGATCACCTAGGCATAGGTGAAATGTCAGTGGATATATACTTGCTTTGTCCGATGATGTGGTGACATAAGATCTGTGATGCAAAATGATTTTTTTCCTAAAAACTCATTCTCTTGGATATGCTATAACATCTCAGTTTCACAGACAGGAATCCTGGGCTAAGTGAGAGAGAGGAAAGTAATAAGCACAAAACTTAACCATTGCCAGTTCCCTTTATTGCTTCCAAAGGGCATTTAAGAATTCACCAGAAGGATTTATTGCTTTAGCATTCTTAACCTTAATGAAGTAATTTGAGTTTTCACTCTCAGAGAAGACTGTGGTGGGTGAAAAGAAGATTGGACAAGTCTTCACTGAAAGATATTAACTAGTGGAATTAGTAAGCAAAAGAGGGTAGATTCAGTAGCGTTCATATCCCAGGCAAACTAATGTACAATGCATTTATATTCTCATGCAAGTAGATGAGATTCAATAGTATGCACAGAATTTGAATGTTTCAAATGATTCATTTGGAGCCTGGGTACGGTTCTAGCTAGCCCCTTTAGGCGAGAATGATTTGGGGACTTGTAGGTGAGATTAACAGGACAGTAATTTACATACATTTTCTTTTTGTGTTTCTTATCTTCTAAAGCTTGAGGTAGGTTTCATACCTTTGCTAGAAGTCTTGCTGGAATGTGATTGAATGACGGTGGCAGCTGATGTACTATTAGAAGACAGAGCTATAGATGGACATTTCTCAGTAATCAGGTAAGTAGGCAAGCTGGCCTTTGTTCTCTGCATAATCTGAAGTGCTCTCTGATCTGCAGCATAGCACGTGAAAAGCAGCACATCTGAATTGACAAAGAGATCTTTATTTCTATTCCACAATGCACAGAGAAAAGGTAGAAAGAGAATTGGAGTGTGAATTTATTTATTCAGGAGCGTGAGCTATCAGTTTGAGCAAAGGAAATGCTAATAGAGGTTATGTTCCTTCTTCAAGACTGCGTTTCCTGTCTCATGTTGTTGTATTATGTTTGTGTGCTGGGTCCAGAAGCATAACCTCCCAGTCAGTGGGCCACAGTGGAACAGCAAAAGGAACAGCTGCCTGGGTGAGAGGATTAATCCATGCGCATTCCAGCTCTGCCCCTGGCCGAAAGGAATACGCCCTTAACCAGGCTGGGCCATACTTTCCCCTTTTTGCAAATCCACGTATAAAGAGAGATAATTGAGGACATAATAAAATGATCAACACGCCAAACCTTTGAGTTTGTAGAAAGTCGCCATCTAAATTTTTGTCTTTGGATGAACTGAATTAGTATAGTGTTTGTTTATTTTCTGGACCAAAATTCGGTGTTCCTGTATATGTAGGTGACCCTGCTGAAGTCAATGGCAACATCTTGGATACATTCAGATATTGACTTTGGGATTGGCAAAATAGTAGAGTCACTATCACCATCTCATGGCAATGTAGTCATTGCACGGTAAAAACAATGAATTCTTGTTTTATTGTGGTATTTTGAAATTCTAACTACCCTAATTTGGGGTCATGATAATATCTCTATTCAGAGCAGTAGCATTTGTTGTTATTTGATGTGTCTTGTGTGGTGATTCTTACACTGAATACTGGAGACGTATTTACTGCTACTTGTCCAGTTTGAAATTGATTTAAAGGCTGTAAGTTCATACTGGGAAAAACAAAATTCTTTGGAACTCCATTGCTCACTTTAAAGAACATAACTTTCGATTAGCCTTCCAGTCTTAGATTGGTTTAAAGATGTTTCACGTCAGATGTCTGTGGCCGTTTAGAGCAGCTCCCAGGTGAGGAATTTACAGTGGGGAAATCACACCTGGGGGTGAGGAGTGGACAAGGGCATCTCTGAGCCAGCATTCCTTGTATAGTGTCCAGGCATTTGAGAAATGGGCATTGAATGGTCGTTTGAATCATGTATTTTCTAGGCTCTGGAAAATGCAAGAAGGAAAGTTGGAGAATCCTGCTCAATACAGGATTATCAGCTAAAATCTATCTCCTTCCTAACCCAGCCCTTGGTAGTTCTTTGGAGCTCTGAGCAGAGAGCAGCAGTTCATGGGTACAATGGAAAGGTTTAAAGATCCTTCAGCAAAGATGTTGTAGAATGTTCAGAGTTAACCATGGTGTTGTTCAGTTCAGCTCCTGGGGCTTCCATTTCCTCCTGCCTTCTTTGGAAATCATTTCCTGGTGTTCTAATTCTGTATCTTGCCGAGTAGCAAAAATGTGGAGGAAAACCCCGGAAGTAACTTGTGGTTAAGTTTCAAGTTTTTTGGCTTTTATCCAAACACTCGTGAGCTTCATTTGTGTTCACATATAAGAAAAGCCAACCCGGATCTTCTAATAATGCTTTATTTAGTGCTTAAACTTTAATTGCAGGGTACAAATGATACCATTAGGAACCGATATCAGTACTAATGCCACCTATATTATTATTTACTCCTCTGAAAACTAAGCTTGTTGAAATATATTTATTAACACTGTACCCCAGCACTACACATTTAAAGCTTAATTCTGTGGCTGTTCATGAATTCTCAGCATACTACAGTGTTGAGGCTTCCTAGCTTGAGATAAGTTCATTATGAAATGGGAGTGATAAAGTGTGTTAGTGTTTAAGTTAGTGTGTTAGTGTTTAAGTTAGTGTTAGTGTTAGTGATAAAGTGTTTTTCCAGGTCACAAATACAAGCTGGTTTATGCAAAGGATGAAGCACCCTTTGTGTAATTCTAGTCCCTTTAGCTAACAAACAGTTAAATTCAGCATTTATGATGTATAAACTTTGCTCCTTAGCATTAAAATGTACCTTATTCACTCGGTAGATTTCTCTTTCAACCATGGCTATTGTTTGTCACTAACAGCTAGCTTTTGTGAAGTTAATAAATGTGCATAATAAGGACATAAAGGTATGGAGAAGTAATACTGTAATCCTTTTGTTTGGATAATCAGTCTAATGTATGCAAATTAAACCTTATTAGTACTAGGGTTTTGTGTCTGCTTATCAAAATGTGCCATTTTCATGAAAATTGGAAGTCCATTATATAAAGTTATTATTAACAGTCATTTAGGAATTATATACGGTATGCAAATTAAAGTTGATTACAACTAATTAAGGGCTTTCTTTGTTATTTGACCTTGTCTGCTTTTTATGTAAATATGTTTCTTTTGGTCTGGCATATTTTTAGACTCAGAAAAGTATATTAAGACAAGTTACATTATGTAGTTTTTAATATATCTTTGTGTTGCCATTGTCTGTGCCCCTCATTTTCCAGAGGCACATATGATATGTAAAGCCATGTATCTTATTTCACTATTTGGGGATGGTTCTCTAGGTAAGTGGGATTTCCGAAATAGAAAACAATCAAATTTCCAGGCCCCTTCAATGAGTTTAATGGAAAATGAGCACAAATCCAGTATAACATATAAACAGTCTTCATGCCAGAATACCCTTTTTTCCACTATTTATTGACTTCAGTGAGTCTTGGGTTACAGATTTCCAAACAGAGCTGAGTAATAGATGATCATTACTGGCTTACAGGGTGTCCCGCAAAACCTAATTGTTTGTTATCTGTGAAAGCATTCAGCTAAAGATAAGTGACTTTACCACAGAAAATGTAACAGTCTCAGTACCAATGGCCTTTAGGAAGAATTGTGCACTCCCTGTAAAAATGAGGAGTTTCTTAGTGAGCGAGGAGGAAACATTTGAAGTGTGACTTTTAAACACTTATTAAGTTATATCTTTCCTTCAGTACAGTTGCTCTAGTTGTTTTCTGTTAACAAAGAAGCTTGATACAGTGGCTGGAGCAAAGCATCCTGGGGCACTTGGTTTAATTGCACGATGGAAGAGATCTGTTAATCAATAGCTTTTCAAATGCCTTGAAGTATACTGGTAGGAAAAAGAATGTGAAGATAAACAGTCCAAGGAAAGAGGCCAGAATATTGCAAGAGTGGAGAAAAACAAATAGTTATCTAGGTATTTAAAAGGGGCAAGCAAGAAACTAGGAACCAAATCACCACTGAATTCATCCAAATTTTGAACATTTTCTTTTATTTTTTGACTTTGAACAACAACAGTTTAATCTTTGAAAAATGCCATTTGAATGCTTATAAAGGGATTGAAAGCAAAGTTTTAATTGAAGTATAATATACAAACAGAAAAGTACACATATCATAAATGTACGGCTTGTTAATTTTTCACAAACTCAAAACTCTGATGTAACTAGCACCCAGATCAAGGAGCAGTACATTAACAGCACTCCAGGAACTCTCTGCTTTTTCATAAACCAGGTTACAGTATATGTGCAGGTCTGTTTCTAGACTTTTTTGGGGAAAATTGACATCTACACAATCTCCAGTGCACTAATCTATGAACATGGTATATCTCAGATAAAGGGACTCTTTTTTTTTTTTTTTTTTTTGAGACAAGGTCTCACTCTATCACTCAGGCTGGAGTGTAGTGGCACAATCATAGCTCACTATAGCCTCAACCTCTGGGCCCAAGCAATCCTCCCGAGTTGCTGGGACCACAGGCATGTGACATCACATCTGGCTAATTTTTAAATTTTTTGTAGAGACAGGGGTCTCCCTGTGTTGCCCAGGCTGATCCTGAATTCCTGAGCTCAAGTGATCCTCCTGCTTCAGCCTCCCAAAGTGCTGGGATTACAGGCGTGTGCCACTGTGCCTGGCCTAAGGGACTTTTTATGATTCAGTAACCTCCCTAGAAAATACAGGAAAATCAAGAAGACAGAGGCTAAGTTCAGACATTTTTTGGGGAGTTTGAGGGTTTCTGCATCGATGTTCCACTTTATTATATCCTCTAGGAAGGATGTAGATGTATTCTCAGGCTTCATGGAGTGGTTCTAGCTTCCATGTGGAGCCTCCCATTTGCCAGCTACCTTTTATCATCTTTCCTACTGCAGGTGTTCAGTGTCTTCCTCTCTCCCAGGGCACCCTCCATCATTCCTTGCCACCTTTGCTCCAGTTTCTTAGCCGAGAGTTTTCAGTATTGTGAGGAGCATAGTGCTTTTGGTAATTTCCACTTTTGGTGCAGAACTCTTAGTGAACACTTTCTTCCCTGTTCCAAAAATAAGCAACTTTGTCTTTCTCAGGGTCAAAATATGCTCTGCTAAAATGTATAAGTCATTGTTTTGTGTTCATGTTTTTTTTTTGGCATCAAGTTTTTCTAGTAGTTCCAGACATTTTTGCCCCCTTGGCAAGGCATAGGACATTGGAATTCCCATCTCCATGGAAATGGAAAAACAAGCAAACAAACAAACAAAAAACAGTTCTCATTTGCACCATGGCTCAATAGGTAGAAATGGAAAAAGGATCTCATGATGCTGGCCCCACAGATAATACAGACTGTGTCTGCATTGTACCACAATAAAGAGGCTGCTGTGGTGCAGCTTTCTGCCTTCTAAGAAGATCCTCTGCTCTTACAGTTGTTGAGTGTGCCTGGAGAAGCTTCAGAAGGTTAGCAAGTACCTGTGTAAGCAAGAGAGAGAAGACTGAAAGATAACTCAGGAAATTCTTACAATGGTGCACAGAGAAGGAGGCAAACGCCAAGTCTCTAGTTTGTCTTCAGAACAATGTAGAGAGACATAAATACAAGGAGAGTAAGGGTGATGCCCCCTTCTGTCAGGTGACTGGATATGTAATCAGCACTTCCTTTCCCATGTCCTGACTACCTCTGAGCCTGGAAATGGGAGATAAGGATGCAAAACACTGCCACCTGGTCCTCAGCAAATGGGTAAAATGGGTTGGGCTGACTGCAGTTGAGCTGTAAGAGCCCTTAGGAACAGGGTTCTCCAAAGTCACCATTTTGCTTTAGAAGGTTTATTTTACATTTCTTAAAATAACACGGTAAAATTATAGGCAACACAAACAAGATTTGAGCTATGTTAGTCTTTTAATTCAGGCAGAATTTAATGTGTAATTAAGATTAATTATATCATAATGGAATTGTAGACACATGATTATTGCATCATATTCCTTGCAGACATGCATCTTGCTTTCACATCATTCTGGTTTCTCAGATTGAGAAGCATGCTGAGAGGCAGAGCCAATGGAATCCGGCTGCATTTGCAGGATGTGTTTGCTACAGGGTCGTTTTGGGAGTTAATTTTTGCCAATGTTCATTTCAGAATAATTGAAATATGCCCAACTGTGATGGCCTTTTAAAAATATCCTGCTTTTTTGTCTGTTTTGAGAGAAAGCCAACCTTAAAATATCTCCATTAGAAAAAAAATCTCCATTAGAAGCTGAAAGGATTTGTGTGTGTTGTTAAGTTTAGGAAATCACCTGAGTGTTTAGATTGTGTGTGAAGGTAAAAAGAATTTATTTCTCACTCATAAATTCAAAATACGGGAGGGAATCCCATCTGGAAATGTTCTAGAATAGGCCACTTCCTGAGTCAGAGGGGAAGATGGGGTAAATCTTTATAGATAGTTTTGACTCTCCTATTTAAAAGAGAAAAGGAAATCTAAAGAAGGAAATTCCATTATATACTATAGCATATTATTTAGGTATATGACAAATACGGCAACTTTGAGTCAATACTTAAATCTGTGTAATTAGACCCAGAGGGTTTTTTTAGCTTCATATTCTTGGCTGTTATTTCAACTGTAAAAGGGAATGATTCTCAAAAGTGAATAATATACAGATCTTTAATTACTTATACACTTTTTATTATGGAAATTTTCAACATACATATTCAGAACCTTTTAAAAGAGAAAACATTTATTGGAGCCCAGTGTTGACCTAAATTATTTTTATTATGTGCTAATATATGATCAGTTATAACTCCTTCTGCTTACAGCTTTTATACAAGTATAAAACCAAATCAAGCAGCATATAACCAGCAAATATATACCCTGTAACATTTAAATTAACAATATTAATTTAGAGCAAAAGATGATGTTGTTTTTCTGGAAATACTTTTTTTAAAAATTTTGAGACAGTGTCTCATTCTGTTGCCCAGGATGGAATGCAATGGGCAGTCATAGCACACTGCAGCCTTGAACTCCTGGGCTCAAGGATCTTCTTGCCTCAGCCTCCTGAGGGGCTAGGACTACAGGCATGTACTACCACACTTGTCTCATTTTTTATTTTATTTTATTTTATTTTTTGTAGTGATGGGGTCTCGCTATGTTGTCCATACTGGCCTCAAACTTCTGGGCTCAAGCAATCCTCTCACCTCAGTCTCCCAAAGTGCTGGGACTGCAGGCATGAGCCACCGTACCCACCCTGGAATTACTTTTTAAACCTACCTATATTATTTTATCACTAGGTCACCACAATCCAAGCCATTTTACTCTGGCTGAAATGATTATAAATCCGTCTGAAAATTAGAGCACTGAAATAGGATAGTAACCTTTCATTATAAGGCAGATTGTCCAGGTTATCCAGAACATCCATTAAGATGACCATCTAAATCAGGAATTAGCAAACTTTCTCTGTAAAGGACAGGACCTGATAGTAAATACTTTAAGCATCGAGGGGCATACAGTCTTTCACAACAACTCAACTCTGCCATTGTATTGTGAAATTGGCTATAGACAATATTTATGTGAATGGGCTTGGCTGTGTTCCAATAAAACTTTATTTACAAAAACAGGTGGTGGGCAGGATTTAGCCATAGTATGGCATTTGCCAACCCCTGATCTAAATGAAAATATAGGGTTAAAAAATCGGGGAAATCTTTGTAGGCCATTTGAAAACAGTACATACCCCAAATTTCTGGGAGATTCTGTATAGGTGGGGTATGTGTGAGTGTGTGTGCATTTTCAATTAGGTTTTCAAAAATTATACAAGTAAAGCATCCTCATTTTGACAAGTGAAACAATTTGGAGATACATTAAGAAGTGTTATTGGCTGGGCATGGTAGCTCACGCCTGTAATCTCAGCACTTTGGGAGGCCAAGGCAGGCGGATCACCTGAGGTCAGGAGTTTGAGACCAGCCTGACCAACATGGAGAAACCCCATCTCTACTAAAAATACAAAATTAGCCGGGCGTGGTGATGCATGCCTGTAATCCCAGCTACTCGGGAGGCTGAGGAAGGAGAATCACTTGAACCCGGGAAGCGGAGGTTGCAGTGAGCTGAGATCACGCCATTGCACTCCAGCCTGGGCAACAAGAGCAAAACTCCGTCTCAAAAAAAAAAAGTGTTATTAATCTTTCACTCCCTCCATTCTCACTATCCTCAGATAAAAATATTAATAGCTTAATTCACAATTAACACTTTTCTTTGTGGGTAGACATATCTATAAAAACATTTAGGTTGTTCCTCTGCTTCACTCCTTTGATGGGTTGTATTAGTCCATTTTCATGCTGCTAATAAAGAAATACCCGAGACTGGGTAATTTATAAAGAAAAGAGGTTTAATGGACTCACAGTGCCACATGGCTGGGGAGACCTCACAATCATGGCAGAACAGCAAAGGGTCGTCTTCCATAACAGTGGGCAAAGAGAGCATGTGCAGGGGAACTCACCTTTATAAAACCATCAGATCTCGTGAGACTTACTCATTATCACGAGAACAGCACCAAAAAACCTGCCCCCATGATTCAATTACCTCTCACTCGGTCCCTCCCACAATACATGGGGATTGTTACAATTCAAGGTGAGATTTGCATGGGGACACAGAGCCAAATCATCATGGTGTCTTCTATAAATGTTTCTCAGCATTAAAAAAAATTAGACAATATATCATGTATCAATCCAGGCCAATAGACATAGGTCTGTGTTTTTCCTTCAATTTCTAGTGTGAAAAATTGAAATAATAGTATATTGAATACCTATGTAACCTTGGTCTAGATTTATTTATTAGCATTTTACTATATTTGTGCTCATATTCTTCCTTCCATTCGTCAGGTTAAGCCATGCAAAACTGTAAATACTCAACTGTTTTTGATCTTAAAAATGGCATTTTGATACAGTGCAACCTAACATTTTTTCCTGAATCATTTGAGAAACAGTAAGTTGGACATTATAATGCTTCACCCATAAATAAACTGCATGCATTGCCTAAAACTTAAAGCCTTTTTTGTACATACCCATGAGGCCATTATCATATCTTAGAAAATCAATAATTCCCTTATAGCTTATATCCAGTTTATATTTAAATTTCCCTCATTGTATCTAAAATCTCTCTCTTTTTTTGAGACAGAGTCTTCTCTGTGGCCCAGGCTGGAGTGCAGTGGCACGATCTGAGTTCACTGCAACCTTCGCCTCCTGGGTTCAAGTGATTCTCGTACCTCAGCCTCTTGAGTAGCTGAGATTACAGGCATGTGCCACCATGCCTGGCTGATTTTTATATTTTCAGTAGAGATGGGGTTTCGCCATGTTGGCCAGGCTGGTCTCGAACTCCTGACCTCAAGTGATCCACCCACCTCGACCTCCCAAAGTGTTGGGATTACAGGTATGAGCCACCATGCCCGGCTAAAATTTTTTTACAGCTACTTTTTAAAGAATCAGAATCCAATAAAATATCACACGTTACAGTTCATTTTATGTCTCTTAAGTCTCTCTTAATTTAGAATAGTTCCCCACCTTTTTTGTTCCTTATTCTTGACCTTGGCAAGAGACCAGGTCAGTTGTCTTGCAGAATGCCCCACATTCTATATTTGTCTGATTATTTCCTCTGGGTGTTGTTTAGCTTGTTCTTCTATTCCCTGTGTTTCCTGGAAACTGAAAGTTAAGTCTAAAGGCCTGGTTAGATTTAGGTTTGGATATATTTAGCAAGAATAGTTTGTAAATGATTCTGTGTACTTCTATTGTATAATGTCAGGAGGTGTGTAATATCAGACTGTCCCACTGTAAGTGATTTGATAACTTGGTTAAGGTGGTGACCACCAAACCTCTTCTGTTCTAAAGGTATGTTTTTCTTTAACATTCTTTTAAGATAAGTGTAATGTTACATTGCATAGCCTGTTTGTATGAATAAATATGAATAAACAAGCTACAGTTTATTCAAGCATTTGTTTCTTTCTTTTCTTTTCTTTTTTTTTTTTTTTTTTTTGAGATGGAGTCTGGCTTTGTCACCCAGGCTGGAGTGCAGTGGTGCAATCTTGGCTCACTGGAACTTCTGCCTTCTGGATTCAAGCAATTCTCCTACCTCAGCCTCCCAAGTAGCTGGGATTACAGGCACGCACCACTACGCCCAGCTAATTTTTGTATTTTTTGAGTAGAGATGGGGTTTCACCATGTTGGCCAGGCTGATCTGAAACTCCTGACCTCAAGCGATCCACCTGTCTCAGCCTCCCAAAGTGCTGGGATTACAGGCATGAGCCACCACACCCGGCCTTCAAGCATTTGTATATTGGTAGACATTCAGTTTGTTTCCTTTTTTTTTTTTGCCACTGAATTGTTTCATGAGCAATCTTGAATTTAAGTGTTTTGAAATATTGGTGTGTGTATTTCTGTGGAATAGATTTCCCAATGTGGGTCAAGAAGCATGTAAATTTTTAATTTTGACATTTATTTATTCATTTGGCATTTAAAAATTGTATTTGGCGTTACAAAATTCCCAAAACATTGGTAACATTTCTATCAACAGTATGCGAGACTGCTTGTTTCCCCAAATCTTCAACATTATTGGGTATAATTACCTTTTAATCCCCACCCCCCAAGTCTGATGGGTAAAATCCCATATTTTATTTTGCATGTCTGTGAGTACTAATGAGGCTGTGCAGCCTATTATATAATTTTTTACTCTTTAATTTCCTTTTCTATTCTTACTCTTTGCCTGTTTCCCCCAATATTTCACCTTACTTATGATTCTTTTGCTTTATAAAAAAATAAAGATTTAAAAAATGTAGTCCCATATGTCTGTCTTTGCCTTTATGATTCCTGGTTCCTGGGTTGCCTGTCTGGTTTCAGAAAGTCTCCCTACACTAAGATAATATAAAATTATCCTAAATTTTATTTTATTATTATTATATTTTTCTTTTCTTTCTTCTTTTTTTTTTTTTTTGAGACGGAGTCTCACTCTGTTGCCCAGGCTGGAGTGCAATGGTGTGATCTCAGCTCACTGCAACCTCAGCCTCCCGGGTTCAAGTGATTCTCCTGCCTCAGCTTCCCAAGTAGCTGGGATTACAGGCACCTGCTACCACACCCGGCTAATTTTTGTATTTTTAGTAGAGACAGGGTTTCACCATGCTGGCCAGGCTGGTCTAAAACTCCTGACCTCAGGTGATCTGCCCGCCTTGGCCTCCCAAAGTGCTGGGGTTACAGGCGTGAGCCACCACGCCCGGCCTCTATTTTTCTTTATTATGTGATATGAGAAAGTCTAGTTTTGGTTCCTTTTGAATAGCTAGCAATGATATCAGCATCGTATGTTAAATAATTCATCCTTTTGGCAAAGATTTGAAATTCCACCTTTGTTGAAATGTGAATTTTAAAAATTCCATTTTTGCAGAATTTCTGCTCATGTAATGAGTTCTTAGATATGTTTCGATTTTTTTCTGAACTCTCCATTTTCTTCTACTGATTTATCTATTTCTATGCCATCCTGTTTTTATTTTAGTATTTTAAAAGTAATTTTTAATCTTGAGATAAGACTTCACTATTTTTCACTTTAAAAATATACAGGTAATCAACTTTCAGTGATTTATTCTTCCACATGAACTTTAAAATCATTTTCCTCCACTCCTAACTCAGTTACTTAGGATTCTGGTGGAGAGTATTAAAAGCATACACAAATGTATATAAAAATGTATGTATATGTACATGTATAATACATTTAGGAGAAATTCACATTTTAATAGTGAGATTTATATATGTATATGTATATATGTATAAATGTATATATGTTTATGTACATGCATGAATGTGTATTTTGTGTGTATGTAATACATTTATGAAGGATTAACATATTATTAGCCATATGACATTGAAATGATAGCAAAAGAGAGACTTGATCTTGGTGAATTTCCTCCCCAAAATACTTTCCCCTCACCAATGATGCCCAAAACTCAGAAAGATTGAGAGTTTTAGCCCAGAAGACAAAATTAATAGATTCGGGTGTCATTGGAGTGCAGTTTTCTTTTGAATTGTAAAAGATAAAGTGTTTTTCTGCCTGCTATGGGAATAAAAGTGTATCAGTGTATTTCTGTAATGTGTCAGTAATGTATTCCCAGGTGTGCTTGAAAACCTGTCTAGATACTATTAATGTCTTAGTAAATCCATTTCCATCTGTCACACTATAATGTATCCTCTCTGTGTCGCCCTCAACATACAAATATTCATTTTCTCTCTTCAAATTAGAGACTTTTAGTACGGGTCAAATACCATTACAGTGAACTCTGCAGGTGTGTCAAATACTTCCTGTATCATTTGGCGTACGATAGAAATTGCCTTCCCAGCTCTCACACCCTGTTGCTCCAGCTGAGGGGCTGGGGATGAAACAGCGTGGATTCACAACCCTCTTAGGCAGCCAGAATTTCTGTCATCAGCAGCAGGGTTTCTCTGCTAAACTTTTCCAATTCCAGCTGCTTGACCGTCAGGGCCACTGACCTTAAATAAAGCACTCAAGAGCCTTAGGTAGGGATTTAGCAGGGGAGGAGTAAGCTGGATTTGTTAGGAAGTGCTATGAATGTTCTATTTGAAAGAGACCTAGATCTCCAATATGGGGAGAAAACCAAGGACTCTGGGCCCACTGTACCTGGGTCTGAATCCCAGCTCTACCACTGCCTTGGCATGTGGTATGTCAGCACGGGCATGGGACTTAAACCACTCAGTGCCTGAGTTTCCTCATCTGCAAAGTGGAGATTAAAGTGGCACTAGAATCATAGGTCTATTGTGAGGATTGAATGAGCTGACATATGGAATGCATTTGAAACCGTGCCTGGCACTCAATAAGTACTTTATAAGTGTTTATTATATTTTTATTATTTGTTCCTTGAGGGAGAAATTGAACACAGAGGCTGAGATTATAAGGGAAAAAGCAGGGAGGAGACAGGGTGTGAAGGTCTCAGATAAGTGGACAGCTTTAGAATAGGCTTGTATTCCAGGAGAGAGATAGGGCACAAAGCAAGAAATTGAGATAGAAGTACTGTTGTATGAGTGACTACTTGGAAGGATTAGGGAAGAACTGAAATGTCGAGAGCTGTGTATTCCCAGTTATAACTGTAGTCACTCTGGGTCCTGGGCTGATAGCAGCATAACTAATTCCAGACCTCACCTGCTGAGGTTCCAGCCAAGATTGGCTGAGTTACTCAAAATGAAGGGCATCAGTGGGCTGACCTGGACAATGTATGACAGAATATAAATCAGTCTGCTCCTTTTCTTTCTCCTCTTCTTTCTTTTTTTATTATTTTTATTATTATTTTTAGAGACAGGGTCTCGCTGTGTTGCCCAGGCTGGAGTGCAGTGGCTATTCACAGGTACAGTCCCAATACTGATCAGCCTGGGAGTTTTGACCTGCTCCATTTCCAACCTGGGCTGGTTCATAGGCAACTTGGTGGTCCCCCACTCCTGGGAGGTCACTATATTGATGCTGAACTTAGTGCAAACACCTGATAGACACAGTGCATTACAACCCAGAACTCTTGGACTCAAATGATCCTCCTGCCTTAGCCTCCTGAGTAGCTGGCACTACAGGCACATGCCACCATGCCCAGCTCCTTTTCCTTTTTTTAATGGATAATTTCAAGCATATCTCAAAGTAGAACGACCAACATAATACATTTTCATGAATCCATCACTTATCTTCAACAGTTATCAACTCTTGCTTTATTCTTATCCTCATTCACTTTCCCATCCTGAATATTTTGAAACAAATCCCAGACATCACTACATCTGCATCTCTAAAAGAAGAGGACTTTTTAAAAATGATGGCTATATTTACAAATTAAAATTTACCATTTTAACCATTTTTAGGTGTACATTTCAGGGCATTAAGTACGGTCACATTGTTGTGCTACCATCACCACCATTAGTTTCCAGAAGTTTTTCATTATCCCCAACAACTGTGGACCTGTTAAGCGACACGCTTCAGTCCCACTCCCATCAGCCCTTGGCACCTACCATTCTACTTTCTGTCTCTATGGATTTGACTACTCTAGGTACCTTATAAATAGAATCATACAATATTTGTCATTTTTGCATTTGGCTTATTCCACTTAGCATAATTTTTTTTAGATGGATTTTTTTAGTATTACAGATATTTTTAATTTTTATTTTGTACATTTTGGTTTTGTTTTCTAAAATTATTACAGTGAATGCAAATTATTTTTCTTATGACAGGAAAACACTGTACAGCAAAAATGGTTGTGGGACCTGGGGAGTTCTATTTTGCTGGAGGTGTTTGAGCAGAGCGTGTAGTTGCTGTTGTTAACTCCCAAGATGTTGAAAAGGAGACTGTTATAGACAGAAAGGTGGCTATTACCTCTTTTAACCTCTATGGTGCTTCAGATTCTGAGAATCTATTGCACAAAATAGTAATTATAACTAATAATTATAACCACTATAACTATTAACATATAACCTGTAGTTATTAATAGTTATGATTAATAAAGTCATAGAATCTCAGATTTGTCAGGGAACTCAGAAGTCAACTTTCCCAGCCAATGTAAGACAGTATGAAAAATCCTTGGCCACACATGCCGATAGAGGATTGCCCAATTAACTCAAAAAAAAAAAAAAAAGGTATACAAGTGACTGAAATCAATGAATAAACTCAATATAATTAAAAAAAAAGAGAAAAAGAAAAAGTCCTTATGCGCTTTGAAAAAAAAGATGAGATTTCAAGTCAAGGAAAATAGATTGTACACCTAGTGACAAGACCTCTTTATCTTCATTTTGAAAGATCACAGAGTGGCTACAATACGAAAAGATTGTGTGTAGGCTATCATTTCATGCTTGAGAAACAAATAGATGGATTCTTGCTCTGTCACCCAGGCTGGAGAGTAGTGGTGCAATCTTGGCTCACTGCAACCTCTGCCTCCCCAGTTCAAATGATTCTCCTGTCTCAGCCTCCTGAGTAGCTGGGATTACAGGCGTGTGCCTACCACTTCTGGCTAATTTCTGTATTTTTAGTAGAGACAGGGTTTCACCATGTTGGCCAGGCTGGTCTAAAACTCCTGACCTCAGGTGATCTGCCAGCCTTGGCCTCCCAAAGTGCTGGGATTACAGGCGTGAGCTACCGTGCCCGGCCGCATAATGTTTTTAAGGTTCCTCCATGTTGTAGCATGTACCAGAATTTCACCCCTTTGTAAGGCTGAATAATAATATTCCATTGTATGTATGTACCACAGAATTCTTTTTAGAGCATAACCACAATACCATAATCATACCTACAAAACAGTAACTTCTTTTTCTTTTTCTTTTTTTTTTTTGAGATAGAGTCTCACTCTATCACCCAGGCTAGAGTGCAATGGCTCAATCTCAGCTCACTGCAACCTCCACCTTCTGGGTTCAAGTGATTCTTCTGCCTCAGTCTCCCGAGTAGCTGGGCTTACATGCTTGGCTAAGGTTTGTATTTTCAGTAGAGACAGGGTTTTGCTATGTTGCCCAGGCTGGTCTCGAACTCCTGACCTCAAGTGATCCACCCACCTTGGCCTACCAAAGTGCTGGGATTACAAGCATGAGCCACTGTGCCCGGCCAACAGTAATTTCTTAAAATAAGCTCATACCCAGTCAATATTTAAATTTCCCCATTTGTGGCCGGGCGTGGTGGCTCATGCCTGTAATCCCAGCACTTTGGGAGGCTGAGGTGGGCAGATCAGTTGAGGTCAGGAGTTCGAGACCAGCCTGGCTAACATGATGAAACCACGTCTCTACTAAAAATACAAAAATTAGCCGGGTGTGGTGGCGGGCGCCTATAATCCCAGCTACTCAGGAGGCTGAGGCAGGAGAATCGCTTGAACCTGGGAAGCAGAGGTTGCAGTGAGCAGAGATTGCACCACGGCACTCCAGCCTGGGTGACAGAGTAAGACTCTGTCTCAAAAAAAAAAAAAAAAAAAAAAATTTCCCCAATTGTGCCATAAACATAGTTTTTAACAGTCTGGTTGTTTGAAATAGGATTCAAATAAGACCTATTCGAATGTAAATTAGTCCAGCCACTCCAGAAAGCAGTCTGGAGATTTCTCACAGAACTTAAAACAGAGCTACTATTCAACCTAGCAGTCCCATTACTAGGTATATACACAAAGGAAAGTAAATCATTCTACCAAAAAGACACATGCACTTGTATGTTCATTGCTGCACGATTCACAATAGCTAAGACATGGAATCAACCCATGTGCCCATCAATGGTAGATTGGATAAAGAAAATGTGGTACATGTACACCATGGAATACTATGCAGCCATTTACAAAAATGAAATCATATCATTTGCAGCAACAAGGATGGAGCTGGAGGCCATTATCCTAAGTGAATTAACACAGGAACAGAAAGCCATATACCACATGTTCTCACTTATAAGTGGGAGCTAAACATTGAGCACACATGGACATAAACGTGGGAACAATAGACACTGCAGACTACTAGAGGGTGGCATGGGTTGAAAAACTATCTATTGGGTACTACACTCACTACTTGGGTGATGGGATCCATACCTCAAACCTCAGCATCACGCAGTATTCCCATGTAACAAATCTGCACATGCACACCCTGTATCTAAAATAAAAGTTGAAATTAAAAAAAAATGGCCCATTCATTGCAATTTGTCAATATCTCTTTTCTCTTTTAATCTACAAGTCCTTTAAGTTTTTCAAAATTTCCTATTTATTTGTCGAAGAATCTGGGTTGCTTGACCTGTAGAATTTTCCAGGGTCTAGATTTTGCCAGTTGGATCCCTACGTTGAGATTTAACATCTTATTTTGTTTCCTGTATTTTCCATAAATTGATAAATTGGTAGTTAAACACAGAGACTTGCTCAGATTCAGGTTTGATTCTTTGGCAAGAATATTTCATAAGGAGTGTTGTATACGGGAGACACATAGTATCCAGTGGTTTCTCTTTCTGTGATGTTAACAGCAATTAATGATCATTGTTTAGGTACATTAATTCATTAGAGGTTATTCTAATTCTGTCATTCCTTCTTTGATTGTTAGCTGGAATACTTCTATGAACAGAAACTTTCCCTTATTTATTATTTGGTTACTGTGAGGCAGCCTTTGTTAAAAGAAGGCAAGATAAATGCTTGTTTCTTTCCTTTTATTTACCAGTTTTTATACAAGTGAATTGCTTCCTTTGCATCCACAAAGGTGATTAACAAGAGTTTAATTTTGGAGTTTTTTTTAAGTGATTTTATGAACTCATGGATTTTTCAAATATTTGATGCATTTAAATTAATTTCCATTGTTATTATTATTGATATTCCAATTATCCCCTATTTGGTTAATGGACTCTTCAAGTTGGCGCCCTAGTTCTTTTGATACAGCACCAGGATTATTATAGTTTCTTTGCTTTCTGGCATAACAGGGTGATCCAGGCTCATCTTACACATTTTTCTTGTCCTTGCTATTTCTCCAAAAAGTCCTGGTTCCTTTTAGTGGGAATTAGTATTTAGTAATCACAATCTGGGTCATGGGGTGCTCATTACTATTAGGCTAGCTCTTCTTATTTAATAATACATTCTTCTTTCTAGTTATAAAGATAATACATATTCACTCTATAACATTTGGAAGATACCAAAAATAATAGAGACTATCACTGTTTATATTTTGGTGTACCACATATGCCCATATATGAGTGAGGTTTTCTCCTGAAATTATCCCTCAGAAAAGAAGGCATCACTTTATATGTGAGTTCTTATAAAACCTCTTTCATTATGGGATGACCTCTATTTGGGCAAGACATATTAGTTTGAAATGATCTTAACTCCTGAGAGTTTTGGATGTTTATAGAAGTCACCTTGGAGCTCCAGTGGCACAATCGGTTAGTGCGTGGTGCTTCTACAGAAGTCACCTGATAAAATTTGTAGAATGGAGGCAAAAAAATTTAGCACGGATTCAGTAATTAGGCCTGGGTATATGACCTCACATTGCCAAATACTGAATGATGTTATAAATGAACCCTTTAAAAATAATCTTTTTTTCTAGGGCAGAAAGCATTAAGTATACATGTACATGATGAATGAAAAATCCAATATTCTCATGTTATGGAGATGGACACTTTTAGTTGGGATAAAATTTCTAGTGACAGCATCATACACAGGTTCAAATAATTATGTATCTCAGACAGAATGGATTTGATGGAGATGCAGACTCTAGAGAACTGTGGGCTTCAAACTTATTTACTTGTCAAGCCACTGAGAGAATTTTGAAAAGCAATATACTTTCTCATACTTTAAATTGGTATTTAAAGTTTTAATCACAAGGTTAAGTGGTTACAGAGGATGCAATTCTAGCATATTGTAAATATTGACATTTCAGAATAAAACTGCTTCAAATGCTTGCCACTCTTGGGAAAAAAATAGAATAAAACTGCTATGTCAGTCTTTAAATTTGTTTAAGGAAATCTAAATTCTATAATGATTCAATAAACCCATCTTCCCCTAAAAAAGCTCACAAATTATTTTAAAAATTTATGTTGTTATAATTTTCTATGTAATAATAATTACATTTCATTTTCCTCACAGAATTTTATCCTAACACAGGGAAGTCTCTCTATCATATTTCTTGGCAACAAATTGTACGTGTGCATGTGTGTGTATTTGAAATGTGAAAAAATTTTCCCCGTGATCATAAGGCATGTTACCAAATTGATCCCAGATAGAGTTACACAGTGGATCAAATTATACAATTGATCAAATTACAAATATTTGACAAATTTTGGTAAATGTTTATCAAACTTAAAAAATTATATTGGAAAAGAATCTCTCAATGAGATAGATGAGACCTTTTCTCCTTAATTGATGTATTAAAAGTAAATATTATTCATTGCCAGAATGAGACTGCATTTGGCATCAGTTATATTACTAGTTTCCTTCCTTCCTTCCTTCCTTCCTTCCTTCCTTCCTTCCTTCCTTCCTTCCTCTCCCTCCCTCCCTCCCTCTCTCTCTCTCTCTTCTTTTTAAGAGACAGAGTCCTGCTCTGTCACCTAGGCTGCTCACTGCAGTGTTGATCGCTGAGGCTCAAGCAATCCTTCCACCCCAGCCTCCTGAGTAGCTGGGACTACAGGTGTGCACCAGCACGCCCAGCTAATTTCTTTTTTTGTGGAAGCGGGGTCTTGCTATGTTGCCTAGACTGGTCTTGAACTCCTGGCCTCAAGCCATCCTCCTGCCTTAGCCTTCCAAAGTGCCACCACACCCGGCCACTTATTTTCATTTTCTGTAAATGGAAGTTCTGAGAAAACTTGTTTATATAAACAGAAAGTTGGAAATGGAAAGAGTTTTGTTTATAGCTATGTCACTTAAGTCTTTGAATTTTCTCCCAGTTAGATGCCAAAAATCACATGATAATCTATCATCAGAAATTATTTTTAATCGTCTGTTAGCTGACAACTCAATTTGGTCTTCCTTCAATTTTGTTGAAAGCAAAGACTTAGAAACCACCTTAAGTGCAAAAAAATTTGTTATGTAGTCATTAAGGTCTTTCACCTTCTCGACACTGATGCCGGTACCGTATTTGGAATTAACCCTTTGTTTGGCACCCTGGAGGTTTTTACATGCTTGTACAACATCCTATGGTAAAGGTAGAAAGGGGAGACTATGAAAGGGGAGGCAGACATGAGAACCTGCTCCTCTATCATAAATGTACTTTCAGGAGGTCGGTTTTTGGAAAAGAGTCTATAAATTTGAGGATCTGGGGACAGATTCTTTTAAAACTGTCACCAATGTACCACTTGGAAAACCTTTACTGTACTCCCAAGTGTATGCATTAACCCAGCTGGAGATTCTAGAATCTCGCTGTGAAAAGACTCAGAACATGATTCTGGTGATCACAAGCATGTAAGGAATGAGGATAGCATTATTTTATGCAATGTGAATGGGGGAAAAGAGAAATATTTTGAAATTAACATTCAGTTTATATTATATGTGATATTAAATAAGTATGTATAATTAATAATTAAATACTATAAGTAGATATTTGGCTATTTCATCCACATCCATAAGGGTTTAGATTATTATATAAGCTTGACAAAATGATTTTTGAGGGCAAACTTCACATTGATCCATACTTGGGTTGTTTCCACCTTTTGGCTATTGTGAGTACTGCTGCTATGAACACGGGTATACAAATATCTCTTTGAGATCATGCTTTCAGTAGCCGATTTACTTTTGTATTTTGCTTTGGCTGTATAATGTAAAAAATTTTAACTCATACGGATAAATAGTTGCAAATGGTAACAATTTGTAATAGCTCACCATGGAGTGTTATAACTCATCTGAATGTAAACTCATCTATAACACACAAGGCAAATTATGAGACATTTTAGTTCCAAAGTCAATCATTAGCAATACCTAAAAGCTTTTCTGTTTTTTTTAAACCAGTATGTGTACAATTTGGAAAGGATTTCTAGCCAGCTAAAATTTGTATCTTCTGATACAATTTCTGATGCTTTAAAGGAATTTTTGACCTCTCATTGTTCTTTTTTTTTTGTAAGCTATTCTCTCAAATGTTAAAAACAATCAGAGACATTTTGGGTTTTTTTTTTTTTTGAGGACTTCATACTTTGTTTCAGTTTCATTTTTAGCATTTATTTGTAATTTCAAAACTTGATAACAGTGTAACAGTGTAACTCTCTCTCTTGCAACAGTGTAACTCTTGTAACAGTGTAACTCTCTCTATTGCCAAAATGATTGCTTCTAATAGTAAATATCTAGTCAACAAATATTTATGGGACAGCCCATATCAGGTCCACAATTCACAAATAATGAAGAAAACATACGTAATCCTTGGCTTCATGGAACTCACAGTTTACTAGGGTTGATGAATAGTAAATAAGTAAACAGACAACTAAATAATTTTAAACCATGGGTTTTTATAATAGAAAATAACAGTCTACTGTAAGAATAACAGGGATAAATGCTTTAGGTGAGATGGGCAGCGAAGGCCTCTCTGAAGAGGTGACATTTAAGATGAGCCCTCATGGCAAGAAGGAACCTGCAATAATATGGGAAAAGAGCATTCAAACAGTGGGAGTAGCACGGACAGTGATTCTACAGCCTGAAAGAACTTGACGTGTTTGAAAAACTGAAACAAGATCCATGTAGTGGAAGCATATTCAGTATATTCATTTCCTGTCACTGCTGCAAAAACTTACCACAAAGTTAATGGCTAAAAACAACACACATTTACAGTTCGCGGGGGGGTCAGAAGTCTGACCCGAACTTTATGGGGCCAAAGTTGAAGTGTCACCAGGGCTGTGGTCTTTCTGCAGGCTCTAAGGGAGAATGAGTCTCCTTGCCTTTTCCAGCTTCTAGAGGCCACCTGCATTCCTTGGCTCATGGCCCCTTCCTCTATCTTCAGAGTACATCATTCCGACATCTGCTTCAGTCCTCACATCACCTCTCACTCTGACTCTCCTGCCTCCCTCTAAGAACCCTTGTGATTGCGTTGGGCCCACCTGGATAATGCAGGATCATCTCCCCATCTCAAGATCCACAATCACATCTGCAAAGCCTCTCTTGCCATGTAAGGTGACATTTACAAGTTCCAGAGATTAGGACATGGAAATTTTGGGGGCTGTTTTTCTGCCTGCCACCTTCAGGGAGTAGAGAAATGAGAAACAAAGCTGTATAAATGAGTGTACTATGTTCTATTTCAGAGATGTTTTAGTTAGCAGAGTTCGTATTCATTAGAGTTTAATGTAGGCTGCGATAACAAAGAGACCCTACAATATTTTGGCTTAAACAACATAGGAGTTAACTTCTGTTTCATGTAATAATCCTGAGGAAGGCAGTCCAGGGCTGGGAGGATGGCTTTGCTTCATTAGGTCGTTCAGAGGTCCAGGCACATTCTGTCTTGTTGTATTGCCAGCCTCAACATGTGACTTGCTGGTCATGGTCTAGGATGGTTATGAGTTCACACTCTAGTAAGTTGGAAGATGGAAAGGGACAGCAGGATACCACACTCATTCCTTTTACAGGCATGACCCAGGAGAGGCACATAAGATTTCCGCTCACATCCCAATCCCTAGAACTTTGTCACGTGATCACACCTGACTTCAAGAGAGGCCAGGACATGTAATCTTTGGCTAGATGGTTTTTGTTCAAACTAAAACTCAAGTGTTTTCTTCTTCTTCTTCTTCTTCTTCTTCTTCTTCTTCTTCTTCTTCTTCTTCTTCTTCTTCTTCTTCTTCTCCTTCTCCTTCTCCTTCTCCTTCTCCTTCTCCTCCTCCTCCTCCTCCTCCTCCTCCTCCTCCTCCTCCTCCTCCTCCTCCTCCTCCTTCTCCTTCTTCTTCTTCTTCTTCTTCTTCTTCTTCCTCTTCTTCTTCTTCCTCTTCTTCTTTTTCCTCTTCTTCTTCTTGTTTTGAGACAGGGTCTCATTCTGTTTCCCAGGCTGGAGTGTAGTGGCTGGATCATGGCTCACTGCAGCCTCGAGCTCCCAGGCTCAAGTGATCTTCTCACCTCAGCCTCCCAAGTAGCTGGGACTACAGGCACATGCCACCATGACTGGCTAATTTTTTAATTTTTAAATTTTTCTGTAGAGATAAGGTCTTGCTATGTTGGCCAGACTGGTCTTGAAAAGTGTTTCATTATTAAAGGAAGAAGAAGAAAATGGAAATTTGTCTCTGCAACAAATTTCTTTATAAAAGCATATTGATTTCATGTTTTATTTTAAGAATTAGTATTAGCACCTTCCCTTGAGACAGCCATTGGCCTCCAGTATAAAATGGAAATTATGACACTTGCTGCCATATAATTATAAAAAGTTCTGACAAGTTTGCAATTTAAGGAATGCTCCTTAATAAAATTGACAGTTTGCCTGGCGTCATTCAACCTTATTTTGAAAAATGCTGACATCACACTAATGCTTAGAGCTTGTCTAAATAGAATAAGAACTAGTGTAGTTGAAAGCAGTGTGGAGCCAGCATTGATACAAGTTGCTATTTCTCCAATTTATTCAGTAAAATGCTTACCACTTTATTATTGACTTTTGGGTCATAAATTAAAACTTATCAACATACTTAAAGACTGTGTTCCTGTTGAATAAGTGGTAAGTGTTTATATACAAGAGCCTTCCTCATAGTCATCTGGAAGAACATATACATAAAAATAGGCAAAAAGGACAAATACACAAATCCATTCACTTATGCTGATGAATTGCAGACTTGACATAACATATGCTCTTGAACAGATTCATAAGATATGTAGACTCTTGGATCCTATTTCAGCTGTTTCAGATAATAGTACTACTGATATGTTTGCAGCAGTTTGCTTATCTATCATTCATTCAGAAAATATCAGTTGAGCACCTACTATTTATCAAGCACTATTCTAGGTGCTTGGGGTACATCAATGAATAAAAGAGACAAATATCTCTTCCCTTCATGGAATTTACATTTGTGTTGCAATACCCATAGATCACGGTTTACTAAGCACTTAAACATGCAACATTTTTATTGAAATGTGCTCTATATACAGAAAAGCACACAAATTATAATCGAAAAGATGGATGAATTTTCCTAAAATGAACAAACCAGCGTAACCAGAACCCCAGATGCCCTTTGTATTGCCTCGGTCACTACCCTCTGGGAGTGACCACTATCCCGATTTCTAACACCACAGATTAGCTTTGCCTGCTTTTCAACTTTATATAAATGGAATCATACAGTACATGCTCTTCTGTAGCTGGATTCTTTTTCTCAACATTTTGTTCGTGGGATTCGTCAGGTGGTTTTGCATAGTTGTAGTTAGTTTATTCTCTTTACTATACAGTATTCCGTTGTGTGAGTATGCTACACTCTTCTTACCCATTCTCCTGTTGATGGATATTTGGTTGTCTTACATTTTGGGGTATTATGAATAGTGTTAAACATTCTTGTACATGCCTTTCAGTGGATATTTGCATGCATTTCATTTGGGTATGAAACTAGGCATGGAATTGCAGCCTCATAGGGAATGCTTATGTTCTACTTTAATAGATATTGACAGTTTTCCAAAGTGTTTGAACCAATTTACTCTTCCTCCAGCAATGTAGAAAAAGTTTTAGTTGCCCACATCCTTGTCAGCACTTGGTATTGTCTGTCTTTCTGATTTTAGCTATTTTATAGATTTGTGGTAATATGGCATTATAGTTTTAATTTGCATTTCCTTGATGGCTAAGTGGGGCTCTTTCCCTGCATTTATTATACTCGTTTGGATATCCACTTTTTTGAAGTGTCTGATCAAGTCTTTTGCCCATTTTTCTATTGAATTGTCTACTTTTTTCTAATATGCTTTTCTATATGTGCATTTTGGCATCTTGCATTGAAAGATCCTATGTGTACTTATATAATCAGGTTTAAATTTTGTTTGCATAATTTTTCCAATAACATTAAGCTGTTTAATTTATGCTGAAAGAACTTAGAGCCTTATTTTTATGCTCACTGTGAGTTGTTTCAAAATGATGCTGTAACTTGGCAAGGACTGCAGAACTATTTTGAAAAATTTCACTGCTTCAACTATGCTGATGACTTGTGCACTGTTTTAACATGATAAAAGCTTAGTGCTATAACAAATTCAGCCACCATTTTATTCTGCCTTTAAATGACATCGTGAGAGCATTTTAGGTACATTATTTTCATTTTATGTACTGCCAGTTGCTAGAGAAAGATTCATTTGATTCCAATATGCTATTTTTTGTTGTTCATCTCCAACCCAATCAATCTTATCACTCCCATCACTGGGTTTTTGTTTAAAAATGTCCTCTTTTTAATCTGTAATCCATTTCTGGCTTTACAGGTAATAATTGCAAACCATCTGAAAAAATTGTAAATAATAATAGCCCACAGAAACTGCCTTGTACAAGGCACAGTTCTGTACTTTCTGTACTTTAACTCATTTAAACCATATGAGGTAGGTGCTATTATCAGCTTCATTTTACAGGTGATGAAATAGAGGCTTGGGAGAAGTAACTTGGCAAAGTTGCTGTTAATTGGGAAACTCAGAATTCAAACCCTCATGCCTAAGCTTTACTTCCCCCAGCCCCTTTATCTGGGTCTGTCAGCTTGACATGGCAGATTTCCCACTATCAGCATGATCATTGGCACACTTCACTCTTTCTTCTTACTTCCTCCACAGAGCACATTCAGCATATTTATACACTTCTGCCTCTTCCTTACATGGGTCAGAGCCTGGTCCTCTTTTTTTTTTTTTTCTTGTCTGACATTTGGATTTGGGGCAGAGAGAGAGAGGCCCTTTTTGGATCTTGAGCCTCAGCAATACTCTCTATCCTCGATTTGAGAGCTCTGTCTCAGTATTTTGGGCATAAACTCAGCTAATGACAAAGCTGTACTGTGACTTCCCATTTGCTGCTGTCCCTAATGTAAATCTCAATGGGATAGCAGAAATGTTTTGGTCCCTACAAATGATGCCGGGGGTTATTAAATATGATTTTCATTTAGAAAGTAGAGCCCCTGGGTGGCTCTTATGTTTGTTTTGGGAAACAAATTGGCCCTTCTCTAGTGTTCTGAATATTAAAATAGAATTGGGTGTGGAGTTCTGTCTTGGACCTCATCCAAATGATTCTAATTATCAAGGCATGCTGACGACCAGGTATAAAAGTAGTTTTGCCTACAAAATAGTCTTATGGTCTAGATCCCAAGTATAATATAGGAATAAAGCTTTGGTTGTTTATTTGTATCTTCTCGTAACTGTGACTTTTTAAAAAAATGGACACTTCTTTCTTCTGCTATGATCAAGTGCCTAAAATTATAAAATATCTATGTCTTCAAAGAGGGAGAGAGTAAAACGGAAACTCGGTAGAAAAAAAAATAACTTTTTCCCCTCTTTTATCTTTAACTTCCATAAGTTGGGGGAGGTATCTTAGTCAGGGTTCTCTAAAGGGACAGAACTAATAGGATAGATGTATATATGAAGTGGAGTTTATTAGGAGAATTGACTCACACGATCACAAGGTGAAGTCCCACAACAGGCCATCTGCTAGTTGAGGTGCCAGGAAGCCAGTCCGAGTCCCAAAACCTCAAAAGTAGGGAAGCTGACAGCACAGCCTTCAGCCTGTGGCCAAGGGCTTGAGAGCCCCTGGCAAATCACTGATGTAAGTCCAAGAGTCCCAAAGCTGAAGAACTTGGAGTCCGATGTTCAAGGGCAGGAAGCATCTAGCACAGGAGAAAGATGAAGGCCAGAAGACTCAGCCAGTCTAGTCCCTCCATGTTCCTCTGCCTGCTTTATTCTAGCCACACTGGCAGCCGAATAGATGGTGCCCACTCAGACTGAGGGTGGGTCTGACTCTCCCAGCCCACTGATTCAAATGTTAATCTCCTCTAGCAAGACCCTCACAGACACACCCAGGAATAATACTTTGCATCCTTCAATCTGCTCAAGTTGACACTCACTATTAACTATCATAGGAGGCTTTGGCTTTTTTTTTTTTTTTTTTTTTTTTCAGTGGTGGCATTAATGGCTCTGGAACACCACAAGTGTGAGTTTGTCTAAACTGTATTTAGTGGAAATTATTAAGTGGAGGCCTGAGAGTCAGGCTCACTGTCTGGAATTTGCTCTCTAACCTGCTGTGGTTTGCTAGCATTTTATCAGCTGATTAGTCCCTCAGGATTCACTCTGTGAGGCCACATTTTTTCTTAATTTTTTGAGACGGAGTCTCGCTCTGTCACCCAGGCTGGAGTGCAGTGGTGCGATCTCGGCTCACTGCAAGCTCCGCCTCCCGGGTTCACGCCATTCTTCTGCCTCAGTCTCCCGAGTAGCTGGGACTACAGGCGCCCGCCACCCCGCCCGGCTAATTTTTTGTATTTTTTAGTAGAGACGGGGTTTCACCGTGTTAGCCAGGATGGTCTCAATCTCCTGACCTAGTGATCCGCCCGCCTCGCCGTCCCAAAATGCTGGGATTATAGGCGTGAGCCACTGTGTCTGGCCAAAGCCACATTTTTTATCTGTCTGGCAGAGTCCACTGTGCTTGGGTAACAATTAGAGCCCAAAGCAAGTGGCATAAATTATGAGAACTGAAATCCTAACAATGAAAGACAAGGAGTTTATCAAGAACGTTTTGTTGCCTCTGGATCTTGGATCTTTTTCACTCCTTCTATGAGTCATTCCAGTTCTACTCACTGTTTAGCTTTCTTGAACGGTAGGAATGTGCTCAAGAGAATAGCAATAATTTATCCCCCACCCCTTAAGATACCTTTTTCTTTTCATCTACTGTGTTCTAATTTTGTCATCTTTGCTAATGGATCTTGGGTGGGGGAATACTTTATGACTTGTTTGGCAATCAATCCAGAAGTTTCCACCAAGTATAGTGAAAGAGAAAAATCAATTTCCTTAAGACACGTGGTACAAATTATTTGATGCCAGCCTGAGTAATTTTACAAAATGACCTCCCTTGCTTTACAGCTTGCTTTTTTTTTTCACAAGTATTTATTAATTTATCCAAAATGAGAAAATTTAAGAGAGTATTCATATGCTTGGCAGGCCTATTTTCAATATCGCACAATAAATTACTGTGACGTGAACATGCCTGGGTCTCACTTCAGATACTGGTGGACTTGCATGAACAGTAAACATCCAGATTTCCTAGCTCATGAGAGACTCCCAGCCTTCATAATGTCCCTTTCTCCCCCAAAGGATTTCTGTTAGTCATTAGAGGGAGGCTTGCAAGTGCTCATGAACCACTGTGCAGGGTCAGCCATCCTGTTTCTCTCACTCTCCAAGTCCTCCTAGTTGATGGCTTTTGTTCATCATGCTGCTTGACGGTGCCTCTGGTTGCCACTGCGTTGCCTCTGGTGCTTTTTGTGAGAACACCAAAAGGGCTGTTTTGATGCTCACAGAGGCACTCATCCTCGGAGCCATGGTAAGGCTTTACAGAGTACAGAGACCACCCGTTCCCCAGCTCTGGGTTGTGCCTTGTCACCAGAGAGACCTAAGAATTGCTTTTGTTACCCCCAAGTCATAACTCATAGGATCTTTAATGAAAATGGTCCTTTCAGTTTTGGCCTGCACTTCTCTTATTTGGAACTCAAGCTCTGTTGCTGAGGCCCATTGGATAACTAGTACCAAGATGTTCTCCATTTTCCCTTCACCTCTCATTCCTGCCTCTATCTGGGCTCAATCCCCTCTCACTTTATTAAAAAAGCATATTAACATGCACATAAATAAACTCTTTTGTTTCAGGGGCTGTGCTGGTGTCTCAAGACTCATGGTCTCAGACTGATCAGGGCGCATGCTCTGGTTAAGTAGCCTAGATCGGAGTTCTTCCAAGTCAGCACATCAAAACCTTCATACTTTGGTTTTTTTTTTTTTTTGAGATGGAGTCTCGCTCTGTCGCCCAGGCTGGAGTGCAGTGGCACGATCTCTGCTCACTGCAAGCTCTGCCTCCTGGGTTCACGCCATTCTCCTGCCTCAGCCTCCCGAATAGCTGGGACTACAGGTGCCCGCCACCACACCCAGCTAATTTTTTGTATTTTTAGTAGAAACGGGGTTTCACCGGGTTAGCCAGGATGGTCTCGATCTCCTGACCTCGTGATCCACCTGCCTCGGCCTCCCAAAGTGCTGAGATTACAGGCGTGAGCCACTGCGCCCGGCCAGAACCTTCATACTTTGAGAAGCTGGTGAGCACTGGGATGAGCCCCGATAATTTCTGTTATATCCCCTGTGAGCAGCCCACTTGGCTGCTCTGCCTGCCACTGCCATTCTCTTCCTGATTATCCTTGCTTTGTTTCCTCTCTCACTTTGTTTGGATGAAATGTAACTTTGGTGAAATGCATTAGTGTTCAATCTGTTCTGTTTTGCTTCAGTGAAAGTTAGTGTTTCACTTCACCCTGTCCTTTGATCAGTGCATTTTAGAAGGAAGCAGATCACATTGGTGATATTTTGAATGTGGCTATCACAATGTAGGTGATGCTGCCTTTTTCTTATTGCTCACAGTGCAGGGCAGGTGGGACTGCAGTGGTTCTCATATCTGGCTATACATTAGAATCACCTGGGGAGCTTGAGACACCTACTAATGCCCAGGTCTGACCCCTCCAGAGACTCATTTAATTGGTCTGGAGCCCAGTAAGGACCATGTGTCAGATGAAGTTTTGATGCTGAAGAGACAGAGCATCTGACCTTTGATCCCAGGGACCACCCAATCTGTCAGAAATCACCATATACATCTTTGGTTTAGCATTATCCCTTAATGTCTTTTACCAAAAAAATAAAATAAAATTCTGGGAACAACAAAATAGCTGGTCCAGAATGAAACTTCCAGCATCCAATTTAGCACACTGAAAACAGCCCATTTCATGAACACAAAAGTTTTTCAGATTTCATTCCCATTATCATACCTCTCCAGTTTTCTTTTCTTTTCTGTGGAGGAGAATATTCTCTGGTAACTCAGAAGAAAGGAATGAAGATGAGGTTGGGAACATCCATATCCAGGAGAATATGACGTTTTTCTGGGATTTGTGTAAGTTTAAATTAAGAACACACCTGCACAAATGTCAGAAATAGGCCCCCATCCAATGCTATTTAAATAGGTCATTATTACAGTTGAATGCTGTGATGGTTTCCACACAAGAAAGCAGTAGGGATCTGAATAGGGAAAGGTGAGGATGGTGTGAGCAAGGCTGCCTCCAGAATCCTGCGGGTTCTGAACATTTTCCTGGAGCACGAGATCAACATGCATGTAGAACGGGGATTGGAGAATTCAGCATTGCAGCAGCTCCGTGGGTCTTCTTGATAAGTACATGCACATGTTGACATGGCAATAGAAAGCATCACTGCACTAACTCAGATTGTGAGATAATTATGACTTATTCATAGCACTGCAGGCCGATTACAATAATGATTACATTTCTATTACAGTTTCCTCCCATCCTCCTTCCTGTCCCCAGGAAGCCTAAAGAATTTTACTCATTTATTTTCACCACGCGCCCATAGTTTAGTTGCATTCGCCTCTTTAAACCACAAAGACATGAACCGAAGGAAAAAGAAAGTTACTGAAGTTCCTGAAATAAGACAGAATTAAAACAGACCTAAACATCATTTGCATTTGTCTGCTTAGATTTTATTAAGTCATGAGAGAGCCATAAGTACTCAGTGTAGGTTCTTGTAAGCTGGTCTTAGTAGCTAGAGCAACAGAGAAAGGCTGGAAGAATGATGTGGGTCATAGAGGAAAGACCATGTGTTATTAGACTTCTCTTTGAAGGTACTGGAGTGGTGAGAAGAGGTAGCACTGGGGAGCATATTAATTCCTTCTCTTGGAAACTGCAAACAAATAGGGGAATATAGCTACTTTGCAGAGTGGCTCAGCAGTATTTACTAAAGCTGAACATATACCTGCCCTGTGATCTAGAAATTCCACTTCTGTGTCCACCCAAGAGAAATGAGTGCACATATCCACCAAAAGAAATGCATTACAATAATATTTATAGTGGTCTTATTCATAATAGTCCCACACTGGAAACAACCTAAATGGCCATGAATAGGAGAATGGATAAAAAATTTATAATAGATACATACAATGAAATACTACTCAGTCAAAACCAAAGAGCATAAACCAACAAACTAACCTCTTACAGACTATATGATTCATTGATACAAGTTCAAGAAGAGGCAAAACTAATATATGATGATAGAAGTCAGAATAGTGATTATCTTTAAGGGTGAGTATTGACTGAGAGAGGGGGCGTGAGAGAACCTTCTGGGTGCTAGAAGTAGCCTGTATCTTGGTTTGCTGGTGTCAACCCTGGTGTGTACATATGTCAAAATGTATTGAGCTGCACACTTGATATTAGAGTACATTCTATACTGTATGTATGGTGTACCTCAATTAAAACAAATAAAACAAAAACAAGAATTATAGATAGGGAGACGCATTGATGTCAGAGTGTCACAATAAAAAACAGTCAAGAATTATATAAAGTAAGAAAAAGTTGACTGGGCATGGTAGCTCACGCCTATAATCCCAGCACTTTGGGAGGCTGAGGTAGGTGGATCATTTGTGGTCAGGAGTTCGAGACCAGCCTGGCCAACATGGTGAAACCCTGTCTCCACTAAAAATACAAAAATTAGCTGGGTGTGGTGGCAGGTGCCCGTAATCCCAGCTACTTGGGAGGCTGAGACAGGAGAATCGCTTGAGCCTGGGAAGTGGAGGTTGCAGTGAGCTGAGATCGCACCATTGCACTCTAGTCCGGGCGACAGAGCAAGACTCCATCTCAAAAAAAAAAAAAAAGAAAAAAAGAAAAGAAAAAAAGAAAAATTAAAAGTTGATTATATTATTTATACTACAGTAATTTTATTTCAATTTCTAGGAATTGTTTTCATGTGTTAATAAATTACTAGCCCTCAAAATGGTCTTCTGGTAGGCAATTAGCAAAATATATCTATGCTCTTCCTTATCCCTCTACCAATAAGATAGTCATTTGCTTTTGTATTTATTATAAAGATATTTGTGGCAGACTGTTCTGGTTGACTACCTAGGAGCCATTCCCAACCTTTTATCCCTTGCAGATTTTTTACTATAGATGTTGGAAAAATCAGAGTCACTTTCTCAGCCTCTCTTTCATGTCTCGTACCTAGATCCCATCTCTTTTTTTTTTTTTTTTTTGTGGCAGGTTTTTTTTTTTGTTTTAAATTATACTTTAAGTTTTAGGGTCTCTTGATGGGAGGTAGTCAAAGAATTTTTAGATATGTTTTACAACTGCCACGGCATCTACAAGTGATACAAATTATTATGCATTTTCAGCTTTCAATCACTTAATTTTAACTAGGAGAAATGGGAAGTCAAGTACAACTTCCTTGGGTTCCATCATGCCCCTATTTTAATTTTGGCCTGTAGGTGGTCTTATGAGCCAATAAACACAGTTAGGCGAGAGCTGTTGGTAAGGCAAACCAACTGTGTCTGCCAGAGATTTCTCTTCTTTTGTTGGTCCAGGCAATAATGGGCCAAACAAAAAGCTCCTTACAAAAAGGGATAACTCATAATTAGTAGAACAACCCCCACCCGACATTTCTTTTCTTTTTTTTTTTTTTTTTTTGAGATGGAGTCTTGCACTGTCACCCAGGCTGGAGTGCAGTGGCACCATCTCCACTCACTGCAACCTCTGCCTCCCGGGTTCAAGCGATTCTCCTGCCTCAGCCTCCTGAGTAGCTGGGATTACAGGCGCCATCACGCCCGGCTAATTTTTTGTATTTTTAGTAGAGATGGAGTTTCACTATGTTGGCCAGGCTGGTCTTGAACTCCTCACCTCGTGATCCACCTGCCTTGGCCTCCCAAAGTGCTGGAATTACAGGCGTGAGCCGCAGTGCCTGGCCCACATTTCTTTATGGAGAATTAATGTACTCTTGCATTTGAATAGCCTTAGAATTTGCCTAATTTGAGGATGGATAAAGTATAAATAGCTTGGTTCTCTGGGATAATTGGATCATGCCTATTGGGCTATATATATATGTATATATATATATATACATATATATACATATACATATATATGTGTGTGTGTATATATATATATGTGTGTGTGTATATATATATATATATTTTGTGTGTGTGTGTGTGTTTGTGTGTGACAGAATCTCATTCTGTTGCCCAGGCTGGAGTGCAATGGTGTGATCTTGGCTCATTGCAACTTCCGCCTCCTGGGTTCAAGCGATTCCCCTGCCTCAGTCTCCTGAGTAGCTGGGATTAGAGGCACCCGCCACCACGCCTGTCTAATTTTTGTATTTTTGTAGAGATGGGTTTTCACCGTGTTGGCCAGGCTGGTCTCGAATTCCTGACCTTGTGATCTGCTCGCCTTGGCCTCCCAAAATGCTGGGATTACAGGCGTGAGCCACTGCACCCGGCCCCATTGGGCTATGAAAAAAGAAAGGTTCCCACATTCCTTCTCTTACTTTCTTGGAGGTAAAATAAGCCAGGGTAGGGTTCATAGCTCTTACCACTTTGTGTAAGAAGAAGGCATTGAACACAAAATCTGCTTATAAGCAGAATGAGAAGGAAGCATTCATTGGACCACCTAACAAGATAGAAGAATTTAGGGTGAGTAAAGGTTTTCCTGAAATTAGAAAGGAAAACTGAAGTTCATTACTTAAGTCTGGAAAGGTAACACATCCATAATTAGATGTTCATATTTCACTTGAAGTTGTACAGTACAGCATCTCTCCTTATACCTAGTAATTATATAGAATTTAAATATTTATGCCATTTACTTTTTTCAGATTTTTTGTGTTGTTCCAGCATTTATATACAGAAAAATTGAAAAATTGTCCTATGAACATCGACATAGCCATCACCTAGATTCTACAATGAACATTTCAGCATATTTATTTTATCACACATCTGTCCATCTATTGATCCTGCTACTCATTCATCAATTCAGCTTATTTTTTGCTACATTTTAAAGTAAGTTGCAAACATCAATACACTTTCCCTATGAACACTTCAGCCATCTATTTTTTATTTTTATAGAAATGTCAGTTTGGGAAGATTTAGGTGCTATTTCTTCTTCTTGCAATTATTTATGTATTTTATATTGAACCGTTACCATAGAAGTTATGATGATAATGAATATGTATTGAACACTTCCTAGATGCTGGGTACATAATTCTTTGCAATAATCTCCTGAAGTAGGTAGTATTATTATTCCCGTTTAATAGCTGACAAAGCCGAGGTATAATTAGCTATATACCTGCCCATGGTTGTATAGCTTTGACGTGACGGAGCTGGGAATTGAACCTTCACACTTTGACTTGAGAATCTGATTCCTGAACCACCAAGAAGAGTAACTAGGGTTGCAGATATCGTGCCCAGGAGGAAAGAGCCACTCTAGGATTTCCAAACCTGGTAAGAGATGGCAAAAACTGTATATGCCTTGGATAATACACACCACTGTTTCCATCCGTTTGTACACAAGAGGGAACTGTATGTGCAGGAAGGATTTTCTAAATAGTGAATTATTAAACTTTCTGCATTTTTTTTTCTTTTTTGGAAATTCTTTCGTTTTTGAGCACTATTGGTTAGTTCATAAGTACATTGTCTATTAAACCCCAGGGAAGAAAATGACCAGGCATTAGTTTTTTATTTGTTCCCTAGTTTTATTTTTTATAAAAGCCCTTTTTATTGAAGTATGTTATAATGCACAGATAAGTGCACTCATAACAACCTGAACACACCTTTGTGTGCCAGGAACAGAGCAAGTAATAGTTTCCCCTATGTTGATGCCCAACCATTTATATATAGGACTGCAGCAATTCAGGGTATCTACTCCTTTGCTTTTCTTACATTTTAAGTGGAGACTAAAGCAAACACTTTCCTTCTTTCTGAACATTAGTTACATAATCACTGGGTCTATTTATTAAATAGATAAACCCTCTATCAATCATATTTATGGACTAACATTTGGACTAACATTTCTTCAGATAAGAAATATACATTAGTCATAAACAGACATAAAAACTGAAACTCTCTAGATAGAATTAAACTCATATTTTTATTCTATTTCTGTGTTTTTTGAGATAGAGTCTTGCTCTGTTGCCCAGGCTGGAGTACAGTGGTGCAATTTCGGCTCACCACAACCTCCGCCTCCCAGGTTCAAGCGATTCTCGTGCCTCAGCCTCCTGAGTAGCTGGGACTACAGGTGCGGCCAACATGCCTGGCTAATTTTTATCTTTTTAGTAGAGACAGGGTTTCGCCATGTTGTCCAGGCTGGTCTTGAACTCCTGACCTCAGATGATCTGCCTGCCTCGGCCTCCCAGAATGCTGGGATTACAGACGTGAGGCACCATGCCTGGCCTATTTCTATTTTTTCTTTATCTTCATTTTTTTTTCTGTTTTTGACATTTTGTATATTATGTAAAACTGTTTTTGCCCTTTTACTTTCTATATTTCGAAGAACTTTAATAAATAAAAGATGTGAAAACCAAATTGCTGTTCAAATTCAATTGTTCCCAGTTATACCAGGAACTAAACAGAACCCAACAATTCATAGCTTCTTAAGGTGAAAGCAGCTCAACGTTATTGAATCTTCTGTAAAAGAAGTAGAGAAACAAAAATGGAGGAAAAAGGGGAAACTCAGAGACTGATAAATATGACAACAGGTTAATATAATGAAGAACATATGGAGTTATGAAGGCTCTGAGAAATCACCATCAAGACTTGGCATTCTCTGCTCCATTTCTCGTGTTATCAAATCATTTGTCTTATTGGGAGCTTTAGTCATTTCTTGCCTTTTATTCATTTCTTTGTCTTCCTTTGATCAGCTGGTAATATATAGCATCCTTACACTGTATACTTATTTCAGGACTGACTACAACAGCTATAAATTTCTCATGTACAGAGGGAGGTAAATAAAAGACTGGTAAGCTTTAGTGATGGGGATTGTAAACCACCCTAATCGAGTGTATCAAAAGACTTCTAGAAATAAAACTGTTGTTAACTTTCTTTTCTATATAGGTTTAAAGGAGAAAAATTTAAGCTAACAATTTTGAAATGACTGCCAGGGACACTTTCCCTGAAGTCACACAGGGGGATGAAATAGAATGCTATTTTCAAATGAACTGACATAGCACTGGGTATTTTGATAAGGGTACCTCTTTTTGTTGGTTGTATGTTAGGAGCAGAGATGGACAAGTGTCCTACCCCTTTATGAAGCCTTATGGTTTATAATTTACAGAATAATTTGTTGATGCATTGGATTTGGAAGATATATTAGCTTTAGCTGCAATAACAAATCAGGCTTTGGACTTGATTCAGGTCTGCTTCATGTATGTGGGGGCCATGCTAAAAAAACAGCAGTTATCTGAGACGTGCTTTTTGCATGGTGAATGACTGAAGCATAATAGTTGCTGGTAGAAGCTTGCCGTGCCTCTTAAAACTTCTGCTCATAACAGATACGCTGTCACTTCTATTTACATTCTATTGGTCAAAACAAGTCACAAGGGTAAGCCTAAAGTCAATTGGACTTTGAAAATTCTATTGCAAAGTCAAATGGCAAAGGCTGTGGATTTATACTCCTGTTACAGGGAGGGAATACAAAGTTGGGAGCAGTAATCCAAACTACCATAGAAGGCCTCCATTAGAAGAGGGTCTTGGGGTTAGTGGAGTGTAATTTTTATCTTTTCCCCACAGTTTAGATAATCTGAAGTGAGGTAAGGGGTTTTACAAGAGTTTTCATTTTTAGAGCATATTTAGGAACACTAAAATTTAGAATAGCTTGAACATAAGGTGGAATAGCTCAAAGTAATTCGTATAGTGAACTGTATAAGTTACCCACTCAACATGGACTTAGTAAGTTCTTACTACTGCTCACCACCATGCTCAATCTGTGTGAAGATGTTAAAAATCCAGGCAAGCGGAAAGGTGTAGAAGAGGGTGTGGTGTTTTCCTCTGCATCTTGTTAGATGACATTTGGGATTTCAGTCCTGAGGAGGAGTATGAGCACCCATCCTCCCACACTGCCAGTGCACTGTCATGAGCAATGCGTTTGGAGGGAACGTGTCTGCTGTTTAAGAGGATGACATAATGATGAGTCTGGGTGTGGCTCACTGAATCATCCTTCTGTGGGCAATACATGAGCCTACCTGTATCTCAAACTCACATGAGCTCTTCACCAGGCAGGAGGAAGAAAAGAGCTTAGCTGGTGTTTGTTATTTGGCCCCTTCCTTCTTGCTTGTGCCTAAATAAAGACACAACAGTCTGCTCTCCCCACTTTTCTTCAGGAAAAGGTCTAGCATTTGCCTTTTTCACTGAGATGAGTTTCCAACAAGAACTTGAGTTCTTCCAACATTATCAGCAAACACCTTCCAGTCAGTGTGGACAGGAGAAAGCAATGACTGCAGGTGGTCAGTGGCTTATTCTGCAATGAGGTTGAAAAGCAAGATCGAGTCACGGGCTCACACAAGACTCGGAAATCTGCCTCAAATTTATATTTTGAAAATATTCAGTTTGCCTAATGAATGTGTCTAAACAAAGGTTTTCCTGCCAGGTTTTCAGAAATGGAATAAATGATCTAATTTTTATTTGGATCAGAATCAGAATCTACTCCCTGTCTGTAGAAAAATGAGCCCAGAGGAAATCTGCAGCAGCCATGCATTAACCCTTCTATTTCCAAGCTACTGTGCATGAACAATCCCTGGGTTCATCCTGGATTTTCTGCTGGGCCAAGACACAGCACAGCTTGCCCTGTAACTGGTGCAAAGCAGGTTTAACTTCACTCTGAACAAACCCAGCTATGCTTTGTGTAAGGCCATTATGTGGATAAAGAAATGGGCTCTTTCTTGATGCAGTGAGTTTTAGAGGCAGGTGCAGATGAACAGCCAGCCATAATTACACATATTGAGGCATTTCCTGCCTCCATCTGTTAACACCCAGTTTGAACTGCGGTATTATATTTTCTAGTGTGGCCTTCATTTTAATTAGGGTTTTAGCCTTATTTGGAATCAGGGAATCCTTTATGACTAAGAAAAGAGATAGATAACCCCCTCACCAAATTCACATATATACATGGTTCAGACATTTAATTTCAGGATTTAACAGAACCCCTGAAGTTATGGCCCCAGATTAAGAGTCCCTACTTTAGGTCTTTCTATGTAATAACATTCATTTTAGGCTACTTGATTGATAGACAGACACAGGTTAGTGAAGGGGAAAGGTATAGACAGTTGGGCCCCAAAACTGATGCCATTATTTACTAGCCCCAGGGCCTCACTGAGCCCAAGTTTCTTCACTTGGAAAATGCGGCACATTGTAGCACCCTCTCAGGGTTGTTTTGAGAACAAAATGAGGCAATTTCCCTGGCTTTTGAGTGTTCAAGAAATGGCAGCAATTATTATATTGTTATTGATGTATTGACATTGTTATTACATTAGGAATCCAACAAATGGAAAGTATATCTGAACATCTCACAATAGAAATGTGAATCAAATGACACTTTTAAGGTTGCTGCCTTCAGTTGAGGCGGCCAGTGCACTAAAGTTTTTGCATAGCTCTTAGTGTCCTTCTCCATGACATACTGCCAGGCCCCCATCATCTCTAAACATTATGCTAGTTAAGCATTAAAAACAAAGTACCTGGCACATAGTGGATGCTCAATAAAAATTAATCACTGTCGTGTTGATTATTATTATTACTATTGCTGCTTCATAGGGCATTCTCCAGTGAAACCTTAGTTTCAGGGGAGAGAGGGTCTCAAGATGATTTTTTCAAGGAGGGAAGAATATCTCAAAGCCAATGTGACAAGGGGAACAAAAAAGTAGCTTTTTATGTCCCCTCCCCCTTTCTCTATATCCTATAAAAATTTCTTTGCCTTCCATTTATTTCACTCAGGATAGGTTAGAATGCAGAGGCTCAGCAGCTCTTCAGGGACAAATAACAAATTTTTAAATAATGATTGCTTGAACAGCCCTTGGCAAAAGTATCAGTCACACATTCTGCATTGTTGGGTGGAGCTGGCTGTAGGTTCTCCAAGAAGCCTGTGTGTTCAAGGTCTCTCTCCCTTTCCCTCTGGCCATGCTTGTCCTTTTACCCCGTTTTTCTTGAAGGTACAAATGACTAAAAACAGATAAACATGTGAGCACTCACCATGCTTATATTTTCATTGGAATAAAAGTCTAGGATTGTGTGTTTGTACACCTAGAACCTGGCAAAGGCTCCGTAAATATCAAATGAACAAAGCAAAGGAATTCAGATAGGCAGATTAGTTGCTGGTAGGAAAATTTATTTTTAGGGGGTGGAGGGGGCTTTTTGATATCCTTGAAGTCTTACTGTTTTCTCTTATCCTGAATCTTCTGGCTGTGGTGTTTGGGCATATTTTATTATTACTGTAATTTTTGAACTTGAGGTTCTGTTTGTCCTCCCTGTTCCAGGGTACCACCAGATTTACTAAAATGGTAAGGTTTTTTCCAAGGTGCCAGAATGTGACATGATCCAACTTAAGGCACTGTACTAGTTAGTTATTGCTATATAACAACTGCCGCTAAACATAGTGCCTTCAAACAATAGCCATGATTTGTTTTTTTTTTGTTTTTTTTTTTTTTTTTTTTTTTACTCATGTTTTTATAATCTGGGATGGGCTCAGTTGGGAGGTTCTTCTGATAGCTTTCCAGTGTTTACTCCTAAGGCTGCATTTAGCTGGTGAGTTGGCTGCGGACTGGTCTTCAATCTCTCTCTCCCTCCCTCTCCATGTAGTCTTGGATTCTCTTCCTCCTCACGTAGCCATAGCAGCTGGGCTTTAACATGGTGGCTAACAGCTCCCAAGAGAACACAAGTGGAAGCTGCCATGCCTTCTTAAGGCTTAGGCCTGGAACTGCATAGCATCATTTCCATTGCATCTCATTAGTTAAAGCAAGTCATAGGACCAGCAGAGATTTTTTTTAAGGTGAGAGTATTACACAAGGGTGTGAATACAACAAAGTGTGGTTCACTGGGGCCCACCCATGCATCAGGTACCTTAGACTCTTTTGCTGGGAGCAGAGATATTATAAGGAATGAAGAGAAACAGTTCTCAAAGGGCATAGAGTAGGGGCCAGGCTACATTTCTTTTCCTGCCTTGGCTATAATCTGTGAAAACCTTCAAATGGAGGAATGTGAGAAGCAAAGTATCCAGGGCATGGTCTTCCAACTTTGATATGTCAAAGTCCAGCATCAAATGGTACAAAACAGGTCTATGTTCCACTATTATACAACTTAAGTTCTAGTTAAACCCTAGTTGATATGGCTTTAGGATGAACTGGATACAGACTTTTCTGTTCTGACAAATAAAAAGTCACATTGTACCTTATGAAGTTTTTTTTTTAAAGATGAACATTTATTGTATAGTTTAAGGTGTACAACATGGTGTTGTGATATACATGTAGAGAGTGAAATGGTTACTACAGGTAATCAAATTAACATATTCAACACCTTCCATAGTTACCTCTTTTTATGGTAAGAGCATCTAAAATTTACTCTCTTAGCATATCTTCAACATACAATATTGTAAATTATAGTCTTTCTGGTGTACATTCAATTTCTAGACTATTTATCCTATATAACTGCAAGTTTGTGCCCTTTGACTTACTTCTCCCCATTTCCTCCCTCCCTGCCCCTGCTAGCTACAATTCTACTGTTTCTATGTATTTGACTTTTTTTTACATTCCATATATAAATGAAATCATGCAGTATTTTTCTATGTTTGACTTATTTCACTTAGCATGATGTCCTCCAGCTTCATCTGTGTTGTCACAAATGGCAGTATCTCCTTTTCTTTTGAGATGAGGTCTCAATCTGTCACCTAGGCTGGAGTGCAGTGGTTTGATCACGGCTCACTGCAGCCTCAACCTCCTGGGCTCAAGTGATCCTCCCACCTCAGCCTCCCAAGTAGCTGCAACTACAAGTGCACATCACCATGCCCAGCTAATTAAAAAAAAATTTTTTTTGTAGAGACAGGGTCTCACTATGTTGCCCAGGGTCTTGAATTCCTGGGCTCAAGCAGTCCTCCCACCTCAGCCTCCCAAAGTGTTGGGATTACAGGTGTGAGCCACTACACCTGATCTTCCTTTTTTTTTTTTAAGAGCTAAACAGTATGTACCACAATTTGTTTATCCATTCATTCTTTGATGGGCACAAGTTATTTCTATATGTGGCTGTTATGAATAATGCTATAATGAACATGGGAATGTAGATATCTCTCTGAGGTGCTGATTTCATTTCCTTTGGGTGTATACCCACTAGAGGGATTGTTGGGCCATATCCAACAAAATACTAATAGTAGTTCTATTTTTAATTTTTTGAGAAACCTTCATGCTGTTTTCTATAATGGCTATACTGATTTACATTCCCACCAACAGTGTACAAGGATTCCCTTTTCTCCACACCCTTGCCAACACTTGTTATCTCTTGTCTTTTTGATAATAGCTATCCTAACAGGTGGGAGGTGATATGTCATTGTGGTTTTGATTTGCATTTCCATGATGGTTAGTGATGTTGAGTACCTTTTCATATACCTGTTGGCATTTTTATGTCGTCTTTGGAAAAATATCTATTCCAGTCCTTTGCCTATTTTTAATCCAATTATCTTTTTTTTAGCTGTTAGGTTGTAAGAGTTCCTTATATATTTTGGATATTAACTCCTTATCAGCTGTATGGTTTGCAAATATTTTCTTATAGCCTGTAGGTTATTTTTTCATTTTCTTGATTGTTTCCTTTGCTGTGCAGAAGCTTTTTAGTTTGATACAGTCCCACTTGTTTATTTTTGCTTCTGTTGCCTGTGCTTTTGATGCCATATAAAAAAAATTAATTGTCAAGGTCAATATCAAGAAGTGATCCCCCTATGTTTTCTTCCAGGAGTTTTTTGGTTTCAAGTCTTATGTTTAGGTCTTTAATCCATTTTGAGTTGATTTTTGTGTATTGTATAAGATAAAGGTCTAATTTCATTCTTTTGCATATGGACTTCTAGTTTTCCCAGCACCATTTATTGAAGAGACAATCCTTTCCCCCATTTTTTCTTCTTGGTGGACTTCTTGAAAATTAGCTGACCATATATGCTTGAGTTTATTTCTGGGCTCTCTGTTTTAATCCATTGGTGTATGTTCCTGTTTTAATGCCAGTACCATGCTGTCTTGATTACTGTAGCTTTGTAATATAATTTGAAATCAGGAAGTGTGATACCTCCAACTTTATTTTTTCTTTCTCAAAATTGTTTTGGCTATTTGGAATTTTTTTGGTACCATAATAATTTTAAAATTATTTTTTCTATTTCTGTTAAAAATGCCATTGGAATTTTGATAAGATTGCATTGAATCTGTATATAGCATTGAGTAATGTGTGTTAGTGCATTTGCATTGCTATAAAAGAATACCTGATGCTGGGTAATTTATAAAGAAAAGAGGTTTATTTTGGCTGATGGCTTTGCAGGCAGTACAAGCATGTCACCAGCATTTACTCAATTTCTGGTGAAGAAGCTTACAGTGATGGTGGAAGGTGAAGGAGGAACAGGCATATCGCATATCACATGGTGAGAGAGGGAGTGGGAGAGAGAGAGAGAAAGAGATAAAGAAAGGAGAGAAAGTGAGAGAGAGAGAGAGAAAGAGAGAAAGGAGAGAAAGAGAGAGAGAGAGAAGGGAGGGAGGTGCCACGCTCTTTTAAAACAACCAGATCTTGCATGAACTCAGAGAACTCACTCATCGTGAGGAGGAAACCAAGCTATTCATGAAGGATCCACCCCCATGACCCAAACACCTCACACTAGGTCCCACCGCCAATATTGGAGATTATATTGCAGCATGAGATTTGGAGGGGACACACATTCAAATGATATCATACGGACAGTTTAACAATATTAATTTTTAAACTTTTTTTTAGTTCTTTCTCTTGCTAGCACAGGATATCTTTCTATTTATTTGTGTCTTCTTCAATTTATTCCATCAATGTTTTATAGTTTTCAGTATACAGATCTTTTACTTCCTTGGTTAAATTTATTCCTAAGTATTTTATTCTTGTTGATGCTGTTTTATTTATTTACTTAAATACACAACAGATAATTTTAATGAACATGACTTATAGATGGTTCTTGGTCTGAGAAGAGTTCTTTTTTAAAAAAATAACTTTTAGGTACAGGGGTACATGTGCAGGTTTGTTATATAGGTAAACTTGTGTCATGGAGGTTTGTTGTACAGATTATTTTGTCACCTGGGTACTACACCTAGTACCCAATAGTTATTTTTTCTGATCCTCTCTGTCCTCCTACCCTCCACCCTCAAGTAGGCGCCAGTGACTGTTGTTCTCTTCTATGTGTGCATGTGTTCTCATCATTTAGCTCTCATTTATTTTATTAAAAAAAAATTTTTTTTTTTGAGACAGAGTTTTGTTCTTGTTGCCCAGGCTGGAGTGCAGTGGCGCAATCTCGGCTCACCGCAACCTCCGCCTCCCGGGTTCAAGTGATTCTCCTGCCTCAGCCTTCCGAGTAGCTGGGATTACAGGCATGCGCCACCATGCCCGGCTAATTTTGTATTTTTAGTAGAGATGGGGTTTCTCCATGTTGGTCAGGCTGGTCTCAAACTCCCAACCTCAGGTGATCCACCTGCCTCGGCCTTCCAAAGTGCTGGGATTACAGGCGTGAGCCACTGTGCCCAGCCTATTTTATTATTTTTAACTTTTTTTCTAAATGGAAATAATATTTTTCTTTTCTTTTTTTTTTCTTTTTTTTTTGAGACAGGAGTTTCACTGGAATGCAGTGGTGCTATCTTGGCTCACTGCAGCCTCTGCCTCCCAGGTTCAAGCGGTTCTTGTAATCCCAAATAGCTGGGTTACAGGTGTGCACCACTACGCCAAGCTATTTTTTGTTTTTGTATTTTTAGTAGAGACAGGGTTTCGCCATGTTGGCCAGGCTGGTTTCCAACTCTTGGCCTCAAGTGATCCACCTGCCTTGGCCTCCCAAAGTGCTGGGATTAAGGTGTGAGTCACCGCGCCTGGCCTTAGCTCCTGTTTATGAGCGAGAACATGTGATATCTGATTTTCTGTTCCTTGGTGTGTTTGCAAAGGATAATGGCCTCCAGTTCTGTCCATGTTCCTGCAAAGGATGTGATCTTGTTCTTTCTTATGGCTGCATAGTATTCCATGGTGTGTATGTACCACATTTTCTTTATCCAATCTGTCAGTGATGGGCATTTAGGTTGATTCCATGTCTTTGCTATTGTGAATAGTGCTGCAATGAACATAATGTGTGCATATGTCTTTATGGTAGAATGATTTATATTCCTCTGGATATATACCCAGTAATGGGATTGCTGGGTTGAATGAGAGTTCTGCTTTTAGCTCTTTGGGGAAATTGCCATACTGCTTTTCACAATGGTTGAATTAATTACACTCCCACCAGCAGTGTATAAGTGTTCCCTTTTCTCCTCAACCTTGCCAGTATCTGTTGTTTTTTGACTTTTTAATAATAGCCATCTGACTGGTGTGAGATGGTATCTCATTGTGGTTTTGATTTGCATTTCTCAAATGCTCAGTCATATTGAGCTTTTTAAAATATGCTTGTTGGTCGCTTGTATGTCTTCTTTTGAGAAGTGTCTGTTCATGTCCTTTGCCTATGTTTTAATGGGGTTGTTTGTTTTCTCTTGTAAATTTGCTCAAGTTCCTTATAGAAGCTGGACATTGACCTTTGTCAGATGCATATTTTCTCCCATTCTGTAGGTTGTTTACTGTATTGATAATTTACTGTATTGATAGTTTACTATACTGATAGTATTGATAGTACTGTATTGATAGCTTCTTTTGCTGTGCAGAAGTTCTTTAGTTTAAATAAATCCCATTTGTCAAGTTTTGCTTTTGTTGCAAATTCATTTGGTGTCTTCATCATGAAATCTTTGCCAGTTCCTATGTCCAGTATGGTATTGAATAGGTGGTCTTCCAGGATTTTTATAGTTTTGGGTTTTACATTTAAGTCTTTAATTCATCTTGAGTTGATTTTTGTATATGGCTTAAGGAAGGGGTCCAGCTTCAATCTTCTGCATATGGCTAACACAGCACCATTTATTGAGTAGGGAGTCCTTTCCACATTGCTTGTTTTTGTCAGCTTTGCTAAAGATCAGATGGTTGTAAGTGTCTGGCCTTACTTCTGAGCTCTCTATTCTGGTCCATTGGTCCATGTGCCTGTTTTTGTACCAGTATCATGCTGTTTTGGTGACTGTACCCCTATAGTATAGTTTGAAGTCAGGTAATGTGATGCCTCCAGCTTTGTTCTTTTTGCTTAGGATTGTCTTGGCTATTTGAGCTTTTTTTGGTTCCATATGAATTTTAAAATAGTTTTTTTCTAGTTCTGTGAAGAATGTCATTGGTAGCTTGATGGGAATAGCATTGAATTTGTAAATTGCTTTGGGCAGTATGGCCATTTAAACAATATTGATCCTTTCTATCCACCAACATAAAATGTTTTTCCATTTGTTTGTGTCATCTCTGATTTCTTGGAGAAATCATTGTAATTCTCATTGTAGAGATCTTTCACCTCCCTAGTTAGCTGTATTCCTAGGTATTTTATTCTTTTTGTGACAATTGTGAATGGGACGCATTCCTGATTTGGCTCTTGGCTTGACTATTGTTGGCATATAGGAATGCTAGTGATTTTTGTATATTAATTTTGTGTCCTGAAACTTGGCTTAAGTTGTTTATCATCCGAAGGGGCTTTTGGGCTGACCCTGTGGGGTTTTCTAGATATAGAATCATATTGTCTGCAACCAGGGGTAGTTGGACTTCCTCTGTTCCTATTTGGATGCCCTTTCTTTCTTTCTCTTGCCTGATTGCTCTGGCCAGGATTTCCAATACTATGTTGAATAGGAATGGTGAGAGAGGGTATCCCTGTTTTTTTGCCTGTTTTCAAAGAGAAGGCATCAAGCTTTTACCCATTCAGTATGATGTTGGCTGTGGGTTTGTCATAGATGGCTTTTCTTATTTTGAGATATATTCCTTTAATACCTAGTTTATTGAGAGCTTTTAACATGAAGGGGTGTTGAATTTTATCAAAAGCTTTTTCTGCATCTATTGAGATAATCATGTGGTTTTCGTCTAGTTCTGTTTATGTGATGAATCACATGTATTGATTTGCATGTGTTGAACCAACCTTGCATCCTAGGGATAAAGCCTTCTTGATTGTGGTGGATTAGTTTTTTGATGTGCTGCAGGATTCAGTTTGCAAGTATTTTGTTGAGGATTTTTTACTAATGTTCTTTGAGGATATTGGCCTGAAGTTTTATTTTTGTGTGTGTCTCTGCCAGGTTTTGGTATCAGGATGATGCTGACCTCATAGAATGAGTTAGGGAGGAGTCCCTCCTCTACAATTTTTAGAAATAGTTTCAGTAGGAATTGTACCACCCCTTCTTTGTACATCTGGTAGAATTCGACTGTAAATCTGTCTGGTCCTGGCCTTTTTTTTTTTTTTTTTAATTGGTAGCCTATTTATTACTGATTTAATTTTAGAGCTTGTTATGGTCTGTTCAGGGAATGTTGATGCCATTTTAAATGGGATTGTTTTTAAATTTCTTTTTCAGATAGGTCTTTATTGGTATAGAGAAATGCAACTGATTTTTGTTTGTTGATTTTGTATCCTGCATCTTTACTGAATTCATTTATGAGTTCTAGCAGGTTTTTTTTTTTTTTTTTGGTGTGTGTGTGTGTGGAGTCTTTAGGGTTTTGTATATATAGGTTATGGCATCTGCAAACAAGGATACTTTTACTTCTTCACTTCTGATTTGGATGCCTTTTATTTCTTTTTCTTGTCTGATGGCTTTTCCTAGTACTTCCAATACTGTGTTGAATAAAAGTAGCAAGAATGGGCATCCTTGCTTTGTACCAGATCTTAGAGGAAAAATCTTCAGTTTTTCTTTTCCTTTTTTTTTCAGACAGGGTCTCATTTTGTTGCCCAGGTTGGAGTGCAGTGGCGCAATCATGGCTCACTGCAGCCTCGACCTCCCGGGGCTCAAGCAGTCCTCCCTACTTAGCCTCCCAGAGTGCTAAGGCATGAGCTATAGGCATGAGCCACCACGCTTGGCCCAGTTTTTCTCATTCATTATGATATTAGCTGTGGGCTTTTCATAAATGGCCTTTATTATGTTGAGGAAATTTCATTCTCTACCTATTATTTGAGAGTTTTTTATTGTGGGAGAATGTTGAACTTTATCAAATGCTTTTTCTGCATCTATCGAGCTGATCATGTGATTTTTTTTCTTTCATTCTCTTAATGTGGTACATCACATTGATTTGTGTATGTTAAGTCAACCTTGCATCCCATAAGTCTCATTTGGCAATGATGTATAATTTTTTTCATGTGTTGTTGAATTTGGTTTGCTAATGTTTTATTGAGGATTTTTGCATCTATATCCATCAGAGATATTTGCCTGTTGTTTTCTTTTCTTGTATTGTCTTTTTCTGACTTTGGGATTAGGGCGATACTGGCCTCATAAAATGAGTTTGAAAGTATTCCCTCTATTTCTGTTTTTTGGAAGAGTTTAAGAAGGATTGGTATTAATTTTTCTTTGAATGTTTGGTAGAATTTACCAGTGAGGCCATGTCATCATGGGCTTTTCTTTGTTGGGAGATTTTTTTTTTTTTCCGAGATGGAGTCTCACTCTGTCACCCAGGCTGGAGTGCAATGGCACAATCTCTGCTCACTGCAACCTCTGCCTCCTGGGTTCAAGCAATTCTCTTGCCTCAGCCTCCCGAGTAGCTGGGATTGCAGGTGCCCACCACCACACCTGGCTAATTTTTGTATTTTTAGTAGAGATGGGTTTCACCATGTTGGCCAGGCTGGTCTCGAACTCCTGACCTCTCGTGATCCACTCACCTCGGCCTCCCAAAGTGCTGGGATTACAGGCATGAGCTGCCGCGTCCAGCCGGGAGATTTTTTATGACTACTTCAGTCTCTGTTTGTAATTGATCTGTTCAGGCTTTCTATGTCTTCTTGATTCAATCTTGGTAGTCATGTATTTCTAAGACTTTATCAATTTCCTCTAGATTATCCAACTTGTTGGCATATAATTGCTCAAAATAGTCCCTTATGATCTTTTTTGTTCCTGAAGCATTCATTGTAACCTTTCCTCTTTCATTTATGATTTTATTTATTTGTGTCTTCTGTCTTTTTTCTTAGTTAGCCTAGCTAGGGGTTTGTTGACTTGTTTATTTTTTCAAAAAAACAACTCTTAGTTTTGTTAACTTTTTAAAATAGTTTTTCTATTATCTATTTAATTTGTTTTGGCTCTGATATTTATTACTTCCTTCCTTCTGCTACATTTGGATTTAGTTTATTTTTCTTTTCCTAGTTCCTTGAGGTATAAAGTTAGGTTATTTGAGATTTTTTAAATTTATGTATTTATTTATTTTAATTATTTATCTATATATTTTGAGACAGGGTCTTGCTCTGTCACCCAGGCTGGATTGCAGTGGCGCAATCACAGCTCACTACAGCCTTCAACTCCTAGGCTCAAGCAGTCGTCCCACCTCAGCCTCCAGAGTAACTGGGACTACAGGTGTGCACCACCACGTCTGGCTAATTTTTAAATTTTTTGGAGAGACGGGTTGTGACCATGTTGCCCAGGCTGGTTTCTTCTTTTTTAATGTAGGTGTCTATCACTGTAGCTTCCCTCTTATTACTGTTTTTGCTGTATCCCATAAGTTTTGGTATGTTATGTTTTTGTTTTCATTTGTGTTGAGATATTTTTAAAATTTTCTTTGGATTTCCTCTTTCACCCAGTGGTTGTTCAAGAGTAAGTTATTTAGTTTCCATGTATTTGTGAGTTTTTCCATTTTATTGCTGATACTGATTTCTAGTTTCATTCCATTGTGGTCAGAAAAAAATACTTGATATGATTTCAATTTTCATCAGTTTTTTAAGACTTGTTATGTAACTTAACACATGAAGTATCCTGGAGAATGTGTTGTGTATACTTGAAAAAATGTGTATTCTGCTGTTGGTTGAAAAGTTCTGTGTGTGTCTGTTAAGTCTATTTCGTCTGTAGTCTTGTTCAAGTTCACTGTTTCTTTACTGATTTTCTGTCTGAATTTTCTATCTATGATTATAAGTGGGGTATTGAAGTCCCCTACCATTATTGGGTTGCTGTCAATTACTCTTTTCAAATCTGTCAATATTTGCTTTATATACTTGGGTGCTGTGATTTTGAGTGTGTATATATTTAAAATTGTTATATCTTCCTATTGAACTGAATCTTTTATTATTATGTAATGCTCTTCTTTGTTTCTAAAGACAGTTTTTGACTTAGAGTCTACTTTGTCTGATATGTTTAGCCATTTCTGCTTTCTTTTGGCTACCATTTGCATGGAATTTCTCAATTGATCTTTTCCCTTTTAGCCTATATGTGTCCTTAAATGTAAACTGAGTTTCTTTTAGACAATAAATAGCTGGATTTTTTTTTAAAGTCCATTCAGCCAGCCACTCTGTATTTTTTTCTCTTGTGTTCAGTCCATTTACATTTAACATAATTACTGATATGAGAGGATTTACTATTGCCATGTTGTTAACTGTTTTCTGCTTATCTTGTGGTTCTTTTATCCCTCTTTTTCTCTCTTGCTGTCTTCTTTTGTGCAAGCTAGTTAGAAGCCTGACCCTCAGGCAGCAGCTGGAAAAATGTGCAAACAAACCTCTTCCAGGGAGAAACTGGGGGCTGAGCATTTTAGCCCTTTCTCTCTGGACTGATCATGGGGGCTACAGCCACTAGAAGTGCTTACATGCCTGTTCAAAATCATCTCTTTGTTCTCTGAGGTTGAGAGAAACTTGTGAGTGTCGAGTCCCTTCTGCTCCCAGAGCTAGGTGATTTAGGGGCCAGGCCCTTGGGTGGGAACTCCAAAAGTTGAGTCACTGATGTGTGCACAGACTTTTTCTAGGGTGAATCTGCATACCTAATTTATTGCTAGAGTGAACCAAGGGAGAAGGCGCAGAAGGCCATACTCCATTCAGGCTCTTGGAGGTCCGTTGTTTATCTGTCCTGTTGGCTCCCAGATATAGGCTGGCCAGAAGCCCAACCCTCAAGCAGCAGCTGGAAAAGTGTGCAGACAAACTCTTTCCAGGGAGAAAGTGGGAGTTGGGCATTTTCACCTTTGCTCTATAGACTGATCCTGAGGGCTATAGCTGTTGGAAGTGCTTGTACACCAATTCAAAACCACCTCTTTGTTCTCTGCAGTCCAGGGAAACTTGTGAATGCCAAGTCCCTTCTGCTCCCAGGGTTTGATTTAAAACCCAAACCCTCTGGGAAGAACCATAAAAGCTAGGGTCCTATGTGTGGTCCAAATCCTTCACTCCTCAGGGAGAAGCTGGGATTTGGAGATTCCTTCCCCAACTGTGAGGTATTGTACCTGTGGTGGGGTTTATGCTTGAGTGTGTCTCAGCTTTTTCTACCTGTTTTAATGTGGATATTTTCTCAGTTGCCCAGTATATAAGAATCTTTCAGTTTCTGGCTTTCTCTCAGAGGGAATTGGTCCACGTGTAGATGTTTATTTGGTGCATCCACGGGAGAAGGGAAAGTCAGGAGCATCCTATTCCACCACTTTGCTGATGTCTTTTTTTTTTTAAGTACATTTCACTATTATTGTTTACATTCAGTGTACTGAATCACCTAGCTGTGTCCATTGAAAGAGCCTAGAACCAATGACACTGCAGCAGCAATAAACACATCTCTCATCTATATGTCATTATTCAGTGAAAATAATCACAGTTCCTTGGAGATATAGTTAATCACAGAGCTGGAGCAAGAAAATATACGATTAGCCTGGAACATTTTGTGGTCTCAGAAAGTAATAATGTGCTCATAAAATGATAGGAGTATGCAAAAAGAACCCAAGATCCAACCTGAAGGTGCTCCAAATGGCCAAACCTCGGACACATTGAGCAACAAAATAAATAACAATAGCAATGGATTGTAATCCATAGAATACAATAGGTATCCAAGAATCCATAGTGATATTAGGTAATTTTTTTTTTTTTGAGATGGAGTTTTGCTCTTGTTGCCCAGGCTGGAGTGCAATGGTGCGATCTCAGCTCACTGCAACCTCTGCCTCCCAGGTTCAAGTGATTCTCCTGCTTCAGCCTCCTGAGTAGCTGGGACTATAGGCATGTGCCCACCACGCCCAGTTAATTTTGTATTTTTAGTAGAGACAGAGTTTCACCATGTTGGTCAGGCTGGTTTTGAACTCCTGAGCTCAGGTGATCCACCTGCCTCAGTCTCCCAAGGTGCTGGGATTACAGGCGTGAGCCACTGCACCTGGCTGATATTAGTTAATTAATGGGAGAAATGGGATGCCTCCTCCTTACAGTAAATTTCCAATGAATAAAAGGGGAAGGAATGAAGGAGATAGACAATCACCATTGGGCAAACATCAACATCACAGTAATAATTATTATAGGCGAGGATCACTGATGGTTACTAAAATCAGTGGATAGAGTAGAATGAGAAAGAGGATATTTGCTCAGTCTTAGAGTGTCTCCTCATAAGATATTTATTGATCACAAAGGAAAAAATGGTACCTTGAGAGTAGAGAAACCTGGCAGACACCACCTTAACCAAGTGATTAGAGATGATATTGCCAATAATAAGACATATTGACATCATTTACACCTAATATACATTGAGAAGAACAGATCACTTCTGTGGTCTTCTTGCCAAAAATGCCTAACCTCCTCAATCTGCTCATGAAAAACATCAGAGAAAACCAACTTGAGGGACACTTAACAAAATCCCTGACCAATATCTTTCAAAAGTGTCGAGGGTATGAAAGGCAAAGAAAGACTCTGAGACTGTCATAGAGTGGCAGAGACTAAGGAGGCATGACAACTAGATGCAACACGGTATCCTGGATCTGATCTTGAATCTGGAAAAGGACATTAATGGAAAACTGGTGAAATCCAAATAAAGTCTGTAATTTAGTTAATAGTATTGTATCAATGTATTTTTCTTAGCTTTGATAAACGAACTATGGTTATACAAGATATTAGCACTAGGGGAATCTGGGTGAAGGGTATATGGCAATGTTTTGTACTGTTTTTGCAACATTGCTGTAAGTCTAAAATTATTTCAAAATAAAACACTAAAAAGTATGGAATATATGGAGCATACATTATGTGCCTAGGTGTGGTGGGGCAACTGCTAATGTAGGGATCCATTTGGAGTTTACTTCAAATTTTCCAGGCAAGAAATGATGGTGGTTTACAACAGGGTGGTTGTAATTGGGGAATGAGGTATTAGATTCTGGTTATATATGGAATGTGTAACCAACAGGGTTTGGTTATAGTAGGAAGCAAAAGAGAATAGTTGAGGATATATGGGGACCTCTTAGAAGGTATTAATACTTCTTTGACCCTCTGTTTCCCAGAGTACTAGGCCTCTTAAACAATCTAGGAACAGGGTACCTTTAAGACAAGTGATAGGAATGAAGGTGTGGGAAATGAAGAACCAGCAGGCTGAGGACAGAGAGAATTGGCGTTGTTGGAATGGAGATGCCCAGAAGAGATGGTATTTGCTATCATCTCAATCCAATTTTCATCTGTGACTGACATTGATCTCTCTCTTGTAAAGACAAAGGGCACGATGCAGTAATAAGAGGAAACATGAATTGACAAAATAATGGCTAGTCAAACAGAGAAGGAACTTCTGATGAGCCTTGCCATCATTTGCCTGCAAAACCAAAAATATTTACTATCTGGCCCTTTACAGAAAAGTTTGCCAACTCCTAGCCTAAGCAGTCAGGAGATAAGACCACAGGTTAGTGTACGTCAATGTGTAATGTATGCTGTCTGACATGTTGTAGGGCAACAAAAACACTGAGATGTAAGATGGAAAACACTGACATTGAAAGACCACTTTAATCTATAGATCACCTTTATTAACAGCCTTTATCTGATGGACAAAAAAAACACTTGGCTCCACTGGCATCACTTTGAAGTGTCTGTCCTTATTTCTAGGATAATCTCTTTGTGATGGAATCGAGACATCCATCCCACTGTTGAACCTGTCACACTATATTTATTTTCTCCTTATGCCTATTTTTGGCCCCCTTCTTATTTCTTTTCTATAATTCCGCCCCCCCCCCCGGCTTAGTTCCGTCTTTGTCTTTCTCCCTTAGACACTCACCAGAGTTTGACAGCATGATTACTTAATACTCACCTGCCAAATTAACTGACTTATTTTACCAACTGGGTGGATATGCAATACCTTGACACTTGCTATTTGAGTATTTTACTGAATTTTTCATATGTCCATGATGAATAAATAGTGGTACAAGTATTCAAATATTGGTAATTGGCCTGTTTTGTATTAGAGTATGCATCACAGTATATATTGTCTCACTGTTTAACTTCAATTCAGTAAGGATTAATAAGTTAATATTAAAATTAGTAACCCTTCCATTCTTCTTTGCTTTCTAGACTCCCTTTCCATTTCTTCAGGTTGGGATGTTTACAATGAAAGGAGAAAGGGCAAAATGAGCAATGTGAATAACAGAATAGTCCAGTTATTTGAAAGGAGAACATACTTCCATAGTTCCCAAACATTTAGTTTTAAAATGACCTCCAAGTCTACTGTACCAACTAAATGTTATTGACAGCCATCTGGTAGTGCTGTTTGTTTGTTTGTTTCATTGGAGGGTTCAGTTATATTGCCCAATACAAAACACACTATCATCATTAAAACACATAAGCCTGTCCCCTCCCTCTCTCCTTCCCTCCTTCCCTCCCTTCTTTCTATGTTGATTATTTCATTACTTCCCTCCCTTTCATCACCACACCTCACTCTTTCCCTTCCCCCGACTGGCAATAATTCCAACGTGTCTAATATGTATATTCAAATTTGTATGTATCCTTGCAGAATATGTAAGATTATTTTGTGGGCATGTTTAAAAATTTACATTAATGGAAATGTAAATTCTGATTCATACCCAAAACATGGGTAGATAGAATATTTTCATTCAGAACCATGCCCTTAATATCTACCCATATTTTGGGTATCTATCTACTTTGTTGCTTTGAACTGCTGTATGATATGCTACAGAGTGCATCTCTCACATTTTACTTTTCCATTATCCCCCTGAGATAGACACTTGGGTTGCTCCAAGTTTCTCTATTTCAAGTTCCTTTACCACAGATAACACTCCTTATGAATGTCCCCTTTTGGGCTGTGTGTGACTTTTCTCTGGGATATAGTCCCAGAAGTGGGACTGTTGGATAGGGTAGTGAATACTCTGATCACATTCTGCCAGGTAGCTCTCCATAATAGCTGCAACAATGTTTGTGTGTTTGTGTGTGTGTGCATGTTCTCAGAGCCTAAGGTAAAATATTATGTGTCAGTCATTATCCTTGAAAATCCATGAAGCCAGATTGGGGACCATTGTTTGGGGTGAGGGAAATGATGGAATCACATTAGCTTTTCTGCAGGAATTCAGTCTGCATTATTAATAATAAAAAATGACTACCATGAAGTGACACTTAGTATGTACCAGGGACTATCCTGGGTGTTGTCCATTCTTTGTCTTATTTAATCTTCGCAATAATGCTATGAAGTAGATGTTGGTAATGTAACTTCTGTTTCAAGGATGTGAAAACCCACGTTCAGAGAGCTTTAGTGACTTGTTGAACTGGTAAATTTCAGACCTGGGATGGGACTCAGGTCTGTCTAACTCTAAAGCTTGTGCTCTTAGTCACAATGCTATGAAGCCTTCCCTCTCATTCCTCTATCTCAAAGACCTTTTTGAGATACCTGATACTTTCCCCCATTATATCTCTGTGTGCTATAGATTTTAGAACATCAGGTTAATGGAGTGGGGGCAGAGGAGGCAGAGAGAAGTTATAGAATGGACCACTGGTGCTTCGGCCATCAGTGTTCAATATATCATAAGAGAACATATTTGCATTCTGGTGTATAGCTCAGTTGCTTTAATTTTGCTGAATGTGAATCAGTCTCTCAAGTGATAAAATCGTGTATTTTGAAATATCAGAACTGAGGCCAAGATCCTGAAACTGACAATGAACAATAGAAGCTCTCTTAGAGAAATGCAAATCAAAACCACAATGAGATACCATCTCACACCAGTTAGAATGGCAATCATTAAAAAGTCAGGAAACAACAGGTGCTGGAGAGGATGTGGAGAAATAGGAACACTTTTATACTGTTGGTGGGACTGTAAACTAGTTCAACCATTGTGGAAGTCAGTGTGGCGATTCCTCAGGGATCTAGAACTAGAAATACCATTTGACCCAGCCATCCCATTACTGGGTATATACCCAAAGGATTATAAATCATGCTGCTATAAAGACACATGCACATGTATGTTTATTGCGGCACTATTCACAATAGCAAAGACTTGGAACCAAGCCAAATGTTCAACAACGATAGACTGGATTAAGAAAATGTGGCACATGTACACCATGGAATACTATGCAGCCATAAAAAATGATGAGTTCATGTCCTTTGTAGGGACATGGATGAAGCTGGAAACCATCGTTCTCAGCAAACTATCGCCAGGACAAAAAACCAAACACCGCATGTTCTCACCCATAGGTGGGAGTTGAACAATGAGAACACATGGACACAGGAAGGGGAACATCACACACCAGGGCCTGTTGTGGGGTGGGGGGAGGAGGGGAGGGATAGCATTAGGAGATATACCTAATGTTAAATGACGAGTTAATGGGTGCAGCGCACCAACATGGCACATGTATACATATGTAGCAAACCTGCACGTTGTGCACATGTACCCTAAAACTTAAAGTATAATAAAAATAAATAAATAAATAAAAATAAATAGATAAATTCAAAAAAAAAAGAAAAAAGAAGCTCTCTTAATTGACCTGCACTTAATTATGTTGCTAGGGGAACTGCTACTCTCCATTCACCTATGTACCACACTTGCCCATACTTACTGTTGCCCACAGAATACTGAATACTAAAGTTGCAGCTAGCAGACTACTCTCCACTGTATGTGAACACTTCTGTTCCTACTAATTGAACGCCATGCTTAACAGAGATAGTTGTGTTTGTTCCAAATCTGTTTGTGCCAGTTATAGTTAGTAGTGTAAATTCTATAATTTAAATACATGTTAAATGAATGGATGAAATGTGAGTATAATGTTTCTATGAAGATTGGATTGAATATATTCATGAAACTCAATAAATATGAATTAATAAAAACAGTTATTGACAAATTAGGTGTGGGGAGGCAACTGTAAATAATGGGAAAATCATTGAATTTCTAGACTGATTCTCCAGCCAGATTGCCTCATAAGTGTCCGTTCTCAATTCACTGAAGAAACTGAATCTGGAAGTCATATATGATCAAATTTGGGTGTGGCTTATTCAAGAAAGAGTATATACAACTCCAATTAGTAGACTCATCCTCAAAGAGCCTGACATTTCATCAAAATATTAGCAAATAAAGGTACATTTGTATTTTAAGTTAAATCCAATAGTTAATGTATGACTGTGTCATTTTTATAGCTTGCAGCTTTGCCTGATTTACCCTGGTATGCCAGTAGCGTGGCTCAGTCCAAGTCTGAAAGCCTCAGAACCAGGGAAGCTGTTGGTGTAATTCTTAATTTGAGGCCAAAGGCCTAAGAATCCCAGGGAAGGGGGACACTGGTATAAGTCCTGGAGTCCAAAGGCCAGAGAGCCTGGAGTTCTGATGCCCAAGAGCAGGAGAAGAATGTCCCAGTTCCAGGAGAGAGGAAATCACCTTTTCTCTCTGCTCTTTTTGTTCTATTTGGGTACCCCAGCCAATTGGATGGGGGCTGCCCACATCAAGGGTGTCTAAATAGAACAAAAAGGGCAGAGAGAAAAGATGATTGCCTCTCCCCCAGAGCTGGAACATTCTTCGCCTGTCCTTGGACATCAGAACTGCAGGCTCTCTGGCCTTTGGACTGCAGTACTTATACCACATCAAGGGCAGATCTTCTCTACTCAGTCCATGGATTCACATGTCAATATTCTCTGGAAACACCCTTGCAGACACACCCAGAAGTAATGCTTTACCAGTTCTCTAGATATCCCTTAATCCGGTCTAGTTGACCTAAAATTAACCATCACAGCAGCTAACCATATATTCATATTGCATTGGGCAAACTCTTCTCTTGAGGATCCACACTTGAAGAGGCCAGCCGTTATCCTCTCTTATCATATGTTACCTGCACCAATACCAGGGTAAGTATTCTCTGGTTAGTAAATATGTATATAAGGTCAACTAATTTTTATCAAAGTTTGAAGGAATCCAAATACCTGGGTGTGGTGTGGAGCCAGTGTCACACCAAATACCATCTGTTAGCAGTCGCTTTTTTTTTTGGGACAGAGTCTTGCTTTGTTGCCCAGGCTGGAGTGCAGTGGCACAATCTTGGCTCACTACAACCTCTACTTTCTGGGTTCAAGTGATTCTCCTGCCTCAGCCTCCCAAGTAGCTGGGATTAGAGGCGTGTGCCACTACGCCTGGCTAATTTTTGTATTTTTAGTAGAGACGGGGTTTCACCATGTTGGCCAGGCTGGTCTCAAACTCCTGACCTCAGGTGATCCGCCCACCTTGGCCTCCCAAACTGCTGGGATTATAGGTGTGAGCCACCACACCTGGCCAGCAGTCACTTTTTAATCTACCTTTGAATGTTTTTATTTTGCATTAAGGAGAACCTTTCACACTCTCACACATGGAAGGCCTGAGCTTTCAGGATCTCTTTGAAGGCCGCCTGCTGAGGTCTCAGAGGAACTTTTCATTAAAATTCTGATCTTAACCCCTTATAACACAGGGGCAATAGCATTAAATAGCTCCCTGTTGCTTCCTAATGACTCTCCCTTTGAGACTGTGGTTCTTAACAGTTTTGGAGGCCACATACCTCTTTGAAAATCAAGTGAAGACTTTGGACCCTCTTCCCTACAATGCACATACATTTTACATATACATTTCTGGGAGGGGTTTTAGATTTCTTAAAGCCTATCCATAGATCCAGATTGATTACTTCAGCTCTACTTGATGCTACCTGGGAAGGTAAGAGGTCTGGGTTGTTCTTGGTTTTGCCATTAACTGGTTAGGCCACTTTAGGCAAATCTGCTAATTTCTTTGGGCCTCACTTTCCTTATTGGGAATTTATAAGGGATTTATCATATTTTAATTTCAGCAAGCCAGTTCTACCATATAATTCTATTCTGACTCTGTAGTCTTTTTTTTTTATCAAAAGGAACTTGGCTTTAATCTCAGAAAAAGCCTGAAATCACTGTTTCTTACAGAACAACAACAAAAAAAATGGGAACAACTAAAAGTGGATGGTGTCTAGAGACATTATCTTGTCTTTTGTTAATACAAACATGTATTGAGGGCCTATTATGTGCCCAGCCCTATGCAAAGCACTGGTGTTTCACAGATAAATCTCTCCATCCTTGCTTCCTAGAGTGGAGGAGGTTTCACTGCACTTACACATACATTTTCTGTTTTAGGAAGTGCGAAAAGACTAAGTTATGTGAGTTTCCCTGGGCCTGAATGAAATCTGCTTAAATGGTTTCTATTCAGGCGTTTCCTGGCAGCTATGCTTCTAATTCAGCTCTCTCCTTCAGGGGAAAAGCTAATGTATGGAGAACCAGGCTTCTTTGCCATTCTGCAACTCGATGCTTGCCAGAGGGCAGCTTTTAATCCTTAAAGGGACCAAGGCTTTCTTCTCTGAAACCTTCGAAAACACCTCTCCACAGCACAGTTTGCAAGCAGTCAAGCTATAGTTTCCTCACACCCACATTGCTTTCCTTACTCCCAAGCCAGAAGAAAAAGTCTGCAGGGATGAATTGGTTTATAAGGATACAATAGAACATTGAGAAGTTCTCATTTTTATTTACTTATTTGATAATCTGCTACTTGTTTTATTTTTCCTCTTTTGTTCAGTCTTTGTCTTTCTCCCTTTGATACTCACCCGATTCTGACAGCATGATTACTTAATACTTACCTGCCAAATTAACTGACTTATTTTACCAACTGGGTGGATATACAATACCTTGACACTTGCTATTTGAGTATTTTACTGAATGTAAAAAAAAAAAAAAAGTCCCCAGTGATATCTTATCCAAAGGCAAAGCCCTAGGGCTCCTTTTATTAAAAAAAAAAAAAAGCCATTTGTTGCTTTTGTATTTATAAACCACATTTGGTTATAATACATGTTCTACTATAAGACAGAGCCAACTAGTATTCTCCTTCCAGTTACAAAGGGTGAAAGATACATGTATAAACATATATTCCAATTTAATTTTGTGAAAATTATTCTGCCATCCCACCAATAAGAATTTGGCTTTGTTTACAAAGATTTAGTCCCTGGATTGAGCCAATTAAGCTATTTTTTTGTTTGACTTTTTTTTCTGTTTACAGTCAGCAATGGATAAATAAAATATTTTCCAAATACTAGAAAACTACCTTCTTTTATGTGAGGTGGAATTAATGACATTTTTTCTTCTTTTATCTTTCTAGAAATTAATAAACTGCCCACCTCCAGCACACACATTTTTCCTAATAGATTAGTATGAAGGGATAAAAGATAGAAAAGGGTAAAATAAGAACTCACACATAAAAATTTTCCCATTTTCTCAAACAAATCCTCAACTAAACGTTGAGTCTTGAAATGATTACTCATATCTTAGGCCTACAGAGGAGTGGCATGTTATATTGTACACTATGATATAGTTAGATATTTTACTTAACATTTGTAGCTTTCTCTGAGAGGACAGGATTTTGGTTTCAGGTCCAGGAAAGATCAGGTTATGTGAATTTCTCTGGGACTGGATAAAATCTCTAAATGGTCTGCCTAAATTGGAGCCTTCCTTGCCGTGTATAATATTCTAGAAACAAGGAAAGTGAGAAAAAGAATACAATACAATAATATAATAAGCTGAAGGGAGTCTGGGAGTCAGGTCGTATGCCTTAAGGCACGTAGATGCTTTCTCTTTATTCCAGTGAAAAATAACTCTCAAGGTGAAATGAAGATAATGCTTGAATAACACTTGGTGATCCTGGGGCCATTTTGCTAAACTATATTGCCTCTGAATCTGATATAATCAGCATGGTTTAAAGCACAAGATATTTCACAAAGAAGTATAGTTTACTTTCCTTTTGATCTACATGATTCCCAGAATCTATAGGTTTTGCCCATACTAATTTTGGTTTCCTAGAAATAATTTCAGTCTCTACAACCTCTACTCTAGAAGTGATTCTCTAAGCGTGGTCCAGGAACCCTGGACCTTTCACAAGACCTTTTCAAGAGATAGACAAGATAAAAACTGTTTTCATAATAATATGTAGACATTATTTCCTTCTTAAAGTCCCATTTTTTCTTGAGTGTACAATAAAGGTTTCCAGAGGCTACATAATATCTCAACAGACTGAATGCAGAAGCAGATATTTGAAGCAGCTGTCTTCTATTAAACCACACATTAAAGAGATTTGCAAACATATAAAACAATGCCACTCTTCTCAGTATTTTTTTTGTTTGGAAAATATAGCTACTTTTCATTCAACATATTATTTATATTAACATGTAAATGATCTATTGTTATCTTTAGATGAATTAATAAATATTTTAAAAATTCTCAGTTTTCATTCCTAATATGATACATACAAATAGCTATACCCACATGAACAAAAGGTTTTGGGGGTTCTCAGTAATTTTTAAGAGTACAAAGGGTTCGGCCGGTTGCAGTGGCTCACGCCTGTAATCCCAGCACTTTGGGAGGCCGAGGCGGGCAGATCACATAAGGTCAGGAGTTTGAGACCAGCCTGGCCAACATGGTGAAACACTGTTTCTACTAAAAATACAAAAATTAGCCAGGCGTGGTGGCGGGCGCCTGTAATCCCAGCTACTAGGGAGGCTGAGGCAGGAGAATCGCTTGAACCCAGGAAGCGGAGGTTGCGGTGAGCCGAGATCTTACCATTACACTCCAGCCTGGGTCAAAGAGCGAAACTTCGTCAACTTCGTCTCAAAAAAAAAAAAAAAAGTACAAGCAGTTCTGAAACCAATAAGTTTGAGAACTACTGCTATATTAACATACATACATGGTCCAATAAAGTAAAAAATAAGAGAGAAACAGAATACTAAAAATTCAGAAAATAAATTAATATGGAGCCTGAGGATTTTTTTCATAAGATAGCAATAACATCTGTAAATTTCAATGCCGTTGCAACTGTATGCTTTACAACGATTCATTGGTGTGACATTACACATTTGCTGTCTATGAATCTGCCCAAATTTAGAAACTCAGGACTAATTGCTATTGCTCTTTGTAATTTGATCATTGTTAAATAGGTGAGTGTTTCTTCATTTGCCACCGAAATATAGTATTTAACCAGTGTTACATAGGTGAAATTAGTGGCATTTACCATTTGCTCTGTTTTGCCCATATTTTCTTGGTTCTGGAAGATAAACAGTATTTGGTGAATTGTGTAGTGCAGTTATCTATGATCATGTGAAATTCATATCTGCCGTTTGTTAATTAACTTAAAAAGGTGGTAGCTTCAAACAAAATAACTGTTAATAGTGTTGATGAAACTGTAAAAATTTGATGTGAGAGCTGAATCTCCATAATTCTTTATATTTCGTTTAATCTGACATACTTTTGTTCTTTCTGTTCTTCAGAGAGGACTGTATCCGGTTCTGGACAATTTAAATAGAAGCGTGGATTGTTCAGAGAGATATTTTATAGAAGAGAAGCTCAAATTAATTGAGACTGTTTAGCTTGGAAAAGAAAACTTAACAGAAATTTCCAAGTATAGAGAGCCTTGTTTTGCAGAGGATGGAAAACAGCTGTCCTAAAACTCAAGGACACTAGAATAAGAGGGCAGGGACTTAAAGTGTAATCAGAGGGATTTAGTTAAGATACACTGAACACTTTTCTATTCAGCAAAGGCTAGTAGACCCTGGAGTGGGTTCTCGAAGGCAGCTGTGGGCTTTCTTTCTCTGGAGTCTTAGGAATTTGACACTGTTTTCTTTTTCTTTTCTTTCTTTTTTTTTTTTTTCTGGAGATGGAGCCTCACTCTGTCACCCAGGCTGTAGTGCCATGGTTTGATCTCAGCTCACTGCAGCCTCTGCTTCCCGGGTCCAAGTGATTCTCCTGCCTCAGCCTCCTGAGTATCTGGGATTACAGGTGTGAGCCACCATGCCCAGCTAATTTTTGTAGTTTTAGTAGAGACGGGGTTTCACCATGTTGGCCAGGCTGGTCTCGAACTCCTGACCTGAGGTAATCCACCTGCCTCGGCCTCCCAAAGTGCTGGGATTACAGGTATGAGCCACTGCACCCGACCGACACTGTTTTCTTGTTGATCAGTTGGAGGCAGAAGTTTGGTGACACTTCTAACATATTAAGACTTTGGCATTTCGACATTTAAAAATTTTCATTGGAACATCTGAAGAGGGCAGAAAGGTCTTTGTAAAATTATATCGGAATATTACAATGAAGAGGGAGAAAAGAGAGAGGAGACCATCAATGCACAGAATTCAGCAACAGGGCTGGGTTTTACCTGACCACTTACTTCGTTTCGTCTCCTACAGTTCATATTCTACCCAGCACTCAGAACGATCCTTTTTATTCATTTTAAAAATACTACATCAAATATATATTTTATTGTAGTAAACTATAAATAACATAAAATTTACCACTTGACCATTTTTAAGTGTACGACTTGGTATTAAGTGCATTCACACTATTATGCATCCATCACCACCATCCATCTTGAGAACTTTTCTATCTTGTAAAACTGAAACTCTCTATCTATCAAACAGTAACTGCTGATTGCCCACTCCTGCCAGGCCCAGGTAACCAATATTCCACTTTCTGTCTCTATGAACTTGAATGATCTTTTAAAAGAGCATATCAGGGCACACGATTTCCCTGCCTCAATCCTTGCTATGGCTTTTCATTGCAGTTAGCATACATTCTCAGTAACTCGCTGTGGCCCTGCCTGCCTCTGTGACCTCATCTCAAACATTTTCTCCCATGTTCATTGCACCCCACTACTTTGCCTTTTTTGTCACACTAAGATTGTCATATTGGGTACTGTTTCTTTCCTTGAATAGCTTTCCCCTAGAGCTTTGCATGGCTTCCTCCTCATTATTTGGTTTCAGCTCTGGTATGACCTCTTTGTTTTGTTTGTTTTGTTTTTTTGAGACAGAGTCTTGCTCTGTCACCCAGGTTGGAGTGCAGTGGCACTATCTCTGCTCACTGCAAACTCTGCCTCCCAGGTTCAAACGATTCTTGTGCCTCAGCCTCCCGAGTATGTGGGATTACAGGTGTGTGCCACTACACCCAGCTAATTTTTATATTTTTAGTGGAGACGGGGTTTCGCCATGTTGGCTATGGTGGTCTCAAACTTCTGACCTCAAGTGATCTACCTGCTTTGGCCTCCCAAAGTGCTGGGATTACAGGTGTGAGCCACCATGCCCGGCCCACCTCTTTGTTTTTTGTTTTTGTTTTTAAGAGACAGGGTCTCACTCTGTTGTGCAGGCTGGAGTGCAGTGGCACGATCATAGCTCACTGTAACCTCAAGCTCCTGGGCTCAAACAAGCCTTTGGCCTCAGCCTCCCAAATAGCTGGAACTATAGGTGCCCACCACCATGCCCAGCTGTTTCTATTTTTTTAATATTTCGTAATGATGGGGTCTTGCTTTATTGCTCAGGCTGGTCTGGAACTCCTGGCTTGAAGTGATCCTCCCACCTTGGCCTCCCAAAGTGCTGGGATTACAAGTGTGAACTATCATGTCCCAGTATGACCTCTTTAGAGTGGCCTCTCCTTACCACTCAGTGTAAAGAAGCATCCTCTCACTCTTCTCTTTCTCATTATCTTATTTTATTTTCCTTATAGCATTTATAACCCCCTGGAGTTACTTTATCTTCCTTCAGGATATATCCAGAATCTGGCTGCTTCTCACCTCTCCACTCTTACCTCCCTGATCTAAGCCACCATCATCTGGCACTAGGATGGCCATGGCAGTCTCTGCACTTGCTCCACATTGTTCTACCCTCCCTGGCCTTTTCTCAACAATCAGGCAGAAGCATCCTTTTAAGACAGAAGTCAGATTACATGGGTTTCCATTCCTCTCAGAGTGAAAGATGAAATGTTTGTGTGTTAGTCCGTTCTTGAGTTGCTATAAAGAAATACCTGAGGCTAGGTAATTTATAAAGAAAAGAGATTTACTTGGCTCACAGTTCTGCAGGCTGTACAGGAAGCATAGCACTGCCATCTGCTTCTGGGGAGGCCTCAGAAAACTTACAATCATGGTAAAAGGAAAAGGGGGAGCAGGTGCATCACAGGGGGAATGAGGGAGCAAGAGAGTGGGGGTGCCGCAGTCTTTTTAGACAACCGGATCTCCTGTGAACTCAGAGCAAGAACTCATTCATCACCAAGGGGATGGCACTAAGCCATTCACAAGGGATCCGCCCCCATGATCCAAACACCTCCCACCAGGCCCCATCTCCAACACTGGGGATTACATTTTGACATGAGATTTGGAGGGGACAAAACATCCAAACCATATTATTCCGCCACTGGCCCCCCAAATCTCATGTCCTTCTCATATTGCAAAATACAATCATCCCCTGCGAATAGCCCCCCAAGCCTTAACTCATTCTAGCATCAATTCCAAAGTCTGAAGTCTCATCTGAAATTCATCTCCTTCCAACTATGAGCCTGTAAAGTTAAAACAAGTAATTTACTTCCAGGATACAATGGTGGTTCAGGTATTGGGTAAACATTACCATTCTAAAAGGGAGAAATTGATTTTTAATCCACAGTCCAGTTGTAGTCCTCCCCTGAAAATACCCTTTCTTTCTCTGCCAGATGGCTAGGCTGCAAATTTTCCAAACTTTATGCTCTGCTTCCCTTCTTTTAGAAAGGGGCTGCAGGCTCCCCACAAGTCTGAAACCCAGCAGCGCAGGCATTAAATCTTAAGGCTCCAAATAATCTCATTCGACTGCATATCCCTCATCCTGGTGCTTGCAGGGTGCAGCCCCCATGTCTGCTCTCACAGGTTGGAGTTGAGTGCTTGTGGCTTTTCTAGGCTCAGGGTGCAAGCTGCCCATGGCTCTACCATTCTGGAATCTGGAAGGTGGTGGCCCTGTTCCCACAGCTCCACTAGGCAGTGCCCTGGTGGGGACTCTGCGTGGGGGCTCCAACCCCACATTTCCCCACCACACCACCCTAGTAGAAGTTCTTTGTGAGGGCTCTGTCCCTGCCGCAGGCTTCTGCCTCGGCACCCAGGCTTTCCCATATATCCTCTGTAATGTGGGGAGCTGCTAAACTTCCCTCACACTTGAGTTGTGTGTACTTGCCAACTTAACACCATGTGGAAGCCACCAAGGCTTACGGCTTGCACCCTCTGGAGTAGCGGCCCAAGCTGTACCTGGGGCCCTTTGAACTGTGGTTGGAGCTGGGGCAGCCATTATATGGGGAGCAGTGTCCTAAGGCTGAGCAGGGCACAGGGCTGGGCCTGGTCCTTGAAACCATTCTTTTCTCCTAGGCCTCTGGGCCTATGATGGGGTAGGGGAGGCTGTCTCCAAGAGCTCTGAAATGCCTTTGAGGCCTCTTTCCCATTGTCTTGGATATTAGCATTTGGTCCCCTTTTAGTCATGCTAATCTCTCTAGCAAGTGGTTGCTCCACAGTCCAGTTGTATTCCTCCCCTGAAAATGCCTTTTCTTTCTCTGCCATGTGGCTAGGCTGCAAATTTTCCAAACTTTATGCCTTGCTTCCCTTTCAAATATAAGCCCAAACTTTAAGTCATTCCTTTGCTTCCATATCTGATCATAGGTTGTTAGAAGCACCCATGCAGCATTTTTTTTTTCTTTTTGAGACGAGGTCTCTGTTGCCTAGGCTGGAATACAGTGGCATGAACATGGCTCACTGCAGCCTCAACCTCCTGGGCTCAAGCCATCCTCCCATCTTAGCCACTATGTCTGGCTGAGTTTTAATTTTTTTCTAGAGACAGCGTTCTCCCTGGGTTGCCCAGGCTGGTCTTGAATTCCTGGGCTCAAGTGGTCCTTCCACCTTGGCCTCCCACAGTGTCGGGATTACAGGCATGAGCCACTGTCTCTATCCCCATGCAGCTTCTTAAATGCTTTGCTGCTTAGTAATTTCTTCCACCAGATACCTTAAGTCATCACTCTTAAGTTCAGACTTCCACAGATCCCTAGGATGGAGACACAATGCAGCTAAGCTGTTTGCTAAGGTGTTAACACAGGTGATCTTTGCCCCAGTTCCCAATAAGTTCCTCATTTCCATCTGAGACCTCATCAGCCTGGCCTTCACTGTCCATATTTCTACCAGCACTTTGGTCACAACCACTTAACAAGTCTCTAAGAAGTTCCAAACTTTTCCTCATCTTCTTGTCTTCTTCATAGCCCTCCAAACTCTTACAACTTCTGTCCATTACCCAGTTCCAATGCTGCTTCCGTATCTTCAGGTATCTTTATAGCAACACCCCTCTCCTCATTACAAATTTTCTGTCAGGCTGTTTTTGCATTGCTATAAAGAAATATATGAGGCTGGGTAATTTATAAAGAAAAGGGGTTTAATTGGCTCATGGTTCTGCAGGCTGTACAAAAAGCGTGGTGCTGACATCTACTCCTGGTGATGGCCTCAAGAAGCTTACAATCATGGTGGAAGGTGAACGGGGAGCAGGCCCATCACATGGCAAGAGTAGGAGAGAGAGAGACGGGGAAGGTGCCACACTCTTAAATAATCAGACCTCACATGAACTCAGGGCAAGAACTCACTCATCGCCAAGGGATGGTGCTAAGCCATTCATGAGGGATCAACCCACATGATCTAATACCTTCTGCTAGGCCCCACCTCCAACATCAGGAATCACATTTCAACATGAGATTTGGAGGGGACACACATCCAAGCTATATCAATTTGGAAATGACCTACAAGCCTCTCATGATCTGGCCCACTGTGACCTTTCTGACTGTATCTCCTGCTGCTGTGTGTCTCACCCATTTTACCCCCACAACATTGGTCTCTTTGATGTTCTTTGAGCACACCAGAATTAAAAACACCCATGTGCCAGGTAATGAGGACTATTTTACACATAGAAGAAGCATCAGATATGGTGTGTGGCTTGACATGCACTACTAGAATCCAAAGTAAAAAGGCCAGTGAGAAAACTAGGTTATTTCCTTTTCCCTGCCAGTGCAGGTGGATGGAATCAGCCTATTACCTTAATTGGACCTTGCTGGAAGATCAAGACACATCTTTAATGGCGGATGTTAAAAGCACATGCATAAGCCAGGAAGGAAACAGAGCCCTGTGGCTCTTGCCACACCCTGTGGTTTTGTCCTGGCTGATCCCTCTTTAACATTCTATAGCATTTATTTATTTATTTATTTATCAGATGGAGTCTCTCTCCGTCACCCAGGCTGGAGTGCAGTGGCGTGATCTCGGCTCACTGCAACCTCTGCTTCCCAGGTTCAAGCAATTCTCCTGTCTCAGCCTCCCGAGTAGCTGGGACTACAGGCGCCTGCCACCATGCCCAGCTAATTTTTGTATTTTTAGTAGAGATGGGGTTTCACCTTGTTGGTCAGGGTGGTCTTGAACTTCTGACCTCGGGTGATCTACCTGCCTCAGCCTCCCAATGTGCTGGGATTACAGGCATGAGCCACTGCGCCCGGCTGCATTTGTTTATTTATCCAACATATTTATTGTTTCTTGTCTGTCTCCAGAATATATGGTCTACATGGTAGGGATTTTCATCTATTTTATTCACTGCAGTATCCACAATGCTTAGAATAGTGCCTGCCATGTGGTAGATATTTGTTATGGGTTGAGTGTGTCTCCCAAAAAGATACGTTGAAGTCGTTAACCCTGGTAGTTGTGAATGTGACCTTATTTGGAAATAGGGGCTTTGTAGATGTAATTGAATTAAGATGAGGTTATTAGGGTGACTCCTAATCCAGCAAGATTGGTGTCCTTATAAAAGGAAAATGCCGTGTGATGACAGGTAGAGATTGGAGTGAAGTGGCTGTGAGCCAAGGATGCCAAGGATTGACAGCTACCACCAAAAGCCAGGAAGAGACAAGGAAGGATTCTACAGAGTCTCAGAGGGAGAATGCCCCTGCTGACACCTTGATGTCAGTCTTCTAGCCTCTAGAACTATGAGAAAATAAATTTCTGTTGTTTTAAGCCACCCATTTTCTGATACTTTGTTATGGCAGCTCTAGGAAACTCATAGAATACTTGAAAAGTATTTGTTGAATAAATGCATCTATTGTTTATATATTTATGGTCTGTCTTTTCCACAAGGATGAAAAATTCTTGAGGACAGAGTCTCTCTTATGCTTCATTGCATCCTTGGTCTCTAGAACAATTCCTGGGCCAAGGAGGTGTTCCACAATGTTTTAGAGAGGCAGGATAGAATGATGGGAAAGCATGGGACTCTGTGCCAGGCAACTTGGATTTAGGTTCCAGTTCTACCACCTTTGGGCAGGGCACCTGCACCACTGTCTCTTCATTCGTTAGCATACATAAAGGACTCAGAACAGTGCCTGAGTCATTAATCACTCAGTACCTGTCCTCTATTATTAGCTGGTTTATATGGCATGATGAGGCTAAGATTAGACATGGAAAACCTTCATCAGCTGGGGACTCAAGAGGCCCCAGCTCACTGTGGAACCTTAGGCAAGTGATTTTGCCTCTTTGGACCTCTGTCTCCTCTTCTTTACAGGAAGGTGTTGGATTGGCACTCCTAAGGTAATTTCCAGCTTTGGCCTTTTATGAGTCCATACAGTGTATGGCCTGTATAAACAGGCAATATTGGTGCCGCCTTCCAAGGGTAGATTGAAGATGTAGTACTAAATTGTAGTACTCATTGTAGGTCATGCCAGAGAATGAGACTTGGCAGGCTTTCAGTTGAGGAGAGGAGATACAGAGAAGGGGAAAACCTGGCTTTCTCTGATACCCCATCCTGTCAAGCAGCCCTCAAGTGCATCCTACTGTACTGGATGGAAATTCAAGTGAGAGATTCTGGGGAATCCTTTCAAGCTCACTGGGGACACTTTATGCTGAAAATTATATTCGTGTGATTCCTTTTTTCTTTTATTGATACGGACCCAACTTAACAAAAAGCATCATTATTTTGGAACAACTCACATTACTGCTTTTACTTGCCAGCATGCCTGGTCTATTATTATTATTACAGTTGCAAAACAGGTGCGGTAAATAGGTGCCAATGAGAGTGTGGATCACACACAAAAAAGTCTTGTCAACAGTAGAACAAAAGTAAAATGCAGCACCTGTTACTTCAGGCCAAGTACTTATATGTCAGGCTGAAATAGTAACTGGGCTGGTGAGTAATTGGTTGGTTACCACTCAACTCATTCAAATATCAAATCATTTTTTGTGTGTAGACACCATCTAGGCATCCCAGATTTTTTTTTTTTTTTTTTTGAGACAGAGTCTTGCTCTGTCGCCCAGGCTGGAGTGCAGTGGCATGATCTCGGCTCACTGCAGCCTCCGCCTCCTGCGTTGAAGCGATTCTCCTGCCTAAGTAGCTGTAGTCCCAAGTAGCTGGGACTACAGGTGCCCACCACCATGCCTGGCTAATTTTTGTATTTTTAGTAAAGGTGGGCATTTCACCATGTTGGCCAGGCTGGTCTCGACCTCCTGACCTTGAATGATTTACCCACCTCAGCCTTCCAAAGTGCTGGGATTACAGGCCTGAGCCACCACGTCTGGCCGGCATCCCAGATTTCAACTAATCTTCCTACTGGCACCACTGTTATCCTAGATTTTTTGCAGAGGGCTTATGAATGAATAATAAGTTCTCATGTCATCCAGGTTGGGGTGGTGGAGAGAAAAGTAACAATGAAGTCAAATTCCACTAGGTCACATTGTTTGTCTCAGAAATGGGCCATGCAATTGGAAATTAACAGTGACAAGGGGAGCAGAAAGACCATGGCTCTTGAATACCCTGCCCCTCACTTCTGGTGTGATCTTGGCCAAGTCACTTGCATTCACTCATCTGTAGATGGGTGGTGGAGTAACCTGTTGTACCCACTTTACAGGTTTGTTTCAGTCACAGATAAAACAATATACATGCAAGTGTGTTATAAAATGTAGGACACTATGCAAAAGTTAGTTATTATGGCTTATGATTACTGCATAAATATATACAGGAAGAAGTGTTTTGCAGTGGATTTTTGGTAGTAGTATAATAGAATAAAAACATTTAAAACCAGTAATGCATTTAATAATCTTGTGACATTATGACAATTAGTGGCTCCAGGGCAACTTCAGGTGCAATGGAGCATTAACAAAATTTGTGAAACTTTTTTTTTTCTCATTATACTCCAAGCTCTAGGGTACATGTGCACAGCGTGCAGGCCTGCCACATATGCACACATGCTCCATGTCAGTGTGCCACACCCACCAACCCGTCCTCCACATCAGGCACTTCTCCCAGTGCTATCCCTCCCCCCTCCCCCCACCCCATGACAGGCCCCAGTGTGTGATGTTCCCCACCCTGTGTCCAAATGTTCTCACCATTCAACTCCCACCTACGAGTGAGAACATGCGGTGGCTGGCTCTCCGTCCCTGCGATAGTTTGCTCAGAATGACAGCCTCCAGCCTCATCCATGTCCCTACAAAGGACATGAACCCATCCCTTTCCATGATTGCACAGTATTCCATGGTGTACATGCGCCACACCTTCCCAATCCAGTCTATCATTGATGGACACCTGGGCTGGCTCCAAGTCCCCGCCACTGTGAACAGTGCCGCAACAAACATACGTGTGCACGTGTCCTTATAGTAGGATGATTTACAATCATTTGGGCATATATACCCAGCAATGGGATCGCTGGGTCAAGTGGTATTTCCAGTTCCAGACCCCTGAGGAACCGCCACACTGTCCTCTACAATGGCCGAACCAGTTTACACTCCCACCAACAGTGTAAAAGTGTTCTTATTTCTCCACATCCTCTCCAGCACCTGTTGTCCCCCGACTTTCCAATGATCACCATTCTAACTGGCGTGAGATGGCATCTCACCGTGGGTCTGATTTGCATCTCTCTGATGGCCGGCGATGATGAGCATTCTTTCATGTGTCTGTTGGCTGCACAGATGTCTTCTCCCAAGAAGGGTCTGGTCATATCCCTTGCCCACTTTCCAGTGGGGTTGTTTGATTTTTTTCTTGCAAATTTGTTTAAGTTCTTTGTAGATTCTGGATATTAGCCCTTTGTCAGATGGGTAGATTGCAAAAATTTTCTCCCATTTGGTAGGTTGCCCGCCTGCTCCGATGGTAGCCTCCTCTGCTGTGCAGAAGCTCCTTAGTTTAATTATATCCCATTTGTCAATTTTGGCCCCATTGCCATCACTTCTGGTGCTCCAGTCATGAAGTCCTTGCCCATGCCCGTGTCCCGGATGGCACTGCCTAGGCCTTCCTCCAGGGTTTCCATGGTTCCAGGTCCAGCATTTAAGTCTTTAATCCATCCTGAATCAATTCTTGTATGAGGTGTAAGTAAGGGATCCAGCTTCAGCTCTCTACACATGGTCAGCCTGTCTTCCCAGCAACATTCATTAAACAGGGAATCCTTTCCCTATTTCTTGTTTGGGTCAGGTTTGTCAAAGACCAGATGGTTGCAGATGTGTGGTATCATTTCTGAGGGCTCCGTTCTGTTCTATTGGTCCACATCTCTGTTTTGGTACCAATACCATGCTGTTTTGGTTACTGTAGCCTTGTGGTATAGTTTGAAGTCAGATAGCGTGATACCTCCAGCTTTGTTCTTTTTGCTTAGGATTGTCTTGGCAATGCAGGCTCTTTTTTGGTTCCATATGAACTTTAAAGTAGTTTTTTCCAATTCTGTGAAGAAAGTCGTTGGTAGCTTGATGGGGATGGCATTGAATCTATAAATTACCTTGGGCAGTATGGCCATTTTCATGATATTGATTCTTCCTGTCCATGAGCATGGAATGTTCTTCCATTTGTTTGTGTCCTCTTTTATTTCGTTGAGCAATGGTTTGTAGTTCTCTTTGAAAAGGCCCTTCACATCCCTTGTAAGTTGGATTCCTAGGTATTTTATTCTCTTTGAAGCAATTGTGAATGGGAGTTCACTCATGATTTGGCTCTCTGTTATTGGTGTATAAGAATGCTTGTGATTTTTGCACATTGATTTTGTATCCTGAGACTTTGCTGAAGTTGCTTATCAGCTTAAGGAGATTTTGGGCTGAGATGATGGAGTTTTCTAAATATACAATCATGTCATCTGCAAACAGGGACAATTTGACGTCCTCTTTTCCTAACTGAATACCCTTTATTTCTTTCTCCTGCCTGATTGCCCTTGCCAGAAATTCCAACACTATGTTGAATAGGAGTGGTGAGAGAGGGCATCCCTGTCTTGCGCCAGTTTTCAAAGGGAATTCTTCCAGTTTTTGCCCATTCAGTATGGTATTGGCTGTGGGTTTGTCATAAATAGATCTTATTATTTTGAGATACATTCCATCAATACCTAGTTTATTGAGAGTTTTTAGCATGAAGGGTTGTTGAATTTTGTCAAAGGCCTTTTCTGCATCTATTGAGATAATCATGTGGTTTTTGTCTTTGGTTCTGTTTATATGCTGAATTACGTTTATTGATTTGCATATGTTGAACCAGCCTTGCATCCCAGGGATGAAGCCCACTTGATCATGGTGGATAAGGTTTTTGATGTGCTGCTGGATTTGGTTTGCCAGTATTTTATTGAGGATTTTTGCATCAATGTTCATCAGGGATATTGGTCTAAAATTCTCTTTTTTTGTTGTGTCTCTGCCCGGCTTTGATATCAGGATGATGCTGGCCTCATAAAAGAGTTAGGGAGGATTCCCTCTTTCTGTTGACTGGAATAGTTTCAGAAGGAATGATACCAGCTCCTCTTTGTACCTCTGGTAGAATTCGGCTGTGAATCCTTCTGGTCCTGGACTTTTTTTGGTTTGTAGGCTATTAATTATTGCCTCAATTTCAGAGCCTGTTATTGGTCTGTTCAGGGATTCAACTTCTTCCTGGTTTAGTCTTGGGAGGGTGTATGTGTCGAGGAATTTATCCATTATTTCTAGATTTTCTAGTTTATTTGCGTAGAGGTGTTTATAGTATTCTCTGATGGTAGTTTGTATTTCTGTGGGATCGGTGGTGATATCCCCTTTATCATTTTTTATTGCGTCTATTTGATTCTTCTCTCTTTTCTTCTTTATTAGTCTTGCTAGCGGTCTATCAATTTTGTTGGTCTTTTCAAAAAACCAGCTCCTGGATTCATTGATTTTTTGAAGGGTTTTTTGTGTCTCTGTCTCTTTCAGTTCTGCTCTGATCTTAGTTATTTCTTGCCTTCTGCTAGCTTTTGAATGTGTTTGCTCTTGCTTCTCTGGTTCTTTTAATTGTGATGTTAGGGTGTCAGTTTTAGATCTTTCCTGCTTTCTCTTGTGGGCATTTAATGCTATAAATTTCCCTCTACACACTGCTTTAAATGTGTCCCAGAGATTCTTGTATGTTGTGTCTTTGTTCTCATTGGTTTCAAAGAATATCTTTATTTCTGCCTTCATTTCGTTATTTACCCAGTAGTCATTCAGGAGCAGGTTGTTCAGTTTCCATGTAGTTGAGCGGCTTTGAGTGAGTTTCTTAATCCTGAGTTCTAATTTGATTGCACTGTGGTCTGAGAGACAGTTTGTTGTGATTTCTGTTCTTTTACATTTGCTGAGGAGTGCTTTACTTCCAACTATGTGGTCCATTTTGGAATAAGTGCGATGTGGTGCTGAGAAGAATGTCTATTCTGTTGATTTGGGATGGAGAGTTCTGTAGATGTCTATTAGGTCTGCTTGGTGCAGACGTGAGTTCAAGTCCTGGATATCCTTGTTAACTTTCTGTCTCGTTGATCTGTCTAATGTTGACAGTGGGGTGTTAAAGTCTCCCATTATTATTGTGTGGGAGTCTAAGTCTCTTTGTAGGTCTCTAAGGACTTGCTTTATGAATCTGGGTGCTCCTGTATTGGGTGCATATATATTTAGGATAGTTAGCTCTTGTTGAATTGATCCCTTTACCTTTATGTAATGGCCTTCTTTGTCTCTTTTGATCTTTGTTGGTTTAAAGTCTGTTTTATCAGAGACTAGGATTGCAACCCCTGCTTTTTTTTTTTTGTTTTCCATTTGCTTGGTAGATCTTCCTCCATCCCTTTATTTTGAGCCTATGTGTGTCTCTGCACATGAGATGGTTCTCCTGAATACAGCACACTGATGGGTCTTGACTCTTTATCCAATTTTCTAGTCTGTGTCTTTTAATTGGGGCATTTAGCCCATTTACATTTAGGGTTAATATTGTTGTGTGTGAATTTGATCCTGTCATTATGATGTTAGCTGGTTACTTTGCTTGTTAGTTGATGCAGTTTCTGCATAGCATTGATGGTCTTTACAATTTGGCATGTTTTTGCAGTGGCTGGTACCGGTTGTTCTTTTCATGTTTAGTGCTTCCTTCAGGAGCTCTTGTAAGGCAGGCCTGGTGGTGACAAAATCTCTCAGCATTTGCTTGTCTGTAAAGGATTTTATTTCTCCTTCACTTATGAAGCTTAGTTTGGCTGGATATGAAATTCTGGGTTGAAAATTCTTTTCTTTAAGAATGTTGAATATTGGCCCCCACTCTCTTCTGGCTTTTAGAGTTTCTGCTGAGAGGTCTGCTGTTAGTCCGATGGGCTTCCCTTTGTGTGTAACCTGACCTTTCTCTCTTGCTGCCCTTAACATTTTTTCCTTCATTTCAACCTTGGTGAATCTGACAATTATGTGTCTTGGGGTTGCTCTTCTCGAGGAGTATCCTTGTGACGTTCTCTGTATTTCCTGAATTTGAATGTTGTCCTGCCTTTCTAGGTTGGGGAGGTTCTCCTGGATGATATCCTGCAGAGTGTTTTCCAACTTGGTTCCATTCTCCCCGTCACTTTCAGGTACACCAATCAGATGTAGATTTGGTCTTTTCACATAGTCCCATATTTCTTGGAGGCTTTGTTTGTTTCTTTTTACTCTTTTTTCTCTAAACTTCTCTTCTCACTTCATATCATTCATTTGATCTTCAATCACTGATACCCTTTCTTCTACTTGATCAAATAGGTTACCGAAGCTTGTGCATGCGTCATGTAGTTCTCGTGCCATGGTTTTCAGCTCCATCAGGTCATTTAAGGTCTTCTCTATGCTGTTTATTCTAGTTAGCCATTTGTCTAATCTTTTTTCAAGGTTTTTAGCTTCCTTGCGATGGGTTCAAACATCCTCCTTTAGCTCGGAGAAGTTTGTTATTACCGATATTCTGAAGTCTACTTCTGTCAACTCGTCAAAGTCATTCTCCATCCAGCTTTGTTCCATTGCTGGTGAGGAGCTGCAATCCTTTGGAGGAGATGAGGCACTCTGGTTTTTAGAATTTTCAGCTTTTCTGCTCTGGTTTCTCCCCATCTTTGTGGTTTTACCTACCTTTGGTCTTTGATGATGGTGACCTACAGATGGGGTTTTGGTGTGGATGTCTTTTTTGTTAATGTTGATGCTATTCCTTTCTGTTTGTTAGTTTTCCTTCTAACAGGCAGGACCCTCAGCTGCAGGTCTGTTGGAGTTTGCTGGAGGTCCACTCCAGACCCTATTTGCCTGGGTATCACCAGCAGCAGCTGCAGAACAGCAAATATTGCAGAACAGCAAATGTTGCTGCCTGATCCTTCCTCTGGAAGCTTCGTCTCAGAGGGGCCCCCAACTGTATGAGGTGTCAGTCAACCCCTACTGGGAGGTGTCTCCCAGTTAGGCTACTCGGGGTTCAGGGACCCACATGAGGAGGCAGTCTGTCCGTTTTCAGACAGGCCTTCTTGAGCTGTGGTGGGCTCACCTAGTTCGAGCTTCCTGGTTGCTTTGTTTACCTAGTCAAGCCTCAGAAATAGCAGACGCCCCTCCCTCAGCCTCACTGCCACTTCGCAGTTTGATCTCGGACTGCTGTGCTAGCAGTGAGCAAGGCTCTGTGGGCATGGGACCCACCGAGCCATGTGCGGGATATAATCTCCTGGTGTGCCATTTGCTAAGACCATTGGAAAAGCACAGTATTAGGGTGGGAGTGTCCTGATTTTTCAGGTACTGTCTGTCACGGCTTCCCTTGGCTAGTATAGGAAAATCCCCTGACCCCTTAGACTTTCCGAGTGAGGCGTTGCCCTGCCCTGCTTTGGCTCACACTCCATGGGCTGCACCCACTGTCCAACCAGTCCCAGTGAGATGAACCTGGTACCTCAGTTGGAAATGCAGAAATCACCCATCTTCTGCATCGCTCATGCTGGGAACTGTAGACTGGAGCTCCTCCTATTCGGCCATCTTGGAACAGTCCTGTGAAACTTTTAATGGAGTAAAAATTGATAACTGTCACCAGTTCTTCCCTCCCTTCCTCACAGAGAATTCTACAACTGTACCCTTTGTCATGTTCCTTTGCAGTTTCTCCTACTAGAGTAGGTGGAGTACATTTCTCTACCTTCTTGATGTTGGTTTGGCCATGGACCTGCTTTGACCAATAAAATTTAGCAACTGTGATGATGCCTTGATCTCCTTTAAATGTCCATGATGATTTGGCTTGTCTTTTTGCCAGTAGAAGAGCATATCTCAAATAGTCACTGGTCCAAAGAGAATGAAGAGACATGTGGAGCAGACCTAGACTCCAGCTGCAGCCCAGTCAATCTGCAGCTGCAGAGATACCCTAGATAACCCTCAGAGCTGTGAGCAAAAAAATATGTCTCTATTATTGTAAGCCTCTGAGATTTTGGGTTGTTTGTTATGCAGCATGTAGTTGATGCTGACTATCAGCTGGAAGCTGAGCTGGGATTGTCATCTGAAGTGCCTACGCTTGGTCTCTTTTCTTTTTTGAGATGGAGTTTTGCTCTTGTTGCCCGGGCTGTGTGCAATGGTGTAATCTCGGCTCACTGCAACCTCCATCTCCCGGGTTCAAGCAATTCTCCTGCCTCAGCCTCCCAAGGAGCTGGGATGACAGGTGGGCACCACCACGCCCAAATAATTTTGTATTTTTAGTAGAGATGGGTTTTTACCATGTTCGTCAGGTTGGTTTCGAACCCCTGACCTCGTGATCCACCCACCTTGGCCTCTCAAAGTGCTGGGATTACAGGCATGAGCCACTGCACCCAGCCTACACATGGTCTTTTTATGTGGCTTTGACTTCTCACACCATGGTGGTTGGATTTCCACAGACAGTGTCCCAAGGGTGAGCATTCCAAGAGACAAGAAGCAGAAGCTACCAGACTTGTAATGCCTGGGTCAAGAAATTGGCACAATGTCACTTCTAATGTATTCTGCTGGTCAAAGCAGTCACAGACCATTCCAAGATTCCATGAGGAGGGGACATAGAAACTCCCCCACCATGAAAGATGTAGCAAAGAATTTCGGCCATCTTTTATGTACACATATGTGGGTAATTTTTTTTTCCTCGGAGGGCTTTCAGAAATAAGCATGATCTTGGTTGAGGTCTTAGAACTGGCAATTTCTTTGCTGGTTTTTAAATATCACTCATTTTTTCATGTCTGTCAAGTGAGAGCTTGGTGAACTGATAGTAAATTCTAACCTCTGTCAGATAAATTGATTACATGCTGGTTACTTCAAAATCTATGGCTATCTTTCGAGGCTTAAATAATAGAATGGTAATAACAATAACAATAGCTTCCTTTGCGCCTAGCTCAGTTCTAAATGCATTTTGTCTATGGATTCATATGATCCTCATAACAAAGCCATGAGGTAAGTTCTTTTTATCAACTCCATTTTCATATGAAAAAAACTGAGGCACAGAGAGGATAAATAACTTGCCAGGATCACATAGCACTGGGATTTGAACTGCAGCTGTCTAGTTGCACTACCTAAAGGGAAATCATCCAATTGACCTTTACATTCCTCCTTTCACATGGAGGAAAACCAGCAGGTGTGTGAATTTGCTGCTATTAAATACTATTATGTGCATACATTATTCAAATATGTTTGTATTAGAGCTTGGATCCAGAAGTGGACAAATGGAAAGATGTTCTTTCCTCTGTACATGCTCTTAAGAAAGGCGATTTCAGGAAAATACTTTCATATTTTTGTCCTCCTAACCCTACCCCTAGTCAACTTGAATTTGGGTCTAAAATCATAATGCATTTATTGATCTCTAACTTTTTTTTTTCAGATGGAGTTTTGCTCTTGTCACCCAGGCTGGACTGCAGTGGTGCGATCTCAGTTCACTACAACCTCTGCCTCCCGGGTTCAAGCAATTGCCCTGCCTCAGCCTCCCAAGTAGCTGGTACTATAGGTGTGTGCCACTACGCCCGGCTAATTTTTGCATTTTTAGCAGAGACGGGGTTTCACCATGTTGGCCAGGTTGGTCTCCATCTCCTGACCTCAGGTGATCTGCCCACCTTGGCCTCCCAAAGTGCTGGGATTACAGGCGTGAGCCACCGCGCCCGGCCTCAAACTTGTTTTTATCAATGTCATCTTTTGGTCAAATGTAGTTCATTGTAAAAGAGTAGGGTGTGTGTGTGTGTGTGTGTGTGTGTGTGTGTAAATCCTACTCCTGTTGTAAAAAAACAGGAAAGTTTCAATAGACAAATACAGTCCTTCTTCTGAAATCCCATCTTTGAATTGTTTCTTAGTTTCTTTAATTTATATGCTAGCACGATTTGTGGTAATTCGTATTTATTAGCCATTTGCATTGCAGTTTCCCAATCCCTTGCTGTTTGGAAATTTTAGGATTTCAGGATAGCTGGCCACCTTTGCTGAGGCCCTGAAACACTTTTTTGTAACTCACAAAGAAAACTGGTGTGTGGCCAGAATGGGCAGTGACAGGTGGAAGGCTCAAAGGTCACCCTTTGTACAGATTCCCACCACGAGTGTACACTCTCCACTTTTGTTATGTTAACCTCTTAATTACCCATAGACAGCCAAGGGTGGTGAAAGAAATTAGCTAAATTGACTTAGAAGGCTGCCGCACAGCCAGTTGAGATCCATGGATGGGCTGTGTATAATTTTCTGGTCAGGATGTAAACCTGAAATAGACTTCAGATGAGTTCAGAAATTCTGAAATAACCCAAAGGTTTGGGGGTCATTTGTCAGGGCACAGCTGTGAACAGCATTCATTAAACGAACAGGTTTCTGCAACCTTCCTTAAGTGACCGAAATGGACATTTGAATTCTTTTAGTCCTTGGGTAATGTGTTCTTGGTTTAAGAGTGGGATATACTACTAGGTATTTTTGTGTGTGTGAGCAAAAGATGAGTTTTATTACTTAGCAAAGGATTAGGCCTAGCTGACAGTCCAGTCTTGGTATTAAGACTATGTTCTGATCATTAACTTTTTTTATTCCCTTATATTTGATTCCATATTGAATTTACTCTTTGATAAAAGAGTCATAAATAAATGACCTTAATTAAGGCAGACCAATTGCATATACTACCCAATATAGACATTTTCAAATGACCAATTTTCTTAAACGCTGAAGAATTGCTATGTTGATGAGGACTGCATTCCATTACATATATTCTCTAAATTAAAAAAAAAAATCTAAGTCAGATTTGTCTTGATCTCACGGATGAGGAAACTGAGGTACAGAGAAATTCAGTAATTTGCCTACAGTCACAAAGCAAATAAAAGCCAGATTTTTTTTCCTTTGGATAGTGCTATCTGTTTTTCTGTCTAAATTACTCAATTTTGATTTCTCAGAGGACTTCAAACAGAACTGTCATTCAACCCAGCAATCCCATTACTGGGTATATACCCAAAGGACTATAAACTGTTCTACCAAAAAGACACATGCACTCATATGTTCACCATAGCACTATTCACAGTAGCAAAGACATAGAATCAACCCAGGTGCCCATCAGTGGTGGACTGGAAAAGAAAATGTGGTACATATATACCATGGAATGCTACACAGCCACAAAAAGAACAAAACCACGTCCCTTACAGCAACATGGGTACAGCTGGAGGCCATAATCCTAAGAGAATTAGTACAGAAACAGAAAACCAAATACCTCATGTCCTCACTTATAAGTGGGAGATAAGCATTGGGTACACACAGACATAAAGATGGCAACAACAACAAAGAAACACTGGGGACTACTAGAGGAAGGACAGAGGTGGGGGAAGGTCTGAAAAACTACCTTTTGGGTACTATGCTGACTACCTGGGTGACAGGATCATTTTTACCGCAAACCTCAGGGTCATGCAATATACCCATGTAACACACTGGCACATGTATCCCCTGGATCTAAAATAAAAATTGAACTATAAAAAATTACTCAATTTCCATTGTATTTCATTGGGAAAGGTCTGGGTCCAAAGTCTAAGATGGAGAGTAAGTTTTAGAAAATATTCGGTAAGAGTTCATTTAACGTGTTGTCTGGAATAACATTCCCTTACTACTTTTTGGGGTTGCTTATGTTGTGTCTAACTGTGCTAGTTGCCAGAGGATTAACTCTCTGTGCACCACAGATGTTACTTCTGTGAATGCAAGTGAGTACCAATGCTCGGCAGTATATTTATTTGATTTGTAGCTTCTTCATAGGATGTTATATCAAGTAGGAAGGCTACAAAGTAAATTTTGTTTAGTATATATTTAGTCATCCATCCAACAACTGTCCAATAGGTGAGGGTAGAGGTATAAGGATGGTTAAGACAAGATCTCAGCCCTTGACATGACCATAGATATGCAGATGGACCATTCCAATATGGTGTAATAAAAGCTATGACAGAGATGCTAAGCCCTATGAGGAGAGATGAGGGAGCAACCAACAAGTCTTTGGAGGATTCATGGAAGGCTTCAAAAGGTAAAGGCATTTGAGTGGTGTCTTTAAAGGTGAGGAATTTGTTGGGTGGAGAATGGGGGAAGGGCAGAGAGAATAGCAGGCAGAAACGCAAAGTATGTCAAATGGCATAGAATGTTTGGGGAACGATAAGTAGCTTTAGTGGTTGGAGCACAGAACGTGTATGCATGTGGGACTTGAGGGAGTTGAAACCAGACAGTGAGGGCCCTCATGCAATGAGGAGCCATAGAAAGATGGAGTAGTATGATCAGATTTGTATTTCAGGAAGTTAACTCCACATTCTTGTTAGTTTTGAAGGAGAGACTAGAGGAAGGGGCATGGTTACAAGCTGAGTACTGATGACAGCAGTAGCAGTGGTGTGAGTGAGGAGGTGACAGACTCTAGAGACCATTGGGAGATACTGTATTTGAAAATGAATTGTTTAATGTGGTTGACAGAAAATGTGGAGTGGACCTTGAGGTTCATGTTTCTGTTTTAGGCAAATGGGACTATCAGGTGAAACGAGTTATTCCAGAATAAGAAGGAGATTGGGAGAGGGATATGAAAATGTTAGTTTTTTTTTTTTTTAGATAGAGTCTCACTCTGTTGTCCAGGCTGGAGTGCAGTGGCATGATCTCAGCTCACTGCAACCTCTGCCTCCTGAGTTCAAGCAATTCTCCTGCCTCAGCCTCCTGAGTAGCTGGGACTACAGGTGTGCACCACCATGGCTGGCTAATTTTGTATTTTTAGTAGAGATGGGGTTTTGCCATGTTGGCCAGGCTGGTCTCGAACTCCTGACCTCAGGTGATCCACCTGCCTTGGCCTCTCAAAGTGCTGGGATTACAGGCGTCAGCCACCGCACTTGGCCAGAAAATGTTAGTTTTGATATGTTGGTTTTGAAAAGTCTGTGAAATGTAGAGGTGGAGTTGGCCAGTGGGATGTTAGAAATTTGGGTTTTGAGTTCAGCAGAAAATAGGGGTTAGAAATAGAGATCCAGGATTCATCTACATATAGAGGGCAGTTAAAGCTTTAGAAACAATGGGGTCATGTAGGAAGAATGAAGGTGACTGGGAAGGAGTGGACAGAGAGATCAGAGGGGAACGAAGAGAGTGTGCTGTGTGGAATGAAGGAGAAGAGAAGCTAAAAGGATGGAATGGTTGGCAATGCCAAGTGATTCAGGGAGACCAAGGAGACTAAAGATTGATAAGAAATTATAGGATTTTGTACTTAGGAGGCCACCAGTGACCTAGTCAGCAAAAAAGCAGGTTTCAAAACACTATGTAAAACATACACTCAGAAAAATATGTATTTTCTTTTTTAAAAAAATTATACTTTTTTATCATTATTTTTTAACAGAGATGGGGCCTTACTTTGTTGACCAGGCTGGTCTCGAACTCCTGGCCTCAAATGATCCTCCCATCTCAGCCTCCCAAAATGCTAGAATTACAGGTGTGAGCCACTGCACCTGGCCAGAAAAATATGTATTTTCTAATATCATCTTTGTAATGCAGTGCATTGAAAACCCTAGAGGGACAGATTCCTAACAATGCTTATCTCTTGGTGGTGAGATTGGGGTGATTTTTATTACTGTTTTTTGTTTTTGCTTATATGCATTTTCCAAATGTCTGACAACAGCCATGCATTACTTTTGTAATCATAAAATAACACAATAAAAATTCTTTAAAAAAGAAGTCACCAGTGACCTTGCTGAGAACGGTTTCAGTGGAGTGATGGGAAGCAGAAGTTGGATTCTGATGGATTGCAGAGATAATTGGAGCAGAGGAAATGGGAACAGGGAGCGTTGACTCCTTGTTGGTGGCAAAGGCGGAAAAGAGCACGAGACCAGCCTGGCCAACATGGTGAAACCCCATCTCTACCAAAAATATAAAAAATTAGCCAGGTGTGGTGGCATGCACCTGTAATCCCAGCTACTCGGGACGCTGAGGCAGGAGAATCACTTGAACCCGGGAGGCAGAGGTTGCAGTGAGCCGAGATTGAGCCATTGCACTCCAGCCTGGGTGACAAGGGTCAAGGGTGAGACTCCATCTCAAAAAAAAAAAAAAAAAAAAAGAGAGAGCAGTAGCCTGTTTTGGTGGAAGGATTGAGAAAAGAATTTATTCATAGTGGCAGTTCTCAATTCTTTACCTCTCTGGACCCTTTTTCTATTCATAAAACATTATCAAGGACCCCCAGAAACTTTTGTTTATGGGGATTATATTTATCAATATTTATTATATTACATATTAATACAAAATTTTAAAAATATTTGATTAAATAGCAATAATAACTCCATTACTTCTTATCAGAGCATACTTTAATGAAAAATAACTATTTTTCTAAACAAAAAAATCAGTGAGAAGAGCGACATTGTTTTGCATTTTTGCAAATTTCTTTAATGTCTGACTTAGTAAAAGACAGCTGTATTATATCTCCAACATTTGATCTGTCGCAATATGTTTTCTTTGTTGAAGTAAATAAGAAATATCTCGCCTCACTTACATGTGTGGTTGGTAAACGGAAGACCTTGCAGATCGCTAGAAAGGGACTCACGGACCCTTACCCTTGCAGGGATTCCTGGACTACCTTTTGAGAACCACTGATTTATAATATGGGAAGAAATTTGAACATGCTTATAACCTGAACAGAAGGAGGCAGAAAAGAGGTGGAGATTTAAAATTCAAGGGAAGGAGGCATAACTGTTGGAATATACCAATATAGGTAGAGGGTTTACCTTTTTTTTTTTTATCCTAGAAACAGAGTCTTGCTCTGTTGCCCAGACTGGAGTGCAGTGGCACGATCTCAGCTCACTGCAACCTCCGCCTCCTGGGTTCAAGCAATTCTCCTGCCTCAGCCTCCTGAGTAGCTGGGATTACAGGCGCCTGTCACCACGCCCAGGTAATTTTTGCATTTTTAGTAGAGACAGGGTTTCACCATGTTGGCCAGGCTGGTCTTGAACTCCTGACCTCAGATGATCGACCTGCCTTGGCCTCCCAAAGTGCTAGGATTACAGGCATGAGCCACTGCGCCCGGCCGAGGGTTCACCTTTTTGAGAGGAGATAGGTAGGCTAGAGTTATAAGGATGAGTATGGCTATAAATATATTTGGAGGAGTGGAGTTAGTTGATGGATTTCATCTCCATTAGCTTCAGTTTCCTCTGAAACAGCAGGAAAAAAAGCTTTCTGGGAGTAAGAGGCCATAGAATGGAATGGGGACCTTATGGAATGCCATGAATGTTGTTATTTCTATAGCCTGTCTGTATGCATAATACAAGATGAGATGCTGGCTGTGTGAAGATTTAAGTGTTTCTGTGAGTAGGAACCTGCATTTCTAGAGGAGTGCAGGGAATATCTTGAGCTGCATGACCCTTTGTTTCTCCTTCTCACTTATCAAATCGAATATCTTCTCTGTATTCAATTGTCTTCATTACTTAGAAACTCAAATTCACACTCATGGACCTTCTATCTTGAAAACAGTGTCTTAGCTTCATTAAACATCCAGGTTGTCAATATGGTAATTCTCAATTCCATTTTGTAAGCACATGTGTTCTCTTTTAAACTATGAAGTTTTTAACAGTGAGAAGCTGACTGATGCTCAGGGTAAGAGCTTCTGTCTGGATTGATGACACAATAAAAACTGTTCAGGATGACAAGGAAGGCATTCAGCAAACTGTGAGTCATTCTGTCTCTGACTCTCCACTAGATGTATGTGTATGTGATGGTGGAAATAAATCCAATACTGCAAATAATCAAAACCAATAATTAGTTTAGTGCACTAAGCTAATCTGTTCAAAAGATTAGATTATAAAATACCAAATCCAGCTAAATATTCTTTGCAAGAGATAAAACAAAAGTATAAGGACACAAAAGGATTTGGAGTAAAGGGATAAAATAAGTTATACCAGACAAATAATCAGAAGAAGGCTGGTGTGGCAATATAAATATCAGAAAGAAGATACCATAAAGGAAAAAAAATTCCAAAGAAATCATTACACAATGACAGAGGCAACATTTAATCAGGAATATATACTAATCCTGATCCTGTATATATCTAATAACAGGCTGTCAAAATTTGTAAAGAATAAGTCATTAGAATTTCAAGAAATATTAACACATTTCACAATTAGAAGAGAACATTATATCTTCTGAAGACTAACAAATAAGCAGACACAAAAGTAAACAGGTCATAATCAATTTAAACAACACAATTACAAGCTAGATCTAATGGATATATATATCAGAAATATGTATTTTATATATAACATATATTATATATTAGATATATAATATATAATTACATATATAACATGTATTTTATATATATATATAAAATTCTGTACACTTGGGGAAACATGGACACAAAAAAATTACTGCATGCTAGCCCACCAAGCAAGTCTTGACAAATACTAAGAACTGATGAACAAATGATTATATATTAGCTTATCAAAATGTAATTGAAACAAAAAGATAGTCAAAATAACCCATAATAGACATTTTTGTAGTATAATAGAGTTTTTCCAACTATTAACTAAACCTCAGACTTTATTTGGATTTCACTAGTTTTTCCATAAATATCCTTTTCCTGTTCCAGTCCAACCCAGGACAATTTTTGTGTTTAAATTCATGAGAGATATTGATCTGTAGTTTTCTTTTTTTTGTATTTTATTTGTCTACTTTTGGAATCAGGGTAATACTGGTCTCATAAAACGAGTTGGAAAGTAATTCCTCATTTTTTAGTTTTTGCACAAGCTAGTGTAGAACTGGGGTTAATTCTTTAAAAGTTTGGTAGAATTCTCCAGTGAAACCATCTGGGTATGGAAATTTCTTTTTTGGGAGCTTTTAAATTATGAATTCAATTTTTTTGATAGTTGTGAGACTATTTAGATTATCTATTTAATCTTAGTTGAGTTTTGGTGGTTTTGGTTTTTTAGGAAATGGTCCGTCTTTTCTAAATTTTTGAATTCATGAGCATAAAGTGGTCCATATTATTCTCTTATTATCTGTTTAATGGCTCCAGAATCTTTAGTGATATCCCGTTTCATTTGTGACATTAGTAAAATGTATCTTCTTCATTTTTATTTTTGTCAGTCTTGCTAAAGGTTTAGTAGTTTTACTGAATTTTTCGAAGAACTAGCTTTTTGTTTCATTGATTTTTTTTCTATTTTTTTGTTTTAAATTTGTTGATTTCTCTTTTTATCTTATCTGATCCTCTACTTGCTTTGGGTTTATTTTGTTCTTTTTTAGTTTCTTGAGATAAAAACTTAAGATTACTAATTTGAGACCTCTTCTCTTTTCTAATGTAAGCATTTGGTACTAGAAATTATCCTTTCAGAAATGCTTTAGCTGTATGTTACATATTATGTTATGTTTTATTTTCATTTTTTTCAGTTCTTTGTACAATTTATTTCCTTTTTGACTTCCTCTTTGATTTATGGATTATTTAGAAGTGTGTTTGTTAATTTCCACGTGTTCAGAGTTTTTCTTGTTTTTGTTATTGATTTCTAGTTTGATTCCATTATTGTCAGAGAGTGCATTCTGTGTCTTCTTTTAAATTTGTTGAGGTTTGTTTTAAGGCCCAAAATACAGTCTGTCTTGGTGAATGTTCCATGAGAACTTGAAAAAAATGTGTATTCTGCTGTTGCTGGGTGGAATGTTCTATACAAATTGAGCATCCTAAATCCAAAAATCTAACATCCAAAATGCTCCAAAAGCTGGAGCTTTTTGAGCACCAACATGATCAAAGGAAACGCTCATTGGAACATTTCAGATTTCAGATTTTTGGATTTGGAATGCTCAACTGGTGAGTATAATGCAAATACCTAGAATCTGAGAAAAACCTGAAATTGGTAATACTTCTGGTCCCAAGCTTTTTGGATAAGGGACATTCAACCTGTATATGTTGATTGTGTTGTTCAAATCTTCTGTATCTTTGATGATTTTCTATCTAGAAGTTCTATCAATTGCTGATAAGAGGGGGGTATTGAAATCTTCAACCACAATTGTGGATTTATCTGTTCACCCTTTCAGCCCTATTTTTTTAAACAACTTTTATTTTGGGTTCAGGGGTACATGTGAAGGTTTGTTATATAGGTAAACTCGTGTCATGGGGGTTTGTTGTACAGATTATTTCATCACCCAGGTATTAAGCCCAGTACCCAATAGTAATTTTTTCTGCTCTTCTCCCTCCTCCCACCCATCTTTTTTTCCATCTCGGAAAAAAAGGAAAATTGTGTAAATTTATAATTAAAGTAATTATTTATATGCTAGGATTTAAGTCTTACATTTTATTGCTGTTTGTTTTTTCTGTTTCTCATTCCTCTGTTTCTTTTTTCTTGCCTTCCTGTGGGTTATTTGAATATTTTCAAGGATTGCATCTTGTTTTATTTATAGAGTTTTTGTGTGTATCTTTTTGTATAGTTTTCTTAGTGGTGGCTCTGGATATACAGATGTGACATCACATTCTACTTGTATCAACAAGGGAATGTATGGAAAGCTTTGTTCCATTTAGATCCCTTTACTTTTCCCACTTTTAATTGTCATTCTCTTGAGTATTAAATCATATTATAATTTTTGTTTCAATCATCAAATATTATTTATAAAACTCATGAGAAGGATATCCTATTGTATCTTCCCCCCCCCCCGTTTTTTTTGAGACAGTCTCACTCTGTCGCCCAGGCTGGAGTGCAGTGGCACCATCTCGGTTCACTGCAACCTCTGCCTCCCGGGTTCAAGCAACTCTCCTGCCTCAGCCTCCCGAGTAGCTGGGATTACAGGCGCATGACACCATGCCCGGCTAATTTTTGTATTTTGAGTAGAGATGGGGTTTCACCATGTAGGCCAGGCTGGTCTCAAACTCCTGACCTCGTGATCTGCCCACCTCGGCCTCCCAAAGTGCTGGGATTACAGGAGTGAGCCACCGTGCCCTGCCGTCTTCCCATATTTTTGCTGTTTCCATGTGATATCGTTTGGCTTTGTGTCCCCACTCAAATTTCACCTTGAATTGTAATCTTTATGTGTCAAGGGTGGGACCAGGTGGAGGTAATTCAATCATGGGGGCGGTTTCCCCCATACTGTTCTCCTGATAGTCAGTGAGTTCTCATGAGATCTGATGGTTTTATAAGGGGCTCTTTCCCCTTCACTCATCACTTCTCCTTCCTGTCACCTTGTGAAGAAGGTGCCTTGCTTCCCTTTGCCTTCCACCATGATTGTAAGTTTCCTGAGGCCTCCCCAGCCATGCTGAACTGTGAGTCAATTAAACCTCTTTCTTTTATAAATTACCTACTCTCCGGCAGTTCTTTATAGCAGTGTGAAAACAGGCTAATACAGTAAATTGGTACCAGGAGTGGGGCTGTACCCTGCAAAGTCACAGGAGTGGAGCTGCCTAAGGCCATGGGAGCCTACTTCTTGCATCAGTGTGACCTGGGTGTGAGACACGGAGTCAAAGGATATCACTTCGGAGCTTTAAGATTTAACTGCCCCACTGCATTTCAGACTTGTATGGGGCCTGTAGCCCCTTTGTTTTAGCCAATTTCTCCCATTTGGAATGGGTGTATTTACCCAATGCCTGTACCCACATTGTATCTAGGAAGTAACTGACTTGCTTTTGATTTTACATGCTCATAGGCAAAAGGGACTTGCCTTGTCTCAGATGAGACTTTGGACTTGGACTTTTGAGTTAATGCTGGAATGAGTTAACACTTTGGGGGACTGTGTGAGTGAGTTTTCATGAGATCTGATGGTTTTATAAGGGACTCTTCCCCCTTCACTCGGCACTTCTCCTTCCTGCCACCTTGTGAAGAAGGTGCCTTGCTTCCTCTTTGCCTTCCACCATGATTGTAAGTTTCCTGAGGCCTCCCCAGCCATGCTGAGCTGTGAGTCAATTAAACTTCTTTTCTTTATAAATTACCCGGTCTTGGGCAGTTCTTTATAGCAGCATGAGAATGGACTAATACACCGTAGTTCTTTCTTCCTTTTGAGTGCTCTAAGTTTCCTTCTTTTATCATTTTCTTTCTCTTTGGAGAAGCTCCTTTAGCCATTCTTCAAGGGTAGGTCTGCTAGTGACAAATTCAGCTTTCCTTCATCTGAGAATGTTTTGATTTCCCCTTCACTCCTGAAGGATGGTTTCACCAGATATTTAATTCACCATTCACATTTCTTGTCTTCAAGCATTTGAAAAATGCTATGCCACTTCTTTTTGGCCTCCCTGGATTCAGATGAGAGATCTGCTGCCATGTGAATTGATTTTCCCCTATAGGTTGTTTCTCTTTGGCTGATTTAAAGATCATTTATTTTCTTTAGTATTTAGAAGTTTAATTATGATGTGTCTTAGCATAGATTTATTTTGGATTTATTTTATTTGAGGTTTGCTTAGTCTTGAATCTGTAGGTTTATGTATTTCTCCAAATTTAGGAAGTTTTCAGCCATAATTTCTTTGAATACTTTTTCAACCCGACGTTCTTCTTTTGGAGTTTTCTCTTTTTGGACTTCAGTGATAGCAATATTGGGTCTTCTGTTATAATCCCACAAGTCCCTGAGGCTCTGTTAAATCTTTTAGTCTATGTTCTCTCTGTTGTATACATTCAGTGACTTTCATTGTGAACTGATTCTTTTCTGTCTTCTCCATTCTGCTATTGAGCCCATTTATTAAGTTTTAAATTTTGATGACTGTATTTTTTGGTTCTATAATTTCCATTTGGTTCTGTAGTTTTAAATTTTGATGATTGTATTTTTTGGTTCTATAATTTCCATTTGGTTCTGTTTTGTAACTCCTGTTTCTTTGCTGAGATTTTCTACTTTTTTACTTGTTTCAAGAGAATTTGTAACAGCTTGTTGAAAGAGCTGTTATTAAGGCTGCTTTAAAATTCTTGTCAGATAAACTCCAACATCTGATTCATCTTGATGTTGGCATCTGTTGATTGTCTTCTTTCACTCAAATTGTGATTTTCCTAGTTCTTTGTATAATGAGTGATTTGAAATCATATCTTGGACATTTTGGTTTATGTTAGGAGACTCCTATTAAATCTTTTATTTTAGCAGGGAGTCTCCCTGTTTAGGTTTATCATGTAGATTCTTTAGGGTTGTAGGATTTTTTCTTTTCTACTTTTAGAAGCTCTTTATATATTAAAGATACATACATTGGGATATTGCATTTCAAAACTTAGACAAAATGAATAATTTTATTTAAAAATATAAATCAAAATTGAAATACCAAACATGAATAAACCCATGCTCATCAAGGAAATTTACTCATTAGCCAAAAATCTCCTCATAAAATTTTCCGCAATAGCCCACCCATCCCACCAAACAAAATACTGACACCAGGCCTGGATGTTTTTTTTTTGTTGCTGTTGTTTGCTTTTTTCTTTTTCTTTTTTTTTGAGAGGGAGTCTCGCTTTGTTGCCAGGCTGGAGTGCAGTGGCGCCATCTTGGCTCCCCCTCCGCCTTCTGGGTTCAAGCGATTCTCCTGCCTCAGCCTCCTGAGTAGCTGGGATTACAGGCATGTGCCACCATGCCCGGCTAATTTTTGTATTATTATTATTGTTATTTTTTTGAGATGGAGTCTCGCTCTGTTGCCCAGGCTGGAGTGCAGTAGCGCTATCTCGGCTCACTGCAAGCTCCACCTCCCAGGTTCACGCCATTCTCCTGCCTCAGCCTCCTGAGTAGCTGGGACTACAGGCGCCCGCCACCACGCCCGGCTAATTTTTTGTATTTTTAGTAGATACGGGGTTTCACCATGTTAGCCAGGATGGTCTCTATCTCCTGACCTCGTGATCTGTCTGCCTCAGCCTCCCAAAGTGCTGGGATTACAGGCATGAGCCACCGCACCCGGCCTAATTTTTGTATTTTTAGTAGAGACAGGGTTTCATCATGTTGGCCAGGATGGTCTCGGTCTCCTGACCTCGTCATCATCCTGCCTCAGCCTCCCAAAGTGCTGGGATTACAGTCGTGAGCCACCACGCCCAGCACAGGCCTGGATGTTTTTACAAATGAGGTCTATCAAGATTTAAAGTAACAGATAATACTTAGCTTATAAAAAATGTTCTAGAGAATAGAAATCGTAGGAAATATCTCCAGTTCATGTTATGTGGTTAGTAAGAAATGATGGGAAGGGGTCTCAGCATAAAATAAAGCACAGGCTGGGTGCAGTGGCTCATATCTGTAATCCCAGCACTTTGGGAGGCCAAGGTGGGAAGATCGCTTGAGTCCAGGAGTTTAAGACAAGCCTGAGCAACATAGCAAGACCCCATCTCCACAGAAATTTAAAAAATTAGCCAGGCATGGTGGTACATGCCTGTAGTCCCAGGTACCTGGGAGGCTGAGGTGGGAGGATCGCTTGAGCCCAGGAGTTTGAGACTGCAGTGAGCTATGACTATGCCTTTGCACTCCAGCCTGAGCTGCAGAATGAGACGCTTTCTTCAAAAATAAAATAAGATGAAATAAAGCTCAGGATTATATTTTGTCCTTGTTTCTCAGGTGATACATCAGTTTTGACCCCCCACATCTGCTTATAATATCAACTGAAATGCAGTGCTGGCAGTGAAATTCCAGACTTCTTCAGATGACTGAAGTCATACCTGTAGCCTTTTCTCTTTTGGACAACGGGGGAGGCCTCTGGTGCTTGGACTGACCAGTGAATAATTGTGTGGCAGCCTTCTAATCCTGAAGAAACACTAAAGTTTACACAAAGAAGTTCCATGGTTTCTTCATGTTGAAGGGCTGACAAGGGCTACATGACCAAGGGCTACAAATCTATATGTCTCCTTGCCAGCAGACTATTCACTTCTTTTTTTTTTTTCATTCTTGGATGCACCTATCTTTGGTTAACGCTACTATGCCACCATATTTGCTATTGTGCCATTCTGTGCTTTTGGCTAAAATAAATAAGACTTCTTTTGTATGAGACCTGATGGTTGGGATTGTTATATTTGATTTCAACAAATGTATATATTTTTTTCTTTGAGACACAGTCTCACTCTGTTGCCCAGGCTGGAGTGCAGTGGTGCAATCTTGGCTCACTGCATCCTCCACTTCCCAGGTTCAAGCAATTTCCCCTGCCTCAGCCTCCCGAATAGCTGGAATTACAGGCACCCACCACCATGCCTGGCTAAGTTTTGTATTTTTACTAGAGACAGGGTTTCGCCATGTTGGCCAGGCTGGTCTTGAAGTCCTGATCTCAGGTGATCTGCCCTCCTCGGCCTCCCAAAGTGTTGGGATTACAGGCGTGAGCCACTGCACCCGGCGTGAGCCACTGCACCCGGCCTAACAAATCTATTACTAGGAAATATATCCTATGTTAAAAGAATACAGGATATGTTCTAGAATCAAATGGAAATTTTAGAATGAAATAATCAAATAATCAGAATAAAAAACTCATCAGAATGGAGAGGACACAGGAGAAGATTAGTGAACTTGAAAACAGAACTATAGGAATTAATCTGAACAACAAAGAGAAAATAGACTGGAAACTGAGTGATTCAGAGATGTGTGGACTGTAACAAAAACGCTCAGAAAGAGAGAAGAAAGAGGGTGGGACTGAAAAAGTATTCAAAGAAGCAATGGCTGAAAAATCTCCCAATTTGGCAAAAGACATAAACCTACAGATTAAAGATCTTGTGAGAATTCCAAACTTGATAGATCTAAATAAATCCATACCAAGACACATCATAATCCAACTTCAGAAAAGTAAAGACCAAGAAAATATCTTGAAAACAGCCAGAGAGAAATGATGGGATTTCTCATCAGAAATCATGGAGGCTAGAAAGAAATGGCACATTTTTCAAGTACCAAAAAGAAAAGAATTGCCAGCCAATTCTATACTCAGTGAAATGATCCTTCAGAAATGAAAAGGAAATACAGATATTCTCAGACTAAAAAAAAAAAACTTAAATAATTTACCAGACCTACCCTTAAAAAAATGGCTAAAGGAAGTTCTTGAAACAGAAAGGGAATGAAAGAATGTTAAAATACCATGAAGGAAGAAAGAACAAAGGAACAAACCGAAATATGGGCACATACAATAGGCTTCTTTTCTCCTCTTGAGTTTTCTAAATTATATTTGACAGTTGGAGCAAAAGATATATAACAGTTTTTGGATATGGTTCTTAATATATGTACAGGAAATATTTAAGATAATTATATTATAAATGGGTATAGTAAAGGGTCTTAAAGGGAGGTAAGGTCTCTACATTTCACTTGAACTAGTAAAATGTCAATACCAATGGATGGATAAGTTATGAATGTATAACGTAATACCTAAAGCAACCACCACAAATTTACCTATGCAACAACTTTCATGGACCCCAAGGGCATTATGCTAAGTGAAAAGAGCCAATCTTAAAAGGTCACATACTAGCTGATTCTATTTATATAACATTCTCAAAATGACACACTGAAATTGATGAAGAGCAAATTAGTGGCTGGCAAGGGTTAGAGATGGTGGGGTGGGTAGATACGACTCTAAAGGGGTAGCATGATGGAGATCTTTGTGGTGATGGAACAGTTCTGTATCTTGATTGCAGTAGTGGTTACATGATTCTACACATGTGATAAAATGGCATAGAACTATACATACATGTTTGATGAATGTCTGTTTCCTGGTTTTAATATTATATAAGATGTAACTATTGGGACAAACTGAGTATAGGGGACATGGTATAGATCTTTCTACTATCTTTGCAGCTTCCTATAACTCTATGATTATTTCAAGATAAAAAATGTTAAAAAGAGAAAACTACATTTCTTTGGTGAAAATGTTTTTATTTTAATTTACATTTTATAACTACTTTTTCAAAATGGGATATTATTTTAGTTTTTTCCATTATTGTGAAATTTAACTGTCACGTAGAAATCTTGGATGACATTAGCAAATCAAAACAGGAATTTTCTTTCCTGAATATTACTTTACCATTTGAGTCACCATGGTTTTGAGATGGGAGCTATTGGTGTCGGTATTTATAGGGAAGGATAATGTGACTGCCCCATTCCCATTTTACTCAATCACAAGCAGGACTGCTCAGTAGGAATGCTAAAAGCATTCAAATCTCTCATTATGCCTCCCTTACCCAATGACCTAGTTTTATGAGTTGGTTGGCTGCTGTCAGAGGTACATTGGTGGCTGTGGAATGGAATTCTCCCTACACAAGGTTAAGTAGCCTATGTGATTCTCTTTGTAACCTTGACTAACTGAACTTAGATTAACTGCAAGTTTTCTCTTGTGACTGTCATGCGTTTCCCTAATTAATCACATTTTCCGGAAGCTCTATCTGTACAACTAACTAGACTAGATCTCTCTGCAGACATGGGAATAGAAATTACTCTGGGAATCTTGATTGTGTTACTGATTTGCATAGCGTTAATGATTTGTATGTTAATGCGATGGAGAGGCCGGGGACTGCATATGAGTAGAACCTGTTTCCTGTTTCCACTTCTGGAGCCATGCAGGGTCAACTTTACCCTTCTTTTTGAGTTTCTCTTCAGTTGCTTTTTGTTTGTGCTTTATATTTTATGGCTGGAATTTAATTTTAACTAAATTTATTTAGAATTTATTTGAAAAATTATTTTGAGCTCTCTGCTGCTGTAGCAGGTACTTTTACATACGCCATCTTATTACTCCAAACAGCAATCCTTAATTTTAACTAAAAATTTGGTATTTCAGTATTCCACTATGTTGGCATTATGTTTAAATGCCAAATTAAAAATTAAAAATTTGATGAGTACTGTCAAATGCATTCTATATGACACACACGACACTTAGATTTGTTTGATACAATAGAATTATTAAATATCCCCTAAGAGATTTAGTATCATTTCAGTGCATACAATGAAGGAAATTCAGGGACCATAGTCAAGAAGCTCATCTGTTGAAAAGAACTATACAAGATAGAGTAACCTGACATAGAATATTTTCATCCTACCATTTACTTACTTTTATTCCCGTACTGTTTATCTTTGAGGAAGTTTCTATTTCAAGTATTATTACAGATGTAGGAATAAAGGTGAGATGAATGATATTATATTCCAAGGTCTATGTAGTAGTTAAATGATAATGAAAACCACAGTTCATCATGGTAAAGCAAACACACTTGGAAATGTATTATTGTTATTATTATCATTATGACAGTGTTGAGAGGGGCTCAATTAATCAATCAAGGGTGTAGCCATCTGATAGAAAGATGGGTTTTGTAATAAGAGGTTTACTGTTGGGTGGCAGATGTGGCAGACAGCCCAGACAACAAGCTTGGAATGGTGAACTACACACATTCCACTGGCAACATTTATGGCACCGGAAGTGGTATCCATATGCACATATCTACTCAGAGGATCAGAAAAGGGGGAAAAAAAACTAAGAGCACATGTGTGAACATGATTATAAAGCAGTGGACTCCCAAATTATGAGCCAGCTTTCAAAATGCACCCATTGTATGAAATCCAGTTTTGTCTTCTTACAGGTAACATGTACTGCTTGTATCATAATACATGTAATTGTAATAGTATAACCATAGATGTGTTTTTATTCAGTAAATCAGCTCTTATGTAGTATGGTGGGTAGACTCCAAGATGTCCCTCAGTTGTCTCTGCTTCCTCATATCCATCCCCTTTTAAAATTCCCTCACCTTAAGTATGGGCTAGACTTATTGACTTGCTTATAATGAATAGAATATGGGATTATATTCTATCCCATAGAAGTGATGGGATGCCACTTCTGGTATTAGGTTATAAAAATACTATGGCTTCCATCTCAGGGTGCTCTCTCTTGGACTCTTCATTCTTTGTAGGGTGTATTAATCTGCTTGGGCTGCCAAAACAAAATACCATAGACTGAGTGGCTTAAACAACAATGTATTTTCTCATAGTTCTGGAGGCTAGAAATGCCAGATCAAGGTGCAGGCCAGTTTGGTTCCTGGTGAGAGCACTCTTCTTGGCTTGTGGGTGGCCGCCATCTCTCTGTGTGTTCGCATGATCTCATGATCTCTTTTTTGTTTGCACACTGGGAGACTTGGAGTTGGGGGTGGTGGGAGAGAGAGAGAGAAAGGAGAGGAGAGTGCTGGCACTTTGGTGTCTTTTTTTATAAGGACATTAATCCTATCAGATCAGGGTCCCACCCGTATGATGTCATTTAACTGTAATTACTTCCTTAGAGGCCCCATCTCCAAATAAAGCCACACTGGGAGTTAGAGCTTCAGTATATGAATTTTGAGGGAACATAAATGTGCAGTCCATAGCATGGGAGGCAGCCCTGTGGAGAGGCCCACGTTAGTGAGCTTGGAAGTGGATTTTCTACGGCCTGCCACCAGCCATATGAGTGATCTTTGAAGTGGATTCTCCGTCAGTTGGGTCTTGAGATACCTACAACCCTGGCCAACATTTTGATTGCAACCTCATGAAAGACTTAATCAATACCACCTAGCTAAGCTGCTCTTGAATTGATCCTGGTTGATCACAGAAACTAGGAAATAATAAATGTTGTTTTCAGCTGCTAAGCATGGTATAATTTGTTATGCAACAATAGATAACTAAAACATTTAATATTTGACTCCTCAATTCCTTTATCAGAAACTTTAGAAGTAGGATATATCACTAAGAGAGTCTGATTATCAGCAAGAAATGGAAGAATAGGGCATGTGAAAAGAGACTAACAACCGTCCCTTTATTTATCATCTTCTTTCCAGAAATGATTCGTATAATCTGTGAATATCCTGATGGATGTAATGATTTTACCTAGCTCAGGGAATTATGCATTTTATGGGAGCTACCTATAGGACTTTTGATTCTGCACATGCATTCTGAATAGAATATATGGAAATTCCTTGTTACTACGGGATTTCATGGATGCAACTGTCATTGAGTAAAATGTTTAGAACTATCTGCACATGGTCGACAGGGATGGAAGTTTGATAGACAGCAGGAGGTGGAAGTTGGCAAATGAATCATTTACAATTACGGTCCTGCCCAGCAACCCTCAAATTTCCTGAGTGCCCATGGTAAGGATCCATTTGCCTCCAGCCTCTTAAGGCTGTGGAGTACCCCCGGTCCATTGGCATGCTGGAGTAGTTACATTCGTAGCCAATTAGCAGGGTGGCACACACTCCGCCAAGAAGCCCCAGTCTCTATAGACCCGGTATAGAGAGTGAAATTAGCTGAGACAAATACCTGTTAATCCCCCGTTCTTGGCCGGCATGGAGCGCCTACTGTGCAGTGCTAATAGTTCTGGGAAATCCCAATTCCCAGTGTCAAGAGTTGAACAGACTAAGTCTGTTAAATGAAGAAATTTACAGCGCATTAGCTTTGATCAAGAAATGCTAGGTGCAAGTCTCTTAAACAAATGAAGGCTACTTGGGAATACAGGTCACTCTTTCTGGGAAGCTGTTTTTGAAGGACTTGATCTTCCTTCTTTCCCATGCCAGAGCCAGGGATAGAAAAGTGGCAGTTTGAGTGGCTGGACCTGGGGGAAGTAGAAAATAGTCTTATTTAGACAGGAGGGGACAGCTGAGTGACTCTACCGGAGTTTTGTCCAAGGGAGCTTGGATATGGTTTTCAAAAATGGGAAATTTGTGATAAAAATCGCAGGAGACCTTACAGCTTCCAGCGAAGGCTGGTTTATACTTATATGTGTAAGTTGCGCCCTCTGCTGGCTGGATCAAGCCATGTTCCCGTCCTCCCCCTTTCCTGGGAAAAACGTTTTGTATTTTCCCATCTAAATTATGTTTTCAGTTGCATTCTATCAGCCCGTTGCTGTCTATGCAAAGAATGAGGCAAGCAGAATTTAAATCGTGGCTTGTACCATTATGCCTGTCACTCAAAGCTCTGCATAGCGGTTCTCAGAGAAGGGCGAAGGATGGTTCTCAGAGAAGGGCGAAGGATTCGGGAGTTCTTGGGGACATACTATAAATTTTCAGATTCTGATTCCTTGGCTAAGTTTGCAGACATCCAGGTTCGTTTTTTTTTGTGTGGCATATCTTTTAATGTGACCATTGTTCCGCTGTGGAAGGCAGAAAAATCTTTCCTTAGTACCAGGAAATGCTTTTAATTCAGACAAGCTTTTATTTCTTGGTTGCGTCAAGTCTAAGGGAGTTTGGCGATTGCCCTCAAGCTTGGGATAAAGGCAATGGAAAGAGGATGAATAGAATCACAGCGAGACAGGAGGAGGGTGGGCTGATGAGACCAGTGAAGGGAAGAACTGATGATCTTACGCTCGAGTGTCAGTAGCCTTGTGTCTAGGAGGAAAGATGATTTACATTTTGACATGTCAGTGAAAGGAAACCCAAAAGAAGTGGTGCAACTAACAATTTGTTAAGAGCTTCTCAGGGGTAAAGCACTATTCAATTTTTTTTCCAAAAAAGGAAGAAAGAAGTATCCATTCCAGGGAAGGCAGGGGAGAAAATACAGCCCTGTCCCCTGAGATGAGGTAAGCCTGCCATGAGGAGTGGAGGTGGTAGATGGTGCTGTAGAATTTCATTTCTGGAAAGGCATATTCAAAATGTAGCCTAGGATGTTTGTGAAAATGAACCTATATCATCTTAATCCCTCTAGACATTGACAGGCATCATTTAACTCTCTCCCTCTACCCGCTGCACAGGGGTTGGCATTGTTTGGCGTGGTTGGCAGCACTAAACCCTATGACAAAAAACACAGGTGCTTTTATAAACTGGGATTAAGTCATATTTAGCAGAGACGTACAGCTGAGCTGTTTGGATAACCCTCTCCCTCCTCCAGTCGGCTTTAGTTGATGAAAGCATTCCCTAATACCTGCAGTCACTGTATGCTCATTTTGTTGATCCCAATTCATAAAAATAAAATCTACAGCAAAGAAGTTTCTATTGATGTCAGGCCCTGGAAAACTCTCTTTCAGGCTGAGACCACGCATACGGGATGTTAAGCCCTTACAACAATGGATTCCAGCTACTCATGTTTACCAAGAGCTAGGGATCAGGACCTATGCTGGTATTCTATAATAAAATATTATAGTGATTACACGGGGACAGTCCACGGGCATGTTTAATCTGTAACGTGTATGCAATATAATATTGCTGAAACCTTTTAGGTGGCTCTAAGCCCTGAGTAATAAAAAAAAAATCAAGCATTTTGCTTGCCATTGTGATTTTATAATATTGTATTTTGGCAGTTTTTCTTACACATGCTATATATTTGGGTTAATGATGATATGATAATCTGATCTTTATAATTTGAGTTTTCTTTTGTATACCAAAGTGTTTATGAATAATTCACCATGGTAATGGTTCGAAGCATGTGTTGCAGCGTCAAACAGGCTTGGATTTGATTTTAATAAATGTGTGATCCGAGATAAGTTATTTTGTTTTTGGACTTTAGTTTCTTTGGTTATAAAATGGGGATAATTATAGTACCTACTCATGGAGGATTTAGTTAAATTATGCATAAAAAGTTTAGTCTAGTTCTTGGCCTATGTAACTTCTAAAAATGTTAGCCGTGTAACTGGTACATCAAATAGATAAGACTTGGGATGAGATCAGAAAGCATAATTTTTTTTGGTTGCCCATTGTCCCTTTACATTTTGTTTTGTGGAGAAAGTTCTGTAGCCACTGGATAAAAATTTGGTTAAGCCCCAAGATTCCCTGGCTACTCATAGGACAAAGACAGTTCTGAGATGACTTTAATTTGCAAATCCAGACTCAATTCAGTTAAAATTGTTGGGTCCCAGATATTCCAAATGTGAATTAGAGTTAAATGTCTCTGTTTTCCTGCTTCTCTTTCCCTAGCTTGCTGTCCAAGTTTCCTGACCACTTTGGACTTGGCGCAGGGGAAGAGAGGAAGGGAAAGACGAGCAAAAGCGTTCCTATTTGCTGACCCTGTTTCAGGGTGGCTTTGTGATCTCTGGTCAAATGTTTAAAGATGATTGTCTCACAGCATCATTTTTGTGGGTTATGCAGGGACCCTCGACTGGGCCCCCTTTTGATTTGGGCATTGCCCCCATCCTCTCTCCATCTTTGCTCTGATGACACACCCCACAGCTTCTTCATTCTGGAGGCTCCATCCACAGTCAGCAGGCTGCCTTCATAGGCGGGGTTGACATCTGATCCCTGGGATTTATACACCTTTGAACTGTTACTGGAGGGCAGTGTAGTTACTTGCTAGATGCAGCCCTTTAATCTAATGTCTCCATTTACATTGCCTTTCTAAAGTGTGAGTCAACCAGCGGTTCACTGTATGCCATTTGCTGTTGAACACGTATTAAGCTTTCCAAGCCATGCCTTGGAGCCCATCTCACCTGACTTAAGGATAGAAGGGAGTGCCCCCATCCCATCTCATCCCCTTGGAAAACACAATGGTGAGACTCAGAATTCAGTCCTTTCCAAAAGGTAAAAATTTATTCTTCTTATGAATTATCTTAATTTCCAACACTCTCCTTTTATATCCTTGGCATGGATGAAATATGTAACTGGTACTTATTCTCCTACTATGAAATTTCCTCATGGTAGTCTATTTTACAAGTCATTTTGGTATCTGATGTCCAAGTGTCTCATTCAAAACTCCCAATGAAACATCCTCTTATAGCTGTTATCTATGTGAAAGATGTTTGATTTGCTTTATGCTTTTCTCTCATCTAGTTCCCATTGTGACCAAGTGGTAAAAACATGAGCTCTTTCTGAGAAACTTAATCATCTAAGTAGTTTTCCGAAGTGCTATTTTTTGGCCAGTTATTTTGATATTAGCCACAGAGAAAATGAGGCCTAAGGAAAATGTATTGATTTGCTATATTTTTAAGGTGGATTTCAAGGAGTTTTTATAACATTTGAATGTTTCAGAAATATGGAAGTATGCAAAATTGTCTGAAAGGTTGTTCATTGCAGTGTTGTTTGTAATGATGAAAAATGAAGACAATGTAAATGTCTAAATCTAGGTTAGGGTATTGGCTAAATTGAACAATGGAATACTAAGCTATTATTAAAGTGATATTGTAGAGGAATGTTTAATGACCTGGAAAGATGTTCATAACCCACTGTACATAAAAAAATGAAAAACAAAAAATAAAAAGGCATGTGCTGTATTTTCTTGTTTTGGTAAAAATATGCATATCTATACATAGAAAAAACACCACAGTGATATCCATGAAAATGTAAATGGTGCTGTTATATAAACTTTTCTTTATGTATATATTTTTAATATTTATTTTTAGTTTTAGTTTTTCTGGGTACATAGTAGGTACATATACTTATGGGGTACATAAGATGTTTTGATACAGGCATGCAATGTGAAATAAGCACATCATGAGGAATGGGGTATCCGCCCCTCAAGCATTTATCCATCGAGTTGCAAACAATCCAATTACACTCTTTAAGTTACTTAAAAACATACAGTTATTATTGACTGTAGTCACCCTGCTGTGCTATCAAATAGTAGGGTCTTATTCATTCTTACTATTTTTTTTGTACTCATTAACCATCCTCACCTACCCCCCAGGCCGCCACTGCCCTTCCTAGTCTCTGGCAAGCATCCTTCTACTCTATATGTCCATGACTTCAATTGTTTTGATTTTTAGATTCCACAAATAAGTGAGAACTTGCAATGTTTGTCTTTCTGTGCCTGGCTTATTTCATTTAACATAGTGCCCTCCAGTTCCGTCTATGTTGCTGCAAATGACTGGATCTCATTCTTTTTTATGGCTGAATAGTACTCCATTGTGTATATGTACCACATTTTCTTTATCTATTTTTTCACCTGTTGATGGACACTTAGTGCTGCAATAAACATGGGAGTGCAGATATCTCTTCAATGTACTGATTTCTTCTCTTTTGGGTATATACCCAGCAGTGGGATTGCTGGATCATATGGTAGCCCAATTTTTAGTTTTTTTGAGGAACTTCCAAACAGTTCTCTATAGTGGTTGTACTAATGTATATTGCTACCAACAGTGTACAAGGGTTCCCTTTTCTCCACATCCTTGCCAGCATTTGTTATTGCCTATCTTTTGGATATAAGTCATTTTATTTTATTTTAAGTTCTGGGATACGTGTGCAGGATGTGCAGGTTTGTTACCTAGGGAAACATGTGCCATGATGGTTTGCTGCACCTATCAAACCATCACGTAGGTATTCAGCTCGGCATGCATTAGCTATTTATCTTCATGCTCTCCCTCCCCTTGCTCCCCGCAACAGGCCCCAGAGTGTGTTGTTCCCCTCCTTATGTCCATGTGTTCTCATTGTTCAGCTCCCACTTATAAGTGATAACATGCAGTGTTTGGTTTTTCTTCCTGTGTTAGTTTGCTGTGGATAATGGCTTCCAGCTCCATCCATATCCCTGCAAAGGACATGATCTCGTTCCTTTTATGGGGATATAAGCCATTTTAACTGAGGTGAGATGATATCTCATTGTAGTTTTGATTTGCATTTCTCTAATGATCAATGATGTGGAGAACCTTTTCATATGCCTGTTTGCCATTTGTATGTCTTCTTTTAAGAAATGTCAATTCAAATCTTTTGCCTATATTTTGATTGAATTATTATGTTTTTTTCCTACAGGGTTGTTTGAGCTCCTTATATATTCCGGTTATTAATCCCTTGTCACGTGGGTAGTTTGCAAATATCTTCTCTCATTCCATGGGTTGTCTCTTCACTTTGTTGATTGTATCCTTTGCTGTGTAGAAGCTTTTTAATTTGATGTGATCCCATTTGTCTATTTTTGCTTTGGTTGCCTGTGCTTGTGGGTTATTGCTAAAATTTTTTTGCCCAGACCAATGTCCTGGAGATTTTCCCTCATGTTTTCTTGTAGGAGCTTCATAGTTTGAGGTCTTAGATTTAAGTCTTCAGTCCATTTTGATTTGATTTTTGTATATGACAAGAGAGAGTGATCTAGTTTAATTCTTTTGCATATGGATATCCAGTTTACCCAGCGCCATTTATTGAGGAGACTGTCCTTTCCCCAATGTATGTTCTTGGCACTTTTTTTTTTTTTGATGCAGTCTTGCTCCGTCACCCAGGCTGCAGTGCAATGGCATGATCTTGGCTCACTGCAACCTCTGCTTCCCAGGTTTGAGTGATTCTCCTGCCTCAGCCTCCTGAGTAGCTGGGATTACAGGCGGGCGCCACCATGCCTGGCTAATTTTCATATTTTTAGTAGAGATGGGGTTTCACCATGTTGATCAGGCTGGTTTCGAACTCCTGACCTCGTGATCTACCCACCTTGACCTCCCAAAGTGCTGGGATTACAGACGTGAGCCACCGCGCCCGGCCTGTTCTTGGCACTTTTGTCAAAAGTGAGTTCACTGTAGGTGTGTGCATTTGTTTCTGGGTTCTCTATTCTGTTCCATTGGTCTATGAGTCTGTTTTATGCCAGTACCATGCTGTTTTGGTTACTATAGCTTGTAGTATAATTCAAAGTTGGGCAATGTGATTCCTCCAGTTTTGTTCTTTTTTGCTTAGGATAGCTTTGGCTATTCTGGGTCTTTTGCAGTTCCATATACATTTTATGATTTTTTTTTTCTATTTCTATGAAGAATGCCATTGGTATTTTGATCGGGATTGTATTGAATCTGTATATTGTTTTGGGTAGTATGGACATTTTAACAATATTGATTCTTCCAATCCATGAACCTGGAGTATTTTTCTATTTTTCAGTGTCCTCTTCAATTTCTTTCATCAGTGTTTTATAGTTTACATTGTAGAGCTCTTTCACTTCTTTAAGTTAATTCCTAGGTAGTTAATTTTATATGTGGCTATTGTAGATGGGATTACTTTTTTAAAATTTCTTTTTCACATAGTTCACTGTTGGCATATAGAAATGTTACTGATTTTGTATGTTGATTTTGTATCCTGAAGCTTTACTGTAATAGTTTTGTTATAAAGTCTTTACGTTTTTCCAAATATAAGGTCATATCATCTGCAAAGAAGGATAACTTGACTTCCTCCTTTCCAATTTGGATGTCCTTAATATCTTCTTCTTGTCTGATTGCTCCAGCTAGGACTTCCAGTACTATGTTGAATAACAGTGGTGACAGTGGACATCCTTGTCGTGTTGTAGATATTACAGGAAAGGCTTTCAGCTTTCCCCCATTCAGTATGATACTAGCTGTCTTTGTGTATATTATGCTTCAATAAAAAGTTCAAAAAAATGCATGGATCTGATACTTTAGTAATGATATTATAGGTAATTTCTGTGTTTTCTTTTTTTTTTTTATTTTTGAGACAGAGTCTTGCTCTGTCGCCTAGGCTGGAGTGCAGTGGCAAGATCTAGGCTCACTGGAACCTCCGCCTCCTGGGTTCAAGCGATTCTCCTGCCTCAGCCTCCTGAGTAGCTGGGATTACAGGTGTGTGCCACCATGCCCCACTAATTTTTATGTTTTTAATAGAGATGGGGTTTCACCATGCTGGCCAGGCTGGTCTCGAACTCCTGACCGCATGATCTGCCTGCCTCGGCCTCCCAAAGTGCTGGGATTACAGGCGTGAGCCACCGTGCCCAGTATTTTTGTGTTTTCTTTATGCCTATTTCTGTTTTCTAAATTTCTTAAAATAAGCATATGGTTTTCTAATATTTAAAAGGTAAATCTTACTTAAAAATAATAGGTACCTCCATGATGTCCTGGTATGTGGTTCCCAGGCTGACTGGGCATGGTGAATCAAGAAATGTCATTGCAAAGGCTCTGGTCTTGCTGTGGGCCCCTCTGAGCCTATGGGTGGTCTTCAACCCTCAAGGCTCAGATTACTCACAACCACCATTTTAGAGTAGAATTTTCTACGTGGTAGCAACTGGTCCTGAATTATGGAGCTTGCTGTTAGGTTTCTAGAACTGAGTGGAAAACAGAAGCTGCCTGAGCTTGTGCAGTAGTTCATGAGTCGGTTTCTGAGCATTGATTTTCAGCCTAAGTGAAGCAGAGACTGACTGGAACCAACAATTCAGCCAATTCTCTTGTTATTTGCCCCAGTCTGGTTCTGTAGCTCATGGAAGCTTAAAAATAGCATAATTCTTTGCTGAATGTCCCCAATATCTAGAGGAGCTTGGAGGGAGAAGAGTAAGAGAGATTTGGTGGGAGAGGAAAGATGGTGTGGCCCAGGCCTTTGTGCATTTATTATACCATGCTGCCTTGTCCCTGCAGCTCTGCAAGTTCACTATTTACAGCCCCAGAAAGGTGGGGGGGGAGGGGCGCTTGAGGGTGGTGACAAAGGGGGACTTCAGGCAATGCTTAGGAGCTAGGGATTTATAGAATAGGAGCCCTTGAGAGATTTTAAGCTGGAGAGTTACACGGTCATATTTGCCTTTGAGGTGGTTATTCTGAGTTTAAGAGGAAAAGATGAAGGCATGCAAATCTGTTAGGAAGTTGTGGTAAACCCAGGCCTGGATTTGAGTGGTGAGAGTAGAGATGGAGAGCAAAAGTCAGAGTTAAGTAATACTTAGAAGATGCTCTTGACTAGACTTGGCGGTTGGGTGTGAGGCCTGAAAGAGGATGATACATATAGGAAGACTTTATGGTAAATTATGTGGAACAGGAAACACATTAACAGGGATTAATGTAAATCATAGTATGAGTTTCATTCTATCTTTTGAAAATATGGAGTGACTGCCACTTAGCAGGCATTGGGTAAATATTTATTGACTCCATGAATGAATTTTAGTCTAATAAAAGAGTGTAGCGAGGCTGTTCATATAGATGTGTTGCATGGCATAATTGTAACTAAGCTATAAAACCAAAAGGGTTATTTTTAAAAACCAGTCTCCCTTTCAGCACAGTGGGTTTTGTGTGCTGCCTTAGCTGGTCAATGTAGGAGGGCCCCTCAGAGTTGGGTAGTGATCCCAGTGGGTGGATGACATGGAAACACAGTAAAAAGAGCTTGTCCAAGTGACTACTTTCTTGGCTCACATTTAGTTTTGTCTCTGTGCAGTCACATTCTGCCAGCAGTATCACTGTGAAAATGTAACAGTCTCACTAAAAGTGGTTTTGTGTGTGTAGGCAGTAGAATAGAGAAGTAGAAGACCTTTCTAGTATGCCATTTCAACCATGTAAATGGACACTTGCCCACGAATCTGGAATTTAAGGGAGGTTCTTTACTCCTTTTTGCTGAGTTGCATGGTAATTTGGGTTTGCAAGATAGATGAATGAGTGATTTGGGTCAATATAACATAGCTCCAAGTGGGAATCTGAGGCCATTGTCACTGGGTACCTATGTTGGAGCTAGAATTATCTAGTTTGATTATATACATTTATCAGGCTAACCAGGTAACTATCGAATCAATGGGAATGATGACCTTTTCCATGTATACATAGCATATATGTGTTAGCCTGAAAGAATATGGCTACCTTGACCCCAGTGATGGTATATTAGCTTAGAGCAGCTGGAAAAGAGTAATGAGAGCAGTGGTTTGAGGACTATTGACTTTCTATAGGGAGCTACAAACACATGGGGTGTTCAGTTAAAACAATCTGGTTGCAGGGTCTGTTATTGAATATAATAGGAAACAAATAGGCAAGGTGGCTCATTTTTGAACAAAACAACTGGCCCATGATGATATTATTTTGATATATCTGGAATTATCATAATAGCAAAGTCCAACGATAAGTAGAAAAATGAATGGCAGTGAGAATCCAACAGAGACTGTTTCTCTAAGAATAGGAGTCAGAATATGCACCATTGTATTCACAGTATCATTAAAATATGAATAAACAGCAGTGATTTTTTATTATACAGTGAAAGAACCTCCTACAGGGCACTGAAAATTGAGTGGTGTGTGTTTAATAAATTAAAGCCAACAAGAAATGGCTATTTACCAGGATGCAGGAAGGACTCAGAGAATAATGTGGGTTTAGCCAGGGACATAAATGGAACTGATTTATTATTAGGTGAGATTTTAAAGGTTTAAAAATTTTTAATTTTATGGCAATAGTTGGAAATGGAAGAGAGGAAATGGTCAGAGAGGAGACTGTAGAGTTTAGCCGGTGATAAATTGTGAGTGGCCATATTTTAGAAAGTTAAGATGTTTGGGTTTTATCTCTAGGGACTCTATTCTGAAACTTTAAGCAGGGGACAGAAAAGATCAGTTAGTTTTAGCTGTATAGCAAACTATGCCAAAACTTAGTGGCTTAAGACAATAGCCATTTAAAAAATTACTGAGATGTTGAGAATTCAAGAAATATTTAGGAGACAAAATTAACGCACCTTGGTAATTAAGGGTGTGTGTGTGTGTGTGTGTGTGTGTGTGAATAGTGTGAGTACATTCCGAATGAAGAATGCCATTCATGTTTTTAGCATAAACTTCTGAATGGAATTAGATTCATAACAAGTCCTTCTGTGTGTATTCTTTATTGATACATTTATATATTTTTGTAGCTGAATCAGAGTGAATTAGGCTAGCCTAAAAGGTTTAATCTCTACAGCTAAATTCAAGAAAGAGAAGTAGAAGATATTACTAGGTAGAGAAGATGCAGATAACTTTCACCTATTAAGACCTATAATATAGGTATTATTTTATCCCCATTTTATAGAAGATGAAACTGACAAAAGGAGTGGTTAAAACACTTGCCCAAGGTCATGTAGCTGATGTGGTAAAACCAAGACTAGACCTGTGGCAGACTGCATTATTGTTAAAAAACACTCATGTTCTTGCTTACACCTTCAGGAAAGGAGTATATTTGCCCACACCAGTGATGTTGGGCATGGCTTTGTGACTTGCTTTGGTCTCGTGGTGGGTGGAATGTACTTCACTACACATCGTCTTTGAGCTTGGCCATGGACTTGCATTGGCCAATGAGATATTAGCAGAAATGATACAAGCAGAGATGTGAAATGTGGTTGGGCTTGTCCTTTTGTATTTCTGCCATTGTCATGAGAAGAACGTGTTCCAGTCAACCTACTGATCCAAAGAAGAGAGAAATGTTGAGTTGACCTAGACTCAAATAACAACTTGGAGCCAAGCCCAGCTCACTCACAAATGGGTAAGGAATAATTGATTGTGGTTTTAAGCCACTGAGTTTGTTGCAGTTTGTTACCTGGCAAGAGTTAACTGATAAAGAGCCTAAATGGTCTAAATCTAAGAACCTGTACTATTAATCACTACCAAGGCATCACAATCAGAATTATTCCTAAATCATCATTTCTGAAACAATGGGCTGGGCGTGGTGGCTTATGCCTGTAATCCCAGCACATTGGGAGGCCAAGGCTGGCGGATCACCTGAAGTCAGGAGTTCGAGACAAGCCTGGCCAACATGCCAAAAACCTGTCTCTACTACAAATACAAAAATTAGCTGAGCATGGTGGCACATGCCTGTAATCTCAGCTACTCGGGAGGCTGAGACAGGAGAATCACTTGAACCCGGGAGGTGGAGGTTGCAGTGAGCCGAGATCGCGTTGTTGCACTCCAGCTTGGGCGACAGAGCAAGACTCCATGTCAAACAAAAACAAAAACAAAAACAAAAACAAAAGCAATGATATCCAGAAATGCCAGTCATCTTAAATAATTAATTCTGTAACAGTATGTGATAGATACAATTATAAAAGTATTTTCCTTGGAATACACCTGTTTTCACACCCTTTTCTTTCATATCTTTTAAAAATTAAGAACACATGTAGTTAGTTTTGTTTAATGTCCAGTTTGCACAACTTAAATGTACATGTCTTAGCCTCCCACTTCCAGATGTAATCCACTTATGAGTTAGGGAACATGTCTGCCACTGTGAAACAATATCTGTGATGGATAAGTGAACACATTTTGAATGACACAAATGGTTCCCATCCACAGAAAAGCAATGACAGGGAGGGAAATGGAAAACTGGATATTTACAATAAAAATAACAACACGAAGAGGTTTGTTCTGCACCGATGGGCCAGAGATGTAAAATTTAGATAGAGATGTGGACAATAGCTACCTGAGCAATGACAGACTTTGTTTTTCACCTTTTGAGGTGTGTTGATCTTCTGCATTTAAAACAGGTCTGAGAAACTTGGAAAGCAGGTCAAGGTCTTGGTTTGAGCTTGCCTATGTTCGATCCTTGAAGCTTTAGGGCATAAAATAGCATGGGAGATTATATAGTTTAGAAACACAGAGTGATTGTTTAGCCTCCTCCTGTGGACTCTACATTTATTTCACATGGTTATAAATATATATATTCTGAGGGTTTGAGATTTTTTGGGTATATATGTTTTGCAAATGTGCAATCACTCAAAAAATTAGTGTTTCTTTATTGCGAGAATTTTCATGGACTTTAATGTACTAAGAAGCATTATTAAATCTTCCAGACAGTGGTGGAACATGCACCACTTCTTAGGCTATTTGTCCAGGAACACTGTTCGAAGAGCAACTCATAGGGCTAAAGTGATACAGAACATATGTTCAGGATTTTGCTCTAATATGTTTATCTACTGAAATCGCATTGCTTTAGGGACCCTAGTCTATTATATTCTCACAGCATCCAGTGAGGTAAGTAGGAAATAAACTTTATTGACCAAGTTCTTCTTGATGCAGAAAGGGAGGCTGCCTGTGTGACAGTAAGTAAGATGTGAGTTCTGGCATCTGACTGTATGGCATCACTTACTAATGGTATAAGCCTGGGTGTCTATACCTCATCTTTTTCATCTATAAATAGGAATAATAGTTAAAATACCTTATCTTATAAGTTTGTTGTGAGAATTTAGTGAGATACTAACTGGAAAACACTTAGCATAGTGCCTGACACATGGTAGGTTCTCAATAAATATCATCTTAAATGACAATTATTATATATTTGATAAGAGATTTATAGCCAGAATATATAATGAAACACTACAACTTAATAATAAAAAGACAAATAACCCAATTCCCCAGTGAAAAAAAGGGCAAAAGATCTGAATAGACATTTCTCAAAGAACATATCCCAATGGCCAATAAACACATAAAAGGATGCTCAACACCATTAGTCATCAGAGAAATGCAAATAAAAACCACAGTGGGATACCACTTCACCCGCACTAGGATGGCTACAATAAAAACGACAGAAAATCCCAAGTACTGGAGAGGATGAAGCGACATTAGAACCTTCACATATTGCTGGTAGGAATGTAAAAAATGACACAGCTGCTTTGAAAACAGTTTGGCAGCTCCTAAGAAGGTTAAACATAGACTTAAGAGTCAGCAATTCTACTCCTAGGCATATACCCAAGAGAAATAAAAACAAGCATTCACCCAAAAACTTGCACATGACTGGTCATAGCAGCATTATTAATAATTGCCAAAAAGTGAAAACAACCTAAATGTCCATCAACTGATGAATGGATAAAGAAAATGTGGTCTATCCATACAATGGAATTTTATTCAGCAATAAAAAGAAACTTGGTACTGATACCTGCTACAACATGAACCTTGAAAACGTTATCCTAAGTGAAAGAAGCTAGCTACAATAGTCCACATGTGGTATGATTTCATTTATGTTAAATATCCAGAATAGGAAAGGCTATAGAGACAGAAATACATTGTTGGTTGCCTAGGGCTGGGGGAAGGAGGAAAGATCTGGGAGGGACTAGGGAGTGACTGCTAATGGATACGGTGTTTTGTTTTGGGGAGGCAAAATGTTCTAATGTTAAATTGTGGTGATAGTTGCATAACCCTATGAATATACTAAAAAACATTGAATTATACACTTTTTTTTTTTTTTGAGACAGGGTCTCGCTGTCACCCAGGCTGGAGTACAGATGCATGATCATGGCTCACTGCAGCCTTGACCTCCCTGGCTTAAGCAATTCTCCCACCTCAGCCTCCCAAGTAGTTGGGATCACAGGCATGTACCACCACACCCAGCTGGTTTTTAAATTTTTGTTTTTTTGTTGGTAGAGATGGAGTCTCCCTATGTTGCCTAGGCTGGTCTCAAACTCCTGGGCTCAAGTGATCCTCCTGTCTTGGCCTCTTAAAGTATTGGGATTGCAGGCATGAGCCACTGTGGCTGGTTGAATTATACACTTTGAGTGAATTGTGTGGTATACGAATTATATTTCAATAAAGCTGTTAAAAAGTATAATTATTATTGCTGAGCAGAATGGCCAGCACTAGGTTTTGGGAATTCTTCCCAATTTATAGAAATGTCTGGTATCAGTTGGACTGTTCCCACAGCTGCTAATTGTGTTGTGAAACTAAAACATTTCCAGTGGGGTCTGAAAATTGAGTCACAATGGCTAGGAAATTGCTCCCCCTCTCTATGATTATAGTAGAGCTTTGTGCTGAGGCCTCTGTCTGATTACAGTCTTGATGCCTGGTTGCTAAAAGGGTGAGGCAAGATGTGAACGAAGCCAAAGTCATAGCCCACCAAGATGATCTTGACTGGGTATCTCTATTTCCCACTCCCTGGCCAGAGAATTCCTTCTCATGTGCAGACTGGCCTTTGGGGAATTTCTTTTGTAGAGTCCACAGCTGGGAAGTGATTCTCTCCTTTAGTTTGGTTATAAGGTCCTCTCGCCTTCATGTTTCTGGAAGTGAGCTCATTGTTTCTGTTTTGTAAGACAGAATGTAAAATCACTTCTTTTCAGCCAGCTAGCAGCATAGCTGGGCAAAGTATAGTTTTAAATTTCACATTCAAGAATAGATTGGGAACTTAATCTTTTTTGTGTTTCTCTCTCCCTTTCTCCCCCGCTCCCTTCCTCACCAAATACATTATTATATACAGAACTATTTGAGAGATTGTTGCAGACATCATGAAATTGTAACCCCTGAGTACATTATCCCAAGAACAAGGACAATGTCCTACATAACCACAATGTAACTATTACCCCGAGAAATCTAACATTCATAAAACACTATTATCTGATATACGGCGCATATTCAAATTTCCCCAGTTATCTTTCTATTTATTCATTTTTGTTTCAACAGCCTTTCTGGAACCTCCTAGTCTTAGTGCTGCCTTTGTGCTTATCATACAATATTATTATTTTCTATTTGCTTGCAGTCACTCTGCTGGCCTCAGTTTATAGCTTTGCTCACAGTTGAATCCTCAGCACAGACTAGGGTACTACCCACACCTCTGTTCACTGTGCTTCCTAGTGTGCTGCCCATAGTAGATGCTCAATAAATACTTGAGGAATTGGATTGAACTGAATATGCCAGTCAGGGTCCATGTTGCAGACACACTCCTTGGTACTTCTGAGTGTCTACTCTTAAAGCCAACTGTGAGTCATCAGTGACTACCATTTTCTCCTTTAGATTTCTTGGCATTGCTGTTGGTCTTTTGCACTTGGCGTCTCCCCACTACACTCATATTTTCTTTGGTGTAATTTTTGACAGCTCATGAAGTAGTGAGAGTTGAATGAGAATAAGTGTGATGATGTAAGCTGAAAACAATGAAATGCTAGTTTCATTCAGGGGAAGTTGGTACTTATAAGTTGGTGTGAGCTGTCTTGGCAAAACCACAAAGTCACCAGTGCTTTTGAGCAGTTCAGGTTGCAATTCTTGACCCTGTTTTCGTGTTCTCCTTTCACTGATGTAATGTTATGATGCCAGAATGGTTCCCGGATTAGTTCATACTGGAAGCAAAAGATCCAAAAACTTTAAACTTTAGTCTTGTGGGTGGCAAGCAGATTTGTCATGGGTAATTGGCGTGGTTGTCAACTCATCTATTTTGTCTTGTTAGGAAGTCTGCAGGACTGTGACATTTTAAGGGCTTGTCAAGTTTACTAGATCCATGAGCCATAGTTGTGTCGTTTAAATTATGTTTTAAGGACAAAGGTGGGGAGATATACCTAATGTAAATGATGAGTTAATGGGTGCAGCACACCAACATGGCACATGTATACATATGTAACAAACCTGCACGTTGTGCACATGTACCCTAAAACTTAAAATATAATAATAATAATAAAAAAAAGGACAAAGTTGATGAAGGAGTTCAAGACAAAGAGAAACTTTTCTCAGCACACATTTGGGAGTACATAGATATCTCATGGAACTTACTATGACAGGGCACTCAAGAATAAAATTACAGAAGGGAATGGATATAAGTCCAGAAGCTTTGAGGTACCTTAGTCCAGATCAGTAGAAACTACAATCCAGTGTTTTCAAGATACTGGCAACTACTTGGAATAGAGTGAGACCTATTTTATTTACTTCAATGTTTATACGTGGATACAAAGACTGTGCTGGACACAATTTATTTGTCTTTATCAAGTGGTTATGATGTGATAGATTTGATTCCTATTCATAAACGGAGAACTTGAAGTATATAGGACACTAAGTAGATACTAAAGTATGAGAACTGAAATGACCTTTCAGTGTACTGTGGACGCTTATCAGTACTTCCTTGACTTTTTTAAATCTTAAAGCAAGAAACGTAATGAATATAGGGTAAATGTTTCTGGTCTTTAGGCATCTGTAGCAGAGAAATCTCCACTGAGTTATGTTAAGTGTTGGTCATTTAAGTAAATCCTGATATTACTGAATGAGTGTGAGGTTCTGCTTTTTCATCTCAGTGACTTCTATAAAGCCATTGTCTGAATAAAATTCATTCTGAACAGCAAACTAGATTTCCATCAACAATTGGATCAACTTTTGGATTTTCTATTTGATTGCATTGGTTGTGCTATTTTTGTATCATAAGCAAACTTTTTAAATTGTAGAAGCCGTGTTGCATGTTTTAATACCTGGTTAGCTGGCACATCCTCCACCTATTGTTCTATTTTAGAGATTTCCTGGCTTGTTTGTTCTTCCAAATGAATTTTATATTCAATTTGTCAAGTTTCAGAAAAGATCCTGGTGATATTTTTAATGGAGTTGCATGAAACTTATAAATTAACTCAGAGAGAACTGACATCTTTATCATGTTAATGTTTCCTAACCTGACATGTCTTTCCATTAATTTTTTTCCATTATATATTTTAACTGATTTTTATTTGTATATATGAAGGCTATTGATTTTTATATTAATTTTATAACTTTCTACTTTATTAAATTGTCCCATTTGTTTATAGTAGTTTTTCCATTGGTTCTTTTGGATTTTCTAAATATATTATCATATCATCTGTAAATAAAAATAGTAATACCTCTTTTTTTCAACATTTTTATGCTTCTAATTGATTTCTCTTGTATTCTTGGATTGGTTATTAGATACAACACAATATGAAATAGTATTGGGAATAATGGGCATCTTTGTCTTATATCTGACTTTAGCAGGAAGGCCTCTAGTGTGTTTCCATTAAATTACATGCTGACTTTTGTACTGGGGTAAATGTATTTTTATAATATTGGAAAAGTATTAATCAATTCCTATTTTATCAAATTATTTTACATGGAAGACTATTGAATTTTGTCAAATGCCTTTAACATTGATGGAAATGAGTGTATGATTTTTTCTAATTAGTTTTATTAATATTTCAGAAAACTTCTCAAAATTTAAGCACCTTGGTACTCTTGGCAAAAGGCTCATCTGGTTGTGATGTATTTTTTTTAATGTACCATTTGATTCTACCTACTAATATTAATTTATAATTTTTGCATTGAGATTCATAGTGAGGTTTATCTCTATGTTTTTCTGATACAATATTTGTTAAACTTTAAAAATTTTTGGAATTTTCTTTCCTTTTCTGAAATAATTTAAGCAGCATTGGGATGATTTGATTTTTAAAGTTTTGGAAGAATTAAGCTGAGAAGCCATCGGGGCCTGGGGCTTTTTTGTGGGAGAGCTTTTTAACTACTTTCCCTATTTCTCTTATGGTAATTCTTATTTAGATAAGTTGTGCCTTTCTAGGAAATCATCAGATTCAAATATATTTGTAGAGATCTGCGCAAGATAGTCTATGAGTTTTAAAATTTTATTTTATTTGACGGTTATTTTCCCTTTGTTGTTTTAAATTCTTTATATTTGTACTTTCTTGTTCCTTTTCTAGCTTTTTGAATCGGTTGTTTATTTTGTTTTCACTTTAATGAATATAAGTGTTTAATGACATACATTTTGTCTTTGTAACAGTTTTAATCCATCTGAAAATTTCTTGTTTTCCAGTAGGCAAGTCGATTTACATTTATCGATCCTGTATTTGGCTTCAGTTCTCTCATTGTTTTACACACACACACACACGTTAGTATTTTTAGTATTTGTTCTATTCCATTGCTTTGGTTTTCTTCTCTGGGAACTCCTATTTTGACTCATGGTTTACATATGTTTAAATATGCTATTCTTTTTTTTTTTTTGAGATGGCGTCTCGCTATGTTGCCCAGGCTGGAGTGCAGTGGCGTGATCTCAGCTCACTGCAACCTCTGCCTCCCAGCTTCAAGCGGATCTCCTGCCTCAGCCTCCTGAGTAGCTAGGATTACGGCATGCATCACTATGCCCAGCTAATTTTTGTATTACAAGTAGAAATGGGGTTTCACCATGTTGGCCAGGCTGGCCTCGAACTCCTGCCCTCAAGTGATCCGCCTGCCTTGGCTTCCCAAGGTGCTGGGATTATAGGCATGAGCCACCGTGCCTGGCCTAATTCCTGAATCCTTTAAACAATCATTTTATACTTTTTAAAAAAATCTTTAAATTTTCCTCTTTTCTTTGACTTCTGTTTCTCTTGAGGCTTTATTGGCTCTATTCATTCATTCTGGGACTTACTATAGTTTTGTCATCATCTCTGAAATGATTTTATTTCTAATTTTTTCCTGATTCTGTCACCTCTCTTTCTAAATTTTCCTTTCCTCCAATCTCCTTATTTCTGAATTTTTCTAATTTTGATTTATGCTATCCTTTCATAGCTTCTATTATTTTCTGAAGCTTTTTTTTAACCTTGTGTTGAATTATCAGATTACAGTTTTAATCAGTTTTTCGGGCATGACTTTCTGGACTGCCTTCATTGTAGAAACATTATTTATTTCTTATTCTCATTTCTGTCACAATAACTCTGTAGAGAGTCAATGTTGAATTAGTTTTTCTGTAGCCTTATAAGGGAGAGAACCAGATATTTTTTCTGGCTTTACAGATTTATCATTTCTTCTTCTGATGCTTTTTCAAAGCTATAAAGGACATGACCTCACACTTGCTGGTGTCTGCTTCCACTGCTGCCCTCCTCCACTTTTATTTGAACTCATCAACGAAAGCATCCATATTGTCCCAGTCTTGCTCAATTTGAATTTTCCTGTCAGCATTTTATCCTCATTGTGGGGTTTTGTCTTGGGAAGGAGATTTGATTTGTTAGTTTTGAAATCTATAGGGCACACACTGCTCCAGTCCCATCATACCTTTTTGCATCAAGATTTCCTTGAGAAGGCACTCACCCACAAATTAAGTCAAGCAGAATCCCTTTCCCGTTTTGACAGACATTTCTAGTCTGGACTTTTAGGAGTACTTGCTGATTTGAACGTTCCCTGTTCTCAGAGACATCAGAAGCCCAGTAGCCTTCCTTCTTTTTTTTTTTTTTTTTTTTTTTCCTGAGGCGGGGTCACCATTACCACACCTGGCTAACTTTTGTATTTTTAGTAGAGACAGGGTTTTGCCATGTTGGCCAGGCTGGTCTCGAACCCCTGACCTCAGGTGATCTGCCCGCCTTGGCCTCCCAAAGTGCTGGGATTATAGGCATGAGCCACCCTGCCCAGCCAGTTGCCTTCCTTCTGCATCCTCCTACTCAGATGCTGAAGCCACATGGGTTATGCAGCTCTTGGAGTTGCAACATTCTCTTATTGGTTTTCCTGCCTTCAGTACTGTCACCCTCTAATATCTGCCAGAAAGTCTATCTAAAATGCAAATGGCTTTATTGTTTTACCTTGTCTATAAGACAGAGACGTGTTCTCCTGGCTCCTCTGCCTCATTTCTTGCCATTTTCTATGGAGCGCCACCGCTGCCTGGCTAAAATTCTTACTCATGTCATGTTGTTGCCTGCTTCCAGGGCTCCGCTCATGCTGTGGCTTCTGACTCGAATACCTTTCCCACGGCTTTGCCTAACTTATGCCTTTAGCTCAGTCATGGTTTTCTTTTTTCCAAGAGGAAACTCCCGGAACCACCCTCCAGTCAACCTGAGTTAGTTACTCCTCCTTTATGCTCCCATGATGCCCTGTACATCTAGCTTTCATTGCACTTATCACAGCATCATTAGCTATTTAAGGCCCCTCTTCTCCCCATCACTTAGCTTAGCTCATGACTTGCCTAAATCAGATTTTGTCTTACTCACATTTGTTTCCCTTGTAATTTCCGAAGAATGGTTCCTCATCAATGGTTGTAGAATAGATGAATGGATAAGCAAATAAATGAATTATTAGTTGGATATTTTAGCTGAAGTATGAGAGGTAGACACGTACATGAAAAGGATGGGTTTCCAACATATCCCTGGTCATGGTGGGTAGAGAAGTATCTATTCAGTCTACATGTGAGGTTGACCCTCCTCTGTGAAATGTTGCTTCTCTATAAGAGATTTTGGCAAAGTTCAAACTTTAATGCTGTTCAAGTTAACAGGCTCCCAGGAGTGAGATCACATGGCCCTCTTCTGGGTTTATAGGCAAGTGTGTGCATGTTGCAAGGTTGTCTGTTACTTGCCAGTACCAAGGTAAATATAACACATAGAATACAAATGCCCACAGGAAGCCCCCATGTATATGACTATGAGTGAGTATGTGCATGTCTGTGTGTATGTGTGTGTGTGTGTGATCACAAATGGCTGGTATCGGATGAAGCAATGGTCCAAAATTGGCAAAACTGAGCAGTTCGCAGACAAACATCCACCAATTGTTTGGATGACTGAATTTCTGTTTGTGGTAGTAACACAAGCATGATGCAGACAAGGAAGGAAGAGAGAGACAGGGAAGAACAGGCCCCCTGCTTAACCAGCTTTTCTTTCTAAAGAAATGAGAGTAGCTAACCCTGCTCTGGGAGATGAGAGACAGACTGTTGGTACATGGCCTAGTGATATAAATGCCAAAGAAGGTAGATCTTCTCTAAAGATCAGACTTCAAGCATAAATGAGCCTGTTGGAAGTTCAGGTCCTTTCTTCCTCACACTATGCATGGGATAGAGCCTCTGAAAGGTAATATCAAACAGGACAAGGAACATCTGAAAGAAGGTGCATAGACTTTGTTGGAACCAATAAGTGGGCAAATTAATATGCTAGCTACATTCACAACAAATGGAGCTATTATTGTTTTCCTTAGCAAATATTTAGGTAATTATTTGGGAAATACCTTAAGTGTGGAAGGAGAATTCTTGAAAGTGAAGACCCTACTTCTTTTATCTATTATCTACATATCTTTTATCTATACATATCTTTTATCTATTATCTACATCTATTACTTATCTACAAACATGTCTATAAATGTTAAGAAACAAGAGAGTACAGGACACTAGGGGAATGGCAGTTTGTAAGCTGAGACCAGGCTATACTTAGGAAATCATTTATATAGTTGTCCATCCATCCAACAAGTGATTTATGCATTTAGTGATTACACATTATAAGGATAAATGTTATAAATGTAACAAATGTGGTCAACTCTATGCAGATTAGGTCTTAGCTACAGCTTGAGCTAGGACCTAATCTGCATGGCTCTCTGCTCCTTTATCCTTTTAACTTTTTCAGCTGATGACTTTTCACCCTAGCCTGTGTGTTCAGCTTTTTAGGCTGTGGGACCAAGGGTAACTCTAGGCAGAGAGATTTTTGAGGAACGCTAGCTCAATAGCCATGACCAAGCCTCAGTCTTTCTAGCATAAGCTCTCCTGGATCGCTGCTTAATGGAGACCACTGGCCTCAAGTTGCCATATTATACTACTCCAGACTGTGTGAATAACAGCCCTTGGAATTCTGCATGCACAACCCATGCAGCCTAACATGGCAGCTTTGCATAGGAAGCAATTCTCTTCATTTCCCTTTGTCCTCCCAGGAAATCTACACTAAAGTATCCTTATTATAAGAGGATAAAAATACACAAGGATTTAGGCTGATTTCTGGTTTCTTATATCCCAGAGAATTCACAATTCTATGAGAGACTCTTTGTCTATTAGCTTCTAGAGAACAAACACTATATCTTGGATAACTTAGAATCTCACTGAAGATGTTGATAGAATTGACCTGGGATCACAACTGAATCATTTAACTTCTGTTCATGCTGTTGCAAACTGGAATTCAAATCTGTCTTTAGAACAGAAATTTCAATGCAAAGTTCTGCCTTCTGGGGCAAAACTTAAGTGCCTTAGTGGTGGTGGAGAATGTGAATTGAATTTCAGATTATGTACCAAGTGGTGGTGGAAATTGCCATTCTGATTTATTTGGATCCATAGCTTTGGCTCTGTCCACCATGAGTACCAGTGTAGACTCTGCTGGGGACAAAAACTTAAAGGAAAAAGATGTGTATGTGTCACTCTAGCTATCCAAGTTTTCAGTGGCAGTAAAGGGTCAGGTTTAATTTGAGCTGTGGTGGTTCTGAAAGTGTTTCAGCCAAGTGGTTAGATTGCATATTTGGCTAGGCCCTGTGTGCTATTTGCAACAGTAATACAAACATCACATAAAAGTCATTTAGTCCATGGAAGCTTCCCACAACTGAGCAGAGCTTAATTTTGATGCTCTGCTGGGGTTGTATGGGGTTGCCAGGCATTGGTATGTATTTTTCCAGTGACCCAGGCCTTTTAATATGTACTAAAGAGGGCACTGAATCTTCATATGCAAACCCACCTGTTTGTACTATCTTTCCATTTAGGTGTCGGTCTTTTGGAACTTAGGAACTTCATCTTCTTGCTTAGTTGTACTAGAGAAATATTACCTACATATGAGGTGCCCAAGAAATATTAGATACTAAAAAAAATTGTCCAGGCCAATTTGTATCTTAAAAACAGCATTTCACTTGTCTTACAGGGGTAAAATAAAAACGCTGAGCTGGTAAAATTGCTTGGACCTGATGTGTTGTATTTGATGCCCAGAGCAGTAGCAAATCTGCTGACAGGCTTGGACAGACCAAAAAAAAAAAAAAAAAAAAAAAAACAAAAAAAAAACAACAACAACCACGTTGAAACGTCTGTGTAATGCTGCTTCAGGGAAATGCTATTTTTAAAGAAATGAAACACATTATTTAGGGTTTGTGGATGTAATCCAGGCCTTTGAAGTCGGTAAGAAGATCTTAATTAGAAAGAAATGGGAAGATTGAATGCTTTTATGGAGAACCCAACATTAAGAGGTATGTTTATCATAGCTGCAGATGATATATATTGTGCACTGGCTGCAGCTCTTTGACAAAACCAAAGCCTTTAAAGTTACTGTAGTGCATCCGTCCCCAAGTTTGTTCGGCATCTAATGAGCAGGCATTAATCACGTAAAACTTGGAGGCAGTTCATAAAAGGACAATGAAGATGATTTAAAGCTTGGAAAATAAAGCCTTAAAGGAAAGGTTAAAACAATTCACATTATTAGCTTGGTAAAAAAGGATTTGAGGAGTGAGGATTTCCAGACAATGCAAGGTTATTGTTGGCAAGATGGCATGCTTAATGAGAAACTTTTCCCCAGGAATCCTAACATTTCTCTTTTATTGGTCTTATTATAAAAATATATTCATAGGAAAAGTTAGGAAGCACACATGAGGAAGGAGAAGGAGAATACGTACTAAAACTTTATCACCCAGAGGGGCTCACAAAGCTCACTTGAAGAGGATGAGCAGAATGTCTGGGGCGAGGGTTTTCTTAGAGGGAAACTGCAACATTATGTTTTTTGTTTTTTTGTTTGGTTTTGTTTGTTTGTTTGTTTGTTTTGCAGCATTTCTCATGGTTGGAATTAACTAATGGCTTGTATACTTATTTATCTAATATATCTTCCTGGCTAGACTGTAAGCTTCAGAAGGGTGGGAATTATGTTTGTCTTTTCACCATTGCGTTCTCAGAGCCTAACACAGTGCCTAGCATATAAAAGGTGCTTAATATTTTGTGCATACATGAAGAATACATATGCATATAATATTTATACAAAATGGAGCACCCTATATATGCTGTTTTGTAACTCCCCTAATTTTAACAAAATATTGTGACAATCTTTTCATGTTATTAATATTCTACACTATCACTTGAATGGCAGCAAGGTGTTCTGCTGTATGTATGGGATCTCAGGTATTTAACCATTTCTCTACTTGGGGACATATAAGTTGTTTCCAGTTTTTCCTGTTTCCAATAGTATAGCAATAATCACGATCGTAACTAAATCCTTCTTCACAGGAATTTTTTAAGAAGGAGACTACTACAAGAGATGGCAAGATGTCACTCACTGAAGGTCTTGCAAACATGACAGATACTGATTTAGCCAGTGTTGCTGCAGTCCTGTGTGGACTTGATGACCTCAGGATCAAATTGGGCTTGAAACCTTATATGTATATATATGGCTTTAAGCTACTTGCACCCTAAAGTTACTCATTGGAATGGTGAGTTTGTAAAAGTTATGGAGGAGGGAAGAAAATTCTTTTGAGATAGGAGAGAAAATAAAGTGTTTTAAGACAGGACTCACAATGTCAATCTGCTTTTGTCATTTATGATTTATCAGGATCAGTGTGACTGGCAAATTGAATCACGATACACAAGAAAAGTATCGACTATTTTCTCAGACTTAGCTGACTACACTCTTTTTTTTTTTGCACCGAAAGACTAAAGCCAAGTTCACATTTCTCTTAAAAATAAAAGCAGGAATTTTTAGAAGTGTTGCTCCTCATGAGGTGCTGACCTATTTAATTTTCAGGAAATGAGTGATTCACAATGCAAATGTCTGTGTATAGAATTCTGTTTTTCCAGTGACTTTCATGATCATTTTGGAGATGTGTTCTGAAAAAAATCTTATAAATGAATTAAATGTGGCTCTCAGAATTCATATACCAGATGCTATTTTCTTCAATCCATATACTTTTTATATGTCAGATTGTCCTATTTTATTTTTTTTTGCCATTGTGACCTTGGCTAGCTTTGCTGTGATTTGTTATGGCCTTACTCACGGAAGTTCTGAGGCTGAGCCCTTCCTATGTGAGGAGTATGACTGTACTTTTCAGTTTTTCTCTCATTGGTCTCTAGGTTTTTGGCTGCTGCTTTGGGATGTTGCTCATTGCTCTCCTTTTTTGTTCTGGGCCCTACAAGTCATTCTAGGTCGCTTTTCTCAACCTATAAATTAAATAAATTTCAAGTGTTCCTGTATGTGATATGACCCCCCTTGAGACTGGGAGTCCAGGTGGGGCATGGGAGATGCTCCCCCTTTCCTTCTGTATTGGCGCTCACTGATCTTGCTGCAAGAAATGATGACATTCCAAAAGTTAGAGTTTGGCAGAATGAGTTGAATAAGACCGAGTCAACTTAGACAGCTATCAAGGGCCAAGGCAAGCCACAGGGTTGAAGGACACTATCATCCTTCTCAAAGCGTTTGCACTTGTTTCCCCTGCCTGGAACACCCTTCGCTCAGTTATTTTCATGATTGTCATGAACTCTAAAGAACCTGAGATTTGACCCTGCTTTCAAGCTAACAAGTTAGCCTGCCACAGTGCCATGGATGCTGGCAGAAGATCTGTGACTCCTGGGTCAGAGATGAATGACTTTATTATTCACAGCAATAGTAGTATTCAGAGGATCAGAATCTTCTTTGGCTGTTTCCCTGAGTCCCTGTTCCCACAAGGAGATACGAAGAGGGCCAGGTGACACCAAAACTTGCAGTGGGTTGTCTTATAGGAGAGGAACCCCGAGATTAGGAAATGTGAGTCACCTAAAATGGGCAGTAAGCATGGCTGCCCTTTCCTCCAGAGGGGAGGTACTGTTTTTATTATACTGGACAGTAAGTTAATCTTCTGTTTACTTTGCAGAGAGACATCTCTACTTTCCATAGATGTTTGCTAGATAAACATCCTTGAAAAGCTATTCAGAACAAAGGCAGCCAGTGCTTCCACTCCTAAATTGCACAAAAATGCAAGAGACCTGTAGAGAATTGTATCCTAACAATGACTTTCTCTCTCTCTTCTTTTGGGTCTTTGTTCAAATGTCACCTTGTTAATGAAGCTTACTTTGAGCTTCTTATATCAAATAGCCACTTATGATCACTTATATAAAATAACTCCTAATCATCATTGGAATACTAAACTGTGTGTACTTAGTTTTTTGTTGTTCTTGTCTGTAAGCTGTAAGCTCTGTGATGGTAGAGACTTTCTCTGTTGTATTCACTGCTGTATCACGAGAGCCTAAGCACAATGCCTGGTACACAGTACACATCAAACATTCGATGAGTAAATGAACGAATCAGTGCAGCACCCCCAGTCAAGAAGATTATTAAAAAGGTCTATTTTTACTTTCCAAAAATAAAATTATATATATTAAGCATGCTTTGCCTCAGTCTGTAATCTGCCTGCCCCAGCTCTGGCTGGGGAGCACTGTTCTAAGCATCCAATTCTGTCTTGACTACTGGCTTTCTGGCCTTCCCCTGGGACTGGGCTGCTCCTCTGTGCATACTCCCTCCTGCGCTCTTGTCAAGCTCCAAATCCTGGCTTCTTCCCTTGCGATCTTTTATCTGTCATTTCCTTATGTCCCAACACAGACCGTGGCAACCGTTTTAAAAATCAGCCAGTGGTGCGCTGGTAAATTGGTTTCCTGAATAAGAGCTCTGATTTGTAGTGTTTGCTGATTTCCATGGTGTAAATTTCCATGGTGTAAAAAGCCTCTCACTGTGGCTGATTTCAAGATACCAATGGTTTAACAACTGGCTTGCAAAATTCGTGAGTATTGGCCCTCACAAGCTGGTGGGAGCCGGCTCCAGCATGCCATCATTGTAAGAAAGTAACATAGATGTAGTATCAGGGTTATTTCTTACTTGGCACAATAACATAAAGGTTTAAAGAAAAAACAAAGTCCATGGATCAAGAGAATCCCTTACTCTGAACTGGGTTTCTCATAACTTACTCCTTATTCTCATATCCTCTATTCCAGTGTTTCTCACACTGCAGCAGGCATCAGATACCCTGAAGGACTTTTAAAAATAGGTAACTGTCTCCTCCGACCCCAGAATTTCTGGGTAGGTCTAGATGGGTGGGGCCTGAGAATTTGCATCTCTAACAAGTTCCCAGGTGATGATGCTGTGGATTCTGGGACCACACTTTGAGAGCTACTACCCTCACCTGCAAAACACTTTGCTCAAAGTCTGTTTCCAAGTGCTATGTGGAAGAGGCAAATTTTGTAAATAAACAATATATCTGGACCAAAGAGGGAAAAAGCCACAAATCAAAGAAAAAAAATAAATTAAAAATGTAGTTATAAAAGAACTAATAGATGGGAGTGCTAAGTGACTAAAGCTGATTGCTATAGGTCTTAGAGAGAAAAGTGAGTTTCTGGGTGTGCATGAAGAAATCATCTTTCAGTTTATAAGTCTGCTATAGCTAATTTTATAGTATTGGATTTCTGAAAGATGAGGTCGAGCTGGAAATCGTTCTGATGAGGGCATGAATCTTGAGGCTTGCTGGGTATCCTCTCTTTAGATGAAACCGAGCACTAGATCACTTATTTAAAGGCCTGCATCTCAAGCAACCTTGAAAAAAATTATTTACCCATTACCATGTGGTACTCGTGCAAATAAGAGGGCTTGGGCAAAGAGAGAACACTTAACCTTGATTAGATGGGACATATTAGCTTCCTGAAATTTTCTCACCTGTTTAAGCAGCTCTCAATCACAAATCCTGACAGGATAGACACTCATTGTAGGAAGGATTAACAGGGCTCAGCTAAACCCAAGGGGTGTCACACTTATCCTAGATCTCCAAGGCCATGTATGGTTCTCTGTATTTCTCCAAGATCCACTTGCAAAGGCCCTGTATGGTGGCCTCTCCCTTTGCAATTCTCCAGGTGGACGATACTGTAAGACATACTATTCAGAGCCTGGCATCTTTGCAACCAGTTTAACACCAGGACTGGTTAATTTGTGGACGACAGGGCAATACAAGATAGGAACGTGATTTGACAGGGGATTCTCATGGAACAGGATGGCAGGAAATGTCAATTTTTCCGGAGTTCAACTGTTTTGTTGTTTGTTAGGGACCAAACCTGTCTTTGGCACTCAAGCACACTTTGACAAGCTTTATTTGAAAGAGGTAGGGAGGAAAGATAGTTCTTTATCAGACATCTCCTAGGCACAATAGCCTAGAGGAAGAAGAGAGGCCAAACCTCTGCTGGGGTTTCTGTTTCTATGCTCTACTTCGGAAAATCATATAGATTACTCTAGGGATTTCTCTGTGATATCTGCAATTCAATGAGGCCTCTTTCCTCCTGTTTGCTTAATGTAATCACCAGCCTTTATCTAGCCCAAAAAGTTGCTTTACTTTTTCTGGAGGAACTGAACACCAGGGGATTGGAGGATGTTGGGCCTCCCGGAGGAAGGCATTTAACTTTTATCTGAGGGATCTGTAGCCTCCATTATGATCTGGACATGTCTCTTTAGGTCAGAGGATGCTCTGGTGCAGGATAGTTTCAGTCACCTTTTAGATTGAACTGTTAGCAATGCGAATGGGTTGTACTTAACAATGCCTGCCCTGGTAGTTCTCAAAGTGTGGTCCTGGGATCACCGGTAGCAGCAGCAGCAGCAGCATCCTTGGGAACTTGTTAGAAGTACAAGTTTTTGAGCCCCACCCCAGATCTGCTGGATCAGAAACTCTGGGGCTGTGGTCCAGCAACACGCACTTGAACAAGTCCTCCAGGGGATCCTGATGCATGCCAAAGTTTTTTGAGAACCATAGGCCTTTGCAAACTTTATCTCCTAAAGGTTTTCTGTAGCAGCAGACAGCAGTAGCTTGAGGCATCTGGATGAGCTGTTTGTTGGCAGCCATCCTTTACACTCTTTTTGCAATTTAAATAATGCTCATTTCTTCTCTGGCATCTCTGCGTAATGATAAAGTGGCATTCTGGCTGTTGAAAAGGTAAGCGAAACTGTTTCTTGGTAAGTGTAGATATAAAGGCATGTACAAAAAGGGAGACAAGCTCTTTAGTATCCATCTTGTAGCTACTCTGATTGTGTGGCTGGAGCATTCACTCTGATTAACTCTCCCCTCCTCTCCAAATCAGAACATTTCATGTCTATTATTATACACCCTTTAAATTGGTTTGGAATCCCAGCCTGTGCTTTGCAGAATGTTTTGTGACTGCAACATGGTGGCAGGGCCTTGTTTCTGCTGTGTCCTTTGGATTTGGATTGTCCTATGAACAAACGACAAGGAGCATAAGCAGTTAGAGTCAAAGGCTCACCAAGCCCCATGTAAAGTTATTTTCTTAAAGGTCAGACCACTGTCCATTTTGTGAACGTTAATACACACTGGAGAAATGCTGGCCTTGGCTGCAGGCCAAGCCATCCCGGCATTTAGGATACATTTGAGGGTATTCATAACTTTTCTTTTTCTTATGAGAATCTAACAGGCCAGATATATACAGATGGTCCCCGACTTAAGATGGTTCCACTTACGGTTTCTCAACTTCATGATGGTGTGAGAATGAGATGCATTCAGTACACTCCTTGACTCATGATGGGGCTACATCTGGATAAACCTGTGGTTAAGTTGAAAATACTATTAAGTGAAAGATGCACTTTCTACTTGCAATGGGTTTATCAGGACACAACCCTCTCAAAAAATGAGGAACATTTGTAATTAATGATAATGTTAAAGTACAATTTTCGTGGTCTGGAAAGTGGGCCAGGCTACTAAAGAAAAGAAATACTTTTTGGAAGAGATGTACGTTGAGACGAGATTTACTTAACCACTATGCCATTGTGAGCAAGTTACTGAACCTGTTTAAGCCTTAGTTTCCTTATCTGAAAAGTGGGTATAATATAGGGATCTACATCTTAGGGTTGTTGTGAAAACCAAGTGAAATTCTGAATGTAAAGTACTTAGCAGAGTGTCAGCAATCATGAATGTGCTCAGTAATTGGGAGCCACTTAAAATTTATACATGTGGATGTGACTTTACACACACACATGCACACACATATACATTCGTAAACACTCACATGTATATGATCTTGCATGTATACATACATATATACATGCATATACATACATATAAAATGGACATATGAACAGACATATATATTAATATATGGCCAAATGACTGGCTATTCCATGTATTGGAATGATCAGGTCAAGGTATACCTCAAACCATTCCTTTCCCTCTCTGCACACACCTTTCCCTGTCATTGTCACATTTGCCTTAAGGCAATCATCCTCATTAAAACACTAATGTCCTTGGGATTGGTCTCTCTCTACCCATCTGAGCTTCACTGTGATGTGGGGTAGGGGAGTGGGATGGGACATTCAGAGCACCAGGCTCTGAGGGCACAGTGGCTGTAGGAAAGCATTTGAGAACAGGAGTGGGATATGGAAGCAGATTCCAGTTGGTGCTTGCCTCCCTCAAAGTGTGCTCAGGACTGTCACAGAGTGGAGGGGAGGCCACTTTGTCCTGGTGGTACATGTTGACTCTCAGCATGATTATTTCTCTGTCTCTTAGAATCTTGTCCTTCACATCTTTGGACATGGGTCTTCAGTTGTCCGAGCAGGGGAATGTACGTGGAGTTGGCAGAGACCTCTGATCTAGCCCCTGCTTGCCTCACCAGCCTTGGCCAGTTTCACGCTCCCCTTTGCTCTCTGTGCTCCTACATCATGCATCCTATTTCAAGATGGTACATTTTCTCTAAACTCAGAGCCCTTGCACATGCTGGTTTTTTTTCTGCTTGGAATACTCTTCTCACACTCCTGGCCTACCTATGTTTTACCCTTCAGGCATTAGCTCAAATATCACTTCCTTAAGGAGACTTCACTGGCCTCTTCCAGATTAGGCTTGTGTCTCTACCATGTGCCCTGTAGTACTTTGTCCTACATTTTGACCCTTATATCCCCAGAGCTTAACACAGTGCTTAGCACATAGTATGTGTTACTATTTGCTCTTGAATAAGGAAGTGTTATGTGGATAGCGAGAGTTGAGAGGAGGGAGAAAGAAACTAACAATGGATTCATTTATTCACCTCTTCTAATTCCTGGTTAAAATTTATTCCTGGACCCCTAGGATGGAAGCTGCTTACAGAAAGGAAACTGCTACAGTTAGAAAAAGAAATAAAAAGGTATCTTCACAGTTTATGTGAATTTCTTTACTTTCTTTCAAATTCTATGGCATGACAAGAGTCTCTTATCCTATCAGCCCCAGGGGCTTAAATTGTTAGCTTGTGACTCTGTGAAATGTATCTTCCCCATAAGCTCAGTTGCAAAATGGGTACTTTATAAATCTTAGAAATAAACACACACTTTACCTTTTCCATCTTAGTAGGTGGGAGCACCAAGAATTTCTGGGGATTTGAACATTTCTTTCACAATACTGTGCAGGAAGTGGTTTATCATTTTACTTTGCATTGATGTTCCTGGTAATAACATTCGCATACTTCAGATGGGTGTAATTGTTTAGCTGTCACCCCCAAACTTAGTCATACCATTGATCTGACATCAGAAAGTACTTATCCTATTGATCTAGTGTCAGATGGGTGGGATAATATTAATAATGGGCTTTGATTGACATCTTGAGTTGACAGATTATCAAGTCACATTTTCCCACAGCCAAACTGCTGACAGGCTTGGAACTTTTCCTTGCCTACACAGATCCCCTTGACCTTTAACTTATTGTTACATGTGCTAAATCCAGTACTCATTTAATGGCACTGGGAATGCTCCCAATTCAGCTTATTTCCAATGCACAGATGGAGAATCTAGAATGATCTAAACTTAGCTGAGAGCATCACACGTAACAGGTAAACAACAAATATTTGTTGAATGGATGAATAAGTGAATTCAGATGTATGGCTTGTGTACTGAGAAGGGTGGTCAGGGTTGGTCAGGTGACACTGATCATGGTATCTCAGGCATTCGGAGATAGATTGTCACAGCAGCTGGGACCAGCCCGCAACAGCCATGACAAATATTCCGGGTCAGCTGGGGCACTGACCAGAATAAGAAGGGTAGGCAGGCCCTTGTGTGGCTTGAAATCAGGGGTGTCTGGGAGGAATCCATAGCCCCTTAATTCTGTGGTTGAAGGGCTTGTTCCATGCTGTGTTCCTGGACCAGCAGCATCAGCATCTCCAGGGAGCCTGTGGGAAATGTAAATTTTCTGCCTTCACCCTAGTTCTACTGAATCAGAATCTGCATTTCTAACAAGATCACCGGGTGATTCTCATTAAAGTTTGAGACGCACTGGTTTAAGAGTTTCATCCCTCCTCAGATGCAAATGGTTTGAAGCAAAATCCTTCCTAGGACTGCAGGAGTTTAGATTCTAGGTCTTCTGTTCTTAACCTCCACATCCGACCTTTAGAAGGTAAGAGTTCTTAGCTGTAAGCAACAGAAACATTCTAATAAGTGATTTATTAGAAAGGCTATTGCATAGCTCTCAGAATGACTGAGAAGGATGCGGAACCAGGCTGAGAAACTGAAACAAGCCTGCTAGTTAGCTAGGACCTCAGCCCAAACAACACCATAGAACCGGTTTGGCAGGGACATTGCTGCCACTGTCACTGAGGCCACAGATGTCACCGCGAGGCAGTAGGATGTTGTATTCTGAAGACAGCTTGTGAAGGCCAGTTGCCTGCCTCTCTTCCCATTCTGCAGTCACTGATGTGTAGTCCATTTGGAAGCTTGAAATCAGCTGTGGTGGGAGTTTTTACAACCCAGAAATCAGCAAATGCTACAAATCAGGGCTTTGTTTTTGAGAGTTGGTTTATCAGCACACCATTGCACTGAGTCCATTGCTGGTACCACTGGCCCTGCTTGTCCTGGAAACCGGATGTTGCTGCTATAACTGATGTTAAGATTGGTATTTACCTGTCCCCCGCAACCTCTTTGTTTTTGGTATTGCTAGCCTGAGGAAACTGTCATGTGACCTGAGTCTAGATCAGTGTTTCCTATCTTTGGCTGCACAATGGAATTACCTGGAGAATTTAAAAAATTGCTAATGCTTGGCTTCCAATCCCAGAAATTCAGACTTAATTTGTTTGGTGAGGGATTACCGAAATGCGGTTCCTGGACCAGCAGCATAACTTGGGAACTTGTCAGAAATGTAAATTCTTGGGCCCCACTCCAGGCCCTGCTGCATCAGAAACTCTAGAGGTGAGGTCTAGCGATTTGTGTTGTAGTAAGTGCCCCAGCTGGTTCTGATGGAGCTAAAGTCCAGTCTGGGGGTGAGGTTTGGGCATCTGGACTTTAAAAAATTCACAGGTCATTGAAAAGTGCAGCCAGCATTGAAAACCAGACGGTTAATAGTTTATTAAGGGGCTCTATGTGTCTGCCCTCACTTACAGGGAATGTGGCTGGTTTAAGCCAGTGGGCAGAGGCATACCCATAGGATGGTAGGCTGGGATTCAACAGGATCTGAGATCTGCATTTGTGGTGAAGATCAGTACATTCCAGTTTGGATTCTCAGAAGTCAAACATGGGCCATCTAATGGAACTCTTGTAGGATTGTCAGTAGAGAACTGCTATTGGAAAGTGTTTCACCTAGTAGTTTCCGAACACTGCGACCCTCAGTTCAGAACCACCTGGGGTACATTGTTAGAATGTAGATTCTCAGGTCCCACCTCATACTGAATCAGATTCTGGGGGACGGGGTGGGTAGAGTCTGGACATCTATTAAACAAGTTCCCTTCACCACTCTTGGCAACACATTTTGAACGGCTGAATTAGTCTGGGTAGGAGGAGGGATTGACAATGATTTCGGTAAACCCAAGTGGGGCACTTTTGGTCAGGGGCTGATTCTGTGAACTGCTCATAAAGTCCTGACAAAAATAAAAGCTGACTAGGTTCTAACAAACTACTGAAAAGCAAGCAGAAAAGTTGGGAATTCTAGATGAACCTTCAACATGTCCCTGGGTTTGAAAACGGTGAAAAGCTATACAAATGGGGAATCTTTTGGATCTCTTTCCTAAGTGCATTTGACCTTGTGTTAAGATAAGAGGGGACAGAAATGTAAAGAAGCAACTTCATTTTTATTTCAAGTTTTATTGGGTTCAGTATAATGTGTCATTAATGTTTAAATTCTGGCAACTTTTGGATAATAGAAACTGGTTGCAAGACTCATTGGAGAAGGTTGTATTGGGTAGATCTTATCACTGTTTTAAGATTAGCAACAATACAGCTCTAATTTCGAAAGAATTGTGTGCTCTCTGAGAGTTTTGGGAGACAGGTATATTTATCCCCATTTCACAGCAAAGGAAGTCGAGAAATTGAGTAAATTGTTTGTACTTTTAAGTGGTGAACCTGGGATATGAACGTAGGGTTTGTTTGTTTCAAATAAATTTTAAGCTCGGAATTTCCTCTCTATGCGTTTTTGTGATTGAGGAAAAAAAATAACATTGGAATTTTTTTTGTAGCAAGTTGGTGAAAAACCACTATAGGAAGGAACAAAGGCAGAAGGTAGACAGTAAAGGCGAGCTAGGTGATCAGAAGGCCAAATGAGGTTATTTTGTTCTTAAGTAGTTTAAGCAGAGTCAATAAACCATCAGTGGCTGTGAAGGAGACAAGCTGACAGCTGAGGAAGTAATCCTGGATGTAGTTTTAATGCTAACTGGCTCCTGGTCCCTGGAGGTGTAAAGTCCAAGACAGTTTCAGGGTGAGTTAGATTGACTAAGGCCTGGGGAAGGAATCATGTCTAGATTAAGCAGTGATTGGTCACGCTTGAAAGGTATGAAAAAATGAAGAAATTTAAAAAGCGAGGCTTTAAAGTTTGAGAAGTTTTATTTGACATATTGCTTTCTCTGTGAGGGAAGTAAGACAAGTATGATTTTATTTTATAGAGAGGAAACCGAGGCTTAAGAAAGTTCTGGAATTTACCCAAGATCCTGGAGATGATAGAGTAGCAGAGCGGACTAGAATCTTCTGACTCTTTCTCTTATACCACAGTACCTAAATATATGTGGGGATTTGTAAATAATAAAATCTTATTATGAATTATGTATTTCTTTTATATTAATTGGTACTAATAATGGTTAATACTTAGGCTTAGTGATTTAAAGAACTGTTTATTGATGCCTGGGTCCTAGCTAAGAAATCCTGATTTAGCTGATCTGAGATGTGGCCTGGGACTTGGGACTTTTAAAAGGTGATCCTGATGCGCAATAAAGTAAGAACTACTGGACTGGAAAATTCTCCCTCTCTTGCTTTATTATCTTGCCCTTGCTCTCTTTTGGGAACATTTTTGGGAACATGAGGCCATAGACAAAGCACCCTCATTAATCTGTTAGCATAACAGCAGGCCAGGGAGTAGCCTGGCAAACACATGTAAATGGGAAACATAAATTCCACACTCAGTCAAGTTTGGAGGTTATCATCTTTCATTCATCCAGAGACCTTCCCGAGCCCGTCCTAGCTAAAGACCTAATGCTGGCTAATTCCTGCCATCCTCAAAGGGGCTTTTATTTGTTCCTTAGTGGATAAAATAAGAAATTGTTCTTGAATTTTTATAAATATGTTTGTGCTTCAGTCTCAGCACCTGCCAAACAGGGATAACAACAACCTCTTAATGCTAGTGGGAAAGTTAGATGGGATAAGTTTTTATATAGCACGTAGAACACTTCCTGGCACAAAAAGTAGCTCTTTTCTAAGTGCTGGGTATTACAGCTAGTCCCCTCGCTTTATGTTCCTCGTTAGACTTGAGGCTCAACTAAGGCATTCAGGAACCGAAACACCCAATCAAAACATAAGCTCTTACTCAGACGAGTGGTTAGTGCGCAAAATATAAAGAAATCCCAGGTGTAACATATATAACATAAATATATATTAACATATGTACTAATTGCTCTTCTCTCCTGGAGAGGTATCCAGATATTTGTTGAAATGACATTAGCTAGAGTTTAAGCTTACCCTCACATCCTCAATATGAATTCCACTTGTGGTCCAGATTTATAATAAAAAACATTGGTAGGTAAATTTTTTTTATTAATTTAGGTTAGAATCAGTCAGGTAATTGAGCTATATAGACATAAATTTAGAAGCGTAATGTTTGTGTTAACTTTAATCCTTTCCCTTCCAGGATTTTTGCTCCTTACTGGAATATCTGCTCACAGCTGTCAAGGGATGTTTAGTTTCATTCTACTTTAGGTACATTATTGTTAATTTTTTTTTAGGTGTTCTTTTTTTCTTGGTGAAAGTGGGCTGTTTTAAATGTGTGCTTTGAGTATTCAAATAAAACAGAATTTTCATCTCCTAAAAGTTAGGGTAAAGAGAAAGCAAGAAATATTTCTTTTTTGACTTGCATGCTTTTCTCCTGAAACTCCATGCAGTAAATAAAGAACATTGGAACAAAAAAAAAAAAAAAAAAAAAAAAAAAAGGCACCACTGCATCATGTCTTGTCACGTTCTGCTCACCCCTACACCTGATTTCAAATGTAAATTGCATGGCATTTAGCGCTAATGAAAATACTCTAGTGAAGGAAATTGTTAAGATTTTCTGGTGCTCCCCTAGGGGTAATATTAAAAACCCCGTTACTAACATCTCACTCTGAGAAGACAAAAATGTGCACTGAGAATACAAAAGCCCTGTTGGCATCTAAATGTGGGCCAATTAATTTGCTGTTATTGACGTGTGGATTTATGAGGAGATGTAAAAGTAGGACCCAGGAAAGCTATTGAGATCCTCGTACTGCGGGACTTCTTGACCCTGGATTTTCAATGCTTGCCTAATCATGGCATTCTGCTTTCTATTTATTTATACAGTTGCTTCAATGAACAAATTAATAATTATACAGCACATTGACAAACATGCCGGGTAATATTTGCCAGATTTTAAATTAATTTAATTCAAGGGCCACTTCATTTACAGGATTCATCTGCACATCAGGCATCAGCCTTACCTCGTTGCTATTCATGCTATACCAAGATTTTTCATCGTTTTCTCCCTTCTTTTCTTCTCTACAGACAAAGACAGCACAACTTGCCATGCCAAATAAATAGACACTAACAGGCAGGTGGAAGACAGATAGATGACAGACAAATAGGAATATAGATAAATGCACAGATGACATAAATTTAGAAGGAAGGATAATAGCTGTTACTATGATATGTGGAAGACAATTAGATTCCACTAAAATCTTGTATTTATTTTCTCTTTAGCTCCAATTTGCAATTTATCTTCTCTTGTTTTGCACCCACAAGCCTTCTTCACAATTTACAGACTGGAAATTCAAATGGATAGCTTATAGTTCCAGAAATGATCACTCTTCTTGGAAACAGAAAAAAAAAACATGTAAAAATGGAACTTCATGGGCTTAGGAAGCCAGGCAAAATTCTGGGTTGCTTTATATATCAGTGAGGTTTGAGTGAAAGTGAATGACAAGATTGGATTGCAGAGAAGGGGTCAGTTACTTTTAGGAAAATCGCAATTGAAACGTCGGACATAATTGTACTTGGGTTTGTAAGAAAGAAAAAGGGGTTTTAATTTACTTGTATATTATCATATACACAGTGATGGCTAAAGATGAAACTTTGGCCAGTTGGAAGGAATAACACCAAGAAAATTAATGAATTACTTTTCATGTGTATGTCTTTTTTTTTTTTTTTTTTTTTGAGATGGAGTCTCGCTCTGTCGCCCAGGCTGGAGTGCAGTGGCATGATCTTGGCTCACTGCAACCTCCGCTTCCCAGGTTCAAGCAATTCTCGTGCCTCAGCCTCCCAAGTAGCTGGGATTACAAGTGCACACCACCATGCCTGGCTAATTTTTGTATTTTTAGTGGAGACGGGATTTCACTACGTTGGCCAGGCTGGTCTTGAACTCCTGACCTTCAAGTGATCCACCTGCCTCGGCCTCCCAAAGTGCTCGGATTACAGGCATGAGCCACTGCGCCTGGCCATATATGTCTTCATTACATATGTTGTTACTGATTGAGCCAGGGTTTCTGCCATTTAAAGCCTGGACCTCAAATATGTTATCTTATGTTCATGGACAGTAATGAAATCTAATGGAGTGTTAAGTTAGCTCAAACAAGAGAACCGTAAACCAGACTCCAATGAGGAAGTTTGCAAATTATTTTTCATGCTGCTGGCATTGGGCATTAACTGGTCATAGTTGGCCCACAGGCTTTATAAATCAGTTGGCCATTCATTGTTAGGGGGAAACAAAATTTTTCCTACATATTCTTCACAAATTGTTACATATCCTGGGTATGGATCAATATCTATCACAAGAGTATGCTATGATTGGTAACCATTTTGAGTAAAACCATCACAGGATATGCTGTTTAATAATATATGCCACTGAAAATACAGACATAGATTAGTGTTGTGTGCATAATGTGTGTGTACCACAATATCAGGAGATATTTACTTTTTCTCGTGAATATGTTTATTCATTACAATTGATTTAGGTTATGTGTGTGGGCAGGGGATGGGGAATCCACAGGGTGATATTGATAATGATAAATCATTTCTCTTGCGGGAGAGAAGTATCAAAGCTAGCATTATATTGCAGAATCAGAGAACAATCTGCATATGTGCATAGTGCTTGTCTATCTGGAGTAAATTATTCTTAGAATACCGTATTTCCATTTTCTAAACAGAGGAGTATATTTAGGCACAATGCTATAAGGTGGGTCTTTTTTTTTTTTAATGGAGCAACCATTTAGAGAAAATCAGGCAAAGACTAGGCAGATAATTTTAGTGCAAGCAGGCTTTTGCTTCAGTACCCGAGATAATTGTCTCAATCTCCTTTTTACTCTGCAGGGTCACAGATGTCGAAAGGCATTCCCACATGCAAGTGGAAATTGTGCAATACATAGCTCAGAAATTATGTGTCTTTTACTAAAAAAGATCAGGTAGACCTATATGCCATAATAATTATAAAAATTATACTAGCATTTATTTGGTTATATTAATATGCTATTTGTATTAACTAGTTTTACTAATTACCTAATTACTGCCTGCTAGGGTAATTACTTATCTTGATTAAATGAATGTTGAAAGGTGAACTCATAGTTATAAATTTGGTAATCATTTTTCTATCTAGACTAATAATACTGAGGGCAGATGCTCAATCCATTTAATACTCTCATTGATTGTCGAGCCAGAAGGACATTATAAGGTGTAGTTCATAAAACTAGTGTAACTAAATAGAAGATTGAAGCAAATAGGTATACATTAGAAGCACTTAGTAGTGTTCCCTTGATAAAAACGAGCATTAAAATGGGTGACTTGAAAGTCACTTTTAAAAAGGTATAGTGGAAAAGTGAAGATTTTGGCACCAGATGGACTTGAGTTTGAATCTTAGCTTCATACAGCTTGAGGAAAGCAACCTGACCTCTTTAAGCCTCATGTTCCTATTCTGCATAGTGCAGATATCGTATTTAATGTCAACTTCTAGTATTGTTGTGAGGAGTGAATTAATGTGTGTAAAGTGTCTGGAACTGAAGAAGCCTCTTTTAAATCTACTGTGTTCTACTCTAAGATTTGGGTTTCATCATCTTGATATATTGTTTAACTTTTGATAATAAATCAAGTTTTGAAATAGAAGTTATTAGAATGACTGGTAATGTGAAGAAGACAGGATTCTCATTAGAAGTGTGCCTCAACTGCTTACCTCTGGTATCACCAACCCTAAAATGTCCTGGTTATAGAAGACAGGGATACACTTCCACATAAGCGTCACCTGTGTGAATATAAGCATCCTGAAAGTAGAAACTTAGTCCCTTTTAATTGTATATCTTCAGAACTTACACACCCAGTACAGTCTGCTTAAAGAATATTTGTTCATTGGATAAAGGAATTAACAGATGAATATCTGTCTAGATGTTTACGTAGTAAATGCATCATATCCTTTGTGTTCTCCATGGCTCTGAAGTTCATTTTGGGTTCACAGAGTTTGTCTGTGTTCCTAGGATAATAAGGCATTATCTCTGTGGGCATTATCTCTCTGACATTTTGCATGTCAGTGACTGCATGGATTGGTGTGGTTTATATTGAACGATTCTTAACAATGTAACGTTCAATAATGAAATACATCTTGTCTCCCTCCTGTCACCACAGGTATGCAATTTATTTTGCCTTCCGGTTCCCCACTGTTCCCAGTCTGCTGCTGCAGGCCGGCATGGCTGATCCTGAGACCAGGCCAGAAACAGGGACCCACTCATCCCAGAGGGGAGGTTGGGTGAATCTTTCTTAGTTGGTGCGGGGGCTCTCTCTTCCCACATTGAAGTGCTAGCTGTGGGGATTCAAAGGAGAGTAAGACAAAATCACTCCTTAAAAGAGTCCAGTGGACAAGACAACCAAATGAGTGATTGCAACAATGCAGTAAATGTTCATGAGAACTGTTCAAGCACAGAAGAGGACCTTGCCCAACACTTCCTGAGATAACCTATTAGGAGGCATGCAGGCAACCTTTGAATATCTTGTAAAGTGAAGAGCTTACTGGGTGGACAAGAGGGAAGGGCTAGTCCAACAAGTATCCTTGAGAGAGTCTGTACCATTTAGTACACTCCCTGCCAGCCCTCTCAAAGGCGTTGATCACAAGAAAAAGGTAGAGAGTGTGAGCATCAGTAACTGCAAGTAACACACGCATGGTGATGGTGCAAAGTTGAGTGTGAACACTACCACCAGTGGTCATGGTGCATTGACAATTGCAGATACCACCATTCACCCTGATGGATGGAAATTGGAATAAAACACAAATGCAGGGGCGGGGGGTGGTGATTACTTGGACAATTTGTTTTATGGATGAATTTTTTCTTTTATGAAGCAACTGTTTTATATAGCAAGATGTTCCTTAGTGCATTTGGTAGGAATAGGGTTACATGTGATATTTCAGTGACACACTGATATTCTACAGAGAGGTGTGCCTACACAGTTCCCTGAATTCTTGTTTCACAAAAGGTCAGAGAGGTCCCTCAGTCCATAGGTCAGAAATACTGCTGGCTATTAGTTTCTCACTTAACCTACTGAACTGTAGTCAGTCTTTGCTTCCAGCTCTTACACAGACAAATAAATAAACAGAATGGGATCTTGCATTTTATGCAACACAAGCAGAGGGTGAAAAATTATTTTATTCTTTTTTTTTCAAGAGCTTTTAGGTAAGATTCCAATCATTTCTAATACCATTTAAACGCCCTTTAAGGAACAGCCTTCTCTCCCCGTAATTGACAGCCAAGACAACACCATGGGGGAAAGGAGGTGGAGAGGGACTGAGGTGTAGATGTACTTGACTGAAAAGCCTTTAAATTATGTTGTCAAAAAATTACAGCAACACCATTTTAAATGCTTTTCCTCCTATAATGCCCTTTCCTCCAATCCCAATAGCTCTACTTTTGTTTGCTTTGTGTGATCCACCTACAAGATAAGGTTATGTTATGTTTTGGGGGTCGATTCTTACAATGTCAAACGGAGATCCCAACACTCCAGGCAGAGAATATTGGCTGCTAGTATAAGAGATAGTGTGTGGATTCCTGTTAACTATTTACCTGCTTTCAGGAACTCGCCTCTAACTGTACTGAGTTGTTATTGTGTGCTGAGAGTACCTTGAGCTTATAAAGTAGTCCTGATTTGAATTCTCCAGTAATGCTTTCCTTGGGGGTTCACTCTGAAAATCTGAGGAAGTTAAGAAACATAGGCAAACTAAGGCAGGAGGGGCTTCGAAACTCACTGCATTTAGAGACAATCTGACAGTAGCTGAGAAGTCAAGGCACTTCTTGGTCTAGAATGAGCATCCCCATAGGGAAATTTCAAACAGGCCATTTCCACACTCAGCAAGTGAGCAGAAATGTTGCCATCAGTAAGTAGAACCTTTAAATCAAAGCATTAGAAGCAGGAAGGACCTAAGAGGATCAGGATGCTGCCACCTGGTTTCTCACATCCTTAGAGACCCCAAGATGCAGATTCTCTTAGGGACTGATGAGTCCTGTAGACTTAGTGTCAACCTCAGAGGCTCTCTGGCTAAGGTTGCAGCATTTGTCCATCTGTTCATCCATGTACTCATGAAACTCTGAGTATCTACAATGTATCAGGCTTTGTGCTAGGTACTAAATGCTCTGTGTTTTAGAGCTCTGTGTTTTATAATCTAGACATTCAAGGGTATCACATACTTGTTTTTTGCCAGTAGAAATTCAGGACTTCCAGTCTTAGTCAATCCCTTAATGCCTCTTGTCATTCCTTTGACTTATTGGTGAACTCTTCTCCGAAAGTTATTTCAACTCTTCTTCACTCTCTTTGAGCCCACTCTTAATCTCTGAGCTTGCACATTTTTGGCAAACTATCATAAAATTAATCCTTCCCTCCTATATCCTTGAGAAAATCGAGGCCAAGAGGTTTGTGGCAGAGACTAGTTAGTTATTCACCAAAACATTTCTTGTTTCCTACTGGAAACACTTTTTCAACTTCATTTGCAGTCTGGTGTGGCCATATGACTGAATTCCAACTAGTGTAATGTGGGCACAAGTGATTTATTTCAATGCCAACCCTGGTTAATAAAAACCATTCTAAGCTCGATCCTCCATTCTTTCTCCCATCTTCCAATGGAATAGAGAGAACTCTTGAGAACTCAGAAAAGGGCAAAGCCATAAAATGGAAAAAGCCTGGGTGCCTGAGTCACTACTTGGAGGAGGGCCGACTATATGGACACCTGTACTGGATCTTGTGGAGGGGGAAATAAACGTTGTCTAGCCACTGAAATTTTGGGATTGTTTGTTGCAGCACATATCCTACTCTGACTAATTCAAGGTAATGACCTCACTCAACTTTCCCCCACATATCCTGCTAGTTCACTTTATTTTTCCTGTCTTTCCCTGCACTAGAATTCAAACTCCACAGGGGCAAAAATTTCTATTTGTTTTGTTCACTGGTATATCACAAGCACTTAAAATGGTGCCTGGCATATAGTGGGTGCCCAATAAGTATTTACTGAATGAGTGAATCTATTCAAGAAAGTGGCTTTTTCTCCATAAGTCTACTTCTGTCTTCTCTGGGTCTTCCCATTGTCAAATACTCTTTCACTGTGTCATGTTTCTTTTATTTCTCCCTTTCTATTGCCTATATTCCCTCAGCACTTGGTCTGTTCCATCCTAAAAACATTCTTCCTGTACCTCATATCTTTTTCTTAGCAGTTACTCTATATATCTATCCCTCCCACCATGTGTGCTAATTTTTAAAAAAGTCTACAATAGGCTGGGAGCAGTGGCTCACACCCGTAATCCCAGCACTTTGGGAGGCCAAGGTGGGCAGATCACCTGAGGTCAGGAGTTTGAGACCAGCTGGCCAACATGGTGAAACCCCGTCTCTACTAAAAATACAAAAATTAGCCAGGCGTAGTGGCACACTCCTGTAATCCCAGGTACCCGGGAGGCTGTGGCAGGAGAATGATTTGAACTGGGGAGGTGGAGGTTGCAGTGAGCCTAGATTGCACCACTGCACTCCAGTCTGGGCGCCAGAGTGAGAACCCATCTCAAAAAAGAAAAAAAAAAAGTCTGCAATAACTGTCTCTACCTCCCCATCTCCTAGCCATTTTGCAAGATACTGCGCCTCACTGCAGCTGTTCCTGAGGAGGCCAGACTAGGTCATTTACTTGTTTGCTCTCAAATCCATTCTTTGCTTTCTCCCTTTCAACTCTATTTTGCAGTGAACACTGCCATTGTCCGCTGGCTTCCAGGTAGGTTCAACTACGGGGTGCACTAGCAGAAGATCGGAGGGGAGGAGGAGAAGAGAAGCCAGGGTATTTCTCTCTTTCTCTCCTACTTTTGTTGTTATCTTTGGCCATGGCTGTGTCTTCTCTTTGGCTACAGCCCCTCACAAAGCCCTTTCTGTGGTATCAGTTACTGTAGGACAATCCCATAGCACTCTAACTTTAGCTGGGGTGACCCCAGATCTAGACTAGGGTAACATCCCTCCTCTCATTGTCCTGCAGCCGTAGGGATAATGATAGCTTCTTGCTGTTAATAATCTCTGGATTGGTTTATCATTCCCTATTTGGCTTTTCAGTTTTTCCATCACTGGTGTAACCACTTCGCTGTATTGCATTTTCTTTGTTTGAAATACCTGGTACTGTGGACTGGATTGTGTGCCCCCATCCCAGATTTATATGTTGAAGACCTAACCCCCAATGTGATGGTATTTAGAGATGGAGCCTTTGGGAGGTAATTAGGTTAGATGAGGTCATGAGGGTGGGGCCCTCATGAGTAGATTAGTGCCCTTATATGAAGAGACACTAGAGAGTTTTCTTCTCTCTCTCTTTTTTCCATGTGAGGACATGTTAAGAAGGTGGCCATCTGCAAGTCAGAAAGAGAAGCCCTCACTAGAACCTGATCGTGCTGTTACCCTGATCTCAGACTTCCAGCCTTTGGAACTGTGAGAAGATAAATTTCTGTTTTTGAAGCCACCCATTCTGTGGTATTTTGTTATGACTGCCTGAGGTGGCTTCTCTTTTCCTGATTAGACCTTGACTGATATAGTCATCAATAATTTTCAATTCTTACTTACTTTATTTTACTACATTTAACCTTGTTGAAAACTGTTTTTAACCTTAGTAAACTTTCCTTCTATGGCTTATATGTTGTCTCTCTCTCTTGGTTCTTCTCCTACCTGTCAGACCATTCTTTCTCAGTTTTTCTCTAGCTAATTTTCTTTCACCCTCTCTTAAATATTCTTTGGATTTTAACCTTCTCATTTTACATGTTCTCCTTGGGCTACCTCATCAGATTCAATGGTGTTAATCAAGTGATTTTCAAATCTGAGCTTCAGTTCAGATCTCTCTTCTGAGTTCTAGACCTATATATCCAACTATCTTCTAGATATCTCTGCCTGGATGTTGGATTCAACATATGAAAAATGCTCATTAATCTGTCCCCCAAACCTTCACTACCTGTGTTTCCTTTCCTTGTGAATGAAGTCTCACAAAAGCCAGGAATCTAAAAGTTATATGTGGCTCCTGATTCTCCTACCTGGCCCAACCATGTTTTAATGGGTCTTTACTTCTAAAAGTGTCACTCGAGCCTTTTCCTTGTTCTATATCCCCATCACTAATGATTTAGTTCAAATACACATCTTCTCTAGCATTTACTATGGCACAAAACTCTGTTTTGTTCTCTCTGCTTCTACTTTTGCCTTACCTCTCCATCCATGTTCCATATCGCCACCAGATTGATTTTTTCTTAAAAACAAATCTGATCATGTTATTTCTTTGTATAAAACAATTCAAAGGTTTCCCACTGCCTCATGAATAATCTCTGGATTATTCATCAATCTCATGTGTGGCAAACAAAGTTTTTCAGTGCTAGTATTTCTTGGTTACTGGAACTATAAATATCTCCCTCCACCTTCTTTAACAATGAGAGTGTGGAGGGGGCTCTGTGGCATGCATTTAGCTCTTCACATCTTGTGGATCTATTTTTGTCTAGATCCTTGGAGTTTTTTTTCAATCAGCCAAATGGTGGATGGGAAAAGAGGGATGAAGGTTGAATGTGAGAGGGTTTTTAATGGGCCAGGTTTGGAAGTGGTGCACATCACTTCAGCTTACATTCAGAACTTAGTCATGTGGCAACATCTAACAGCAATCTGCAAGGGAAGCTTAAAATTTGAACCTGGCCATGTTCCCCCAAAGAAGAGGAACACTGGTGGTTTCTGCCACAATGAGCAAAAGAGAAACAATCTTTGCCACTTCATCCTTTAAAAACTAGTTCGGGAGTCACTTCTCCCAACCTTTGTAGCTTGAACTTGGAACTCTTGTCTTTGTAGCCCCACTATATTTTCCTCAATTGTGGTACTTACCGTGCTCTGTCTCACTTATTTCTTTACATGAGTGGCAGTGGGGAACTTGGGTGTGCGACTTGAGGATAGGAACAATGTTTTACTCTTTATAGTATCCTTGGCACCTAACACAGTGCCTGGACCATAGTTGATGTTCAAAAAAATTGCTTGAATTAATTATTAAGTGAATTAATTATAATTTGTTTGAAAAATATTTTTGATTTGCTTCAATGGTAGATATCTTTCTTAATGAATACCTTTGGCTAATTTCCATCAAGTCTCTGTTAATTTAATTTTGTTCTCATATTAAGTCCTCCATTGGGGCTTCATAGTCCATCAAGATAATATGATTCACCCCACCTTAGATCACTCAATAATTAGGTTTTGGAGCTAAAGGGCAAATGCAAACACATTTTATCATTCAGGCAAGGAAACAGCCACTAATAAAGGCAGCTGTTGTCAATTGAGTAAGGAAGGCACTGGGTTCAAAGGAGGCATCAGCACAAGCACAGTTCTGAGTGGAGATCAACGCTGATGGATCAGGCCTTATCTGGTTCCTGGTTCACACAGCCTGCACAGTGGCCACCATGAGGCCAATGGGGATGGCAGCTGGAGGAAATAATCAGTGATTCTGCCTGGGCCACAAGTACTGTGTGTACTTTGTAAGAATGATTCATCTAGTGCTCTTCAAAGGACCTTCTCTTGTATTGTGAGCTAGGGGCACATAGCTTAATGTAGAGAATTAAATTGTTCTCTAATTGCTCAGTGTGCATAATCTTTTCCAGGCTGAAAGGTTGGAAGCATGTCTATAAAATGTCTTCATAAAACGTTTGCCTTTTTAAAACTTTGGTCGTTTAGCCTGATAGACACTTAGGGCACAAAGGGACTTTAGAAATAGTTTGGTCCAATGATCTTCAACTTCTGACACCCAGGATCCTGCAGAAGTGTGTTAAGGGGTTGGGATGGGAAGAGGGAAGGGAGGGGGATGGTGGTGGTAGGTAGGTCTGGCATGCCTGTTCAGATTTAGCCATAGCAGCTGCCTCTTGTTCACTTTGCTATATGAGGGTTTTGGAAACTCTTTTTGGAAAAAAAGCGCTTCATTGCTAAAAGTCTGTGAAAATCTACTGATTTTTATAATCCCAGGTTTTACACATAAGGAAAGTGAGGATGAATGAATTAAAGTCACATAGCTAGTTAGTGATGGAGTGTGGTGGAAGTCAGATTCTCTATTTCCTCTGACCAGTGACTTTTCATGGAGGTACAATGATTCTTTCTGTCTAACTGACATTTAGAAGTAAATGAATTTACTTTAGGATGACTGTACTACACATTCGTGCACAATATATTCTTCTTTATCACTTAATAAATCATTTATTTGTAAATCAATACACGTGTACTATACAGAATCTAAGAACTTAGACAATTTTAATAACCCATAAGCATGTTGATTCCATTTGCAGATTTAAATTTTGTATAAATAGCAGTCATTGCATACATATCTTAAGTGTACTTTGTTTATAATCACAGTTATGCTACCGATACTCCTCAGAAAAAAACAGATTCTTCTTGGTTTTAGCTGAAGTATTATCAACTCCAAATAACACTTTGAGGCCCTCCAAAGGTAAAGTACGAATCCTTTTGGCCATTTGTTTCCTAAGTCAGAGAGAGAGAGAGAGAGAGAGTGTGTGTGTGTGTGTGTGTGTTTTGAAGCAACAGTGTAACAATGTACCATTAGTAAAGCTGCTGTGTGAAATTATCCCTCAGGCCTATTCTAAGCTTATAGTTCAGTTGATTTTATTGTCCTCACCTAAGTATATGCAATTCACATATGGGAGAAAAACACTAAATCAGGATGGTTATTTTTACTATTTTGCTTAAGATTCATATTTAAATATAAATCAAAAGCTAACCTACACAGTTTGAGAGATACTTTTTACATTAGAAATGTTTTTTAAAATTTTAAACTGATACATAATTGTAAATATGGTATATGTACTGTTTCACATACAATGTACACAATATATTCTTATTTCAGATCATGGGCAAATAACACATGCTATTCTAGAAAAAAGAAAAATTATACCCAATGATGAGCAGAATTTAAGTCCTTAGCAGCCATGAGAAGCACATTTGATTTGCTTTTAAATGCCCCTTATAGATTGCATCGAACACCCTAAGCTACAAAACTTTAAGAAGGTGATGACTAGAACTTGACAAAGCCCCGCTGCTTCTCTGTCTCCCATTATGGAGAGTATGGCTCTGTTCAATAAATGCCCGTTTACTGCACCCAGAAATCGATTAAGAATAATAAGCAAGTTTGCAGATGCAGGGGACCAAAGGAGGGGGTGTCATTCTGCCTTTGTCCCTTCTGTTGTCAGAAAAGTGTTTCCTTCAACAATTAGCCACAAGGTGGCCGCAGCTCATCCCTTCACCTGCGCAGAAATGCTTCTGCTGCTCCCCACCCCTTTTTACATGAGGGGAATTTTAAGTACATTAAGCAGTGTTTTTGGAAGACAAGAATACATATGATTTCATCTTTAATCAGTGAATTTATGTTTTTTTATGAAATAGCTGAATGAAAAGCAACGAATAATATTTTCAGCTAAAAACGGATATAGCAAGACTTGTTTTTAAAAAAAAGCTCACAGGCAGTTTTACTGGCTGTTTTGTTTTTTTAATCTTGAAATGAGAAGAGGAGATGATGCTGATATCTTGAGAGATCATATACACTATGAAATGTGTGTTTTTTTCTTCTGGTAAGCGGACGCTCCACTATGGTGTTCCTCAAGTGGTTATTCTGAAACTCTGAATCTCTATAGACCTTTATTTCAGTCTGCTTAGGGTAATGGTAGAAATGTGGGCACTGGTATCCAATGGACATAGGTGTAAAATATGGCTCATAAAAACCAGCACTGAAGTGTTATTTAACCTTGTTGAGCTGCCTCAGTTTTGTGGTCTGTGAAATGGCATGAGAATTCTTCATTACAGCCTTGTTTTAGATATTAAATTGATAGTATATATGAAAGCTTGTAGCATACTGCTTGGCACCTCACAGCCATTTAATAACGGTGAGTTCCTCCTTCTTTTAAGTACGCAGCAGCAGTTTGAGGTTGAGGTCTGGTTTTCTTTTAACTAAAAGTATGCTATTTAAGGCCTATATTAAATAAATCACAGTGTATATGAAAATAAGACCCAAGAAAGCTAGACCTTCTGGGCTTTTCTTTCATGTCTGCTCAGGTATTAAGGCCCTATGTGTATAGCAATATATAGCAACTTAATTTCAGCTCCTTCCCATCAGATAAAATGAAATTATAGCTAAAGGTGCAAAAAAAAAAAAGTAACAATTGATGTGGAAAAAAACTGAATAATTTTTCTGGAGAAAGAGCCAACCAAGACTGGGTGTGAGGAATGTGGGTGGGGAAGGAGTATCTACCAGACAGCAGATGGCCGGGTATCATTGTCACCAACATTCATTGTTTGGGTGCTGACTGAAGAGTCAACACAAGAAAATGGCTTCTAAAAGTAGGACACATTTTTGTTGAAGGGAATAATGTTAGGTTGAGCCACATGAAATGGCCATTTTGAAGGCCAAAATCCATCAAATGTTGGCAATTTCAAATGATTCAGCCTAACATTTTGTCCATTAGGAAGACAAACATTGGAACAAGTGGCTACAGGGATGCTGTGGGGGCTTTTATTTGTGAATATATTTGATAAGAGTCTATAGAATTATTTGTCCTGGGTGATTTAGTTATTGAGTTTCCTGAAAGCAGGGGGTGGGTGAGATAATCTGTCAGGATCAATTTACCTGTCTCCTTGAAGAGAACAAGCTCTGTTCTTCTAGGATGCTAATGGAAACTGTGGGTAGAATCTGGGCCTTTATGGAAAAAGAATCCATTACTATTTTCCTTCTCTGCTGTTTGTTGAGAGGGCATTTCACTGGATCAGGGTTTCTCAATCCTGGTGCTAATGACATGGGGGCTGGATAACTCTTTGTTCGTGGGCTGTCATGTGCATTATAGGATGTTCAACAGCATCCTTGACCTTTACCCACTGGATGCCAGTAGCACTCTTTTACTGTATTGTAAAACCCAAAAATGTCTCCAAAAATTGCCGGATGTCCCCTGGGGTGCAAAATAGACCCCAGTTGAGAACCGCTGCTCTAGGTAGCAGTCCTGAACATGAGAATTTGTCTAATCAGTTTTGGAAAAAATGTAAGACCTGATACTCCACCTGCCCTATCTCCATTTCCTGCTCTGGCATCTGCCCCTTGGCTACTCTTGGGCGTTTTTATTGAGACAACATGCTTATAGATTCCAAAATACTTGGAGGTTCTCTCAGCCTCTTTAAGGAATGCTTGCTTAAGCTTTTTGGAAAACTTAAATTTCCAGTGATGAATCTGGTGACCATCATTGTTGTCATTGTCATCTATTAGATATAGCATTCTGAGGTTCTGGGACAAGGCATTATTGCTTGTTCCTACTTGTCATCTGTGTGGTGTGAACCTGCTCAATCAAGTCACTACTGTACCATTTAGTGGTGGAGCATCTCCTTTAGCTGAACTCATAAAGGCCCCATGCACATGCATATAACTGGGAGGGAATCTGCTTGTATGTTGCATATAAGTACACAGATCCTGTGGTGTTCTTGGACAATTTAAATGTTTAGTTTCTATCTTGGAAGTTTAAACTTTTCTGAGTGTTCCCTCTCACTCACTGGCCCAAGTGGACTTAGGTTATGCAGACAGTGAAATGACTCTATTGCTGAGCCCTGGGAGGGGGAGGGTCATGTGCTCCCAAGTAATTGAAAGCTTTTTTTTTTTTTTTTTTTTTTAAGCCTAGCAAGCAGTTTAGATGGACTACATTCCTCATTCCAGCTGAGGAGAGATCTCCCAAGGAGAAGGGAGTGCTAAGGCAGAGCAAGACCCCACAGCCTTCCAAAGATCCCCTATGGTCCGAAGTCCTTTGACCACCTCAGTCAGCTGCTTTGTTTTCTGTTGGGAGTGGAGGGACAAGGTGAGAGGAGCCAGGGGTAGTCATCAACACCAGCGGGTTCTGCCCTGGGCAGCTCCCCACCTTCTTTGAGAGTACTGTGTCTCAGCTCCAGCAGTCTCAACTGGGAAGACCCAGGGATCCTGCTCTTCTCTCTAGTCCCTGGAAGACAAGGTCCAGCTAAGGTAGAGTAAGCAGTCAGTGACCAGGCAGGCTGGTTTGGGGGGTCACTGCCTGGAGGACGGGATCTTGTATTCTTCGAAAGATGGCTGGGAAATTCTTCCCTCCATTACGTAGAACTTTCTTCCCCTCCTCAGTTGAGGTACCTAGATGTCCCACAATGGAGTCTTCACTCAGGTCCTCCACAGGCATACGCTCAAACAGCGGGTGCTCTTCAAAATGAGTGCACATCCAGTCGTGTAGCTCCAGCACATGGGTTATCGTATATACCAACCCCCCAACTCTCAGCACGTAGGCATATTTTGCTAGCAGAGTGGGACTGATGATTTGCCGCTTGTGCTTTATCTGCTTGAAATGTGGGTCGGGGAAGAGGAAGAACATCTTTGTCAGCTGGCCTTGTAGAAGTTAGGAAGGTGCTTCATGGCATTGCTACAGAGACAGGCAATGTTCTGGAAGCCACCTCCAGGAGCTGCGCGTAGGGCCCAAATCCGGTCTTGTACATAGTCTGAGACCTTCACCTGGATCTCCAGACCCAGAATCAGTGTGTCTGGGAACAGTGGTGATAGTTCCACTAACAGGCCACCATAGCCACAGCCTATGTCTGCAGACTCCGCTTGGGCCTGAGCTCTCTTTTCTTTCTTATCCTTTGGGTCATCGTGGCTCTGATTTTGAGTGAGTGGAGCGAAGAACTCTGGGTATAGCTCAGACCAGTCCATTTCCTCTGGCTTCACAGGATAGCGCAGCGTGTGGTCTGCCATGGGGTTGGATTGAGCACATTGCCGGTAGTAGCGCTTCTGGGGCTGCGGGGCCTCTGCTTCGGCCACGTTCCAAGTCTCAGCTGCCATGATCCCGGTCCCGGGTTTCTCTACCTGAAAGCCTCTTTTATTGTCCCTCTCAGCTGGAGATCCTCATTCGCCTTCCAGGTTCAGGAGAAGATGCCCTCAGAGTAGCTGAGGGACTGTGTAGCTTAGAGTTGAAGGGATATCTAGACGTCTTGGGACATCTGCCTGTGTATACTGGGTCCTCAGAGAGGTCCGTGGGTCAAGTAAGGTGGTGACCCTGTGGTGACTGCTGCTACCATGAATAGAAGAAAGTGCAGCTTCTCTTCCTGTTTCTTAGGGGCACCCCATATACTGAGGGCAGGGAGGGAAAGTGTTGCTTGTACAAAACCAGCACAGAAGGTGAGCAGGGACCGTGAAAAGTGTTATTTTTTCTGTGCTGCTGAATAAAAGCAATTTCCATGCCCTGTGCTAAAGCGTAGACGTGTTGACAGCTGAGAATATATGTGTGAATACTTTGGAGGCAGCAGAACACCATATCTGAAGAGTCAAACCTTCTTTTAGAGGTCATTTATGTAGCAATCTTGAATGTGGCCCTCTCACACTGCTTCACCTTTTACATTAAAGCTTCCCAGCCCTGGCTGCACATTTGAATCGCCTGGAGAGCTGGTAAATAATTTAGATGCCTGGTTCCTATCTCACAGTAGTTAAATCTGAATCTCTGGTGATGGACCAGCTTGGGTATTCGTAATTTTAAAGGTCCTCAGCTGATTTTGATGTGCAGCCAGGGTTAAGACCCTTGGGCTTTTCTTTCAAACCATCTCCACAGGATTTCTTTATTTTTCTTGGTCAGTGGTTCTTACACTTGAGCGTGTGTCAGAATCCCCTGGGTTTCTTCAGTTGCTGGGCCCCATCATCACAGTTTCTTATTTAGTAGGTCTGGGGTGAGGCCAGATAATTTACATCTCTAACAAGCTCCCAGGTGACACTGATGCTGCTGTTCCTGGGACCGCACTTTGAGAACCACTGCTCTATGGTTACATCAACTCTCGATGGCTTCTTGCATTAAGAATTTTTCTGACCTTGTCCTGGCTTTTGGTCACTACTACATTTTTCTCTAGTTTCTTGTTCTTTTGCAACGTTAATCCCTTTTAATTCTCATTCATTCATCCATTCAAATGGATTTCAGACAAATCCTGGGCATCTAATATATGCAACGGGCAGTCTTCCTTTTTTCATTTAAGCCTTTTCTTTTCAGCCATGGACACCATTGGCAATAGTTGCTTTGCTGCCTGCAATGCTATTCTTGGTTCTGTTTTTGCCCTTGGGGGTTGATTTTGATATTTGCATGCATTTCATGGGCAATTATAGTTACCTACAGAGGCTAGGATTTTCTTATTTCTTTGGAAGCATATTTGATTCTTTTATCTCTTTTCACTTAAGGGCTGTACATGTGGACTCTTTGCAAGAAAAAAGTGGACGTAGAATAATGATCTGTAGTAAACCAACAGTGCTGGGGCAGGGAAAACCTTTCTGAAATAGACATTGTCTCCATTTTTCTACATCCTTTGCTCTTAGACATGGAAAGGTAGATGGGGGATGGGTGAGAGTGGAAGCACATGTTCTGGTTTGTGATGCTCTTTTTCTTTGTTTATCTACTCACTGATTCTTACGGATTAGGGATCCATTTAGCAGAGGCTTTTATTTCATTGTTGATTCTTCATGGCTGTATTAGTTTTCTATTGCTGCATAACAAATTACCACAAACGTAGACGCTTGAAACAAAAGCCATTTATTATCTTACAGTTTCTGTAGGTCAGAAGTCTGTCACAGTTTAGCTGAGCTCTCTGCTCTGGGTCTTACAAGCCTGAAATCAAGGTGTTGGCTAGGTCGAGTTCTCATCTGGAGACTCCCTTAGGGAAGGATTCACTTCCAAGCTCACGTGGTTGTTGGCAGAATTCATTCCCTTGAGGCTGTAGAATTAATTGAAGCTTGCATTTTCAAAGTCAGCAATGGAGACAGAGTCTCTGCTGCTTCAAGTCTCTGACCTCTTAGACCCTCTTTTAAACACATTGCCTGATGAGGTTAGGCTTATTCAGTGTAATCTTTTTTGATTAATGAAGTCAACTGATTAGGCAATTTAATTACATCTGCAGAATCCCTCCATCTTTGCCATATGCTATTGGTTAGATGCAATTTACAAGTTCTGCCTATGCTGAGGGAGAAGGGATTATAATAGGGTGTAGGTCATTGGGAGTCATCTTAGAATTTGGCCTACCACAAAGGCTATAATGAAATGCTTGCCAATAGCTGTAGAATTCTATAGGTGCTCCATAACTATACCCTATTAGGCCATATCACTACACTCAGATAAATGCCTTATGGATAAACCTTCTTGAACACAGCAAGGAAGACAGTGTCTGTCCTCAGGAAGCAGTCCTAGAAGCAGTGGACAGTAATGAATTTGGAAAGAGCATTGTTTTTCCCTCTACAATAAAACTGACTCAATATATTCTTCTGTGCTGTATTCCATTTTTTATTTCCAGTATATTTTTTAAATAAACCAATTATAAGTTATATTCTTGTCACCAAAGACAAAAAAAGTGAACTAACCCTTACCCATTTACTCCAAAATAAATGGGGTCTTCAATTAGAAATAACAAAGCTAGCCCTTCTGAAACTCAACATAAATCACATTTCTTTGGGTGTGTGTAACTAGCAGGGTGAGCTATCATGTTAAAAACCAGTCCACAAATTCCAGTCAAGGGGAAGTACGAGAGCAACCTTACTTATACCAACTGGAGGAGCATCAGCAGCCCTAGGATTTTGCCATTCTCTAGCAGCTTGGGAATCTCTTGCCATGTAGTAGACCCAAGTGTGACTTGACCAATGTGAAATGCTGTTGGCACTGAGGAAAACATCTTTTTTGGTTTGTCCAAGAAAAGTTATCAGGAGGGCTAAGAGTTGAATGGTGATGGGGAAAACAGGGAGGTGAGGAGGAGTCGTGGTGGGCAGACAGGCAGGGTAGTGTGGAGGAGTAGGGGAGAGATGTGGTGATGTGGTTGGCAAAGGTGGGGTCAGTGAGCTCCATTCTCATTCCAGCTTTCCAGTGACCTACTTGAGATTTCCAGGCAGCCCACTTTTCAAGAGGCAGTTCTAAGGGGAGTAGCTTGAGCATCTTTTGTCCCAGAGAATCCAACCAGTAGGCCAGTCATTTCAAATTACCTCTGTCCTGGACTTAGAAGCATTTTGTTTTTACAGTGTAATTTTAAACTGCAGCCTGAAAGCCAAGGTCCTATTGCATCACGCAACTCAGTAATATGAGCTACATTTAGTAGTGTTTCTCACGAGTCTCTGGACAAGATGTTCTTCCAAATGCTATTGGAAAAAGTGGGAAGACCAGTAATGCAAGATGTTGTCCTAAAATACACATAAAATAGATTCTTACTCTTAGGTAAAAAGATAATTGCAATGAAATCCTATCAAAGGACACTGGAGTCTTGCGTATAGCTATGCTGTACTTTAAGAAAGCTTGATGAGCCTCCAATCTAATGATTATTTATTAATCTTACCAAAGAATCCTTTGTTGTTCAAAAGGATTCACTCAAGGGTTCCTTTAAATAGTGCCTTTAAATGTTTGTTTATAAACTATTAACTACTTGACAGAGAAGCAGGGAAACTTAAACTGTTGGGAGCCATCGCCAGTTGAAGATTAATCCAAAATGTAGATAAAGCCACTCTCTGATTATAATGTAAGTCAATGAGAAAATATAATCAAATTTATAAAAATTTAATCATGACAGAACTCTTCAGGAGCGTATCTTTTGCAAGAAAGGAGATACACCTGTGGAGTGTCTCTCTATTGGGCCTGCAAATCCTTCTTAAAGTCATCGTCCCACAAATCTCTACTCAGCCCACACAGTTCTCATGAGCCTTGCTCACATCTGCCAAGACTTCACTGCTTTGCATTTTGCTTCCCTCACAGTGTCTGGCAGGCCGCCTGGATCACAACAGGCTTTCTGGTAGGTATTTGCTGATTTGATGTGAGTTGTTCCTTCAACTCCAAGATATGGACATCACACATATGGCTTGTGGAGAGTTGTAGTAAGTCCTGCTATGATTTCCAAAGTCATTTCTGAAACATTGATGAGGATTTACACCTCTGGGCTGAGGGAACATAAACATCGACCTGAACTCAATAAATTCAAAGTTCTCCTCTCAAGGACAGTTCCCACAGAACTTCAACTCAACTGAAGTAGAAGGGAAGGCAGATTATTCTGTTTATTTATTACAGTTTTCACTTATTTATGTGTTTTTTTTTTACTGGAAAAAGAAAGAGAACAGGATAAAATGAATATAAAACTTAATGAATTATTATAAGGTCAACACCCTTTTAAATACCACCCAAGTCAAGAAGTCAAGAAATAGAATCTCATGTCACCTAAGAAGTCCCAAGGCCAACCAAGTGTCGCATTCCAACTTCAACCACGTCCCTTCTCCCTATGGGACTTTTGCAACAATCACTTTCTTCCATTTCTTTGTAATTTTATCACCCAACTGTGTACCTGTAAACCCTATAGTTTAGTTTTGCCTGGTTAAAAAAATGTCTTCTCTATATATTTTGATCCAAAGATTCCCCCTTCTTCCCTGCCTCTTTTCCTGGAAATTTATTTGTTGAAGAAACTGGGTCATTTGATGTGTGACATTTCCCATAGTCTGTATTTTGCTGATTGTATACATGCAGTTTAGTTTAACATGGTCCTCTGTTTTACCTGTGGAATGCTAGTTGTAACTAGAGGAGTGGTTTTCAACCAGGGGTGATTTGCAGGGGACATTTGGCAGTGTTTGGAGACATTTTTGATTTTTGAAAAGGAGTAGGTGGTGCCACTGGCGTCTAGTGGGTAGAGGACAGGGATAGTGTTAAACATCCTATGAGGCACAGGACAGCTCCCCCCACAGAAAAGCATTAGCCCCCTCTCAATGTCATTAGTGCTGAGGTTGAAAAATCCCCAATCTAGAGGTTTGTTCAGATTCAGATTCAGTATTTTTTTTGACAAGACTGAGGATGGTATGATTCATCAGCAAGCACATATGTCTGGATGTCTCTATTTTTGTGACGTTAGCAGCCTTTGATGCTCAATGCTTAGATTAGTGGCTGCAAAATAGTTATGTTCTAATTCTCTAATTTCTACTTCATTTGTTAGTTGGAATACTTCAATAAAGACCCTTCCCTTCATCTATATTTGGTTACTTAGTGACACAGTTCATATAAGAAAGGCAGGATAAATACTTCATTCTTCAGTGTCATGAGAAGAAGGACAGGCTTTGAAAGTAGGTGTGGGGGTCAAATTTTGATTCTTGTATTCACTAGATGTATGATATTGGACAAATTATTCAAGCTATTTGAACTTCACTTTCTGCATCAGTAAAGTAGGGATAATAATATCTGCCTTATAGGGTGTAAGTGAAGATAAAATGAGGTAAACATTTATTCCTTCATCAATTCAACAAGTATTTACTGTCTATTCTGTAATGGATGCTGTTCTGGGCTCTGGATAAATATCAATGAATAGTTCAAATGCTCTGTCCTCATGGAGTTTTCATTCTGGCTGAGGTAGAAAGACAAACAAATGCATATATAAAATAGATAGTATGTCTGATGGTGAAAATGCTCTGGTGAAAAGTAAAACAGTGTAGGGTAAAAGGGTATGCCAGAATTTTTTCAGAATTTGTTGAGAAGACAACATTTGAGCAAAGACCTTACAAGGGTAAAAAGAGGCAAAGAGTGGATATCTGTATAAAGAGCATTCCAGGGCCAGGACCGGTGGCTCACACCTGTAATCCCAGCACTTTGGGAGGCTGAGGTGGGTGGATCACGAGGTCAGGAGTTCGAACCAGCCTGTCCAATATGGTGAAACCCCGTCTCTACTAAAAAAAAAAAAAAAAAATAGCTGGGCCTGGTGGCGCATGCCTGTAGTCCCAGCTACTCGGCAGGCTGAGGATGAAGAATCACTTGAACCCGGGCGGTGGAGGTTGCAGTGAGCCGAGATCGTGCCACTGCACACCAGCCCAGGCGACAGAGCGAGACTCTGTCTCCCCGCCCCCTCAAAAAATAATAAATAAAAAAGCACTCCAGGAAGAGGGAATAGCACTTGCAAAGGCCTTGAAGGATGAATGCTGTATTCAAAGAACAAGGAAGCTAATGTGATTCAAGTGGAGCGAGTGGGGGAATAGTGAGAGCTGAAGTCAGAGAGGTATCTACAGGAAGTGTAGATATTGATGTAGACCTACAGTAAGGTCTTGGCTTCCAAAATAACTTTGGCTTTTCTTCTGAGTGAGACAGGAAGCCATTGGAGGGTCTCAAGCAGAAGAATGATGTGACTTGACTTACTCTTTAAAAAAGATCTCTCTGGCTGCTATGTTGAGAATAGACTGTAGTGGGACAAGAGCCCATCAAGGAGACCTGGCAAGAGATAATGGTAGCTTGGCCCATGAAGTGGTGAGAAGTGGTCAGACACAGAGTGGTCAGATTTAGAAGTAGAATCAAGAGGATTTGCTGATGGATTGGATATGAGGGGCTAGAGAGGAGAGGATTCAAGGATGATCCTAACCCCAAGTTTCCTTTCTTTTCGAAAGTGCAGTTGGATTGATGGAAGCCACTATTTACTGAGATAGGGAAGACTATGGGATAAGTGTTTTTTGGGGGGGAATATCAGGAGTTTAGTTTTGAGCATTGAAAGTTTCTAATGCATATTTGATATTTCAATGCAGTTACTGGATTGGCTGTTGAACGAATAGTCTGAAGTTCAAGAGGTCTGGTTTGGAGATCGTATTCAGAAATAATTAACATAAAGATAGCATTTGAAGCCATGAGACTAAATAAGATTATCAGAAGAGTGTGTTTAGATAGAGAATAGATGAGGTCCTGGAGCACTCCAATATTTAGAGATTAGAGAGGTAAGAAGATGCCAGCAAAGGATATTGAGAAATTGTGATTGGTGAGTTAGGAAAAAAAACCAGGAGTGTTTGGTATTCTGGAAGCCGATGAAGATAATTTTTCTTTTCAAAGAGGAGGACTCCCAACTGTGTTAAATGCTATCAATGGGTTGAGAGAGATGAGTTCTGAGAATCAATCATTGGATTTAGCAATAAAAGGGTCATTTGTGACCTGGACAAGGACACTTTTGCTGGTATATGTAGAGTGGGGACGAGGAGCAAAGCCTGATTAAGGCAGATTCAAGAAGGACAGGCAAGAAAAATGGAAAGTAAGAAATTTTTCAATGAATTTTGCTATAAAATGGAGCAGAAAAATGGGGCAGCACCTGGAGGGGTGTGGGTTCAAGATAAGATTTTAAGATTTTTATTTTACAGAATGTTTGAATGTAGGTGGGAATGATTTGAAAAATAGACGATGCCAGGATGGAGGGGGGGAGAATTGCTCCAGAGATGTTCTTGATTAAAGAAGAGAGGTGGGATTTGGTGTGCAAGTGGAGGACTTGGATTTTGATCAGAGCAATGACAGCTTATCTATGGCATTAAAAGAGAGAGTAGAGTATACAGAACTAGCTGCAGTTAGGTAGGTTGTGGGGGTAGTTAGAGTCTATGAGAATTCTCTTCTGATTTTTTCTATGCTTCCCATGAGGCAAGAAACAAGCTCATCAGTGGAGAATGAGTAAAGGAGGAAGAGATATTGAGAGAGGAGAAGAGAGGAGGAGAGAGAGAAGAGAGAGGAGAAGGTATGAGATAGATGTCTAGCAGGAGAGTGAGTGGAAGAAGGAAATACAGTGAGGCTGCCAGCCTTACTAAGGACCTGCTTGAGGTAATTATACATTTAGAGTGAGATAATTATACATTTAGAATGAGACTAGTCATTACGGTTGTGAATTTTTCTCTGACAGTGTTTAGGTTGCATGGATGCAGTTCTGGAGTCAGCAGAGATCTGGATTTAACAAAGTGTGTGATTTTGCTAGGCAATTATGATGAAGAGAAAAAGGTGCAATAGAGTTGACGATGGTGCAGGGAGTGATTTATAATGGCCTATGGAGTTTATGATGGGTAAGGAGTAAAGTGAGAACATGGTAGGAAGATGAGGAACAGTGAAAAGGTGGTGGGACCCAGGGGTTGGACATGTAAGTGGGGTAGATAAATTATTGGGAGATTGAGTACTTGAGGGAATAAGCCAGAAAGATAGGAAGTGGTATGTGGGGAGTAGAATGATTAAAATTAAGATAATGGAGGAGGGCTGTTATGAGTAATGACAAAAACCTTAGATATGGCCATGGGAGTGTGTGGTTAAGGTAAGGCAACAAATTTAGTGCTTGGCACATAGTAGGCTGTCAATATATGTTCAATTTCTTTCATATTCCTTTATTGCTATTGAATTAGAGCATCATAAATCTGGGTTACATCTCAGCAATGTATTCTCTCTCTTAAAATGAGCCAGACAATCCAATAACACCTTTGAAATCCCTGGTCCACACCTCTCATTTCAAATTGAGAGTTTGTATTTTACTTCTAAATTATGGTAGTTACCACAAATTCTTGGTACTGGTATTTCTTCTCCCACATGCATCACTGATATGGCTAATTGATATAAACATATTTTCTCTTGGATATGGCTTCAGAATCATTCTCAACACAGCATCCAGGTCTTTGCTACTAACCAGTAGGAGTTGGCATGTGTGATTAAACCTATTCATCATCCTTGAGCTACTGATAAGGAGACTTAGAAATTGTTTTAGTTTATTGATTTGGTGAAACTCAATTATTTCTAAATAAAGGTCTTGAGCCATATTTAATCTTCCAGCAGGAGAATAAATGCTTTCTTAGGTGAGAAAGGAAAATGACTTTCAATTTTGAGTAATGATTTTTTTAGGTATATGGTTTCTATAGTGCTGTGCTTTCTCTAGGACAGCCCATGGAAGAATGCTCTTTTTTTTCAGATTAGCTTAATAAAAAGAAAATGGTAGGAAATTAGTTTCTGCAGGATACTTTTATACCAGATCATTATTATTAGTTAGTTAGAGTTTGTCCTAAAGAGTAGCACTAATTTGAAATGCTAGGTTTTTAGTGTGTATTTTAAATCTTTAAATTATAACCATTCAGATAATTGTATTGGATTATTTTAGTTTTATCAGAGAAAGCAAAGTGACTAATGCTTTAAAAACTATTCATGTTTCAGAGTCACTTTGGATTGTAAGTGACAAAAAACATGAACTGTGTCTGAGTCACTTTGCTTTAACTATATTTTGGGGGTTGCTTGATTTATTTGATTGCCTTGAGCAGAACACATTTGTGTCCTAGCAATGGCTCACTCTTCCCCTGCCTTTATGGGGGTGGAGCACTTTGAGATGCAATGTGATTATTTTTGGTTTCATCAGTCAAAAGGAATAGAATGAGATAAAAAGCATTAACTTCTTTTTTCTAAACTTAAATTTCCAGCAATCTCAAAAGATGACTGCTTCTTAGCAAAGAACGTTGGTAGAGTTTATTTGATTGCAAAATGATCAGAATAGTTGTTTTGAACATTATTTCTTTGCTGAAGGTCCAATTAAATCTTACTTAATGAGTGGGGAATAGTGCTAAGTACTGTGGGGATTATAGAGAAGTATTATTTACAGTTCTTACATTCAATGTTTTACAGTCTAGTTGGGAAGACATGCTGTACTAACATGAAAATGCAACAAACATGCAAAACTGTAAATGTTTGATCTTAGATATGCATGACTGATGGTAAGAACTATAGGACTTCAAAAGATGGAACCATTGTGACTTGAGTAGGTAGAGGCCATATATGTAGCAAGGAAGACCTAGAGCCAGAGGGCCCTGGAATCAGTTCCCTACTCTTCATCCTAAAAGCTGTGAGAGCTTGTGCAAGCTACTGAAGCTCTCTGGGCCTTGCTGCTTCTCTTCTGTAAAATGGGACAATAGAAATACTTATCCCATAAAGCAATTGCAAGGATTAAATAAATTAATACAAATATTTCGCGATGTGCATTGACTCATTTACCAGTGCCTGACACATGAAAAGCAGTCAGTAAATCATTGTTAAGGAATACAATTTCTAGAGTTGTGTTTTGAAATATTAACTTCATTTAAAAAAATTGGTAAAATAACTTGCTATAATCCAATAATTTTAAGGAAACCATAGTTCACTGCCCTTTGTGCATTTTCCTCTTTCTTTTCTACTACATTTCTTAACCCTTCATCAATTTGCTTCTTTCTCTGGATTTGGTTTGTTTTTGTATATCTTTCTTTGATACTTCTCCTCCTATCTCCATCTAATATTTAATATTTTATAAGACACCAGCCAACATTCAATAGGCATCCATTCAATTGAGTTTTGGCATCTATGGCAATACTCAAGGTCAGTCAAAGTATTCCTGAAAGGGTGACTATGATCCATTGGCCAGTCTTCTGGCTGGCTTCTCCTAACACTGCCCTCTTCTCATTGACTACAGGCTTCCTTCCAGAGGTCTGGAGGCAGGATCAGCCAGCAGAGACAGCTCACTCTAGTGTTCTTTGAGAAATTTATGCTGATACTTATAGATTCAGGTTCATCAAGAAATACCACAAGGGTTTCAAAGATTTACTGTGTGAATACATTAATATGACATTGATAATGACAAGATATATTTAAGATGGGGAAGATCCTTCTGCCCATCCACCAGAGTGATACTGAATTAGGGATTCCTTTGCATATTTTTTCTTCCTATATATATAATTTTCCACACTGCTCTTTTCATTGGTATGATTCCTTATTATTAAAGATAACCTCTAAATATAGTTTAAATTTGTTGTATGATGCTCCACCATTGTAGTGTTCCACAATAATACTTTTTTCCTATTGTTCGTCATTTAAGTGGCTTTTTGAGATTTTCACTCTAAACAAGACTGTAATTACAGTTTTGTGAATATATCTTTGGCCACATATCAGATTTTTGCTTTAGGATAGATTCCTAGAAGTTGAATTACTGGGTTAAAGAGTGAGAACATTTTTAAAGCTTTTGATATGTATTACCCAATTACCTTCTGGAAAGTTGAAACAATTTGTAGTTCCTTACCAGCTCTGAGTATTATGCACCTCCCCGCTAATTTTGTCAACTGTTGCTAATTTGATAGGTTAAAATGGTATCTCATCGTTATCGTAAATTATAAAAATTATCTTTGGTTACTAATGAGACTGAACATTGAAAATTTTTCTAGTAAAATAAATCCTTGGAACCCTTACTATTAGGTTGGTGCAAAAGTAATTGCGGTTTTTGCCACTGAAAGTATTGGCAAAAACCGCAATTTACTTTTTGCACCAACCTAATAAATTGTTGTGTATCATCCTTTAAAAATAGCAATTTTAGTTTTAGTTTTTCCAGTTTTTTTGAGGTATAATTGACATAAAATAATGTCAATTTAAAGTATATGATGTGATGGCTTTAGAAGTATTTCACAAAAAAATTTTTTTGGTCCTTTAACTTATTTTAGAAACAAACAAAAATCAAATAAGCTTTGTATTTATCTTTTCTTCCACCTCCTGATGTTTATAATGCCTAAACATTGACATGTTTCTGTTGCTCCTACACTTAAACATTTAATCATATGCGAACCGATCATTTATGAAACTGACTTTAACAAAGGGTATAGGATGGAGAACCTTATTCTTACTATGAAGGAATAGATGGAGGCTGTTGCTAAGCCTTTTCCCTATCTAATATGTTCTAGTAATGGGTGAAGGACCTTAAAAAGTTGGTTATTTGAATCCTGAAGGGGTGATTCACCTCTTTTAGGCTCAGCCACGTTTTTCCAACCTTTGTATCCTCAGGCAGAAAACTGTGGTTTAAACATGGCATCCCAATGAGTCAGGAAATGACTTCACTTCTTACTGAACTGCTTTTCTCTCTAATGGGAAGCCCTGAAATAGATGTGCCTTGCATCCCTGCTGCAAGCCTTTGCTGTCATTTAGAGGAGCTATTGCTCTATCAGAATTCACACTGAAGCCTATTATTCCAGGGAGACAATTTTGTTTTAAAGAAGTGATTTGTTATTTTAGGACTTGGCAAACAAGCATATGAGGGGGAAAAAGTTCATTTGGAGAGATGGCAATAACTCTTGGAGAGGTGTGCTTCTACCTTACTTTGTTTTGTTTTACAAAAAGGGCCAGGATTTGGCACAAGCTAAAATTGTGTAAAACGAATTTATCAGGCTCAGCCAGCTTCTGCTCATTGCCCTTGAAAATAAACTGCCATGTCTTTTATACACCTACATGTGATACACCTTCTGTTGCTTAAGTGGGACACGGTTGGAAGAAATACCCAACAAAGCGGTACAAATGCCTTGTGATCATAATCAGGAATTGGTGGAAATTGACACGTGACAAAATAATTTGTATTAAGTTTTCCATAGCCATGCTATGCCTCCACCAGTGATTGCCTGTGCTGACTTATCATTTATTCAAAGTCTCATTGGAAGCAATTATAGACATTTTAGAATAGGCAGTCAAAATAACAAGTCATTCAGACCGGCAATTATGCATTATATGTAGTTGTCCTTTCTATTAGAAGATGACACTATTGATGCCACAACCTTCCCATGTAAAAAACAAATGTGGCTGAAAGACTGAAATGTGACTGTCAGATTCTTCCCCTTGGATCAGGCACGCTGCCTGTCATTTTGCTGTGAACTCAAGTGGCAGCCTGCAGGCGTCCTGGCTTTTCTTCTCCACCTCTTAGCCTCATGGTCAGGGCCTAATTAGGCATTATGAGCAGGCAAAGAACATTTTTGCAAAGTCCTTTCATGTGGGAAATGGTTTAGAGGCCTCAGTGAGGGTTATAGGCTCCTGGATGATTTTTGAGCTTTGACCCTCTGGGTGCAGTTGACTTGGCTGCATTTCCTTTAGAGTGACAAAACAGGGATGCTTTTTTGCCAAGCCTGGTGTCCTTCAGAACTTCAGATTGATCCATGTCTTAGCAGAGGCTGTGAAAACACGGGATTTATCTGTCAAATTTATATTTATGGAATGTGGCGGTCTAACTGTGCTTAATGTGTTTGGTTGATTTGCAAAATGGGCTGTCTCCTTAAAAAAGTCAAATTGTAAAAGGCTGTATCTTTCACTGAGAGGCTGAGTTAATAAGGAACAGCTGGGGCCGAGTGATGTCATGTGCCACCTGCATGAAAGGCCGCCCAGAGGCTCACACCAAAAGAGAGTGCTCCAGAGAAGTGGGTTTCAAACCTATTATTATTATTTTTTTTGTAATTTTTTTTTTTTTTTTGCAGAGGAACATTTTTCCCATTGAAATCATTTTCAAAACCCCAAAATATATCACAAAGATGCAAGCTGACTTGCTGTGTATAAAGCTACAATGAGGAGTCCAGGACTCATTCAGCTTTCCTATCATAAGCAACAGTCCTTGAAACTCTTTCTTGGAATTTTGGGGAGCAAGGATATACAACAAGAGTGTTTTCGGTAGTGGGATGTGTGTACCCCAGAGAGCTGACAAGATCATTCATTTGGGTGTTGGAAGAAAATGTTAGTAATTGTATTTATATTTATTTTTCTTTCATCTTAAAAATTCCTATTTTTATATGCATGATAATATAATAGTCCAGTGATATATTGGCACACATAATTTATAAATAAACGACATATACTGGGGGAGCATGCTTAATTTCTTTTCTTTTTTTTGTTCTATTTAGGTACATTTTAAATTTTAATAGTTGTTTCCAAACTTAATTTATTTTCTGATAAAAACTTACTAGCAATGGTATTTGGATACTAATGGCCTAGGAGTTGGGAAAGATGATTCATGGTGCAGCACTATTCACAGCAGCAAAGACATCGAATCAACCTAGGTGCCCATTAATGGTGGATTGGACCAAGAAAATGTGGTACATATACACCATGGAATACTATGCAGCCATAACAAAGAATGAAATCATGTCCTTTGCAGCAACATGGATGCAGCTGGAGGTCATTATCCTAAGAAAATTAATGCAGGAACAGAAAACTAAATACTGCAGGTTCTCACTTATGAGTGGGTACTAAATATTTGGTACTCATGGACATAAAGATGGAAACAATAGACACTATAGTTGAATAGTGGAAGGAGAGAAGAGAAAAGGGTTGAAAAACTGTTGGGTACTATGCTCAGTACCTGGGTGATGGGATCAATCATACCCCAAACCTCAGCATCATGCAATATACCTATATAACCTGCACATGTACCCCTTGAATCTAAAGGAAAAGTTGAAATTATAAAAAGAAAGATTCATGGGCACAGTGTAGATGATTCATGGATAGATTGGAAGAAAACTGGCTCAGTTATTCTTGGCAGAGTGAATAGCAAGAACGTACCACAAGGGGGTGGGGTGGAATTTAATATTTGGACCTTGTAGTGGGCTGAATGGTGGCCCCAAAGATATTAAGTCCTAATTTCTGAAACCCATTGGAAAAAGGGTCTTTGCAGATGTGTTTACATTAAGGAACTTAAGATGACAAAATCATGGATCATCTGGGTTGTCCCAAAATGCCATCCCAAGTGTCCTCATAGGAGAGAATTGGGAGAGATTTGACACACACACAGAGGAGAAGGTGATGTGAAGACAGAGGCAGAAATTGGAGTGATCCAGCCACAAGCCAAGGAATGCTGGCAGCCACCAGAACCTGGAAGAAGCAAGGAACAGACTCTCCCCTAAAACCCCTGGAGGGAGGGCAGTCCTGCTGACACCTTGATTTTAGTACGGCGATGCTAGTTGCAGACTTCTGGCCTCCAGAACTATCAGTGAATGAGCAGATTTCTGTTGCATAAAGCCACCAAGTTTGTGACGATATGTTATAGCAGGTACAGGAAACAAATAAGCCCCCATCTTGGTTTTATTTATTTATTTTATTTTTATTTATTTATTTATTTTGAGACAGAGTCTTGCTCTGTCACCCAGGCTCAAGCGCAGTGGTGTGATCTTGGCTCACTGCAACTTCTACCTCCCGGGTTCAAGCGATTCTCCTGCCTCAGCCTCCCAAGCAGCTGGGACTACAGGCGCATGCTACCATGCCTGGCTAGTTTTTGTATTTTTAGTAGAGACGGGGTTTCAGCATATTGGCCAGGCTGGTCTCAAACTCCTGACCTCGTGATCCACCCACCTCAGCCTCCCAAAGTGCTGGGATTACAGGCATGAGCCACTGTACCCGGCACCCCCCAACCCCCCCTTTTTTTTCTCAGTAGAAGATAAGCTAGATCAACAACCCCTAAAGTAGTTTGCAAATTCAGATGCCAAAGGGGCCGAGAAGGCACACACTATTGATCCATATTATAGACGAGGATGTTTCAAATGGGGACTTCAAGAGGCTGAGCTTTGGTTAAAGGCAATAAAATCAATAAAATTCAATTGCTTGTAATATTCTATGCTGACTAAACTAAATGTGTCCACCGACTGCTTTGGTTAATTTCTGCAACCTTTGAGTCTTAGTGGAAAAGATTTGGGGAAGCTTATTGCTAAGGTCAAATAAGTGGAATCTAGCCAATCTATTGGATGGGCCCCTTTAAGCTAAAGGCTAATATGAAGAGGCAGAGGTAGTTTGACACAAAGGTTTTAGGAGATTCTATGGGCCACATTTCACGGCCACAACTTGGAGTCAGGCAGTGTACCAGGGCCAGCCTGACTCTGATAGAAAAAATTTCAACAAAGTTTTTATCAACCCCAACTTTATATTTGTATATATATATATACATATATTTATATTTATATATGTATATATACACACACACACAATCCCAGCTTTTTATATATATATAATATATATATATAAAGTGAGCAGATTTCTGTTGCATAAAGCCACCTCTTTATATATATATCCACTCTCTCTCTATATATATATCCACTACATATATATATATATCCACTATATATATATATCCACTATATATATATATCCACTATATATATATATCCACTATATATATATATACATATATATCCACTATATATATATATACATATATATCCACTATATATATATATACATATATATCCACTATATATATATATATATATATATATATATATATATATACACACACACATATATAATTCCAAGTTTACAATACTGATAAACAAATCTCCAAATCTCTTCCATCACCATGGCTACCCCTATAATACAAAAGGTACTGGGCCTTGTCATGCCTGTGATATTCCAAATAGCTTATGGCCAGATTTTCTGGCACCTCAGGCCATAGGTAAAAGATTGTAAAACTGGAAATTTAATCTATCAGGGTCCATTTGCTTATTGTACCCAGGAAACTAGGACTAAGCAAAGATGAGTTCAGACTTTAGCTGAAATGTTCTAAAGCAAGAAATTAGCAATTGCAAGAACAATGGCAAAGGCTTCTTTGAGGAGATAAAGATTAAAGAGCAGTCATGGGGAGAGGTGCTGAACACAGTTTTCAGCCCACTTAGGTTCATATCACTTGTGTTTGGATTAATTTTATATTTAACATTAGGCCTCTGGGGCATCAGGTCCCTAAATTTAAATAGTTAATTTTTGCCAGCATGTAGGACCTTTTGTAGTTTTAAAAAAGTATTTTAGGGAAATTATGTACAATTTATACTTTTCTAGTTATATTTTTATATTTATACTTTAAAAAAGCAAACACCCATGTTAATTGCCACCTACACAAAGAAAGAAAACATTATCAGTACCCTAGAAACCTTCCAAATGTCCTTTCCGTCAATCATTTCATCCCTCTCCCTACCAGGTATAATCACTATCCCGCTTTTTTATAGGAATAACTTTCTTGATTTTCTTTATAATTTTATTATCTGTGTACATGTCCCTAAACCATATTTTACCTGTTTTTGAACTTTATTTTAATGAAATCATACTCCGTGTATTTTTTTCTGTTTTGCTTTCTCTGTTCAACATTGTGTTTCTAAGCTTCATTTTCCTGTGTGGTAACTCTAATTTGTGAATTGCTATTGCTGTGTAACATTCCATTGTATGACTATACCACAATTTATTTACCCATTCTATTGTTGGTGGACAGTTATTTCTAGTTTGGGGCAATTATGAACAATGAACATTCTTGTGTATATATCCTGATTAAAGAAGCATGCATTTCTTCATGTTACTATTAGTAGATGATGCTAAACTGTTTTCCAAAGTGGTTAAACCAATTTATACTTTCACCAGCAGTGTGTAAGAGTTCTTGTTACTCTACATCCTTGCAACACTTGGTATCATAGTGCTTAAAATTTTTTGTCAAACTGATGTGATATCTCACTATGGCTTTAATTTGCATTTTCTTGAATTACTGGTGACTTTAACCACATTTCATTGAAATCTAAAGTATGTGTATATATGTATATATAAAAATATGTTACACATGTATACATACACATGCATATACATACATTCTTTGGCCATTTCAGTTCCTCTTCTTTGAAGTGGTTGTTTAAACCCATTTAAAACATTTTTATTTTAATTTTAGATTCAGGAGGTACATGTATGCACGTGTTCGTTACATGAGTATATTGTATACTGGTGGGGATTGGGCTTCTAATGTGCCCATTACCCAAATAGTGAACATTGTGCCTAATAGATAATTTTTCAATCCTTGCCCCGCCTACCCACCCCGCTTTTGGAGTCCCCAGTATCTATTATTTCCATCTTTATGTCCATGTGTACCCATAGTTTAGCTCCTACTTATAAGTGAGAACATGCAGTATTTGATTTTCTGTTTCTAATTTAGTTCACTTAGGATAATGGCCTCCAAAAACATCCATGTTGCAGCAAAGGACTTGATTTCATTCTTTTTAATGAGAGCTCATTTTTTTCTATTGGTTTGTTTGCCTTTTCCTTATTGTTTTGTGGGAGTTCCTATTATGTGTGTTGTAAAAATATTGTCTTCTATTTTGTGGCTAGCCTTTTTACTGTTTTAATTATATCTCTGATGAACAGACCTTCTTATTTTTAATGTCGTCAAGTTTATTGATCTTTTGCTTTATAGTCAGTTTTTTTGGTCTTCTTGTTTCCAAAGTTATATGTTTATTGCAGAAACTTTAGAAATACAGAAAGAATGAATATCATATAATTCTACCACCCAAAGACAACCATGGTTAGCACGTCATTTGGTCATTTTTAAATGGCATATATATGTGACATGACATTTCCTTTATGAATGAAGGATTATAGTTGCACACACACAAATATTTAGTGATGCAGAGATGAACACATGTTCTCTATTGTTAGGGAGCTTGTGGCTTATTAAGTCAGAGACATGCAAGTTTATAAATATGTACAATAAAGTGTTATAGGTCTATTGATAGAAGAGTGCACAGGATACAGTAGAGGCCAAAGGAGGAGTGGTCATTTTTACCTGGGTGGGCCAGGAAATGCATCATCAAGGAGATGCCATGAGCTAAGCAGGCGGGAAGGAGAGAATGAGCTCATCCAAAGGCTCCAGAGGCAGCATAATATGTGGTGGTCAGAGAGCTGAAAATTGTTTAATGCAGCTAGAATGTGGGTTGGTGGCAGGGGGAAGGTGAAATACAATGAGAGAAAAGCCATGAAGCTGAGAGATAAACTATCTTACAGTTTGAGGCTGGCCTCTTTTCCTAAATTGTTGTCTCTGCCTTTCCCTAGCCATTTCTGTCTTCATAGTGTCATCCTGTAGCAGTACTGTCTGCCAGGGCAGATGGAACTCTTGGGGAAGTGCAAACAAAACCTAACACTTTGACAGTCTTTCTTCATTATGGGATAATGAGTTATTTTGTTTCCTTAACATTTGGCTGAAAAATCTTCTCCTGCTACACTTTAGACTTCCACCAGGAAGAAATTACAGGATTTAGTAAGAAAAATGGACCCAAATGAGCTGCTAGATGAAGAGGTGGAGTTGTGCCCCTGAGAGCCAGGATTGCATGGTGGTTAAGGGCACAGATTTTAGAGACAGACAGATCTGAATTTCAATCTTGGCTCTACCATTTCACATGGCAGTTTCACAGCCATGGACAAGTCACTTAACCCAAGTTTCAGCTTCCTCCTATTTTGGTAGGAAACGATAATATTTACCTATAGGGTTATTGTGAGGATTCTATGTAATAATTTATACAAATCATCTAGGAGGATGGGAAAAACTTTATACCTCGTAACTACTCTGCTACTATTGCCTGTCCAAAACAAAACCGAAAAAACAACCAAACAAACCCCCAAAACCTTAGAAGTTAATCTGTTCTGGGACATATTGCATATGATTGTTTTCTTTCTTAAGGAGCTAGATTGAAATGAAACATAGTTGTTTTCCCTCTGTTACAATTATTTAAAAATTAAATTTCTGTTTGTATCAATGCACATAGTTTAAAAAGCAAAAGATATTAAAATATTTATAATAAAAAAGCACTAGCTTACTTTACCCTTTCTCTCCTCACAGGCCTGATAGTCAGAGACAATCACTTTCAACAATTATAGCTGTTTCTGATATTCCTCCATATTTCTAAACGATATACTTACAGATATTTTTGATTCATTAATTTTATAAGTCTGTTGGCTTCCTGCTATATAGATGAGAATTTTGTTATATTATTCATACACATATACATGCTGTATACACTTCCCCTCCTTCATTTATCATATAGTTTTGTCACGGTTTGTCTATAACTTGAGTCAATGTTTACAATATTATGAGTATATAAGTATTATTTACCTCTGAGCCAAATTTTTATCTGTGATTACCTTTCTTTTTTTGTATAACTTGTTTATCTTGAGGTCAATAATTTACTCATTTTTATTACCTTATCTTTAAACATAATTTTTTTCTGCATGCTCCATCGGATCTGTTATATACCTATCAAAATTGTATTCCAAATGAAAAACTAAACTACTGAATTTTTTCTCCTGGGGATCTCATTCTTGGAGGCCTCCATCCTCTTCTAGTTGATGAAATTTTAGGCCACTGGCACAATTGTCCTCTTGAGTCTTCCTTTGCTATGTCCCTGTGTTGCAGCTTTTGTTTCATGGATCCCATGCCATTTTCTTAGTTTAATCCCTTTTTTGTTAGAACACATTCTTCCCCCTGTAACTTCCTAAGAAAGGATTCATGAGAGATAAATGTCTGAAAATATCTACAATTCTAACCACACAGTTAATTTTTAATTTGTCTGAATTCTACTTTAGAAGTCATTTTTCCTAATTGTGAAGGCATCGCTCCATTGTCTTCTAGATTCCCCTGTTAAGAATATTATGCTATTCTGGGCCAGGCGTGGTGGCTCACGCCTATAATCCCAGCACTTTGGGAGGCCAAGGCAGGCAGATCACAAGGTCAAGAGATCGAGACCATCCTGGCCAACGTGGTGAAACCCCGTCACTACTAAAAACACAAAAATAAGCCGGGCGTGGTGGTGTGTGCCTGTAGTCCCAGCTACTTGGGAAGCTGAGGCAGGAGAATTGTTTGAACCCGGGAGGCGGAGGTTGCAGTGAGCCAAGATTGCACCACTGCACTCCAGCCTGGTGACACAGCAAGACTCCGTCTCAAAAAAAAAAAAAGAAATATTATGCTATTCTAATTCTAATCCTGTTAGATCTTGTCTTTTTCCTGTTGTTCTGAATTTTTATATAATAACCCTTAGTATATGTCTTTTCAAAAATTGTTGTACTGAATTCTTGGAGGCCTCTTTTATTCTAGAGACTTATGTGTCCTTTCTGGGATGATTGCTTATATGAGTACTTTGATAATTTCTCCTCCTGTAATTTTGTTCTCTTTTTCTGAAATCACAGTTGATTGGATATTGGGTCTTCTGGATCAATCCTCTTAGGTTTCTCAGTCTTTTCTCTTCTATTTTCCATCTCTTTGTAAGTTCTACTTTCTGGGGAGATTTTCCTTACTTTATCATCTAAACCATTTGACTTTTAAAATTGTAGATATGCAATTTTAATTTCTCAGAGGTTTATTCTTTCTGGCTCTTCTTTTAAAATGCCATTCTCTTCCTTTTTTGTGGTTATATAGCTTCTCTTATCTCTCTGAGGATGTTAATTACATCTGTTTGAGATTTTCTTCTGTTCTTTGCATTGTCTTTATTTCCTCTGGATTCTATTTTTCCCTTTGACTGAATGGCTTTCTCTTTCTTCCTTCTTTCCTTTTCTTCCCTTCCCTCCATCTCTCCCTTCCTTCCTTCTCCTGTTTTCTTCCCTCCCTTCCCTTTTTCTTCCCTTCCTCCTTCTCCCCCCTTTCCCCTCCCAATCTTGGGAGCCAGGGGTTGATTTTGGATCTGAGTGTTTAACCTTTTGTGATCATAGCTTAATATGCTTAATTATGTGGAGACTGTACTGTATGTAAAGCTTCTCACTCTTGGCTGACCATGGGCCTTGATTTTAACGCCTCTCAATCAATATCCAAGTGTGGTATAAGCAAATGCCTTCTGGGCATAAGTGGCTTCGGTACTCTATTAGTACTCTTTTGTGTGTGTGTGTGTGTGTGTGTGTGTGTTTTTTTTTTTTTTGAGAGGGAGTTTTGCTCTGTTGCCCAGGCTAGAGTGCAGTGGCGCAATCTCGGCTCACTGCAACCTCCACCTCCCAGGTTCATGCGATTCTCCTACGTCAGCCTCCTGAGTAGCTGGAACTACAAGTGTGCACCACCACGCCTTGCTAATTTTTCTATTTTCAGTAGAGACAGGGTGTCCCCTTGTTGGCCAGGCTGGTCCTAAACTCCTGACCTCAAGTGATCTGCCCGCCTTGGCCTCCCAAAGTGCTGGGTTTACAGGTGTGAGCCACTGCGCCTAGCCTAGTAGTACTCTTATCTCTCTGGATCTTTCACCTAAAATTTAGTCTTCGAGTTTAGCTATTTTGATGCGTTTAAGGTGATTAAAACAATTTTATCCAGGGTTTTAATTTCTGTTTTCAAAGGATAGTTTTATCTGAATAACCTTATGCACCATTACTGAAAACATGAAGTCCTACTTTGATATTTATATTCCCTTTGAGTATGAAGTATTGGTGATTATACTAAGGAATATATATTTAATTTCTAAGACTTTATTATACATAATTCTTTAACCCTTGGTGAGTTCAGTTAACCCAAGTTCTTTTCAGTTCTCCTTTCCCCATATTCAAAGAAACTCTTACCTACTAGGCATGTAATCTCTCATTAAGAGGTATTAACACCCTCTCTGCCTGCTTCTAGGGTTTCACTATTTTCATCTTAATACAAATAATGTATATGATGGGTAATTTTAATGTGTCAATGTGACTGGGCTAAGGGATGCCTGGACAGCTGGTAAAACATGATTTCTGTGTGTGTCTGTGAGGGTGTTTCTGGAAGAGATTAGCATTTGAATCAGTAGACTAATTAAAGAAGATCCATCCTCAACAAGGTGGGTAGCATCATCCAGGCCACTGAGGGCTCAGATAAATGAAAAAGACAGAGAAAAGTCAAATTATCTCTCTCTGTGAGCTGGAACATCCTTATTTTCCTGCCTTTGGACAGTAGAGCTCCTGGTTCTCAGGCTTTCAGCCTCAGACTGGGAGTCCCCTGGTTCTCAGGTCTTCAGACTTGGATTGAATTACACCATGATATGGTTAGGATCTGTGTACTCACCCAAATCTCATGTTGAATTGTAATCCCCTGTGTTGGAGGTGGGCCTTGGTGGGAGGTGATTGGATCATGGGGGCAGATTTCCCCCTTGGTGTTGTTCTCATGATAGTGAGTGATATCTCCTGAGATCTGGTCATTTGAAAGTGTGTGGCACCTCTTCCTTCTGCTCTAGCCTTGTGAAGTGCTGGCTCTCCCTTTACCTTCTGACAAGATTGTAAGTTTCCAGAGGCCTCCCCCAAAGCCAAGTAAATGCCAGCATCATGCTTCCTGTGCAGCTTGTGGAACCATGAGTGAATTAAACCTTTTTTCTTTATAAACTACCCAGTCTCAGGTATTTCTTTATAGCAATGTGAGAATGGACCAATATACACCACTAGCTTTTCTGTGTCTTCAGCTTGCAGATGGCATATCATGGAACTTCTCAGCTTCCATAATTGCAGGGCCAATTCCCATAATAAGTCTTCTCTTATATATTTATACAGTTGACCCTCCATATCCAAAGATTCCACATTCATGGTTTCAACCAATTGTGGGTCAAAAATATTTGTGGAAAAACAATAAAAATAGCAATACAATAATAAAAAAATACAAATTTTAAAACAGTATAAAAACCATTTAGATAGCATTTACATTGTATTAGGTGTTATACTTAACCCAGAGATGGTTTAAAGTATACGGGAGGATGTGCTTAGATTATATGCAAATACCATGGCATCTGATATAAGGGACTTGAACATTTGTGGATTTTGGTATCTGTAGGGGGTGGAGGGGGTTTTGGAACTAATCCCTTGCAGATACTGAGGGATACCTGTATATATACTGTTGGTACTGTTTCTCTGGGTAACTGTAATACAATTTATCAGATTAACTTGGTGGTATTTCAGAAAGCAAAGACCCTGCTCTCAGTAAATGGTATATAAGCCGGGTAAGTTTCAGTAGGATTGGAAATGAGAAAGTAGTGGTCCTAGTAGTAGGCCCTTCTAGATGTTCTAGCAATAAGGACAGTTATTGGAAGAGATAGATGTGGAGAACAAAATGAGATGATAGGTTTGGGGAGGGAAACACAAAATGCACTTGGGAATGTAAACTAATACTCATTTAGTATTTGCTAGGTGCCACGCCAATGCTAGAGACTTTGCATAGGCTATTTCTTTTAATGAGGTACTAGAGGGAAAGAATACAAAAGTCACTTGTCTTAAGATACTTAATAATTTTATCTTGCTGGTGATAGCTCATACCTTAATGCTTGGCCCTAAAACCATTTCCAAAAGCTAAGGGTCAAGGGAAAGTCAAATGTAAAATTGCCGCATCTGACTTTTGGTGATAACAGTCATGTCTCCATTAATAAATGGAGCAAAGAAGAACTCAAGAAATGACCCCTATTAAAAACCTCTTTGGAGCCGCTAATAAATAGCAGAATGTATTCATTCGAATTTCATATTTTTTGGCTAATGCATAACCTCTGTGAAGCCTTGCAAAACTATTAAAGGGCCAAAAGTGAGCAGTGGGGATGCTTGGATCATCCTCGGATCGGATAATCAAGTTATTGTTAGTTTATGGAATTCATTTTCATGGTGGCAAAAGTGGGAGCTGTAGTTTATAGATCTTTTTCCTCTTGGAGCCTCTTATAGTAGTAAATACCACATCTACAAATGTAGCTTTGTGTAATCCCTGGTTCTGGCATTTAGGCAGGGTTTGCACCATAGAGTCCGAGGGGAAGAATTGACAAGTGCAGCATTAAATGTTAGTTAGTTCAGCCTTGTTCATAGCAATTGCTTTAGCTTTCAAAAGCTAAAACCTTTAGCTGTTACAGCACTGATTGGAGGTAAAGAGCTGGCTCTCAGGAGAATACTTGTTGAAAAGAACAGGACTGTGTGGCTTTGCCTCTTTAAAAATTCTACTGCTAAACCCTAGGTTGCCCTGCCTCCTTGCTATTTTTGTCCATTGGCAATTTCCCCTTGAAATGCTATCATCTAATTCTTCCCCAGGCTTTACTCAACCATGTGTTGAACTGCTAAATGCTGCTTCAGCTAATGTCACCATTCAACATAGAGCAATCTCTGTGCAGTCTCTAGAAACTGCAGGAAGAAAACCCTAATCCCCCTCCAACCTCTGAGGCAAATAGCCCTCACTGTGAAGACTACAAAGATTTTGCTCACAACAGTTTTAGGGTAAAGCCAGAAATCACACAGTAAACTTTCAGGAATTCATTGATGGTATATATTTTCTCTTGACAGAACTGGCTTCCCTTCAACTGGCTATAATAGCATCACTCCTTAGATTCGTGCCTGGATTTTTCATCTTACCAGACATAATGGTAAGGGCTTTATATACATCCTGTTTAACAGTACAACAACTTACGGAAGAAGCATTATTCCCCTCATTTTATGGGAGGAACCTGTGACTCAGAGACTTTTAGTGCTATTAGTGAGTTCCTAACCAAGTTCAGTCTGGCTTCAAAGCCTGTGCACTTCCAACTCTACCTTGTAGCTCTTGCTGTCCATCTGAAAGAATTTCTCATCCAGGAATATTGCAGGCTGAGAACAGTATTGAAATAATTGATTCTCTTGGGAGTTTCCGTATGGTGGACCTAGTTCTGCAGTTTATGGTTGGGGAATTGGCAAATGAGTGTGTATTTTTGTTACAGGGTTTCCCTGTTTCCTCGGAAAAGGACAAAAACTATGTCCATGTATATCAAGGGAAGAAATGAAGACATGACAAAAAAAATAGCTACAGCATGATTAAGAGGATTTTCAATTATTAGACTCTTGCTTGGAGATTTATTTGATTCTTTGAACAAATAATTATTAAATACTGTATTAAGTCAGGGTTCTTCAGAGGGACAGAACCAATAGCATATATAGAAAAGGGAGTTTATTAGGGAGAATTGGCTCACATGATTACAAGGTGAAGTCTGATGATAGGCTGTCTGCAAGCAGGGGAAAGAGAGAAGCTGGCAGCATGGCTCCGTCCAAGTCCGCAAGCCTCAAAACCAGGGAGACTGACAGTGCCGCCCTTAGTCTGAGGCTGAAGGCCCAAGAGCCCCTGGGAGGCTGCTGGTGCAAGTCCCAGAGTCCAAAGGCCAAAGAACTTGGAGTCTGATGTCCAAGGGCAGGAAGAGTGGAAGCCAAGTGTCAGGCATGGCATGGGAAGAGAGAGAGCGAGAGGACTCAGGAAACTGCTTATCCCTTCTTCTTGCTTTCTTCTAGCCATACTGGCAGCTGATTGAATGGTACCCTCCGACATTGAGAGTGGGTCTTCCTCACCCAGTCCACTGACTCAAGTGTCAATCTCCTCTGGCAGCACCCTTACAGACACACCCAGAACTACACTTCACCAGCTGTCTATGCATCCCTCAATCCAGTCAAGTTGACGCATAATATTAACCATCACAAATACCTATTGTACCAGGCATAGTTCTGGCACTGGGAAGTGGTGAGCAAAACAGCCAAAAAAAAAAAAAAAATTCCTGCCCTCCTGGCGCTTGTAATCCCAGCTACTCGGGAAGCTGAGGCAGGACCATGGTGCTTACATTCCAATAGGAATAGCAGGAAGACAGATTATACACAAAGTAAAACTATGTAGTGTATTAGATGGTGATAAATAGGCATGTAGCAGCATTTAGCTTTTGCTTCACTACTTGTTCCAAATTGGCTTTGTCATTGGCATTTTGAAATCCAAATAGCCACTTCAGTGTCATTTCTGGCACCCCTGATCTTATGTGAGACCACTGGTCATGTGATCATATAGGTTATCATTAAATAGAATGAACATAAATAACATCAATAAAATAAAAAGGCATACCATTTGGACTTGTTAATATATAGTGTTCCAGGTGACTTAGAGTATAAAAGCGTCTTATATTTGATATTGTGTTAGAGCCCTGAGGCTGCTGTAACAAAGTATCTCATACTGGTGGCTCAGACAACAGAAATCTGTTGTCTCACAGTTCTGGGGTCTAGAAGTTCAAAATCAAGGTATTTTTAGGGTTAGTTTCTCCTGAGAGCTGTGAGGAAATAATCTGTCCAATTTCTAGCTTCACTCCTAGCGTCCAGTAGCATCATGTGTTCCTTGGCTTGTAGATGTCATTTTCCCAGTGTCTTTACATCATCTTCCCTCTGTAGGTGTCTGTCCTTGTGTGCAAATTTTCCCTTTTTATGAGAATACCAATTGTATTGAATTAGGACTTACCCTAATGGCCTCAACTTAACATGATCATATGAAAAGACTGCATTTCCAAATATGCTCATATTCATAGGTCTTGGGGGTTAGGATCTTAATATATTTTTTAGGGGGTCTAATTCAACCTATAACAGATATATTGATATATTTAAATTATATCATCAGTTGAAGTTTAAATGTGTATTTGGTATTGTAAGACTAAGGTGCTATAATAATTACGGATGAATGTAAAAATGATTAATTTTTATACAAACCAATTAAGATCTTTTGAAGATTTAAATAGGGATATTCACAGATAATATGAATAGTAAGAGTGTGTCAGCCAGATAACTTTAGAAAGATCATTAAATACTTTTTGGACCAACAGAATTTCTCTCTTTTTAACTTTTATTTTAGGTTTGAGGGTATACGTGAAGGTTTGTCACATAGATAAACACATGTCATGGGGGTTTGTTGTACATATTATTTCATCTCCCAGGTATTAAGCTCAGTACCTGATAGTTATCTTTTCTGCTTCTCTTCCTCCTCCCATCCTCCCCCTCAAGTAGACCCCAGTGTCTCTTATTTCCTTCTTTGTGTTCATAAGTTCTTATCATTTAGCTCCCACTTATAAATGACAACATGCAGTATTTGGTTTTCTGTTCCTGTATTAGTTTGCTAAGGATAATACCCTCCAGCTCCATCCATATTCCTGCAAAAGACATGATCTCGTTCTTTTTAATGGCTGCATATTCCATTTTATGGCTGCATGTTCTTTTTAAGGCTGCATAGTATTCCACGGTGTATATGTATCACATTTTCTTTATCCAGTCTGTCATTGATGGGCATTTAGGTTTTTTCCATGTCTTTGCTATTGCGAATAGTGCTGCAGTGAACATTCGCATGCATGTGTCTTTATGGTAGAATGATTTATATTCCTTTGGGTATATACCCAGTAATGGGATTGCTAGGTTGAATGGTACTTCTGCTTTTCACTCTTTGAGGAATCGCCATTCTGCTTTCCACAATGGCTGAACTAATTTACACTCTTACCAACAATGTGTAAGTGTTCCCTTTTCTCTGCAACCTCTCCAGAATCTGTGATTTTTTGGCTTTTTAATAGTAGCCATTCTGACTGGAGTGAGATGGTATCTCCCTGTGGTTTTGATTTGCATTTCTTTAATGATCAGTGATGTTAAGCTTTTTCTATGTGCTTGTTGGTCACATATATGTCTTCTTTTGAGAAGCGTTTGTCCATGTCCTTTGCCCACTTTTTAATGGGGTTGTTTGTTTTTCCTTTGTAAATTTGTTTAAGTTCCTTATAGATGCTGGATATTAGACCTTGGTCAGATGCATAGTTTGCAGATATTTTCTCCTATTCTGTAGGTTGTCTGTTTACTCTATGGATAGTTTCTTTTGCTGTGCAGAAGCTCTTAAGTTTAATTAGATCCCATTGTCAATTTTTGCTTTTGTTGTGATTGCTTTTGGTATGTTTGTCATGAAAATCTTTGCCCATTCCTCTATCCAGGATGGTGTTGCCTGGATTGTCTTCCAGGATTTTTGCAGTTTTGGGTTTTACATTTAAGTTTTTAATCCATCTTGAGTTGATTTTTGTGTATGGTGTAAGGAAGGGGTCCAGCTTCAATCTTCTGCATATGGCTAGCCAGTTATCCCAGCACCATTTATTGAATAGGGAATCTTTTCCCCATTTTTTTGGTCAGCTTTGTTGAAGATCAGATGGTCATAGATGTGCAGCCTTATTTCTGGGCTTTCTATTCTGGACCAACAGGATTTCTAAATATGTAAATAAAAATACAAAGCAAATAATAGAGGTAATCTTTATTGAATTTTTAGGGATGCTAACATTTATAGCACCAAACAAAATAATCTTTAAGAATGGTATAGGTTATTCTGATCTTTTGGCTTCCTGAGGGACAGAATGCTTTTAAGGGGTAGGTCTTTATTCCATATATTCCAAAAAGAGTATATATATTTTTATAACTATGAAATTCCTATGCTCTTTGTGGCAGATTGAATCATTGGTTTTAATTCTTTAATCTCTTTGCTATGGCCTTATGGGAGACAGAATTATTATCTGCTTCTTGACTTTGGGCTTGGCTCTATGACTTGTTTAAGTGAATGGGATATGAAGGGGTCCAGAATATGCCACTGTACAATATGCCACTTTAGCATAAGGATTATTTGGAGCCAGAAGACAATTGAGAATCAACAAATACAGGAAAAATTATCTGTCCTCCCTTTAGCTGCCTAAAATCGGGGCAAAAATTTCCTTTGTGAAGGTGGCATAAATTTCCCTCCGTCTCCTGCACCAGGATGAGGAGAGTGACCCCTGTCACTGGAGAGCTGACACTGAAATGAGTCTGCACAAACAAACCTAACTAATTAACCCTTTTCTTCCACTAGGATCCCATAATTTATTCCCACAATTTATTGACCCGAGAAGTCCAAACCTTCTTTCTTTTGTCTAATCACTTCTCTATAATTTTTTTTGCCCTTTGTTATAATGGTATATAGGCTGCCAAGTCTAACCACTTATTTGGGTTATCACTTCTTTTCTGTGAAGTCTCTGTGCACCTAAAATTAAACATATTAATACAACTTGTAGTCCTCTTTTGTTCTTAATCTGTATATTGTCAGTTTAATTGGCAGGCTCCAGCCACTAAACATGAGAGGGTAAAATAAAAGTTATTTGCCCTCCTCTACAGATGTTAGTGGATGTGATGCAAGCAAAGATTTGAAATGTGCTTGTATAATTAACTTGGCTCCCTTGAACTCCTGCCTTTCACCATGAGAAGAATATGTTTTTGATAGCTCCTGTCCAAGAAGGAAGGAGGGACATGTGGAGCAGACGTGGACCTAACTCATAGCCTTGAGTCAAGCACATCTGAACTCAGTCTGTATTAGTAAAATACAGTTGCCCTATAGATGCATGAGCAAGAAATATGTGCTTATTGTTGAATGCCATTGAGATTTGTGCAGGTGTTTGTTATGTAGCATATTGTGACAGTGGCTAAGTGTTACGCTATTATTGCAGAGTACTTAAGCCTTTAGTTATTATATTTCTCACTGAAATAATCCAACAAGTTGAAGTCTTACCAGTTAGACCTACTATATGATTGAACTTCTCAATAAGTTGTTATTATCATTTGCAAGTCGCCATGGTGATCACGAGATAACTTTGGGGTAAAGGGAATGGTAACTTTATTTTTTGAAACAATACTATGATTTTTAAAAATTCTGGTTTTGTATACTTTTTCAAATGGTGTCTCTTTAATATGGGTTTCACTTTTTCAGAGAGTGATCATCATCAGCTGTACATGAGAAGCTACTTTTTCAAAAGATTGCTCGAATATACTTGGGAGTTGTTCACAGTATGGTAGATCCACTGCTTTTTAGTCTTCAGTAGCTTTTTGTTCTTCAAGAGCTCATCTTGATTACTTAAGAGTTGTGGTTCTATCCTTTTTCTTTGCAAGAAACTGTTTCTGAGTAGACTATAAAATAAGAGAAAAATGTGTCTTATTTCCTGTGATCCTTTAGTGTGAATTTGAACAACAAATTCTAATCTTGGTAAAAGAAGAAAAATATCTTGTTAATCTATGTCAAATTCACAAGGAGTTACATTATGAAATGTTCAGTCTTCCAAGTGAGAGAAGAGCTGTATCTGTTCCTGGCAGGGCATTGATAAATGGTTCAAATATGTGGCATTTTTAGTTTTCAAACTCATTCTGTATAGATGATAATTTTCTAATGTATTATGTAGAAATGATGAATCATACTGTTACAGCAACACTTCTGGAATAATATTCTAAGAAATTTAAACTTATTCAAGTGGTATTATATTTACTATATCAATTTTTGAAAAAAAGACCTATAAAGAACTAATAGCACAATTTACTTAATATGTGTAGGCTTTAAAATTAAAATGAAGGACAGGAGGGCAGAGCAAGATAGCGGAATAGAAGCCTGCAGGAACAGTTCATACCCCTGCAGGAACACCAAGTTTTAACAGCCATCTACATATAGAAAAGCACCACCACAAGGACCAAAAATCAGGTGAGCAATCACAGTAGCTCATTTTAACTTCCTGTCATTGAAAGAGGCATTGAGGAGGGTCAGGGAGACAGTCTTGAGTCACCGGTGTACCCCCAACCCCTCACCTGCAGCAACTGTGTGGCACCGAGAGAGAGGAGTCTGTGCACTTGAAGGAGAGACCACTGTGACTGGGGGACATCACATTGTACCCAGTGCTGCCCTGTCATAGCGGAGAACAAAGCAATGCTGCTCAGCCAGTGTCCACACATGGAAAGAACATTTGGATTAGGCCTAGCCAGAGGGGAATTGCCCATTCCATCGTTTGGACTTGAGTTTCTCAGCAAGCCTCGCCACTGCAGACCAAAGTGCCCTGGGGTCCTGGGTAAACTTGAAAGGCAGTCTGTAACACAAGGCCTGAAATTCCTAGGCAACTCTTAATGCTGGGCTGGGCTCAGAGCCAGAGGACTAGGGTGGCACGTGACCTAGAAAGGCTAAAGGAGTCCTTGTATCATCCCTCCCCCACCCCCAGCAGTGTGCGGCTCACAGCAAAAAGTGTCTCCTTCCTTCTGTTTAAGGGGAGGAGAGTGAAGAGTAAAGAGGTCTTTGTTTTGCATCTTGGATACCATCTCAGCCACAGTAGAATAGGGCACTGGACAGTCATGAGGCCCCCATCCCGGGCCCCAGCTCTCATACTACATATCTAGATAAACCCTGCTAGGAAACCTATTGCCATGAAGAGAAGGACCTGGTCCTGGCAGGATTCCTCACCTGTGACTAAAGAGCTCTTGGGACATGAATAACCAGCAGTGATACCCAGGTAGTACACCATGGGCCTTGGGGTCTGAGATGTGCTGACTACAGGTGTGACCCCGTACATTCCCAGGTATGGTGACTATGGTGAAAGACTCCTTCTGTTTGAGAGAAGCAGAGGGAGAAAAGTAGAGGACTTTGTCTTGCACTTTAGGTACCATACAAAAATCAGTAGCATTTCTATATGTCAACAGTAAAAAATCTGAAAAATAAAAGAAATTAAAAAGTAGGCATTAACTAAAGTAGTGAGAGTTCTCGACAACATTGATAAAAGAAATTGAAGAGGACATCCCTGCCCAAAAAAAGGAAAAAATATTGCATGTTCATGGGCTGGAAGAATCAATATTGTTAAAATGTCCATACTACCCAAAGTCATATACAGATTCAATATAATTCCTATCAAAGTACCAGTGACATTCTTCACAGAAATAGACAAAACAACCCTAAAATTTATGTGGACTACAAAAGACCCAGAATAGCCAAAGCCATCCTAAGCAAAAAGAATGAAACTTGAGGAATCACGTTACCTGACTTCAAATTATACTACGGAGCTATAGTAACCCAAAAAGCATGGCACTGGCATAAAACAGACACATAAATAAATGGAACAGAATAGAGACCCAGAAACAAATCCACACACCTACAGTGAACTTATTTTTGACAAAGGTGCCAAGAACATACACTGGAGAAAGACAGTCTCTTCAATAAATGGTGCTGGGAAAACTGGATATCCATATGCAAAAGAATGGAACTAGACCCCTATCTCTCACCATATAAAAAAAATCAAATCAAAGTGAATTAAAGACTTAAATCTAAGACCCCAAAATATGAAACTCCTACAAGGAAACATTGAGGAAAACCTCCAGGACATTGGTCTGGGCAAAAATTTCTTGAGCAATAACTTACAAGCACAAGCAACCAAAGCAAAAATGGACAATGGGATCACATCAAATTAAAAAGCTTCTGCACAGCAAAGGATACAATCAACAAAGTGAAGAGACAACCCACAGAATGGGAGAAAATATTTGCAAACTACCCATCTGCCAAGGGATTAATAACCAGAATATATAAAGACCTTAAGCGACTCTACAAGAAAAAAACCATTGGATATCTATCCATATTGATATATATGGATATTTTAAATACTATTCCATTATTTGTATGTACTCAAATGCATTTAACTAGTTCATATTGATGGAGCATTTAGGATGTGTGTGTGTGTGTATGTGTTTTCTGTTACAAAAATGCCACATAAAGCACACATTTCAGAAATCTTCAGTTACTTAAGTAAATGTAGGACAAACTCTTCAAAGTGGAATTGTGGGATCAAAGGTACATAGCTTTAAAATCTTGATACATGCTGCCGAATTGTCCTTCTAAATGTTTCTAACTATTTATACTCCCACAGACAGTGTATGAGAGTGTCTCTGTTTCCTGCCAACCTCAGCAACAATTAATATTAACAGGCTTATAAATCTTTGGCAACCCAATAGGTGAAAAATCATTTCTAATTATTATTTTAATTTGCTTCATTTAGTGCCAGTCGTATGTACTTCTTTTCTGTGACCAAATTCTTCATTCTTAGCTTTTGCCCATTTTACTTTAAGGTCGTCTTGTTGGTTTATAATGGCTCTTTATATTAGGGATGTTATGCTTTTGTCATAAATGACACAGATGCAGGCCTTTTTTATTTGTATGTAAATAAAAAAGCTTTTCATCTTAAAAAAAAAAGAAAAAAACCCTAATAATCCGATCTAAAAATGGGGAAAAGATTTAGACATTTCTCAAAAGAAGACATGCAAATGGCAAACAGACATATGAAAAAGTGCTCATCATTGATCATCAAAGAAATGCAAATTGAAACTACAATGAGATATCATCCCACCCCAGTTACAATGCCTTATATCCAAAAGACAGACAATAACAAATGCTGGAGAGGAGGTGGAGAAAAGGGGAATCCTGGTTCGCTGTTGGTGGGAATGTAAATTGGTACAATCACTATGGAGAACAGTTTGGAGGTTCCTCAAAAAGCTAAAAATAGAGCTACCATATGATCCAGCAACCCCACTGCTGGGTATATACCCAAAAGAAGGGAAATCAGTATATCGAAGCGATATCTGCACTCCCATGTTTGTTGCAGCACTATTCACAATAGCCGAGATTTGGAAACAACCATCAGCAAATTAATGATTGAAGAAAATGTGGTACATATATGCAGTGGATCAGTATTCAGCCATAAAAAACAATGAGATCCTGTTATTTGCAAAAACATGGATGGAATTGAAGGTCATTATGTTAAGTGAAATAAGTCATGCACAGAAAGACAAACATCACATGTTCTCCCTTATTTGTGGGATCTAAAAATCAAAACAATTGAACACATGGAGATAGAAAGTAGAAGAACGGTTACCAGAGGCTGGAAAGGGTAGTGAGGGTTGGGGGGAAGGTAGGGATGGTGAAAGGGTACAAAAAATATTTAGAAAGAATGAATACTGCCTAGTATTTGATAGCCCAGCACAGCAAATATAGTCAAAATAATGTAATTGTATATTTAAAAATAACTACAAGAATATAATTGGATTGTTTGTAACACAAAGGGTAAATGCTTGAGGGAAATTGATACCCTATTTTCCATAATGTGATTATTACACATTGAATGCCTGTATCGAAATATCTCATGTACCCCATATATACCTACTATATACCCACAAAATTAAAAAATTTAAAAAAATGAAGAACAAACCTCTTTGATCAGTATTTTGTGTTGAATTGTGTCCCTCAAAAAGATATGTTGAAGTCCTAATTTCCAGTAGCTCAGAATGTGACTTCATTTGGAAATAGGGTCATGCTGATGTAATTAGTTAAGATGAGGTCATGCTGGAGTAGAGTGAGTCCTTAGTCCAGTATAATCAGCATACTTATAAGAAGACAATGTAAAGACATAGAGGAAGAGTGCCATGTGATAATAGAGGCAGACACTGGAGTTTTGCTGCTCCAAGTCAAGGAATGCCAAGGACTACTGATGACATCAGAAGCTCAGAGAAAGACATGGAATAGATTCTCCCTTAGAGCATTTGAGAGAGCATAGTCTTGCTGACACCCTGATTTTGGACTTCTTGCCTCCAGAACTGTGAGACAATAAATATCTGTTGTTTTAAGTCACCCAGTTTGTGGTAATTTGTTATGGCAGCCCTAGGAAGCTCATACCATCAGTATTTAATATTTAAGGGTATAAGCACAAAGATAAAGAAATTAAATAATACCTAGAATTATAAAACAGCAGCATCACAAAAAATCATGTTTAGATAATATTTCAAAATAGCCTTTCTCTTTACACAGATAATACATAGCTATTATTGGTGGAATTGAAGATAAGCAAAGCAAAAAGAAGGAAGAAAGGAAAGAAATAAGAAGGAAAGAAAGAGGAATAAAAGAAGAAACTAGAGATTACCACATTTTCTGAACCCAGGGATAATCACTGTTAAATTTTGTGGAATAGCCTGCTAGCATTTCTATGCAAAATGGATAATTTTTTCCCCAAATAGAATTATACTATACACATTGGCTTTGTAACAAGTTCTTATTTTTAACACTTCATCTTAAACACGCCATTATTTTTAACTCAGAAAAATCAATTATTTATGCTTCTAATTGAGATTCATTAAGTACTTTACAAAATGCTTCCATAGCCATTATCTTATTTGATAATGAAGGGACATGAATGAAGACAGCTAGAGAAGAGTAGCATGTAGCTTGTTTGCCCTCAGTTGGGGAATAAAGTTTTAGGGGATAAATATTTGTTCACCACTTGGGTTAAACTGAAGACTAGGGGAAATAATTTAATTTTTATTTACTATTATCTACTCCTTCCTTTGTCCTAAAGCTTGAGAATTAGCTGGTGGGGAGCCCAACATGATAGAAACATAGAAGATTGTGGAGTAAAAAGAATCCTGGCTGGGCATGGTGGCTCACGTCTGTAATCCCAGCACTTTGGGAGGCCAAGGCAGGCAGATCACAAGGTCAGGAGATCGAGACCATCCTGGCCAACATGGTGAAACCCCATCTGTACTAAAAATACAAAAATTAGCTGGGTGTGGTGGCGCATGACTGTGATCCCAGCTACTTGGGAGGCTGAGGCAGGAGAATCGCTGGAACCAGGGAGTTGGAGGTTGCAGTGAGCTGAGATCGTGCCATTGCACTACAGCCTGGCGACAGAGCGAGACTCCATCTCAAAAGACAAAACAAAACAAAAAGAATCCTCATGCTCATTTATTGCTCATTTATTACTTACTTTACATTCCTATTACGTGGCCATGAAAAACTGTGTAGAATGATGTAGATCGTCAACAAAAAATTGTGTAGAATGTTGTAGATCCTCAACAAAATACTAGCAAATCAAATTCAACAGCACATTGAGAGAGTCATGTACCATATTGCAGTGGGATTTATCCCTGAGTTGCAAGGATGGTTCAATTTACACAAATTAATAAATGTGACACACCACATTAATAGAACAATTTACACAAATTAATAAATGTGACACCACATTCATAGAATATTAAAATCATATGAACACTCAATAGATTTCTTTTATTTCCTTTTTTTTTTTTTTGAGACAAAGTCTCACTCTGTCACCTGGAGTGCAGTGGCATGATCTCGGCTCACTGCAACCTCTGCCTCCTGGGTTCAAATGATTCTCGTGCCTCAGCCTCCCGAATAGCTAGGATTACAGGCACCCGCCACCATGCCCAGCTAATTTTTGTATTTTTAGTAGAGACAGGGTTTCACCATGTTGGTCAGGCTGGTCTCAAACTCCTGACCTCAGGTGATCCACCCACCTCGGCCTCCTAAAGTGCTGGGATTACAGGCGTGAGCCACCACACCTGGACAAAATTCCACATCCTTTCATAATAAAAACTCTCAACATATTAGATATAGAAGGAATGTACCTGGACATAATTAAAGTGATATATGAGAAGGCCACAGCTAACATCACATTCAAGGTAAACCCCTAAAATTTCTATGAAACCACTAAAGTCCCTGAATAGTCAAAGCAGTTTTGAGAAAGAACAAATGTGGAGGCACTACGCTTCCTGATTTCTAACTATATTATAAAGCCATAGTAATCAAAACAGTATGGTCCTAGCAGAAAAACAGACCAATGGAAGAAAATAGACATCCTGGAAATAAACCCACATATATTCGATTGACTAATCTTTGACAAGAGTGCCAAGAACATACAATGGAATAAGGTTAGTTTTTCAATAAATGGTGTTGGGACAACTGGATATCCACATGCAGAATAAAATTAGACTCTTATACCATATGCAAAAAGCAACTCAAGATGGATTAAAGTCTTAGTTATAAGACATGAAACTGTAAAATTACTAGAAGAAAACACAGAAGAAGAGCTCCATGACATTGATCTGGGCAATTATTTTTTGGATGTGATCCCATAAGCACAGGCAACAAAATAAAAAATAGACAAATGGGATTACATAAAATTAAACAGCTTCTGCACAGCCAAGGAAACCATACACAGAGTGAAGAGATAACCCACAGAGTGGGAGAAAATATTTGTAAACTATATATCTGATAAGGGGTTAATATATAAAATATGTAAGGAATTCACATGACTCAATAGCAAGAAAACAACCCAATTAAAAAATGGGTAAAGGATCTGAATAGACATTTTTCAAAAGAAGACATCCAAATGACCAAGAGGTATATGAAAAAATGCTCAACATCACTAATCATCAAGGAAATGCAAATTAAATCACAGTGACATATCACCTCATACCTGTTAGAATGGCTAGTACCAAAAAGCCAAAACAAGTGTTGGTGAAGATGTGGAGAAAAGGGAACCCTTGTACACTGTTGGTGGGGATGTGAATTGGTACAGTCATTATGGAAAACAGTATGGAGATTCCTCAAAAAATTAAAAATAGAGATACCAGATACCGTGTGATCCAGTATTCCTACTTCTGGGTATATCTCTGAAGGAAACAAAATTAGTATCTCAAAGAGATATCTGAATTTGCATGTTCATTGCAGTATTGTACAGAACAGCCAAGATATAGAAAAAACTTAAGTGCCTGTCAGTGGATGAATGGATAAAGAAATTGTGATACACACACACAAAAGGAACTTCAAAAAGTTCATGAAAAATGCATATTATGAAAAGACTATGCATTGATTTCATTTTTTTTGCACCCAAATAAACTCATAATGACTTGTTATAACATATCTGAACAGAATCTGGTTTGAGGCACTAAGAAGGATAAGACATCAGTTTGAAAAGTACCCCTATCAGAGTAACATGAATTCTGCTAAAGTTGAAGAAAGAACAAACATCAAATTTATGGTAAAGCTTGGGTGGAAGAATGATGAAAATCACTGATGCTTTACCAAAAATTTACGAGGACAATGCCCCAAAGAATTCAGCAGTTTACGAATGGATAACTCACTTTAAGAATGAGACAATGTTGAAGCCTACCGCAGCTGACTATCCACGTTAATTTGTGAGGAAAAAGTTAATCTTGTTCATGCACTTATTGAAGAGGACTGATGATTAAGAACAGAAACAGGCTGGGCGCGGTGGCTCACGCCTGTAATCCCAGCACTTTGGGAGGACGAGGCGGGCAGATCATGAGGTCAGGAGATCGAGACCATCCTGGCTAACACGGTGAAAAACCCCGTCTCTACTAAAAATACAAAAAAAAAAAAAAAAATTAGCCGGGGGTGGTAGTGGGTGCCTGTAGTCCCAGCTACTCGGGAGGCTGAGGCAGGAGAATGGCGTGAACCTGGGAGGCGGAGCTTGCAGTAAGCCGAGATCGCGCCACTGCACTCTAGCCTGGGTGACAGAGTGAGACTCTGTCTCAAAAAAAAAAAAAAAAAAGAACAGAAACAGGCCAGGCGTGTTGGCTCACGCCTGTAATCCTAGCACTTTGGGAGGCTGAGGTGGGCAGATCACGAGGTCAGGAGTTTGAGACCAGTCTGGCCAACACAGTGGAACCCCGTCTCTACTAAAAATACAAAAAATTAGCCAAGTGTGGTGGTGTGCACCTGTAATCCCAACTGCTTGGTAGGCTGAGGCAGGAGAATCACGTGAACCCGGGAGGCAGAGGTTGTAGTGAGCCGAGATTGCACCATTGCACTCCAGCCCGGGTGACAGTGTGAGACTCTGTCTCCAAAAAGAAAAAAAAAAAAAGAGCAGAAACAATAGCTAACAGTACAGACATCTCAATTGGTTCGGCTTACACAATTCTGACTGAAAAATTAACGTTGAGTAAATGGCACTCATTTGATGGGTGCCAAAACCATTGCACCCAGATTGACTGGCTACAAAGAAGAAAAAAGCTTTCAATGGAAATTTTAACTATGTGGGATCAAGATACTGAAGCATTTCTTGGAAGAATTATAACAGTAGATGAAACATGGCTTTACCAAAATGACCCTGAAGACAAAGCGCAATCAAAACAATGGCTACTGAAAGGGGGAAGTGGTCCAGTCAAAGCAAAAGGAGACCCGTCAAGAGCAAAGGTCATGGCAATAGTTTTTTTGGGAATGCTCAATGCATTTCCCATGTTGACTTTCTGAAGGGCCAAAGAATGATAACATCTGCTTATTATGAGGGTGTTTTGAGAAAGTTAGCCATAGCATGAGCAGACAAATGCCCAGGAAAACTTCATCAGAGTGTTTTCCACCATGACAACGCTCCTGCTCATTCCCCTCATCAAACAAGGGCCAATTTTATGCGAGTTTTTTTTTTTTTTTTGACAGAGTTTCACTCTTGTTGGAGCTGGAGTGCAATGGCGTGATCTTGGCTCACTGCAACCTCCACCTCCTGGGTTCAAGTGATTCTCCTGCCTCAGCCTCCCGAGTAGCTGGGATTACAGGCATACACCACCACACCCTGCTAATTTTGTATTTTTAGTAGAGATGGTGTTTCTCTATGTTGGTCAGGCTGGTCTTGAACTCCTGACCTCAGGTGATCCGCCCGCCTCGGCCTCCCAAAGTGCTGGGATTACAGGCGTCAGCCACCACGCCCGGTCTTGTGCGAGTTTTGATGGGAAATCATTAGGCATCCATCTTACAGTCATGATTTGGCTGACTTTCCTTCTGACTTCTTTTTGTTTCCTAATCTTAAAAAAATCTGTAAAGGGCCACCATTTTTTCTTCAGTTAATAATGTAAATAAGACTGCATTGACCCGGTTAAATCCCCAGGATAATCAGTTTCTTAGGGATGGACTAAATGACTGGTGTCAACACTTACAAAAGTGTCTTGAACTTGATGGAGCTTATGTTGAGAAATAAAGTTTATATTTTTAGTTATTATCTTTAAATTCCATTTTCCATGAACTTTTTGAAGTCCCCTTATATACACATATACACACATGTTTATAATGTAATATTCAGCCACATAAAAAGAAGGAAATCCTGTCATTTGTGCCAGCACAGAATGGTTGAACCTGGAGGGCATTGTCCTAAGTGAAATAAGCCAGGCAGAGGAAGACAGATACTGTATGGTAACAGTTATATGTGAACTCTAAAAAATATGAGTTGAACTGATAGAAACAGAAAGCAGAGTGGTGGTTGCCAGGGTCTGGGGTGGGGGAAATAGAGCTATGTTGGCCAAAGAATACACAATTTCAGTTATAAGATGAGTAACTTCTGGGTATCTAAAGTATAGATATTAATTGTATTAGTAGTTAATAGTACTGTATTGTATACTTGAAATTTTGTGAGAGGGTAGAATGTAAGCATTCTCACAAAAAAGGCAAATATATGAGGTGATGGATATATTTATTAACTTGATCACGGTACTCACGTCAAATCATCATGTTGTATTCTTTAAATGTATACAATTTTATTTGCAATTATACCTCAATAGAGTTGAAAACAAGCAAACAAACAAAGGAAAAACCAAAAGATTTGCACCTCAGTCCCACCACCTGCTTACCATGTGACCTTGTGCAAGTCACTTCTCCGTTCTGGGCCTTGATTCTTGATCTGTAGAATAAAGATGATGGTACTTTAAAAAGTCATTGTATAGATTAAGATTCAATGATATGGGAAAACATTCATTGTATATTAAACAAAAATCAGATTATAAGAATGTATCTACCATAGGACCCCAATTTTAGAAAGCAAAATATATGTATATATGTACATGGAGAAAAAGATTGGAAAAATCTACCTGAAAATGTCAACAGTGCTTATATTTGGGTTTTCGAATTGCAGTTACTTTTTAAAAAGCTATATAAAATAAGGACTTAGGGGATAGTTGCTGAATTCTAAAGAGGTGAAGTTGTTTCAGGAATGGACCAAAAACACCAGTATTCTATATTTGCACAACACTTTGGCTAACAGATTAAATATACAGTTGGTGGGTTTGGGAGCAGCAGTCTAACTTAAGTCATCTGAGTAGAGTGATCTTTCTTCTATGCCATGCAATAATGAAGAGTAAACGTCAAACTGTAGTGGGCAAAAATGACAGGTAATGTGAAAGAAAGAAATGGGGTCTAAATAAAAAAAATATTGTTTATATTCATCCGTTCAACCAATATTTATACCCCCACTATGTGCCTAGTATTGTGCTGGATGCTGGAGTGGTTATGAAGGAAATAAAATACATACTTAGTAGTTTACAGGCCAAGTAAGGAAGCAAAGCATGGGCATGTGAGTAAATTAGTCCCCTAGCTGTCTGGCTTATATCTCACAACACTCATCTATCTTATGAGGACTTATTTGATGTGTGTCTTCCCATGAAGACTGTAACTTCCCTGAGAATGAGATATATGTGTATCTCATTTTTCTTAGTATCTTCTGAGCCTGCCTCTCTGATGTTGGCAGGCAATAAATAGTTGAATGAACAGGCAACAATGTGAGAGTTTAGGAAGGAGAACAATGCAGGCTGAAGTGGATAGAGAAGGCCTAAAGGAGAGATGGAACTTGGACCAGGTCTGAAACATGGCTGATGTGATTAGGAAGGAGGGATTTTGAAGATTGGAATGGAAGGAATAGAAGGAAACGACTTGCTAGACTCAGATGGAAAAATGAAGAGTCCAAATGAGTGACCTTTGAGTTCTGGGTAATGAGAAGGGAAAACATGGTTATAAAAGATTAGCCAAAGGAAAGGGAAAGCAGGATTTAATAGAAAAAAATATTAGTGTGCCTGAAGAAAATATATTATGGATTTTCTTAGAAAGGAAAAAAATGAAGAAATAGTCAACATTGTGACTGATTTCTTTAGGAAAGCTTATTGTATGAGTCATATTATTTGAAGAGTAAAATTATAAAGGCATTTATAGTCAGTGCTTTTTAAAGTTCCAGAATATTTGAAGTATCAGATGTTCATTGTTTTTTTTAGCTGTCAATAATAAAGAGTAAATCAACTACATAATTAATAATGATGTTTTCTCATTCTCAGCAAACTGTCGCAAGGACGAAAAACCAAACACCGCACGTTCTCACTCATAGGTGGGAATTGAACAATGAGAACACTTGGACACAGGAAGGGGAACATCACACACCGGGGCCTGTTGTGGGGTGGGGGGAGGGGGGAGGGATAACATTAGGAGATATACCTAATGTTAAATGACAAGTTAATGGGTGCAGCACACCAACATGGCACATGTATACATATGTAACAAACCTGCACATTGTGCACATGTACCCTAGAACTTAAAGTGTAATAAAAAATATATATATATAAAATTAATAATGATGTTTTCTAATGGCTAGGCATTGTTGTGAGTGATTCAATAAGTGATTTTTATCCCCTCAATAATTCTATTGTTATTCTCATTTTACATTTGAGGAAACTGAGGCACAAAAAGTTTTGAATAACTTGCCTGTGGTTACACAACTGGTAAGGAGCAGACCTAGGATTTGAATTTGGCCAATATGGCTTCAGAACCTGCAAGTCTAACCTCTGAATTAGGCCTCTATTTATATTGTGCCTAAATGATGAATGGGTAGTAGCAGAAACTGTAATCACTAATTTTAATTTAAAATATATTTAAATCAGGTATGTGAATTTGAAAAGGCAAGAAGGACAGCCAGGAGAGTTGAAGAGTGGATAAATATATTAAGACAGGATGGTATACAAAATGATGGTGGAGGTTTTTATGTGAAATAACTTGTGTTCATCCTTGCATATTGCTTAGGGCAGCACTGTCTAATAGAAATATAATGCAAAGCACATATGTAATTTAAATTTTGTAGTACCCACATTAAAAAAGAAACAGGTGAAATAACTTGATAATATATCTTATTTAACCAAATGCATCAAAAATGTTTTCATTGTAACATGTAATCAATACACAAATTATTTTTTTCAAACTTTTATTAATTTATTCAAACCAGCAAACAATTAACTATTGAATACATATTACGTGCCAGGCATGTTCTCTGCACAGTCAATAAAATAGTTAGAAAAACAGAAAAAAACTCAATGCATTCAAAAAGCTTACATGGTAAATTTAAAAATAACCACATTTAATATGTTAAATATGTTGAATGTTATTTGGTGGAGGTTGCAGAGAAAAATAAAGCATAATAGATGATAAAGATGAGGTGTTATAATTTTAGGTCGAGTGAATAAGGAAATATTTGTTGGAGAGGTAATATTTGAATAAACACTTGAAAGAAGTGAGCAAACAAGTCATAGAGATACCAGGTAGAAAAGCCTTACAGGAAGAATGAGATGAAATATATATGTGTTCAGATGGAAGTGTGCCTGGCAATATTCAAGGAATATTAAGAAGTCCATTGTGGCTGGAAGGGGGTGAGCCTGGAAGAGATGGTAGGAGTAAACTTTTTGTAAATCATTGAATACGCAAATTACTAATGAGTTATTTTATATTCTTCATTCTAAATCTTCAAAATCTGGTGTGTATTTTATGCTTAAAGTACATCTCGATTCAGACTGGCCACATTTCATGTGCTTGATAGCCACATGTAGTTGGTGACCGTAGCTGCTGGCTGTCATATTGGACAGCATGAGCTCAACAGACTAAATGTCATAGAAGTGACCTTATTTTTTATGTTTCCATGCATTTTTAGAGTTTCTTTGCCTTTTTTTGCATGTACATCATACACTGTCATTTAGTTTGGCTAAAAGATTTGATGGGCCTATTCCAATGCCTTATGAAGCCTGTTGTGTTAACAGCAGAGTCCAGGAATTCTGGGCTTCCTGCTGGTTTTGAAATTGTATAAATTTTGATTTTTCTATACAGTGAATCTGATCTTTTTTTTTTATGGATCACTCTTTTAGAGTGTAGGCAGATGAATTGCTGAGTACTCTTTATTTTGTTTCAGAGCCTCTGCTTTCTTTCTTGCAAAAGGAGCCCATTTGGGCTAATGAGCTGAATTCACTAGTTGTTTTCTTTTCTTCTACAAAACACCTTAAAATCTAATTCTACTCTCAGAAGAATTTCAGCAATATCCACTTCTCTCTTGATAGGTTCTCTATATAATTAACCTTTTTTCACTAAGCCTGAGGGATTCTTATTTGTGGAGCAATTATTTTCTCCAAAGCTGTTACACTTCTGTGGTGTCTATTTGCCAGAAGTTAGACTGAAGTGCACTTAGTGACTTAAAACTGAAATGAGAGCAATGGCATGCAGTAGTGATAGAAATGGATTATTGAAATAAAGTGGAAATCCATGAGCATTGTATTTATGTCCTATAATTCTATTAGCCACTAACTCAACGTGAAATGCAGATTTATTGTAAATACATTTAAAATATGTATTAGATATTATATACATGTATTTATATTCATGAAGATAGACATAAAGAAGTATACATAAAGATAACCTAATAATTATATTTCTTCATTTGAACTTTAGGAAGTTTTTGGTAATTGGAAGCATTTGAGGTGGTCAACCGGGTTAAACAACTTAATGAGAAGCTAAGCAAATGTTGAAAGAATGTTATTTGTAAAATTAATAAGACTTTTCTTTTCCTTTTTTTTTTTTTTTGAGACAGAGTCTCGCTCTGTCACCCAGGCTGGAGTGCAGTGGCACGATCTCGGCTCACTGCAAGCTCCGCCTCCTGGGTTCACGCTATTCTCCTGCCTCAGCCTCCTGAGCAGCGGGGACTACAGGTGCCCGCCACCACTCCCGGCTAATTTTTTGTATTTTTAGTGGAGATGGGGTTTCACCATGTTAGCCAGGATGGTCTTGATCTCCTGACCTCGTGATCCACCCGCCTCGGCCTCCCAAAGTGCTGGGATTACAGGCGTGAGCCACGGCGCCCGGCCCAAGACTTTTCTTACTAATAGTTTATTTTGTTGCAATGAGTGGTATTGACGTGAGAAGAAATAGTAGCAATATCTTGGTGAGACAAGATGCAGGTTTTGCTTTGTCTATTAGCTACTATAATAACTAGATTGTTATCCCAAGGGAGTTAAAAATGCATGGTTCTCATAGGAAGTGACCATGGGTAGCCAGAAACAGTTTTTGGGATATCCTAACCCTCCCTCACTGAATTTACACAGAGTTTTGGGGTTAATCTTGCTACCCACTGGATGTCACTGTTGCTGCACCAAAAATGTCAAGTATTTGAGCATTTTTTCAGTCCCCCAAAAGGCACACAAGGAAGCTTCAATTAGGAATATCAGTGACAATGCTGTGAGATGGAATAGAGAAGACCAATAGCTAGGTTTCTGGGTTGATAATTAAAATGTTGGTCTGTATCATTCTTGATTTTCGCAATGACAGTCAATGAAATACTTTCATGTTGAGACTAGAGACTTGTGGAGTGACCCAGAGCTGTCTTTGATATCACGTTGGTGTTTTCATCATTTTGAAGTGGGGCAGATGTTTTTACATCTGTTGCTTCTTGTCCCAATGAGGGTTGAAAGGAGTCTTGCTTGATTGAGTCCCCTTAGATGAGGAATATGGAAATTGTATTTTTTAACCTTGGTGTGACTTGACTGCTAAATAACAAGTAGAATAAAATATCTTTCTTTTGATGGTTTGTGAAAGTTTTCTGCTTCAGTGGTATGGAATTCATCTATATTAGAGCTGTCAAATCTTCTCAAGAATTAAGAATACAATTTTTGTTATTTCTCATTTGTTTACCTCTGGTCAGTTGAAATGCTATTACTTATTGGTATATAATAGACATGCGAAAGCATTGGATTCACAAAAGAGTTATGATCCTTGAAGTTTATTTATAGTTTTGAAAGAATTCGAAACATAGGAGAAGATTTGGACTTAAAATATTAGAACTGGAAATTAATATGCTTACCTTTATGTCATAAGATGATCTTGCCTGTCTAGTGTTGACATTATTTAGCTTTCTAACATGTGCCATATTTAAATGATTCAGGGAGAAAATATTATGTTTTCTGCTAAACTCTGTGAGAACAAGTTCATTTTTTCTTATACTTTCCAACATCTCCAGTGCTCAGCATGGTGTTGATGGTACAGTAGGTATTCAGTAATGTTGGTTGGACTGGATTTGACAGTATCCTAAGTGAGGGGCTGTTAAGATGAACTAGTAAGATGTCTCTTGTAGCTTTAGGGAGTTTATGATCTAGATGAGGAGAAGGCATACTGACAACAAACAGTAGAAAAACTCTTTAATGGCAATACCGGTCATAAGATCACTTTGATGTCTACTTCATTATAGAACTTACCTGTATGTCGGGCGGGGGGCGGTCACAGAATGTTATAATTTAAAGAGAAACAATATTTTGAGAGGTAACCCTGGATAAAAGTATCATATTCATCTGTTTTAAAATACGTAAAATATTTTAAAATATTTTCTTTATGTAGGATTTAAAGTTTTAGAACTTGTTTTTCTCTCCTCTTTTGAAACATGTAGGCTTTTAAATTTATTATCTTTGCATGACTATTTGAAATTCCAAGTGGAGAGATGACTCACTTAAGATCTCGCTACTCAGAGGAAAGTCTGCAGACAGCAGCATGGGCATTACTTGAGGCTTGCTAGAAGTGCAGAATTTCAGTCCCCATCTCAGACCTACTGAATCAGAATCTGCATTGTAACAACATCTCTAGGTGGTTCAAATGCTTATTAATATTTGAGAGGCACTGATTTAGGGTATCTGTTATGTTAGCAATAGGTTAAGGAAATGTGGAGGCCTTTGTCTACAAGGAAACAGAGGTTTATTGTCAGAATAGTAAATCCTTACTATGCTGTTTACTAGAGAATGATTAATGAAGGGAAATAGTAGAAATATTGTGAGTGAAATTCTTATGAAGCAGTTTGGAAAAGGCTCACGGGCACATTGAGGGAACCATTCTGAATTGGCCAATAAATAAAAAAAGTGAACAAGTCCAGACTGAGGCTTGCCCCTCTCCAGCTGCTTAATTTCCATAGGGACGCTGCTCCATTGATTCTCTAAGATCAAATGAGCCTTGGTGATTTTTCCTTCTCTCTCCCCACCCCCCAACCCTTGGGGCAAGAATAGCTAGAGTTTTGCTTCATTGCCAGAAACTTCTCTGGGAAAAGAGGTTGCTCACTTTGTATAATAATACTTTACAACTTAACCCACCTCCTCCCACAGATTACTTCCATAATGAGAAGAAGACCAAGGACCTGTGGATTCTGCAGAACCTTTGCTTGACAAGATGCCTGTGGATGGTGATGCACAGATGGGCTGGGATGAGCTTAATTCATTATTGCACACACACTACAGCTTTGTTTATTATTAATGACACGGCAGACATTTTCCTTAGCTCTGGAACTGAATAAAGCAATAACCCCACCATAAGGGAGACAGGAATTGGAAGATAATAAATATTTATCACCAAATCTCTCACTTTCCTAGCAACCACAAATGGAGGAGGAAATGAACTCCTAATTTTTTTGAGAGCCAGTGCCAGGAAAACAAAAGCTTAAAAAAATTTCATTAATCAAGCAGATTGATTGCTGTGGTTCTAGAAATCTCAATACAGTTTTTTAATAGAAGGAGATGCAACGATTGAGCACAGTTGAGACATTCTTTGAGATCTGCATTATTGGACAGATGCCACTTGCAAAAATGAGTATCATCTATCAGGATTATTAAGTAATACAGTCTGGTGGGTCTTTTCACAGGGCAGTATTATTTTGCTTGTTTTCCTGGACTAAATACACAGTACAGCAACAAAGCCATAAAACTGCATTGTCTCACACAGGAAGTTGAGTTCATTTCAGGGAACTTACTAACGTACTAGACTTGTGTTTTAAAGATTATGTGTAAATAGAGATGTGTTTTGTACATAATATATGACTTTTTCTGGTACAGGACAGTGATGTTGAAGGAGTCCAAGGTCTTCTAACTCTGTCAGAAGAAAGACTCAGCTTCTCCAGGGCCGGGAGCGAATTTCCTCAATTTGTGCATTTCATTGCCATCATATAATGCTAAAGAGGAAAAGACACAACTAATATGGGTTTCTAGTCCTATCACTGTAACTGATAATCAGTGTGACTTTGAGCAAGTTGTTCTGCTCCTCTGAGCCTCAGTTTCCTCATTTGATAAATGATGGGATTGAAAATGGGGATCCCATCTTATATAAGAAGTGTGACTTTACAACTCTATTGCTAGCATTGGTTTTCTTATCTGAACCCTTATTTTTGGACATCCATATAACTCTGGCATCAAAACTGTCACAAATTTATTTGTAATTTTACTCCTTTCTATCATCTTCTTTATTTAGCTGAGCTATATTTTATCTTTATGTTACTTGAGATTCATGGTAAACCATGAAATAACCATTATTTGACATCTGTCTCAATGGATACATAATAGCTTTAATGAGAGCAAGCAGCATGACTGCTCTTGGCATCCCGCTGAGTTTCTGTGTCCATATTTGTTTGGTGGTGTTTGTACATGGTTCTTCCTTTGGGGCTAGGTTCTCAATGAGGAAATCCAGAGGAAAGAGTTCTATAGCTTCCTCCACAAAGGAGGGAAGACAAAAGACAACAGAGATAGAGATGAGACAGAAACAGAATCCATCAGTTTTAACTATCTTTTATTCAGCATTTGTGGTCTAATGTCTTTCTTAGGTATTATGTGGGAGTGTCTATTAAAGGAAATGTTTGTTCCACTGCAGTAAAGACCGAGATATGTTGTACACATTTTATGTATCAGATTAGTAATTCTCAGTACACTGGATTAAATAATCATTGGGCCAGATTTCATGGGGTGACTGAACTACTCTCAGCACAGTAGATAAGGTAGTTCCCATTTTCTTAACTTTGTTCCTGACCGTTATGATGCTATTTAATGCCTTGGAGATGAAATTTACTAAACGGTACACTAGTAGACTGAACAAGTCAATACACCTCTCAAAATGTCTACCTTACACCCAGGGAGCAACTAATTCCCCATATTATCACATCCAACATATTACAGAAATGTCAGTATGGCCATCACTATTAACATTTCACTCTTCCAGATTCTCTTCAACTTTGTTATACTATTAAGATATGACTTCCTCAACCAAAAAAGGAACTTGTCTTTAGAAATAAGGTGTATCTTTCCCTATGGATTGATGTGAATGGAGCTAGATTCCTAATTTTTTTAAATGTGCATATTTAAATACCTAAACAATTCTTGAATTTAGCACCATGAAAGAGTACTAATCATATCAGTGATGATCACTGGATCAAAATACATATCATTAATAGTGCATTTTCACTGGTGGTAATTTTAAATGAATTTATTTTTCAGCATCAGTTCAAATACCTGTGCAATTCTGGGCCAGTATTCTGTGCAGCTCTTGCATTTTCAAGATTCATTTTCTAATCAGTGAAATCATTTACCTCTCTTAGATGCTAGGCCAGGAGTAATGGAGCTGAGAGAGTCGTTAGCTATGACAAGGCTTCCTTTTCTCTCATCTTTCTGGGAAAGTCAGGAAAAAGAACACCTTAGCAGCATCTTTCTTCTCCCAAAGAGGAAACAGACACTAATCAGCATTCAATTCCACCCCCAAATTCAACAATTCAGTTTTCCACAGTGTCATAGTGCTGTCTGTCACATGGGCTCCTAATCATGAAATCTTAAAAGAATGGCAAGTACCTTTGGTGTTTTCCAGGTGTGATCTGATGCACTGGCCAGGACCATCAGAAAGGAGAAATCATAATGATGGGCAAAGTGGTGGCATCTCTCTTTAAAATTCCCACCACACAGTGTGACTTAGAGCTGTACAGAATGCCAGGCAGTATGCTCTGCTTTTACAATGATAAAATCAATATGTTGGGAAAAATTTGCATTTTCATCAAGGAAAGGAACATGGCAGATTTAAGCTTCTAGCAAGTTGTCTTAAACAACAGTGCTAGTAGAAATGATTTAAGGAATTGAAAAATCATTGATCCTCTAAAGTGCCTTGGGAGGGAAATATTAGGAAACCAGATGAGATGATAATCTGTATTAATTTGTAGCTATCTAGTATTTTTGGTGGTGCAATATGGAAGCCAATTTTTATGCACCTTTCTTTTAAGTCATTTGTGCATTGGTGAAATATATAAATTGGGAAGGGCAGGACCATGAAATTGACAGTGTCTGCATAACTGTATCTGAGGTAAATTCAATCTTGTCTTGTCACGTCTTTCCTATTCCAAATGTCTTTCACCAATCTTTAGTGGTAACCAAGGAAACAGTAAATGGGACCTATATCTCTAGAGATTTGCTTATTAAAATTTGTACTTCTGTTAGGATTTCTCTCTTCATAACTTCTTCTTTTTTTTTGAGATGGAGTCTCGCTCTGTTGCCCAGGCTGGAGTGCAATGGTGTGATCTCGGCTCACTGCAACCTCCATCTCCTGAGTTCAAGCGATTCTCCTGCCTCAGCCTCCCGAGTAGCTGGGATTATAGGCACCCACCATCATACCCAACTAATTTTTGTATTTTTGTAGAGATGGGGTTTCACCATGTTGGTCACGCTGGTCTTGAACTCCTGACCTTAGGTGATCCACCTGCCTTGGCCTTCCAAAGTGCTGGGATGATAGGCGTGAGCCACCATGCCCAGCCTCTCTCTTCATCACTTCTTATGGTTAGATTAAAAGTCTACTTTTCATTTTCACCTTTTGGAAAGACGTTGAGAGGATTTAAACATTGTCTTATAATTGTTTTTATCTCACCAAAGTACTCTTTCCATAGGTTGATCCCTATCTGATACTTTGGAAAGTTTAAGCAACAGCTTATTATTGATTCTAAATATTCTTTATGACTTCACTTCTAAATTTTCCTACTCTTATTTACTTTGCAGAGTCTTTAGGCAGTTGCCTTTTATACCTAGAATATTTTGTTGTAATCACTGGGAGGGAGACACTGTAGAAGGCTTGTTCTATCTTGGTCAGCACTGGAAGTCCTGATTTGTGTTTTGAAAACTCAAATCTATTGAGCAAGATAAGAGGGGATGCAGAGAGGCTTATGTGTAGATCATTGTAGTAGTCTAGTTAACAGGTGGATAACTTGGATTAAGAACGTGGCGTGGAAATGAAGAGAAAAGTATGGGTTCAAGAGACATGTTGGAGGCAAAATTAATTGGACTCTGATAAACTGGAAGCAGGGAATGAAGGAGAAATATAAAAGATGATTTGTATAATTCTGATTTGAGAAAATGGATGGATAGTGGTATCATTTGTTGAGATAGGAAGTGCTTGAAAAGGACTATTTTTAAATGTGTGTTTGCGTGTGGAAGGAAGGGCATGGAAGGTTATGAGTTCAGTGTTGGACATGCAGAGTTTGAAGTACATTTGCGACAACTAAGTAGGCAGATGGCTATATAAACAGCTTTGGAACCTGCATGAGAGCTTTTGGCTGGATATATAAATTTATGAATTATATACATAAGGGTAGCAAAGTCATGGTTATGATTTTACATAGGGTGTAATGATTTTATGTTGGGAAGAGAAGGGGGCCCAAAACCAAGTCTTGACGAACTCAGGCATTTAATGGCTTCGTGAAGGATACACTATGAAAAGGATACTTAGAAGGACTGAACAGAAGTGTAGGAGGAAAACCAGGAAAAGGGAATATGTCATGGAAGTCAAGGAAAAAGACTGTTAAAAAATTTGATTGGATCACAGTGTCACATGTCCCTGAGACAACAAAGAAGATGAAGACTAAAAAATGTCCTCTTTATGTTTGGGTTCAGTAACAAGGATGTCATTGGTGAGTTTAGTGTGAAGCACACAGTGGAGTGCAGATGTGGTAACTAGATTAGAATGAACGGGAAAATGACCAGGAGGTGGGCAAATGGAGGTCACAAATATAGATAACTCTTGGGAGAAGTTTTTCTATGAAGCAGATGATGGAGATAGGCCACTATTTACTTGGAGGATATGGGATAGAAGGAGGGTTTTATTAAATGGGAATGTTTAAAACTCATGAGAATTGTCTATGGGGGAGGTGGATACATAAGGAATAATGAAAAAGTGAGATTCCAGGGAGGCCTAGGGGAAAATAAGATCCAAAGCATCAAGGAATTAGCTTTACATGGGAGGCAGACCTTAACCCTCATGTAAAAGGTTGGGTTGGGGAAAGTACTTGGGATGGACACAGATATACATAGGTTTCTATGCATGGTAGCAGAAAGTTGAGGGCACTCTTGTCTGGAATTTCTATTTTGTCTGTAAGATATTAGGTGTGGTCACATTCTGAGAGGTAGATGGGGTGGGTAATGGGTGTTGGATTAGAAGACCCTCTGAAATTTGAGGAAATAACTTGCTATAGAGAGTGGGAGAATGAGCTATTAAAAGAAGTATATTAACCCATGGCACATTTCAACTTCATGCTTCAGCTATGTTGAACTTCTTTTAATTACTGCAACCTACCATGTGCTCCTTCACTGAGCTTTTGCCTGTGTCATTACCTCTGCCTGGACCATTCTTCTTGCCCCATTCATCTTATGATTCCCACTCATTCTTCAGGTCTCAATTTAGATGCCACATCCTTTAAAAAGCCTGACTTCTATAGTGAACTAGAAGAGGTTAAGTGCCCTAGGTATGTGCTTCCGTGGCCACTGTTACCTTCTTTACCATATCCATGTTGTTGTGGTTACTTGTCTCACTGACCGTCTCCCAATTAAAAGGTAAGCTCTGTGAGGTCAGGGACTGCTTGGTTAGAATGATGATAACATGGTTAGCCCTAACCTATAGCACAGGGCCTGCCACATAATAGGTGCTTAAGATATACAGTTGCTGAATGGATGCAGTGAACTCACTGTGACAAGGGAACTGGTCACATGGCTAGAAGGAGGGCGGGACTCTTAATAGTGGTATGTCTGGATGAAAGGTGTAATTTGTAAGAAGTGCTATTCCATTAACTCAGACACTGGCCACTTTGCAGCTGAGGCATGAAGGAAAACATGAGAGAGGTGTAAGACTGTGATTTTTCTCTCCTGGTGGTTGGTGCTGGAGGGAGTGCTGACCCATGCATTCCCCAGCTGTTCTAATAACCCGATAGTGCTGAAAGGGGGACACTGGTGGAAAATAACACCACCCTTCTGAATGAGGCTCTAATTTGCATAGGACCAAATGTGGTCGTGAGTCTTGGTGGCTGATTTCAACTCTGTTATTTAATATTGCTCATTATTTCAGCAACCTGAGAATAACAGCTGGACTGTGTGGGATGAAAGCAACTTTTCAATGCAGGCAAACAGATCACGGCAGTTCTCTTGGAGAAATATTGCTGGTTAATTTGCAAAAATAAATCCCCTTTTTTGTCCTCGTTCTTAAAAAATGCCAAGTTGCAAGATGTGCACACGCATGTGTGCATAAGATGAGGCAAGGACGAATTTAAACTAGAGGAAATGCTTTACAGCTAGGCTGCCTCCTTCTCCCTCAAAGGCTGATAAACTACAAATGCCATTTAGGCACTGGATTTATGGTTACTTTTCGTGTATGCCCTGAAAATTCACTTACCTTCAGGGGATACTAGTTCATGGGGAAAATAAGTTAGTACTGAGAAGTTCAATTACTCTCCTAAAATATCAATAGCTTAGCAGTAAGAAAGCAAAACAACAGGTGCCTTTTTATATTAGATATGTTCTCAAGACATCTGTAAAGGCTTGCTACAAACAGCAAGAAAGTAATAGCTATAAATGTTACTCAGTGGGAAGGTTTGGGATGGAGGTCCTTCTTCCCAGTCTCCAGTTCGAATCTGTGACTGGTGTTCCATCACTTCGCAGCATGGGTTTCTCTGCCAATGTACTCCTTTCCTTTTGTTTAATTATGACTATTATTTTTCACAATGGTTGGGCCATTTTCAAGGTCTTTGATATAGGACTTCTGTTTTCTCTTGTTTCTGGAGTAACTTGTCTTCCTTTGGAAGACCCAGCTTTGTGCTTCCCGAAGAGCACCTTCTAAGCTGGGGATTTTAGTGTTTCCTGATCTGCTTTAGCCCTCCTCAGCAGCACAGTAATGTAATCAGCTGAAGAATCTCCCAGGAGGGCTGCATTGTTAGGGTTTCTCTTTCAGTGTAAGCTATTTAATAAATGTACTTTAGGAGTATGGGGTTGATTATTGAAATACTTTCTTTGAAGGTATCTGTCTTCTCCATGTGATAGCTCCTAAGAGAGTTTAGACTGTGGTGAGAACTTATGTCTTGTGGTCACTTGCTTCATGGGAGGGCAAAGTATCTGAAAAAGAGCTTGTCTTTGGAGAAGCCCTGACTTTGGCTTTGAGAATACATGGGTAATTGGGTCATTATCCAAGGCTAAAAGAAATAGATTCATAAGAAAGGACGCTAAGTGTTTCCATTAATTCATTTTATATTTGAAAATAGAAAGCAAGGAAAGCTGTGGCAAGTCATCCATGTATCTGATATGCAGTGACACAAAACTCTTATCTTTGAAAGAAATTCTTGACCCCAAAGGGCAGTTGTACATAACATGTCCTGATTTATAACCTGTACATAAAGAAAAGGTGGTATGTCATAGTGGTTGAGAAGGGGATTTTGGAGTTAGAGGGTAGCGGGTCTAGCTGTTTGGCCTTGGGTTAACCATTTGGTTCTCTTAAACCTGTGTTTTCTCCTCTTTAAAATGGAGAAAATAGTAGTATGCAACTCATAGGGTTGTTTTAAGTATCAAATGAGATCAGGGAATTAAATTAAAGATCATACATACTGCCTGACAATAAGTGCTCAATAATTGTTCATATAATTTAGCAGAACGTTTTTTTCAGGTTCATAGTCACTTTATTTCATAACTCAGGGAGCTACCTGGCACGTGCATGTGCTACATTTTATGTAGAGCAGAGCTTGATTTTCTTTCTCATTTCTTTGCATCTAGTGACATTACTGCATAAGCTTCTTAAAACTATTGTGAATCTTCATGAGGTTATCTGACCTTTCTTTTTTTACACCAAATGTGTGGATTTATCTTTCAGATTTTCATGGAGAAGAGTCACTGGATTGGCCTGGAGTACACTGGTTACCAGGCCAGGTTTCTAGGGGGTGGCTCTGGACCCTAAGAATAAACTGCTTCTTTTCCACAGAAGTGACCATGTCTGGGATGGAAAGTAAGTATATTTTTCTTCAATAGGTCAATGAAAATAAAGATAGTGTACATCATTTTTTTCATTAAATTAAGAATAATGATGAGAGAACTATAAAGATTTTTAAGAACTTGCTTTTTATGAAAAAAAATAGTTGTTCTTTTTCTTCTTTCCAGCTTTTATTTTAGGTTCAAGAGATATACGTACAGGTATGTTCCATGGGGAAATTGTGTGTTGCGGGGTTTGGTGTACAGATAATTGTCACCCAGGTAATCAGCATAATACCCGATAGGTTGTTCTTCAATCCTCACCCTCCTCCAACTCCCCACCCTCATGTAGGCCCCGGTGTCTGTTGTTCCCTTCTTGTGTTCATATCTACTCAATGTTTAGCTCCCACTTATGAATGAGAACATGTGGCATTTGGTTTTCTGTTCCTGTGTTAATTCACTTATGATAATGGCCTTCAGTTCCATCCATGTTGCTGCAAAAGACATGATCTCATTCTTTTATATGGCTGCATAGCATTTAATGATGTATATGTACCACATTTTCTTTATCCATTCAGTCCACCATTGATGGGTATGTAGGTTGATTCCATGTCTTTGCTATTGTGAATAGTGCTTCAGTGAACATACACGTGCATGTGTCTTTATGGTAGAACAATTTATATTCCTTTGGGCATATACACAGTAATGGGATTGCTGGGTCGAATGGTAGTTCTGAGTTCTTTGAGAAATCCCCAGACTGCTTTCCACAGTGGCTGAACTAATTTACACTCCCACCAGCAGTGTATGAGCCTTCCCTTTTCTCTACAGTCTTGCCAGAATCTGTTATTTTTTGACTTTTTAATAATAGCCATTCTTACTGGAGTGAGATGGTATCTCATTGTGGTTTTGATTTTCATTTCTCTAATGATTAGTGATGTTAAGCATTTTTCATTGCTTATCAGCCACATGTATGTCTTCTTTTGAAAAGTGTCTGTTTATGTCCTTTGCCAATTTTTTTTTTCTGTTTGATATGGTTTGGCTCTGTGTCCCCACCCAAATCTCATCTTGTAACTCCCATAATTCCCATGCGTTGTGGAAGGGACCTGGTGGGAGATGACTGAATCCTGGGGGTGGGTCTTTCCTGTGCTGTTCTCGTGATAGTGAATGGGTCTCATGAGATCTGATGGTTTTAAAAATGGGAGTTTCCCTGCACAAGCTCTCTCTTTGTCTGTTGCCATTCACGTAAGATGTGACTTGCTCCTCCTTGCCTTCTGTCATGATTGTGAGGCCTCCCCAACCATGTGGAACTGTAAGTCCAATAAACCTCTTTCTTTTGTAAATTGCCCAGTGTTGGGTATGTCTTTATCAGCAGCATGAAAACAGGCAAATACACTGTTTTTTCAACTTTTATTTTAGATTCAGAAATATATGTGCAGGTTTGTCACCTGGCTACATTGCCTGATGTTCAGGTTTGGGGTATGCATCCCGTCACCAAGGTAATGAGCATAGACCCCAATAGGTAGGGTTTTTAACCCTGGCCCCACTTGCTCCCTTCCCAGTGTCTATTGTTGCCATCTTTATGTTCCTTGTATTTCTATGGTGTCAGTGGTAATGTCCCCTTTGTCATTTCTGATTGTGTTTATTTGGATCTTCTCTCTTTTTTTTCTTTATTGGTCTAGCTAGCAGCCTATCGATCTTATTTATTCTTTCATAAAATGAACTTCTGGTTTTGTTGATCTTTTGTATGGTTTCTCTCATCTCCATTTCGTTTAGTTCTGCTCTGATTTTGGTTATTTCTTTTGCTAGCTTTGGGGTTGCTTTGCTCTTGTTTTCCTAGTTCCTCTAGGTGTGATGTTAGGTTAAATTTAACAGAAGTTTTTTTGCTATTTTTCGAACCATCTTCCATGCAAAGTACATGGAGTTATATAAAAAGCTCTTTGTTCTGCTGCACGCTTTGCTAGTTTAGGTAAGCAAGGCTGGGATTAGAGATGGGGAGAACTGAATTTCTCTGCCCACCCCTTCTCTCTTACTATCTTCCTACTTTGTTTTATTGATTTTCATAGCACTTCTCACTGCCTATTGAGAGTTGAATGGTGCCTTCTCCAAAAGATATGTTGAAATATGTGTCAGTTTGCTCAAGTTGCCATAACAAGTATCACAGACTGGGCAATTTAAACAACAGAAATTATTTTTTTCATAGTTCTGAAGACTAGGAAGGCCAAAATCAAGGTGTTCGTTGCAAGGTTGGTTGCTTCTGAACTTTTCTCCATGGCTTGTAGATGGCCATCTTCTCCGTGTGTCTATCTGTGCCCTAATCTCCTCTTCTTATAATGACATCAGTCATATTTCATTAGGGCCCACCCCAATGGCCTCTTTTAACCTTAATTACCTCCTTAAAGACTGTCTTCAAATACAGTGATATTCCGAGGTACTGAAGGTCAGAATTTCAACATATGAATTTGCCCTATAATGAAGTCCTGACCTCTGGTACCTGTGAATGTGATCTTACTTGAAAATAGGGTCTTTGCAGATGTCATCAAATTAAGATGAGGTCATAGTGGATTCGGGTGGGCCCTAAATCCAATGACTGGTGTCCTTAAAAGGAGAGAGTGGTGCAGAGGAGACATACAGGGAAGAAGGCCATGTGAAGATAAAGGCAGAGATTGTAGTTATGCTGCCATAAGCCAAAGAATGCCAAGAAAATTGTAGGACACCACCAGATGATAGAAGAAGCAAGGAAGGATTCTTCCTTAGAGCCTTCAGAGGGAACACGGCCCTGCTGACATCTTGATTTTGGACTTTCAGCTTCCAGAACTGTGCAAGAAAAAATTTCTGTTGTTTTAAGCCACACAGTTTGTGGTAATTTGTTACAGCAGCCCTGGGTAACTAATACACTAATTGACATTATATATTTGATAATTATTTTCTGTGTCCTCCACTAGAATGTAAACTACATGAGGGCAGGCATTTGCCTGTGTTGGTCACTCTTGTATTGCCAGCATAGTGGATATTTACGGAATGAATGAACAAATGAATGAGGGCAATCTTGGGAGTGGGGAGGAGCAGAGTTGGCAGAAGAAAAAAGGGGAGTAGATGACCATGAGTATAAAATATACTAATCTACCGAGTGAACTTCTGGCAGGAGGAGGTGAAGGGGTTGAGTCCCCTGTCCCTGTCCAGTTTGATGTGGCAAGAAATAGAGACAAAATATGGAAATTAGGGCTAGAGGAACCCTGGAAACATAAACCCCTAGTAAGCAGAAATCGAGTGGATTGCATTGGACTTTCACGGCTGATGGAAGTAGCAGAGTCTAAGCAGCCAATCATACCCCGATCCCTAAGGAGCAATAGGCCCAGCTGACATTTGGTTTACATTTAAGGTATTTAATCTCCTAGATTTATCCTGCATGTCTCCTACATTTTTCCATGATATTTATCTCTTTATACATTTCCTATGAGTGTGGGGAAATTTTCTCAAACTCCTAATTCTCTAGTGTAGTTTTCTGCAGTAGCACACCTGGCTCCAGTATATTTTTTCATCTGAAAGCAATCTTTCCTGACCTCAGGTGTTTCTGTTTTTGCAGATGAAATGTCATTTCACATTTTATTATAAATCAAAATGGTGGGTTTTTATATTGTTCTTTTTTTTTTTTTTTTTGACGGAGTCTTGCTCTGTTCCCCAGGCTGGAGTGCAGTGGCACGATCTCGGCTCACTGCAAGCTCTGCCTTCCGGGTTCACGCCATTCTCCTGCCTCAGCCTCCTGAGTAGCTGGGACTACAGGCGCCCGCCAACATGCCTGGCTAATTTTTTGTATTTTTAGTAGAGACGGGGTTTCACTGTGTTAAGCCAGGATGGCCTCGATCTCCTGACCTCGTGATCCACCCGTCTCGGCCTCCCAAAGTGCTGGAATTACAGGCGTGAGCCACTGTGCCCGGCCTGTTCTTTATTTTTTAAAAGAAGTTTCTTAAAACTTTTTTGTTCTGAATCCTCAGAAGGTCTCCATATTTTCAACTATTGAATCACTCTTTCTCTCTCTCTTGTCCCTCTCTTTCTCCCTCTCCCTCTTCTGCTTCCTCTTCTTATCCCTTTCCCTTTCCGCCCCTGCCTTTATTTCCACTCAGTAAGTTTCCTGTATTTGTTCTTCCTGATGTCTATGCTTAACCGTTACTGGGATTGACATGCCAGAGATTTCATGAGAAAAGTTATATTTTCTGTTGTTTTACTTTGATAAATAAGGGTTTCATTTGATTGGAAGAAATAGAAAGAGTGTTTTATAAGGGAGACAGACATGGGGCAGGTAAGTGAACTGCTGGGCCAAGTATTTTCTCTTCCATGTTTGTTGTAGCAAATGGTGAGTCTTGTCCCACTTCTTCCAAGGTCTCAATTGTCCTTATAAACAGCCTGCTAGGGCAATGCCTTTGCCTTCCATAGCCCCTTTGTCTTAGCAAGCTGAGTCTGGTAGTGATGTCCACTGGTCTCACTCTGCCCCATATGTAAGTGCTTGCACACTTACAGAAATGTTTGAGTTTTCTCTTTCCCATGCGGCCTATATCTTACCTGTTCCTATCTAGAGCTGCTCTGTCCTTGGGAGCCTTGGTGGAATCCCATCCATTATTCCCCATGTGTTGGTAAATCCTTTCCTTAACCCAGTCCCATGTATACAACATGACACCCTTCCATGTTTCGCAGAATTGATGTAGATTTTCCCATAATTTCTATATCTTTGATTATTATAATGGAAATTAGGGAGAGAAAGAAGTGAATAACCTGGGATCAAGATTTTGTCTTGAAACAGAACTGAGAGAATGATATGACAACTGGCAGTTTTACAGAGGAGGTAGGTCTTAAAGGGTGGAAGAGGGCACACATGAGCTGGGATTGGAAAGTTCTAGGTTTTAATTCCAGCTTGACCTCTCTCTGGCTATATGATCTTGGCTATATGACCTATCAGTGTCAAAGTCTCTTTTTTATATCTTTGAGATCTTTAGGAATGGAAATCATTTGTATGGGTAGAAAGGAGGAGGGAAGGCATTAGATGTTGAAAATAAGAACAAAGGCACAGACATTGGAATGAGGGTGATCTGTAGGGCTAAGAAGCTGAGGTATTACCGATATTATTTGCCTATCCTACAGCCATTCCTTTTTCTTCTTGGTTGGAAGGGCCCAGTTTTTTTCATGTGTCTATCCTCTTTCGCACAGCTGTGAGGGTCCCTCTCCACCATGGCTCAGGATCAGGTTCAGGCTTACACATGTGATATGGTAGTCAGGGAGTCAGGAGGGGACATTGAGGGGGCTGAGGGGGCTTCTGGGAAGGTCTTCTCATTATTGGAAAGAAAACAAGAGACAGAAGTACCTTATTCTGTTGCTCTGGACATTGTTGCATGTGATGCCTTGAGCAGAGGGAGAATGATCCTGAGAACAAGCTCCTTGCTGAGAATGGACTTACCATCCTGGGATGTTAGAGAGGAGAGGAAGAAAGCAGGGTGCCCAGTGACATACAGACACTGAATTAATCAATACTGTAACTTCTGTCTCTTCAGGCTTCTTTGATTAATAAAGCCAGTAGAATTGTATGGCTTTTCTTTTTTATATTTTGCAACCCAAAGCATACAAAATGATGTATCAGAGACCAGTGTGTATTTGGCTGTACTGGGAAATAAATGTGGTTAAGTCAGAAGGAGGAATGTCATTAGGAGTCTTGAAAACCAGATAGAAGACTTGAGATTTGGTGTGGTACATCACAGGGAGCTGCAGAAGAGTCTTCAACAAACTGATCTTGATGAATATCACATTTTAGATAAGATTCATATAAGAATGATATGGTGGCCAAAATAAAGGATGGAAAAGTCTGGATTTAAGAAGACCAACCAGAAAATTTGGTTGGTCTGGGGACTAGACCAGTCTTGTATTAGAGGATGATATGGTTTGACTCTGTATCCCCACCCAAATCTCATCTTGAATTGTAATCCCCATGTGTTGAGGGAGGGAGGTGATTGGATCATGGGGGTGGTTTCCCCCATGTTGTTCTCATGATAGCGAGTGAGTTCTCACAAGATCTGAGGGTTTTATGAGCATCTGGCATTTCCTCTGCTTGCACTTCTCCCTCCTGCCACCACGTGAAGAAGGTCCTTTCTTCCCCTTTACCTTCCACCATGATTTCTGTGGTCTCCCCAGCCATGTGGAACTGTGAGTCAATTAAACCTCTTTTCTTTATAAATTACCCAGTCTCAGGTATTTCTTTATAGCAGTGTGAGAACAGACTAATACAGGGGAAATCACTCTCTACTTTTGATTTAATTTTTACTTCTTTTCTCTGTCCTTCTATAAGGCCTGGTGGAGAAGAACTTCCTATTAGTGAGACAGGATGTATGTCATTTGGGCAAAGTCCTTAGCATGAAAGATGTTATCAAGGAGAAGGCTGATATTTTATCTAGAAGACAGACCAATGCCCAGGATGTGAGAGATGGAGGATCAAAGAAGAAGTCTTTCTGAGATGTAAATGGCACTATCCCTGTCTGAACTATTGTACCAGTTTTGTTCACTGGACTTGTTGAGATGGTAAAACCAAACGGGAAGGAGAAATTATTACTCCCTAATAGCAGTTGCCGGCATCCAGTGGCTTCATAACTGCATCTTAGTTTGAGAAGCCTCTCAGGTAGGAAAATGTATTGTGCCATAGCCTTTGGATACCCCTATGTATACTTACCTGTGTGATATTCCTTTATGAAGAAAGCATATTTCTATTTAATTCTTAGTTTAATATGAAAACCTGTAAAATAGGGACATATAGTCAGGTCCCAGTTAAGCTAATCTGATATTTGAACATTTGGATTTAAGATAACACAGTGTTTCCATTATTAAAAAAATCTTCTCCAACAGTTCACTTTAGTAACTTTTCTGGCCTTCATTAAAATATAATTAAAAAATAATGCATTATTACATTTTCAGTTGACTTTACTAGCAACATGTCTATTTTGAAAAGTAAACTCCAACTGCAAAGTAAGTTATTTTCGTGCTTGGTAAGGACACATTCTTCTAAATAATGATTACAATGGAGAAATTAGGAGATTCACATGGCTTTTACCCAGCAGGGAATGTATCTTGAGACTCAATAAATTTAAGCTAATCTGATTTTTTTTTAAAAAGCACAATTTCTTCTCTATACATAATTGTATTTGGCAGCAAGTCCCAGCTGACAAACAGTGGATTAAAAATTAATGGGATTATTTGTCTAATGCTTCACAAACTCTGGGGGGAGGCAGCTCAAGGATACCATCAAGGAATACGATTTTTCCTCTCCTCTTGCTATACCATCATAACAAATGGCTGTTTCACTTTGAGTATAATATAATATCTAGACAAGAAGAAGAAGGAATGGGAGAGGAACATCAGTTGACTTTTACTTGTATTTCATTGGACAGAACAGAGTCACTTGGCCACCCCTAGATGTGAGGCAGTCTGAGAAAGTGAGTTTTCTGCTGTCCTGCCTTTATAGTAAAAGGACACAAGTAACAAAAGGTTGGAATGGGTATTGAGCTGGACAATCAAAAGTATATGCTTCAAAGATGTTAGTTGCTTTGAGAGAAGAAGGAATACCATATAAGGACAACTCAGATTTCAGATGGCAGATTGTTTGGCTAGGTTTAGACACAGTGAACATAAATCACACTTACATGGTGTATCAGTCTAGGGTTGTTCAATAAAACAGTCATCCTAAATAATTTAGGAACAAAGGGGTTTAGTATAGGAATAAGCTTAGTTAGATGTTGAGAAATTGAGAGCAAAGGTCAGGACAACTGCAGACTCCAGTAGGTCAAAAAAGCAGACCTTGGAGACCTGAACCTGAAGCACCAAAGTGAGTTATTTTCAAAAGCTTTTCTGGTAACTGGCATGATTCTCAAGTCTCTGAGAACTTCTGACCTGTATGTCCAGCACAATGGCAGGCACATAGCTGGGACTCAAAAACAGCTTGTTGCTTCTTTGTTAAATAGATATTGAATTCATAAGAATACCTTGGCTCTCGAAGCCTACACACCAGTGCTGAAATCTACATATCAGTGTCCAGACACACCCAATATCTGAATGACAGCTCAGTCTAGGAAACACGCCACTCCGGGTATTTCAGATAGAAGGAAATGGATACAGGGAATTGGTTACACAGATGGTGGAAGAGCTGAAAAGCCAAACAGGGCTGTGAGGCAACACAAAAATTAGCAACCTTAGGAAGCCTCTACCACCCTGTGGCTGAAGGGCATGAGAACCTGTAGTATTACCAGAGAGCATAAGCTGAGATCATTTGGCAGAAGCTAAGAGGGAAGGGGTTTTCTAGTGGAGCTGGAGCCGTGAAGACATAGTTGCTACCCTGTAGCAAAGAGAGAATGGGGAAGAAGTACCCTGGCTTCTTCCTCTCTCCTACTCTCCAGTCTTCTGTCTGTGCTTCCACTTGGCAGAACTGAGACAGAATCCAGTTGACTGCAGAAGTCAGTCTGTAGGGGTCAGCCTCTGTGATACAGAGCAGAGTACAACAACTACAAGAAATAGATCTGAGGGTGAATAGGAAATGATAAGTACAGGCTGTGTGTGTGTGTGTGTGTGTGTGTGCGCGCGCGCGCGTGCGCACGCGCGGTGCTTGAAGATGGAGAAGGATCTCAATGGGGTCTACATGAACTGGCTTCTTTCCTGGTGCTTCAACATCCCCTTATGTTCTGCATAATCCTGGAGACCTAAGCTTTGTGCCATATACTAGTGCCATATACTGGCAGTTTGATGGCTTAGATGTCTGGCCCTGCTAAGTCTATGCTATTTTCATTCTCCCCTTGTGGCTGGTTCTAACAGGCAGACTCTGATATGATTAATGCTTGGCAAAATTGCAGTTGTGCTGAGCTTTTTGATCCAGTTTGAGTTCGTTATGAATTAGATGAAAGGTGGGATAATTTGCAGAGATGAGGAAGGAGATTTAAGATTTAGAGATCATGACTATGTCAGTTCCCCTTGAAAATTTCCAAGTTTGATTTAAAAGTTTTAATATTGGTTAGATAATAGGTCCCTAGTTTAAGAGTTATTTGATTTATTGAAGAATTTATGTTAAACGTTACAATACTTCCCTAAGTTTACTTAGGAATTTAGAGGATCGAACACTGTACCTGGTAAAGTTGGTATCTGTGGCCCTGCAAAAAACTTTATACTGTTTTTCATCGTATATTTTAACATCTGTAACTGGCAAAGTGATTTTATTGATCGTCTTCATGCTGAATTATCTAAAAGGTGGCAATGCATGATTTACCTAGTGAGCATTCTTAATGTTCAAATTGTCTTTGGGACATGTATGAAATGTGAAATTGGAATGCTGGACCTTGTTGGTAAGTTAATTCATTTACAACATGTTGCAAACCTGCACACTCAAATGCAGCTTGAAATATTTATCTGTACATTTGACAAATTCATAAAAATGGCCTGTAGTGGGTAATGTCCGTGCTTTATCCAGATCCAAAAACATTTTTTAAATATTTAACTTCCAGCCACCAGCACCTATGGCCCATTCTCTGAGGATTGCCCCTACTTTTTCCTTCACATGCAGAGAGAGGGAACTGCCTGCAGATTCATGTTCCCCTGACGTGGTTCTTACCTGATGGGAGCTAGAGTGTGAAAGCTCCAGCTCCCTTGTCTGTGAAGTCAGGACAACTCTGAGGATTAACTAAAACTACAGAGTTCCCCAGCAAGATCAGACTGAAGCCACATTCCGTGGAACTCTGCTGGAAATCACCCCCTTGCTTGGCTTTGGAATTCTGATTGCTGTGTGACAAATTATTACAAAATTTAGTGTCTTAAAACAACTAAACGTTATTATCCCATGCAGTTTCTGAAGGCCAGGAATCTGGAAGTGGCTTAGCTGGATGATTCTAGTTTAGGGTCTCTCAAGAAGTTGTAATTGAGCTGTCAGCTGGGGCTGTAGTCATCTGAAGCTGGAGAATCTGCTTCTAAGCTCATTCACAAGGTTGTTGGCTGGAGATCTCAATCAATTCCATGCCATGTGGGCCTTTACACAGGGCTAGCTGTCTTCAAGATATGGCCCCTGGATTCTCCCAGAGCTAGTGGGGGTGGGGGAAAAGAGAGAGAGAGAGAGAGGGAGGGAGAGAGAGAGACAGACAGACAGACAAGGGGAGGGGAGAGGAGAGAGAGAGAGTAAAAGCAAGTCTTTTATAGCCTAATCTTGAAAGTCACATACCATCATCTTTGCAGTGTTCTATTGGTCACACAGAAATCAACCCTGATACATTGTGGGAGGAGACTATACAAGGGTGTGAACAACAGGAGGTGGGAACCATTAGGGGCCATCCTGAGGATTAACTCTCACAGTTTCTCTTCCTTCTGTGTTCCCTGCTTCCCCCTCTCCTTTACTCATTTCCCATGGCAGGGCTTCCTTAATAAATTACTTATATGAGAATTCTTGTCTTAGGATCTACTTCTGCAGAGCCTGACCTAAATAATTGCTATTTCTTTGTCTAAAATAGGGGTCAGAAAACTATAGTCAGTGGGCCAAATCCAGCTTGCAAACTAAGAAGGTTTTTAAAATATTTTTTAATGATAGAAAAGAATCCAAAGAAGAAATTTTTTTCATAATATGTGAAAATTATATGAAATTCTAATATCAGTGTCTATTTTATTGGAACACATTTTTAAACGTATTGTCTGTGGTTGCTTTCACACTACAATAGCAGAGTTGAGTAGTTGCGATAGAGACTGCAGGGGCTACAAGGACTAAAATATTTACTCTCTGGCCCTTTATAGAAAAAACAGTTTGCTGATCCCTGGTGCAAAGTAAACCAGCATTGTGTGGTTTATGTTCTGATGATTTTCCAGGCTTTGGCACTGCTGGCTTCCTTGGCCTTCAGTCCAAAGTCTTTTCAGTTCACTCGTGTCACTCTTAACGCTTTCCAGTGTTTTTTTTTTTTTTTTGTCAATCAAGGTAGAAACAAAAATGAATTATTTTGAATTTGCCAGCACCACTCCTCTGCGTGGAAAGAGAGGGGCTGTAACTTTCAGCAGTGGGAGTCTGGTAGAAGAAACAGAGTTCCTGCTTGGTCCTCTGAGTTGTGCCAATTGTCAAAACCCTAAACAACTACTGTGGCTTGATTCTCAGAATAGGGCATGTTTTTATTGTCGTAAGTAGGAATTTCTTTATTTTATAATTTATTTTTAAAAAACTTTGAAGTTCAGGGGTACTTGTGCAGATTTATTACATAGGTACACTTGTGTCATTGGAGTTGTTGTACAGATTACTTCGTCACCCTGGTATTAAGCCTAGTACCCATTAGTTATCTTTCCTGATCCTTTTTCTCCTTTAAACCTGCACCCTCTGGTTGGCTGCGGTGTCTGATGTTCCCCTCTATGTGTCCATATGTTCTCATCATTTAGCTCTCACTTATGTAAGTAGGAATTTACAATAATTTGGAGAGCAGCCCTTCCAATATCTTTGATGCTTTATTAACACCCAAACCATTTCATGTCCTGATATTTACTTACAGAAGCAGATAGAATTTGATTATAGTTGATCTCAGTGATGAGATGAAATATCACAACAAAGGTTTTCTTTGTATAACACGATTATATAAAGGGGATAAGTTAGTCATCCCCAACATACTTTATAATTTAAATAAAAACATTTATTACCATTCCTTCTGTTATTATCTTCACACAGTCCTCTGAGGCAGGTGAGGTAGATTCAATTCCTAATTTACAGATGAGGAAATGGATAAAATGATAGATTAAAAGTTGGCTAATTACATAGTGGTGAAGCTGGAGCAAGAATCCAGGCCTCTTGACTTCCAATCCAATGTTCTTTCCACTAAACCACTTGACTATTTACTGTGTGCAGGGCATTGTATGAAGCACAGTGGGAACTTAGTGTGAAATAATACTTACAATAGTACTTACATCTAAATGCCACTTTAAACTTCCCCCTCCCACAAACATTTATTTTCTCTGTTGAAATTAGTATATATTAGATTACTCTTATTCATGCTGTCTTGTTTAGTAGCTGTCAAGTGAATTTCTATACACATGAGTTTTACATTATAATCGATGTAACACAATTGGTATCTAGAGGAAAAGCCTTTTATCTATTAACCCCTCCTTTATTGGTTCCTTGTTCCCTGAGAAATAGAGCTAAAGCAAGAAACTCTTTGTAATTTTAGTCTTTGACTAATAACTCCATATGCAGAGGATGTTTTAGACATTTTTTGAGTTAAAATGGGGAAACAACTTCTTGATTTGGCAGGTCATATGGGTTTTGAAAGGATGAGAAACAGCAGTTTGGGTGATACTGGAAAAAGTGTGTTTCACATGAGAGCTTCAGGGTAAAAGCTGGCCTCATTTACCTAACTGGCAAATATGGAAGACATTTTAAAGACTCTGTAATTTATCTTACCATTTTGGAAACATGTGAAGTCTTCTTTTCTGATTATAAAGTTATTAAATGCTCACTATAAAAAATATGGAAACTGTAGAAAGTTAATAAAAATTTGTCGATGACCAACCCAAGGGTATTTACTATACATTAACATTTTAGTGTATTTCCTTCTAGGTAAATTTTCCTTTGATACTATAAAATACATACCCTGTAATTGTAAGAAAAGACTAGGATATGCTGCTGTAATATACAGCCCTCAATCTCAGTGAGTTTAAGCAACAAAGATTTGTTCCTCATTCATGCTTCAAGTCTGTCATAGATGCATTGAGCACCCTGCTTCGTAGTGCCATTTTCTCACTCCTTGGGCTGATAAGAAGCCATTACCTGGAAGCTGCTGTGGCAGAGGGGAAAAAAGCTCTGGAGGCTCTTACCTCAGAAATTGCATGTTCTGGTCTGAGGTGACCAATACCACTTTCACTCAACGACTTAGTGTCTGGAACTACTCATGTGGGCCAGGAAGTGCCATTGTACCATGTGGTCAGAAAATGAGAGAAATAGAAAAATTTGGCAAACAGCAGTAATGACCCCTGCACACACCCATCAAGCTGACCTCTGTTTTTACTTTCTATCAAAATATAAAAAGACTTCTCATTCCACTAAAATACTTCACAAATGGCATTGAATCAAGTGGATATACCACAATACGTGTAAATACCTCCCATTGTTGGACATTTAGATTGTTTCAGATAGCTCAATATTATGAATATGTTATTTAAAAATATTTTCCAATTGATTATAAAGAAAGATTTTTCATTTTTTTTTGCCTATTCTCCTTTAGTGCAGGGAAAGACAAAGATGAACTTTTTACATTTTACAAACAAAAAGGCAATTCATTTCATTTAGTTGTGCAAGAGATGAGATTCAGGAAGGTGCACATCAAAATGCTAGAGCAAGAATCCCTCACCTTGATTATTGAAAAATCAATTAGCTCTTATAATCACTTGGGTGAGTCTTTCAGGTTTTTTTGGCCCAGATTCTAGCATGGAAGGCCAACTTGGAGATTGGGAAGAAAGGCTGTAATTCCTTTCTTCCTTTTACAAGTAGTTCAGTTGTTGTGAAACCAGAAAGTACTACTTCACTGAAGACAGCTTCACATCATGTGTCAATATTCTTTGCTTATGAATCATCATATTATTTCTTGTTAGGGTTATGAATTTTGTGAGGTGATTAGAGGGATTTTTTTTCCAGTATCACAGGAATATTTTTGACTGACAGCCCTGAAAAGAGAATAAAGCTAGTCTTTTTAATGTGCCTTTAATCCTACTCAGATATTCTATTGATGCATTTTGAATGTCTTTTATTTTCACAGTGAGTGATTTCAAAGAGAGATTATGGACTTTTCCAGCGTAAATGGTGAATCCTTTCCTTTGTAGTGGCTTCATTTTTTTTAAACCGCTAATTGTCTTTTATGGTCTTCTATAAATATTCAAGTGTTAAACTTTTAATTTTTGAACTTTTCATTTTTTGTATTTTATTTATCTAAGTAAAATCTTAGATTTTACACACACATATACACACACACACATCTTTAGTATAGTCTTTGCATAGTTTGGTGGCCAATGTCTCTCTAAATATTAAGCTCTTTGAGAGCTGTGTTTTTAAAAATATGACTGTATCCCTCATATGATATTAACAAGAGATTTTCTCCCTCCAACTCCCGCCCTTCCATGAACGTTCATAAAGAGTAAAAGTCTGTTTTTCCTGTTTGCAAGTACATATATCATTGAAGATCAGTTCACCAATAGCATTGCAAGGATTCTACTTCAATGCACAAATAATGTGGTGGCAAAGTTTGAAGAACTTGGGGCAATAATTATGGATAATTGCACTCGAGGGAAGAACTCAATATGTCCTTAGGCCTTTGAGGTATAGATGGAAGGTCTCCAATAGTTTCTATTATACTAAGCCATAAGGCTTAGTGTCAGCATGACTTACAAATGCCATTTTCTTTGGCTAACATTTCCTCCTCTTCTTGCCTAGTGGTCCTTACTCATATAGTTCCCATCACTGGGAAAGAAATGTCAAAAGACAAATGTTTGAATTCACATACTAATTTAGTGAAGCTAGATGAAGACTCAGATGAATGTTTGTTTGATGTTAGTCTTTTAGGGTTGCCAAGCCATCTGCCTCATTCAGCAATGGTCTCATTATTTTTCAAGCTTATTCTGCATTTTGTTGATAGAATTATTTAATAGATTTTCAGGAGCTGTTTGCCAGTCTTGCTCCCTCTTTCAAAAAGCACCCAACACAACAAGAAATGATGTATGGTGGTCTTCCTGCATTCTGATACTGTCAGTAGGAATGGGATGGAGTCATTTGGGAAGTTGTGATATCCTTTTAAATGGAGACGTCTATCAAGGAAGAGAGTTGATAGTTCAGTATGGGACAGCTTTCTAAAGGTCACCCTGTTTAACATGCGTGAGTTGTAATAGCTGGTGAGTCCAATTCTACAGAGTAAGGTGTTAACATTTTATTGATACATTAGCTTTTTCAGCCCTGAGTCCTCTCACAGCTTAAGAGTTAATATCTTACCCCCATATGAGCATTTAACTCCATTCTGGTTGCTAGAATCAGAATAATTATATTCTTATTGACATTTACTTATATCGTATTCTAAAGAAGTATTTAAGATAGATTACATGAAGTAAAACTGGATAATTACAAGAAAAAGATAAGATCCCCAAAGTTAGAGGGATTAATTAAAATACATTAACTTGAAATAATGTAATTAGTGGCATAAATTTGGAGCTTAGAGACAAACATTTGATAAACTCATTTCCAGAAATGAAATTTTAACATAATTTGTTGGAATAGATTTAATGACCTCATTAAAACCTTATTCATAAAGTAGAAATGGGGGGCCAGGCGTGGTGGCTCACGCCTGTAATCCCAGCACTTTGGGAGGCCAAGGTGAGCAGATCATGAGGTCAGGAGATTGAGACCATCCTGGCCAACATGGTGAAACCCCGTCTCTACTAAAAAATACAAAAAGATTAGCCAGGTGTGGTGGCACGCACCTGTAGTCCCAGCTACTTGGGAGGCTGAGGCAGGAGAATCTCTTGAACCCAGGAGGTGGAGGTTGCAGTGAGCCGAGATCGAGTGATATTTTCGTTTTACAATTTTCACCTGAAAATTCAGCTATCGCTGGAGAGTATTAAGTTTCTCCATCATCTGCATCTTATGGGGTGTTAGGGAGAAGGAAATTATTTTGGATTGAGGAACTCTCTGGGGAAAGGATAGCCACTGATGGGTGTCCTGCAGATTGGGACCTTGGAGAGCCATAGATCATTATGAGGGAAGGATGGGGAGGAGAGGCAAAGAGTGGCTGAAAGTACAAGGAAAGGCAATTCAGAAAGGTGGAAAGACTTGCACGAAAAGTCTATTTTTCCCTTTTGCCTCAGGCCTCACAGATAGGTCAGAGTATCAGTCATTCATGATATTGAGAATCTGCTCAGTGCAGCCCTTTGAATATTGCCAGAGGCCCTCTACCTTCATACGGTGAGGCAAATGAGCCAGTTGGTTAGTCACCCTATATGGAACTGCTCAGAAGTCAGTGTAGCTCAAACCCAGCCACTGATTGACCGTGTTTCCTGGGAGTAGATTCTGGCAGTCTTTAAATTGAAGAAGGACCCTAACTTGTAAAGGTGTTAGCAATTCACATGTTACTTAGCCCCCTTCTTTCAATTTGGAAACTCCAGATGACCTCCTTAATGCGTTGTTAGACTTAAAACAGCATCAGTCTAACAACTCAATGCCTCATGGATGAAGAGCATTAGAGTTTTGACAGAGAGTGAATAGCCTCATTACTACTTATATCCTCTCAAGAAGCACCCTAAACATGACTACCACTTAGAGTTCAGTAGGGGAGCTTCAAGGCTTATGTTTTGTTGGGTGGCAACACCAGTGCCATGCTGAATATAGTTTGTGGATTTAGGAGCACAACAAGAGGTTACATTTCTTAAGGCTGTGCTTGGCTCACCTCGCTTTATAGCTCTCTTTCTCATGTTGCAGAGTTGTTTTTCATTCCCATTGCAGCTGAAACATACACAGAGATAAAATAGTTTTCTGAGTGTAAGAAAAGAATAAAGAGTATCACTTGGGGGATTGTGAAAAAATATCAAAGTAAAGCAGGTCTCATAATTCATAAGTCCTAAGCAGTGCTCTAAGGACTGAAAACAGACCATGTTTATCTATAAGTGACCTAGTTTGCTGTGTAGTTTGTGTTTTAGTTCTGGAACTTTCTCTGTGTGTGTTTGTGTGTATGTACACACACCCCCTTAAAGAGTTATGAAGTGAGGACAGGCATACATTGAATGCAGAGTAAAAAATAAATTAAAAAATTGAAGGAGGATTCCAGAGTATTTCTGCTTCATGTATATATTCTATTCATATCTATATTCATAATTCTACATTTTGAGATAGATCCATAATTCTGTATTTCGAGATGATAGAGTGAGGAAGGAAGCCCTTCCAGATGGCTGCACAGTTTTCTAGAGTAAATCTCTAGGATTTTTAACTCTTTAATTATAAGAATTTATTCATATACTTACTCCTTTCAAGCACGTTGGTTAAAGTTTTGGTAGGCAACTGGAATTCTTCTAAAGGAGTTCTGCTTGACTAAGGATATTTACCATCCACCACTGGGTAGCGTTTGATTTAGGATGAAAGACAGACTTTAGCCCAATGGTTGAAGGCAATTGCATTAGTGAGGAAATAGGAATTACTCTATGTGAAAGTGTGGTTCCTAGGGAACATGGAGGGGGGCTTGAACATTTGACTATCAGGTACATTTATAGACTATTTAAACATCAAGGATTTTAGAAGTTCTGAAACTACATGGCTTTAATGAAGAATGAGGTCCTTGTTGTTCTTAGTTCGTCCTTTCCATTCCATTCCTTCTAGAATCCATTCTCTGTTCCTCTCTTCCCTGAGTTGCACTCTGGAGGCTGACCACTAAGGCCTGCATTGCTTATGCTCCCTTTCCAGCTGGCCTTCTGTCGGGTTTAGCCAATGAGAGGCACCGATAAAAAATTAGGGAGGGGAGGAGAGAAATGGTAGACTATTTCTTCTCTACTGTTTTCCTGTTTGGGGCTGTGATTTTGGCTTTTGGTCAGTCTTTCATGACCACAGCTTCTTATATCACTGGGTCCCTGTAGAACCATCACTTCCTCCTCTTGCATTTTCCGGACTGAGGGTGGTAATAGCTTCCAATTATTACAAATGTCTGGATGTTTCAACACCCCTTATTGATTCCCTTCCCCCGTCTGTGCTTCTGGAAGTCTCTTGAGCCACCTGACTTGAGTTTTTTCCTGCTGAGACCTTGACAGGTATAAATGTGAAGTAATTTGTATTGAATCATATTGTGAATTGGTGTCAGATTTGTTAAGACTCCACTGAGTACCCTGGATTTTTTTAGTCTAGTACTCTATCTACATGGCATCCCTGCCTGTTTGTTCTAACCCTTTCAGGGAGCTTTTGGAAGAAAGGCATTGAGATTTGAGCAGCCACGAATTCTTTTTTCTTTTCTTTTTTGAAGTGGAGTTTCAGTCTTGTTGCCTAGGCTGAAGTGCAATGGCGCGATCTCGGCTTACGGCAACCTCCGCCTCCCAAGTTCAAGTGATTCTGCTGCCTCAGCCTCCCGAGTAGCTGGGATTACAGGCATGCACCACCATGCCCGGCTAATTTTGTATTTTTAGTAGAGATGGGGTTTCTCCATGTTGGTCAGGCTGGTCTTGAACTCCTGACCTCAGGTGATCTGCCCACCTTGGCCTCCCAAAGTGCTGGGATTACAGGCGTGAGCCACCGAGCCTGGCCGTGAATTCTTTTTTTTTTTTTTTTTTTTGAGACAGAGTCTCTCTCTGCTGTCGCCCAGGCTGGAGTGCAGTGGCACGATCTCGGCTCACTGCAAGCTCCGCCTCCCAGGTTCACGCCATTCTCCTGCCTCAGCCTCCTGAGTAGCTGGGACTACAGGCACCCGCCACCATGCCCGGCTAATTTTTTGTATTTTTAGTAGAGATGGGGTTTCACCGTGTTAGCCAGGATGGTCTCGATCTCCTGACCTCGTGATCCACCTGCCTCGGCCTCCCAAAGTGCTGGGATTACAGGCGCGAGCCACTGCACCTGGCCGTGAATTCATTTTTTTTTTTTTTTAAATCCACACTGGCCTTGGCTAGTGTCTCTGTCCATGGTAATAGAGGCTTACAAGGAGGGATATGACCTGGAGAGTCCTGTCCACTCCAGCTCCAAATTGCATTGCAACTGTAATGTGGATTTAACAGGGGAGAATGCCGCATAAGCAAGGAAGTTAAAACAGTAGGGAAATGTATTGGGATGAGAGATAAAGTAGTTTATCACTGTAGAGGAGTTACTTGAGTTCTTTTTCCTACTTCATTTTTTAAAATGAAAGTACAATTTACATACAGTAAAATTCGCTCTTCTGGTGGAAAACTGTCAGTTTTGACAAACACATAGAGTCATACAACCTCTACCACAATCAAGATAAAAAATAGTTCCATCACTACAAATGACTCCCCTGCCCACTGCCCATTTGTAGTCAGCTTCTCCTCCCCACCGGCAACTGCTGTCAACCACTGATCTGTTTTCTGTCTTTATAATTTTTCCTTATCTAGAATGTCATATAAATGGAATCATACAGTTTGTAACATTTAAGTCTGGCTTCTTTCACTTAGTGAAATATGAGATTTATCCATGTCTTTGCATGTGTTAGTAGTTTGTTCCTTTTTGTTACTGACCAATATTTCTTTCCATTTATATAAAACAGTTTGTTTGCCAATTTCCCATTCCCCAGGGGAGGGAAATTTCCATTGTTTCCAGTTTTTGGATATTATGAATAAAGCTTCTATAAGCAGTCATACAAGGGGTTTTTATGTGAACATAAATTTTTTATTTCATCCAGGAGTGGGACTTCTGGGTCTTATGGTAAGGTTATACTTATAAGAAACTGCCAAACTGTTTTCCAAAATGTTGGTACCATTTTACACCCCCACAATTGCATGGCTTTCATTTATAAAGAGAAGCAGACATTAGAACCATACAAATAAATATTTTCCTAAAATACATTTAAAACATAAATGATTTGAGAAAGCAAGCTTCATGTTTTCTTTATTTCACAAGGTTTGGCAAGTACTGAAATGAGTTTTCCAAACTTCTTAGCCTTATTTGGTTTCGCTCTTTGAAAAAACAACTAAAAAGAGGCGTTTTCAGCCAGCATGACATAAGACAATGAGATGAGATGGATGAAAGGATGAAAACCAGCTGAGGTGCCTTTTGAGCATGAATACCTATTTTCCATTTTTAGCAAAAGTGAACTAACGATTAGGAATAACAAAAACCTTTGGGTTCTCCTTATTACTGTGGGAGATAGGAAAGGCACCAAATATGGGCAATGATGATGGTGGGATGAAGATTCTTCCCCCTTGCCGTTTGTCTATGGGCGTTGTTAGAAAGTTTCCAGGTGCTTGAAATGCAGCTGGTGCCCAATTTGTCTGTCTGTTTCTTACTTTGGAGCAGCCTATTGATTTTGCTATTGTGGAGCTCGAAGACCAGAGAAATGGATAGTGCATGTTAAAAACAAACCACAACAATCTCCCCTTCCTGCGACCTGCCGCTGCTCATAGGGGGCAACTGCCTAGTAGATGTGAATAATTGATTTTTCAGCTGGCGCCCCAGCGTCAGTCATTTTCATCAGTCAGCAGGCGAGGACATTCTGCAGCTTCTGACTGTCCCTGACTTGGAGCATGTGACATCTTTGCTTAAGAAGGCCTGCAATGTGGTGACTGTTAATTGCCTGCACTTATGAAGTGAGTTTTCCTGGGCTCTCATCCTCTCTCCCCAAACCCGTTTGATAGTATATATTACTGGGCTGATTTTTTTCCCCCTTGAATTGCATTGGCTCATGAGCTCTGGGGGGGCTGTGATATGTCATCTCTATCATTATTTTCAGCTCTGAGATGACTGGTGATTAGAAAGCTGACCAGGCAGGAGATATGGTGTTGGAGGCCACGAGGCAATGACCCCTGGGTAGTTCTGACTATCAAACTGCCCTTACTGTGTAATAGTAAATGTTCTCCCTGTGTTTCTAGCAAAATCAATCACATAGGTGTTCACTGAGATGGGAAACAAAAAAGTCATCTTGCTTGTAGGTTTTTCTAAAGAGAATTATTATAGGGCTTGGGAAGAGTTTCAGTTCCCTAAACTTATTAGAAATAAGGTGATTGGCATTTTTTATGATTATAGAAGTCATACATGAAGAGGAATGCAGAAACTAAAGTATAACATTATAAAGGTATAAAAAACCCCCATGACCCATAGAGAATATACAATCTATGTATATACAGATTTTAAAGAATGAGATTATACTCTTTATACAGTTTTGTAACCCTTCTGCTTTCCTTAATAGTATCTCACGACCCCTTTTGCATGTCAGTAAATATAAATATGCATCATTGTTTTTAAAAGGTAACTAGTATTCAATTAATGGATGAACTATAGCATTTAGTCAATCTTCCATTTTCTCATATTTTTATAAATATTGTGAACAGTTCTATGATAAATTTCTTTAACCTACATTTCATGTGCTTGCGTGATTATTTCTATGGGAAAGTTACTAGAAGTAAAATTGCTGGATCAAACTTTATGCATATTTGAATGGTTGAATGGTGTATATATATATATGTGTGTGTGTGTGTGTGTGTGTGTGTATGAAGAATATATATATATATCTTCAAATAATCCTCCAGGAATCTTTTACCAATTTATCTTACCACCAACAAGGAGATAATATCCACGGGCATTATCATTTTTTTGTCTTTTAAAAATTGGCCAGAAGACAAATGGTATCTTGTTAGAGTTCTTACAATTCCTAGTGAGGGTGAATGTTTTTCCTATTTTATAGGTTATTTACATTTCCCTTTTGTGAATTGTCTGTTCATAGGCCTTGTCCATAGAAAATGGTGTATTTTTCTGTTTGTTTTTCATTTGCATGAATTCTGAACATTTCAGTGATCCTAAGCTTTCATCATATGTATTTTGCTTGTGTTTCCCCACTTTTCTGTAGAGCTCAGTGATTTAGAATTTAGACCCTGGAGCCAAGACTGCTTGGGTTCAAATATTGTGGTTCCGTCACTTACCAGATGAGTTTGTTATCTAATATAACTGTTTTGTGCCTTAGTTTGCTCACCTAATAGTATCTACCTCATAGGGCTATTGTAAGGATCAAATGAATTAAAATATGCAAAGTACTTAGAATGGCGCTTGGTGCTTAGTAAACACTATAAGTAATTGTTATTTTTATTGTTTGTTTAATGTGATATATTTATGTCATACAGAATCTTAAATTTGCATATGTTCAAATCTATTAATCTTTTCATCTGTGGTTTCTGCCTGCGGGTCATGCTTAGGAAGATCTTAACCTAAAGATTATTTTTGAAAAGCTTCACCTATATTTCCTATCGGTACGTTTTTAAACATTCAAATCTTAAATCCATCTAGATGGAAAAGACTCTAGCATTTCTTCCTTTTGTGGCATTGCGTATCAGTGATATTATTTATAATCACCTTGGAAATGACTGATAGTGATAACTATTCAGTATAATTCCTAATGCAGCATCTTGTTTAGGAAGGTTATTAATGCATTTGATAATCACAATAAGGCAAATACCACAGTATCTCTCCTGCAGAAAGATTTGAGTTTGGTGCAGCTGAAAGATTATATGTGCAATTCTAGGGGATTTTCATTTCAGCTCTGTAATTTTTCATTAGGTGTAAATGGTAGAAAAGTGGATATTTGAGCCTGGATCAGAATTGTTTGTGGTAGGTTCAAAAGCACAGCTACAGTGTTTTGCAGTTCACCTCATCAAAAAATGGAGTATATTGTCCCATCCTTTGAGTCTGGGTTGGCCATGTAGCCTCCTTTGACCAGTGGAATGTTATGTGGGAGTTCCAGAGCCTTCATCCTCTTTGACCACTGCCCTGGGACCACCATTCCATAAAGACGTCTTAGATGAAGGGCCACATGGAGGGAAAGAGAAGTTCAGCTATGCCATCTGTCCCAGCTGAACTCAGTCACCAGCTGACCTGCTGCTTAAGTATAGCTGCGTGAATAAGTCCTAGATAGATCAGCAAAAAACAAACAACAACAACAACAACAACAAAAAACCCAAAAAACATCACCCAGTCTACCTGCAGAATTGTGTCTAATAATATATTGTTGATGGTTTAAGCCACTGAGTTTTGAGGTAATTGGTTTACAGCAATAAACTGAATGTGCAATTCTAGAGGATTTGCATTTCATATGTACATATTTTCATCAAGTGTGTGTGACAGAAAAGAAATCTAAGGCTTTTAAAAAGTTCCTGTTATCTCTAATTGCCAATAAAAATGCATCTATTCTCCCAACTTTCAAAATTGCGTTTACCTTAGATTTTCTTTTTGGCTGTATTTTGGAGGAAGATCACAAGGATGCTATTTTGGAAGTGAGCCCATGTTTATGGAGAGCTCCTTGGATTAACTGTGAACTTGTCACACAAACTACCTGCTTGTTGTGATCTTCATGTGTTGAGCTCTTACTAAGTGTCAGACGGTGTTCTGATTCAAAATTCTGAACCCATCATTCCTGAGGTTCTGAAATTGTCCTACAACTTGGAGTTAGAATCAAGAAGCCTTCACAATCCAGTGAAACATTTTGTGGAGTTGGTATAGATTGTGTAAAACATAGGAAACCAACATACCTTTCTAAGTCTCAGTTTCCACCACTGTAGAGCAAGGTGCATGAATCATATGAATTCTAAATTCCTTTCCTATTTAAAGTATCCATGAGCCTCCTTCCCATTACATTTCTCCAAGAATTTTGAAAATGTTGTATAATGCTACATGAACCTTGTAACTTAAAAAACGCCTCATTTGTTATCGCTATTATCTATTGCTTTCAATGTTTAAATCCTGCTTTAGTCATATTTTTTCTATGCTTTTGGTCAAATGAACTCAAACAGTGATATGTATTCACTGGTAAATTCATCATTTTACCAATAAGGCCTGTAGAAGGCTGGGTGTGGTGGCTCACGCCTGTAATCCCAGCACTTTGGGGGGCCAAGGAGGGTGGATCACGAGGTCAGGAGATCGAGAACATCCTGGCTAACATGGTGAAACCCTGTGTCTACTAAAAATACAAAAAAAAAAAAAAATTAGCCGGGCGTGGTGGCGGGCGCCTGTAGTCCCAGCTACTCGGGAAGCTGAGGCAGGAGAATGGCTTGAACCCAGGAGGTGGAGGTTGCAGTGAGCCGTGGTTGTGCAACTGCACTCCAGCCTGGGCGACAGAGCTAGAGTCTGTCTCAAAAAAGCAAAAACAACAACAACAACAAGCAAAAAACAAAAAACCTGTACAATATGTACTTTACTCTTTAACATGATTAAACTAGAGGAGATCCTGGATTGAGCAGGGTGTAGAACAATCAACCACAAAATCTTAGTGGCTTTCAACCAATGCTATGGACTTCTTCTGTGGATCATTTGGGTGACTCTTCTGGTATGGACCAGCATGGCCAGGACTGTATGGTCTAGTATGGCCTCATTCAGCATGTCTGGTGGTTGGCTTGATGTCATCTGGGGTAACAGGGATGACTTAGGCATATGTCGTCATCCAGCAGGCTAGCCTAGGCTTGATCACATGTGGTGTTTTCAGGGTTCCCAAGAGCAGCAAAAAGAGCAAAATCCAATGTACAAATACTTTTCAAGCTTTGGCTTACATTACATTTGCTAATATCCCATTGGCCAAAGCAAGTCACATGGCCAAACTCAGATTTCAATGGGTAGAGGAATAGGTTCCAGTTCTTGATGGGAGGAGTTACAAAGTCATATTGGAAAGGAGTATGGATACACAAATGTAAATAATATGTGGCCATTTTTGCCGTGGTATCTGAGATTATTTCCTTGGCCCTTGACCAGTGCTATATCATCTCTTACCAAGCTGTATGTGTACCTTAATTTCCCAAATAGAATACTCTTGGAAAGCCATTTTCTTCCCTTATGTAAGATTCATAATAACCTCTTTGTTACTTCAAACATATTATAAGTTAATGTTAGAAAAATTACAAAGTGAAGACAAGCAGGAAGAAGAGAGTAAAAACAATGTTTAATCTATAACCCAGAGATAACTATTATCTTTTTACTTGTGTAAGGAGCTAACATTATCAAGATTAAGAAATATGTTCTTATTATATATCCCGATATTGTGGTTACATAAAATACTACATATGTAATAAAATGTACTCACAAACCTTATGGATCTATTACTTTAAAGCACTTTTGGCTATTTTTCTCTAGAACTTGGCCAGAGTGAGTCTTTTAGTGTGTTAGTTGGGGTGCAGGTTAAACAGAAGATAACCCCAAAATACAGTGGCTTAAGTAAGACATATAAGATAGATAGATAAGGTCCTTATTTCTGCTCAGATAAAAGTCTAAAGGTAGATAAGTTGTTTACGTTGGGCAAATGTTTCTATTCCACCAGGCCATTCAGTGACCCAGGCTAGTGGGTCAACTTTGCCATCTTCAGTATGCGGTTTCCAGATCTTGGTCCAAGGTGACAGTTGTAGTTGTGGATCTAGATCCTGGAAATATATTCATCTCTGAGATGATGATTTGAAAGTTGCATGTGAGACTTTCACATCCCGTCAGCCCAAAGTTAGTCAAACAGCTACACCTAGCTGTAAGGGTAGTCATGTATCAGATGAAATTTGGGGAGGCTATTACCAAAAGAAAGAAAGAAAGAAAAATCAGATACTGGGCATCAATTTGCTATTTCTGTTATGGTAACTAAATTATATATATCTGGATGACTTTTCCTCCTTATGCATGTAGCCCTATGTCGGTGAATAGCTTGTGCTTTGTCCTGCCTTGTGTCCATTCCTCTGATTGAGGTAATAGCGCTTTAATTTTCCTTTGGAAAATTCTTAAGCCATGAAATTTTGGGTGGTGACCAGTGGGACTCACACCTGGGTGGTTTTTTGTTTGTTTGTTTTGGCAATATTCAGAATGTGAAGTTTTCTTTTTCTTCTACTGGGTCAGTTGAGTTGTTAGGATGAAAGACAGGAAAGAACCTACTGAGAAAAATAGAGCTGAAGAATGCAGAGATAGAGAAGGAATCCTAAAGATGGTGTTTGAGCTCCTGGTTCAAACCACTCCTGAAGCTAGACTCTCCCTTGCCTTTTAATTACATAATTAGAAAAAAATCTCATTTATTTTTGTTTTAGCTACCTTGCATTAGATTTTTGTCAATTGCAACTAAAAGATGGCTGATGAATCCACTCCTTATAATCTTTATTACACTTAATTTCCCTTAGGTTTCATTGCTTTTCCAGATAGGAGTATTTGAATTCAAATTCTGTCATCTAAGGTCAAGACTGCTTCCCAGTGTGGTTTCACTGATGAATTATTTTCTAGTTTTTTCCCATCTGCATGTCATCGGTGGAATGATATTGCAGGTTCTGGTACTGGGCCTTAATTTCTCTCCTCCTCCCAGCCCTTCCATTCCATTTCTCTTTAAACTTTCCTCTACCTAATACGTAAATATAGAAAGGAAGATAGGAGTTGGGTAGTGGGGAGGGGAGAGTCATGGTGGCAGGGGAAGAAGTGACATATAAATTAAAGAAAAAACTATTTTGAGTCATTAACTTACCTTTGTTCCAACTCTCAGTTCCAGTGATTGAATGGAAGAATTGGTCCAAAGAATCAGGGCAAATTGAAAATTGTTGGTGATGCTGCTGGTATTGTGAGGGGCATGAATAGGATGTTTAGAGGGAGGCCCGTGGCATCCAGCAGAGACCAAGTGATTTGAGTGTCATTAAATTCATTATGTGGCTTTTTCTGTTGCTTTTACTTTTATTCCATTAACAATTTGAGGGTTAAGGCCAGCCATTTCCCTACACCTAGACTTCTTTTTGTAATGTACCTACCAGCACCATGGCATGCTGCAATGCTGTTGATTCATTACTGAGATATCAAAACAAATCACTGCAAAATGTGCTGTGCCTTCCATTCTGGTAACTGATGTTGAAGGCTTTGGTTCAAGGCTATTTTTAGAAATACAAAACCTTATAACTAATTAAGGGAATCCCAGGTTAGATCATTTCTTTTACTTTCTTCTAAAGCTTATGGGAATTTAATCTCTAATAAATGCTAATATAAAATTAATGTTCTCTTGGATGGGAAGGTCAATTAGATACCTGGTATTGACTTCAGTCTTCTAATAGGAAATCTCATAAATTAATCTAAAATTGTGATTGTTTCATAAAAAGTTGTGGGGAGGATAGTGGTGAAGTTCACAGATCATAAAATGACCCTGTTCATGTTTTACACTACATGTCCGTTATGAACTGTGACCACTTCTGGCCACGTGACCTACTACTGGCTGCCTCCAGCAATACCTTTCAGTAGGGTAGTGGGTAAGAAGGGTGGGCAGAATGGGGTAGCACAGATAATGAACATCTCCTTTAGACTGGCTAACGCACTTGGACTCTATTATTTGATGTGCACCAATAGAGTTCCCTGTGGCAATATTTCCAATAGACTTGAAACTTCTTTTTTTTTTTTTTTGAGATGGAGTCTCGCTCTGTCATCCAGGCTGGAGTGCAATGGTGTGATCTCGGCTCACTGCAACTTCCGCCTCCTGGGTTCAAGTTATTCTCTTGCCTCAGCCTCCCGAGTAGCTGAGATTACAGGTGCCTGCCACCACACCCAGCTAATTTTTTTGTGTTTTTAGTAGAGACAGGGTTTCACCAGGTTGGCCAGGCTGGTCTCGAATTCCTGACCTCAGGTTATCCACCTGCCTTGGCTTCCCAAAGTGCTGTGATTACAGGCGTGAACCACTGCGCCTGGCTGAAACTTCATCTTTATGAATTATTTTGACCAGTATGGGTGAATTTCAGCACTATATGAACATATTATAGTCTTATTTTGAAAAGACTTTGCTCGCCATCCACATAACAGATCTTTTAGCTGACTTTTTGTTGTTTTCCCTTGTTATTGTGTCTCCGCAGGAACCATATCGGAGAAAATCAGCAGATCAGCAGAATGCTGCTGGTGTGCTGGAGCTTTTGTTTGTGCCTGTGTGCCAGTGTAAACATGAGCAGCATTTCATTCACCAGCCCAGTGCTCATTATTTGAAGCCATTTCCCCAGCATGGTATTCCACAATACTAAGGAAAGTTGAGTCCACTATTACCTGAATGAAACTGAGAATAAAAGAACCCATTCTTAGTGGAGAGAAAATTTGTCCATGCTCACACCAAAGGAAATCACCACAAATAGGCCAGACTTTTTTTTTTATTGTGTTAAACCCAAGCAGACCTATTCATTGACATATAATATGTATTCAGTCTCTGAACTTTTTTTCTGCACTTATCTTGATTAATTTTTGTGGATTTCCTTTTAATTTTTTTTATTTCTATGAGGATTTTTTGAGTTCAAAAATTTCATTAGCATTTTGCAAGCCCTTAAATGAGGCACGAGCATTCCTTTTTCATTTTATTTGCAAATCTTATTCCGAGTGGTCCTAAAGAAATACAACAGGAGGGAAACGATTAATGTGACGGAAAAACACAACTCTCTCCTCCCATTTGGAGATGATATTCTTTTTCTAAAATGTCCATTTGTTTTTGGTTGGAAAATGAGTTTTGTAGGTCAACCTACATGTGATTGGTTTATTGTTTCCTCTCAGCCAATTAGAATCACAGCAGGTAAAAAATCCCTTTAGTTATCCAATCAAAACCTTCAATGTTTCATACTATTGTAACCCTTTTAAAAGAGAATAATGATGTGGATTAAATCTGCTTATGGTTGGGGCCTGAGTGCTCAGAGCAAAGTTAGATCTGTGTTAGCACTAATAATAGTCCCAAGAGAAGTTAACTACATCCTTTTCAGGAAAATAATAGCTATTATCATTGTAATTATGATGTTCTCTTTCAGGGATTACTTCTGAGATTGACATTCTTACCATGTATGCAGTTCAAAAACTTTTATTGTGAATATATTATGCTCCAGCACTGTAATGGGCTATATAAATATTTATAAAACTTCCTTTTCTCCTAACAGTCTTGCAAGGTAGATATTGTTGTCTACATTTTACAGAAGAAAAAACTCGAAAATTGAAGAGATTAAGTAACTCAGCATCACAAGCTGGTAAGTGACAAAACCAGAATTTGGGCCCCTGTGTATAAAATGTTAAAGCTCATGATTTTTTCAGCACCAAATTACCTCAGTAACCATATGCAAAATATGCATTATTCCCAAGGAGAAGCTCTTTGTTTTGGCAGTGGTTCTAATATCCATTTTAGTGGCACTTTAGTGGAAAACATTCTGTGGGAGTCAGAGAACGTAAGAGAAACATAAGCTGCTCCGCTATTGGTATTCTGCTGAGATTCTCTGTTGATTTCACTCCCATTTTAGAATATTGCATTTAATTACCTGTCAAACATATATCTTAACTTTCTGGAGGCAGGAGGGTCAGCCTAATTAGTGTTGTTATTTTTCCGTTTAGTTTTCTGAATATACCTAATGCATTTTAAATCTGTCCTCAACAATAACAATTCAAATAGAGAGCTTCTTAAGAATAAATCTTTAAACCCTGAGAATCTTGAAGTAAATTAATTTAATTTTCTAACCAAATTGGAGAATCATTAAGAACTTCCAAAGTTGGGTGTTAAACTCTGTTTATTTATCTTTCAGGGCAAACAAATATAATTTTCAAAACTTTTACACCATTTTCTGTGCTTCCTTAGTGGAGTCTGGGGATATATTTTTTTTTCCTAGAAATTGAATAAGTCCATGATCCTTGTAACTTTCTTTTTCAACATTGAAATTGATATTCTATAAGCCTCTTCCTACTTATTCTGTCCTTACCTGCCTACATCATGCTCTCAAAAAAGGGGAGATTCTTGCTTACATTTTTGAGAGTCATTAGTGAAAGAGAGAGAGACTCTCAGCTTAGTTGGCTAGAATGAAACAATGATGAGGCCAAGGCAATACAATTATGTCAGGAACCATTTAACATTTTTGGCTCAGTTAGCAGAAATTGTTTCCAACATTCAGACTTCTAATGAACATAACTTTTACCATAGTATCTAGAGTCCACGAAGGAAAAAGATCATATTAGATAATAGCTGTCTGTACTTGGCACAGTATGTAGTTTATAAGATACTAGCTTGTCTACAACTTATTTGATGACTTTGTTATTTCACATATTTTTTAAACGTGGTTTTTAAATTCATCTCTAGAAAATTATGTACTTCTTATCTGTTGAATATGTCAAACACCCTCTTCAAATACTCCCAAACCAAATGTTGGTTACTTCAGTGAATTTTTTGAATAAATAATTGAAATTGGTCCAGACACGTGGTCCTATTTACTATCCTATTAATTATTGCCCTAGAATCTAATGTGTTTACTGGAATATGAATATAATCTCCTAAGGATTAGACATCATGTTGGACTTTCTAATGCAAAAGTTTTGCTGATGGTTTAGCTCCTTATCTATGGTTGGGATAAGTTCAGTTTCACTCTTGAAGTTTATAGCATCAACATAATATTGAATAGTACTTTACAGGTTTCCAAAGTTTCTGTCTTATCTGACTCAAAACAAACTTGTGAGGTAGATGAGTTAGATATTTTTGAATCTCTTTTACACACAAGGAAACAAATGATGTGGGGAGAGACTCATCTTCTGACAGCTAATACAGTGGTTTTTCACTTGTCAATCCAGTTTGATAATTCCTTCTTATAAGTTATGTTCACAGTTGTCATATGGGGGGATATTGTTTTCATATTTAAAGATGTAATAAAATAAACTTTTTTCATTGTGTTTTATTATAGCCGTTCATCTGATGTCGGGTTCATAGAGGAATGAGGATTTTTTTTTTTACCTGAACACTTAAAAGATCAATATTTACAAGAACATTGTAGATATTATTTTCCAGGTTCAAAGTTCTTGTGAAGTTCTTTTGGTAGACATCGGTCTCTTAAGTATTTGATGTATAAATTACTTATTGCTCTATAAGCTACTGTAATAGCAGCAAGCAGTCTAAGAAGGACTTGGGATTTTATCTGTGATGTAGGCTTGATGAAACTAGTTTAATGTAATGTCTTAAAATCTGTTCAGATAGTAAAAATTGGTCCAGAAGAGCCACTCAGAAGTCATAATGAGTCATTAGTAAAAATGTTCAGTAGATGGGAAGCTGCTTACATAAGCTAATTTGCACTGACCAAAAAGGAACACAGTCAGTCCTCTGTACCTGTGGGTTCTGCATTTGTGGATTCAACCGTCCATGGAGAGAAAATATTAAAAAAAAAAATGGATTGGCTGGGCGTGGTGGCTTATGCCTTTAATCCTAGCACTTTGGGAGGCCAAGGTGGGTGGATCATGAGATCAGAGGATCGAGACCATGCTGGCCAACATGGTGAAACCCCGCCTCTACTAAAATACACACAAAAAATTAGCCAGGTGTGGTGGCATGTGCCTGTAGTCCCATCTACTTGGGAGGCTGAGGCAGGGGAATTGCTTGAACCCAGGAGGCGGAGGTTGCAGTGAGCTGAGATCACGCCACTGCACTCCAGCCTGGCAACAGAGTGAGACTCTGTCTCAAAAAAAAAAAAAAAAAAAAAAAAAAGATTAGCTGCACCTGTACTGAAGATGTACAGAATTTTTTTGGTCATTATTCCCTAAACAATGCAGTATATCAAGTATTTATATAGCATGTTCATTGTACTCTGTATTATAAGTAATCTAGAGATGATTTAACATACACGGGAAGATGGAGATAGGTTATGTGCAAATACTATACCATTTTATTATGTATAAGGGACTTGAGAATCCTTGGATTTTGATATCCACAGTGGGTCCTGGAACCAATCCCCTGTGGATACTGCTGGACAACTGTGTATGGCCAAAGGCGTTAATTGTTTTAATCAGTAATTTCAGCACCTACTATGCGCATAACACTGGGGTAGATATAAAGAAGCATGACTTTGTAACAAAAAGGAGTGCACGATCTAGTCATATATACTGCTATGCCCTGAATATATCCCCCAAAGTTCGTGTGTTCAAAACTTAATCCCCAATGCAACAGTGTTCAGATGTGGGACCTTTTTTTTTTTTGGGACGGAGTTTTGCTCTTGTTGCCCAGGTTGGAGTGCAATGGCATGATCTCTGCTAACTCTAACCTCCATCTCCCGGGTTGAAGCGATTCTCCTGCCTCAGCCTCCCAAGTAGCTGGGATTACAGGCCCCGCCACCACGCCCGGCTAAGTTTTTGTGTTTTTAGTAGAGACTGGGTTTCACCATGTTGGTCAGGCAGGTCTCGAACTCCTGACCTCAAGTGATCCATCCACCTTGGCCTCCCAAAGTGCTGGGATTACAGGCATGAGCCACCACGCCCAGCCTTTTTGTTTGTTTGTTTTTTTGAGACGGAGTCTCGCACTGTTGCCTGTGCTGGAGTGCACTTGCACCATCTTGGCTCACTGCAACCTCTGCCTCTCAGGTTCAAGCAATTCTCCTGCCTCAGCCTCCCGAGTAGCTGGGATTACAGGCACCTGCCACTATAGCTGGCTACTTTTTTTGTATTTTTACTAGAGACAGGGTTTCACTGTGTTGTCCAGGGTGGTCTCGAACTCCTGATCTCGTGATCTGCCTGTCTCGGCCTCCCAAAGTGTGGGATTACAGGCATGAGCCATCACACCTGGCCCAGATGTGGGACTTTTAAGAGGTGATTAGATCATGAGGGCCCAGCCCTCATGAATGGATTAATGCCATTATTGTGGGAGTAGGTTCCTGATAAAAGGATAGGTGTGGCCCCATTCCCCCTCAACATGCTCTCTTGCCCTTCTGCCTTCCACCATGGGATGATAGCAGATGCAGCCCTCTCAACTTTGGACTTCCCAGCCTCTAGAACTGTAAGAAATAAATCTCTACTCTTTATGAATTACCCAGTCTGCAGTATTCTGTTATAGCAGCACAAAATGGACTAAGACATGCAAGTCATTAAAAAGTAACGTATTAGCTCTCAACTGATGTATATCCCTTACTGACAAATGACTGACTGGCTTGTGAAAAACTGCTCCAGTTAGTGGCAAGGAGGCTTGGGGATTCTCTTTTCTAGAAATGTACATTTTTTAAATTGTGGTAAAATATGCACAACAAAATTTACCATTTTAACTCTTTTTAAATGTACAACTCATTGGCATTAAATACATTTACAATATTGTGCAACCATCACCACTATGCATTTCTAGAACTTTTTATCCTCTGAAATAGAAACTTTGTACCCATTAAATAGTAGCTCTCCATCCTCCCCTACCCACAGCTCCTAGTAATCTCTATGAATTTGCCTGTTTTAGGTGCCTCCTGTAAGTAGAACCATGCAAAAGTTGTCCTTTTGTGTCTGGCTTATTTCATTTAGCACAATGGTTTCAAGGTTCATTCATGTTTTCAGAATTTCATCTCTTTTTCAGGCTGAATAACATTCCATTGTATGTATACAACGCATTTCATTTATTCGTCTGTCGATAAGAAATGTATATTTTGTGACATCTCTTTTCTTCTGCCCCCCTTTCTTGACTGGTGTTTGTCTGAAACCACCCCATCACTGTTTCTTATTAATATTATAGATTCAATCCTGGGCAAGAATGAAGTAGAGAGATATTTATCCAGATTTAACAAGTAAAAATACAGGATGCAGAATTAAATTCGATTTTCAAATACACAATAAATACTTTTTTAATATAAGAATGTTCCATGAACTATTTGGGATGTACTTTTATTTTTTAAAAAATGAGCTATTTATCTGAAAAAAATAAAATTTAACGGGGTGTCCTGTAATTTTATCTGGCAACTCTAGGTTGGAGGTTAAGTTCTTGAAGCATTCACCTCAGACAACTAGCTCTGGCACCTAACCCTATGCTTTGCCCTGATGACTGACCGGTGTGAGGATAGTTCCCCATTCTCTATCTGTAGCGTCCAAGGCTGAATCACAATCAATTTTTAAACTGAAGAGATATAGGCATGGTGGGAACAGAGAGCTCAATTTCCCCATACCAGAGAAGGTATGTTCCTGGCACCTCACCTTGTTACTTAATGCACTTTCTTATAGAAGTATGATGTTTAAGGCACTGTCTACCCATTACCCAGTTCCAAAGTGACTTCCACATTTTTAGGTATTTGTAAAAGAAGCACTCCACTTCTTGGTACCAAAATCTGTATTAGTTTGCTAGGACTGCAGTAACAAATGCCACAGACTGGGTGACCTAAACAATAGAAATTTATTGTCTCTCAGTCCTGAAGGCTAGAAGTCCAAGATCAAGGTGTCAGCATGGTTGATTTCTTCTGAGGTCTTTCTCCTTAGCTTGTAGATGGCTGTCTTCTCCCTGTGTCCTCTCATGGTCTTTGTCTGTGTCCTAATCTCCTCTTCTTATAAGGAGATCAGTGATATTGGATTAGTGCCGGCCCTAATGATTTCATTTAACTTTAACCTTTTAGAACCTCTATCTCCAAATACAGTCATATTCTGTGGTACTGGTGGTTAGGACTTCAGCATATTAATTTCGGAGTATATAATTCAGCCCATAGCAGTTACCTCCAAATAACATTTGTATTTTGAGACATTCATTTTAAATTATGAAATAAAAAATGTTTTTCTTTCAAAACAGAACTCAATGTATAAGCAAACAGGTGGGTCAACTGTTAGTAACTTGGCAAAGGGTATAGATACAGAGAGGTAAAATTTAGGACCAATAATGCAATGTGCTACTTACTGAACTAGTGGAGTTCATAGAGACTATCTACAGGCTCTTAGCGTTGAAATCTCCTTTCCTAAGTGAAAGAACTGAGACCAGCTCCAATGTAGAGGATGTAGTCTTAATATTGTCTTGTGGTTGATGTTGTTGAAGAGTCTGTGGGCCCATGTCACAAACATTCAGGTATCTGGACCCACTCAGTCCTAACACAGGCTCACCCAAGGAGATCTCTCTTTATAGATACTCCCTTTCATACCTGTAGTTGGCTGTCTCCTCTTCATAACCTCTAACCCTTTGTTTTTTTTTTTTCCCTCTATAAGACCCTATCACACATATTAACAGCTGGTAAATGGCTGGAATGAAGGGTACATTTGCGGGATTGAAGCTGGGTAAGTGGTTTGGGACCAACTTGTGGGGAAGGCAAGAAAGTTGGGACTTGCCTTCCACCACACCATGGGAGCCCTTGAAATATGGTTTCTTTTGGGAACTTCAGACATTTTGGAGAATTAAGTTTTTAAAAAGTATTTAATGGTCTTCTGTAAGCTAATATTTTTTATTTAAATTTACATTTAATTTTCTGTATATTCCCATGGTTTGAAATTCAGAACAATACAGAAAAGTATACATTCAGAAGTTGTCTTAGTCTGTTTTGTGCTGCTGTAACAGAATACCACCGACTGGGTAATTTATAAAGAGCAAAGATTTGGCTGGGTGCGGTGGCTCACGCCTGTAATCCCAGCACTTTGGGAGGCTGAGGTGGGTGGATCACGAGGTCAGGAGATCGAGACCATCCTGGCTAACACAGTGAAACCCCGTCTTTACTAAAAATACAAAAAATTAGCCGGGCATGGTGGTGGGCGCCTGTAGTCCCAGCTACACGGGAGGCTGAGGCAGGAGAATGGCATGAACCCGGGAGGCGGAGCTTGCAGTGAGCCGAGATCGCGCCACTGCACTCCAGCCTGGGTGACAGAGCAAGACTCCGTCTCAAAAAAAAAAAAAAAAAAAAAAAAAGAAAATTATTTCTTACAGTTCTGGAGGCTTGGAAGTCCAAGACTGAGGGACCACATCTGGTGGGGGCCTTCTTGCTGCATCATAACATGGAAGAAGGCATCACATGGCCAGAGAGACAAAGAGACAGAGAGAGACAGACAGAGAGAGAGAGAGAGAGAGAGAGAGAGAGAGAGAGACAGACAGACAGACAGAGAGAGAGAGAGAAAGCGCGTGAGAGAGTGAGCACATGCAAGACATTGAACTCACAGCCCCAAGCCCTTTATAATTGGCATGAATCCATTTATGAGGAAGCTGGGGCCCTCATGACCTAAGGACCTCCCTTTTGGCCCCACCTCCCAACACTGTTGCATCGGGGATTAAGTTTCCAACACATGAACTATGGGAGCATACATTCAAACCATAACAGGAGTCATGTTCCCATTCCTGCCCTTGTTCTCCCTGATCCTCGCCCTTGCCTCCTATGAGTTTCTTATTTATTCTTCCAGTATTTATGTAGATACAGATACAAATATATTTTCTTCTGTCCTCTCTCTTATACAGAGGCTAATATACTATATGCATTCTTCTGTATCCTTCTTCATTAACATTATTTTTGGAAATTTTTCTGAATAATTACGTGGAGAACTTCCAGATTGCATAATCATTTATTGTGTGAATGTGTATCATAGTTTATTTAGTCAGCAACCTCTTGATGCATACTTGGATTGTTTCCAATCTTTTGATATTGTAAGCAGTGCTATGAAATGATCTTGTATATGTGTTATTTATTCCATGTGCAGGTATACCTATAAAATGATTTTTTGGAAGTGGGTTTGCTAAATTAGAGGGCAAATTTATTTGTAATTTTGATATTGCTAAATTGTTCTTCCTGGGAGTTTTAAAATTTTGTACTTTAACCAGCCGTGTATGAATTACTTGCAAAGCCTCACTAACAGACGGTGTGTTTTGTCATATTTTGGGACCTTATGAGTGAGATTGAGCTTATGATCACGTTTAAGGGTCATATGTTTCATCTATAGCTAGACATGTTTTTGTCCATTTTTTTCCATTGAGATGCTAATCTTTTCCATCTCAATTTCTGGATATTTTTTAAAAACATAAAGTGGAGATTAGTACTTAGTGGTATGTTTCAAGTAAATTCTCTAGCATTATTTGTCTTTTGACTTTGCTTATGTGTTTTTTTTTCTGTGAAAAAATTGTTAGTTTTCATTTTGTTGACTTTTACCTTTTCTTTTAGGCTTTAGGATTTTAAAAGGTAAGTTAGAAAGGCCTTCACAATGCCACGGTTATAAAGCAATTCACTTACATGTTCTAGCACATTAGTGGTTTTAAGATTTATGATTAAATATTTGATACATTTGGAACTTATCTCCATGTAGTGTAAAATGTAGATCCAGCAGTTTTTTTCAGGTATCTACTAAGATATCTTGTAGTGCCAGTCTTCTTCTTTTTAAGAGTTTTCTGGTTATTCTTCAATTTTCCCTGTAGAACTTTAGAACCAGCTTGTCTACTTCAGAATATCTATTAGTATTTTATGAGAATTATATTAAATTTATAGATTAATTAGGATAATTGATGTATCTATAATGCTGAGAGTTACTTTCCAAGAACATGGTATATCTATTTTTCAGGTCTACTTTTGTGTCTTTTGAGATTATTTCAAGGTCTTTCTCATATAGATTTTGTACATTTCTTGTTAAGTTTATTTCCATATATTTAATCCTCTTTGCTGCTCTTATATACAGGATTATCTCTTCCATTATGTTGGCTTATGGCTGTTGTTTGGATGTAGGATGACTGCTGGTTTCTGCGTATTAACTTTATACTCCACTTCATTTCTATTTATTTTCCAGTGGATTCTCTTAGGTTATTTAGGTGTACAATCATATCAGTTGTAAATAGGGATGATTTTGTTTTCTCACATTTCTTTCTACTATCTAATTTTGTTAAAAATCTCAAGCAAACTCAATTAAATAATTTTAATCTCTTCAAATATGAGCATGCCTGGAATTAAATTATGATTGAAAAGCTTCCAATTTGATATTTTTTTGTATGAGTGCCATAGTGAGGCTCTGAATGACAGAGATTTTAAGTGTTATGCTGCTATGCCTTTAGACTCAGATGTTGGGCTTGAAAGTCTGCTGATGGTATTTGGGAACTTTGGGCTGGTGGGAGGATAGAGGGGATCCTCAAGGCAGGATGGATGTCAAATGCACTGACCTGATGCAGAGATGACTTTGGAACTATGCCTGGGCTGTCAAGGTACAGGCAGAGAGTTACAGTGCTGTTGGGATCACATTTCACTCTGACTGATTCCTGATGTCTGCATTTCTCTGTTGAGTATAACTCCCCTCTCTTTTTCCTTCTTCTTTTTGCCGCTCTGCTTTTCTTCTTCCTTATTTTGTAGTTAGCAAAGTTTAAGGAAGTTTTCTAACATTTAGATTGGATTTAAATCTTTGCCATCTTGAAGAACATTTAAAGCAGAGCCTATGGTGAACCAAGAAGGGAAACCCAGAAGATAGTGGGGGAAGTGATTTAAAAACTACAAATCTGAGCACTTGTCTTCAGTAGAGGTACTATGGCACCCAGAATTTGACCAGTGAAGAAGGAATTTTTAAGTTGGACCTCTGTCAGGAAGTTACTCTTCCTTTGAGAAAGCTGGAACCACAACACACCACTCCTGCAGTTGGCTGCCAGGAAGAATGCTGAAAACATGGAGGTTAGAGGTCCCGGGGGAAGCCAGTACAGGTGAAGTGGTAGGGATTAATTCATTAGTAACAGACATTTCTGCAGAGACAGTGAAGGTGTGCCATTGGTAAAGATTCACTGCTTCAAGTGATTTTTGTGTGACTCCAGACAGATTGAGAGAATCTGCAGTTATTATTGCAGGTCCACATGGAATACAGTCTCATCCCAGTGAGGACTGGTCTGGGACCGGAAGTATGTCAGCCATACAGAAGGAGATCCACAGAATCTGGACAACAAGGGAAGAGAAAGATGAACAGGGTGAAAGTAGAGACCTTTTTTCTCATCTACACTTCCTAACGGCTTCGGAAGACTAGAAGTGAAAATAAGAAGCATAACAAATTCCATTTGTAGTTTGTTAAATCACTTTGCTTGATCAACTGATTGTTGATCAACTGTTTCATTCCATAGCGTGGATCCAGTCTTTGTTGTTACTGTTTTCAACAAAGTGCTGCTTTATTAAGTCCTCCAGAAACGGTTAGAAATAGACATTTAGAGTGGGAGAAACTAATAGGCTATATAAGGTGAGATTCCTGGGCCTTAAATGGAGGAAAATAGGCAGTAAAGAAAACCCCCTTTACAGAATGTTGTTTTCATAAAGCTGTTTCTATTTGAAGATTTCAGTGCCATGTAGGCCTTCAAAGGTGTTAGCCAGAGAACAAGGGCCTGAGGGATGAAATTGTGAGATCACAGGGAATTGTGCAACCTCTGTTTACTTACTTGTTATGATCCTGTGCTTTTTCATTTGTAAAGCAGAAATATTTGCCTACTAGGAGTTTTATAAAAGAATACATATATGATGTAAGTAAAGGATTTAGCCTCATACTTGAAGCATACTAGGTGCTCTATATGTGGTAATTAGTATTATTATATCTGCATTTATAATAAACACTTGGCCTGGCCTGACCCCTTACTCAACTTCCATTTTCTTTTCTTTTCTTTTCTTTTTCCCTTCTCCTTCCCCTTCCCCTTCCCCTTCCCTTCCCTCTTTTGTCAGAGTGTCACTCTGTCACCCAGGCTGGAGTGCAATGGCATGATTTCTGCTCACCGTAACCTCTGCTTTCCAAGTTCAAGTGATTCTCCTGCCTCAGCCTCCTGAGTAGCTGGGTTACAAGTGCCTGCCACCATGCTGGGTTAATTTTTGTGTTTTTAGTAGAGACAGGGTTTCGCCATGTTGGCCAGGCTGATCTTGAACTCTTGACCTCATGAGATCCACCTGCCTCGGCCTCCCAAAGTGTTGGGAGAACAGGCGTGAGCCAATGTGCCTGGCCCCATTTTATTTTTCTTAACTGTTTAAACTAAGACATGGAACAAAGTTAATTAAAACCTTGGATTTCTAAGATTCCTAGAGAATTTCAGAACAGAATTGCAATATCAAGCCTCTGGTTTGAATTGAATAACTTCAGCTGTATTGCATCCGTTTGACCTGCTCCTGTTTGGGTGTTTAACATTGTAGGATATCCTTTCTGTCTAGGCTCAAATTGAAAGAAGAAAGAATATCTGCTTTTTGTTTTTCTTGTATCTGTGAAACCTGTAGATTATAGTTCTGCCTTTGAGGAGAATTTTAGAGTATGGCAATTTTGGTAACATAGGAGTCCCTTTTGAAGCTCACATTATGATAAAAACCAACCCATCCTCTAAATGTTCTCTTTTTCTATGTGTTATGTTTTGCTGATTTCCTGTCTCTTTTCCCCTTTAGGCTGTATATAGATGATAATTCTTCACCAAACTAGTAAGAATATCCTCTCCTCCACAGAGCTAATATTTGAGACTTTTAACCCTAAGTCATGGTTATCTAATCTATAATAATTTTTTCTCACTTATTTTATGTATCCTTCTGTTTTCTTGGTTTGTTCCCTGGTTTTGTTATGAGAAATCTATGATTCTTAGTATTTTTATTGTCACAATAACTTAGAAGTCATAAAGAACACTGTCTTCGGGGTGATTAATTTAGTGGGAGATTCTTCATATTGCTTTAATCAGTACTGGGCAGGAAGAAGCAAAAACTTCCCTAATGTTTCTACTTGTACCACATAAATTAAATTGGAAATACTTAGACAACCATGTATATGCATTCTCTTATCTTACTGGCTTTTAGTATAATTTATAACATGGAACATCTGTTCTCTTTGCCTGAGTAAATCAAATTTACCCTCTTTTATCTTCAAGTTTATCAATAGAAGGTGGATGAAAAGTAACAAGCAATTAAGATACTTCAAGCTCCTTGCCTCAAGGCTAATCAGACACATAATCTATACTTTTGTAATAATACCTTGTAATTTGGTGGCTACAAACCTTTTATTATATGCCTTTAGTCATTTGTAATATGACTATATTGGAGTTTCATTTATCAAAAAGGTTAGAAGAGCTAATTTACTTTAAGGTAACTCTTAACCCAAAAAGAACTTTCACTACTTTTAAATGTTTTAATTATCTGCTCACACAGTCTAGAAAAGTTTTAAAATTAATTTTAGACCACCTTGATGACAATAGAACCAACGATGACAAATATCTTAATAAATCGTGATTTTGATGGAAGTAATGCAATTTAAAAATAACGATAGCTAACATTTAGTTCCTACTGTGTTTGAGATGCTTTTCTAAATGCTTTATGTATTTTAACACTTAATTGTATCCTTATAACAATACATTTATGTCCCCAATTTTCACAGGAAAAGAAATGGAGGCTCAGATTAAATGACTGGTCAAAGTCTCAGTGGCATTAATTGTTGGGGCTGGAATATGAATTCATAACCAGCTTCCTATTCCACCCTCTCTCAAGTACCCAAATCAATGTGGGCAAAATGTAGCAGATTAAAATGATTTTGACACTGAAACAAAAATGTTGCTGTCCTTAAAGGTATCTGTCTGCATGGCCTCCTCATAAATTTAGCCCAAAGAAGGACTTCTATAAAGTTGCCATTAAACATTGTCGTCTGTGGAGACTAAGGTCCAAATGATTTCAGATAAGTGGATCTGAATGAAGTAAAAACCTTCACTAGACAAAGAGCGGTGTGATGGCAGGAGTCGTGTTTATGTTCTCCACCAATCTATTCCCAGGGCCTAGCATTGGACTTGGCATATAGTAAGTGCTCATAAAAATACTCATAGAATTGGATTGAAAACCAATTTGATCTATGTGAACCTTGGTTTGTATTTTTAAAATATCACTTTCTTTTGTAAAATTAATACTTGCTCACTATAAAGAATTTAAACAGTAAAGAAAGGAAAAGAAACGGCCCCAAATCCCACTACTGTACCTGAAACAATTGATATTGACATTAGTAACCATCATTTCAAATATTATTTTGTACACCTATATAGAAAGATAATCTACTTTAAAAATAGGATTATATGACACAAACTATTTTATTAGATACAATTTTAATTTCACCTGAATCTAAGAAAATTAAAATACATTGAAGTAAACCTAAAAGAATTGTTTCAATTTAACTTAATGTTTGAATTTAATCACAAGAGTTATTATTTTCTAAATTATCCCATGATCCCTTTTAACATAAGAGAATATGAAAAATTAAGGTTTTTATTTGTGTGTAGTTAGATCTACCTTAGTTTTATATATACACATGCTTTAGTTTTATATAGTATTAATTGAAATTCCTTATATGAAATATGAAGACATTAGCATTTTTCTATTTTTTTTTTAATTTTTTGAGATGAAGTCTCACTCTGTTGCCAGGCCGGAGTGCAGTGGTGTAATCTCGGCTCACTGCAACCTCCACCTCCCAGGTTCAAGCGATTCTCCTGCCTCAGCCTCCCGAGTAGCTGGGATTACAGGCACCTGGTAGCACGCCCAGCTAATTTTTGTATTTTTAGTACAGGTGGGGTTTCACCATGTTGGCCAGGTTGGTCTCGAACTCCTGGCCTCAGGTGATCCGCCCACCTCGGCCTCCCAAAGTGCTGGGATTATAGGTGTGAGCCATCGCGCCCAGCTGACATTATCATTTTTATTCTTCCACTTCCTCACCTCCTTTTTATCTTATTATATTATTATTTTTGAATTGTTATGGTTTATACTGTATTTGTTTCCTATTTTGATAATTCACACAGTTATAAAAAATTATATATATTTAAATGGGAGGACTTATTTTTTTTTTTTGAGATGGAGTCTCACTCTGTTGCCTAGCCTGGAGTGCAGTGGCATGATCTCAGCTCACTGCAACCTCCACCTCCTGGGTTCAAATGATTCTCCTGCCTCAGCCTGCCAAGTAGCTGGGACTACAGGTGCATGCCACCACGCCCAGCTAAGTTTTGTATTTTTAGTGGAGATGGGGTTTCACCATGTTGGCCAGGCTGGTCTCAAACTCCTGACCTCAGGTGATCCACCCACCTTGGCCTCCCAAAGTGCTGGGATTACAGGTGTGAGCCACCGTGCCTGGCCTTAAATGGGAGGACTTTTACTACTAATTCTTTTATTATGTGTTCTTCATTTTGATACATCTCAATTGGATAGATTGAAAACTCATATCTTGTTTTCCAAGAAAGGTTCATGTGTATTGTATTCCCTGAGTTTTTCATGGTTTAGAATGTTTGCCTGTTGCCTTTTTATTTGAATGTCATCATGACTGGGTATAATATTCTTGGATATATTTTCCTTTAGAATGTCGTAGACACATTTCTACTGTCTTGTCTTTGAATATTATTGTGAGAAGACTGATCACAGCCTGATCCTCCCCACCTACCCTATCATCCTTTGTACCAATTTGCTTCCATCCACCCCCCTCATATGCCTGAAAAATTCTTTCCTTATTTTTAAAGTTGAATAACTTCACCAGAATATGATGAGTGCTCTGGAACCATTTTTCCTGGTCTGTGTGCTTTTTTGTTTTGCATATTTATGTTTTTCTTCAGGAAAATTTCCTATTACATTTTTAGATGCTTTTCTGATCTCTTTGATGAGTTCTCTGCTTTAGGGGCATCAAATGTCTTTCTTTTGGATTGTTTTTGTCTTTCCTTCATTACCGTTAGCTTTCTCTGATAGCTTTGAGTTTTTAATTTGCAATCATTTGATTATCACAAGTTTATTTTTCATTGCCTCTTATGTGAATCTTGGCCCTATCAATTCTATGCCTTCTTCCCTCCATTCTATTTATTAGTTCTCTATTGGCATGGTTTGATCCTCAATTAGTTTCTTATATCTGCAGTCTCCCTTTTCATCTCCTTTTATCATTTTGCTTTTGAGCTTCTGTTCTTTTTTGTTAACGAGAATTCATTTTTGCTTAGTTTTTTTTAAAAAATGGGTAATATAGTTACATAGTTCAAAAATCAAAGAAAAGCTCTATGTGAAAATACTCACTGTCTTCTTCCATCCATCCAGTTTACCTCCCCCATACATAACCAGTGTTATTCATGAGTTCTGTGCCCTTTTGGAGTTTATGTACATTCAAGCAAAAATAAAAATACAGTCTTTTAAAAAGAGCTTTTGTTACATGGAGCTCATATTATTTGCTTATATCGTTTAATTATTTGTGGTGATAATTTTTTTCTCTTCTTTAGATAACATTTTTGCTTGGACTGATTTCTTTGTCTTTTCTGTTCTTTCCTTTTCTCTGCCTTTTTTGCTGTAATGTTCTTGCATATTTTCCTTGCTATTTTTTACTTTTCTCATACTTTACTTGGACAGCTCCATCTATGGCTTTTGATTGTTCTCATCTAGTGTACATAATTTCCTTATCACTTTCCACTTTATTGAGATCAATGTTATTTGTACTAAAAATCACAGAAAATTGGGCATTTAGTACTTAACCTCTTTTTATAATTTGGGGACATGGCAAGGGATGGGAGACTCAGTTAAGGGAGTATTTTAGTTAAAATCCCTGGGCTTCTGATACTTTATTAAGTGCCCTGAACCAGGTTTCTTCCCCTAGATAAGAAGTATATCCCATTCACATGGTGAGAACATGGGGCGAGGGTGGGGAGGGCAATACCATAGGCTTTGGATCTGTTCTCCAATTCAACTTGCAGCTCTGGAGCCCTATCACTTCATCCAAAAGTTCACCTCTTTCTAAAAAGCTTCTTTCATTTCACTTATTTCTCTGTAGCAGCCATTTCCATCATGCCCCTGTTAAAAGTGGGAAAAGATGCCAGCTCAGTTAGATACTCTCCAAATTTGTGGATCTGAATGAGAATTTCCATGATCTTTATGACTCACAATCTAGCTTTTGAGAGGTGAGGAAAAATTAAGTGGAAAGCCTTGCCACATTATGTTAGTTATATTTTGGAATTCCATTTCTTTTCTGCGCTATCAGTTTATGGTGTTGGAATGTAATATTTTCTTTAATTTGATTTCAACTTATTTTTTTTGCTAATTTTTTTTCCCTTTTTTTGTGATGTATTAGAGAAATGATTTCACAGAAATCTTTTTTTTAAATAAAAAAAGGTATTTGGCTTTTTCTTTTTTCTTTTAAAGGAAAAACCTTAGGCAAGTTAAATTTAACAGAGTTTAATTGAGCAAAGAATGATTCATGAATCAGGCAGCCCTCAGAACCGGAACAAGTCCTATGAACTCTGGCCTGCAACATGGGAAGGCAGCATTTATGGACAGACGATGGAAATAAAATAGACAGCTTAATTGGTTGCACCTCATTGTTTTTTTTTTTTTTTGCTTTTTTTGAATCAGTTGGATGCCCGCAACTGATAGAAGCTCAGCTGCTGTAATCAACGGAGACTCAGCTATTTGTTACCAGAATATACCTGTACACTACTCTTAAGTTAGTCTTCCAGTTAGTTTCTGTACTAAGTTAGGTGGCAGTTTTTTATTTTTTATTTTTAAATGTAAAGACTTGAGTACAGAGGCATACTGAGGCCAAATTCAGTTTGGTTTAACAGGCTTATATGGTTCTTTCTATTCCCTACCTGTCACCAAATTTCAACATTATATGGGAACAGTTATTACAACATATGCAAAGAATTCCTTTGTGAGATCGGGAAATATGGGATGGGGTGGGGAGTAATATTTTGTTTAAAGCTAGCCTGCTAATTTTTATTGAATTTTGTTTTTGGGAGGCTAAGATGACATTTTGAAATTTCCTTCAGTCTGAAGGTTGTCCTGGAATACTGAAGTCCTTCAAATCATTTTATATATCAATAGAGCCATATTACTGAACGTGGTATTTGTGGCTCATGCCTCCAAACAGCTGGAGCCTAAGAGAAAGTAGAACATCTGATAAAGCTCCTGCTTGGAGGATTGAGACAAGGTCTTTAAAAAGAGACCACACAGTATCATATACTTTAAAAGAGCCTTGTCTAACTGAGCTGTGGATAGAGGACTGACTGAATTCACAGCTTTAATTGTCCTCCAGTCACAGCCACAGTTACCATATACCCATCATTTACAAAGGAGCAGGCTGCTGCTGCTGTGGCTGCTGTGCCAAGGTGGTTGATAGAAGACGGTTAAAAAACCCAATAGCCAGGGGAATGGGAATTGGAAGCATCTGAGAAAGGAAGTGGAGAAATAACCGGACTGCTCCTGGAGTCCCGCCAAGCCCTCTGTACACTGCTGCTACATGCCAAGTTCTACCAACTGTGAAATTATATATTTCTACATCGTAGCATCACTTTTCCCCCAAAAGGGCACCCCATCTATTTAGGGTGTTTCTACACAACTATACTAGGATCTATTTATTGTTTCTTTTATAATTAAACTCTTCAGGCCATCTTAATTCCCTGGGGAAGAGGAAGTGGTCAGCAGTGAATACCATTACCCCTAGTTTTACCTATAGAAACCTTGTCAGCTCTGCATTTTGGATAACTCCATGAAGCTTAAAACAATAAATGTATGTTTAAAACACTCCACAAACAAATCCAACTAAATTGGGAACTGAATTCCTTGATTCAGAAACAAGTAGTATTTTTTTTGGCAGTATTTAAACATTTTTGGTTTCTTGTTCCAGGTGCAGTTTATTTTTATTTTTTTGAGACAGGGTCTTTCTCTGTCACCCATTTGGTGTGCAGTGGCATGATCAGGGCTCACTGCAGCCTTAACCTCCTGGGCTCAAGCAATCCTCCCACCTCAGCCTCCCAAGTAGCTGGGACTCCGGATGTGTGCCACCGCGTCTGGCTAATTTTGTAGGGTTTTTTTTTTTTTTTTTGAGATGGAGTTTCTCCATGTTACCCAGGCTGGTCTTGAACTTCTGGGCTCAAGCAGTCTGCCTGCCTTAGCCTCCCAAAGTGCTAGGCCCAGGTGCAATTTTAAAGGAGCAATAGATTGGAATTTCCTCTTTCTTTTTTTTTTTTTTTAAATTTTGAATTTTGCTGACGGAAGTTCAAATGTTATTCAGTGTGTGAGGTTCTTCACATCAAAACAAATATCTTTTCCCTGTCTGATGAATTCGAAAGTTCCTGTCACGTTTCTATCCACAGGTTAAGTGTATCTTAGCAGACTTGGCTACTGTTCCACTGTGATTGAGTTATGAAGCATGTACAGCTAGCAAGGTTTCTGTAGGTAAAACTAGGGAGTAACAGTATCTACTACTGACCACTCCCTCTTCCCCAGGGAATTAAGGTGGCCTGAAGCGTTTAATTATAAAAGAAACAACAAATAGATCCTAGGAGTTATGCAGAAACATCCTAAAGAGATGTGGTGTTGCCTTTCAATTGAGGCTAGACATTAGTCCATGTAATGAAAACCTGGATCCTTGTGGGTAGGGTAGAGAGTGAGGAGGGCTAGTCCATCATGCAGCATAGAAAACGGGGGGGATAATGACCATGTGTCTCTAGCATATCCTGAGGAGAAGTTGCCCTGGTTTAGTTACTAAGAAGCAGGCATATTCCATCCCTACAGTGTTTATTCATCACACAAAATGAATCATCCAAATTGGGGCATCATTATAGAAAGTGAAAGGGGAGTGCTGTTAATAATTAATTCAGGGTATCAGTACAAATAGGACTGTTCTGGGCAAATCCTAACCCACTTCCCCTAACTCTGATGCTGTATTTACTAAACAAACTTTTAACTACAATTGGTCTTCCTAAAGAGTTTTGTCAACAGAGAGAATGTAATGATAATTTATTCATTCAACATGTATTTATTGAGTAAAACACAGAGTTTTGCTTTCATGGGGCTTACAGTCTAGTAGAGAGATAGTCAATTAAGCTCTTACTATACACCATGATCAGTGTTGTGCTAAGGGAAGTATGAGGTAGCCTAGGTGGGTCACTACTAGGACTTGGAAGTTAGGAAGGTTTTCTGAGCTAAGACCTGAAGTAAAGTGTGATTGAAACATACTGGGCAAAGGAGGTATGGAAGAGAGTTTTTCCAGCCCAGGGTATATACAGGCCAGAAGCTAGAGAAAGCATTTATTCTAGCTCAGCGGTCCCCAACCTTTTTGGCACCAGGGATCGGTTTCATGGAAGACAGTTTTTCCACGGAGAGGGGTGGGGATGGTTTTGGGATGATTCAAGCGCATTACATTTATTGTGTACTTTATTTCTATTATTATTACATTGTAACATATAATGAAATAATTATACAACTCACCATGATGTAAAATCAGTGGGAGCCATGAGCTTGTTTTCCTGCAACTAGATGGTGCCATCTGGGAACAGATCAATAGGCATTAGATTCTCATAAGGAGCATGCAGCTTAGATCCCTCACATGTGCAGTTCATGACAGGGTTCATGCTCCTATGAGAATCTAATGCTGCTGCTGATCTGACAGGAGGCGGAGCTCAGCCAGTAATGTGAGCAATGGGGAGTGGCTGTAAATACAGATGAAGTTTCACTGATTCGCCTGCTGCTCACCAACTGGTGTGAGGCAGGGGTGGGCATGGGGTGGAGGGAGGAGTTGGGGGGCCCTGTTCTAGCTAATGAAAGATGTGTGTTAGGCTGAAACTTTGAGTGAAGAAGAGGAATAAGAGTTGTAATGGCAGAGATGGGAGAGGGCAGCTCTCAGAGCGCACAATCCATTCTGGACTCATCCACTTGACTTCATTGCCAGTCTGGACACACACCCGCTATGAGTTTCCAGGCCAGATTCAGGATTGAGCTGGAAGAAGGGAGAAGCTTCAAATTGAATGGGAATTGGATGTTTTGATTTAGATTAGATTGGACTTTATGAAAGTAATGTGCTTAATCAAATAGTAATGATTTAAACAGCAGTATCACACTTAAGACAAAAACACATGTCCCTATCTCTATCCCATTCTGCCTTTTGATTTCTACTTTTTGGAGGCACTCATGTTTAACTCAACATTTTTATCTGTTGCTTCTGCTATTTACTTCAAAATTCCTGTTACATCCTGATTTTTCAACTTTAAGCATTCTCTATTAACTTTGTTTCATGGTAAATGAGGATTTAGATACCTTTCATTACCACCTTGCCTCTTCTCTTCCCAATATACACATGTACGCCTATCCATCTTCCCAATATAATTATATTGTGATTTATTTTTATTAAATCAGTATTTCATGTTTATATTAGTATGCCTAGTAAACAGGAAGATTTGCAGCTGAGCAAATAATATTTCCGTGTACTACTTTTTACTCTTCCTGGTTTTAATTAGTTTTCTATGTACTTTTCACTAATTCTGCTTCCAAATTTTGTACATAATAATCAATATAGTCAATGAGGAAAAATCTATTAGTTGTATTTTTTTTTCTGTTGCACTGTCCTTTCTGAAATCCCATCTTCCTGACTCAGGCTGGATGGATTGGCTTGTCAGGCCCACTGCATAGTCTACATCTCAGGACTGCCCTTTGCAGTCATTCTGGGGATGCCTTTTGCCTCTATCCTGTGTTAAGCTCCCTAATCATGTTTCTTTCCTGATTTAGATTGGACTTTTTCTGCCCCTCCAAAAAGCTGAAATATCATCTAGGAGATTGACCCAACAAAGCAAATCTGAAAATAATGGTGGGTGAAAATCACTTTCTCTCTGGGGAAGAGGAAGTGGCTTTCATTCTATTAAGTCTAGTTTATTCAATAAACCAGTTAAATAATTGAAGGAATATCATGATCAGATTGTGTTTTAGCAACATTCATTTTCAACATCATGTGTTTATTGATATAATGGGGGAACAAGACGGGCATGGGGCCTACCCTCTTAAATCTAAACTCTATGATGTATACAGTCAAGATAGCAATTAGAATATAGTGTGAAAGGCGAGTACAAGGATAAGGTGCTATGGCCACGTGTGAGGGGGCACTTAACTCAGAAGTAGAATGAAGGATGGACTGAGGGAGCAAACAAAGGGTCACATATTGCATGATTCCAAGTATATGAAATATCCTGTATAGGTAATTTCATAGAGACAGAAAGATTAGTTGGTTGTCGGGATCTGGGGATAATGAGGAGTAACTGCTTAATGAGCACAGGGTTTCTTTAGAAGTGATGAAAATGTTCTGGAACTAGATAATTGTGATACTTGCAGAGCATTGTGAGTGTACTAAAAGCCACTGAATTGTATACTTTAAAATGGATAATTTTATGTCATGTAAATTTTACCTCAATAGAAAAAATAAAATAGAAGAGTGAGCAGTTAGAAGACTACTACCATGATAGTCCTGATGTGAGATACATTTTAAAAGTATTTATTTTAAAAGTATTATATTTATGTAGTTTTTGAATAGGCATGCACATGGCACAAGCTTCAAAAAGAACAAAAGGTTTAAAGTAAAATGTAAGTGTCCTTCCCTTCCTATCTGCCAGTCATCTAGTTCTCTTCCCTTGGAGGAAAACATAGTTATCAGATTCTTATGTATTTTGAGTCTATGCATAATGTTTATGTATTTGTGTGTTTATATATAAATATAAATATATCTCTTGTGTATATATTCATATATGTGTGTATTCAAATATATATTATTTTAAAATCAACTTGTAGTTTATGGGGTTTAGGATATGCCACCTCATAATATGGCACCCTGGCATTTGAGAAAACAGCAGAAGCAGGAAGGTCACTCTCACCTTTCCCCCACCTTTCTACCCTGAAGCAGGTCATCAAATCTAGGAAGGTCACTCTCTGACCATCTCCTACCTTTCTGCGCTGAAGCAGTTCATTTGAGAGGTGCTTTTCCTATACCTGGAGAAAAGTAACATCCTTATCTCTGGGAAAAGTAACACAGAGGCACAAAGAAGAATCTGAACAAACAGGCCTTGCTAAGTTCTCTCCAGTTTATTGCCATTAGATCATAGCCTTTTGTCCTCCAATCATACTTCTCCAAAACTTTCCACTCTTCAAACCTAAGCATAAAAATACACAAGCTTACCTGTTTCTTTGGGTCTTCATTTCCTTATGAAGGCTCCCATATGACAAACATCTTAAATAAATTTGTATGTTTTTCTCTTTTTAATTTGTCTTTTGTTATAGGTGCCTCAGCCATAAACCTAACAATGGGCGAAGAAAGGAAATCATTCTTTCCCTGTGTAGCATACTACAAACATATTCTGCATCTTGCTATCTTCACTTATATCTTGGAGGTCATTTCATATCATTACATAGAATGTTGCCTAGTTCTTCTTAATAGCTTCCTAGAATTCCATTATTGGACTATAATTTATTAATCTGTTCCTTATTAATGGATATTTAGATATTTAGACTTTCAGTTTTTTGCTGTTACCAACAATGCTATAGTGAATATTCTATATGTGTATATGTTATTTTGCACAAATGTGAGCATGTGATAAGGCCCTGAACCACAGCAGTGGCAAACGGAAGGAAGAGGAGGCGATGAGAGAACACGAGGGAGACACAAGCATGCAAGGAGACAGAATTTATCAAACGTGGCAACTGATTGCATATCATAGATGGAGAGGGAGAAGTTTGTATTGCTGTGCATTTTCAGTCCCTAGCAGAGGGCAGGCACGTAACAAATATTTTCAAAATGCAACCACAAGAATAGCTTAAAAGTTTTCTAGTATAAATTATGGGTTGTGGTAAATGAACCATTTTCATACCCACACTTGTTTTGATTTCCATGACCTCTCTCCCTTGGCATTCCTGGAGGGCTTTGGCTTGATAGTTTACTGACAAGCGGTCAATGACTTTTACTGAACAATGCATTGTATGACTCTTGGTTCTTTGTGTTGTAGATTATGGGCAGTGCAGCAGTTAATAAATAATTGCAAATCTGATTGTGGCATGCCAGTGTTCTTGAATAGAGTGAGTGTTTTATGAATCAGAACAAACATTATATTTAGGCTTCCATTTAATCTTGAGGTTAATGATATTTAACAGAATTGAAAATTATACTACATAGTGCCTTTAATCAGTGTTAAGAAAAAGATTTGCTGCTTTCTCCATCTCTTCATACCATGGAATATTTGGTATCTTATCTCTCTTCAGGAACTTAAAATTATTTCTTCTTAGAATTTCCTTAAAATATCTTTTATTCCCTAATTGAACTATGATTTAAAGGCATGGTAAGATTATAATTAAACTAGTTTTGACACCTACACAATACATACTCAGAATTTCAGTATATTCTTAATTTATGATGTGATTATTCAACATTAGTGACTGATATAATCAAATTACCATACTAACTATGACATTTGTGTTTAGGAAAATTTGCAACTGCAAACTTAAAAATTGTAGAGAGCCTTATTTCATGTTTATATGTGATTCTTTACACTCCCATAATCAGAAACAAAGCTGATAGTGGTTAGTGTAAACTTGCCTATATGCACCTAAATGTCCACTGTCTGTCTCTCTATTTTTCTATATTCTATCATCCAGTTGCTTTTGTTAGCAAAGTGTACAATTTCTACTTGTGTGGTTTTTATTAACCTCTCTTAGGCCTTTTGAAATTATTTGATTTAGACGTGGTGAGCCAGATTTAATTTTATGAAAAATTGTCTTCTAGCAACCCAGCAACTCTTTGGCTGCTATGTAAGTAGAAATGTAAATGTTAGAGTTTTTATAGGTAAACCTTATGGTTAAGGAGATTTCCTGTTATAAGAACAAGACAGCATGGTACTGGTACCAAAACAGAGATATAGATCAATGGAACAGAACAGAGCCCTCAGAAATAATGCCACATATCTACAACTATCTGATCTTTGACAAACCTGACAAAAACAAGAAATGGGGAAAGGATTCCCTATTTAATAAATGGTGCTGGGAAAACTGGCCAGCCATATGTAGAAAGCTGAAACTGGATCCCTTACTTACACCTTATACAAAAATTAATTCAAGATGGATTAAAGACTTAAACGTTAGACCTAAAACCATAAAAACCCTAGAAGAAAACCTAGGCAATACCATTCAGGACATAGGCATGGGCAAGGACTTCATGTCTAAAACACCAAAAGCAATGGCAACAAAAGCCAAAGTTGACAAATGGGATCTAATTAAACTCAATAGCTTCTGCACAGCAAAAGAAACTACCATCAGAGTGAACAGGCAACCTACAGAATGGGAGAAAATTTTTGCAATCTACTCATCTGACAAAGGGCTAATATCCAGAATCTACAATGAACTCAAACAAATTTACAAGAAGAAAACAAACAACCCCATCAAAAAGTGGGCAAAGGATATGAACAGACACTTCTCAAAAGAAGATATTTATGCAGCCAAAAGACACATGAAAAAATCCTCATCATCACTGGCCATCAGATAAATGCAAATCAAAACTACAATGAGATACCATCTCACACCAGTTAGAATGGCGATCATTAAAAAGTCAGGAAACAACAGGTGCTGGAGAGGATGTGGAGAAATAGGAACACTTTTACACTGTTGGTGGGACTGTAAACTAGTTGGACCATTGTGGAAGTCAGTGTGGCAATTCCTCAGGGATCTAGAACTAGAAATACCATTTGACCCAGCCATCCCATTACTGGGTATATACCCAAAGGATTATAAAACATGCTGCTATAAAGACACATGCACACGTATGTTTATTGCGTCACTATTCACAATAGCAAAGACTTGGAACCAACCCAAATGTCCAACAATGATAGACTGGATTAAGAAAATGTGGCACATATATATCATGGAATACTATGCAGCCATAAAAAATGATGAGTTCATGTCCTTTGTAGGGACATGGATGAAGCTGGAAACCATCATTCTCAGCAAACTATCGCCAGGACAAAAAAACCAAACACCGCATCTTCTCACTCATAGGTGGGAATTGAACAATGAAAACACATGGACACAGGAAGGGGAACATCACACACCGGGGCCTGTTGTGGGGTGAGGGGAGGGGGGAGGGATAGCATTAGGAGATATACCTGATGTTAAATGATGAGTTAATGGGTGCAGCACACCAACATGGCACATGTATACATATGTAACAAACCTGCACGTTGTGCACATGTACCCTAAAACTTAAAGTATAAAAAAAAAGAAATCTGAAGTAAAACTTTGAATAAAGAAATAAAATTGTCTTACCTCCTGCCATACTGATTAGCAAATTATGCATTTGAGTTGCCCAGAAACCTTTATTAATAGCTTGAGGTCATCAAAACAGTTCCTCAAGAAGCATTACTAAAAATCCCCCATAAACTGACTCAGGCTCCTTCACCTTTCCTTTCTCCTTTCCTTTAATAGACATTGTTAAGGCATTCTCACAGAGTGTATAAATTTATAGTCCTACAAGCGGCTTACAAGAAGCTGTTTCTTTACTGTCCCACCAACACAGTGTGCTATTTCAGTTGCTTTTTGTGAACCTTCCTTAGCTTGATTGTATCTTTTTTGAAGTTTAGAGACCAGATCTTTATCATTATCCTAGTCATAGACCAATTGCTATGGAGCCAGCTTTAATGTAGGTAATGAGGTTGGAGAAGGAAGATAAGAAAGCTTTTAAATATATTTTATATAATAGATACAAATATATTTTATTAGAAAATATTTCAAGCATGCAAAAATTTTAAAGAGTATTAGAACAAACATTCTTGTACAACACCACCCACCGTGTTGTACTTTATCCTTTTTGCAACATTTCTTTTACATCCTGTTTTAGAAGTGGAGTACTACATACAGATTTGAAGCTGCTTGTATACTCTCCCTAATATCATTTGTCTCTCTCTTTCCCCAGGAATATCCTTTTCAAGCGTATTTTTACTTCTACAATAAACATTATTGTTTTGCATGTTTTGGTGACACTGTGTGAGTTCTTCTTTGACATTTTTCCTCAACATCATGTGTTTGAGATTTCTCCATGTTGATATATGTTATTTATTTTATTGTCTTATAATTCTATATAAATGTCATAATTAATTTATTGTCTCATGGATGTACATTTGAGTTGCCAGCTTTATACTAATGCACACGGTACTGCAATGAATGTCCCCTAATAATGTGTCTCTGTCTCTCTTTTAACGTGAATAAGGAGGTATGTAATTCCAAGAGCTACTGCATCCATCTAGGAGGAGGAAATTACTGAGTCATAGGGAAACCAGTTCTGAGAAGGTAGTGTGGTGTAGGGTAACAGTTTATTGTTCTTGGAACAAAAAGTTTCTTACTATTTCTGGGTGTGAATTATGCAGGTAGGAAGACCATATCATGAATTTGGAGAGGTAGATGGGATGAAGGGCCCAATATGTTGGAAGCTTTGAATGATCTTAAGTGGGGAGTTATTTGATCAATTTTTCATTTTAAAGACATTGTTCTGGTGGGTTATGTGGAGGATGAACTAAAATTGGAATAAGGAGTGTTTCAATTAGTACCCTTTGCATTATAAGTAATAGAAAATCAAACTCAAGTTGAATTAAATAAGAAGGGAATTTATTGACACACAGGAGTGGAACGCCTAGAGGTAGAAAGGTAGGTTTGACCAAGCAGCTCAATGATGTCACCAAAAACACATTTTCCACCTCAGCTTTGTATTTCATGCGTTATCTCTACCATTTCCTGGTTGCCAGATGACTGCCAACAGCTCCTGGGACTGTAAACTTCATTGACCATGTCCAAAGTGGGAGGAAAGAGGGAGAGAGGGAGAGTGGGAGAAAGAGAGGGAGAGATAGAGAGAGAGAGAGAAAGAAAGAAAAACATATAGAGCACCTCTCATGCTCTCAACCTGATTTCTGATTGTACATGTTCACTACTGAACCAGTGTCCCAAGGGGGATGGAATTATTTGAATGGTTTATTTCATCAAGGACCTCCATTGAGGCTAGGGGATGGTGTTTATTTAACTCAAGAAGGCTGCTACATCAATGAGGGAGACATGGTTCCCTTTAGGACAGCCTCCCCACAGGCTGTTAGGAAGATGTAATAGATAAATTTAGGCTGGTTAGAAACTCAACAGATATCCTCCGTGACAGAGAAGTGAGCAAGCCTGGAGTGAGAGACATATATAAAGAGGTGATGAAACAGCAAAGTGATAAGGAACTTTGTTCATGGAAGTAGGGAGAGGTAGAAGGAAATGAACTTGAGAAATATGTAGGAAGCAGAACTTAGTGATTCATGATTATGGGGAGATAAGGGTAATGTATTAGTCAGGCTAGGCCAAACAGCCATAACAAAGAGATCTCAAAATCGAATAGCTCAAACCTTCAAAGTTTATTCCTCTCTTAGGTTTGGTGTGTGTTTTAGAGTGCTGCTGATGGCGGTGGTGGATAGATCTGATTCATCTTTTAGGGATCCCAGGTGATCTCACCTAGACCACCTTCAACATATAGCTTCCACGATTGCTTTGATTATTGCCATTCTCATCCTTAGGAAGGGGAAAGTGTGAGAACCTTGTCATAAGACAACTCCTAAACCACAAGTGAGACTGGGATGTATGGTATATATCACATAGATTTTGGTGGACAGCTGGCAGTCTTTGCTATAGGTAGACTGGTGGATGTTGACTCCCATGTTTCTAGTTTGAGCAATTGATGATTGATGGTTCAGCAAATGTGTTAGAGAATACAGAAGGAGGATTTGAAGTGAGAGGAGAAGGGGAGATAAAGAGTTCAGATTGGGATATCTTGAGTTTGATGTGTGTGCAAGGCATACAGGTGGAAATATATAATTGGCAGATGGCTATAAAAGCCTGGTCTTCATGAAGGGAGGTCAGAAATAGATATAGAGATTCGAGAGTCATTCATTATTAAGTGGTTGATTCTTGGGGTAATTTTTGCTTAAAAGTATTACCTGGCATTCACCTTGAAGCCCATCTTCCTCTTTTCTGCTGCCCACTCCTTCAATCATGTGACATTTTTAGGCAGTTTATCCCCAACCAGTTTGACAGCTCAGTACTTGGAAAAGCAAAATTTATTCTTCAAATATGGAGATGTCTTCCTCTCACAGATTGTTTATAAAAATGTCAAAATAATATCAGTGCTACATGATGGCTAGGGGATCCCATTGTTAGCATGACTCCAACTAGATAAGTGCTTTATAATCACTGCCTTTGATTGCCTGTCTTTAATTCAGCTCTCTATGCTTGACAAAACAATTAAGATTTTAAACAAATTATCTATGAGTTGTCCCTTATTCAAATGCTTTTTTATCCTAGTTGTGTATGATTTTTCCTTAGAGAAACCTTGTTCCTATTCTTCTAATAAGTTGTGAGTGATAGCATTTCCTATAATCCTGAATTTGTAAGTGAGTCTAAGAATTTTCCATGTAGGGGATGGGACTCACAGTTCTCAGGGTTTTCTCTACTATACCCATTATGGAAGGGATTGTGTTCCTAGAAAGCTCCCTCAGAGAGAGGAAAGATTGTTGCAATTTTTTGGCCTTGGCAAATATTTGTTTTGGAGTTAAAGAACTACGATGTGGCCGGGTGTGGTGGTTCATACCTGTAATCACAGCACTGTGGGAGGCCCAGGTGGGTGGATCACCTGAGGTCAGGAGTTCAAGACCAGCCTGGCCAACATGGTGAAACCCCGTCTCTACTAAAAGTACAAAAATTAGCTGTGCGTGGTGGTGGGCATCTGTAATCCCAGCTACTTGGGAGGCTGAGGCAGGAGAATCGCTTGACCCTGGGAGGCAGGGGTTGCAGTGAGTGTGAGCCGAGATTGTGCCATTGCACTCCAGCCTGGGAGACAAGAGCGAAACTCTGTCTCAAAAAAAAAAAAACAAAAAAAAAACTACAATGTGTTTTCCAGACATTTTCATCTATTCTATTCCATGGGTTCTTATTGTTACAAGGGGTCTAAGAAGTCATCCCTGTGGTCCTATTAGAACAAGTCAGGGAACCCTGTAGATTTGGCTTGGACACTTTCAGTACTGAACAGCTTAATACTTTTTAGGAAGATTGTTTCCTTGATGAACAGCTTTAAAGTGATTTTTTAGGTTGAGTTCATATCTGCCTACTTCTAATTCTACTCATTAGCTCTAGAACAGCAGATGTCAGCCCTTTTGTATAACGGTCTTTTAGCCTTAGAGAGGTCACTGTCTGACACATATATGGGATTATAGATAATATATGTAACTGGCTATATTATAACTACACCTTTGGATCATTTAAGTAAACACCGAAATGCAAATGAGGGAGTGAACAACTGGTAACATTGACCCCTTTCTGGTTTATATAAATCACTTGCAAATGTCCAAACTTCAATAATTAAAAATAACAAATTATTTGCTACTCATCGCCAGAGTAAAACACAAGAGTTCATCCAATATTTAAATATAGCTCAGATAGTCCACCCTTAGTCTTCTCACCTTGGGCTATTTATGCCCTTTTATGCCATCCCATTGTTATTGTTATTTTTTGTTTTTATTTTATCTGTTGAGAGTAAGATTTTTATTTATTTATTTATTCTCTTTCCAACTTTTATTTTAGATTTGGGGGTATACATGCAGGTTTGTTACATGGGTAAATTGTGTGTCACGGGGGTTTCGTGTACAGATTCTTTTGTTACCCAGGTAATAAACATAGTACCTGATGGGTAGTTTTTCCATCCTCACCTTCCTCCTGCCCTCCACTCTCAAATAGGCCCCAGTGTCTATTGTGCCCTCTTTGTGTCCATGTGTACTCAATGTTTAGCTCCTATTTATAAATGAGAACATGCAGTATTTAGTTTTCTGTTCCTGCATCAATTTGCTTAGGATAATGGCCTCTCGCACCATCCATGTTGCTGTAAAGGACATGATTTCTTTTTTTATGGCTGTGTAGCATTTCATGGTGTATATGTACTACATTTTCTTTATCCAATCCACTGTTGATTGGCAGCTAGGTTGTTTCCATGTCTTTGCTATTGCAAATAGTGCTGTGATGAACATGCATGTGCATGTGTCTTTATGAGAGCATGATTTATATTCCTTTGGGTATATATCCAATAATGGAATTACTGGGTTGAATGGTAATTATGTTTTCAGTTATTTGAGAAAGCTCTAAACTGTTTTCCACAGTGGCTGAACTAATTTACATTCACGCCAGCAGTGTATAAGTAGTCCCTTTTCTCTACAACCTCGTCAGCATCTGTTATTTTGCGACTTTTAATAATAAGCATTCTTATTGGTATGAGATGGTATCTTATTGTGGTTTTGATTTGCATTTCTCTAAGGATTAGTGATGTTGGGCATTTTTTCATATGCTTGTTGGCCATGTGTATGTCTTCTTTTCAGGAGTGTCTCTTCATGTGCTTTGCCCATTTTTAATGTTTTTTTAATGCTACATAAAATGCTTTATTCACTTCACTTTAAAAGATTTTTTAAAGCCTCCGGTATTTGTTTATTTTTAAACTTTTAGGTTCACAGGTAAATGTGCAGGTTTGTTACATAGGTAAATTGTGTGTCGTGGGGGTTTGGTGTACAGATTATTTCATCACCCAGGTAATAAGTATAGTACCTGATAGGTAGTTTTTTGATCCTCACCCTCCTCCCACTCTCCACCCTCGAGTAGCTCCCAGTGTCTGTTGGTCCCTTCTTTGTGTGCATGTGTGCTCAATGTTTATCTCCACTTTTAAGTGAGAACATGTGGTATTTAGTTTTCCGTTCCAGTGTTAGTTCGCTTAGGATAATGGCCTCCAGCTCTATCTGTGTAGCAACACAGACGTGATCTTGCAAAGGATATGATCTTGTTGTTTTTTATGGCTGTGTAGTATTCCATGGTGTATATATGCCACATTTTCTTTATCCAGTCTGCCACTGATGGGCATTTAGATTGATTTCATGTCTTTGCTATTGCGAATAGTGCTTTGGTGAACATACATGTGCCTGTGTCTTTATGGTACAATGTTTTATATTCCTTTGGGTATATACCCAATACTCAGATTGCTAGGTCAAATAGTACTTCTGTCTTAAGTTCTTTGAGAAATTGCCATGCTGCTTTCCACAATGGCTGAACTAATTTACATTCCTAACAGCAGTGAATAAGTGTTCCCTTTTCTCTGCAACCTTGCCAGCATCTGTTATTTTTTGAGTTTTTGATGATAGTCATTTTGACTGGTATGAGATGGTATCTCATTGTGGTTTTGATTTTCATTTCTCTAATGATTGGTGATGTTGAGCATTTTTTCATATGCTTGTTGGCCATGTGTATGTCTTCTTTTGAAAATTATCTGTTCATGTCCTTTGCCCACTAGTTAATGGGATTGTTCGTTTTTTGTTAGTTGATTTAAGATCCTTATAGATTCTGGATATTAGATCTTTGTCAGATGAATAGTTTGCAAATATTTTCTCCCATTCTTTAGATTGTCTCTTTACTCTGTTGATAGTTCCTTTTGCTGTGCAGAAGCTCTTTAGTCTAATTAGGTGCCACTTGTACATTTTTGTTTTTGTTGCAATTGCTTTTGGTGTCTTTGTCAAGAAATCTTTACCAGGGCCTATGTCCAGGATGGTATTTCTTAGGTTTTCTTCTGGAGTTTTTATAGTTTCAGGTTTTACATTTAAGTCTTTAATCCATCTTGAGTTAATTTTTGTATATGGTGAAAGGTAGGGGCCCAGTTTCAATCTTCTGCATATGGCTAGTCAGTTATCCCAGCACCATTTAATGAATAGGGAGTCTTTTCCTATTGCTTGTTATTGCTGGCTTTGTTGAAGATTAGATGACAGTAGGTGTACAGCTTTATGTTTAGGTTCTCTCACCTGTTCCATTGGTCTATGTGTCTGTTTTTGTACCAGTACCATGCTGTTTTAGTTACTGTAACCTTGAAGCACAGTTTGAATTTGGGTAGTATGATGCTTCTGGCTTAGTTCTTTTTACTTAGGATAGCTTTGGCTATTTGGACTCTTTTTGGTTTCCATATGAATTTTAGAATAGTTATAATTCTGTGAGAAATGTCATTGGTAATTTGATAGGAATAGCATCCAATCTATACATTGCTTTGGGTAGTATGGCCATTTTAACAATACTAATTCTATCTGAGCATGGAATGTTTTCCCACTTGTTTGTGTCATCTCTGATTTCTTTCAGCAGTGTTTTATAATTCTCATTGTAGAGCTCTTTCACTTCCCTGGTATTTTATTCTTTTTGTGGCTATTGTGAATGGGTTTGCATTCTTGATTTGGCTGTCAGCTTGGACCTTACTGGTATATAGAAATGCTATTGATTTTTGTACATTGATCTTGTTTTTTGAGACTTTGCTGAAGTTGTTTATCAGATTGAGGAGCCTTTGGGCAGAGACTATGGGGTTTTCTAGGTATACAATCATCATATTGTCAGTGAAGAGAGATAGTTTGACTTCTTTTTTTTTTTTTTTTAAATTTAGATGCCTTTTATTTCTTTCTCTTGCCTGACTACTCTGGCCAGGATTTGCAGTACTATGTTAAATAGGAGTGGTGAGAGTGGGCATCCTTGTCTTGTTCTGGTTCTTAAGGGGAATGCTTCTAGTTATTACCCATTCAGTATAATGTTCGCTGTGGGTTTGTCATAAATGGCTCTTATTATTTTGACGTATGTTCCTTCAATGCCTAGTTTGTTGAGGGTTTTTAACATAAAGCGATGTTGAATTTTATCAAAAGCCTTTTCTGCATCTATTGAGATGATCATGTGTTTTTTGTTTTTAGTTTTATTTATGTGATGAATCACATTTATTGATTTGTGTGTGTTGAACCAACCTTACATCCCAGGAATAAAGTCTGCTTGATTGTGGTGGATTAGCTTTTCTATGTGCTGCTGGATTCAGTTTGCTAGTATGTTGTTGAGAAATTTTGCATCTATGTTCATGAGGGATATTGGCCTGAAGTTTTCTTTTTTTGTTGTGCCTCTTCCAGGTTTTGGTACATCATGAGAATGATGCTGGTCTCATAGAATGAGTTAGATAGGAATCCCTCTTCCTCAATTTTTTTGGAATCCTTTCAGTAGGATTGGTATGAGTTATTTCTATGTCTTGTAGAATTCGGGTGTGACTCTCTCTGGTCCCGTGCTTTTCCTGGTTGGTAGTGTTTTTTATTATTACTGATTCAATTTTGGAACTCATTTTTGGTCTGTTCAGGATTTCAGTTTCTTCCTAGTTCAATCTTGGAAGGTTGTATGTTTCCAGGAATTTAACCATTTCTACTAGGTTTTCTAGTTTGTGTGCATGTAATAGTCTCTGAGGCCTTTCTAAAAAAATTTCTGTGGGGTCAGTGGTAATATTCCCTTTGTCATTTCTGACTGTGTTTATTTGGATCTTCTTTTTTTCTTTATTAGTCAAGCTAGCAGCCAATCAACCTTATTTATTATTTCAAATAACCAATTTTTGGATTTATTGATCTTTTGTATGGTTTTTCTCATCTCCATTTCATTCAGTTCATCTCTGATTTTGGTTATCTTATTTATTTTGCTGGCTTTGATGTTGGTTTGCTCTTGTTTTTCTTTTCTTTTTTTATTATTATTATACTTTAAGTTTTAAGGTACATGTGCACAATGTGCAGGTTTGTTACATATGTATACATGTGCCATGATGGTGTGCTGCACCCATTAACTCATCATTTAGCATTAGGTATATTTCCTAATGCTCTCCCTCCCCCCTCCCCCCAACCCACAACAGTCCCTGGTGTGTGATGTTCCCCTTCCTGTGTCCATGTGTTCTCATTGTTCAACTCCCACCTACGAGTGAGAACATGCGGTGTTTGGTTTTTTGTCCTGGCGATAGTTTGCTGAGAATGATGGTTTCCAGCTTCATCCATGTCCCTACAAAGGACATGAACTCATCATTTTTTATGGCTGCATAATATTCCATGGTGTATATGTGCCACATTTTCTTAATCCAGTCTACAATTGTTGGACATTTGGGTTGGTTCCAAGTCTTTGCTATTGTGAATAGTGATGCAATAAACATACGTGTGCATGTGTCTTTATAGCAGCATGTTTTATAATCCTTTGGGTATATACCCAGTAATGGGATGGCTGGGTCAAATGGTATTTCTAGTTCTAGATCCCTGGGGAATTGCCACACTGACTTCCACAATGGTCCAACTAGTTTACAGTCCCACCAACAGTGTAAAAGTGTTCCTATTTCTCCACATCCTCTCCAGCACCTGTTGTTTCCTGACTTTTTAATGATCACCATTCTAACTGGTGTGAGATGGTATCTCATTGTGGTTTTGATTTGCATTTCTCTGATGGCCAGTGATGATGAGGATTTTTTCATGTGTTTTTTGGCTGCATAAGTGTCTTCTTTTGAGAAGTGTCTGTTCATATCCTTTGCCCACTTTTTGATGGGGTTGTTTGTTTTCTTCTTGTAAATTTGTTTGAGTTCATTGTAGATTCTGGATATTAGCCCTTTGTCAGATGAGTAGATTGCAAAAATTTTCTCCCATTCTGTAGGTTGCCTGTTCACTGTGACAGTGGTTTCTTTTCTGTGCAGAAGCTCTTTAGTTTAACTAGATCCCATTTGTCAACTTTGGCTTTTGTTGCCATTGCTTTTGGTGTTTTAGACATGAAGTCCTTGCCCATGCCTATGTCCTGAATGGTATTGCCTAGGTTTTCTTCTAGGGTTTTTATGGTTTTAGGTCTAACGTTTAAGTCTTTAATCCATCTTGAATTAATTTTTGTATAAGGTGTAAGTAAGGGATCCAGTTTCAGCTTTCTACATATGGCTAGCCAGTTTTCCCAGCACCATTTATTAAATAGGGAATCCTTTCCCCATTTCTTGTTTTTGTCAGGTTTGTCAAAGATCAGATAGTTGTAGATATGCGGTGTTATTTCTGAGGGCTCTGTTCTGTTCCATTGGTCTATATCTCTGTTTTGGTACCAGTACCATGCTGTTTTGGTTACTGTAGCCTTGTAGTGTAGTTTGAAGTCAGGTAGCGTGATGCCTCCAGCTTTGTTCTTTTGGCTTAGGATTGACTTGGCGATGTGGGCTCTTTTTTGGTTCCATATGAACTTTAAAGTAGTTTTTTCCAATTCTGTGAAGAAAGTCATTGGTAGCTTGATGGGGATGGCATTGAATCTATAAATCACCTTGGGCAGTATGGCCATTTTCACGATATTGATTCTTCCTAGCCATGAGCATGGAATGTTCTTCCATTTGTTTGTATCCTCTTTTATTTCATTGAGCAGTGGTTTGTAGTTCTCCTTGAAGAGGTCCTTCACATCCCTTGTAAGTTGGATTCCTAAGTATTTTATTCTCTTTGAAGCAATTGTGAATGGGAGCTCACTCATGATTTGGCTCTCTGTTTGTCTGTTATTGGTGTATAAGAATGCTTGTGATTTTTGCACATTGATTTTGTATCCTGAGACTTTGCTGAAGTTGCTTATCAGCTTAAGGAGATTTTGGGCTGAGACAATGGGGTTTTCTAGATATACAATCATGTCGTCTGCAAACAGGGACAATTTGACTTCCTCTTTTCCTAATTGAATACCCTTTATTTCTTTCTCCTGCCTCATTGCCCTGGCCAGAACTTCCAACACTATGTTGAATAAGAGTGGTGAGAGAGGGCATCCCTGTCTTGTGCCAGTTTTCAAAGGGAATGCTTCCAGTTTTTGTCCATTCAGTATGATATTGGCTGTGGGTTTGTCATAGATAGCTCTTATTATTTTGAGATACGTCCCATCAATACCTAATTTATTGACAGTTTTTAGCATGAAGCGTTGTTGAATTTTGTCAAAGGCCTTTTCTGCATCTATTGAGATAATCATGTGGTTTTTGTCTTTGGTTCTGTTTATATGCTGGATTACATTTATTGATTTGCATATATTGAACCAGCCTTGCATCCCAGGGATGAAGCCCACTTGATCATGGTGGATAAGCTTTTTGATGTGCTGCTGGATTTGGTTTGCCAGTATTTTATTGAGGATTTTTGCATCAATGTTCATCAAGGCTATTGGTCTAAAATTCTCTTTTTTTGTTGTGTCTCTGCCTGGCTTTGGTATCAGGATGATGCTGGCCTCATAAAATGAGTTAGGGAGGATTCGCTCTTTTTCTATTGATTGGAATAGTTTCAGAAAGAATGGTACCAGTTCCTCCTTGTACCTCTGGTAGAATTCGGCTGTGATTCCATCTGGTCCTGGACTCTTTTTGGTTGGTAAGCTATTGATTATTGCCACAATTTCAGATCCTGTTATTGGTCCATTCAGAGATTCAACTTCTTCCTGGTTTAGTCTTGGGAGAGTGTATTTGTTGAGGAATTTATCCATTTCTTCTAGATTTTCTAGTTTATTTGCGTAGAGGTGTTTGTAGTATTCTCTGATGGTAGTTTGTATTTCTGTGGGATCAGTGGTGATATCCCCTTTATCATTTTTTATTGCGTCTATTTGATTCTTCTCTCTTTTTTTCTTTACTAGTCTTGCTAGCGGTCTATCAATTTTGTTGATCCTTTCAAAAAACCAGCTCCTGGATTCATTAATTTTTTGAAGGGTTTTTTGTGTCTCTATTTCCTTCAGTTCTGCTCTGATTTTAGTTATTTCTTGCCTTCTGCTAGCTTTTGAATGTCTTTGCTCTTGCTTTTCTAGTTCTTTTAATTGTGATGTTAGGGTGTCAATTCTGGATCTTTCCTGCTTTCTCTTGTGGGCATTTAGTGCTGTAAATTTCCCTCTACACACTGCTTTGAATGTGTCCGAGAGATTCTTGTATGTTGTGTCTTTGTTCTCGTTGGCTTCAAAGAACATCTTTATTTCTGCCTTCATTTCATTATGTACCCAGTAGTCATTCAGGAGCAGGTTGTTCAGTTTCCATGTAGTTGAGCGGTTTTGAGTGAGTTTCTTAATCCTGAGTTCTAGTTTGATTGCACTGTGGTCTGAGAGACAGTTTGTTATAATTTCTGTTCTTTTACATTTGCTGAGGAGGGCTTTACTTCCAACTATGTGGCTGCTCGGGGGTCAGGGGTCAGGGACCCACTTGAGGAGGCAGTCTGCCCGTTCTCAGATCTCCAGCTGCGTGCTGGGAGAACCACTGCTCTCTTCAAAGCTGTCAGACAGGGACATTTAAGTCTGCAGAGGTTACTGCTGTCTTTTTGTTTGTCTGTGCCCTGCCCCCAGAGGTGGAGCCTACGGAGGCAGGCAGGCCTCCTTGAGCTGTGGTGGGCTCCACCCAGTTGGAGCTTCCTGGCTGCTTTGTTTACCTAAGCAAGCCTGGGCAATGGTGGGCGCCCCTTCCCCAGCCTTGCTGCTGCCTTGCAGTTCGATCTCAGACTGCTGTACTAGCAATCAGTGAAACTGCGAGGGCATAGGATCCTCCGAGCCAGGTGCGGGATATAATCTCTTGGTGCACCGTTTCCTAAACCCATTGGAAAAGCGCAGTATTCAGGTGGGAGTGACCTGATTTTCCAGGTGCCGTCTGTCACCCCTTTCCTTGACCAGGAAAGGGAACTCCCTGACCCCTTGTGCTTCCCGAGTGAGGCAATGCCTCGCCCTGCTTCGGCTCGCACACGGTGTGCTGCACCCACTGTCCTGTGCCCACTGTCTGGCACTCCCTAGTGAGATGAACCCGGTACCTCAGATGGAAATGCAGAAATCACCTGTCTTCTGTGTTGCTCACGCTGGGAGCTGTAGACCAGAGCTGTTCCTATTCGGCCATCTTGGATCTCCTTCCTAGTTCTTTTAATTGTGATGTTAGGGTGTCAATTTTAGATCTTTCCTGCTTTCTCTTGTGGGCATTTAGTGCTATAAATTTCCCTCTACAGATTGCTTTGAATGTGTCCCAGAGATTGTTGTATGTTGTGTCTTTGTTCTCGTTAGTTTCAAAGAACATGTTTATTTCTGCCTTCATTTCATTATGTACCCAGTAGTCATTCAGGAGCAGGTTGTTCAGTTTCCATGTAGTTGAGCGGTTTTGAGTGAGTTTCTTAATCCTGAGTTCTAGTTTGATTGCACTGTGGTCTGAGAGACAGTTTATTATAATTTCTGTTCTTTTACATTTGCTGAGGAGGGCTTTTCTTCCAACTATGTGGTCAATTTTGGAATAGGTGTGGTGTGGTGCTGAAAAGAATGTCTATTCTGTTGATTTCGGGTGGAGAGTTCTGTATATGTCTATTAGGTCTGTTTGGTGCAGAGCTGAGTTCAATTCCTGTATATCCTTGTTAACTTTCTGCCTCATTGATCTGTCTAATGTTGACAGTGGGGTGTTAAAGTCTCCCATTATTATTGTGTGGGAGTCTGAGTCTCTTTGTAGGTCACTCAGGACTTGCTTTATGAATCTGGGTGCTCCTGTATTGGGTGCATATATATTTAGGACAGTTAGTTCTTGTTGAATTGATCCCTTTACCATGATGTAATGGCCTTCTTTGTCTCTTTTGATCTTTGTTGGTTTAAAGTCTGTTTTATCAGAGACTAGGATTGCAACCCCTGCCTTTTTTTGTTCTCCATTTGCTTGGTAGATCTTCCTCCGTCCCTTTATTTTGAGCCTATGTGTGTCTCTGCACATGAGATAGGTTTCCTGAATACAGCACACTGGTGGGTCTTGACTCTTTATCCAATTTGCCAGCCTGTGCCTTTTAATTGGAGCATTTAGCCCATTTACATTTAAGGTTAGTATTGTTATGTGTGAATTTGATCCTGTCATTATGATGTTAGCTGGTTATTTTGCTCGTTAGTTGATGCAGTTTCTTTCTTGCCTTGATGGTCTTTACATTTTGGCATGTTTTTGCAGTGGCTGGTACTGGTTGTTCCTTTCCATGTTCAGTGCTTCCTTCAGGAGCTCTTTTAGGGCAGGTCTGGTGGTATCAAAATCTCTCAGCATTTGCTTGTTTGTGAAGTATTTTATTTCTCCTTCACTTATGAAGCTTAGTTTGGCTGGATATGAAATTCTGGGTTGAAAATTCTTTTCTTTAAGAATGTTGAATACTGGCCCCCACTGTCTTCTGGCTTGTAGAGTTTCTGCCGAGAGATCAGCAGTTAGTCTGATGGGCTTCCCTTTGTGGGTAACCTGACCTTTCTCTCTGGCTGCCCTTAACATTTTTTCCTTCATTTCAACTTTGGTGAATCTGACAATTATGTGTCTTGGAGTTTCTCTTCTCGAGGAGTATCTTTGTGGTGTTCTCTGTATTTCCTGAATTTGAATGTTGGCCTGCCTTGCTAGATTGGGGAAGTTCTCCTGGATAATATCCTGCAGAGTGTTTTCCAACTTGGTTCCATTCTCCCCGTCACTTTCAGGTACACCAATCAGATGTAGATTTGGTCTTTTCACATAGTCCCATATTTCTTGGAGGCTTTTTTCATTTCTTTTTATTCTTTTTTCTCTAAACTTCTCTTCACGCTTCATTTCATTCATTTCGTCTTCCATCACTGACACCCTTTCTTCCAGTTGATCGTATCGGTTACTGAGGTTTGTGCATTCGTCACGTAGTTCTCGTGCCATGGTTTTCAGCTCCATCAGGTCCTTTAAGGACTTCTCTGCATTGGTTATTCTAGTTATCCATTCATCTAATTTTTTTTCAAAGTTTTTAACTTCTTTGCCATTGGTTCGAACTTCCTCCTTTAGCTCGGAGTAGTTTGATCTTCTGAAGCCTTCCTCTCTCAACTCGTCAAAGTCATTCTCCATCCAGCTTTGTTCCGTTGCTGGTGAGGAGCTGCATTCCTTAGGAGGAGGAGAGGCGCTCTGATTTTTAGAGTTTCTGGTTTTTCTGCTCTGTTTTTTCCCCATCTTTGTGGTTTTATCTACCTTTGGTCTTTGATGATGGTGATGTACAGATGGGTTTTTGGTGTGGATGTCCTTTCTGTTTGTTAGTTTTCCTTCTAACAGTCAGGACCCTCAGTGGCAGGTCTGTTGATGTTTACTGGAGGTCCACTCCAGACCCTGTTTGCCTGGGTATCAGCAGCAGTGGCTGCGGAACAGCGGATATTGGTGAACCGCAAATGCTGTTGTCTGATCGTTCCTCTGGAAGGTTTGTCTCAGAGGAGTACCCAGCCGTGTGAGGTGTCAGTCTGCCCCTACTGGCGGGTGTCTCCCAGTTAGGCTACTCGGGGGTCAGGGACCCACTTGAGGAGGCAGTCTGTCCGTTCTCAGATCTCCAACTGCGTGCTGGGAGAACCACTACTGTCTTCAAAGCTGTCAGACAGGGACATTTAAGTCTGCAGAGGTTATTGCTGTCTTTTGTTTGTCTGTGCCCTGCCCCCAGAGGTGGAGCCTACAGAGGCAGGCAGGCCTCCTTGAGCTGTGGTGGGCTCCACCTAGTTCGAGCTTCCTGGCCGTCTTGTTTACCTACTCAAGCCTGAGCAATGGTGGGCGCCCCTCCCCCAGCCTCTCTGCCGCCTTGCAGTTTCATCTGAGACTGCTGTTCTAGCAATGATCGAGGCTCCATGGGTGTAGGACCCTCCAAGTCACGTGCAGGATATAATCTCCTGGTGTGCCATTTGATAAGCCCGTTGGAAAAGTGCGGTATTAGGGTGGGAGTGACCTGATTTTCCAGGTGCCGTCTGTCACCCATTTCTTTGAGTAGGAACGGGAATTCCCTGACCCCTTGTGCTTCCTGGGTGAGGCAATGCCTCGCCCTGCTTCAGCTCACGCTTGGTGTGCTGCACCCACTGTCCTGCACCCACTGTCCGGCACTCCCCAGTGAGATGAACCCAGTACCTCAGTTGGAAATGCAGAAGTCACCTGTCTTCTGCGTCGCTCACGCTGGGAGCTGCAGACTGGAGCTGTTCCTAGTCGGCCATCTTGGCTCCACCCCCAGTTTGCTCTTGTTTTTCTAGTTCCTCTAGGTGTCATGTTAGGTTGTTAATTGAGAACTTTCTAACTTTTTGATGTGGGCCTTTAGCACTACAAACTTTCCTCTTAACATTGCTGTAGCTGTGTCCCATAGATTCTTAAATGTTTTATCTTTGTTTTCATTAGTTTCAAATAATTTGATTTCTGCCTTAATTTTATTGTTTACCCAAATGTCATTCAGAAGCAGGTTGTTTAATTTTCATGTAATTATATGGTTTTGAGAGATCTTGGTATTGATTTCTATTTTCATTGTGCTGTGGTCTGTGACTGTGGTTGATATGCTTTTGTTGTTTTTGAATTTGTTGAGAATTGATTTATGGTCGAACATATGGTTGATTTTAGAATTTGTGCCATGTGCACATGAGAAGAATGTATATTCTGTTGTTTTTGGGTGGAATGTTCTATAGATATCTGTTAGGTCCATTTGATCAAGTGTTGAGTTTAGGCCCTGAATAGTTTTCTACTCCAATAATCTGTCTAATACTGTCAGTGGGGTGTTGCAGTCCTCTGTTATTATTGTGTGGTTATCTAAGTCTCTTCGTGGATCTCTAAGAACTTGGTTTATCAATCTGATGTTCCAGTGTTGTATCCAGCTTTTATAAACTATAATTTCTGGACCCTCACTGTTCTGTTTGCCCTACTCTGTACAAATGGTTATTTGTTAATGTTCTCCTTAAATTGTCACATGTCAAAATTGGACGTGACATTCCAAATATGGTCTGTACACTGCATGGCTCATTGCTTGGTGGGAATGGTATATTCTGTTTTTGGTTGCATTTGAATAATATCTTTTTTAAAAAAATTATATTTTAAGTTCTGGGATACATGTGCAGAATGTGCAGGTTTGTTACATAGGTATACATGTGCCATAGTGGTTTGCTGCACCCATCAACCCGTCACCTACATTAGATATTTCTCCTAATGCTATCCCTCCGCTGTCCCCCCACTCCCTGACAGGGCCCTGTGTGTGATGTTCCCCTCCCTGTGTCCATGTGTTCTCATATTCTAAAGCACTCGAAGATTAAGGAATAAGATGTTGGAAATTAGAATATTTTCTCCCAGGTTTTAAGTACAAGGTGCAAATAATTCAAGGTGTGTGTGTATGTGTATTCTGACCCAAAAGTTTGCTATTAGTGAGGACCTGTTATAAATCTTTGCAATCTGTGTATTTACTAACTAGTGCCAAAGGCTTTGAATTATCAAGTCCATAATAAGGAATAATTGAATTCATGATTATTGCTCTGTTTCTCTTCTATTTTCAAAAAATAAATTTGTTAGTTTCAATTAGATCCTATATATTAATTATGGGTATCAGTAATTCAGTATTTCCAAATTTAAACGGTTGAATATATTATTTGAGATAGTGCCCCAGTTGTGAAATGTCTTCTTATCTTTCCATACTTCTCTGTGGATTGAAAGTCACTTCAAATGCTACTGCCAGTTTACCCTGCTGTTTACCTGGAAGTGATTTCTTCCTTATTTGAATTCTTTTAGTTCTTTCTTGACAGCTATCCTACCCATCATTATATTATGGATATTTGTGTATGGGTTTAATCTCCTGTAAGAGAATACAGATTCTTAAGAGAATCTAATATGTTTTATTCATTCTTAAATGCCTCAGATAGCCTACCCAGTGCCTTGAATCTAATTTGTGCTCATTAGTCACTGAATATAAATGCAAGAAGGCTAAATATTTAAAAATGCCTTCATAGTAGTGGATTTAGTAAGTAAGCACATGTAATATGAACCAAAAATATATTTGATAATGAAGTACTAAAGCACCCAGTTAATGAATTAACTAATTATAATTCTCTGGTGTGGACTGATTTGTTGGGATTGTTTATATTTATGTATTAGATACAATACATGTTTTGTGATAGAAGAAAAGCAGAATTATATAGAAAGAATATTACCAGCATCATCCAGTATATTGTCTACAGGTTTCAGTCCCTTCAGACTTGCTGATGCTTATTTGGATGTTCTAAATAGTGGATTTAAAAATTAACTTTTGCAAACCGATTCATTCCTGGGGAATAGGAACAAATATTCTGTAGAGTTGCTCTTATTTTATATATTAATATCATCTCCTCATCTTGAAGAAGCTAGTATAATTGTTGGGCAAGAGGAAATACCCTTCTTGATCTTACTGATCTTAGTGATTTACTGTGTGGTAAGCCACTTTGCATTATCTCATTTAATCTTTACAAATTTTTAAAACAATCAGTGAGGTAGACTTTATAATTATCCTTATTTTGTGAATGAGAAAACAGAGGCAGAGAGGTTAAGTAAATAGTTCGTAGTAAGCAATGCAACCAATCCTGGATCCAGTACCCAAGGATTTTTTTCTTTGCATTTTTTTTTTTTAGGTTCAAGGGGTACACCTGCAGGTTTGTTACATGAGTAAATTGCATGCCATGGGGGTTTGGTGTACAGATTGTTTTGTTACCCAGGTAACCAGCATAATACCCAATAGGTAGTTTTCCAATCCGCACCCGCTACCCTCAGATAGGCCCTTGTGTCTTCTGTTTCCTTCTTTGTGTCCATGTGTACTCATTGTTTAGCTCCCCCTTATAAGTGAGAACATGTGATATTTGGTTTTCTGTTCTTGTGTTAATTTGCCTAGAATTATGGACTCCCACTCCATCCATGTTGCTGCAGAGGACATGATCTCATGCTTTTTTATGACTGCATAATATTCCATGGTGTATATGTACCACATTTTCCTTATCCAGTCTGCCATTGATGGGCATTTAGGTTAATTCCATGTTTTTGCTATTGTGAATAGTGCTGTGCTGAACATGCACATGCATGTGTCTTTATGGTAGAATGATTTATATTCCTTTGCAGAACCCAAATTCTTGAACACAATGTTCTCCTTTGTGTTCTTTATTATCAAACAAATCTATAAATGTTATTCAAGCTCTTAATATATGCAAAGTGATTTTTAGGCATTGTCAAAATAAAACTATATAAAGCAAGAGATATAGGATAAGATATCTATTCTTTTTTTTAATGTAGAGATGGGATCTTATTGTGTTGTGCAGGCTGGTCTCAAACTCCTGGCATCAAATGATTCTCCCACCTTGGCTTCCCAAAGTGTTGGGATTACAGGCATGAGCCACCATGACCAGCCAAGATATCTGTTCTTCTAGAACTTAAAATTTTTCTGTAAAGGCTACATGTCTATCTAATGGAATATCGTACTAATATTATGCACATTAAGTGCCAACTGAATGACACTGGTATAGTGTTCTAAAGGAATTTATAGGAAAGCTTTGGGGCAGTCCAGTAAGACTTTTATGGAGAAGATGAAACTTTAGATGATTTTTTTTTTTACTTTTCATTATCTCATTTATTAAAAATTGAAAATGGAACATGAACATAATTAATTATATTTAAGGAAATGCATTGAACAAGGACTGAAAGGTGATATGCCAAACTATTTAATATCTACTTCTGGGAAGGGGTGCAGATAGGAGGGAGAAGAAAAACATTTATGTTAAATATCCTACTGTCGCATTTAAATCAGTTTCAGTATTTTTTGTGTTTTGATGCTCTGCACAGCCTATACATCTCTGTTAATTAGCCTTTTTAGCTTGCAAGGAATAGAACTATGTTCAGGCTACCTCATTTAATGAGGGTTTATTACAAAGATACATGAAGAAGTAAGAAAGAACGAAAGTAAGGGTTTGTCCATAAATCTAACAATCTAGTACAAGCTCTAGATGTCTACAGCTTCAGGATTCAGCTACCCTCTTTTTTTCCCTCCCTGTCCCCACTCCTTCCCTCCCTCCCTCCATCCCTCCCTCCATCCCTTCCTCCCTCCCTTCCTCTTTCTCCTTTTTCTCTCAAAATTTTCACATCAATAATTTAAATACATTACAAATATAGTTCTTCTAAATGATTGAGATTATTCTTAAATGGAAACTAGAACTTATATCAGCAGAGAGATGGAGGAGGGCATTTCAGACTGGCCCTGAGGCAAAGGAAGAACGTACCATGAGCCATAATCAAGCTGGGAGAAGATCAAGACATGGCCAGGGGATCTTACTGCACATTGTCAAAATGATTTTTTCAGGCTTTCATCTTAAAAACCAGAAATCCATTTATGAGTGTAAATTATGTTCATCAGAACATTTGCACAATAATCAGTTTTTACAACTGGAGATAAGAAAAGCAATTTTTTAAATATAAACATTTTATTAAGGGAAAGCACATTCATTTAGGTTTTCAAAAATGAAGAAATACTACAAATTGGCAAGGAGGGAAATTTATCATTATCACCTGCGCTATCTATTGTTGTTTTATAGTGACTGTATACATTTTTAAACAGTTTTCAGTATGAAGGATGAGAAAAAATTTAAATCCTCTTTCCAAAAGGCATATAAAAAATACACCTCATCTACCTTGAATAAATGTAATCCAATTCTATGAACACGGATAAAATATCATTGAAGGTTTACACTAGGTTGGATAACTGAAAGGACTCATAAGACTCTACTCATGTAAGGATTTAAGAAAGATAAAGATATGGCACAGCAGGATAAAGAAAATGCAGATGCTCGTAGAGAAAGCTGAGCCTTCCAGGTGCAGTTCTCAGAGCCCTTATTCACACAGGATGTACTTCACCTTCTGATTTTAACCCACTAAGATCTATTAGCTAAGATATGAGGTACCTTGGTCTCAGGGGAGCTAAGGCACAAATTTACTGAGGGATATACCCTGCTGGTTATATAGCTAAAACCAGACTGTGTAACCATTTTAAAAAGTATAAAGAAATGTGTGGGGTGATAACTTGGGAGAGTGGTTACTTTCGGGAAGATGAAAATGTATTAGATGGGCAGTACAGGTTTTGTATTGTATGTATAAGGTTTCTGCTGGTCTGGTGGCTAGTCCATGGCTGGTATATAATTCTCACTTCTGTTTTGTATGTCTGAAATATTTTATAATAAAAAGTTTGGGTGTAAAACATTTCCTCATGTCATATAAAAATAAGCTTACAAAACACACTTTTACATTGTCATTTGCAGGAGCCTAAGTCACCTCATTGTAACTGTGAAAAAAACGCTCATTTTATAACTGTAGTTATAAAACTCATGTGATTCAATACATTTATCTCAAGAAGTCAACAAATACACCCTTCTGAAGGGTTTTTAGGGCCAGAATATTGATTAATCAAACAGTTGTGAAAAAGTAAAAATGAAATTATGTGGCAAGTGCCACTACAATTATTTCAAAATTATTTATTTTAAAAAGTTGACAATTAAAAATTATATATATTTATCATGTACAACATGATGTTTTGAAATATGTATACATTGTAGAATGGCTACATGGAGCTAATGAACATATGCATTACTTTACATACTTAGCATTTTTTGTGGTGAGAACACAAAATCTATTCTTATAGCACTTTTCAAGAATATAAGATATTGTTATTAACTATAGTCACCACGATGTACAATAGATCTCTTGAACTTATTTCTCCCTGTCTAACTGAAATTTTGTATCCTTTGACCGATATATCCACAACCCCCCAACCCCTATCCCCTAGTAACCATCATTTTACTTTCTGCCTTTATGAGTTCAACTTTTTTAGATTCCACGTATGCAAGATCATACATTATTTGTCTTTCTGGGACTGGCTTACATCACTTAACATAATGTCTTCTAGGTTAATCTATGTTGTTGCAAATGACAGATTTCCTTATTTGAAAAGGCTGAATAGTATTCCGTTGTGTGTATACATACCACATTTTCTTTATCCATTCATTCATTGATGGACACAGGTTGATTATATATCTTGGCTAGTGTGAATAATGCTTCAATGAACATGGGAGTGCATATATCTCTTTGAGATGCTAATTTCATTTCCTTTGGATATATACCCAGTAGTGGGATTGCTGGATCATATGGTAGTTTTATTTTTAATTTTTGGAAGAACCTCCGTATTTTTTTCTATAATGTCTATACTAATTTACATTCCCACCAACAGTGTTCAAGGGTTCCCTTTTCTGCATATCTTTGTCAACACCTATCATTTGTCTTTTTGATAATCTCTATTCTTTTTTTCTTTTAGAGTTGGGATCTTGCTCTATCATCCAGGCTGGAGTTCAGTGGCTTGATCGTGGCTCATTGCAGCCTTAAACTCGTGGGCTCAAGCAATTCTTTTGCCTCAGCCTCCTGAGTTGTTGGGATTACAGGGTATGATTCACTGTACCTGGTTTGTAATCCCTATTCTATTAGGTATGAGGTTTTAATTTGCAGTTCCCTGATGATTAGTGATGTTGAACATTTTTCATTTACCTGCTGGCCATCTGTAAGTCTTCTTTTGAGAAATGTCTATTCAGGTTCTTTATCTATTTTGTAATTGGGTTATTTGTTTTCTTGCTATTGTGAGTTCCTTGTATATTTTGGATGATAATCTTTTATCAAATATATGGTTTGCAAATATTTTCTCCCATTCTGTATGTTGTCTCTTTACTCTGTTGATTGTTTCCCTTGCTGCACAGAAGCTTTTTAGTTTGATATAATCCCATTTGTCTATTTTTTGTTTTGTTACCTGTGCTTTTGGGGTCATATCCAAAAAATTATTGTCCAGAGTAAAGTCATGGAGCTTTCCCCCTATGTTTCCTTCTAGTAGTTTTATAGTTTCAGGTTTTATGTTTAAGTCTTTAATCTGTTTTGAGTTGATTTTTGTATACATTGTGAGGTAAGTTCATTCTTCTGCCTGTGGATATTCAGTTATCCTAACAACATTTATTGAAGAGACTGTCCGTTCCCCTTGTGTTTTCTTGGAACCTTTGTAAAAAATCACTTGACCATAAATATGCCTCAGTACAATCTTAATTACAAATGTTTACTCTCATAAGCACTATCATTATTAATATATTATTCCTGTATGACTCAGACATAAGGGTTTTCAAAGAGGCCTAAAGATTAGAAAAACAAGTGCAGTACTCAATCTTTTCTTCCTTCAAAAAAAAAATGCTAGAGGTCAGATATATCTTCTGTCATTGGTTCTCAACTGAGGGTGATTTTATCCCCCAAGTGACGTTAGGCAATATCTGAAGATGTTTTTGGTTGTCACACTGGGGAAGTGCTGGTAGTATCTAGTGAGTAGAGGCCAGAGATGCTGCTAACCGTCCTAAAATGCACAGGACAACCACCCATGACAAAGTATTTTTTTTTCTTCAACTTTTGTTTTAAGTTCTGGGGTACATGTGCAGGATGTGCAGGTTTGTTACATAGGTAAACATGTGCCATGGTGGTTTGCTGCACAGATCATCCCATCACCTAGGTATTAAGCCAGGCATCCATCAGCTATTCTTCCTGATGCTCTCTCTCTCTCCTTTTTATGGCTGCATAGTATTCCATGGTGTGTATGTACTACATTTTCTTTATCCAGTCTATCATCAATGGGCATTTTAGTTGATTCCCTGTTTTTGCTATTGTGAATAGTGCTGCAAAGAACCTACACGTGCATGTATCTTTATAATAGAATGATTTATATTCCTTTGGGATATATAAATCCCACTAATGGGATTGCTGCATCAAATGGTATTTCTGCTTCTAGATCTTTGAGGAATTGCCACACTGTCTTCCACAATGGTTGAACTAATGTACACTCCCACCAACAGTGGAAGAGCATTCCTTTTTCTCTGCAACCTCGCCAGTATCTGTTGTTTCTTGATTTTTAAATAATCGCCATTCTGACTGGTGTGAGATTGTATCTCATTGTGGTTTTGATTTTCATTTCTCTAATGATTAGTGATGTTGAGCTTTTTTTTCATATATTTGTTGGCTGCATGAATGTCTTCTTTTGAGAAATGTCTGTTCATGTCTTTTGCTTATTTTTAATGGGGTTATTTTTTCTTCTAAATTTGTTTAAGTTCCTTGTAGACTCTGAATATTAGACCTTTGTCAGATGGATAGATTGCAAAAATTTTCTCCCTTTTTGTAGGTTATCTGTTCACTCTGATGATAGTTTCTTTTGCTGTGCAGAAGCTCTTTAGTTTAATTAGATCCAATTTGTCAATTTTTGCTTTTGTTGCAATCATGACGAAGTATTGATCATGATCCAGCCCCAAATGTCAATAGTGGCAAGGTTGAAAAGCTCTGATCTAAGCTAAAAAAATTTAAAGTCATTTTAATAATTTACTGATAGGCAAAGTAATGCCTGTTCATCATAAAAAATCTGGAAAATACAAACAGCACAAAGAAGAAATAAGTCATTCATAGTTCCAATCCTCAGAAATAACCACTATTTAACGTTTTATTGCAATGACTCTCAAACCTGGCTGTCCCTAGAGAGCTATGAAAAAACTTAGGGTTCCATCCCCAGATATCTGATTCCAGTCTTTTCTCCATATTGACTTTTATGTAACCTACTTTAATCCCTTAACAATATTATGAGCATTTTCCTATGCCAGGGGTTGGTAAACTACACCTGTTTCCGTGGAGCTTGTGAGATGAGAATGGGTTTTACATTTTAAGTGGTTGAAAAAAAAATCTAAAGAAGAAGAAGACTTTATGACACATGAAAATGATTTGAATTTCACATTCTGGTGTCCTAAAATAAACTTTTGTTGAAATATAGCCACATCCTTTCATTGACATCTTGCCTGTGGCTGCTTTTATGCTACCGTGGCAGGGTTGAGTAGCTGTGACAAATACTGTAGGGCCTGTAAAGTCTGAAATATGTATTCTGTAGCCATTTACAGAAAAATTTTGCCAACCTCTGTTCTATGCCATTAGATACTTCCATTGTTCTTTCCTTGATATATAGCATTCTATCTCTTCTTGTTGATTATTTAAGCTATTTTCAAATTTAGGCTACTATAAATGATTATTAGAAAAAATCCCAATTGAGCAACCCATGCATAATGTACGTGATTATTTCTGTAAAAAATATTTCTAGAGGAAATAACTTTTTAAAGGCATTTGTTCATATAGTCAAATTAGTGTCTTGAAAGTTTATGCCAATTTCCACTCCAAATCAGAAGTATGTAGGAATGCCTCTTTCCCACCTGTTTATAATCAATGGGTGCTTTGCATTTTTGTCTCTGCCAACCTGACAAGTTGTTTTAACTTGTATCTATTTGTTTACTAATGAAGTTGAACACTATTACCATGTGCTTATTGGCTACCTTTTTTGTTTTTTAAATTACCTCTTTTTAATTTTCATTTGCCTATTCTCTATTATGGCTTTTATCATTTTCCTGCTGCTCTGCGAGAATTTTTTTCTTTTAAAATTAAGGATAAAAATTTTTCTAACATTTAAGTTGCTAATGTTTCTTCAGATTTACATTTTTCATATTAATGTTTTTAATATATGCAAGTTTTAAAATGTTATACCTTAAAAAATATTTCCTGCCTTTGGCATCTTTCTTATTTTATTTGTTGTATATTCATTGTGGGTGGATATAAACTGATTAAATGTGATGAAAGGTGAAAGGGCATTGTAGACCAGGAGACTGGCATGTGGCTGGAAATGCATAGGTGCTACTTGGAAAGGGGAGGAAATAAGGTTGACGGAAGCAAAAGGAAAAGATTAAGGAGAGCAGTGGTTCTCCCAGCACGCAGTTGGAGATCTGAGAACGGACAGACTGCCTCCTCAAGTGGGTCCCTGACCCCTGACCCCCGAGCAGCCTAACTGGGAGGCACCCCCCAGTAGGGGCAGACTAACACCTCACACGGCCGGGTACTCCTCTGAGACAAAACTTCCAGAGGAGCGATCAGACAGCAGCATTTGCGGTTCACGAAAATCCGCGGTTCTGCAGACACCGCTGCTGATACCCAGGCAAACAGAGTCTGGAGTGGACCTCTAGCAAACTGCAACAGACCTGCAGCTGAGGGTCCTGTCTGTTAAAAGGAAAACTAACAAACAGAAAGGACATCCGCACCAAAAACCCATCTGTACATCACCATCATCAAAGACCAGAAGTAGATAAAACCACAAAGATGGGGAAAAAACAGAGCAGAAAAACCAGAAACTCTAAAAATCAGAGCGCCTCTCCTCCTCCAAAGGAACGCAGTTACTCACCAGCAATGGAACAAAGCTGGATGGAGAATGACTTTGACGAGTTGAGAGAAGAAGGCTTCAGACGATCAAACTACTCCGAGCTACAGGAGGAAATTCAAACCAAAGGCAAAGAAGTTGAAAACTTTGAAAAAAATTTAGGTGAATGTATAACTAGAATAACCAATACAGAGAAGTGCTTAAAGGAGCTGATGGAGCTGAAAGCCCAGGCTCGAGAACTACGTGAAGAATGCAGAAGACTTAGGAGACGATGTGATCAACTGGAAGAAAGGGTATCAGTGATGGAAGATGAAATGAATGAAATGAAGCGAGAAGGGAAGTTTAGAGAAAAAAGAATAAAAAGAAACGAACAAAGCCTCCAAGAAATATGGGACTATGTGAAAAGACCTAATCTGCATCTGATTGGTGTACCTGAAAGTGACGGGGAGAATGGAACCAAGTTGGAAAACACTCTGCAGGATATTATCCAGGAGAACTTCCCCAATCTAGCAAGGCAGGCCAACATTCAAATTCAGGAAATACAGAGAACGCCACAAAGATACTCCTCGAGAAGAGAAACTCCAAGACACAACTTTGGTCAGATTCACCAAAGTTGAAATGAAGGAAAAAATGTTAAGGGCAGCCAGAGAGAAAGGTCAGGTTACCCACAAAGGGAAGCCCATCAGACTAACAGCAGACATCTCAGCAGAAACTCTACAAGCCAGAAGAGAGTGGCCAATATTCAACATTCTTAAAGAAAAGAATTTTCAACCCAGAATTTCATATCCAGCCAAACTAAGCTTCGTAAGTGAAGGAGAAATAAAATCCTTTACAGACAAGCAAATGCTGAGAGATTTTGTCACCACCAGGCCTGCCCTAAAAGAGCTCCTGAAGGAAGCACTAAACATGGAAAGCAACAACCAGTACCAGCCACTGCAAAAACATGCCAAAATGTAAAGACCATCGAGACTAGGAAGAAACTGCATCAACTAACGAGCAAAATAACCAGCTAACATCATAATGACAGGATCAAATTCACACATAACAATATTAACTTTAAATGTAAATGGACTAAATGCTCCAATTAAAAGACACAGACTGGCAAATTGGATAAAGAGTCAAGACCCATCAGTGTGCTGTATTCAGGAAACCCATCTCATGTGCACAGACACACATAGGCTCAAAATAAAAGGATAGAGGAAGATCTACCAAGCAAATGGAGAACAAAAAAAGGCAGGGGTTGCAATCCTAGTCTCTGATAAAACAGACTTTAAACCAACAAAGATCAAAAGAGACAAAGAAGGCCATTACATCATGGTAAAGGGATCAATTCAACAAGAAGAGCTAACTATCCTAAATATATATGCACCCAATACAGGAGCACCCAGATTCATAAAGCAAGTCCTGAGTGACCTACAAAGAGACTTCGACTCCCACACAATAATAATGGGAGACTTTAACACCCCACTGTCAACATTAGGCAGATCAACGAGACAGAAAGTCAACAAGGATACCCAGGAATTGAACACAGCTCTGCACCAAACAGACCTAATAGACATCCACAGAACTCTCCACCCCAAATCAGCAGAATAGACATTTTTTTCAGCACCACACCACACCTATTCCAAAATTGACCATATACTTGGAAGTAAAGCCCTCCTCAGCAAATGTAAAAGAACAGAAATTATAACAAACTGTCTCTCAGACCACAGTGCAATCAAACTAGAACTCAGGATTAAGAAACTCACTCAAAACCGCTCAACTACATGGAAACTGAACAACCTGCTCCTGAATGACTACTGGGTACATAATGAAATGAAGGCGGAAATAAAGATGTTCTTTGAAGCCAACGAGAACAAAGACACAACATACAAGAATCTCTGGGACACATTCAAAGCAGTGTATAGAGAGAAATTTATAGCACTAAATGCCCACAAGAGAAAGCAGGAAAGATCCAGAATTGACACCCTAACATCACAATTAAAAGAACTAGAAAAGCAAGAGCAAAGACATTCAAAAGCTAGCAGAAGGCAAGAAATAACTAAAATCAGAGCAGAACTGAAGGAAATAGAGACACAAAAAATGCTTCAAAAAATTAATGAATCCAGGAGCTGGTTTTTTGAAAGGATCAACAAAATTGATAGACCGCTAGCAAGACTAGTAAAGAAAAAAAAGAGAGAAGAATCAAATAGACGCAATAAAAAATGATAAAGGGGATATCACCACTGATCCCACAGAAATACAAACTACCATCGGAGGATACTACAAACACCTCTATGCAAATAAACTAGAAAATCTAGAAGAAGTGGATAAATTCCTCAACACATACACTCTCCCAAGACTAAACCAGGAAGAAGTTGAATCTCTGAATGGACCAATAACAGGATCTGAAATTGTGGCAATAATCAATAGCTTACCAACCAAAAAGAGTCCAGGACCAGATGGATTCACAGCTGAATTCTACCAGAGGTACAAGGAGGAACTGGTACTATTCTTTCTGAAACTATTCCAATCAGTAGAAAAAGAGGGAATCCTCCCTAACTCATTTTATGAGGCCAGCATCATCCTGATACCAAAGCCGGGCAGAGACACAACCAAAAAAGAGAATTTTAAACCAATATCCTTGATGAACATTGATGCAAAAATCCTCAATAAAATACTGGCAAACTGAATCCAGCAGCACATCAAAAAGCTTATCCACCATGATCAAGTGGGCTTCATTCCTGGGATGCAAGGCTGGTTCAATATATGCAAATCAATAAATGTAATCCAGCATATAAACAGAACCAAAGACAAAAACCACATGATTATCTCAATAGATGCAGAAAAGGCCTTTGACAAAATTCAACAACGCTTCATGCTAAAAACTGTCAATAAATTAGGTATTGATGGGACGTATCTCAAAATAATAAGAGCTATCTATGACAAACCCACAGCCAATATCATACTGAATGGGCAAAACCTGGAAGCATTCCCTTTGAAAACTGGCACAAGACAGGGATGCCCTCTCTCACCACTCCTATTCAACATAGTGTTGGAAGTTCTGGCCAGGGCAAGTAGGCAGGAGAAGGAAATAAAGCGTATTCAATTAGGAAAAGAGGAAGTCAAATTGTCCCTGTTTGCAGACGACATGATTGTATATCTAGAAAACCCCATTGTCTCAGCCCAAAATCTCCTTAAGCTGATAAGCAACTTCAGCAAAGTCTCAGGATACAAAATCAATGTACAAAAATCACAAGCATTCTTATACACCAATAACAGACAAACAGAGAGCCAAATCATGAGTGAGCTCCCATTCACAATTGCTTCAAAGAGAATAAAATACTTAGGAATCCAGCTTAGGAGGGACGTGAAGGACCTCTTCAAGGAGAACTACAAACCACTGCTCAATGAAATAAAAGAGGATACAAACAAATGGAAGAACATTCCATGCTCATGGCTAGGAAGAATCAATATCGTGAAAATGGCCATACTGCCCAAGGTAATTTATAGATTCAATGCCATCCCCATCAAGCTACCAATGACTTTCTTCACAGAATTGGAAAAAACTACTTTAAAGTTAATATGGAACCAAAAAAGAGCCCGCATCGCCAAGTCAATCCTAAGCCAAAAGAACAAAGCTGGAGGCATCATGCTACCTGACTTCAAACTATACTACAAGGCTACAGTAACCAAAACAGCATGGTACTGGTACCAAAACAGAGATATAAATCAATGGAACAGAACAGAGCCCTCAGAAATAACGCCACGTATCTACAACTTTCTGATCTTTGACAAACCTGACAAAAACAAGCAATGGGGAAAGGATTCCCTATTTAATAAATGGTGCTGGGAAAACTGGCTAGCCATATGTAGAAAGCTGAAACTGGATCCCTTCCTTACACCTTATACAAAAATTAATTCAAGATGGATTAAAGACTTAAATGTTAGACCTAAAACCATAAAAACCCTAGAAGAAAACCTAGACATTACCATTCAGGACATAGGCATGGGCAAGGACTTCATGTCTAAAACACCAAAAGCAATGGCAACAAAAGCCAAAATTGACAAATGGGATCTAATTAAACTAATGAGCTTCTGCACAGCAAAAGAAACTACCATCAGAGTGAAAAGGCAACCTACAAAATGGGAGAAAATTTTTGCAACCTACTCATCTGACAAAGGGCTAATATCCAGAATCTACAATGAACTCAAACAAATTTACAAGGAAAAAACAAACAACCCCAACAAAAAGTGGGCGAAGGATATGAACAGAGGCTTCTTGAAAAAAGACATTTATGCAGCCAAAAGACACATGAAAAAATGCTCATTATCACTGGTCATCAGAGAAATGCAAATCAAAACCACAGTGAGATACCATCTCACACCCGTTAGAATGGCGATCATTCAAAAGTCAGGAAACAACAGGTGCTGGAGAGGATGTGGAGAAATAGGAACACTTTTACACTGTTGGTGGGACTGTAAACTAGTTGGACCATTGTGGAAGTCAGTGTGGCAATTCCTCAGGGATCTAGAACTAGAAATACCATTTGACCCAGCCATCCCATTACTGGGTATATACCCAAAGGACTATAAATCATGCTGCTATAAAGACACATGCACAGGTATGTTTATTGTGGCACTATTCACAATAGCAAAAACTTGGAACCAACCCAAATGTCGAACAATGATAGACTGGATTAAGAAAATGTGGCACATATATATCATGGAATACTATGCAGCCATAAAAAATGATGAGTTCATGTCCTTTGTAGGGACATGGATGAAATTGGAAATCATCATTCTCAGTAAACTATCGCAAGGACAAAAAGCAAACACTGCATATTCTCACTCATAGATGGGAATTGAACAATGAGAACACATGGACACAGGAAGGGGAACATCACACTCTGGGGACTGTTGTGGGGTGGGGGGAGGGGGGAGGGATAGCATTAGGAGATATACCTAATGCTAAATGACGAGTTAATGGGTGCAGCACACCAGCATGGCACATGTATACATATGTAACTAACCTGCACATTGTGCACATGTACCCTAAAACTTAAAGTATAAAAAAAAAAGATTAAGGAGGGAGATTATGAGGGATACAGGAGCCAAATTACAGCCATCTTTGTATCCTTTGACAAGGAGCTTCAACTTTATCATCTAATTTCAAAATGTGGTTCTTGTACTATGTGCAAAAGAATTAACTGTGGGTGGTGGTGGTGTGAATGTTGAAATGCTGATTTCTATGCTCTAACCCAGATCTGCTAGTGGAAGTTTAGGTGATGAGGTCTCAGGATCATAAGCTTCACAAAGACAGTTATCCAAACATATAAACAAGTCATTCAAGTGCCAGCTGTGCTCTACTCATAAGGAAGAAGAATTCAGAGTAGTAGTTCTCAATTTTGTTTGCATATTGGAAGTGGAATCAGTTGGGGGAGATTTACAAACACTGATACTTACATCTTATCTCAGTGACTTAGCTTTATTGGGTTTGGAATATCACCTGGAAATTGGGATTTTTAAAAAATCTGATATTCAGCAATGTTGAGAATTACTGCTATAGACTAGTACTGGTTCTGTAAGTGTGGGTTCCAGACCAGCAGCATTAGCATCAACTGGGAATTACTAGAAATGCAATTTCTGATACCACAGGGCTGCTGAATCAGAAACTGGGAGTGGACCCATCAGTCTATGTTTAACAAGGCCTCCAGGTGGTTCTGATAGATGCCAAAATTTGAGAACCACTGCTTTAGAGTGATTGAAGAAGTCACTTCGTGGTCCCTCCATGTTTTAGAACCCATCTGTTATTGATCATTTGGCTAGTTTTGCCCCATGAGTTGGAGGGAACTTTGGAACTGGGCAAAACTAACACCACTCGCTGAGCTCCTCTTTGGTTTTGCCTGCTGACGCCTGCCTGTATCTGATCACTGATGGGGTGCCATCTTGTAGATGGTGTAGTTACATCTTATTAAGTCATTTAAGGATTTTAGCCTTAAAATTGTGGGTTTGACTTTTACTGGGAGGTTCGTAATTTTTTTTCTTTGTTCTTAAAAAAAAAAGGGATACATGAGCAGAATGTGCAGGTTTGTTATGTAGGTCTACGTGTGCCATGGTGGTTTGCTGCACCTATTGACCCATCCTCTAAGTTCCCTCCCCTTACCCCCTCAACCCGCAAAAGGCCCCAGTGTGTGTTGTTCCCCTCTCTGTCCATGTGTTCTCAATGTTCAACTCCCACTTATGAGTGAGAACATGCAGTGTTTAGTTTTCTGTTCCTGTGTTAGTTTGCTGAGAATTATGGCTTCCACCTTCATCCAAGTCCTTACAAAGACATGATCTCTTTCCTTTTTGTGGCTGCATAGTATTCCATGGTGTATATGTACCACATTTTCTTTATCCAGTCTATCATTGATGGGCATTTGGGTTGGTTCCATGTCTTTGCTATTGTAAATAGTGCTGCAATAAACATATGTGTGCAAGTGTCTTTATAGTAGAATGATTTATATTCCTTTGGGTATATACTCAGTAATGGGATTGCTGGGTTAAATGGTATTTCTTGTTCTAGAGCCTTGAGGAATCACCATACTGTCTTCCACAATGGTTGAAGTAACTTACATTCCCACCAACGTGTAAAAATCTTCCTATTTCTCCACAGCCTCGCCAGCATCTATTGTTTCCTGACTTTCTAATAATTGCCATTCTGACTGGCATGAGATGGTATCTCATTGTGGTTTTGATTTGCATTTCTCTGATGATCAGTGACGTTGAGCTTTTTTTCATATGTTTGTTGGCCGTATAAATGTCTTCTTTTGAGAAGTGTCTGTTCATATCCTTTGCCTACTTTTTGATAGGATTGTCTTTTTCTTGTAAATATGTTTAAGTTCCTTGTAAATTCTGGATGTTAGACCTTCGTCAGATGGGTGGTAGATTGTAAAATTTTGGTTGGTAGGCTATTAATTACTGCCTCAATTTCAGAGCTTGTTATTGGTATATTCAGGGATTCAACTTCTTCCTGGTTTAGTCTTGGTAGGGTGTATGCGTCCAGGAATTTATCCATTTCTTCTAGATTTTCTAGTTTATTTGCATAGAGGTGTTTATAGTACTCTCTGGTAGTTTGTATTTCTGTGGGGTCAGTGGTGATATCCCCTTTATCATTTTTTTATTGTGTCTATTTGATTCTTCCCTCTCTTCTTCTTCATTAGTCTAGCTGGCAGTCTGTCTATTTTATTAACTTTTTCAAAAAAAACACAGATCCTGGATTTGTTGATTTTTTTTGGAGAGTTTTTCATATCTTTATCTCCTTCAATTCTTCTCTGATCTTAGTTATTTCTTGTCTTCTGCTAGCTTTTGGATTAGTTTGCTCTTGTCTCTCTAGCTCTTTTAATTGTGATGTTAGGGTGTCGATTTGAGATCTTTCTAGCTTTCTGATGTGGGGATTTAGTGCTATAAATTTCCCTCGTAACACTGCTTTAGCTGTGTCCTAGATATTTTGCTGCGTTATCTCTTTGTTCTCATTGATTTCAAAGAACTTCTTGATTTATGCCTTAATTTCCTTATTTACCCAAGAGTCATTCAGGAGCAGGTTGTTCAATTTCCATGAAATTGTGTGGTTTTGAGTGAGTTTCTTAATCCTGAGTTCTAATTTGATTGCAACATGGTCTGAGAGACTGTTATGATTTTATTTCTTTTGAATTTGCTAAGGAGTGTTTTACTTCCAATTATGTGGTCAATTTTAGAATAAGTGCCATGTGGCGCTGAGAAGAATGTATATTCTGTTGATTTGGGGTGGAGAGTTCAGTAGACGTCTAGTAGATCCATTTGATCTAGAGCTGAGTTCAAGTCCTGAATATCCGTGTTAATTTTCTGTGTCGTTGGTCTGTCTAATACTGACAGTGGGGTGTTAAAGTCTCCCACTGTTATTGTGTGGGAGTCTAAGTCTCTTTATAGGTCTCTAAGAACTTGTTTTATGAATCTGGGTGCTCCTGTATTGGGCGCATATATATTCAGAAAAGTTAGCGCTTCTTGTTGAATCATTCCCTTTACCATTATGTAATGCCCTTCTTTGTCTTTTTTGATCTTTGTTGGTTTTAAAGTCTGTTTTGTCATAGACTAGGATTGCAACCTCTGCTTTTTTTTTTTTTTTTTTTTGCTTTCCATTTGCTTGGTAAATTTTCCTCCATCCCTTTATTTTGAGCCTGTGTGTGTCTTTGCGTGTAAGATGGGTCTCCTGAGTATAGCACACTGATGGGTCTTGACTCCTTTTCCAGTTTGCCAGCCTGTGTCTTTTAATTGTGGCATTTAGCCCATTTACATTAAGGTTAATATTGTGTGTGAATTTGATCCTGTCATCATGATGCTGTCTGGTTATTTTGCAAACCGGTTGATGCCATTTCTTTGTAGAGTCATTGGTCTTTATATTTTGGTGTGTTTTTGCAGTGGCTGGTACCAGTTTTTCCTTTCTATATTTAGTGCTTCTATCAGGAGCTCTTGCAGAGCAGGCCTGGTGGTTACGAAATCCCTCAGCATTTGCTTGTCTGGAAAGGATTTTATTTCTCCTTCGTTTATGAAGCTTAGTTTGACTGGATATGAAATTCTGGGTTGAAAATTCTTTTCTTTAACAATGTTGAATATTGGCCCCCAATCTCTTCTGGCTTGTAGAGTTTCTCCTGAGATGTCTGTTGTTAGTCTGATGGGCTTCCCTTTGTAGGTGACCTGGCCTTTCTCTCTGGCTGCCCTTAACAGTTTTTCCTTCATTTTGACCTTGGAGAATCTGATGAGTATGTGTCTTGGGGTTGATCTTCTTGTGGAGTATCTAATGGGTGCTGCCCTTCCTCACCTACAGAGCTTAGCATGTTAGGCAGTTGCGAGTCCCAGTGCCAGTGGCTGCCCCTCCCACAAGGAGCTCAAAGGGCTTAGACAGCAGGCAGCCGCAGCCACATCCGGTGCTGGTTGTCCCTTCACCCCACCCCTGGGAGTTGGGTAGGCTTAAGCAGATTCCAGCTAAGAGGCTATAAGCATCTGCATGTTCCAGAGTTGGGACGCTAGGCCCTGGTGGTGTGGGTTTGTGAGTGGAATCTTCCGATCCGTGAGTTGCACAGTTCCGTGGAAAAAGTACAGTTTCCCTGGCTAGGTAGCGCACTCACTCACCGCCTCCCTTGGCTGGGGAGAGGGGGTTCCCCTTCCCTGTGTGGCTCTCAGGTGGACTGCCGCACCACACTGCTCTTCCTTCTCTCCATGGGTTACACCAGCCTTCAAGTCAATTTTGATGAGAGAACCTGGATACTTGGTTGCCCATAAAGGATTCACACGCTTATTATGGTTTTTTCTGATGGGAGCCTCTGAATGTCGCTGCTTCTAGTCGGCCATTTTGGCCCTGCCCCCCAATCCGCCACCCCGTTCATAAATTTTGTAGAGTGATACAAAATTAATTTTAAGGAAGAAAATTTTCAGTGGCACTGGAAGAATTGCTGGGAACAGGGAGACCCTCTCTCCATTCCTTCTCCACAGGACCATTCCTCTCAGCCTATGAATGTGTCCCAAAATATTCTCTTCAAGCCTTTCTCATCTTTATCTTTTCTTTCCCAGCCAATCTGCTTCTAAACATAGTCTACACTCACCTACTGGGTGCAGAGATAGACCTAGAGGCTCATTGGAGAAATTGGATTGGGCAGAGCTGCCACTGTTTCTGTCAAGGGCTTTGGTAAAACAAAGCCACATTAAAGGGTTTGTCAGGTGGCAGTTAGTGGTAAATTGTCAACAGGATAGCAAAAAATCCAGAATAGGCAGATAAACATTCACAAGAGTAGTCTGAAGTATAATCTGTAAATAAGCCAAGGAACAGAGAAGGGGGCGATCCACAACAATTTCCTGGCATGGGTACTCTTTTCAACGTTTTTCAGATTGCCTGCTGGAGGTGTTCACTTTTCTTAATGGATTGGTGCACTGCCTTGATTTTCGAAAATCTAGCTTGTACCAACATACTACTGAAATTAAGGTATAACTTCTAACTGTCAAATCCAAAGGACATTTTTCAGTCTTGTGTTACTTCGAACTGTCGAATTATATTTGCCACTCTTGACCACTCATTTTTTATGGAAATATTGCTCTTGTCTTGGGTGACACCTCCTTTTTCGTAGCTCACCTTTTTCCTACATTTCTCAAGATTCCATCCCCTGTAGTTGTAGCCTGTGGGGGGTGGAATTTGGACAGGCCAAATTTTATTCAGGATCCCTGATAACATTGAAAATACACCTTTCACCCCGTCTCTACTAAAAATACAAAAATTAGCTGGGCGTGGTGGCATGCGCCTATAATCCCAGCTACTCGGGAGGCTGAGGCAGGAGAATCGTTTGAGCCCAGGAGGCAGAGGTTGCAGTGAGCTGAGATTGCACCATGGCACCCCAGCCTGGCGACAGAGTGAGATTCCATCTCAAAAATAAATGAATAAATAAAAAATAAATTAAACAAATACACCTTTCAAAACTGAATTCAGTAGTCTCCAGGTTGTTATTTGTCTCCTATTATGTATACAGCACTGTAAGGAAATACACAACTTTTACTCTGCTATATTTTACTCTTTCACTATAGCATAAATAATACACATATGTGTCCTCTGCCTCTTTCATAGTAAGCTTAACTCCTACTTATCTTTCAAAGCCTTATATGACTTTTGTCACTTTTCATAGATTTTGGAGTTGTAGGGGACCTTAGAAATAATCTACATTTAGTTCACCTTCATGTCTTTTCCAGAAAGTCATATAGGAGTTATTTCTGCATTTATTCCGATAAGTGATTTTCCAGACTTGCTTAAACCTAATTCTTTCCAAGGCAGCCTGCCCAATATTTAGGCAATTATAAATGTTATGTTCGATTCACTGTAACTTCCATGAAACCTTGTTCTGACCACTAAAGAAATATACAATAAATTGATTATTTTCTTTAGGTGACAACTTTTCTAGGATTTGAAGATAGCTGTTATATTCTTTAAAATTACATTTTCTCAAGTTAAACATCTCATTTTCCTTAAATTTCCTAACAGGTCAGAGTTTCTAGACTTCCGACTGTCTTTAATACTTTCCAGAGGGCCAATGTCCTGCATAAACTGGCTATAATACTTTAGTCATTGTCTGACCATACAAGAGTACACTATGACATTTCTCTTCCTTGATTTAAGATTCTATTAGCTTTATGAATAGTCAAACCACCCTATTGGCCTCTGTGCCAGTTATCAATTTATTGCCTCTCTATTCTAAATCCACCTTTCGTTGTCTGCTTTTGAAAAAAAATAGATTTTGTTTTATAGATCAGTTTTAGGTTTACAGAAAAATTTAGGAAAAAGTACAGAGAGTTCTTATATATGTCCTCTCCCTTCCATAGATAGTTTTCTCATTATTACCATCATGCATTTGTGTGGTACCTTGGTGCTATGGTTTGGATATGTTTATTTGTCCCTACCAAATCTCATATTGAAATTTAATCCTCAGTGTGGCGGTATGGGGAAGTGGGACGTAGTGGGAGGTGTTTGGGTCATGGGGGTGGATACCTTATGAACAGATTAATGCCCTCCTTCGGGGGTGAGTGAATTCTCACTCTATTAGTTCCCTCAAGAGCTATTTTTTTAAAATTAAAATTTCCCCCTTTGCCCTTCATAAAGAAAGAGAACTGTTGTTAAAAAAGTCTCACTCTATCACCCAGGCTGGAGTGCAGTGGCACGATCATGGCTCACTGCAGCCTCAACCTCCAGTGCTCAAGCAATCCTCCAACCTCAGCCTCGTAAGTAGCTGGAAATACAGGTGCATGCCACCATGCCCAGCTGATTTTTAAGGTTTTTTATTTTTATTTTTATTCTTTTGGAGAGACAGGGTCTCCCTATGTTTCCCAGGCTAGTCTTGAACTCCAAGGCTCAAGCAATCCTACTGCCTCAGCCTCTCAAAGTGCTGGGATTACAGGTGTGAGCCCACCCAGTTCTATGGGTTTTGACAAATGCATATCATGTCATGTGTCCACCATTGCAATATCATACAAAATAGTTTTACTGCCCTAAAAATTCCCTGTGTTCCACTTACTTATCCCTCTTCTTCTTCCTTTTCCTGCTTGTACCCTGGACAACCACTGATCTTTTTCCTGTCTCTATGACTTTGCCTTTTTCAGAAAGGCACATAGTTAGAATCATACAGTGCTGGGAATAAGCCCCCAAATCTGGCCATAAACTGGCCCCAAAACTGGCCATAAACAAAATCTTTGCAGCACTGTGACATGTTCGTGATGGCCATGATGCCCACACTGAAGGTTGTGGGTTTACTGGAATGAGGGCAAGGAACAGCTGGCCCACCCAGGGCAGAAAACCACTTAAAGGCAGTCCTGAGCCACAAACAATAGCATCAGCAATCTGTGCCTTAAGCACATGTTCCTGCTGCAGATAACTAGCCAGAGTCCATCCCTTTGTTTCAGCCCACCCCTTTGTTTCCCGTAAGGAATACTTTTAGTTAATCTATAATCTATAGAAACAATGCTTATCACTGGCTTGCTGTCAATAAATATGTGGGTAAATCTCTGTTCGGGGCACTCAGCTCTGAAGGCTTTGAGTCCCCTGTTTCCCACTCCACAGGCTATATTTGTGTGTGTGTCTTTAATTCCTCTAGCACTGCTGGGTTAGGGTCTCCACAACTGAGCTGGTCTCAGCAATACAGTATGTAACCTTTTCAGACTGGCATCTTTTACTTAGTGATATGCATTAAAGTTCCTGAATATCTTTTTGTGGCTTGATGGCCCATTTCTTTTTATCACTGGAGAATATTTCATTGTATGGATGTACCACAGTTCATCTATCCCATCACCTATTAGAGGACATCTTACCACTTTTTTCTTTCATGGATCATGCTTTTGGCATTGTATCTAAAAACTCACTGCCAAACCCAAAGCTACATAGATTTTCTCCTATATTATCTTCTAGGAGTTAACAGTTTTGCATTTTACATGTAGGGTCACGATTCATTTTGAGTTAATTTTCGTGAAAGGTGTAAAGTTAGGGTACAGATTCATTTTCTTGGCTGTGGATGTTCAATTGTTCCAGCACTATTTGTTGGAAAGCAATTCTTTCTCCGCTGAATTGCATTTTCTCCTTTGTCAAAGATCAGTCTATTCTGACTTATTAATCTCTTTGTTCTTTCACTAACATCACACAATATTACTCTAGATTTATAGTAAGTCTTGAGATCACATAATGTCAGTCCTTTGTTTTTTTCTTTTTCTTCAATATTGTGCTGGCTCTACTTGGTCTTTTGCCTCTTCATATGAACGTTTAAATCAGTTTGCCAATAGCCACGAAGTAATTTTCTGGGATTTTAACTGGGATTTTGTTGACTCTATAGATCAGGGGTGTCCAATCTTTTAGCTTTCCTGGGCCACAATGGAAGAAGAATTGTCTTGGGCCACACATAAAATACACTAACACTAACGATAGCTGATGAGCTAAAAAGAATTGCAAACAAATCTCATGTTTTAAGAAAGTTTACTAATTTGTGTTCAGCCGCATTCAAAGCTGAGTTGCCTGTGGCCTGTGGGCCACGGGTTGGACAAGCTTGCCGTAGGTCAAGTTGGGAACATCTTGACAATTTTGAGTCTTGCTATCCATAAATGTGGAGTATGTCTCCATTTATTTAACTCTTCTTTTATATCTTTCATCAGTTTTGTAGTTTTCCTTATATAAATTTTATAGGTATTTTGTTAGATTTATGCCTAAGTATATCATTTTTGGTTTTAATGTAAATGGTGTTATATTTTAAATTTCAAATTCCAATTGTTCATTGTGGTGTATAGGAAGGCAATTGGCTTTTGTATATTAACCTTGTATCCTGAACCTTGCCAAAATCACTTACTAGTTCCAGGAGTTATTTTGTTGTTTCCTTGAGGGTTTTCTACATAGATAATTGTGTTGTCTGAGAGCAAAGCAAGTTTTATTTCTTTTGTCCCAATATGTTTACCTCTTCTTATTGCATTAACTAGGACTTCCAGTGTAATGTTGAATAGCAGTGGTGAGAAGGTATGCTGTTTTTTTGATATTGAAGTTGGAGCCTGTAAACATTTATTTTGCTAGTTGGCAGAATGGCACAAGTTGGCACAAGTTAAGCCTTGTCAGTAGAGGGCACTGCAGGGATACTGCAAGATGTAACAGAGGAAGGGGCTTCTCTTGCTGGTTTTGGGGTGCTTTACTTCTTGCTATGATGGCATTGCTGCTAGTGATATATGAAAGACTCCATGGTACTCATCATGCAGGGAGTTTCTCCAGCACACTCGTGGGTGGGATTTGCTCACCATCCTGAACCACTGACTGTGAACCAGCTCTGCCTAAGGCATCCTAGTGATCTCTGCCATCCAGTGGGCTACATTCAAACTTTCTCCAGTGGGAGCAAAATCTCAGTTTTGGATAATCTCCCTCAGCCCTAGAGAGAATAGCTTCTCCAGCTTCTCCCTACATCATTTGCTATTCCTGTATCCTTTTTTTTTTTTTTTTTTCTTCCCTGAGATGGAGTCTTACTCTGTCACCCAGGCTGGAGTGCAGTGGTGTGATCTTGGCTGACTGCAACCTCTGCCTCCCAGGTTCAAGCAATTTTCCTGCCTCAGCCTCCCGAGTGGCTGGGATTACAGGCACCCGCCACTGCACCCGGCTAATTTTTGTATTTTTGGTAGAGACGAGATTTCACCATGTTGGCCAGGATGGTCACAAACTATTCCTGTATTCTTTAGAGTTCTCTTTTACCCCTTTGGTACTTAACCATCTTTTACTAGTTAACAATTTTTTATATTATATTTTCCCCGTTCAAATTACTGGTTTGATTTCTGTCTCCTGACTGGAATGATACAACTTCTTTCGAGTTTCTAGCTAATTTAAACCCTCAGTATGTTTTTGTTCCTCAACTGAATTGCTTTGATTGGATTTGAGGGGAGGAAGAATAGAGTGTAGGAAAGGGAGGCCTAGTCATGCTGGCAGGCATATTGGTTTTTGGCTCTGTGAGGGGCTCAGGTGTCTTGGCTGGCTAGGTTGGTGTGATGTGGGCAGGACTAACTGGCATGTGGAGCAAATGGGATCTGGCATTCTTAAGAACCCTTCCCTCAGGATCCTATATTAGAGATGTGGCTGAGACAGGAGGTTTGAGAGGTGGTGAGCTAGAAGTAATCAACGAGGAAGAGCCTTTTTAATTACTGGCTCAAAGAAAATGGAACTGATTAGTGAGTCCAAATGGGGTTAGGGCCCCTGGTTAAATCCTGAGAAGCATCCGGGGAAGCTATGGTGTTCCATCTGCTCTGGCCTTTAAGCTGCTGGTTGCCTTGTTGATGGCCAGGAAAAGAGAAGCTTCACAGCCCTGAGGGATTTTATCCTTCTGATAAGCAGACAAACTATAGATACTTATATGATATTGTTTAAACATTATAATAAGACACAATATATTAGGAAATGGTTTGTATAAACTGTACATATCAATTGTTAATATAAATGACTTGCATTATGAGTTTGTTTTCCTTGGTGTGTACGCTTGCTCATCCCTGGGGATGTGGATGAGCAAAGTGTTATGTTCCACAGCTTTGCTCCTGCTGGCAATGGCACAGGTGCAGAACTGTGGGCAGGATGAATCAAACAACGATTACATCACTGCCGCCTGTGCTCAGCTCGGATTGCCGTCAGTGGAGGAAATAGAATTCATTAGTTTTCTTTCAGGGCACATGTAAACATGTGGGTTTCAAAGAGTGTATAATGGCAGCAAGGAGAAATGGATAAGCTTAGCTTTTCCTTTCCCTGAGCAGCTTTGGCAAAACATGAACTGATAAGCATTTGGAAGCACTATCTTTGTTAGTAGATATTTGAGAAGAAGGTATCACTATGGCATAATGCTCTGTTGATAACTAATCACAATTTTAATTCTCTCCTAGGAAGATTGATAAAATAATATTGATTTGTTAAAGAATCCATAATGCTATAAATGCTCACAGAAAACATGACCAAATACTCCAACAACAATTTTAAAGAAGTCAGATAATAATAAAATGCACAAAATCACTTTCCTGACACATATGATTAGTTAGCTAGTGTGGTGAGCTCAAAGCCTCTGTTTTTCATATTTATTTTCCTTTTGGTATTGGCTGTGATAATGCCATTTGACACATGTGGGGCTCTGGAGTGATGATAGAGCACTTCATTTGGAGAAAAATACAGGCTCTTTAAAAAATATTAATTCCTCCAGGGTTCCTGAGATGAAGGGGGTGCAGGAGCAAGCTTAAGCCCAGTTCTAGCTTCTTATATGCCAAACTAGACTGATCCTGGAGATTCCGGTTGGAATTCTGTGATGAGACTCGAGAATCTGTGTTTTTAACAAGCACCCAAGTTGCAAACTTGATTCTGCTAGTTTGGACAACATCACTTATGTGTATATTCAAAAGCAAAGTTTATTTTTAATGTACTCAGATTTCCTTCTTGTCCAGCTTGATTTAGGTTGACATGATTCACCTACATGAATGTGAATATATACACATAGGCTTGGGAATACAGGTCTCAGCATTTGGGAGAAAACATTTAAAAAAAAAGCTCCCTGTATTGAATTGAGCAGCTGAAAGGCAAACACCTGGCCTTTTATCTCCAATTATGCTGCTTGGGCTGGTAGAGTGTTTGGGATAAAACGTATTTACACCAAAAACAATCCTTCTTGCTTCTTCCTGGTCTATACCTCTTTTCCTTCTTTAAAACATAATATTTATTGATTTTTTTTCTAATTACAAAAATAATTCATGGTCAATGCCACAAATCCCAAGAACAAAGAAAAAAAAACCAAAAGTCTATAATTTCACCACTTGGAAATAATCTTACTATATGTTTTCTGAAGATGCGGTGATATATGATTCTCGGGGTTTATAATTACAATACATCATGACCACTTAGTAAGAAAAAGGAATTGTAAGTTGAAACAAGAATGTTAAAGGTGGCCAGGCATGGTGGCTCATGCCTGTAATCCCAGCACTTTGGGAGGCCGAGGTGGGAGGATTGCCTGAGGTCAGGAGTTCGAGACCAGCCTGGCCAACATGGTGAAACCCTGTCTCTACTAAAAATACAAAAATTAGCTGGGTATGGTGGCAGGAATCGAACAGTATTGCCAGACCTTCTGACTGTTCAAAGGAAGCCAGAAAGCTGGATTTTAAAATTTGATTTCTTAAATAGTTCAAATTTCAAATACTTATGAGTCAATATTCTGAAGAACAAACATAAGCAAAGTTAGCCTACAGACTACCATTTTGCAACTTTCACACATGCCCAGAACTAAAGAGAGAGAAAGATTAGATATGGATATAGATATGATACAGATGTAGGCATTAAAAAGATATATATAGAGAGATACATCTCTATATATCTCACGTGTAGACACATAGTAGACAATTTATATGTGGGAGAATTTTCAAACCAAGGCAAGAATAAAAAACCAGGACAGTTTTCATCGTCTGGCCTGTGTTCCTTTGATCATTTGGGCAGGGGCTGAGCTGAAGTGTCACTTGGTACTGATTATAAAAAGAGAAGCTCATTAGGCAAATTTATGATATCATCAAGACTATAGGTGAATTCTTCTTAAAATTACTTGATGCAAGAAACTTCTGAGTATACACTAATACACAAGGCAATTATGTATTAACCAATATAAAAACTTCATTAAGACATATATTAAATTGTTGTTTTTGTTCTATGTCCAGAATACCTCAGTATTCTGAATTGTTGCTATTTCCAAAATATAGCAACAATTCATGACCAGGTGCAGTGGCTCATGCCTGTAATCCCAGCACTTTGGGAGGCCAAAGTGGGTGGATCACCTGAGGTCAGGAGTTTGAGACCAGCTTGGCCAATGTGGTGAAACCCCATCTCTACTAAAAATATAAAAATTGGCTGGGCACGGTGGCTCATGCCTGTAATCCCAGCACTTTGGGAGGCTGAGGCGGGTGGATCACTAGGTCGGGAGTTTGAGATCAGCCCGGCCAACATGGTGAAACCCCGTCTCTACTAAAAATACAACAACAACAACAAAATTAGCTGAGTGTGGTGGTATACACCTGTAGTCCCGGCTACTCGGGAGGCTGAGGCAGGAGAATCGCTTGTACCCAGGGCGCAGAGGTTGCAGTGATTCGAGATGGTGCCACTGCACTCCAGCCTGAGTGATGGAGCGAGATTCCGTCTCAAAAAAACAAAAAACAAAACAAAACAAAAATCATTAGCCAGGCGTGAGGGTGCACACCTGTAATCCCAGCTACTCAGGAGGCTGAGGCAGGAGAATCAGTTGAACTCAGGAGGCGGAGGTTGCAGTGAGCCAAGATAGCGCCACTACACTGCAACCTGGGCAACAGAGTGAAACTCTGTCTCAAAAAAAAAAAAAAAAAAAAAGAAGAAAAAGAAAAAAATAGAAAAAAATAACAATTCAAACTTCTTGCTAATTTACATAGATATCCTTAGGAATTATTTCAAAATAGAGACTACTGGCTAAATATGGTTTTACTACTTTCAATCTATACTTACTATGCTTGAAATACAAAATTGTTTAAGGTGACTTTGTTTTTGCTTCTGAAGATTAGAAAACTGTAATTAAGTTTAATAAGAGATATCAGTATATCCATTCACTAGCTCTCTGATATGTAAGATATGACTATTCTTTTTCACATGACTCATAAAGTAGCTTCTAGGAAATTCCAGAAAATGACTTTCAAAAATGTTTGAGCAATGATAACATCATTAATGTAATGATGTGCCTTCCATGTAATACATGCCTTCTCACAAGGTAAAATCTTTTTTTTTTTTTTTTTTTTTTTTGAGACGGAGTCTTGCGCTGTCGCCCAGGCTGGAGTGCAGTGGAGTGATCTCGGCTCACTGCAAGCTCCGCCTCCTGGGTTCACGCCATTCTCCTGCCTCAGCCTCCCAAGTAGCTGGGACTACAGGCAACATTTAAAAATATTTATTTATAGTTACATTTCATGCAGCAAAATCTAATAGAAGTGAAATGGAATAATTCCACTTTGTATTATCTTTGCTATGTGGGTATACAAATCTATGTAAAATTGAACAACAAACCAACCCTCACAAAGGTAAGGGTTCTTACTATTTCCTCATGAATGAAATTTTTATGACTAGGTCATTGGATAATCAACTATTGGCCTGAATAAGCCACCTAGCATATTATGTAGCGGTATGTACTAAAGCTGAAATAATACATTCCTAAGTTTTAAAATACTTGCTTCTCGTGCCTTACAAATGCAGAAATAGTACTGGAGTGACCTGTGTTTCCTGAATCTAATTCCTGTACTATAGCTTTATAAATATTCTCTGGTGCTTACAAATACAGCAGGAGAAGGAACTGCCTAAACAGAAACACTGAGCTGGGCAGTAGGATTCGCCAGGATGATCCAAGTATTTACATGTAGCTATCATCATGAAAAATGTCAGAACTCCTCTGAGTCACCCACCGTCTGGAATAATGAGTGCTAGTGCCTTCTAATTCAGACACAGTTGTAAGAACACCAACAGGTGTCCTTTTATTTTGTATCTATTGTTGCCTAATGGGGATAAAAATGATTATTGAGCATCTGCCAACCTGATAATATACTACAATTATCCTAACCATGTAACACCTATCAGCCCTTTAACAGGGGTGTAAGTGGAATACATCCAGGTAAAAGTAGCTTAAATCTCCCAGTAGTTTTAGGATATATTTCATTATTTTGAGTTCCTTCTTAGAAATAACAAAAAGGGAAAAGTGTATTTTTCCTCTTTAGGCCAAACTTGGACATATTAAAATACATATTTGTTTGATTTGAAAAAAATTATTATTCTAAACCATTACCATCTTGTCATGTTGGTCCTGAAGATTAAAAATGGCTCAAAGTTTAAATGTTCCTTTGCCTAAGGTATTTCTAGTACAGTTTTATTCTCTGCTATTATATTTCTAAAAGTACTTACTATTGTAGATCTATTTTTCCCATTTTTATGGTAAAATACACATAAAATTTACCATCTGAACCATTTTTAAGTGTACAGTGGTATTGGTATTAAATAGTTATAATATTGTGCAACCATCACCACTATTCACCACCTTAACACTTTTCATGTTCTAAGACTGAAACTCTATACCCATTAAACAATCACTCCCCATTTCTCCCTCCCCCTGCCCCTTGGCACCATTCTACTGTCTGTCATAATTTTGTCTACTCTAAGTACTTCATTAAGAGAATCACACGGTATTTTTGTTTTTGTGAATAGCTTATTTCATTTAGCATAATATCCTCTAGGTTCATCCATGTGGTAGCATTATGTCAGAAATTCAGTCCTTTTAAGGCTGAATAATATTCCATTGTAGGTATTTTGCTTACCAATTCATCCAACAATGGGCAGATGGATTGCTTCCATGTTTTAGTCATTGCGAATAATGCTGCTATAAACATGGATGCACGAAATCTCTTTGAGACCCTGCCTTCAATTTGTTTTGGTACATACACAAAAGTAGAACTGAGAGATCATATGATAATACTATTTTTAGTGTTTTGGGGAGCTGCCACCATGTGTAAAAGTGGTTGTACCATTTTACATTCTTAGAAACAACGCTCAAGGGTTCTAATTTCTCCACATCCTCACCAACACTTGTTATTTTCTGCTTTTTTTTAAATAGTAGCCATCCTAATGGGTGTGAGGCAATATCTCATTGAGTTTTGATTTGCATTTGCCTAATTGGTATTGTTGAACATCTTTTCATGTGCTTAATGGCCATTTGTATAGCTTCTTTGAAGAAATATCTTTTCAAGTCCTTTGCCTATTTTTGAATTGAGTTATTTGGGGTTTTTTGGTTGAGTTTTAGCAGTTCTCTGTATATTTTTGGATATTACTCCCTTATCAGATACATGATTTGAAAATATTTTCTCCTGTTCTGTGGGTTGCCTTTTTATGCTGTTGATATTATTTTTTGATGTACAAAATGTTTTCATTTCATGAAGCCCAATTTATCTATTTCTTCTGTTGTTGCTTGTGCCTTTTGTATCATATCCAGAAAATGACTGCCAAATCCAATATCATAGAGCTTTTGCTCTATATTTTCTTCTAAGAGTTTTATGGTCCAGTTTCATGAAGGGAGGAGCACCCAGATTTCATGCCACCACACAAGCCCACACCACATTCTTCTCTGTGTTCTGACATTGAGGGGTCCTCCCCTGCTAGAGATTAGACCACAAGTCTCATCTCTATACCCCTGGGCAGTGGGCTCATGTCCTGGGGAACCAGGACAAGGCCAGTGGATTTCTCCTCTGGCCCCTCAGGCTCAAGCACTGGATATGGTAGGGAGGAGAGAACTGCTCCCAGGTCACCAACAAAATACTTAGGCAGGGCAATAGAATGTATGCTGTGGAGATTCCCTGCAGAAACAGCCAGGCAGGTGATCTTGGGAAGAACTGGCAGGTATGAGACATATGGTTCAGATGCACCTTAGTCCTGCAGCAATGGTGGTGGAGCCTGTCTATGGGGCATATGAGTGTGCCTGGGCCCTGATCACTTCTCAGCGTAGCAGACAGCAGTGTCTGCAGCTGCTTAGGGCAGGATAGAGAGCCTTAGGGGGTGGGAGCCCAGCGTCATGCTTTGCTGCAACTGTCCAGTACACTAAAACTTTTTGGGGTCCACGTGACTTCAAGCAGTGCCTCCGTGTGGTCTCCAGGTATCTCCCTCTGCCAATGCAAAGGTCTGTGGTAGTCATGGAACTCTCCTGTAGCTAGGAACTCAGGTTCATGATGGGAATGTGGTGCTGTGGTGTTCCTTCACTTACCTTTCCTTGGGTCCAGGTCTAGGTCTGGTGGCTGGTCCTGGCACCCAGCAGCAACTCTGAGCGGGCAGCCTCTCTTTAACCATGGTCTCTTCCATTGCCTCTTTGTTGAATTTCAGTGCTTTCTCACAAAAGGTCTGTTTGACGTGTGAAGATTTGTTGATATTTTGGTTCCTCTGCATGGAAGAGGCACAACCTAGCTATATCTAGCCAGCTATCTTGAATTCTAGGTAAGTGTAGAATGTAGCTTCAGAAAATTCATTCATTGGCCTTTAATATTAATTATGATAGAGTATCTCTATTTTATGAAATTAACCCAAAAGTCTGTAAATTGTAAATAATATTGAGAATGACCAACAGTTAACTAGAATTAAACTGTTAGTATATAATTTATAGGCTTATCCTCTCATTATTAATTAACTTAACATGGTCGTCTTCTTTGCCCCATAGTTTATAAAGGTAGACAATATAAAAGTCTTTCTTAATGTTACATGTCCACATATTATGCTATGTGAAATAAGCCTGTCACAAAAAGAAAAATGTATGATTCCACTTATATGAAGTATATAAAGTCGTCAAATTCATAAAAACAGAGTAGAATGGTGGCTACCAGGGGCTGGAAATGGGGGAAACAAGGAATTATTGTTTAATAAATATAGATTTCTGAATTGAAAGATGAAAAAATTCCAGAAATCTCTTTCATAAAAATGTGAATATTTTTAACACTACTGTACTATACACTTAAAAATGCTTAAGGTGGTTAAAACATAGTTACAAGCTCATCACATCAAGAAAATAATTGTATCACACTAGTCTTTTAGGAAGATAATTAGTCTATCTAATGATATTCCAATAAGCAAAATTATCAGAGTAATGTTACCAAAAAATACTGTTTTAAATGACAGTGAAGTATAATTTTAAAGGAATAGGATGCCAATACTGTATTAGTCTGTTCCTGCATTGCTATAAAGAACTACCTGAGACTGGGTAATTCATGAAGAAAAGAGGTTTAATTGACTCACAGTTCTGCAGGCTGTACAGGAAGCATGGCTGGGGAGGCCTCGGGAAACTTACAATTATGGCGGAGGGTGAAGGGGAAGCAGGCACATCTTCCTATGGGAGATCGGGATGGGGGAGTGTTACACATTTTCTTCTTCTTTTTTTCTGAGATGGAGTCTCCCTCACTCTGTCACCCAGGCTGGAGTGCAGTGGCACAATCTCGGCTCACTGCAACATCCACCTCCTGGGTTCAAGCAATTCTCCCTCCTCAGCCTCCCGAGTAGCTGGGATTACAGGCATCCACTGTCATGCCCGGCTAATCTTTTTATTTTTGTAATGAGAACTCTCTATCATGAGACAACATTAGAGGAACAGTGCTAAACCATTAGAAATCACCGCCATGATTAAATCATCTCCCACCAGGCCCCTTCTCCAACACTGGGGATTACAATTCAACATGAGATTTGCTGGGGGGACACAGAGCCAAACCATATCAAATACTTTCTATTATTTTCACACTCCCAAAGACAACTGGTAATATGAAGTCACTTTCTCAAAGACTGTGTATTATAGTTCAACCAATTACATTTCCCACTTGAAAATACATGTTAAAGGCACAGTGATAAATAAGGCAGGGAAATTATTTCCAGCCAATGTTTACAGGGGCTGCAAACAAGCATCTAGGAATAGAGCAATACTGCCTGAATTACCTGCTTTATCTTTGCACTAAGTGATAGCCAGAAAGCCTATAAGAACTAGTGCCTAATTCATAAGTAAATAATTCAATTGATGTGAAAGCTCTTTGAAGGTATATAAAAAATTAGTATTATTAAAAGGCTGCTATAAAATGCTAATCCCATTGTAGGAAAAACTTACTACTATTATTCATTTTTGACAAATTAATGCATTTCTGGGAAACTGTAATAGCTTTTGTATTGGTCTTAGATCCCTATTTTCTACTCCTCTGTCTTCCTACTAGGTCCCACTCTGATCAGGGTAAGAAAAGGTGTAAAAGGTTTTAGAATATTGGAAGGAGATTTTCTATGAGAAGTATAGTAATTCTGATGTGAGATGAAGCTTCTCTATGACAAGAATGGCAATACAGTGAGGTAATTGTAACCATCTAAACTAGAATTCATTTACATTACATGGCTTATAAAAACTATAAAGATCAAAAAGAAGAAAATAGAAAGCCACAAAAGTCCCATGCTGTCATTGCTAGAAGACAATGTACTTTGAAAATAGATCCAGAATGATCAATTCCAAAATATACTGAAGTAAAATTAATACACATTTTTTAAAATAAAGAAAATTTAGCATTTCCTCTAGGCAAAAATAAACTTACAATGATTTCTTATTCAAAACCAAACCAAACCAAACTAAAATGACTTGGTAACACATTCTGTTGTTATGGTTGTAGGGAAAGAGACCCTCTCATTTTCCCAAGGCTAAGATCCTATCGGTTTTTTCCATGTCAACTCTGATGTCACCTCCTCAGAGTGGCTTTCCTTGACTACCCAATCCAAAGAATCTTAAGATGTGTTGTTAATTTCTTTACTTATTATTTCTTGCCCCTATCCCAGACAGTAAGCTCATTGGAGACAGGGGCCTTATCAGTCTTGTTAGATGCTGCATTCCCATAATAAATGCTTAACAACTCTACGATGAATGATGGATATCTAAAGGTTAAAAAAAAAAAACCTCTTTAGAGAAAAAAATAGGTATCTAAGATATGACAACTTTAGAAGAAAAAATATTTATAAATTCTAAACATACAGATTCTTTTGAAATTCTAAGGGCAGTTTGATATACATCAGCATTTCTTAAGATATGAAAATGTAGCAGGAGTGAACTTCTAGTTTGTATAGGTTACCGTTAACATTTTTTTTTTTTTGAGACAGAGTCTTATTCTATCCCCCAGGGCTGGAGTGCAGTGGTGCGATCTCTGCTCACTGCAACCTCCGCCTCCCGGGTTCAAGCGATTCTCCTGCCTCAGCCTCCCAAGCAGCTGGGATTACAGGTGTGCACTCCCATGTCCAGCTAATTTTTGTATTTTTAGTAGAGATGGGGTTTCACCATGTTGGTCAGGCTGGTCTCAAACTCCTGACCTCAGGTGATCTGCCCACCTCGGCCTCCCAAAGTCCTCGGATTACAGGCATGAGCCACTGCACCTGGCCATGAATTGTTGCTATTTTTAAAAAACAGCAACAATTCAGAATACTGAGGTATTCTGGACATAGAACAAAAACAATAATCTAATATATGTCTTAATGAAGTTTTTATATTGGCTAATACATAATTGCCTTGTGTATTAGTATATACACAGAAGTTTCTTGAATCAAGTAATTTTAATAAGTTAAGAATACACCTTGGCTGGGCGCGGTGGCTCACGCCTGTAATCCCAGCACTTTGGGAGGCCGAGGCGGGCGGATCACTTGAAGTCAGGAGTTTGAGACCAGCCTGACCAACATGGAGAAACCCTGTCTCTGCTAAAAATACAAAATTAGCCGGGTGTGGTGGTGGGCGCCTGTAATCCCAGCTACTCGGGAGACTGGGGCAGGAGAGAATCACTCAAACCTCAGAGGCGGAAGTTGCGGTGAGCCAAGATCATGCCATTGCACTTCAGCCTGGGCAACAAGAGTGAAACTCCGTCTCAAAAAACAAACAAACAAACAAAAAAAAAACAAAAAAAAACACCTATAGTCTTGATGATACCATAAATTTGCCTAATGAGCTTCTCTTTTTATAATCAGTACCAAGTGACACTTCAGCTCAGCCCCTGTCCAAATGATCAAAGGAACACAGGATAGATGATGCAAATTGTCCTGGTTTTTTATTCTTGTCTTGGTTTGAAAATTCTCCCATATATAAATTGTCTACTATGTGTCTACACGTGAGATATATAGAGATGTATCTCTCTATATATATCTTTTTAATGCCTACATCTGTGTCTATTCATATCTATATCCATATCTAATCTTTCTCTCTCTTTAGTTCTGGGCATGTGTGAAAGTTGCAAAATGGTAGTCTGTAGGCTAACTTTGCTTATGTTTGTTCTTCAGACTATTGACTCACACAGTATTTGAAATTTGAACTATTTAAAAAATCAAATTTTAAAATCCAGCTTTCTGGCTTCCCTTGAACAGTCAGAAGGTCTGGCAGTACTGTTCGATTCCATGTCCAACAAATCAGGTAGAACTGCAGGAAGGCTACTCCTGTGATATGGGCCTTGTGCCCTGACATTCACCATAGTCTCCATCACTTCCTAATGCTTCCTGACATACAGGCCTGGGATCAGTTGTCATTTATCATCTAGTATCGGGCCTGAGTTTGAAATCCTTGATGTAAGTCCTTCTAAGGATTTTGGTTTTAACATTAAGGTCAATGAGGATGGTTTTAAGCAGGGGAGTGACATGGTATGAGGTCATGGAAATTTGACTGGCTTGCAGGGGATAGTATTCTGCTCCTGTAAAGATAATGTGCTCATTGGCACACAGTTACTTCTTCCAAGCTAGAAGTAGTGGTTATTTGCTGTCTGGCAGGTCTGTGATTCTCCCCCTTCACTTTTTGGCCAGAAAAGAGTACCACTGTTTCTAATTTCCCTCAATCAGACTATTTTGTGTATTTGTCTACTGAGTGTGATTTTTCTGTCACCTGGAGCTGCATCACATTGTGGAAAACTGGGCTATTGGACTCATGTGGCTGTGTAAACACCAGAGGTTGGTGCACAGAGCCCCTCAGATTGCCAAAAATATGAATTAGTTGATGATACTGTTCCCAACGTCTTCCTCACTATTCTCCCGCATGGCCTAGCTTTTTAGATCCAGCTATTAAACAGTGAGGTGACAAAAATAAAATTAATATGACAGAATGACAGCCTCACTTTTGGTAGAACTAGATGATGCAAATGCCCTTAATTAGATTCAATTCCATATGCCTAGAGAGTAAACTCTTCTTCTAAAAGATAGAATACTAATGTCTTGCATTGATGAAGGGCCTTTCATCTGGGAGTTTTCTCGCAGGGTTTACAGACCAGTATGGCACAGTAAAAGCAAAGCAAAGACAACATCAACCACAAATGGAATGCAACAACTGCTTAATGGTCTATGACAAGACAGTAGACCAGGAGCTATAAGAAGCTGTTAAAAACATTGTTAATATTTCTCTAGAATAGAAAGTGTTATTTGATACAAAAAATCAAATTTTAACAAAAATAAATTCCTGGAGCCTAAGAGCTAGCTGTTTTAAACTCTGAGGACAGAACGAGTAGTCTTCCAATGTGTCAGGATATTTTTATACTTGATCTTTGAAGGTGATTAGAGAGTTTATCTCAATGTCTTTAAAGAATGGCTAGGGGGAAGGGGAACACTAAGATATATCTAATCCCTCAACATGCCAATCCTTACAATGATACTGTGAGGTATATATTATTAGGGATATTATAGAGATGAGAAAATTGAAGTTCAGAGAAGATGAGGAATTTACCCAAGATAACTCAGTTACTGGTGAAACTAGAATTCAAATTAGGTCTGTCTGTTTGATTTCAAGCACATATTTTTTTCCTACTCTGCCATATTACTATTCACAGAAGCTTTTGACACTTCTTGTGTCCAAAAATAGACAGTGTGTTTTCTATGTAACAGGTCTTTTGTCTGCCCCATAAAAAAATTAGATTTAATTTCGTGGAAACATATGGAAGAGCTGGTCCTGTCACATCTCCATCTGCTTCCTAAACTAACACTGACTTGTGTCCCCCCAAATGCTGCACATATGGTTTCTGCCTTCTCCTTACTGCAGGGTAAGTTCCTTGCCTTACCAAGGGCACTTTTCCTAAGCTATTCAAGTGTTTGTTAATGTGGCTTGTTGACTTGGAGTGTGACTTACAGTTCCAACATTGCTCTTATCATTCTTGCAGAGGTGCTAGGGTTCTAATGCAAACTGTTCCTTGCCTCCCTATCCCAGGGCTATAGAGATTCTTGGCTGCTGTCTACTGGTTATCTTCCATAAGGAGTATTAAGTTGGTTAGTAACCTTTTCTTGCCACCCCACCCTCTCCCAGAATGTATATTCTAAAGTAATTTACTTTTACCTTTATAAGGCAACCAACAAGCTTATTCTGCTTTTCTTACCATCTCCCCTTCTTCCTTCAAAATGGATAGCTTTATTATCGCTACATCACCAAAGCATATAATGATTACATGCTATCCTGTCACCTTTATTCCCATGTAAAGGAGAAAATGTTTAAAAATCCAATATCTTTGCATATTAAATTAAATGTTTTCCTCTTCTGTTACTCATGTTTAAGTGAAGTAAATGTACCTGTACTTTTGCAAGGAGCTGCCTGACGGTTCAACCAGAATAGTTGCCCAGACTTCAAAGCTCTTGGGGCTCCCCCTTCTATGGTTACTTTGAAATATTTAAAGAACATGGTAGAACTAAACAATGTAGCTTGGTGCAGCTGTTTCTTCATTTATTCTGAAAATTTCCTTTATTGGCTTCCCCTGCTTCCACCCCCTTGAATCTGGATGGACTATCTCTTTCTTTTTCTTTTTTTCCCCTTTTTATAAACCCTAGAGTTCCTACCTTGGGGTATGTACTCAGTGCAGAGTTCTTTACTTTCTCAGAGAGCCTCTGGGACCAGGCTGTCCAGCAACTGAAATCTCCCTGCAGCCCTCCTGCACTCACCTCAGGTTGGGGGCTGAGAAGCCACCTCCTGTTTCAACTGTTTTTCTGGGAGTGGCTCAGTGAGCTTTCCATTCCCATCAAGGACTCCTCCTCTTCATGGTGATGACTTGTTGGTAATTTCTGAGTTCCTTAGCTCTTAGGACCATCAAAAATCTCTATCTTCCCTCCTTTTTCACAGAGCTCCCACATTCTCCTTACATCCGTCTTGTATTCTGGATTTGAGGGATTCGTTTGTCACTTTGTTTGTCAATGATATTGTCTTTGAATTAATTTTTATTTGTTTTCATATACTACCCTAGTTCCTTTTTCTACTTTTGGGAGGAGCTTAGGGAGATTAAAAATCTACTGTCTTTCCCACACCTTGCTAAAGGATGCTAACTTATTTATTTGTCTCCCTCCTTCTGCCCTCACCCCCGCAGTCTATTTTTGACCCTGAATGAGCCTGCTAAAACTAAGTTAGACCGTCTTTGCTGAAAACTCTTCAATGACTTTCAGCCGGAATCAGATAAAAGCCTGGATTCTTGTAGGCTCAATAGGGTCTCCATGAGCTGGTCCTTTATTACCTCTCTTACCTCCTCTCCTACTACTCTTTCCCTTGCTCACTCTGCCTCTTCATTCTTTTACCAAAAATCTGGCATATTTCAAACTTGGGGATTTTGTATTTGCTGTTACCTCCATCTTGAATGATCTTCCCTAAGACAGCCAATTGGTCCACTTCCTCAGTTGCTTCTGGCCTTTTTTCAAATGTTACCTTCTCTTTGAAGCCTTCTGTCCCCATCTTATCTGAAATGGCACACTCCATGCCATTTGCTAGGCCCTTCTCTGTTGACTATTTCCTCCTTAGTACCTACCACTTTCTAACCTACTATACCTTTTACTTATTATTTTGTTCATGACCTGTCTCCACACTACACAAAGATTAATGTCTATTTGATTTATTGCTGTATTTCCAGCCTTAAGAAAAATTTTTGACCCATAGTAGGTACGTAATAAACATCAGTCGATGAATTAATAAGGGCAGGAAAGTAGGGAAATTGTGGTATAAAACTTAAGAATGAGGAGTAGTTATACCTGGCTAGGCACAGGAGATGGGGATAAGACAAGAACTGACTTTGAACTAGTTCTTGAAGAATGAGCAGGATAAACAGACTTGTCTGCTGCTGTGATTTCACAGAGGTCTGCATTTATTTCAGACAGGTGTGTGACATGTTGAAGAGGGTGATAAGGCACATGAAGTTGTTAAAGTGATGCCTGGTTTGAGTGTTAATGATTTGGAAGGTGATGGGTCCATGTGTGTTGAAGGGAGATGTTAAGTTTGGATTGGGTTTTGAACTTTTAGGGGTTCTTGAAGGGAGATGTTAAGTTTGGATTGGGTTTTGAACTTTTAGGGGTTCTTGGCTGCTAGAAACATAAACCAGATCAGGTCATCATAAGAAAAAAGGAAATTTGCTGCAAGGTTTGGGGCTCACAAATTTGATGGGAGGTTTGTAGAATCAAGAGCTGGCCAACAGACACTACCGCAAAAGTTATGCAACAGGAACAATCTGTTATCAGCTCCCCATGGACTGAGTATTAATCCTCAATGTTTTTCAATATATTCATCCATCTTCCTGCCAGTGGAGATTTGGGTTGTTTTCAGATTTTTGCCATTACAAACAGTGCTGTTATGTATTTATGTTTTCTGTTATAGATGTATAAGCCTTTCTATGGGGTAAAATTGCCAGTTCATAAGATATGTTCATATTCAACTCTATAAGATGATGCCAAACTTTTTCCGTTTTATGCCAGACTATATAAATGTTACTTTGTTCCACATCCTTACCCACACTTCTGTTTTTTTTAAGTATACCTTAAAATTTGCATATGGTAAAATGTACTCTTATAACTATTACAGTGGTATGGGTTTTTAAAAATGCATACAGCCTTGTATCTACTACCACAATCAGGATACAGAACAGTTTAATCACCCCTGAATATTTCCTCTGCTGCCCTTTGTAGTCAATTTCTCCTTCATCCCCAGGTTCTGACAATCATGGATCTATCCCTATCTCTATCCCTATCATTTTGCCTTTTCCAGAGTGTTATGTAAATGGAATCCTGGGCCTGGTTTCTTTTATTCCACAAAGTGCATTTGAGATTCATTCATTTGTTGCATGTATTAGTAGTTCATTCTTTTTTTTTTAAATTGTTGAGTACTATTCCATTGTATAGATGTACCACAGTTTGTTTACCCATTCCCTAGGTGAAGATCATTTGGGTTGTTTCCATTTTGGCAATTATGAATAAAGCTGCTATTAATATTTGTGTACAGATTTTTGTGTAAACACATTTTCATTTCTCTTGCATAAATATCTAAAAGTGGAATTGCTGAGTCATATGGTAACTATGTTTAACTTTATAAGAAACTGCCATTCTGCTTTCCAGAACAGATGTATGACACTTATACACACAGTAATGAGAGCTCTAGTTGCTCTGTATCCTTGACTGCATTGGGTATTGTCATTTTAAAAAGTCATTCTAACAGGCATATGGTGGCATATCATTGTTTTAATTTGCATTTCCCTAATGACAAATGATGTTCAACATCTTTAAAACAATTTTAAAAAAAATTTCCATAGGTTCTTTGGGAACAGGTGTTGTTTGGTTATGTGAGTAAGTTCTTTAGTGGTGATTTGTGAGATTTTGGTGCACCCATCGCCTGAGCAATATACACTGCACCCTATTTGTAGTCTTTTATCCCTCACCCCTTCCCGTCCTTTCCCCCTGAGTCCCCAAAATCCATTGTGTCATTCTTATGCCTTTGCATTCTCACAGCTTAGTTCCCACTTATGAATGAGAACATATGATGTATGGTTTTCCATTTCTGAGTTATTTCACTTAGAATAGTAGTCTCCAATTTCATCCAGGTCACTGCAAATGCTGTTAATTCATTCCTTTTTATGGCTGAGTAGTATTCGAACATATATATATATATATATTTATATATATATCACAGTTTCTTTATCCACTCATTGATTGATGGGCATTTGGGTTGGTTCCATGTTTTTGCAGTTGCAAATTGTGCTGCTATAGACATGCATGTGCAAGTATCTTTTTCGTATAATGACTTCTTTTCCTCTGGTTAAATACCCAGTAGTGGGATTGCTGGATCAAATGCTAGTTCGGCTTTTAGTTCTTTAAGGAATCTTCACACTGTTTTCCATAGTGGTTGTACTAGTTTACATTCCCACCAGTAATGTAGAAATATTCCTTGTTCACCGCATCCATGCCAACATCTACAATTTTTGGACTTTCTGATTGTGGCCATGCTTGCAGGGGTAAGGTGGCATCACATTGTGGTTTTGATTTGCATTTCCCTGATCATTAGTGATTTTGAGCATTTTTTCATGTTTGTCAGCCATTGGTATATCTTCTTTTGAGAATTGTCTGTTCAGGTCCTTAGCCCACTTCTTGATGGGATTGTTTGTTTTTTTCTCACTAATTTGTTTGAGTTTGTTGTAGATTCTGGGCATTAGTCCTTTGTCAGATGTATAGATTGTGAAGAGTTTTTCCCACTCTGTGGGTTGTCTGTTTACTCTGCTGACTGTTCCTTTTGCTGTGCATAAGTTCTTTAGTTTAGTTAAGTCCCAGCAATTTATCTTTGTTTTTATTGCATTTGCTTTTGGGTTCTTGGTCAATAAATCCTTGCCTAAGCCAATATCTAGAAGGGTTATTCCAATGTTATCTTCTAGAATTTCTATAGTTTCAGGTCTTTATTTAAGTCCTTGATCTATCTTGAGTCGATTTTTGTGTAAGGTGAGAAATGAAGATCCAGTTTCATTCTCCTACATGTGGCTAGCCAAGTATCCCAGCACCATTTGTTGAAAAGGATGTCCTGGCCGGGTGTGGTGACTCATGCCTGTAATCCCAGCACTTTGGGAGGCTGAGGTGGGCGGATCATGAGGTCAGGAGTTCGAGACCAGCCTGGCCAACATCGTGAAACCCCATCTTTACTGAAAATACAAAAAATTAGCTGGGCATGGTGGCAGGCGCCTGTAATCCCAGTTACTTGGGAGGCTGAGGCAGGAGAATTGCTTGAATCTGGGAGGCAGAGGTAGTTGCAGTGAGCCGCAGCTGCACCACTGCACTCCAGCCTGGGTGACAGAGCAAGTCTCTGTCTCAAAAAAAAAAAAGAAAGAAAGAAAAGGTTGTCCTTTCCCCACTTGATGTTTTTGCTTGCTTTGTCAAAGATCAGTTGGCTATCAGTATTTGGGTTTATTTCTGGGTTCTCTATTCTTTTCCATTGGTCTATGTGCCTATTTTTTGTACCAGTCCCATGCTGTTTTGGTGACTATGGCCTTATAGTATAGTTTGAAATCAGGTAATGTGATGCCTCCAGATTTGGTCTTTTTTGCTTAGTCTTGCTTTGGCTATGTGGGCTCTTTTTTGATTCCATATGAATTTTAGATTTTTTTTTAATTCTGAGAAGAATGATGATGGTAGTTTGATGGGAATTGCATTGAATATGTAGATAGCTTTTGGCAGTATGGTCATTTTCACAATATTGATTCTACCCATCCATGGGATGGTGATGGGTTCTATCAATGGATAGAATCAATGGCATGGGATGTGTTTCCATTTGTTTGTGTTGTCTATGATTTCTTTCAGCAGTGTTTTGTAGTTTTCCTTGTAGAGGTCTTTCACCTCCTTGTTTAGGTATATTCCTAAGTATTTTATTTTTTATTTTTTGCAGCTATTGTAAAAGGGGTTGAGTTCTTGATTTGATTTTCTGCTTGGTTGCTGTTGGTGTATAGAAGAGCTACTGATTTGTGTACATTAATCTTGTATCCAGAAACTTTGCTGAATTCTTTTATCAGTTCTAGGAGCTTTCTGGAGGAATCTTTGGGGTTTTCTAGGTAAACAATCTTACCATCAGTAAACGGTGACAGTTTGACTTCCTCTTTACTGATTTGGATGCCCTTTATTTCTTTCTCTTGTCTGATTGCTCTGGCTAGGACTTCCAGTACTGTGTTGAATAGGAGTGGTGAGAGTGGGCATCCTTGTCTTTTTCCAGTTCTCAGAGGGAATGCTTTCAACTTTTTCCCATCCAGTATTATGTTGGCTGTGGGTTTGTCATAGATGGCTTTTATTATATTGAGGTATGTCCCATGCATGCCGGTTGTGCTGAGGTTTTTAATCATAGAGAGATGCTGGATTTTGTCGAACGCTTTTTTGGCATCTGTTGAGATGATCATGTGATTTTTGTTTTTAATTCTGTTTATGTGGTGTATCACATTTATTGACTTGCATATGTTAAACCATCCCTGCCTCCCTGGTATGAAACCCACTTGATCATGGTGAATTATCTTTCTGATATGTTGTTGGATTCAGTTAGCTAGTATTTTGTTAAGGATCTTAGCATCTATGTTCATCAGGGATATTGATCTATAGTTTTCTTTTTTGGTTATATCCTTTCTTGGTTTTGGTATTAGGGTGATGCTGGCTTCATAGAATGAATTATGGAGGGTTCCCTCTTTCTCTATCTTGTGGAATAGTGTCAATAGGATTGGTACCAATTCTTCTTTGAATGTCTGGTAGAATTCTGCTGTGAATCTGTCTGGTCCTGGACTTTTTTTTGTTGGTAATTTTGTAATTACCATCTCAATCTCATGGCATGTTATTGGTCTGTTCAGGGTATCTAATTCTTCCTGATTTAAGCTAGGAGGATTGTATCTTTCCAGTTATTTATCCATCTCTTCTAGGTTTTCTAGTTCATGTGCATAAAGGTGTTCATAGTGGCCTTGAGTGGTCTTTTGTATTTCTATGGTGTCAGTTGTAATATCTCCCATTTCATTTCTTATTGAGCTTATTTGGATTTTCTGTCTTCTTTTGTTGGTTAATCTTGATAATGGTCTATCAATTTTATTATCTTTTCAAAGAACTAGCTTTTTGTTTCATTTACCTTTTGTATTTCTTTTTTTTTGTTTCAGTTTCATTTAGTTCTGCTCTGATGTTGGTTATTTCTTTTCTTCACTGGGTTTGAGTTTGGTTTGTTCTTGTTTCTCTAGTTCCTTGAGGTATGACCTTAGATTGTCTGTGCTCTTTCAGACTTTTCAATGTAGGCATTTAGGACAATGAATTTTCCTCTTACCACCACCTTTGCTGTGTCCCAGCGGTTTTGATAGGTTGTGTCACTGTTGTTCAGCTCGAAGAATTTTTAAACTTCCATCTTGATTTCATTTTTGACCCAGTGCTCATTCAGGAGCAGGTTATTTAATTTCCATGTATTTGCATGATTTTGAAAGTCCCTTTTGGAGTTGATTTCCAGTTTTATTCCACTGTGGTCTGAGTAAGTGCTTAATATAATTTCAATTTTTAAATATTTATTGAGGCTTGTTTTGTGGCATATCATATGGTCTATCTTAGAGAAAGTTCCATGCACTCTTGAATAGGATGTATGTTCTGTGGTTGTTGGATGGAATGTTCTGTATATATCTGTTAAGTCCATTTGTTCCAGGGTATAGTTTAAATTCATTGTTTCTTTGTTGACTTTCTGTCTTGATGACCTGTCTAGTGCTGTTGGTGGAGTATTGAAGTCCCCCACTATTGTCGTGTTGCTGTCTATCTCATTTCTTAGGTCTATTAGTAATTGTTTTATAAATTTGGCAGCTCCAGTGTTAGGTACATATATGTTTAGGATTGTGATATTTTCCTGTTGGACAAGGCCTTTTATCATTGTGTAATGTTCCTCTTTGTCTTTTTAAACTGCTGTTGCTTTAAAGTTTGTTTTGTCTGATGTAAGAATAGCTACTGCTGCTCGCTTTTGGTGTCCATTTGCCTGAAATGTCTTTTTCCACCCCTTTACCTTAAGTTTGTGTGAGTCCTTATGTGTTAGGTGAGTCTCTTGAAGGCAGCAGATAGTTGGTTGGTGAATTCTTATCCATTCTTCAATTCTGTATCTTTTAAGTGGAGCATTTAGGCCATTTATATTCAATGTTAGTATTGAGATGTGAGGTACCATTCCATTCATTGTGCTGTTTGTTGCCTGTGTATCTTGGTTTTTTGTTTTTGTCTTTTAAATTGTATTTTTGTTTTATAGGTCCTGTGAGACTGATGCTTTAAAGAGGTTCTATTTTGATGTGTTTCCAGGATTCGTTTCAAGATTTAGAGCTCCTTTTAGCAGTTCTTGTAGTTGTGGGTTGGTAGTGGCAAATTCTGTCAGCATTTGTCTAAAAAAGACTGTATCTTTCCTTCTTATATGAAGCTTAGTTTCACTGGATACAAAATTCTTGGCTGATAATGGTTTTGTTTGAAGAGGCTGAAGATAGGGCCCCAATCCTTTCTAGCTTGTAGGGTTTCTGCCGAGAAATCTGTTGTTAATCTGATAGGTTTTCCTCTATGTGTTACCTGGTGCTTTTGTCTAACAGCTCTTGAGATTCTTTCCTTTGTCTTAACTTTAGATAACCTGATGACAATGTGCCTAGGCCATGATCTTTTTGTGATGAATTTCCCAGGTGTTCTTTTTGCTTCTCGTATGTGGATGTCTAGGTCTCTATCAAGGCCAGGGAAATTTTCCTCGATTATTCCCACAAATATGCTTTCCAAACTTTCAGATTTCTCTTCTTCCTCAGGAACATCAATTAGGTTTGGTCATTTAACATAATCCTGGACTTCTTGGAGGCTTTGTTCATATTTTCTTATTCTTTTTTCTTTGACTTTGTTGGACTGGGTTAATTCAAATATCTTGTCTTTGAGCTCTGAATTTCTTTCTTCTACTTGTTCAATTCTATTGCTGAGATTTTCCAGAGCATTTTGCATTTATGTAAGTGTGTCCATTGTTTCCTGAAATGTTGATTGATTTTTATTTCTCCTTCTTGTAGTCTCTGTGCATTGAAGGGTTAGGCATTTATTGTAGTCTTCACTGCTTGGGCTTACTTGTAACCATCCTTCTTGGCAAGGCTCCCCAGATATTCAAAAGGACTTGGGTGTTGTGATCTAAGCTGTATCTGCTTTAGTGGGCACCCCAAACCCAGTAATGCTTTGGTTTTTGCAGTGTCATAGAGGTACCACCTTGATGGTCTTGGACAAGATGTGGGAGAATTATCTGGATTACTAGGCAGACTCTTCTTCTTTTCCCTTAGTTGCTCTTAAACATAGAATCTCTCTGTCCTGAGCCAACTAAAGCTGGGGGTAGAGTGACATAAGCACCCCTGTGGCCACCACCGCTATGACTGCATTGGGCTAGACAAGCAAGCACATTGCAGGGTCTTACCGAAGGCCTGCTGTAACCACTGCCTGGCTACTGCCTATGTTTGCTCAAGGCCCTGGGGCACTACAATCAGCATGTGGCAAAGCCAGCCAGGCCTTTGTCATTCCCTTCAGGGGAGTGAGGTTCCCTAAGCCCCAGGTGGGTCCAGAAGTCGGCGATTGGAGTCAGCGACTAGAGCCAAAAACCTTAGAAGTCTAAGTGGGGTTCTATTGTATTGTGGCTGAGCTGGCAATCAAACCACAGGACACAGTTCTTCCTACTCTTTCTTTTGCATTCCAAAGGCAGAGCAGCCTCACCCTGAAGCTACCACCATCCCCAGCCCATGAAGGGTACTGCCAGATTACTGCTGATGTTCCCTTAAGACCCAAGGTCTCTTAAGTCAGCTTTTCATGAATGTTGCCTGGCCTGAGTCACTCTTCAGGGCAGTGGGCTCCCCTCTGGCCCAGGGCAGGTCCAGAAATATTGTCCAAGAGACAAGTCCTGGGATCGGGGACCCCAAGAGCTTGCTTGTTGCTCTACTCCTCTGTGGCAGTGCTGGTACCTAAGGCATAAGACAAAGCCCCCTGTACTTTTTCCTCTGCTTTTCTCAAGCAGAAGGCCCTGTAGCCACCACAGCTGGTTATGTGCTGAGTATCACCCGAAGCCAGCAAGTCTCAGAGGTTCACCCTAGGCCCTCGATGTGGTACCTGGGTATCACTGCTGGTTATTCAGGGTCCAAGGGCCCTTCAGTTAGCAGGTGACGAATGCTGACAGAAGTTGGTTCTTTCCTTCAAGTCAGCGGGTTCCCTTCTGGCCCAAGGTGTGTCTAGAAATGTCTGAAGTCAGGGCCTGGAACCGGGGCCTCATGACTCTGATCAGTGTCCTATACTACTGTGGCTGGCCTGGTATCCTAGATGTAAGACACAGTCCTCCCCAGTCTTCCCTCACTTCTGCTCAAGCAGAAGGAAGGGGTCTGTTTTGGAGTCTAGATCTGTGGAGCCTGGGTTTAGGGGAAAGGTGATGCCAGAACTCTCTTGGCTGCCCCAGCTGGTGTCTAAATATGTTGCACCTGCACCGCCCACCCTCCGCCCTGCCCCCCGACCTCCACCTCAGTTCACTGTCTTGGGCCTAGTTCAGCACTACGGCTCACCTAAGAGTTGCAGTCTTTATGTCCTAGACTGCCTTTCAAGATTACTTGCAGACATGGAGGGCTGTAGTCTTTGGTAGCAAGGTTTGCAGGCACCGAGTTTGGACTGTTGGGATTGGCAATTTCCCTCTGGCTAGGGCTGGATTAAATGCACCTTCTGTGGTTGAGCACCAACTGAGTTTGATTCGGTTTTCCTTTCTGCTCTAACAGGACATCACTGAGCTCACTGCCTCACAATTGCTGTGTTTCTCCCTCCCCCAGCGCCCAGACGTGCTCTGGGTACCATGCTGCTGCTGCCAGAGGTCGGGGAGGGGTGGCATCCACAATTAAGGAATGTTTTTGTATCTCTTCAGTGCCTCTTTCAGCGATATGAGGTTAAAACCTGGTACTATAAGTGCTCACTTGATTTTTGGTTCTTATAAAGCTGGGTTTTTTTTTGTTTTTGTTTTTTCTGTGTAGATTGTTGTTATCTTGGCAACCCTGCGGGGAGGATCATCGGTGGAGCTTTCTATACCACCATGTTGCTCCCTCTGCTCCCCTGATTTTTGTATATTGATTTTGTATCATGCAACTTTACTGAATTTATTTATCAGATCTAAGAGTTTTTTGGTGGAATCTTTAGGTTTTTCTTAATATAAGATCATATCATCTGCAAAAAGTGACAATTTGACTTCTTCTTTTCTAATTTGGGTGCCTTTTATTTGTTTCTCTTGCCTGATTGCTCTGGCTAGGACTTCTAGTAGTATATTTAATAGAAGTGTTGAAAGTGGACATCTGCCTGTAATCCCAGCACTTTGGGAGGCTGAGGTGGGCGGATTGCTTGAGGTCAAGAGTTCGAGACTAGCCTGGCCAACACAGTAAAACCCAGTCTGTACTAAAAATACAAAAATTAGCTGGATGTGGTGGTGCACACCTGTAATCCCAGCTTCTCCGGAGGCTGATGCAGGAGAATCACTTGAACCCAGGAGGTGGAGGTTGTAGTGAACCGAGATTGCGCCACTGCACTCCAGTCTGGGTGTTAGAGTGAGACTCTTTGCCTTTTTCTAGATCTCAGAGGATAGGCTTTCAGCTTTCTTCTAAATTGTATCTCTGTAATATCAGTTGTAATGTGTCTGTTTTTGTTGCTGATTTTATTTATCTAGGTCTTCTGTCTTTGGTTAGCCTAGCTAGGACTTTATTGATTTTGTTTATATTTTCAAAAAATCAACTTTTTGTTCCTTTGATCTTTGGTGGGTTTTTTTTTTTTTTTGAGATGGAGTCTTGCTCTGTTGCCCAGGCTGGAGTGCAGTGGTGCAATCTCAACTCACTGAAACCTTCGCCTCCAGGGTTCAAGTGATTCTCCTGCCTCAGCCTCCCAAGTAGCTGGGACTGCAGGTGCATGCCACCACGCCTGGCTAATTTTTTGTATTTTTAGTAGAGACGGATTTCACCATGTTAGCCAGGATGGTCTCAGTCTCCTGACCTCGTGATCCCCCCGTCTCATCCTCCCAAAGTGCTAAGATTACAGGCGTGAGCCACCACGCCTGGCCTTGTGTTGTTTTTTAGTCTCTGTTTTATTTAGTTCTGCTCTGATCTTTATTATTTCTTTTCTTCTCCTGATTTTGTTTGTTTTTTTCTTGCTTTTCTAGTTTCTTGAGGTGCATCTTAGATTGTGCATTTGAAATCTTTCTACTTTTTTGATGTGGGCATTTGTTGCTATAAACTTTCCTTTGAGCATCGCTTTTGCATTTTCACCCATAGGTTTTGGTATGTTGTGTTTTGATTTTCATTTGTTTTGAGAAATTTTTTTATTTCCTCCTTAGTTTTTTTCCTGACCCAATAGTCATTCTGCACATCTGGTACAACAGTCGCCTCTTCTAATTTTTTGAATTTGCTTTTATAAGGGAGTACTTTTTCCTGAAGCTGTGTCTATGTTGTTGGTTGGGCAGGGCACTTTAGCTTTGATTCTGGGTTCATGCAGTAGTGTAGTCTTCATATGATTTCTTCAGCTGTAAACAGACTTAGCAGTGTTTGTAATTTCCTCAGGGGATTAGGGTGTGGTTGTTAGTAGAGGCTGTGATAAACTTTTGCTGGGGATAGGGATGTCAGGTGGATAGGATGTCCTTTGGCCCTAGTTGTGGTGGTGGCAGGCCAACCATGCTTGTCCTTGAGCCTCAGGGCACCATATACTGGCACCAGTGTTAATAGGCCTAGGTGGGCTGATTCTTGAGCCTCCAGGCAGCTTGCTTGGGTGCTGGGAATGGCAGAGGTGGGCTAGGTGGGTTGGTGGGTCCTTAGGCCCCTGGTCAGTGGGCGTGGTTTAAGCAATGGCAGTAGCAGTAGTGGGACCCTATGACTCCCAAGTGATCTTTGCTCATGTGGTAGTGGCTATGACAGGCTAGATGGGCCAGTCCCCATGTCCACAAGTGGTGTGTGCAGGTGGGTGCCAGCTGTGCTGGTAGCAGCAGGTTTGGTGGGCCTATCCTTAGGCTTCTGGGCTATGTGCTCAGGTGCTGACAGTGATTGGAAGGGGCGGGCAATCCTCAGACCCTAGATAACATGCTTGAGCATGGGGAGATGGGTGGAGCAAGGCCGGGGAGTCCTGTCCTCAGGTCCCCCAGTGGTGTGTGGGGGCATTGGCTATGGTAGGCAGGAGCAGAGTGAGCCCAAGGCCCCTGGCAGAATGCTCAAGTGGGGGAAGCAGTGGTTGCACTGTGGCCCTGCTGTTGGGGAGGGTGAGGTTGCTTTTAGTGGCGGCAGTCATAAACACATGGCTAGGGAGTGCATGCTTCAGCCCTGGGTGGTGTGTATAAGCAAGGTAGCCTTTCTTCAGTGCACTTTTAAATGTGTGACAGCCCTGCTACTAGGGGTGGCAGGGTTACTGCTAATGGCTCATGCTTTGGCCCTGGCAACAGCAGCCAGCAGTGATACCTGCATGTGGGCAATGCCAGTAGGACTCCAGGGATGTGGGGACGCAGGGACTATTGGGCCCCAGAGCAGGATGCAGTCTGCTGGGGGCTTGTTTCTCAAAATGGTGCCTTGCTGCAGCTGCTTAAGACTTGGGGTATGTGTGGAACCTGGCATGAGCTCCCCCTTTGGAGTAATGCAGTTGCACAGTGTCCAGGCAGCTGCCTATACTAACCTCATGGCCTGCATGTGTTGAGGGTTTTCATGTGGCTAAGATTGCAGGAGTCCAAGGTGGGAATGTGGACCACAGTGGTGGGGACGTCACTCACTTACCCTTTCCCCAGATTGTGGAGCCTCTCCAGGCTCACAGCTGATCCCAGCCTCCAGGTTGCCTTGCTTCCCTCTCCTTCCTTGCTTTAGGCGTTTCTTTGTTACTTCCCTGTTGAATTCTAGTATTTTCTCTTAGGTGATCTATTTGAAGTGTGATTATCTACTGCTATTTTAGTTCTTCTTTGTGGAGGAAAGGAGTATCAGATGTCTCTAGTCAGCCATCTTGAAGTCCCTCTGAGATAAGTAAGTTTAAGACTTAGGAGATCCAGGGCTTTAAGGCCAGGGGTAAAATGGTTAAATAGTATGAAGATGAAGAACCCACAGATGTGAGCAGAGAGCAAAGTGGGTAGATTACAAAGCAAATATTGAACCATTGAGGATGCTGGGTTATTGTTTCTGCCACATGTGGAAATGAACCACAGATATCCAGTCTGCATACTCTACTTAACCCATGCTTGTCTCCTTCCTCAAATGTTCCCTTTTTGTTTATACATATGTTTTCACAGAATCAGAAACACTCAACACAACAACCCTAGGAAGGATTAATACTTCTATTCCCCATATTTGGCAGTATTCTATAGAGTGGAAATTGAAATCTCTCCCAAGACTGACTCTAGGCAGCATATTGAAAATTGAATATTGGTATACATATCATAGAACACCAGACATTTGCTGTACCAGAAAAGCTTGACATTATTGTTCTCCCAGCGTTACTGCCTTAGGTTGTCCTGTCTCTTGTTTTTTTAAGAGCTGGATGTCTGTACAGAGAATGTTATTTATCATAATTCTGTGATAAGTATTATCATCAGACATAAAAACACCTAAATGAATCAACTGGAAGTTGCTAAAGATGTACATTTTGTAAAACTTTGAGATACATATTTTTTCATTTTATGCTTTATCATCCTGAAGTAACATGTCAGAATCCATCAGTAAACTGATTCTGCACTGTATTAATGTTTTGTTTTATAAAGTGAAGTTTATCTTGTGTGATTCTGTTTGGCAATCATTTTTATTAAGGAGGGGTGTCACCTTTCATGTATGTTTGTCTATATTTTGTCCAGATCTGTGCCAGGTAGCGTGAAGGGATACAATACATTGTTCTTGGAGGATTACAATCTAGTTGGGGAGAAACAATAGATGCTGGAGGCAGCTAGATTTAGTACCATAGATTTTAAACATTAATTATACACTGTCATATCATTTTTAATCATTTTGTGGGTGTTGGAGGCAGTGTATGAACTGGACAAACACTGAAGTATCTGTGGAAATTTTCTTGTGGAACTTTGATGTAAATAACTTGGGACAAGGGAGAAGTTCTTAGGATGGAAGAACGAAAGGAAAACACATAAAGAAAAATATGTGTGTTTACGGAGGAAACAAGTGAGAAAGTAATGGCAGAAGGGGTAGAAGACAAAGGATTTGAGAGCCCGGATGTCATAAAGAGTCTCAATGCAAGTTCAGTGGGAAGGAGGGTGAGGTGAGGAGAGAGAAAGTTGAATTTAAAGGAAGTATTTTGTTGTTCAGGATAAAATCCTGAGAGAAACAATGATTTGTGTTGAGGAAGTCCAAGCTCACATTTACAAGCTCACATTACAAGCCCAAATGTTACAAGCTCGTATTTCCTTCATGGCTAGCTCACAGGTTTACCTCCTTTAAAATATCTTCAGATCAAGGTCTGGATGTTCCCTTTTTCTGAATGGTGTTTATGTTTGAGTGTACATTGACTTAGCATCCAGTGATTTAAAGTATGTTTATTTCGGCTGGGCACGGTGGCTCATGCCTGTAATCCCGGCACTTTGGGAGGCTGAGGCAGGTGGATCACCTGATGTCAGGAGTTCGACACCAGCCTGGCCAACATGGCGAAACCCCGTCTCTATGAAAGATACAAAATTAGCCAGGTGTGATGGCACATGCCTATAATCCCAGCTACTTGGGAGGCTGAGGCAGGAGAATCACTTGAACCTGGGAGGCGGAGGTTGCAATGAGCTGAGATCGCACCGTTGTACTCCAGCAGGGCAACAAGAGTGAAACTCTGTCTCAAAAAAAAAAAAAGTTTATTTCATCTCCCCAAATAGATTTAACGATTATATATTCTATTTTAAATACAATAGACTACTATTGAAATTTGATGCAGAAAACTGATTTAGAAGCCATCTAGTCTAGTATCTTCCTCTGTAGTGGCTACTGATCTCTACCCAGAATGCTGTCTCTTCCACAGGTTGGGTGTCCTTTGATTTTAAAAGCCTTGACCTGTGATTTTCTTTAGAGGAAAGGCCTTGGGCGGCTAGTCACTTTGTCCAGACACAGACAGCTGGAAGTGCCTGGGAGTTTAGTGTTACCATCTCCATCCCCGTCCTCATACCAACCAATGACTGACAGGTGTGAGTATGAAAGCACAACTCCTCTGACTCAAGGTGGGACAGTGTTGAGGCTAGACTTTATGTGTGTGATCCAGAGCACTTTGATCAGGCTCAGGCTGGGACTTCAGCTGAAATTACACCCTTGTTTGGCTTTCTCTCTCTGTGTATTCCCTCCCCATCACCCACACTCTCTCTGATTTTTCCTTACTTAATAAACCAGTTGCATATGAATCCTCATCTTAAGATTCATTGAGATTACTGACCTACAACATCCTCATTTTACTATGGGGAAACTGAGGCCTACTGTGGTTCACGCATTTGTCTAGTCATGCAGAGCCTACTTTTTGATCCAAATCTCTTGATTTCCATTTCTATGCTCTTTTAACTTCTCCTTAGTAGTTCTACATATTCAATAGACATAGAATAATTGTCTATTGAGTTGGTGAATAAATGATGAATGCACAGGCATTTTACTGTATGCTTAAAGGAGGCATGAATTTAAGATGTAATTCTTACTCTCCAGAAACTTAAAAACAAGAGAATGGATACGACTAATATTTATTAAATCGAATAATAAGGCAAGATGCTATTAGATCTAGAAGAACAAGGGACGGACAGAGAATGCATGGTTAGAGAAGGCAGAGAGAGAGGGGAAGAGAGAGAGAGAGAGAGTCAGAGAGAGTCAGCTTCAAAAACAGTATAGCATCTGCATTGCGGCTGAGAATGGTTAAGTTTAAACAAAATTTGTTTCAAAGTTGTTGGCATTTTAAAACCTGGTATAGTTTTGTGTCCTAATGTTTTCACCCCACTTTGGGTACATTTCCATATTATCATGAATTGGGCTTTAAAATCACTCTTTAATAGAGACCCAGAATTTAATGGCATATAGATAGGTTGAATATATTTAATGATGCTCTTATTTTTGAATACTTAGATTTCTCTAAATTTCTGATAATGGAATGACACTGCACTGAAGATCTTTGTAGATAAATATTAGCCTACATTCTGAGATTATATGTGGAGAGTAAATTACTAGATATGTAACTACTGGGTTAGAGGGTAGAAAGTTTTTTGAGCATTTCTGAGACATATTGCCAAATTGCTTTCCAGAAAAGATTTCCAATGCTAGTATTTCACTTCTCAATGGCACATGGCTGTAGCTTCTCCAGAAGTTCTGGTCTTTTGTTTATTTATTAATTCATTAAATATTTATTAAGCTCTGACTACATGGGAAACCACATACTAAGTTGTTCTATATTATTATGTTCTACCTGATAATGTAGAATCTTTATTGAGTTTTCCTCTTCTACTTTACCTTTTTTCTTCCACTTACAATATTCATAGCCCAGAATTAAGCATAAAGTAGGTGCTCAATATGTGCTTGTTCATTGATTGAAATGTGAACAATAGTCAAATTTTGCTATTTCTGTGCCTTGTCAGACCACGAACACATTGGTTTCCTTTTTCTATTATTTTCTGAGATCTAGCCAGGAATTATTTCATTATTTGTTGACCTATTATCATTGTTCATTCTGTTCTTGTTCAAGGTTGCACTGTCTTCTCTTATCCCTCTGAGGATATTAATGACAATTTTGAGGATTTTTTCTTTTTCACCCTTCACACTTTCTGTTTCTCCCAGCAACGTTTTTCCTGTTTGTTTTGATTTCTATCTTTAATATTAAGACTTAACCACTTAGTTTTTCTTGTCTAATTACATTCAAGGATGGGCATACATAATAATAACAGTTAACAACTATATGAAGCTTACTCTATGCCAAGCTCTGTTCTAAGAGGTTTACATTTAATTCTCACAATAACTCCATAAAACAGGTTCTCTTATTATTTCCATTTTGTAGATTAAGTAGGAAAGGTTAATAACTTGCCAAAGGCTTCATGTCTAATAAATAGCAGAGCTAGCATTGTACCTGAGAGGGTTCGGATCCATAGTCTGTGCATATTGCTACCGTGCCATAGCGTTTGCTTACAAACTTTATGCAGAGTGGTTGCAGGTCAGGCTGGTACTTGATGTCTTTTTATCTTGGTTTGATTAGACTCTCCTGTGCAGATCCTGCCTAGCAGCCAGGGTTCTGGAATCTAAAGGGGAAAGAAGGCTTAGTGTCTTAACATTCAGAGCATGAATTTTCCCTTAATCCACCCCCACATTTTCACTACAACGCTTGCCTTTGGTTGGCCTTCGGTTGCCTGTTCAGAGGCCTTCAGGTACACTCTCACCAAAGAACATGTCTCTGATCTTTTGAAGAGGTGGAAAGGGGTCAGTGGACTGAATGTACTGAGTAGAGGAGGATATCTGGGAATGTAACTCCTTTTTTATTTTAAAGTAGCTTTATTGAGATATACCGGTTTCAAAAGTAAAACTCAACAGTTTCTAGTATATTCAAAGAATTGTGCAAACAACACCACAATCAATTTTGGAACCTTTTGTTCCCCCCAAACAAAATCCTGTACCCATTAACAGATACTCCCCATGTTTGTGGGAATTGGGGTAATTCTTTGCTTTCTAATACTTTTCTGTTTTGCTTGTTTTTTTTAGAAAAATGATAAGCACAGGTCGTTTTTGTAAAAATTATAAAATCGTTATGTAAAAAGCCCAATGTCTTAAAAGTTAAAAGAGTAGGATGTCTCAAAGAGAGCTTGAATAATAACATCAAATAGAATAGAGAAGTTGAAAGGGACAAAGACTGAAAGAGATCATTTTTCCTCCAACTGTAGGCACTGCATTCTTATTTTCATTTGGCAACTTTAATTTTGAACTCAGAGGGTGATGTGGTTTGGCTGTGTCCCCACCTAAATCTTACCTGGAATTGTAATCCCCATAATCCCCACGTGTCAAGGGTGGGACCAGGTGGAGGTAATTGAGTCACGAGGTGTGTTTTCCCCCATGCTGTTCTCGTGATAATGAGTGAGTCTCACGAGATCTGTTGGTTTTATAAACATCTGGCATTTCCTCTGCTTGCACTCATTCTCTCTCCTGCCACCCTGTGAAGAGGTGCCTTCCATCATAAGTTTCCTGAGGCCTCCCCAGCCCTGTGGAACTGTGAGTCAATTAAACTTCTTTTCTTTATAAATTACCCAGTCTCAGGTGTTTCTTCATAGCAGCATGAGAACGGACTAATACAGTAAATTGGTACCCAGAATGGGGTGCTGCCATAAAGATACCTGAAAATGTGGAAGCGACTTTGGAACTGGGTAACAGGCAGAGGTTGGAACAGTTTGGAGGGCTCAGAAGAAGATGGGAAAATGTGGGGAAGTTTGGAACTTCCCGGAGACTTGTTGAATGCCTTTGACCAAAATGCTGATAGTGATAAGGACAATGAAGTCCAGGCTGAGGTTGTCTCAAATGGAGATGAGGAACTTGTTGGGAACTGAAGTAGAGGTCACTCTTGCTATGTTTTAGCAAAGAGATTGGTGACATTTTGGCCCTGCCCTAGAGACCTATAGAATTTTGACCTTGAGAGAGATAATTTAGGGTATCTGGCAGAAGAAATTTCTAAGTGGCAAAGTGTTCAAGAGGAAGCAGAGCATAAAAGTTTGGAAAATTTGCAGCCTGACAATGTGATAGAAAAGAAAAACCAATTTTCTGGGGAGGAATTCAAGCCAGCTGTAGGAATTTGCATAAGTAATGAGGAGCTGAATGTTAATCACCAAGACAGTGGGGAAAATGTCTCCAGGGTATGTCAGGGACCTTCAAGGCAGCCCCTACCATCATAAGCCCAGAGGCCTAGGAGAAAAAAATGGTTTCGTGGGCCAGGCCCTGGCCCCCATACCCCCTGCTGTGTGCCTCCTAGGGACTTGGTGGTCTGCGTCCCAGCCATTCCAGCTGTGGCTTAAAGGGGCTAAGATATAGCTTGGGCCATGACTTCAGAGGGTGCAAGCCCCAAGCCTTGGCAGCTTCCTCATGGTGTTGAGTCTGTGGGTACACAGAAGTCAAGAATTGTGGTTTGGGAACCTCTGCCTAGATTTCAGAGGATGTATGGAAACTCCTGGATGTCCAGGCAGAAGTTTGCTGCAGGGGCAAAGCTTCATGGAGATCCTCTGCTAGGGCAATGCAGGAGGGAAATGTGGGATTAGAGCCCCACACAGAGTCCCCACTGCCTAGTGGAGCTGTGAGAAGAGGGCCACCATCCTCCAGACCCCAGAATGGTAGATCCACTGACAGCTTGCATCATGCGCCTGGAAAAGCCACAGGCATTCAATGCCAGCCTGTGAAGGCAACTGGGAGGGGGGCTGCACCTTGCAAAGCCACAGGGGCAGAGCTGCCCAAGATTGTGGGAGCCCACCTCTTGCATCAGCATAACCTGGATGTGAGACATGGAGTCAAAGGAGACCATTTTGGAACCTTAAGGTTTAATGACTGCCCTGTTGGATTTCAGACTTGCATGGGGCCTGTAGCCCTTTGTTTAGGCCAATTTCTCCCATTTGGAAAGGGTGTATTTACCCAATGCCTGTACCTCCATCATATCTAGGAAGTAACTAACTTGCTTTTGATTTTACAGCCTCATAGGCAGAAGGGACTTGCTTTGTCTCACATGAGACTTTGGACTTGGACTTTTGAGTTAATGGTGGAATGAGTTAAGACTTTGGGGACTGTTGGGAAAGCATGATTGTGTTTTGAAATGTGAGGACATGAAATTTGGGAGGCGCTAGGGGTGGAATGATATGGTTTGGCTGTGTCCCCGCTCAAATCGCATCTTGAACTGTAGTTCTCATAATCCCCATGTGTTGTGGGAGGGACCTGGTAGGAGGTAATTGAATCATGGGGGCAGTTACCTCCATGCTGTTCTCATGATAGTGAGTGAGTTCTCATGAGATCTGATGGTTTTATAAGGGACTTTCCCCACCTTTGCTCTGCACTTCTCCTTGCTGCCATCATGTGAAGAAGGACGTGGTAGCTTCCCCTTCCAAAACAATTGTAAGTTTCCTGAGACCCACCTAGCCCTGTGGAACTGTGAGCCAATTAAACCTTTCTCCTTTATAAATTACCAGTCTTGGGTATTTCTTCATAGCAGCATGAAAACAGACTAATACAGAGGGCAACAAATTTATAACATACACCATGTCATGCTTAAAAAATAAATAATTAGATACATATTGATATCTCTAGAGATGCATGTGCAATCTCTCTGAGGTTAATGAGAACTGTATTTTAAAAACTAAAGCTATAATTTGGCCTAATTTCTCAGGGTAACATAAAAATCACAGAGAAAAATTTCTCACCTAAAACTCTTGGTATTGTCAATATGACAAATGGCAGTATGAACATGCATGTCTTGAACACACTATGTCAATAGATAAATGTTACTTGGGAGGAGAAATCTATTACTACCCATTCAGGAAGCTTTCTGTGTCCCAAGGGCAGGGTACACTGGAGTTTAATAGGAGAAGGAAATAAATGAGTACAGAGACATTTTGTTAAGTATTTATTTCACCCTTTAAATTGGGCTAGTGTGTAGGATCACAACTCCCTAGTTCTGAGTCTTAGGCTTAAGAAGGAAAATAATCTCATCAGCTCCCAGTGGAAAGTCAAAGGTAGAAATTCCTTGCCATGTACACAGCCTGAAATCCAAATCCTTATATTGTTCACCCTGAATAAGAGCAAACCAACTTCTCTCCTCTTTACTTCCTTCCATTTTTCTTTTTGTTTCTTTTCATGTGGGCTTCATCACCATCTTTTCCTACAATTATAATTCCAATTCCTACACATCAGTTGAATAAGTTGTCATCTATGACAGTGCAGAAAGGGAGATGCAAGAATACCAGAATCAACTTCACTTGGGATCTTTAAGAAACGCATATTGTCAGGCTTCACTCCATACCTACTGAATCAAATCTCTGAGGTGGGGCTCAGGAATACGCATGTTTATTAGTTCTCCAGGTGAGAACCAGCAGTCTACAAGACATTTGGAGTCTCTGGTGAAAATCTTTTCCTGAATAACATTGGGAGAAAATTCCCCCGTGAGTCTCTTGCATTTTTGCACATCTTGTGAGCAGAGGCACTGATTGGCCTTTGTTCTGGATTATTTTCTAACTTATGTATATGCCAAACGGTCTTGGAAGATAGAGATTGAAAGCCTCTTGAGAGGAAGGCATGTATGCTTACTGTCCAGTATAATAACTTTACCCAACAGGGCAAAGGGCAGGCATGCTAACTGCCTGCTATAGAAGATTCAGGTTCCCTAAGCTTTTGGTTTCTTAGCTGTGATGCACACCCACTGAAAATGCAGTATCCATTGGGGCCCCACTTGGTCACCATATGGGACATGTGGGGTAAGGGAGAATTGACACAAACATGGTACTCGTGCTGCTGGCTGTCCTGAGAGTAACAGTCATTTGTCTCTGATCCAGGAGTCTCCTGTTCTCTGCCAGCATCTATGAAACTATGGCAGGCTAGTTTGTCAGCTTGTAAGTAAGGTAAGATTTCAGACTCTTCACAGTTCTTCATAAATAGTTCTTCACTGACCTGAGTGGTACAAGGCATTTTCTTTTGTTTTAGAAACCTATTGCTTTAGGTTAGGATATTGAATCTCCAGAAGTTCTCTATTGAAATGTACCAGCTGGGAAGTATGGCCTTAGCCATCTGTCTTAATTAATTTTATCAGATGAACTAGCAGGTCTTGAGAAAATGAAACACGATTTGAAAGAGTTGAGAAGCTTACATGTCTTGAACAGATGTGTGAAGGAGATGGTTAGCCTCAAAGAGATGGCCTAGAGTGGGAAAGGCCCAGAAGATACAGTTTTGTGCTCCGAAATTTTGCCTGGAGCCTGCTCTGCCAGTATCCATCTCAGCTGGACATACAATGCACACTGATTTCCTATAATTCCCTTCCTCATTCACAGTGAATCAAGGGCATCTGCTGGCAACACTGTGGATTCTGTTGTTTGCAAACAGTAAGTAAATATCATCCATTGTCTGAGCTTTTTGGAATGGAAGTTGTTATAACATAGGCAGAAGAAGGTTTACCATGCAGTGAGAGAAGTAGAAGAAAAACGAGCTAATAAAACTGAGCAAAGAACAATAGGGGAATTTCTGCCATTGCCAATTTGTGCTGAAGCAAAGTTGGACCAAATCCATTCTTGGGAATTCCCTCAGTTTGTTTGACAAATCCACATATTAAGTGATACACAGGTGATACACAAATATTTATTTTAAAGCATAAATCAGATACTTAAGTTTAGAAGTACAATCCCAATGACACAGAATGGAGCTTCCAGTTCATTGCACATTTTAATTAACTGAAGACTCACAATTAAATATAAATACTAAAATTTTTGCATCCTAAATTGGGATATATGGTTTGACAAACACATGCCTACTTATATAATTATTGAAAATGTAAAATTGAGATAGTCCTGGGAAAGCCAGAATGGTAACTATACAGTTAAATTATACACACTTTAACAATGTTAACAGCATTAGACAAAATATTTTTAGCATTAAAATACAGAACACAATTTATCTGTTGATTCAAAGACCTCAGGGTCATAAGAACACCAATTAAAATTTTTTGGAATCTTAAGCTCTTTTAGTTTATATCAATTCGGGATAAATGGTTCTTCATACTTTCTGTCTGAATGATTCTCTGAGAAATGATAAAGATTTTCATTGGAAACCTTTCTACCACCTTTAAGGGGTTAGTCGCACATTCTTAATTTCTGATTAGGAGTCTGTATCACATGGATTTCCAAGGTAACCTGTATAATAATTATAGTGATAATAATAATAGTAAAAATAATACAGGATTGATTGTCAGTGAGAATAGAGATGGAACTATCCTGTCTACATATTCTCTCTCCATTTTGTCCACCTGCTGTCCTGCTCTACAGTAGTTACACTCACCAAATTTGGGCTTTTTGGGGAAGTTATCAAGTAGCAAAATTCCTGACTTATAATTACCCTGGTGACAGTAAACATGGAAAACTTCAACAGAATCCTTCTGACTGAATTCATTAGGTCCACACAGGACTCTATGGGAAGCATAATAGCCCAGGAAAAAAGCTTCAGATATGTGTAAAGTTTAAAATCAGCACCTTGTATTACGTTTAAAGTTCCTGAGTTTCTAAGATTGGTATTCTAAACTTCAGAGGACTGTGGTATTTCAGAATAATGCTTAAATGTTTATGTATTTATATACACATCAATAAATTTATTCATTTGCCTAGTCAACAAATATGTATTAGATTCCTACTATGTGCAACACTTGATCAACATTAGAGACAAAAGGATTAACGAGACAAAAATTCTTGCTTCTTAGTAGCTCAAAAATTTGACAGGAAAACAATGATATAAACAAATTATTACTATACACAATGGTAAATGCTACAATAATAATATAGACAAAGTTCTGTGAAACTAAAGAGAGGATGATTAATTCAGCCTAGATGTAGGATTCACAGAGGAAGTGACATCTGATGTCTGAAAAGGGAGCAATGTTCAGGATTCTCCTAGGAAGTGTAAATTACTCCTTTTTGTAGCAGCAGGAGTAAAAGTAGCAAGAATATCAAGAGTAGCTGTTAGTTACAGGGCATTTACTAACTGCTAGGCAAAACACTAAACAATTGATGTGGATTATCTTCTTATATCCACGAACCAAAATACTAGATCTTGTTATTACCATTTTTCAGAGGAACAGACCAAAACTTTAGGAAGTGAAATAATCTGCCCAAGATTACACAGATAGGAAACAGGAAATTTTTGATGAATGAGTGAATGAAATCATATACATTAATAAATCTGGAATTGAATTATCTAACCATCAAATTATAATATCCTAAGAGAGATTATGTGAGTGGTATAACATTGTCTAAACAACTGTCATGCCATAAGCAATTTCAACTTTCCTTTGGAAGGAATCAGGAGCTCTTCATCCTGGTCTTCCTTCAGGAAAGTTAGCATTTAGCATTATAAAGCATTCATTTCTACCAATTACACCAGCTTCTCCTCACAAGGCCCTAATCTCTTGACTGGGATGGAGACACCTTCACTTAGCTACATTGCTCAAATAAAAATAGGCTTTGTTCTCTTGCACCTGAATATCACTTTTCTACTTTTGAGAATAGGGTCTTGAATGTAAATAACCCCTCTTGTTTGCACGTAGGCTAGTTCCATAAACATTATAAAATGGCCACTTCCTATTTCCTTACTTTGTAAATTTCATTCCTGGCAGTATTACATTTTTACAACTCATATTTCATTAAATGTTTGGTTATATCCCATGTACCTCATTCAGTAGACATATGTTGAACTCTTAGATTCAGTCACATCTATTATAATTCTCTTTTATTCTTTAAAATAACTTTCTGGGATGTGTATCTTGTTTACTGAGTGGGATACCTGGGCTTGGACAGTTTGGCATATGGTTCAAGGTCACATTTATCTAAGGTCATAGAGTCAGCAGAGCAAATATAAGAATTCAACTACTTTGACACCATGTCTCTTGTTTGTTCCACAAGACCAGAGGGTTTCCTTATAAATGGAATGAAACTATCCCTCCTGTGGCATGGTCAACATAAAACTGGAAACATTAAACAATTCAAGATAGTCAATATCTTATTGTATCAAAAGGATTGGCCTAGCAAAGAAGTATTATAGGGGTGAAGTGAATGTGGGCTATAGTAATCTAGGACTGAGTTTGACTAGGGGAGTGGAATAAGAGCAAAAGGGAGGCTTGCTTGACTGGAGGAAAAGCATCAGGAAATATGTTGAGTTGTGGCTAAGCATGTGATCTGGGGACAAATAAGAAATCTTCCTAATGTAAATCATTGGAATTATCTCATAGATAAGTTTTTCAATGCTTTTAGCATTGCCTTGAATACTTTCTGGACTAAGATGGCATGCAAATAACCAAACAAAGCCTACAATGGGAATCTGAAGACATTTTAAGAATTGTGTGAATGTGCAGAAAACCAGGATGTTGCTACTTGATTGACAGTTGACTATGTACATATAAAAACACAGAGTTATGGACTTAATGCAGGTTAAGCAAGGTGTATTTGATGGCATGTATACATCATACAAATATGATCTTACCTTGTTTTTAATTCCATCTTGGTGAATACAAGCATATTAAATATTCCACTTGCAATCGTTTTTCTCAGCAGTTCATCCATTGACATGCACACACACGCATGTGAGCAGATGTTTTCTAGTACCTTTGGCAGAAGAATTTAGTGCCTTGTACACATCACACCTGCCATGTCATGCTTATTGATTGAGCAATTCAGCTCGCTGAAAGGTACTGGGTTAGATATTAATTTTAAAATGAAAGCCTTCACATCTGCTAATGCCTGCCAGTCTCTGGAGTGAATGTGCCATTGAAGCCAACGGAAGTGGGCAGAAGCAGCCTTCATGGGTAGGACTGACAAGTTATTTTGAGTCTACTGAATTACCTTTATTGTTGCCCCATACTTATAGGCAGACCTCTCCTTCCGTTAAACTCCTTCACTCACAGTACTTCTGAAAATAGCTCTGGTGGTTTGGAACTGGTCTTCCTGGATTTTCACGCAAATGGAATATTTGTGGTAGTTGAGTGATAAATGGTGAGATAATGGTGTTTTACAGGCAGTGAAATGACAAGGTCAGTTTTAATTAAGCTGAGATCAACCTCAGTCTGTATTGCACACTTCTGATTAGGTTATTTCAAATTAACATAAGTTTTTGGAGACTTCGCTGAAGTCAGTGGTGTTAAACACCAGCTGTGCTGGCAGAGAAGCGTGGGATATGAGAAGGAGATAGCATTCACATTGAAATTAGCACTTGGCACAATATAATTCTCTGATTGCAAACTATGTGGAGTTGCCTGTGCTAATTGGTTGATTTTATTTGAAGCAGATGTTGTTAGCTTTCCCAATAATGATCTGGAGAGAAATTCTTTTGAAAGACATGCCATGTTAGGATCTCTGCAGTATAATAAGCTAATTACAACTTTAAGTACTTGCAGTAATTAGCACAATGTGTATAAAGTGTTCCTGATCTTTTCACCCTGCCGCATTATTGTCAGGGCAGCTTGAAAAACAAAAAGGAATGCTAGATGGATTGAGTCTCCCTGGTCTAGCCTCTTCGTTTCCCAGACTTCTGCACTAAAGAGATAATGAACTCGACTTAAATCCTTCTCTTTCAAGCATGCCAAAAAAGGTTTAGGAACCAACCCCCACCATACAACGCCCAAAAAATGGAGAGTGAAATTTGCCAAACTAAATGTTGCTTCAAACACATATGCCTTTAAGAGGCAGTGAAGTCTTCAAACATTAGCAAACCGAGACCGTTAACATATTTATTTCATGTTCACTTATTTTATTGTTTACCAATTTGGTCCATGGATCAAACCCGTATTTTATTTGGGAACATTATACCATCACACCTCCAAGTTAAACCTCTAACTTTCCTGTATAGATACCTTCAAATGTTTCTGTAAGCCTAAAATCCAGTCTCTCCATACTTTTAAACACCAAGTTGTTACAGACACATATTTTGCTTATGTTAATAATGAGAGTGAAGACATAGGAGTAGATGTGGCTCCCCACATCTTCGTATGTGAGAAAAATGGAGAAAAAAATGAATGGGGAAGAAAATAATTGATAGAGACAAATTCTTAATAACATAGTAAGCAAAGTCCACAAATGGTAAGTAAGTGCTATTGTAGAAGTGAACCTTGACTGTTGAGGCTGGTGACTACAATTCTAGTACCTCTAAAAAGAGGCTAAGTTGATTAGTAGAAAATAATTTAAAGTAAAATGTCACAATTTCAATAACTCTTTGTGACTTTTTAAAGGTAGTTTGAAATTTGGATTTTTAAGACCTAATATTTGAGATAGATGTTTGAGAGTCATTCATAACAAAGTCTACTGGAACAGGTGAATGTATCGAGCTTTTATATTTTCTCATGACTTCTTTGGTTTCAAGATACTTCTGGGAGAGGCAGAGACCGGACAAATTCTCTTTTTAAAGTACCTTAGAAGATGTGGGCTGGCTCATGTCCTTTGGCTCTAATTTCCAAAAGTAGGCAGCATGATCTCATATTCTTAACTGGTTGCAGAAACGTGGTAGAAAATTCTATTATCTGCGTCTCTTGTGCTGTTGTGTCTTTGGTTGTTCTGGAATGGAAAGCTGGGATTTCTGTGGTTGCTGGATTTATATCTATTTGTAGAATTTCTCAAGGTAAAAACAAGACTTCTGATAACTTCAATTGGTTATATCTTAAAGCGAGGAGTGAAAAATATCACACTTATTTTAGAAAAGCAAAGATAGGGCTGATAGAGATTCACCCTCTCAAATTATTAAAGGAAAGGAAGGTTATAGGTTTGAGGGGGATCCCAATACTTGAAACATTCTTTGTATATAAACACTTTATGGTTATGAAAATTTATTGATACAAGTAATGACAAGAAGAAAATACTTTGTGTTTTCCTACATCTATAGAGCTTCAAATGCTCAGTGGAACCCAATAAGAAGAGTAATTATGTTCAAGCAAAACATTCAAAGATAGAGTTTAGACCTGGTGCTGGCATTTTATACCTGAGAAAGTGTCTGCCATGTGTTAGGCATGTGATAAATGGTGAATGGATGAATGTGTTTTAGTTAAAAGTTAACGAATTCTCTGTCACTTCCATGAGGTTTGGTGTATTTCCACACCTCTGGAAGTATCATAAATGGAAACTACTCAAAGTGCCATATATCATTATTTGTCTAAACAGTCTCAAGAGGCTTATGGGTGCTTTAGTATGAAAGGTTAAAGGTACACACTGGATGTTTGTAGTTTTGACATCTAGCATCCTTATTCATATAATTTAAAAGTTTTATTTGGATACAGAAAGGATCCATCCACCTAGTAATGGAGCATCTGTTAGAGTAACATACACTCATTTGAGAGTAAACCAATAGATTTACATTGTTTTGTCAATAAGAATCCTTTGATGTTTTTGTCTACTTAAACTCAAAGTTTCTATAACTTATTCTTAGTATAATACCTTGGTCATAGAAATATAAACTAGATTCCTAATGGTATTTTTTTGCTCTCACTATAAATAATCTGCACTTTCCTAATTTTGAGAAAACTAGAAGTTGTCAAGCTATTGCTTGATGCTTGAGATATAATACTATATATAATGAGTATTATATTAGATATTATGTTAGATATAAAAGTATATGTAACATATATATACACCACATGATGTATTATGGTATAAATTATCTATCATATAAGTTTTTAATATTCATCTATGTATCTATGTACATATCTGTCATCTTTCAAGAGAGGTCAATGTTGAAAAGGCTATAACCAAATGATTACTTTTATAATTTTATTATGTTCTGATAACAGTTATTTGGAAAGAGTTAATAGCTAATCTATGATTTTTTTTTCTCTATACTTTTTCTTGAAAAGAAAATAGTCTGACATACAGAAAGACAAACTGACTTATTAAACCTTTTAGCTTTCTAGGGCTGAAAAATTTTCCTAAAGAGAAGGTCCCCAGCTTTCTGGGGAACCAGCAGATTGAGAGATGACCTTTTATAATGCATCTGCCCACTGCCAGTCCTCTATGTTCCAACATGGCACTCTTCTGTCCTGTCAGGGTCTAATGAAGCATGCAATCCCATGTGACTTATTCCTGAGATGCCAGCAGAAATAATCATTTCTTTTACTTCCAAATGTGCAAAGTGGGGATAAGAGACCCTTCTTTGATTGTTGGAAAAAATTAAAAACTATAGATTTTTACATCAAAGAACTGAGGTTTGATCTTTAGAGCATACAGCAATTACATTTGAAAATCTCCTTTCTATAAGATTAAAAAATTCCATCTCATGCCTTCTTTTTTGTATGTCATAGATTTCTGGAATAGGGGTAAATAATATCATTTTGAAGAACAGATCTTTTCCTCCATTTTCCAATACATGTTTATTTTACCATAAAAAGCTTGAAAAACAAACTCCCTGAGGTACCAGAAGCAGGAGCAAGTGGGGTGGTTTGGCTGCAGACCAGAGCAGCACAATGGGTTTCTGCTTCCTTTCTGTTCATCGCTTTCCCCTTCCCTCCAAAGCACACACAAAGCTCTGCATGACTTTCTGGTTTCAGGCTTCAGTTTGGCAATTTTTTCCACTGTGTGTTGGGAAGAAATTGAAATGCAAAATTATATCCCCTGAAACAATCATATTGTTTTGGGAGCATAGGAAGAAGGAGAGATATAGGGATGAGGTTTTTTTCTTAAGAAGGGGGGTGGGGGGCTGCTATGAGCCACAATACCCATTGTTTGCTGCTCTATGAACCTTTCAGATTTTTTTATAACTCTTATTTAATTTTGCAAAAAAGTATCTTAACCACTGAGAAAATTGTGCAGAGGAAGAAAATTTCTTCCTGATGAGGGATTATGCTCAGCAGAGACGCAATAGTGTACTGTGTCGCTTGCTTCTATTTGCTATTTTCTCTCCACTGGGCACACCTCATTTCACATATACAACCAGTAAGTCATTGGGTTAAGAGTTTAGCAGACCCAGAAGTGGAGAAGGGGTGATTTCGGCTCTAGTCATAGCAGGTAATGGAGCTGGAAAAGAAGGCTTCAGTATTGCTTCAAGAAAGTTGAAAATGACTGATGTGATGACTAGCAGTAATATCTAAAACAAAAGTATAGCTCTGCACTACAGTAAGAATGAGTGACCTTCTTGGCTTGGAAGAAGAGTCAAGAGGGTGGAGGAACATTTAGGAGGAACAAATAGACCTATAATGTTGGTATTTAAATGCAATTTACTCACTTCAGCAGATAAAATCTTAATATGTATGTCATCTGTGGCCAGAGCCTAAGAATTATAAGCATTTATTTGTTTTAAATAATTTGAAAAAGAGCAGTTTTATTAAACACTACAGCCATCTAAGTAAAAATTTAAAATAAATTATTTCTTTATCTCTCATAAAGTATTCTCTGCCTACAGGTTTATTTTTTTTTTTTAATAGGGTTTATGTTTTAAAGCAGTTTTAGGTTCACAGCAAAATTGAGTGGAAGGCATAGAGATTTCCCATTGACCCCTTGTCCCCACATGCACAGACTCTCCCACTGTCAATGCTCCCAACTGGAGTGGTACATTTGTTACAGCTGATGAACCTACATTAACGCATCATTATCACCCAAAGCTCACAGTTTACACTGGGGTTCACTCTTGGGTTATACGTTTTATGGGTTTAGACAAATGCATGACATGTATCCACCATTATAGTATCACACCCAATATTTTCACTGCCCTAAACATCCTCTGTGCAGCAATGGTTGCCTCAACATCAACTTTGCTTCTTCAAATGCTGGAGCCAAGGGAACTGTGGTCCTTAAGTCTGGATATGCTCCCACCCAAGTGCCTGCCCCCATGTTATAGGCTCGCAATGTAGATATCAAATGAGCTAGGTATGATATAGAAATCCCTATGGACCCACATTTTTCTGTGATTCTGTCTAGTGTCAGGCCTTCTATGAGACGAAATATGCTTATTATTTGGATGTATCGATGTTTTGCTTTGTTTTCCTGGAAACTTCAGTGAAACCATGTCATCTCCAGTATGATAAGAATTAATGTTTTAGGACTATCAGTTTAGAGCAGGCATTCTTATTAGAGATTCAAAGATGAAAATTTCTAATAATTGTTGATAATTTGTTAATATAATGTGCATAATTATGGGAATAGGGTCCATAACTTTTCCTCAACATTTATGCATTAATAAGCATAGTATTTCATTCTGATAATAAATCTGAGACAAAGGTAAATTTTCAGTACTATTTTATACCTGACTTCACTGAGGTTCATAAAAATTTAGTCACAAGTCACAGGTATTTAAGCCAGTATTTTTCTCTAGGTGGTCAAGCTTAGTACTTTCATTGGTTTTAAAACAAGTTGTTTGTAATATATGCAGGTACTCCTCCCCCACTACCAGGAAGTGGAGCTTAATCCCTTTCCCCCAATGTGGGCTAGACTTAATGACTTGCTTCCAAAGCACAAATCAGAGAAAGAGAAATATAGTAACTTGACGGTGGAGAAACCTGGCTAATACTACATTAATCAAGTGATGAAAGTTAATATCACCAGTGATGTCAGGGGGATATCATGTATCCTCTAATGTGATGTGATGAGAAGGGCACTTCACCTCTATGATACTCTTCCCTCGAACCCCTCACCTTAGTCTAATTGTGAGAGAAACATCATACAGGTCTAGACTGAGAGACTTTCTACAGGATGCCAGGTCAGTGTTCTTCAAGACTTCAAGGTTATAAAAAATAAGGGAAGTCTAATAGACTGTCACAGACCGGAAAAGACTGGGGAGACAGGACAACTATTTGGCAAAAACTGCAGTTCTTTTTGCACCAACCTAATAAATTCAATGTGATATCCTGGATTGGATCCTGGAATATAAAGAGGACATAATGGAAAGAGTAGTGAAATCTAAAGCCTAGAGTTTAGTTAATAGCAATGTACTAACGTTGGTTTCTTAGTTTTGACAAATATATCATGGAGGTGTAAGATGTTAGTACAGGAGTAAATTGAGTGAAGGAATATAAGAGAACTCACTTTATTATCTGCATTATCTAAAATCATTCCAAAATAAAAAGTTAATTTTAAAAAGTTGGTTGAATCTAAAAAGATGCCCAAAGTCTCAACTCACATTGTGTTGCTGGGTTAACCGAAATAAATAACACCTTCTCTGGAAATCTGTCCTTGTGACCTTACATACTAAGCCACTGACAGAATTAATGGTACTCTCCTGTGGGTTATGAAATGAATTATTGCCTAGTGGATATGAGTTTGGACTCCTCGTTCCAGACTGCCAGGGTTTGAAGCCGGTCTCTACCAATTACCAGTTAGGTGACTTTCAGCACATTACTTGATCTTTCCATGCTCCAGTTCCCTCATCTGTAAAATATTAACCTACCTCATAGGGCTGTTGTGAGCAAGTAGTTTAAAGTCATACATGCAAAGTCCTTAGGATAGTGTCTGATACATCGAAAGAACTCAAAAAGTGATAGTGGTGGTGATGATGGTGATGTCTCCAAATCATTATTTATGTAACACTTACATAAATATCTCATTGCTTATCCCAACTTCTGTTTTAGATGATGAGATCTTTGAGGATAAAACAACGTTTTATTTATCTTTGTATCCCCATGCCTGATAAATAGTAAGTACTCAATAATTGTTGATTGAATGTATGCTTGGTTTCCTGAATCCTAACTTGTCTTATCTGGGATATGGGTATAAATATGCCTACTGCCAAATTACAGGCTTAGCTAGGAGACAGTGATAAATTAGTGATAAATTAATCAGCGTTGCCTGCTCTAAGTTCAGTTAGGGATGCAAACACATGTTTCTGACGTCTCTCTATTCTCCTCACTGCTGCTGAAACTCACCAGCATATATACTCCAATATATATTTGAATTTATCTGAAAATGATAAAACTCTACATTAAATATAGCTGAAGACAAGTACTTGGATTCTAAGAAGGTAGGGGTTATAGCAAGACAGGACAATGTAAGAGAATGTGGGATACTCCACTTATGTGGAACATTCAACATATCTATCTTCCCTGCAGGCATGAGAGGAGATTAGCTAAATTAAAAAAATACAAACCAAAGTCTGTAAAATGTTCTTGGGCATTCTAGAAGGACAGAGTTTCCATTTTAGATTTATTATGGTGTTATTTTATTATTGAGAGGGAACATAAATAATTTAAAACGTTTACTAACACGTGCAAGGACTTAATTTTTAAAGACAATGTGTTGAAAGTTGGGCACGATGGCATGTTCCTGTAGTTCCAGCTATTTGGGAGGCTGAAATGGGAGGATCACTTGAGCACAGAAGTTTGAATCCAGCCTGGACAACATAGTGAGACCTCTTGTCTAAAAAATAAAATAAAATAAAATAAAGATAATGTGTTGAGAAATGAGTTTTAGTGGTATTGATGGTAATGAATGGAACTGAGCTTCATTCTGAAATGAATATGACATTGTTACTATAAAATGTGCTGGAAATGAATTTATTTGGGGCTCTTGTTCTCATTTGACAATGCCAAGTTGCACCCTTTGAGTTGCCTCTTGCCCAGTATCCATAGGAAAGATTTCAAAATCACTATATATTCATCAAATTAACAAATCTTTTTCCAAATTACTCTCTCAGTAACTAGAAGGTTATTCACATTGTGAATAGCAATAGCAAGGGTGTTCAAAATGACTGAAGCTACCTGGCCAGAGGACCTTGCCATATGTTTGATAACTTAACCTTCCCCTTCCCCTTCTTTTTCCAGGACAAGCCAAAAGCGCAGCTTACATCTTGGCCACACATTTGTAAGTCCAAATTCTACCCACATAATTTAGGCACCTGAATTATAGCATTCTATCTTTATAGTCTTTGAATAAAAGGAGTGTTAAAGTAACTCTTGTAAGCACTGTTGCCATTCCATCCAAGGCTGTGAATTACCACATGGTCTGGAAGAGAGGGTGGAACCATTATCCTAATTTGGGGGACCAAGCTACCTGGCAGTAGTTGATATAGCTAATTCTTGAACCCTGCTTTTCAGATTGAATTGCCCAGTGTTGTAATTGACTAGATTTGGCTCATGGAATTCCAGATGCTCTTCTGGTAATTATAGTGCAAGACTGAATTTTCTGTTCTCATTTGTCCTTTTAAAATACTTTATTCCTCGTTGGTCTCTTTCACCCAGTGTTTAGGGGTTATAACTTTTATGAGTAAAATTTAGTTTTAAGTGGAAGAAAAGTTAGCTCCTGCTACCATGGTACTAGTTAATCATAAGTTCATAAAAAAGCTAACATACTGGGTCAGAGAGCCAGCATTAAAATTTGATGTGCATGGGGAAAATAAATTAAAAAGGTCTGGTAAAAAGCTTGCACTCTGAAGCTTTTTATCTGCCATCTGTCATCTGAGGCATAAACCTGTGCCCTCATGTGTACCCAACTGCAATGTATCTCTTCTATGGAAAGCCAGATAATTACAAGTTCCATAGTCCCTTGGCAGATTGAATAAAGGGTTACTTTAATTTCTTTTCATAGGCTCTAGATGTATATTGTGTTCTGTAAAGATACTGTACACAGTTCTGTCATATGGCTGACTATAAGCATTGTATAAATTAGTATCTCTGTTTAGCAAGTAGTAACCTGAGATCAGCTCAAGAGCACATAACGTGTAGTTATCTTTAGGATGTGAGGATGACTTTGATTTTGTTTATCATCATCTTGGTTAAGAAGTATCGTGTACAAATCAAGTAGTAGACATTCATCAGATGCTTCTAGCCCAACATAAGGGACATATATTCATCTATTCAACCATTCAGTGAGAAGACCAATAACTCATTATCATTATTTATGTGCAAAAGAGAAATATGTTTTAGAGCAGTGATAAATGTAGGGACAAGTAGAGAAAATACTTTCTTTAGTTAAGGGACATTTTATATCACAGCTCTAATTAATCAGGGAATAGATTTGGAACAGATTTAGGTTTCAAAAGGGAAGAGGAAGAATTTGTCATTTAGTAGAGAAAAAGAGAATTTGTAGAGAATTTCTCTTTTTCTCTACTCTCCTCTGGCTGCATTTAATATTTTTTCTTTATTGTTTCTTTTTGACAATTGGATTAGGCTATGGCTTTGTATGGTTTTCTTTTTGTTTATCTTCCTTTCAATTTGTATATATATGTGTGTGTGTGTGTGTGTGTGTGTGTGTGTGTATCAGAAATAGGAAGGAAGGAGTTGTTTAGCAAGTTTCTGTAGGGGAGGCTTGGAAGATGAGGGCCAGGTAATTTCACAAGAACTTTGAGGTTTAACATAAAAGTAAAACAATACATTTTTTAGGTATGACAGAGAACACTATATTAGCTGCCTTTGGGCTTTTTACATGTAATTCAAGATCAGTTTTAAAAAATAAAAAAGTTATAATAATTTTATTTAAATAAACAGTTTTAAATAATATGGAGAGAACGAAATATACTCAGATGAAATGCAGAAGAGTAAAGAGGAGTTTGCAAAGCACTCTATGGATGGTCAACAAATTATAATTTATTGTGGTAATAGGAAGAGAAAAATTAAAATAATTTAAGGGCTGGCAAATGCAAGGAGTGACAAAGACTAATGTAATTTTATTGTTTTTCTTTGAGAAGAAAAGGATGTGGGATGACAGGGTTGCTGGCTTCAAGTTTGGAGATCAGTCAGGTGAGCAGAGGTGAGCATTAGTGATGGGTAATTTTTTTTAGTTTTGCTGAAGAAAGAAAAGGATGGAAATTCTTACTCTGTAGAATAAGTACCTTAAAAAGTTTTGTTTTAAAAAATTGGAACCCAAATACACCTATTTTACATGTTCATTTTTGATGAATTTTGACAAATGTGTACTCCCATATATTTACTACCACAATCAAGCTATAGAACATTTCAATGACCCAAAAATGTTTCCTTGTGCTTTTTTCCTAGTCAGATCTCCTCTCTGCTTCTGTCCACAGGTAACCCCTTACCCACTTTCTGTCACTATAGATTGGACTTACCGTTTTAGAGTTTCACATAAATGCAACCATATAGTATGTACTCTTTTTTGTCTGGATTCTTTTGCTCAGCATAAAGTTTTTGAGATTTATCCATGTCATTGCATGTATTAGTGGTTTATTCCTTATTACGGCAAAGTAGTATTCCATTGCATAGATATACCACAATTTATCCATTCACCTGTTGATGAGCATTTGGGTTCTATAGTAGTATAATTAAATATAAATTATTTCATGGGCCTGTTCCTCTGGACTGTGAACTTCTCTAGTGGTATAGCTTTTTAGAAAATTTTCCCTTAAGTGAGACAGTTATGCTTTAAGGAGCTGGAATAGGAGAAATGCCCCTTTCTCCAGCTGTGATAAAGCTCTGGAAAGGTCTTTTCCTCTGGAGATTAGGATTTTGGTTATTGAGAAAATTCTAAGCCTATTTCACAGTGATTACTCTTCCCTCACTTTTGCCAGAACCATGAATGGACCTATTTTGGATCTTCACCGTGAGAACCTGGTGGGATTCCCGGAGTTCAAGGCCATGAGAGTGTGCATTCCCCTTAAGACTTGACCCCAAGGAATTTTTTGCTCTTACTGCAGTCCACACTCAGCCTCCAGCAATTAGTCAAACTACCGTTAAGCATTAAGTGTTCCTACTAGTTTATGGCTCCACCATCTTTTCCCTCAGATAAGTACATCTTGGCTGTGTCTCTCTGGATGGTGCCTGTCTCTTCAGATTTCAAGGTGGTAGTTTCCTCTGTGATCTCAGTTATCTAACAGGTCCAAGAAGAGCCTTGATTTTCAGTTGGCCTGGGTTTTTCCTTGTTGTAAGGGCGAGGGTGACAACTTCTAAGCTCTTGATAAGTTGGAGCTAAAACCAGAATTCTCCCTCACCTTTATTTTTGAAAGATATTTTCACTGGGTATACAATTCTAGGTTGACAGCTTTTTTTCTTTCAAGATGTATTTTCATTGTCTTTAGCTTGGATGCTTTCTAACAAGAGATCTGAAGTGTTCTTTTTTTTTAGTTCCTTTGTACATAATTCTCTTTTTCTCTACTCTCCTCTGGCTGCATTTAATATTTTTTCTTTATTGTTTCTTTTTGACAATTTGATTAGGCTATGTCTTTGTATGGTTTTCTTTTTGTTTATCTTCCTTTCAATTTGTTGATATTCTTGGTTCTGTGGGTTTACAGTTTGCATGATTTTGGACATTTTTGACTATTATCTCTTTGAATAATTTTTATATTCCTCCCTCTATCTCCTTTCTTTCTGGAACTCCAATTAATGGATGCTATCCTGTTAGGCCACTTAATATAGTACAATAGGTCACGGAGTTTCTGTTCATTTTTTTCAGACTTTTCTTCTGCTTGTCTCAGGTTGGATAGTTTTAATTGCTGTCTTCAAGTTTACTAATCTGTTCTGCAGTATATAATCTACTGTGAATCCCATTCAGTGAGTTTCTTATTCCATGTATTGTGTTTTTCATTTCTAAACATTTCACTTGGCTTTTAGGTATATTTTTCATTTTCTCCTCATGTTTGTATTTTTCCTTAAAAATTTGAGCATACTGAGCATATTTTTCATTGCTATTTTTTTATGTATTTGTTTGCTAATTCAATCATCGCTGTGATTTCTTGATCTCTATTAACTGATTACTTTTTTCTGCTTATCTGTCAAAATTTCATGCTTCTTCACATGCATGATAATCTTTTTATTGGATGATGTACAGTGTGAAGTTTACATTGTTGAGTGTTGATTTTAGTTGTATTCCTTTAAAGATTGTTGGGCTTTGTTCCATAGGCAGTTAATGTACTTGTGGATCAGTTTGATCCTTTTAAAGCTTGTTTTAAAGCTTCTTAAGGGCAGATCTAGATGCGGCTTTAGCCTTGTTATTAAGAAATGATCATGCTGACATCTTTACTGAATGATCCTTGTGTTCTCTGAAGTCTGTTGATTTTGGCTGGTGGGAGCACTAATGATTTCTAGCCACATGTGAGTTCTAGGATTTTTTGTCTCGCCACTCTCTGATATGACCAGAAGGAATAAATTCAGTGGAAAGTAGGGAGAATTGAGGAGGGGAAGAGAGAGATAGAAAAAGAGGGAAGAGGGAGAGAGAGAGAGAGAGAGAGAGAGAGAACTAAATAGAACAGTAACTAGGGTATGAGGGTAATTTGCATTTGCCTAACTTGAGAACTCTTTTTCCACTTTTGGCTCTGAGAGGGCTCCAATAAATATGGGTATGATCCTTACTTCCTTACTGCTTACTTTTTCTTAATTGTGAGTGGATTAACCTGGGAGCTACCCCAATGATGGGGATGAATCTGTATCTACCTTTTGTCCCCTGAAGCTTACCCTAATATAGCCAGTAAACCAGGAAATTAGACATAGTTGTTTCAATTTAATGAATCCTGGACAGACTATCCTTAGATTCTTGACCACCTTCTCTATGTGGAGAGATTTGAGAATATTGCTGACCAGAAAAAGCACTACATTGGGTAGAGGTCTCCAAATATTGAGGTTCTAGAACTGATTCTTCTGTTCTTTGTTGGACTGGAAACTCATTTGATCCTTCTAGTTCTCATTGAGTTATATGATCTGCAGTCCCTTTCCTCTCAGATAGTATATGATTCTAATATGGAGCAGGTCATATTCCTGGTATCTTCAATGACACCAAATTGGAAAGCAATAAGAAAATATTCTGGGCAGTGTGAATCAGGTAGAAGACCATAATTCCCTCTTGTTGTAAGCTGCCAGTGAGCTCAGATATAAATTGGCCTCTCTGTGCTATAAACTGTAGCATAGTCTCCCATGGGTGGCATATCTGTATCCTGGATTGCTCACTGGGGTTTATCTATCAACTGTAATTTGTGTTTTACCTGGTCTCATTACTGTGTCTTTTGTCTTCCTCAATTTTGTTTTTTTTCTTTAACATACTTTTGTCTTTAACATACAGCATACTTTGCTGTATGCATTCCTGTATGTTACTTCAAAATCTTTATAGAATATGATACTGGTGGCAAGAGATTTAAAAACCTTTATCTAAGGAAACAAATAAGGAAAAGAGATAAAATAATATCAAATTAAAAATATATCACTTATTCAGATACTTATGTATTTAAATATGTATTTTAAACAAGTTTCTTTATGTGTTTTTCTCTGAAGACAGCAAATGAAAATCCTAAACTAGAAGGTGAATGGAAGGCTGATAAAGAAAGGAAAAAATGACAGCTAACAAGAGGTGACCATTTATTTTCCATGTCAAAGGGAGAAGACAGATTCCAAAAGAGATAGAAAATTACCTTGTGTTTTATAGCACATTATATAAGTTGATATTCAGAATGAAGGCAGCTCATTACCAAGACTAGGTTAAATAATTTTCCCTGATGTTTTACTTGAGAAGGCAGGGCAAAGTACCTTTTTGTTTGGGATTGAAATTGCCAAAAGGTTTTAATGACTTTTACTGTGGTGTGAGTTCATGTCTTACCAAAAATATGAGAAATATATTCTCTTGATTTGCATGGCAGATGCATTTCTAATGCCATTGGTAGGCTATGGTAACAGAAATACCTTTAATGTTCTATTCTCTTTTAGGGTTCTACAAAAAGCGCATTCTAATGTCACAGGTCCTGGAGGAAGGATTTTTCATTGCAGTCCATCTGATGGTTGAGGTGTGATCTTTTCATCTGTTCTTCTGGTGTGACATGCGTATTGGTGTACATGGGTTTTCTGCCATTCAGCATGGTTCAAGTACTTGCTTTTATTTATTCTTTCTTCTTGAATTTGACAGACTTTTATCAGGATAAGACTAAATTACCTTCGTCTATGTTGTCTTCTACTCTCCCCACCTTTTACAGCTCTGTGCCATAATGTGTCTGATTAGATACTCTCATCACTGCTGACAGGTTATCATCATCAACATAGCTAGAGATTTCATGAGAAGCTAGATCTCTGGGTTACTTACTTCCCAAAGTGACACCTCTATTCTGAGGGCTTACCTGAGATGAGAGAGCCCTTTTGTTTTTACAAAGTCCTTTTTCTGTTCACTGTTCAAAGACATTGGCTCTAACAGTTCAGTATAAATCCTGCCAAAGGAAGTGCATAGGGCTATAGAAGCACTGGGAGAGGGGGTAGGAAAAGGCAATAAAAAACAATAATATTATAGGGAAAGAAAGAAAAAGAAAAAAATTCTACCCACAAGAAAATAATTACAAAAATTAGAAGTGCCAGCATCTCCAGATGAGAAGGGACTAGTTCAATAATTTTGACACCATGAAAAATCTGGATATAATGACACCACCAAAAGATCACATTAGCTTTCCAGCAATGGCCCTTAAGCAAAATGGAAACTCAGAAATGACAGATACAGAACTAAGAGCATAGATTGCAAGGAAGCTCAGTGAGATCCAAGACAAGGTTAAAAATCAACACAAAGAAACTGCTAAATCAATCCAGGAAATGAAGGAAGAGATAAATTTCTTTAAAAGAAATCAATCAGAGCTTCTGGAATTTAAAAACTCACTTAAGGAATTTCAAAATTCAGTTGAAAGCTTTATCAGTGGACTAGACAAAGCAGAAGAAAGAATCTCAGAACTTGAAGACAAGTCTTTCAAACTAGCCCAGTCAGACAGAAGTAAAGAAAGATATTTTTTACAAAATGATCAAAGTTGTTGAGAGATGTGGGAATATGTAAAGTGACCAAACATGCAAATTATTGGCACTCCAGAGAGAGGAGAAAAAGTAAACAACCTAGAAAACATATGTGAGGGAATAATTAAAGAAAATTTCCATAATTTTGCTAGAGTGGTAGGCTACATACAAAAAATCTAGAGAACACCTGCAAGATACAATACAAAATGAACATCACCAAAGCATAGCATCACCAGACTGTCTAAGGTCAATGCTAAAGAAAAAAAATCTTAAAGGCAGCTAGAGAAAAAGGTCAGATCACTTATAAAGGAAATCCCATCAAGCTAATAGTGGACTTCTCAGCAGAAACCTTACAAGCTAGGAGAGATTAGGGGCCTATTTTCAGCACTGTTAAAGAAAAGAATTTTTTTTTTTTTGAGACGGAGTTTTGCTCTTGTTGCCCAGGCTGGAGTGCAATGGTGTGATCTTGGCTCACTGCAACCTCTGCCTCCTGGATTCAAGTGATTCTCCTGCCATAGCCTCCCGAGTAGCTAGGATTACAGGCACGTGCCACCACGCCCAGCTAATTTTTGTATTTTTAGAAAGAGACAGGCTTTTACTATGTTGGCCAGGCTGGTCTTGAACTCCTGACCTTAGGTGATCCACCCACCTCGGCCTCCCAAAGTGCTGGGATTACAGGCGTGAGCCACTGTGCCCAGACAAAAAGAAATTGTAACCAAGAATTTCATATCCCATCAAACTAAGCTTCATAAGTAAAGGAAAAATAAAATCTTTCCAGACAAGCAAGCACTAAGGGAATTCATTACCATTAGACCAGCTTTACAAGAGCACCTTAAGGGAGTTCTAAACATGGAAACAAAAGAATATAACCTGCTACTGCAATAACACACTTAAGTGCATAGTAATTAAGACAAAGGTCTAATATCCACAGTCTAAAGGGAACTTAAACAAATCAACAAGTGAAAAACAAATAACCCCATTAAAATGGGTAAAGGACATGAACAGACCCTTCTTAAAAGAAGACATACAGGTGGCCAACAAACATGAAAAAATAATCCACATCATTAATTATCAGATAGATAGAAATACAACTCACAACAAAATACCATCTCACACCAGTCATAATGGCTATTGTTAAAAAGTTAAGCAGTTTGAAGATTTATCTAAGATATTGAAACAGAGGTACCATTTGACCCAGCAATCTCATTCCTGAGTGTATATCCAAAAAATAAAACATTTTACTAAAAAGTCATGCACTCATATGTTAATTGCAGTACTATTCACAATAGCAAAAACATGGAATCCATTAGGTGCCCATAGATAGTCGATTGGATAAAGAAAATATGGTACATATTCACCATGGAATACTATACAGTCACAAAAAGAATGAAATAATGCCCTTTGCAGCAACATGGATGCAGCTTGAGGCCATTATCCTAAGCAAATTAATGTAGGAATAGAAACCCAAATACCACATGTTCTCACTTATAATCAGGAGCTAAACATTGGATACTTTATGAACATAAAGATGGCAACAATGGAGACTGAGGACTACTAGAAGGCAGAGGGAGGAAGGGGGGTGAGTGTTTAAAAACTAACTGTTGGGTGCTATACTCACTACTTGGGTGATAAGATCACTAGTATCCCAAATCTCAGCAGCATGCAATATACCCATGTAACATACCTGCACATGTACCCCCCTGAATCTAAAATAAAACTTGAAGGCTGGGTGCAGTGGCTCATGCCTGTAATCCCAGCACTTTGGGAGGCTGAGGTGGGAGGATTGCTTGAGCCCAGGAGGTTGAGGCTGTAGTGAGCCATGATCATGTCACTGCCCTCCAGCCTAGGCGACAGAGTGAGACATTGTCTCAAAAAATAAAGTAAAATAAAATGAAATAAAATAAAAATTGAAATTAACACCCCTGAAAGAAACAAAAACCACCACGACAACAAAAGAAAGACATTATCTCTAACTCTTTACACATTAGGATGCCCTATTCCTTATCCGAGCCATAAGATCTTGTCAGTCTTACTCAAGAGAAGGAGGGATACTCTCAGGATGGAAACATCATCCTGCCTAAATCTTTATAAATGTTAAACTCTTAACTCTTAAACTCTTCTTGCATTGTTATAATCTGATTGCCTCATCTCTGGGCCCTTGGCTGAGATAAAACCTGATAACAGTTAGAGTTTTTTTGATTTAACTTAATGAGTGTTTGGATTCTGAGATCTGTTTTAGATTTATTCTTCTTTGTCTCAAACTCAAGTTCTTCAGTGATTTTTCCACTTTACATTTATTAGCCAAGTCAATTAAAATTTTTCTATATAAGTTACTATAGGATTTTTTTCATTACCAAGGACATTTTAAACAGCATTTATCATGGAATTATTGTGATAGTTTTATGTTCTGGTTAAGAGATTTGGAGGAATATTATAATCTTTTTAAAAAAATGTTAAGTGTTCTGACATTGTTTTGGTTGGAATACCTTTCTGGATAGATAATTGAGAAATAAGGAGAAAAGAATGCGCTCAGTTGGCATTTGGAGAAGAAATTATTTCCTTTTCCTTTCTCCATGGGCAAGGAGCATGAGATAAAAATAATCAGAATAAGGTCCTTAGGTATCGAGAATTTATTAGAATCAGAGCACTTACTAATTCAGAGCAAATGAGATCTATAGATTGTTAATTGCAGCTTGGTGTCTTTTATAAGAATGCCTCATGTAGCGAGCACATTGTCCCTTCACTAAATGAGTAGTGATTATCAGGGAGATTACTGTGATTTATAAGCTCATTTTCTTCATTTTACTTTACATGTGCCAGACACTGACTCATACAATAGAAAAACAAAACAAGCCTGATTTTAGAAATTAAATGCTTTATTGATTTTTTTACTGTTGCTCACAACAGAAAGTTATATGGAATTTTTGAGTATATGGTATATAAGTTAAAAAATACATGGTGGTGGTGGGGAAACAACTTTATTGCAAGCTTTAGATTATAAACTAATTTTGGTATACTACATTTCTGCCAGAATCGTAAGAGTGCCACCCAAATGGAGAAGAAATAATATTAATTATTGTTGTGGAAGGAGAAATTATTTTCTTGGGAAAAGATTCTACTTTATTCTGGAATGTGCCGTTCTAGGTAAGTGTGACTTCTATAGTAAGTAGCATGAAGGATTTTCTTTTTAATCTTTATGGAGAAAAAGAGGCAGTGTGATGAATAATTAGAGAGTCTGATCTGCAAGCAACATGCTACTCCTTATTTTTTAGTAAATGGTTTTTTGTAGCTTCAGATATCAGAGGAATTGATTGGATTCTTAAGTTGTTTATACATGCAAGGTTAAGTGGAGAATTTGATACAATTTTTCTGATTGTTGAGAGGCAGTAAAACAGGGTAAAAGAGCTTGATCTCTGCAGCTAGACTCCCTAAATTCTGATCAGAGATCTGCCAGTGTGATCTTGGGCAATTTACTTAGCCTTTCTGTGCTTGAATTCTTCAACTATAAAATAGGGATGTTGATTAAAATTAAATGAGTGAATATACGTAAATTGAACAGTGTCAAACACATAATAAGCACTAAATAAATGCTAACTATTGCTATCATTCAGACTAAATAAGTATGGGTACAGATCTAAGGGCTGATTTGCACTGAACAACTGAAAGAAATGACTTAGAATTTCAACATTTAACAAACATTTTGAAGCAGTCCATTAATGTATATGTAATGTTTTAGTGTGAGAAATGTGGCATAGTGAAAAAGGAATCCACCATTTTTGAAGAAACGTTATAGACTTTGAAGTCAGATGAACAAATTCATATTCCAGCTCTGTTCCTTGCTGGTGTGTGAACCTAGGGACATTATTTCACCTTATAGAGTCTCAGTTTCCACATCTGTTAAATGCTACCTTGCAATGTTGTGAGGATTTGTGTTAATATTAATAGATATAGAGTTCTTAGCATAATGCTGGTACATAATAGGAACCAAGCAGTAATTTAGTAGTTCTCTTCCACCAGCTTGATAGCTAGAATCCTATTTCTTCCAAGTCTGTCTTTCTGTGTCAAAGTAAGGGAAGAGAACAGGGGGAAAGACAATCCACTGTTTTTTAAAATAGATTTTTTTCTGGAGCAGTTTTAGGTTCACAGCAAAATTGAGTGGAAGGTACAGAGATTTTCCATATATTCCCTGTCCCCACTCATGCGTAGACTTTCCCATTATCAACATCCCCCACCAGAGTAGTACATTTGTTACAACCGATGAACCTACATTGACATATCTCAGTCACCCAAGGCCCATAGTTTACATTAGGCTTCACTCTTGGTGTTATGAATTTCATAGGTTTGGTCAAATATATAAAGACATGTATCTACCATTATAGTATCATACAAAGTAGTTTCACTGTCCTAAAAGTCCTTTGTGCTCCGCAGATTTTTTACTTTTTCATTTTCTTGTTTTGATGTATGAACACTTGTGATATACTAGTGTGAGATGGCATCCTGTGGGTAGACCAAGTCATCTCAGGAAGATTTTAGAGATGGTTCTTAGTAGAGTCAACCAGGGTGTTAGTGGCAGGCACTGGGGTACAAATGCAGGATTACCTGACATGGAGCTGTTGGGCCAAGATGGAGCCTGGTATCCTGAGGGTACACTGAGAGAGAGAAAAATACATCAGTCATGTGTCTCACCAGGAGCAAGAGTCCCATGGAGGTCAGTATTAGGCAAAGTCAGAGATTTGAGTGGGCAAAAGATGTTGCTGACTTATATCAGCAGGAATGGGGCTCAGGATGGCATGTAGATTTGGAAGGGCAAGGCAGATTACCAGTTTTTGAGGTTCTAATATACTGCTCAGATTATAAAAGAAAAATCCACAAGAGGATATGTGTGGTGGGAATTAACATTTATTCAGCATCTACTATGTGCCGTATATAGTGCTATATTTTGTATATGGTAGGTGTTATTATTTTGCATTTTAAAGATAATAAGATTGGGATTTGGAGAAACTAAGAAACTTGCCCAAAGTCATAGAGCTAGCAAATGGTGAAGCTGAGATCCAAACCAGACTGTCTTGTTGTTTAGAGATCTAGCTGCTAAATCAAGGATACTGGTAGAAACTTGATCTCATGAAAATGGAAGAAACCCACATGTTATACTTAGGCACACTGTTCAAGCCCAAGGTGTAGGGAAACTTGATCCTGAGTCATGGTGATGTGCTATAGCACCTTACATTTCCACAGACTGAGGTCAGGAGAGGGCAAGTCATCTCAGCAAGAGAGGAGGAAGGCTGCAGGGAAGCAACCTCACAATTCATTGCCATGGCATCCCCCGCCACTGCGGTACTTTAAATGGTCCCCTGGAGTCTGCAAAGTGCAAAGCATTAATGTACCGCTCTAAGTGCTTTTGCTGTCTAATTTGTTATCATGGAGTGACCAAGTAATATGCGTATTTATGGTGAGCAACAGGGATTCTTAAGTTAGGGGTATAGAGGTATATTGGCAGTGTTTTATGAACTTATGAGAAAGAGAAACTTATTCTCTTCTCTAAATTTTCTTAAAATAAATGATGGTCAGAACCTCCTGTTTCTAAGGGAACTAGGAAAACAAAGGCAAATATTATCACCACATTGGAAATAGGGTAAAAACAGAGATATCTTTATCACTAAGTTGTGCCGAAAGTTTAATATTCAACCACTTTTTTAAAAAAAGACCACAGAACAGAAACTGTATCTTGAATACTAAGTTACTATATGAAGGTTGGATTTTTGAGGATGGTAAAGTCAGGAATTGATTTCATCAAACTGATTACTCTAAGAAGCTGCCTCAAAGGCAAATCATTTTACATCACAATCAATTATTTGATTTCTAGCATTTAAAAAATTTGCATCAGAGGATATCAGAAAAAATGGGGAACAGTTTAGAAACAATTATATATTCTCTTTTATCATGCAGTAAGCGACCTGTTTGGTTAAAAAAATTCCTTTTAGGCACTCTGGGAAGGCTTGCTTGGACATAGAAATATTCTTAGGTCAGGCTAGTATCTTATTAGACTGTCAAAATTTGTGGATGGGAATATAGATAAATCGAAATTTTGAATATCCCAAGGACATATTTACCCTTTTTCTAGATTGTGAAAATGACACATTTTGGAATGGAAGATTTGCTCATTTGTCACCCCCTCTAACTTGTTTCCAAAATCCCACAACATTTGAAAATATGTAAGTGTCTCATTGGGTTGGATCAGCCATACAAACCCAGCCCCCTATAAAACCTTAGAATATATTATTAAATGCCTGGGATCACACCATCTTAAAACAAACAAAAACAAACATAAAATTGTTTTTTTTTTGTTTTTTGTTTTTTTATTTTTATTTTTTTATTATACTTTAAGTTCTAGGGTACATGTGCACAATGTGCAGGTTTGTTACATATGTATATGTGTGCCATGTTGGTGTGCTGCACCAACTGCCTGAGTCTACAGAGGCAGGCAGGCCTCTTTGAGCTGTGATGGGCTCCACCCTGTTCAAGCTTCCCAGCTGCTTTGTTTACCTACTCAAGCCTCAGCAATGGTGGACGCCCTTCCCCCAGCCTCGCTGCCGCCTTGCAGTTCAATCTCAGACTGCTGTACTAGCAATGAGCCAGGCTCCGTGGGCGTGGGACCCTAAGAGCCATGCGTGGGACCCTAAGAGCCATGCGCGGGATATAATCTCCTGGTGTGCCGTTTGCTAAGACTGTTGGAAAAGCGCATTATTAGGGTGGGAGTGTCCCAATTTTCCAGGTACCATCTGTCACGGCTTCCCTTGGCTAGGAAAGGGAATTCCCCAACCCCTTGCGCTCCCTGGGTGAGGAGATGCCCCGCCTCGCTTCGGCGCACACTCCATGGGCCACACCCACTGTCCGACAAAGCCCCAGTGAGATGAACCTGGTACCTCAGTTGGAAATGCAGAAATCACCCGTCTTCTGCGTCGCTCACACTGGGATCTGTAGAATGGAGCTGTTCCAATTTGGCCATCTTGAAACCTTTCTAAAATTGTTTTTATCTTTAAAGTTTTCTTCCTTCTTTTTAGGTTCTGTTCACATGCATACATTATCTTTACATTTTAATTGGTTAATTTTAATTACTCAATTACAAAAATACATTCTCTTTGCAAAAATTCCAACACAGAAGTATAAAAAGCAAAAGTTACCTTTCAATTACCCATCTCTCTTGAAATCCCAGAATCTTTATTAGGTCATCATTAACCATTATTAGGGTCTTAGTATGCATCAATTCATCTTTTTCAATGTAATTTATTATACGCATGTATGCACACAAATACATATATATTTTTAAACTGTATCACTTGTGAAGCAAATTTTCTTCACATAACAATGTTTTTGACATATCTTTCCACTGAAATCCACCTCACTTAAAAATTACTGCATAGTGTTTCAAAATGCAGATGGAATATAACATAGCCATTTCTTTATTGATGGACATTTAGATTGCTTTTCATTTTCTACTTTTATGAATAATGTTGAAATGTGTATTCTTGCACATACACATTCATCCAAATAGGCAAGCATTTTACTATATTAGGTAGACAGTGGTGATATTACTGGGATGAAAGATATCTTCAGTTTGGTTGAATTTACTTTTGTTATTTTACGTTTTTGTGGGTACATAGTAGGTATATATATTTATGGGTTACATAAGATGTTTTGATACAGGCATGCAATGTGAAATAACCACATCATGCAGAATGGGGTATTCATCGCCTTGGGCATTTATTGTTATAATTATTTCATCTTTTTTTTAAAGCATCTTGGGGTGACGCTATTTTCAAAATTTTTGGTTTTCTAATAAGTGCTTTTAAGGCAATGGCTTTTTCTCTGGGTATCACATGGCCTGCAGCAGAATGATTGATATCTGGTACTGATTATCAGTCATTTCTAGAGGATTTTAAGATATGGTTAAAAAATACTCCATAGCACAAGAAAGGTATTTTTAAAGTTAAACTTTTTTTTTTTTTTTTTGAGTTTGCGTTTCGCTTTTGTTGCCCAGGCTGGAGTGCAATGGTGTGATCTCAGGTCACCACAACCTCTGCCTCCCGGGTTCAAGTGGTTCTCCTGCCTCAGCCTCCTGAGTAGCTGGGATTACAGGCATGCACCACCACGCCTGGCTAATTTTGTATTTTTAGTAGAGATGGGGTTTCTCCATGTTGGTCAGGCTGGTCTCAAACTCCTGGCCTCAGGTGATCTGCATGACTCGGCCTCCCAAAGTGCTGGGATAATAGGTGTGAGCCACTGTGCCCAACCCCTAAGGTTGAACTTTTAATGAATCAGCATATAGTAAAATTGACATTTTTTGTTACATATCTATAAATGTGCTAAAATTCATAGAAAGATATTTTTTAACATTTAGGAATTTTAAGTTTCTATTTTTGCCACTGTTTTCAGAAAATTTGGCCCCCAATTTAAAATAATGTTTTGAAAACTTTCATATAGTTTACTATACAGTAATTTGCAACTGTTTTAATGGATATTTTAAAAAATATATTTTCTGCCTGTTGGCCATCAACAATATTCTAATATAGCTAGTATATGCAGCTTCCACTGGTATTCAATTCGTCACTCTTCTGAGGGTGTACTGAATTTCTGAGAAAAGTGATTAGAGTGTTCCACTGAGATTCATGACTTATAATTTATCAGTTTTGTTTTTGTTTGCTTTAAAGCAGTTCTTAAATATTTTGAAGCCATGTTGTCAGATGAATAAAAATTTGTGACGTATGTATATTCTTGTTGGATTGTACTATTCATCAATATGAAAATCAATATAAAATATTTTTGTCCATTTCTATGTCTCACCCTGAATTCTATTCCGTTTTTCATGTAACTAATATTGGCTAGGGTATTGTTTTCCATGTTTTTATTTTAAAGTACTGTTTTTCATTTGAAAATGTCTTTTGCAAACAACACATATCTGGAATTTATTTTATTTTTGTTTTTGCCCTACCTGAGAGTCTTTGTCTTCCAACATGGCTATTGAATCACTTTTACATTTATTGTTATTATTGATATCTTAGATGCATTCTTGCTATCTGATTTTATGTTTTCTCTTAGCCATGGTTTCTCTTTTTTTCGTTTCTACCATTTTGTTATACTCACTGACTTTTATTTGCTTCAGTTTCTATCTCTAATAGTTTGATAATCGCATATGCTATTTGTTCTCTTTATTTTGTATTTTTCAAAAACAATTTTAAATTAAAAAAATTTTGTGAGGACATAGTATGTGTATAATTTACGGGGTACATGAGATGTTTGGATTTTTTTTTTTTTCTGACGGAGTCTCGCTCTGTTGCCCAGGCTGGAGTGCAGTGGTGCGATCTCGGCTCACTGCAAGCTCTGCCTCCTGGGTTCATGCCATTCTCCTGCCTCAGCCTCCTGAGTAGCTGAGACTGCAGGCGTCTATCACCACGCCTGGCTAATTTTTTGTATTTTTAGTAGAGACAGGGTTTTACCGTGTTAGCCAGGATGGTCTTGATCTCCTGACGTTGTGATCTGCCCACCTCGGCCTCTCAAAGCGCTGGGATTACAGGCATGAGCCACCGCGCCCGGCGAGATGTTTTGACATAGACATACAATGTGCTCTTTTCTTAGCTACCTTTAAAATTTATCACACATTTAAATTTATTTTTCTACCACTCCTTGAGTCAATTAGTATCATTAACCCCTTACTACAATATTTTCATAGCTATAATAAAGTCAGAGAAATATTTTCATGACATTTAAAAATTAATATTACATATGTGTATTTATTAAGCAGCTTTCATAATCATTATTTTAATAGTTGTTTAATACTCTATTGAATTGTTATAATAAAATTATATCTCTATTTATTGATTTCTATTCCCCTATTGTGGCTATTTCTGATTATTTAAATGATTGATTTTGATACCCAATGCAGTAAAAATTAATCTTTTTGTGCCTATAGATTTTCTATTCCAGCATATAATTTTATGACAAATTCTTTGGATTGAGTTATTGGGACAGTGCAACCTTCTTATGAATATTAAAAGTTTTACCTCCATTGGATAATATTCTTTTCAGCACATAGTAGAAAGGGATTATACAGACAGTATTTTGAGTTAAGTAAGTAATAAAGGAGAGTAGAATAGATAAGTGACAGGTATAAAGAAGAAAAGGCCTCCGAGTGAGATCTGGGGAGATAAACAGTGGAAAGTTCAGTTAGAATGTATCCAGAAGCATCAGGGGAATTAAGTAGAAACAGAAGTGCATAGAAAAGGTTAAAAGGTAAGTAATGTCTTTTCTCCATTTACTTGTGGAGGGCAGATAATAACAGTCACAGGGGAGTAAAAACTGCTGAATGCAGAAAAGGATTGCCACGATTGTCATCCCAGGTAGTAACGGAGTGTCTGGAGCTTGTATAAACTCAAAGATGGGTTGACTTCCCCATTATATAAGTTACAAGAGGATATTTATTTATTTATTTAAATTTTTATTATTTATTTGTTTATTTAAATTATACTTTTAAGTTCTAGGGTACATGTGCACAACATGCAGGTTTGTTACATAAGTATACATGTGCCATGTTGGTGTGCTGCACCCATCAACTCATCATTTACATTAGGTATTTCTCCTAATGCTATTCCTCCCCAGCCCCCCAACCCCCGACAGGCCACGGTGTGTGATGTTCCCCACCCCATGTCCAAGTGTTCTCATTGTTCAATTCCCACCTGTGATAGAGAACATGTGGTGTTTGGTTTTCTGTCCTTGTGATAGCTTGCTCAGAATGATGGTTTCCAGCTTCATCCATGTCCCTGCAAAAGACATGAATTCATCCTTTTTTATGGCTGCATAGTATTCCAAGGTGTATATGTGCCACATTTTCTTAGTCCAGTCTGTCACTGATGGACATTTGGGTTGGTTCCAAGTCTTTGCTATTGTGAATAGTGCCACAATAAACATATGTATGCAAGTGTCTTTAGAGTAGCATGATTTATAATACTTTGGGTATACCCAGTAATGGGATTGCTCCGTTGGCTGCATAAATGTCTTCTTTTGAGAAGTGTCTGTTCATATCCTTTGCCCACTTTTTGATGTGGTTGTTTGATTTTTTTCTTGTAAATTTGTTTAAGTTCTTTGTAGATTCTGGAAATTAGCCCTTTGTCAGATGGGTAGATTGCAAAAATTTTCTCCCATTCTGTAGGCTGCCTCTTCACTCTGATGGTAGTTTCTTTTGTCGTGTAGAAGCTTGTTAGTTTAATTAGATCCCATTTGTCTATTCTGGCTTTTGTTGCCATTGCTTTTGGTGTTTTAGTCATGAGGTACTTGCCCATGCCTATGTCCTGAATGGTATTGCCTAGGTTTTCTTCTAGGGTTTTAATGGTTTTAGGTCTAACATTTAAGTCTTTAATCCATCTTGAATTAATTTTTGTGTAAGGTGTAAGGAAGGCATCCAGTTTGAGCTTTCTACATATGGCTAGCCAGTTTTCCCAGCACCATTTATTAAATAGGGAATCCTTTCCCCATTTCTTGTTTTTTTGTCAGGTTTGTCAAAGATCAGATGGTTGTAGCTATGTGGTGGTGTTATTTCTGAGGCCTCTGTTCTGTTCCATTGGTCTATATATCTGCTTTAGTACCAGTACCATGCTGTTTTGGATACTGTAGTCTTGTAGAATAGTTTGAAGTCAGGTAGCATGATGCCTCCAGCTTTGTTCTTTTTGCTTAGGATTGTCTTGGCAATGCGGGCTCTTTTTTGGTTCCATGTGAACTTTAAAGTAGTTTTTTCCAATTCTGTGAAGAAAGTCATTGGTAGCTTGATGGGGATGGCATTGAATCTGTCAATTACCTTGGGCAGTATGGCCATTTTCATGATATTGATTCTTCCTATCCATGAGCATGGAATGTTCTTCCATTTGTTTGTGTCCTCTTTTATTTCACTGAGCAGTGGTTTGTAGTTCTCCTTGAAGAGGTCCTTCACATCCCTTGTAAGTTGGATTCCTAGGTATTTTATTCTCTTTGAAGCAATTGTGAATGGGAGTTCACTCATGATTTGGCTCTCTGTTTTTCTGTTATTGGTGTATAGGAATGCTTGTGATTTTTGCAGGTTGATTTTGTATCCTGAGACTTTGCTGAAGTTGCTTATCAACTTATGGAGATTTTGGGCTGAGATGATGGGGTTTTCTAAATATACAGTCATGTCATCTGCAAACAGAGACAATTTGACTTCCTCTTTTCTTAATTGAATACCCTTTATTTCTTTCTTTTGCCTGATTGCCCTGGCCAGAACTTCCAACACTCTGTTGAATAGGAGTGGTGAGAGAGGTCATCCTTGCCTTGTGTTGGTTTTCAAAGGGAATGCTTCCAGTTTTTGCCCATTCAGTATGATATTGGCTATAGGTTTGTCATAAATAGCTCTTATTATTTTGAGATACGTTCCATCAATACCTAGTTTATTGAGAATTTTTAGCATGAAGGGCTGTTGAATTTTGTTGAAGGCCTTTTCTGCATCTATTGAGATAATCATGTGGTTTTTGTCATTGGTTCTGTTTATGTGACAGATTATGTTTATTGATTTGCGTATGTTGAACAAGCTTTGCATTCCAGGGATGAAACCCACTTGATCATGGTGGATAAGCTTTTTGATGTGCTGCTGTATTCGGTTTGCCAGTATTTTATTAAGGATTTTTCAACCAATGTTTATCAGGCATATTGGTCTAAAATTCTCTTTTTGTGTTGTGTCTCTGCCAGGTTTTGGTATCAGGATGATGCTGGCCTCATAAAATGAGTTAGGGAGGATTCCCTCTTTTTCTATTGATTGGAATAGTTTCAGAAGGAATGGTACCAGCTCCTCCTTGTGCCTCTGGTAGAATTTGGCTGTGAGTCCATCTGGTCCTGGACTTTTTTTGGTTAGTAGGCTATTAATTATTGCCTCAATTTCAGAGCCTGTTATTGGTCTATTCGGAGATTCAACTTCTTCCTGGTTTAGTCTTGGGAGGGTGTATGTGTCGAGGAATTTATCCATTTCTTCTAGATTTTCTAGTTTATTTGCATAGAGGTGTTTATAGTATTCTCTGATGGTAGTTTGTATTTCCGTGGGATCAGTGGTGATATTCCCTTTATCATGTTTTATTGCGTCTATTTGATTCTTCTCTCTTTTCTTCTTTGTTAGTCTTCCTAGTGGTCTATCAATTTTGTTGATCTTTTCAAAAAACCAGCTCCTGGATTCATTGATTTTTTTCAAGGGTTTTTTGTGTCTCTATCTCTTTCAGTTCTGCTCTGATCTTAGTTATTTCTTGCCTTCTGCTAGCTTTTGAATGTGTTTGCTCTTGCTTCTCTAATTCTTTTCATTGTGATGTTAGGGTGTCAATTTTAGATCTTTCCTGCTTTCTCCTGTGAACATTTAGTGCTATAAATTTCCCTCTACACACTGCTTTGAATGTGTCCCAGAGATTCAGGTACGTTGTGTCTTTGTTCTCATTGGTTTCAAAGAACATCTTTATTTCTGCCTTCATTTCGTTATGTACCCAGTAGTCATTCAGGAGCAGGTTGTTCAGTTTCCATGTAGCTGAGCAGTTTTGAATGAGTTTCTTAATCCTGAGTTCTAATTTGATTGCACTGTGGTCTGAGAGACAGTTTGTTGTGATTTCTCTTCTTTTATATTTGCTGAGGAGTGCTTTACTTCCAGTTATGTGGTCAATTTTAGAATAAGTACGACATGGTGCTGAGAAGAATGTCTATTCTGTTGATCTGTGGTGGAGAGTTCTGTAGATGTCTATTAGGTCTGCTTGGTGCAGAGGTGAGTTCAATTCCTGGGTATCCTTGTTAACTTTCTGTCTCATTGATCTGTCTAATATCGACAGTGGGATGTTAAAGTCTCCCATTATTATTGTGTGGGAGTCTAAGTCTCTTTGTAGGTCTCTAAGGACTTGCTTTATGAATCTGGGTGCTCCTATATTGGGTGCATATATATTTAGGATAGTTAGCTCTTCTTGTTGAATTGATCCCTTTACTATTATGTAATGGCCTTCTTTGTCTCTTTTGATCTTTGTTGGTTTAAAGTCTGTTTTATCAGAGACTAGGATTGCCACCCCTGCTTTTTTTTTGCTTTCCATTTGCTTGGTACATCTTCCTCCATCCCTTTATTTTGAGCCTATGTGTGTCTCTGCACGTGAGATGGGTTTCCTGAATACAGCACACTGATGGGTCTTGACTCTTTATCCAATTTGCCAGTCTGTGTTTTATAATTGGGGCATTTAGCCCATTTACATTTAAGGTTAATATTGTTATGTGTGAATTTGATCCTGTCATTATGATGTTAGCTGGTTATTTTGCCCATTAATTGATGCAGTTTCTTCCTAGTATCAATGGTCTTTACAATTTGGCATGTTTTTGCAGTGGCTGGTACTGGTTGTTCCTTTTTATGTTTAGTGCTTCCTTCAGGAGCTCTTGTAGGGCAGGCCTGGTGGTGACAAAATCTCTCAGCATTTGCTTGTCTGTAAAGGATTTTATTTTTCCTTCACTTATGAAACTTATTTTGGCTGGATATGAAATTCTGGGTTGAAAATTCTTTTCTTTAAGAATGTTGAATATTGGTCCCCACTCTCTTCTGGCTTGTAGAGTTTCTGCTGAGAGATCCACTGTTAGTCTGATGGGCTTCCCTTTGTGTGTAACCTGACCTTTCTCTCTGGCTGCCCTTAACATTTTTTCCTTCATTTCACCCTTGCTGAATCTGACAATTATGTGACTTTGGGTTGCTCTTCTCGAGGAGTATCTTTGTGGTGTTCTCTTTATTTCCTGAAGTTGAACATTGGCCTGCCTTGCTAGGTTGGGGAAGTTCTCCTGGATAATATCCTGAAGAGTGTTTTCCAATTTGATTCCATTCTGCCTGTCACTTTCAGGTACACCAATCAGACGTAGATTTGGTCTTTTCACATAGTCCCATATTTCTTGGAGGCTTTGTTCATTTGTTTTTACTCTTTTTTTCTCTAAACTTGTCTTCTTGCTTTATTTCATTAATTTGATCTTCAGTCACTGATACCCTTTCTTTCACTTGATTGAATTGGCTATTGAAGCTTGTGCATGCGTCACGAAGTTCTCATGCCATGGTTTTCGGCTCCATCAGATCATTTAAGGTCTTCTCTACACTGTTTAGTTAGCCATTCGTCTAACCTTTTTTCAAGGTTTTTAGCTTCCTCGCAGTGGGTTAGAATATGCTCCGTTAGCTCGGAGAAGTTTGTTATTACCGACCTTCTGAAGAAGCCTACTTCTGTCAACTCGTCAAAGTCATTCTCTGTGTAGTTTTGTTCCCTTGCTGGCAAAGAGCTACGATTTTTTTGGAGAAGAGGCCCTCTGGTTTTTAGAATTTTCAGCTTTTCTGCTCTCATTTCTCCCCATCTTTGTGGTTGTATCTACCTTTGGTATTTGATGTTGGTGACCTACAGATGGGATTTTGGTGTAGATGTCCTTTTTGTTGATGTTGATGCTATTCCTTTCTGTTTGTTAGTTTTCCTTCTAAGAGTCAGGTCCCTCAGCTGCAGGTCTGTTGGAGTTTGCTGGAGGTCCACTCCAGACCCTGTTTGCCTGGAGGCTACAGAACAGCAAATATTGCAGAATCTGCAGCAGAGACTGCAAAACAGCAAATATTGCAGAACAGCAAATATTGCTGTCTGATCCTTCCTCTGGAAGCTTTGTCCCAGAGTGGCACCCATCTGTTTGAGGTTTCTGTCAGCCCCTACTGGGAGGTGTCTCCCAGTTAGGCTACACGGGGGTCAAGGACCCACTTGAGGAGGCAGTCTGTCCATTCTCAGAGCTTAAACGCCATGCTGGGAGAACCACTGCTCTCTTCAGAACTGTCAGACAGGGACGTTTAAGTCTGCAGAAGTTGTCTGCTGCCTTTTGTTTAGCTATGCCCTGTCCACAGAGGTGGAGTCTATAAAGTCAGTAGGCCTTGCTGAGCTGTGGTGGGTTCCACCCATTTCGAGCTTACTGGCAACTTCATTTACCTACTCAAGCCTCAGCAATGGCGGACACCCCTCCCCCAGCCAGGCTACCGCCTTTCAGTTCGATCTCAGACTGCTGCACTAGCAGTGAGCAAGGCTCCGTGGGCGTGGGACCTCCTGAGCCAGGCATGGGAGAGAATCTCCTTATCTGCCTGTTGCTAAGACCTTGGGTAAAGTGCAGTATTTGGGCGGAAGTGTCCCATTTTTCCAGGTACAGTCTGTCATGGCTTCCCTTGGCTAGGAAAGGGAAATCCTCCGACCCCTTTCACTTCCCAGGTGGGGTGATGCCCCGTCCTGCTTTGGCTAACCCTCTGTGAGCTGCACCCTCTGTCCAACTTGTCCCAATGAGACGAACGAGGTACCTCAGTTGGAAATGCAGAAATCACCTGTCTTCTGCATCAATCATGCTGGGAACTGCAGACCGGAGCTGTTCATATTCGGCCATCTTGGAATGGAATCCTACAAGAGGATATTTAAACTGACCATATGTATAAGATTATGGGCTAAGTTAATAACAGTTCAGAAGGCTGCTGAATAAAGGCTGCATGCTTGCTTACTTTAAATGCTTACTATATATCCATTACATAAAATTGTATAATTTTTAAAAGTTCAATTATTTATATATATATATCTTCAAATATAAAAATATGTAAATTTAATGATTTAAATGATGATTTACATTTAAAGTGATGATTTAAATATGAAAATCTTTAAATAACTGAACTTTTGTATATAACAACTTTCAGGAATGAACCTGAATGCTATGGCTTGAACTGTGCTCCCAAAAAGGGGTATGTTGAAGCCTTAATGTCCAGCATCTCAAAATGTGACCTTATTTGGAAATGAGATCATCACAGATGTAATTAATTAAGATGGAGTTACACCAGAATAGGTTGGGTCCTTCATGCAATATGAGTGATGTCCTTATAAAAAGAGAAGATACATAGGCACAGACACACAAGTAGGGAATGCTATGTGACAGTGGAGGCAGAGACTGAAGTGCTGCAGCTGAAAGTCAAGAATTGTCGACAGCAACCATGAGAAGCGAGGAATAAGCAAGGAAGGATTATTTCCAGAGTCTCAGAGAGACCATGGCCTTGTCAATACCTGGATTTCAGACTTAGAACCCCAGAACTGTGAAATAGTAAATTTCTGATGTTTTAAGCCACTTAATTTGTGGTATCTTGTTATAGTAGTCCTGGGAAACTAATACAGAACCTATTAATTTTGCTAGAGGGCTATAACTGAAGAATCATAGCTAGATGGGGCAACCTATCCTAAGTGAAGCAGGAAATAGTCTTCAGTGTGGAAGTGCTAATGTGACTACCAACCCAAGATTGTGAAAAGTCCTGAAAAGTCAAGCTGGAGAAAAACTTCTCCACCTTTGTAGTAGTAAGTTACTGTTTGCCAACTTACTTATCTAGCTTACAAATAAAGATAGTAAGGAAAATTGGATCAAATACAGTAGCATATCCTTTATGTGCAGCATATTCTTTATGTGCAGCATATTCTAGGAACCCTAGAACACAAAGATTTTACACTTATTATGCTGAACCATATAAAATTGCTATTTTGTGATTTTTTTTGGTAAAAATTTGGTTAAATATTGGCAATTCCATATGGTTCAACCAAATAAGTTACACTGGAATTTAGAAGGTGACAATATAGATTTCCAACAATTATCAGGAGCATACAATAAACTTCAAATGATAATTACTGTATTTGAAAGGATGGGGGAAGATTCAGGAAGATCCTGGAAAGTGATGGGTGTTTGATGGGGAGGGGAGACAGAGAGGGAACAATTTCACTGGAGATGGAAGTTCATCCATAGGGAGGGAAAAGTCTGGAAAAGTATTTTGGAGATATATTAAAGATCTTCAATGCCCACTTAAGGGATTTCAACTTATTGTTATAAAATAGGGGAGTGAATTGTCAAAGATTGTCCAGAGGGGAAGATTTGAAGTAGTGAAAGTGATGATTTAGGAAAGTTAATTTGACATGCATTTATTATATTTAGCAAATATTTATTGTGGCCACAATTTTGCATACAGACAGGTTGGAGAGCTACAACACTGAAGACCTGGAAACCAATGAAGAGGTTATTGCTACAGTGTAACTATAGTGTTACATGTGCTTGAACTGGAGTCGTAGGTATGGTTTGGCAAAGATCAGAGAGAGCTTGGTGATATGTTTAAGTGTATGGGAAGAAGGTGGTCAAAGTTGACTCCAGAGTTTTGCATTTAAGTGAATTTAAGAATGGCATTAATAACAAAAATGCAGAAGGCAAGAAAAGAAGCTTGTTCAGGGATTGAGACGATAATTTTTTATTATGATACATTTGGGGTGATAGGAAGACCTCTTAGTAGAACTGTCCAACATAGGGCAAAGAATAAGGATAATTCAGGGACCCCTAGATGAAGGTGATATGGTCAAGGTCATGAAAGTCAACCAGATCTCCAAGGGATAAATCATATCAGGGAAAATCAGAAGACTATATCTTGTAGGATGACCATGATTAAATTTAAACTATGCATATTGTTTCTGATTTTACAGATTTTAATAATAATCTCTCTCTGATATTTTATTTCCAGGCTCAAAGATCATACTGGTTTCTATCTTAGATCAAATAGTATCTCTACTTCACCTATTTCTTTTAATATTTTTTAATTTTTGTGGATACATAGTAGGTGTATATAAATATATCCCATATGGGGTATATGAGATATTTTGACACTCTTTTAGTTGTTTAAATGTGCAATTAAATTATTATTGACTGCAGTCACCCTCTTGTCCTATTGATTATATTTTTTGTACCTATTAAACATCCCCCCAACCCCACTATACTTCCCAAATTCTGGTAACCATCTCAATGAGTTCAATTGTTTTTGATTTTTAGATCCCACAAATAAGTGAGAATGTGTGATGTTGGTCTTTCTGTGCCTGGTTGATTTCATTCAAAAAAATAATATTCATTTCCATCCATGTTATTGTAAATGACAGGATCTCATATTTTTTTTGGCTGAATAGCACTCCATTGTGTATATGTACCACATTTTCTTTATACACTCACCTGCTGATGGACACTTAGGTTGCTTCCAAACCTTGGCTATTGTGAATAGTGCTGCAACAAACATGAGAGTCCAGGTATCTCTTTAATATACTGACTTCCTTTCTTTTGGGTATATACCCAGCAGTGGGATTGCTGGATCATATGGTAGCTCAATTTTTAGCTTTTTGAGGGACCTCCAAATTGTTCTCCATAGTGGTTGTACTAATGTACATTCCCACCAACAGTGTACCAGGATTCCCTTTTCTCTACATTCTCGTCAGCATTTATTATTGCCTGTCTTTTGGATGTAAGCCATTTTAACTGGGGTAAGATGATATTTCATTGTGATTTGCATTTCTCTGATGATCAGTGATATCAAGCACCTTTTCATATGCCTGTTTGCCATCTATGTCTTCTTTTTGAGAAATGTCTAGTCAAATCTTTTGCCTATGTTTTGATCCAGTTATTAGGATTTTTCCTATAGAATTGTTTGAGCTCCTTATATATTCTGGCTATTAATCTCTTGACAGATGGGGAGATTAAAAATATTTCCTCCCCATTCTGTGGATTGTCTCTTCACTTTGCTGATTGTATCCTTTGCTGTGCAGAAGCTTTTTAACTTGACGTGGTCCCATGTGTCCATTTTTGCTTTGGTTTCCTGTTTGTAGGGTATTACTCAAGAAATCTTTTCCCAGACCAATGTCCTGGAGAATTTCCCCAAATGTTTTCTTGTAGTAGTTTCATAGTTTGCATTCTTAGATTTAAGTTTTTAATCCATTTTGATTTGCCTTTTGTATATGGCGAGAGATAGGGGTCTAGTTTCATTCTTCTGCATATGAATATCCAGTTTCTCCAGCAACATTTATTGAAGAGACTGTCTTTTCCCCAGTGTATGTTCTTGGCACCTTTGTCAAAAATGAGTTCACTATAGGTCTGTGAATTTATTTCAGAGTTCTCTATTCTGTTCTGTTGGTCTGTGTGTCTGTTATTATGGAAGTACCATTCTGTTTTGGTTACTATAGCTCTGTAGTATAATTTGGAGTCAGATATTGTAATTCCTCCAGTTTTGTTCTTCTTCTTAGGATAGCTTTGGCTATTTTGGGTCTTTTCTGGTTTTATATAAATTTTAGGATTGTTTTTCTATTTCTGTCAAGAATATCATTGGTATTTTGACAGTGATTGCATTGAATCTGTAGATTGCTTTGGGTAGTATGGACATTTTAAAATTATTAATTTTTCCAATCTATAAATATGGAATATCCTTCCATTAGTTGGTGTCCTCTTCAATTTCTTTCATCAGTGTTTTACGGTTTTCACTATAGAGATCTTTTACTTCTTTGGTTAAGCTAATTCCTAGGTATTTAATTTTATTTGTGGCTACTGTAAAGGGGATTACTTTTTTATTTCTTTTTCAGATTGTTCACTGTTGGTATATGGAAATGATACTGATTTTTGTATGTTGATTTTGTATCCTGCAACTTTACTGAATTTGTTTATCAGTTCTAATAGTTTTGTTATGGAGTCTTAAGAGTTCTCCAAATATGAGATCATATCATCTGCAAACAAGGATAATTTGACTTCTTCCTTTCTAATTTGGATGCCCTTTATATCTTTCTCTTGTATGATTGCTTTAGCTGTACTAGACTTCCAGTACTATGTTGAATAAAAGTGGTGACAGTGGACATTCTTGTCGTGTTCCAGATCTTAGAGGAAATGCTTTCAGTTTTTCCTCATTCAGCATGGTATTAGCTGTGGGTCTGTCATATATGGCTTTGATTACGTTGAGGTATGTTCCCTCTAGATCCAGTTTTTCAAGAGTTTTTATTGTGAAAGGATGTTGAACTTGGTCAAATGCTTTTTCAACACCAGTTGAAATAATCATATGAATTTTGTCCTTCATTTTGTTGATATCATGTATCACATTGACTGATTTGCATATGTGGAGCCATCCTTGCATCCCAGGGATAAATCCCACTTGGTCACGATGAATGATCTTTCTAATGTATTGTTGAATTCAATTTGCTAGTATTTTGTTGAGGATTTTTGCATCAGTATTCATCAGAGATATTGGCCTGTAGTTTTCATTGTTTGCTGCATCTTTGGTTTTGCAATCAGGGTAATTTTGGCCTGTTAGAATGAGTTTGGAAAGTATTTCTTTCTCCTCTATTATTTGGAATAATTTGACTAGTGTTGGTATTAGTTCTTTAAATATTTGGTAGAATTCACCAGTGAAACCACTGGGTCCTGGTCTTTTCCTTACTGGGAGACTTTTTTTATTATGGTGTCAGTCTCATTACTTGTTATTTGTCTGCTCAGGCTTTGGATTTCTTTATGGTTCAATAATGGCAGGTTGTATGTGTCTAAGAATTGTCCATTTCTTCTAGGTTTCCAAATAAACTTCTGGGTTTATTGGCATATAGTTGCTCATAGTAGCCACTAATGATCCTTTGAATTTCTGCAGTATTAATTCTGCAGTTGTAATGTTTCCTTTTTCATTTCTGATTTTATTTATTTGGGTTATCTCTCTGTTTTTCTTAGTCTAGCTAAAGTTTTGTCAATTTTGTTTAACTTTTCAAAAAATAACTTTTTGTTTCATTGATTTTTATATATTTTTTTCATTTCAAATTCATTTTTTTCAGCTCTGATCTTTATTATTTCTTCTGCTAATTTTGGGCTTGGTTTACTCTTGCTTTTCTAGTTTTTCAAGATGCATCATTAGGTTGTTTATTTGGAGTTTTTTTTATGTAGGCACTTATGACTATAAATTTCCCTCTTAGTACTGCTTTTGCTGTATCTCATAGGTTTTGGTATGTTGTGTTTCTAATATTATTTGTTTCAAGAAATTTTTGAATTTCCTTCTTAATTTCTTCATTGATCCACTGGTTTTTCAGGAGCATATTTTTAATTTCCATGTGTTTGTATGGTTTCTAGAATTTCTCTTATTATTGATTTCTAGTTTTATTCCATTGTGGTCAGAAAAGATGCTTGATATAATTTTATTTTTTGGGATATTTTAAGATTTGTTTTGTGTCTGATATGGTTTGGATCTCTGTCCCCAGCAAAATTGCATATCAAATTTTAATTCCTGAAGTTGGAGGTGGGGCCAGGTAGGAGGTAATTGGTTCATGGGGTTGAGTTTTTCATAAATGGTTTAGCACCATACTCTTGGTGCTGTTCTCATGATAGTGAATGATTTCTCATGAGATCTGGTTGTTTAAAAGTATGTAGCACCTTTCCCCTCACTCTGTCTCTTGTTCCTGCTCCTGCCATGTAAGATGCGCCTGCTTTCGGTTCTGCTTTCACCATGATTGTAACCTTTCTGAGGTCTTCCCAGAGGCCTAGTACATGCCAACATCATGCTTCCTATACAGCCTGAAGAACCATGAACCAATTAAACCTCTTTTCTTTATAAATGCCCAGTCTCAGGTATTTCTTTATAGCAATGTGAGAATGAACTAATACAGTGACTTAACGTATGGTCTATCCTTGAGTATGATCCATGTACTGAGGAGAAGAATTTATATTCTTTAGCCATTGGATGAAATATTCTGTAAATATATATTAGGTCCATTTGTTCTATTTTTTTCCGTAAATTATTGGGGTACAGGTGGTATTTGGTTACATGAGTAAGTCCTTTAGTGGTGATCTGTGAGATTTTGGTGCACCCATCACCCGAGCAGTATACACTACAGCATATTTGTAGTCTTTTATCCCTTGTCCCTCCCACTCTTCTGCCCAAGTCCCCAAAATCCATTGTATCATTCTTATGTCTTTGCATCCTCATAGCTTAGATCCCACATATCAGTGAGAACATACGATGTTTGGTTTTCCATTCCTGAGCTACTTCACTTAGAATAATAATCTCCCATCTCATCCAGGTCACTGGAAATGCTGTTAATCCATTCCTTTCTATGGCTGCATAGTATTTCATCATATGTGTATATACCACAGTTTCTTAATCTACTCATTGATTGATGGGCATTTGGGTTGGTTCCATGATTTTGCAGTTGTGAATTGTGCTGCTATAAACATGTGTGTGCAAGTATCTTTTTCAAATAATGACTTATTTTCCTCTGGTTAGATCTCCAGTAGTGGGATTGCTGGATCAAATGGTAGTTCTAGTTTTAATTATTTAAGGAATCTCCACACTGTTTTCCATAGTGGCTATACTAGTTTGCATTCCCACCAGCAGTGTAGAAGTGTTCCCTGTTCACTGCATCCACGCCAACATCTACTGTTTTTTGATTTTTTGATTATGGCCATTCTTGCAGAAGTAAGAATGCAGTATTGCATTGCAGTTTTGATTTTCATTTCCCTCATCATTAGCAATGTTGAGCATTTTTTCGTAAGTTTGTTGGCCATTTGTATATCTTCTTTTGAGAATTGTCTATTCATGCCCTTAGCCCACTTTTTTATGGGATTGTTTGTTTTTTCTTACTGATTTGTTTGAGTTTGTTGTAGATTCTGGATATTAGTCCTTTGCCACATGTATAGATTGTGATGATTTTCTCCCACTCTGTGGGTTGTCTGTTTACTCTGCTGACTATTCGTTTTGCCGTGCAAAAGCTCTTTAGTTTAATTAGGTCCCAGCTATTTATCTTTGTTTTTATTGCATTTGCTTTTGGGTTCTTGGTCATGAAATCCTTGCCTAAGCCAATGTCTAGAAGGGTTATTCCAATGTTATCTTCTAGAATTTTTATAGTTTCAGGTCTTAGGTTTAAGTCCTTAATCCATCTTGAGTTAATTTTTGTATAAGGTGAGAGATGAGGATCCAGTTTCATTCTCGTACATGTGGCTAGCCAATAATCCCAGCACCATTTGTTGAAAAGCATGTCCTTTCCTGACTTTATGTTTTTGTTTGCTTTGTGGAAGATCAGTTGGCTGTAAGTATTTGAGTTTATTTCAGGGTTCTCTATTGTGTTCCATTGGTCTACATGCCTAATTTTATACCAGTACCATGCTGTTTTGGTGACTATGGCCTTATAGTACAGTTTGAAATCAGGTAATGTGATGCCTCCTTATTTGTTCTTTTTGTTTGGTTTTGCTTTGGCTATGCAGGCTCTTTTTTGGTTCCATATGAATTTTAGAATTTTTTTCTAATTCTGTGAAGAATGATGGTGATATTTTGATGGGAATTGCATTGAATTTGTAGATTGCTTTTGGCAGTATGGTCATTGTCACAATATTGATTCTACCTATCCATGAGCATGGGATGTGTTTCCATGTCTTTGTGTCATCTATGATTTCTTTCAGCAGTGTTTTGTAGTTTTCCTTGCAGAGGTCTTTCGACTCCTTGTTTAGGTATATTCCTAAGTACATATATTATTTGCAGCTATTGTAAAAGGGGTTGAGTTCTTGATTTGATTCTCCACTTGGTCGCTGTTGGTGTATAGAAGAGCTTCTGATTTGTGTACATTAATCTTTTATCTGGAAACTTTGCTGAATTCTTTTATCAGTTCTGGAGCTTTCTGGAAGAGTCCTTAGGGTTTTCAAGGTAAACGATCATATCATCAGCAAACAGTAACAGTTTGACTTCCTCTTTGCTGATTTGGAAGCCCTTTATTTCTTTCTCTTGTCTGATTGCTCTGGCTAGGACTTCCAGTACTATGTTGAAGAGGACTGGTGAGAGTGGGCATCCTTGTCTTGTTCCCATTCTCAAAGGGAATGCTTTCAACTTTTCCCCATTCAGTATTATTCTGGCTGTGGGTTTGTCATAGATGGCTTTTATTACATTAAGGTATGTCCCTTGTATGCTGATTTTGCTGAGTTTTAATCATAAAGGGGTGCTGGATTTTGTTGAATGTTTTTTCGGCATCTATTGAGATGATCATGTGATTTTTGTTTTTAATTCTGTTTATGTGGTGTATCACATTTATTGACTTGCATATGTTAAGCCATCCCTGCATCACTGGTATGAAATCCGCTTGATGATGCTGGAGTATCTTTTTGATATGTTGTTGGATTTGGTTAGCTAGCATTTTGTTAAGGATTTTAGCATCTATGTTCATGAAGGATATTGGTCTGTAATTTTCTTTCTTGGTTATGTCCTTTCCTGGTTTTGGTATTAGGGTGATGCTGGCTTCATAGAATGAATTAGGGAGGGTTTCTTCTTTCTCCGTCTCGTGGAATAGTGTCAAAAGGATTGGTACCAATTCTTCTTTGAATGTCTGGTGAACTCTGCTGTGAATCCATCTGGTCCTGGGCTTTTTTTGTTGGTAATTTAAAAATTACTATTTCAATCTCGCTTATTGTTATTGTTCTGTTCAGGGTATCTAATTTGTCCTGATTTAAGCTAGGAAGGTTGTATTTTTCCAGGAATTTATCCATTTCTTCTAGGTTTCCTAGTTTATGTGTGTAAAGGTGTTCATAGTAGCCTTGAATGTTCTTTTGTATTTCAGTGGTTTCAGTTGTAATATCTCCTGTTTTATTTCTTAGTGAGGTTATTTCGATTTTATCTCTTCTTCGTTAATCTTGCTAATGGTCTGTCAATTTTATTTATCTTTTCAAAGAACCAGCTTGTTTCATTTATCTTTTGTATTTTTTGTTTGTTTGTTTCAATTTCATTTAGTTCTGCTCTGATCTTGGTTATTTCCTTTCTTCTGCTGGGTTTGGGTTTGGTTTGTTCTTGTTTCTCTAGTTCCTTGAGGTGTGACCTTAGAATGTCAGTTTCTGCTCTTTCAGTCTTTTTGATGTAGGCGTTTAGTGCTATGAACTTTCCTCTTAACACCACCTTTGCTGTGTCCCAGAGGTTTTGATAGGTTGTGTCATTATTGTCATTCAGTTCAAAGAATTTTTAAATTTCCATCTTGATTTCGTTTTTGACCCAATGCTCATTCAGGAGCAGGTTATTTAATTTCCATGTTTGTGCATGGTTTTGAAGTTTCCTTTTGGAGTTGATGTCTAGTTTTATTCCAGTGTGGTCTGGGAGAGTGCTTGGCATAATTTCGGTTTTCTTAAATTTATTGAGGCTCATTTTAGGGCCTATCATATGGTCTATCTTGGAGAAAATTCCATGTGCTGTTAAATAGAATGTGTATTCTGTGGTTGTTGGATGAAATGTTCTGTATATATCTGTTAAGTCCATTTGTTCCAAGGTATAGTTTGAATCCATTGTTTCTTTTTTGACTTTCTGTCTTGATGATCTGTGTAGTGCTGTCAGTGGAGTAATGAAGTCCCCCACTGTTATTGTGTTGCTGTCTATCTCATTTCTTAGGTCTATTGATAATTGTTTTATAAATTTGGGAGCTCCAGTGTTAGGTGCCTATTGTTTAGGATTGTGATATTTTCCTGTTGGACAAGGCCTTTTATCATTATATAATGTCCCTCTTTGTCTCTTTTAACTGCTGTTGCTTTGAAGTTTGTTTTGTCTGATACAAGAATAGCTTCCTCTGCTGGCTTTCGGTGTTCATTTGCGTGAAATGCCTTTTTCTACCCCTTTACTTTAAGTTTATGCAAGTCTTTATGTGTTAGGTGAATCACCTGAAGGCAGCAGATAGTTGATTGGTGAGTTCTTATCCATTCTATGGTTCTATATCTTTTAACTGGAGCATTTAGGCCATTTACATTCAATGTTAATATTGAAATGTGAGGTACCCTTGCATTCATCATGTTCTTTGTTGCCTGTATACCTTGTTTTTTGTTTTTAATTTGTATTTTTGTTTTATAGGTCCTGTGTGATTTATGCTTTAAAGAAGTTCTGCTTTGTTGTGTTTCCAGGATTTGTTTCAAGATTTAGAGCTCCTTTGAACAGTACTTGTAGTGGTGGCTTGGTAATGGCACATTCTGTCAGCATTTGTTTGTCTGAAAATGACTGTTTCTTTCCTTCATATATGATGCTTAGTTTTGCTGGATAGAAAATTCTTGGCCGATAATTGTTTTGTTTGGGGAGGCTTAGGGTAGGGCTCCAATCCCTTCTAGCTTGTAGGGTTTCTGCTGAGAAATCTGCTGTTAATCTGATAGGTTTTCCATTATAGGTTACCTGGTACTTCTGTCTCACAGCTCTTAAGATTCTTTTCTTCGTCTTAACTTTGTATAACCTGATGACAATGTGCCTAGGTGAAGATCTTTTTGCAATGAATTTCCTGGATGTTATTTGTGCTTCTTATATTTGGATGTCTAGGTCTCTAGCGAGGCCAGGGAAGTGTTCCTCGATTATTCCCCCAAATATGTTTTCCAAGCTTTTAGAATTCTCTTCTTCCTCAGAAACACTGATTATTCTTAGGCTTGGTCACTTAACATAATCCCAGACTTCTTGAGGTTTTGCACATATTTTCTTATTATTTTTTCTTATCTTTGTTAGATTGGGTTAATTCAAAGACCTTGTCTTCAAGCTCTGAATTTATTTCTTCTGCTCATTCAGTCTGATTGCTGAGACTTCCCAGAGCTTTTCACATTTCTAAAAGTGTGTACAAAATTTCCTGAATTTTTGATTGTCTTTTATTTATGCTGTCTATTTCCTTGAATATTTCCTCCTTCACTTCTTGTATCAGTTTTTGGATTTCCTTGCATTGGACTTTGCCTTTCTCTGGTCCTTCCCTGATTAGCTTACTAACTAACCTCCTGAATTCTTTTTCAGGTAAATCAGGGATTTCTTCTTGGTTTGGATCCATCGCTGGTGAACTAGTGTGATTTTTTGGGGGTGTTGCAGAGCCTTGTTTTGTCATATTACCAGAGTTGGTTTTCTGGTTCCTTCTCATTTGGGTAGGCTCTGTCAGAGGGAAGGTCTAGGGCTGAAGGCTGTTGTTCAGATTCTGTTGTCCCACAGGGTGGTCCCTTGATGTAGTACCCTCCCTTGATGTAGTGCTCTTCCTTGATATAGTACTCTTCCTTGATGTAGTACTCTTCCTTGATGTAGTACTCTTCCTTGATGTAGTATACTCATCTATGTATGTGGCTTCCTGTGAGCTGAACTGCAGTGATTCTTGTCTCTCTTCTGGGACTAGCCACCCAGCGAGTCTACCTGGCTCTGGGCTGGTACTGGGGGTTGTCTGCACAGAGTTCTGTGATGTGAACTGTCTATGGGTCTCTCAGCCTTGAATACCAGCCCCTGTTCTGGTGGAGGTTGAGGGGGTGGTGCATTGGACTCCATGGGGGTTCTTAGCTTTGGTGGTTTAATGCTCTATTTTTGTGCTTGTTGGCCTCCTTCCTGGAAGTGACGCTTTCCAGAGAGCATAAGCTGTGGTAGTATGGAGAGGCACCGGTGGTGGGCAGGGCCCTAGAACTCCCAAGATTCTATGCCCTTTGTCTTCCGCTACTGTGGTGGGTAGAGAAGGACCATCAGGTGGGGGCAGGGCTAGGTGTGTCTGAGCTCAGACTCTCCTTGGGTGGGTCTTGCTGCGGCTGCTGGGGGGGATGGGCGTGAGAGTCCCAAGTCACTGGAGTTGTGTACCTAGGAGGATTGTGGCTGCCTCTGCTGAGTCATGCAGGTTGTCAGGGAAGTGGGGGAAAGCTGGCAGTCACAGGCCTCACCCAGCTCCCGTGCAAACCCAAAGGCTGGTCTCACTCCCACCATGCCCCCTGCAATAGCCCCAAGTCCATTTCCAGGTGGAGGGTGAGATGGGCTTGAAAATCTGCCCCAGGCTACTTGCCTCCCAGCTGCGAAAGGAAAGGGCTTGGTTCTACCCCTGCCTGCGGAGTCTGCACACTGGATTTGCACCCTTCCCTGAGTTCTGGCCAGGAGGCTTCTCACCCTGTTCAAATTGTTACAAAGTTCAGCTAGAGATTTCCTTCTGTCTGTGGAGTTTTGCCCCCTGCTCCTCTGGCCACCCCCTGGATGGGTCCCTGTGGTGCCAGGCAGGAATGGCCTGCTAGGGGACCCAGTGAGCTGCTGCTTCCTCTACCTCTATAGTTTGTTCGGCTCTCCAAATTGACTCAGCTCCAGTTAAAGTCAGAAACTTCTCCTGCAAACAGGCCTTCAGTGTCTCCAGTTGGGGTGTGTGTTTGGGAGAGGAGGGTCTCAATTTCCCATTTCCACAGTTGGGGCACTCACAGTATTTGGGGTGTCTCTTGGGTCATGCAGGAGCAGTCTGCTTCCTTCAGAGGGTCTGTGGGTCCTCTTGGGATTGCTGGTTTGTTCTTACCATCAATGTGGAGCTAAAATTCACAATGGGAGCCCCTGCATGCTGCTCTGTCTATAGCTGCAATCTAGTCCTGCCTCCCGTCCACCATGATGATCCATTTGTTTTATAGTGCAGATTAAATCTAAGGTTTCTTTGTTGATTTTCTGTCTGGAAGATCTGTCCAATGCTGAAAAGGTGTTGAAGGCTGCAGCTATTATTGTATTGAAATCTTTCTCCCTCTTTAGCTATATTAATATTTGCTTTATATATCTAGGTCCATCAGTGTTGGAAGAATATATATTTAAAATTGTTATATCCTCTTGCTGAATTGACCCCTTTATCATTATATAGTATCCTTCATTGTCTCTTCTTATAGTTGTCTTCTTGAAATCTGTTTTGTCTGATATAAGTATAGTTACTCCTGCTCTTCTTTGGTTTCCGTTGTTATGAAATATCTTTTCCTATCCCTTTGTCTTCAGTCTATATGTATCTTTATAGGTGAAGTATGTTTCTTGTAGGCAATAGATCAATGGGTATTGTTATTTATCCATTCAGCCAGTCTGTGTCTTGATTGGAGAGTTTAGTCTATTTACATTCAATGTTATTATTGATAAGTAGGGACTTACTCCTGCCATTCTGTTATCTGTTTCCTGACTGTTTTGTGGTCTTCTCTTTCTTCTTTCTTTCCTTCCTGTCTTCTTTTTTGGTGAAGGTGTTTTTCTTTGGTGATATGATTTAGTTTCTTGATTTTTTTTTGGTATCTGTTGTATGTTTTTTGGTTTCAGGTTACCATGAGACTTGCAAGTACTACCTTATAACCCATTATTTTAACCTGATAACAACTTACCTGTGTTTGCATAAACAAACAAGCAACAAGAAAACTAATAAAAACTCTGTCTCAACTCCATCCCCTTGCTTTTTAACATTTTGTTGTTTCTATTTATATCTTACTGTACTGTCTATGTCTTGAAAAGTTGTTGTGGTTATTATTTTTTTATTCGTTCATCTTTTAGTCTTCCTACTTAGGAAAAGAGTAGTTTATAAACCACGATTACAGGGAGTTCTCTGGATTACCAGGCAGAGACTCATGTTCTCTTCCCCTACTTTCTCCCAAACAAATGGAATCTCTCTCCGTTCTGAGCCACCTAGAGCTGGGGATGGAGTGACACACGCCCCCCTGTGGCCACCACCACTATGACTGTGCTGGGCCAGACCTGAAGCCAGCACAGTACTGGGTCTCACCCAAGGCCTGCTGTAACCACTCCCTGGCCACTGCCTATGCTCAAGGATCTGGGGCTCTACACTCAGCCAGTGGCGAAGCCAGCCAGGCCTGTGTCCTTCCTTCAGGGCAGTAAATTACCCAGGCCCCAGGCGGGTCCAAAGGTGCTGTCTGGGAGTCAGCGATTAGAGTAAAAAACCTTAGAAGTCTACCTAGTGTTCTGTTGTACTGTAGCTGAGCTGGCACTGAAACCACAAGATGTGTTCTTTCCCACTCTTCTCTCTCTTTTCCAAAGGCAAAGGATCCTCACTCGTAGCCACTGCCACCACAGGCCATGGGGAGTACTGCCAGACTACGGCTGATGTTCCTTTAATCCCCAAGCGCTCTTAAATCAGAGGGTGGTGGGGTGGTTTCAGCAATTCAAGACTGGTGAATGCTGCCTGGCCTGGGACTCACCCTTTGGGCAGTGGATGCCCCTCTGGCCCAGGGCCGGTCCAGAAATGCCATCCAAGAGTCAAATTCTAGAATTGGTGACCTCAAGAGCCCACTTGGTGCTCTACATCTCAGTCTCAGTGCTGCTACCTGAGGTGTAAGACAAAATTCCCTTTACTTTTCCCTCTGCTTTTCCCAGGCAGAAGTTTTGCCCCTTTGCCACCATAGCTAATAATGCGCTGAGCCTCACCTGGAGTCAGCAATTTGCAGAGGCTCACCAAGGCCCTCAATGTGGTACCTGGCTATTACTGCTGGGTATTCAGGGCCCAAGGGTTCTTCAGTTAGCAGGTGATGAATGCTACCAGGACTATGTGTTTCCCTTCAAGGAATGTTGTTTTATTTTTTCTGGCCCAGGTCGTGTCTAGAAATTTCATCTGGGAGTTAAAGCCTGGAACAGGGTCCTCACAAGTCTGGCCAGTGCCATATCCTGCTATGGTTAAGCTGATATCCAAGATGTAACACAAAGTCCCCCTCCCTCTTCCCTCTCTTCTCCTCAAGTGGAAGGAAGACATCTCTTTTGGAGCTGTGAGTTGTGCAGCCTGGGATTAGGGGAAGGGTGATGCCAGCATTCCCTTAGCCACTCCAGCTGGTGTCTCAGTAGGTCATACGCTCCTCAGTCCAGTGGCTGTGGGCATTACATCATTAGGATTCCCCTAGGTGTTGCAGTCCTTGTGGCCTAGACTGTCACATTTATTTAGAGCCCCATAGACAATGAAGAGTACTACCAAGCTGATTCTGCATTTAATGTATCATAATGACAATCTTGATGCATTGTTTTATGAATTATAGCCAAAAGAGCTTATACAGTATTAGACAAAAAAAATTCCCTACTTGTTTGTGAAGATAGTTAATCACCAGAGTTAGGAGCAGGGCAAGCTATTTTCTTTTCTAATCTAAATATGATTTTGTGATCAAGTTATAGAATTAGAATAGCTAGAACTCAAGATAGGGTATCTATCAGCTATTTTTAAAAAATTAGTGGAAGAATGTTAAATTTATATGCTTTTTTCATTATCACATGTAAGGAATAGCAGCAAATTGGTATTATTTAAATAACTTGCTTTGGGTATTTTCCTTATTGTAAATCCATATTTTGGACTTAAATTTATTTTTGGCATTTGTAATGAAATTTGTGGTTAGAAGTATAGCATTGTCAATTTTTTTCTCTGAATTAAACATATACTATTAAAAAAGTAAATCATAAATAGGACCAAACCCTTGATACATGAAACAACATGGATGCATTTCAAACACATTATGCTAAGTGAAAGAGGCCAGGCTCAAAGGCTGCATACTGTGTGATTCCATTTATAGGACATTCTGGAAGAATCAAAACTATAGAGACAGAAAACAAATGAGTAGTTCTAGGGGCTGGGGCCAAAGGGAATTGGGGAATTTTTTAGGATGATTGAATGGTTCCATATCTTGAGTTTGGTGGGGTAGTCACATGACTATATACATTTGTCAAAACTCACAGACTGTACACTGAAAAGGATCATTTGTACTGTAATAAATTATCCCTTCAAACAAACAAACAAAAGTAAATTATGGCTGGTGAATCGGAATTATGTTGGTGAATCATCATCTTAATTATGCCTCATTTTGACTTAAGACAATGTCATTTGTCATTTTCTGTATTTCTTTATGCTGACAACCCTTATCTGGGAACGAGGAGGTTCACATTTAGGCTATAGGCACATCAACAACTAGCTGAATGAAGTTGGGTAAGGATTTACGAAGGCTTTGGCCAAGGTAATTTATAAGGTCTCTTTCTGCTCTAAATAATCTTATACCCTGTGATGGTAAGTGTCTATATGGGCCCTTTATGGGAAATGAACAGAGAGAAAAGAAAGAATAAAAGAAAAGCCAAGTGAAGCAAAAGGACAAAATGGAGAGAGAGATAGAGCTGTCTTTCTGGGACCCCTTTGCCATCCCACCCATTTATTCAGGCTATGATCAACTAATGTTGGGTAAGTTCTGGACACTTGAAAACCATCATGATTTTTATATTTCTAGCATATTGTCTTCTGTTCTGTTGTTTCAAGAAAGCAATTGTATTCATATCTGTGAGGGTAGGCCTTGAAGAATCTTCAAGGACGGTCATTCAGGAATTTATCTTGAACCATCTGTTGAAATTAAGTTTTCGCATTCAAACTTCCCTCTGCCATTCACTTGGGAGTAGAACAATTGATGTTAGAATGAATAAGGAAGAACATCTTTTCTCTCTCCATTCTTTTATTTTAACTGTACCTAATGTGAGTTCTCCTGGGATGCCAAGGAAAATACTTAGGATGCACTAGACAATAGTGTTTAATTCATCAATATGGACCCTAAAGTGCTTACCAGTTTTGGCAGCTAAAAAAAAATATTCCTTGGGTGGTAGCAGAGACAGGTAAGGTTTTCCAGCACAACTATAGTCATGAAGGAGGTCAAAAATCTGTGAATTATTAGTATGATGGGATGGCAGTAAACATGAAATGAACAGGGGACAATTAGTGTAGCAGGTCTTAGGTTAATTCCACTTCATTCACTGAACTGTGTAACTCCGGGAATTGAAATGTCATATTGGTTTACCGTGGACCCAACATATAGAGCTTGATAGGTGCAATATGTGTGTGTGGTGAACCCTCTGTTTAGTGGCCGAGTCCTGTAAGTACTAAGGTCTAGGAAGATGTTCAGGCTTCTCTCAAATGGTAGCTAACCAAACTTCTCTTTATATACCCTGTATAGGAGGTGAGCCCTTCATTTCAGTCCCTCTCCTCACCTGTAATACCCTTGAAATTCATAAATAAATAACACCATATCACCCAATTCTCCTCAATAAACTGTGTACATTGCAATAAGTAAAAAATAACAAGTCCAAGTTGAGGAAGAACACTGGACAGGAGGCTAGGTCCACTTAGTAAGTAGTCACTCTTGCATACCAGCCTCCTGGTCTTCAGTTCAAATTTGTGCTTCAGGGCAACTGAAAAGTATTACATGTTACAGATATTTGGTGTCTTTTTAAGAAAGAATTGAAACTGTTGATACAAAATATGAGAATGTCAATGGTTTACTGGAGTGTGTATATCTTGAGTGCCTAAAAGGGAAGAAAGGACATTTATTTCCATACTTATATAATCACTGCAGATGCTAGGGTGTCATTTGACTCAAACAGAAATGAAAGATTTCTTACCTTCTGTTTAGGCAGTTTATTTTTTCTACTTTGTTGTATATGTCCTGGAGACCTGTATATGTCTATATCCTTTATTCTCCTTGAGTGCCAGTGTGTCTGATTCACTAGCCCACTTATTATGATCCATAAGTTGGTTCTGAATGGATAACTTCTGTCAACTCAATTCCAGAAGTCTACTGAAGTGAAGAATTGGTACCAACATTTGGATTACACAGGCAAAAAACAATCCAGGCAAGAAATAATTTTATTTTCTTTCTAAGCCAAACTGTCAGGTAGCATCATATTTATAAAACATTCCCTCACATCAGATATAAAGTTTCAAGTAGGAGTAAAAAGAAGATATATTTCCTTTAAATTTCTTGTAAATAGCAATGATGGAGAATAGAAAGGCATTATTGCAGCTCCAATATTCCATCTGTTGTGAAAATGGAGCCCAGAGAAGGAAACACATTTATGTCAATCATCAGGAAGCGAGTTTTGAGGCTGAATTATCCAGATAATTGCCCTAATTTTTCATCCTGGCCTGTGATTGTTTCCTTTTCTACTGCCTTACACAGTTTTGCCTTTTTTCTTTGCCATCATTTTGCACTTTCTGACATCCTCTGTGTCAGCTGGCCATGTTATTGACTTCTATTTTTGTTGAGGTCACTTCTGTAGGAGCATCTCTTCAGCTTCTGATTGCCCTTAGTGGTGAGGAATTTGAATAAAAATGTATGACAGATGCTATTGACATGGGGGAAGGGTTTGCTGGTAGAGAGGTGAATCATAATGTGAAAGCTGTATAACCCAATCCCCCAAACACCCACTCCAATTTTGGCTCTTTGACAATGCTGTCTCTTTGAGAAAGAAGAACACTTTGATCTGAATTCTTATTAGGTTCAGAGCCATCAAATTAGAATCTAATAAGCTCATTTGGAAGGGTTTTGAATTAGCTTAAAACAGACCCACGCTGAGCTCATAGAGGAGACCCTCCTACTCTTTCCAGGCAACCTGTAGTTCGTAGACTTAATTTTCAAACTCTCTTCTTTGTCTCTTTTCTCATCTAATACTTGTTCTCTTTTCTCCTTTCGAATGGACTACTCCTAGCTGTATCTTACATGTCCAGGGCTACCTGTAACAGACCTTTTTTGTAAGATTCCTTAAGAAAATTGTAAATTTAGAGAGGAAAAAATGCACCTTTCTTTAATATGAGAAACAACTTCTGGAATCTTCCAGTTTGACATCCTCTAATAGTACTAGTTACCTTCCAATGAGGAATATTTTGGCATACATAAAAATGCTCCCCCAAATACTAAGATATATCATTACCTTGCCTGTAGATATAAACAAATGTGAAATTGTTTAGGGAAATGAGAGTCTGGGAGCCTTAGATGGGTAGGAGGGGAACAGATATTGTTGTAGTTAGCTTGTTGGACCTCTGAGGTTATGAAGGAAATAAAAGAGGGAGAGGGAAGGAGAGTGGCTGTTAAGAAAAGATAATTTATTTATCAAGGTTTGTTGGGGCTTCCTCTAGTTGGCCCAATCACTATGCTTTTATGTTTATCATTTTGTACCTGTGCAAATATACTTGTAGGGTGAATTCCTAGGAGTGGAGCTGCAGGGTCAGGGTGTATGTGCATTCTTTGTTTTAATTTTGATAGTTATTGCTAAATTGCTAGCAATGAAGTTTGTATCAATTTACACTTCCATGAGAAATGTAACCATAGAATTTAGAGACTTAAAAAAATTCATTTTCTTTTGACATCCCATGTTATGGACAAGAATTATGACGTCAGTCAAATTCTCATTTCTTGGCAAGTAACGTTTTTGTTACTTCTCAGGAAGCTTTTATTGTTGTTGTTCAGAGATTTTACCAGTCCTCATCTTTTTTATGTCCTTTGATTATTACCATTGATACTTGCTGGATTTTACAACCTGAAGAGTCATCTTTCCTGAGCTCAGTAAACATTTTCTCTTTTATTTCTTTAAATATTTCCTCAAGTCCATTTTCTCTGTTCTCTCCCTCTGAAGCCTCGGTAAATATGATACTGGAACCACTGAATCTAATCTGCATGCTTTTTAGTTTTTGTCTCCTACTCTTATCCTTCTACACTGTACTCTGGGAGACTCCCTTGATTTAATTTACTGCTTTTAATGATAACCTCAGCCCATCCATTGGGTTTTATAAAAATGGCCATGGTATTTTACATTTTTAAGAACTCTGTTGCTTCTTTTTCAGAGAAGCCTGTTGTTTATAAATGAATAAACCTTGCCAAAAATGTATTTGAAAATTTCTTCTGTTTTCTGTACTATCTGACACTGTTCCTTATGAAGTTAATTTTTCTGTTTTTTGGGTTTGGTAGTCTTTCATTCTGTTGATTTTCCTCAGATATTTGAAGGTTCTTGGTTGTCTGTCTAAATTTATAGTTGCTGGGCTAGATTGATCACAATTAGCTAGTTGAAGCATAGTTCCTACATCCAAGGAGATAATTTCTATTTTGGGGGGGGCAATGGATATATATTTTGATGATAGAGATCCTGAATCCAACACTTACATGGGGGAGGCAGAAGTTATATGGCTAGGTGTCCTTGCATTTAGAGTGTGTGGGCACCTAGTTTTTTGGGTGTGGGACATTCCCTTCTTCCCTTATGATGGCCTTACATGACCTGAGGCACTGTCCTACTTTACCCAGCCCAAAGGACACTCTGAGGGTACTTGGCAGAACTCCCAAATTTGTTGCATAGAGTTGTTCTGAATGCCATAATCCATACAGCAAATGCCACAGCCATGATTCTGTCATTAGAGGATCAGTCCGGCTCTTTTCTATTCCTTCAATCAAATCACCTGACTGTCCACTCACCCTCTGTTGCTTTTCTCAGCTCCAGTGGCTTCTGATATTGGGATTATTTGAGGCTTTTGGTTATTTTGACACTTTTTTCCCCTTTGTCTTGAGAGCTTTACAAATTCCTCAACAGTATTGTGTTTTTCTGTCAATTTGAGTTGTTTCATGTCTTTAAGGATGTTCTCAGAGTTCTGGTCTTCTGATGATACCCTTCTCAGCTTCTAGCACTAATATAGAGTTATTTGCATTGTTGCATTTTCTTCCTGAATTTTTAATAGGGTTTGAGGACAGAGGGGTGTGTGGGTGTGTGTTCTCTATTACTATTGAAATAATTGAGGTTTTTAAGGTTTGTAGCTATTTTAAGACAAATCTAATATTTTTAAAGCCAGTCTGTCTCTCTTTGCAAATTTCTGAGGTAATTAAAATTCTTCTTTAGATTACCCCTGAACATAAATTGAAATCAGTAATTGTGAAATTGATAATTATACAGAAGAGTGGCAGTGTCAGAATTTTGCCAAGATCTTTTCCTTTCACTTTTCATAATCTAATTATCATCACTTAGATTTTCATTTCACAGTTGAAATGCTAAAATTGGGGGAATAATGTCTGCTATAGTTTCAAGGCATAATTTATGGGAAAAACCAACTTACTTGCTATTCATTACTTTTAATTTCTGTGAGAACTTGTTATTTATCACCTACAACAACTTACATTGGATGAAACAAAATCATGGACCCTCTGATTCATATTGTCTTGTGGTAATATATTGATCCAAGATTGTTAAAAAGCCTTATACATTTTGAGGAATTGCCCCACTTTTTTGTAAAGCAGGCAAAATCTTTTAAATCTATGAGAGATGCTAAAATTATGATTGATTCTTATGCTTTTAAAATCTCCAATCTTTTTTCTCATTTTGAACTGGAAAAACATATTGACGTTTTTCAGTGGAGATGTAGGAACATTCATATTTATTTAGCTGGAGAGGGAAGATTATGAATTTGAAATTTCAAAGCCATTTCTTAGTCAAAGGGGAATGGAATTTTAGAGCCAAAAGGTATCTCCTAATAGCTTTGTGGTAATGTGTGAAGAGCAGAGACTGAAGTCAGAAACCCTAAGGTCAGGTTCCCACTTTCCACTTTCTAGCTGTGTGACCCAACTCAAATTACATAAATTCTTAAACTGCATTTCTTCATCTGTGAAAGGAAGATAATCCCTGCGCTGTTAATTTTATTGCTTTATTGTAAGGATCAAATGAGACAGTATACAAAAAATGTATTGGGAATTGTGGGCTGCTGTTCAAATGTACACAGATGATTTTTCCAAGAAGTGAGAAACTCCTGTTTATTAGGGTATTTGCCTAATTTCATCAGTTAATTAGTAGTAGAGCTAGATCTCCTAAATCAGTCTGATAATCTTTCCATTGGAGAGTAACTTTCAAAAATTGCATAGTTGGATATGCAGAGAACTTACTGGAACTCTGAAGTTATGCCACTCTTCATAAAGACAAACTTCTGGATCTTAGTAATGTCTTTTCCTGGATGAGAGGGAACAATTGGTTTATTTTGACTTACCATGTTTTGTCTGTAGTGCTTGGATAAATACCTAGAGCTGGTTCTGTTTTTACTAGTTGTTCTATGATAAAAATCTCCCTGATTTATAGTTAGAGTGGTATTTCCCTTCGTTAAATCTGCCTCTTATCATAATTTTACAATGTGCTGCTTCCATGGACTTTTATTAATTTGGAGCCAAGTATTCCATAAATGGCTTTTATTTTTGTTTCTTATTTAATAAACTGTATAGAATTTCCCACCCACATTTTTCTTTGCAAAACGACTGAAGTTCTTGATTGTTTAGTTTCCTTTTATAGCTGCTTCTACAAAGTATGGTTCTACAAACAGCTGAAGGATGACTTTCTGCTTTAGTCTAAGGTCGTCTGGAACAAAGTGGTCCAAATTCTCTTCTAGAATTCTCAAGATAATTAAAAGGAAGCTGAGTGCTTCATGTTTAATATAATCATTTAGGTTTATTAAGCAAAAGGTCCAGGATTGGAAATTGAATGTTCAGGTTGAAGATACAATTAATTGAAACTTACAATGTTGCTCGCTTAAGCAGATATGGAAAAACAGGCAATAAGTCATTTCAAATAGGGAAAAGTGAAGATTCATGTTCAGCTAGAGAGAAGAAAGGGACAAGAATATATGAAAACGTTACAGCCACTTCATGTAACATTTAGAAGGTATTAGAAAGTATAGAAGGTGTTGAGAATACTTCAGACTTTGTGGAAAGAACAACCAATTTCTTTTCTGAAACATATACTTTCCCGTGGGTCTATTTTCCTTATTAAGGAGAACACTGGGCATGCAATCAATTTAGATAGCTACTTACTATCAGGAAGAAAAACTGAATTTTAAAACTAAATTGAAAATTTTAGAATAGTTTTAGATTTATAGGGAAGTTGAAACCATGGCATGGAGATATCCCACATCTACTTTCTCCTATTGTTAATATCTTAGTATGTGCGTATTAGTATGGCACATTTTTCACAACTAATGAACCAGTGTTCATATATTAATATTATCTGAAGCCCATACTTTATTCAGATTTAGTTACATTTTTGTTTTTGTTTTAAATCGAATGTCCTTTATCTGTTCCAGGTTTCTATCCAGGATACCACATTATATTTAGTCATTATGTCTCTAGCCTGTGACAGTGATTGCATTTAGCAGGCTCATTTGACTGGTAAACTTAGAGGTGTGTTTTGTAGCTAACATCTTTGAAGGCAAATTGTGTGGCCATATTTCCCCACATAGAATTCTCCTTTAGGGCAGTTTTCTTTTTGTCCGTAGGAGATGGCCAGAATTGTAGGCTCTGAAAACTCAGTCTCCCACTTATCTGACATATTCCAGGTCCTACCTGTACTTGAGTCAAGTTAGAAGAGTGGCTCTCACACTTGAGTGAGCATCCAAATCACCTGAAGGGCTTAAAACACTGATTTCAGGGCTCCACCCCCAGTTTCTGACTCAGTAGGCCTAGGGTGACACTTGAGAATTTACATTTTTAACAAATTCTCATGTAATGCTGATGCTGGGGACCCCACTTTGAGAACCACTGGGTTAAACCATAGAGAGTCAGAACACCTGAGCCACATTATTTCAATCCTCTGCTGAGCTTTTCTGTGAAGCAACTGATGTAGGTTCTGTTCTTTGAGAAAGAGAGCGATATAAATGTTGCCTTGGACTCTAGACAGCTGATAGTCTTACTTGACTTTTGACCTTTTTCATTGCTATTTCTTTATTCTGTGTCACTATGCCCCCTGCCCAAATTTATTCACTTTATTTTTGAATATGTACTGTACATAGGTGGCATAGAATTCTTTTTGGAAATTAATAATATCAGCTGGCATATGTTAAGCACGTATTCCTTTAATTTTTTCACCTACTCTAAGAGTTACATCTACTGTTCTTCCCATTTTAGAGAAGAGGAAATGGAGAAACGGGTTAATTATTTTCCTAAAGAGAATGCAACTATGACATGGTAGACTAGGGGCTGAAACCTATGTTTCTTACTCCCAGCTGGTGCCTCTCATTTCCGAACTTATGAAGAAGAGGCCATGTGGTGTAGTAGAAGTAACCCAGGTGGCCATTTGCTGGATATATCACTGGAACATGGTACTTAACTTTTTCCAGACTCATCTTCCTTATTCCCCAAATGGTGGATATTAATACTTTCCTTATAGAGTTGTAAGTATTGAAGAAAACAATGGATATAAAGTACTTAGTGAAATGCCATGTTCATGGTGAGTACTCAATAAGTATCTTTCTAAACCGTTTGCTGACATAAAATTCTTTGTTTTTTATCATTGTGTAATAAATAGTGCCTGAGTTAATAAGAACATTCTATTTGTAAAGGAATAAATTAGGAGTGAAGAAAATATTGCTAACTTTACTCATATTGGTACTGAAGTTAACGTCTATACTTAAAATTCTCTTTTGTTGAGTTCTTTATTATTATATATAGTTGTTTTTTTTTTTTTTGTGACAGAGTCTTGCTCTGTCACCCAGGCTGGAGTATGGTGGCATGATCTCAGCTCACTGCAACCTCCGCCTCCTGGGTTCAAGTGATGATTCTCCTGCCCCAGCCTCTTCCAGTGGTGGTGCGTGCGTCACCACGCCCAGCTAATTTTTGTATTTTTAGTAGAGACGGGGTTTCACCATGTTGGTCAGGCTGGTCTTGAACTCCTGACCTTGTGATCCGCCCACCTCGGCCTCCCAAAGTGCTGGGATTACAGGTGTGAGCCACCATGCCCGGCTATTATATGTAGTTTTTTTTTTTTTTTAAGTAATGTTTAAAAGGCTAATGTGGCAATTTAGAAACAATATACAACTTATATATAGGATTATCATTTTATCTTTGGATAAAATCATTTCAGTCCCTGAGGAACATAAATGGAGTTTGTGTTCCTAAGAAGTGTGGGTCAGAGAACTGGGTATAGTATACCAGACTATGAAGTCTTTGATCTGCTACCAATTTTTGAAGTTGTGCAATCAAACTTCCAATTATCTGCCTTGCAGTTTTGTGTAAAATTTTGCCTGTGGAATTCTTTGTCTCTACTTTTACCTTTTTTTTAAACCCACATACTGAATAACAAAGTATATTAAATTTTATTACCTAATAAGTATGTTCCTGTTTATTATCTCATCCAAGCTGCAAAATAGTCCCTCTATTTTCTCCTATTGATTTGTGTTTTTCCCCTCCTTTTTTCCCCTCCTTTTTCCAGTAATTACTTTGCTTATGTTCTATCTCGACTTTCCTTTATGTTTCTAAAATAAGGTGAGTTTTGAGATGTAGGGATTTTGTTCTCACTTGTCCTTGACATCAGCCTGAGCATATGATCTGATTTTAGAAGAAATCAAGCAGAGGCTAGAACGGCAAGTACAGTAAGTGATGTCCTAATGGGAATCTGGTCTGTCCAGCATGGGATAAATTTCCCTTTAACATAATGTTTCAGAGGCTAATATCTAAGGAATTGGACCTTACTACAATAATTCAAGTGAGAAAAGAATGCAGTCCAAGGTAAAATATCATTTTTAAAAGGTCTGTATTCCCAGATTGTCTACATGTCTGCTCTGTTCTGTCAGTATAAGCAATCCAGAATCAACTAATGATGTTCAGTGTTCTTGTGCCTGTTTGTAAATTGGACAATTGCATTCATCATTCCTTATCATTCCTTCTTGATTGGGAGAACTGGCTCGTTTCATTGCTAAAAATTCCCAGAGATTAAAATGCTGTCTCTTTTTTGCTTAGGCTCTTATCTGAAAACATTTTCTTGAAGTTTTGATAGTTGCACAAAAACCAGCAGTATAGTAGAAAGAACATAAGCTTTGGAGGGAGATAACTAGCTTTGAATCCCTGAGCAAGTTACATGCATTCTTTGTGTCCACTTCCACATACATAAAACGTATACAATGATAGTACCTATTTGGTGAGGCTGTGGTAAGGGTTAAATGAACAATGAACAATATGCGTGGGGAGCCTGTGGTGGTGTTAGGGACATATGAGGAGCTCAAAAATGTTAATTTCAATTCCTTGATAGTAATGTGTATTGAGTGCCATTGGTTCTACATGAAAATGCCTCAAAGAAGAATGCCTTGCAGAATTTTCAACCTGAAGCAAATGAGAGAAGGCAAATAAGTGCTCTTAGAAGAGTCAAAACATCTCACCCCTTACCACCATTCAGAAGTGACAAATTTTGTTAAATGATAAACTGATAGGTACATTTCCCTTCATAGAAATTATACTATCTAGGGGATTTCTAATAGCCTGAAGTCCAGTTGACATTCTCCGACTAATATTTAAAATAAATAATAGACAACAAAATTAATAGCTGGCATTTTAAGTGCTGCAGCTTGTCACCAAATACCATAGCTCCCTAAACCATTAGCTGCCACCTCATGTAATTGGTAGAACAGTACTGTTCTATACCCAATATTGCTGAAATGTTCTATAATACCCGCAGACAATTCTGTGGCCTATTTTTGGTGCTCCATTTAACTTTTTGCCAAATCTGAATTACTGGGGTTTCAACTATTCAAATGCTACCTCATGCTAGCTTTCAGATTGATCCTAATTGCATTAATTGATAGTATTTTCCCCATTCCAAAATTTTGGGGAGTAATTTAGTCTTGGTAAGATTTCTGAAGCCACTGAGGTGCTACCACCTGAAGACTTAGTTCACTACAATGACATAAAGAATGCATGATAAACCTTGAGTTTGAAAAGAGGTTTATTTATGCACCATATCCTTTGTGAGAACAATTTTTTGAAGCTGTTGGCAAATAATATTCCTATGGATAAGATGCAAGAAAACAGTAAAACGGCTTTGTTTTCCTAGATATCCTATAGAATCCACTCACCTCTCTAATTTCTCCAATGTTTCCACTCACCACTCACTAGATTAACAAATCTGGAGGGCTCTTATACGTTAAATAGTCTATCAGGCATTGTGTGTGTCTATGGGAACGGATATATAATAGGAAAGGTAGTGTTCTTGCTCTTATATGACTTTGCATTTTAATTTGGGATACAGCTTATATCCTCCAAATAACAGTACAATAACAAAGAGTGCTAGCAAAGTGAATATGTAATTATTCTTATAAGTGGTCAGTAGGTATGTAAGCTGATAAATCCTGTTTGTAGGCCAATTTGGCAAAACTTATATGTCAAAAATCTTTAAAAATGACATGACTTTTGACCTAGCAATTTCATTGCTAAGAATTAGTTCTATGGATATATATACACATATATGCAAAGCTTTATGTGAAAGAATGCTCTTTGCAAAATTATTTACAATACAAACATAGAAATAACCTGAATATTTCTCAATGGAGGACTGGTTAAACAAATCATGGTCCAGCCAGGGGATGGAATACCATACACCTGTTAAAAATAACAAGATGGTGCTATATGTACTGACATGAAAGATGTCTGAAATAAGTTTTTAAGGGAAAAGAACAAGTTAAAGAAAAGATATATATTATTGTTACATATGTACACATACATATATGATACACATACACATATGTGTATATATGTATATTAATATACACACGTATATTTATGGGAGGATAAGCTCTAAATTTTCAGTGCCATATTTTAGCAATATTATCTCAATAAAGTAGGAATAGAGGGGAGGAGGGGGTGGGACTTTTAATCCTTATTTAGACCCCTTACTGTTAAATTGTTGATATAACTATATTACTTTTATGATTCTAAAAAATCAAAACAAGTGAATATATTCATTTTTCAGCTTTATTGAAGTACAATTGACAAAGTGAATATATTCTAAGAGTGGAAAGTAATGAAATGATGAGAAGCATATGTCATTGACAGAGAAATACCATTTTTATTAATGATGACAAGAGCTGAAATGTCCAGAGTGCTTGCTACACCAAACACTGAACGCTTGACATACATCATCTCATTTAGTTTCTCATATCTGCTATGTACTAATTTGGCAATAAGGAACCAAGGAATTGCAAGCTAAATAAGTGGCAGAACCTGAGCCCTGGTTAAAGTCTATTCTGTTAAATATGCTTTCATTTCTACAGCATTCTCTATGGTCCCAACTGTTTAGACAACTGAGGCTCCTGGACCATGATAACTATAATCATGCAATGGGGCTGGGAAAGTAGAAGGAAGGGGTATTCTACCTTCAGTATTGTTTTGGAGCAGAAAGGAAGGTTTAATTCTATAGTGTTTTCCATTTGAAACTGTCAATTTTTAAATAAGGGGTTTTCATGCCAGAACATTGATATTTTCAGCAATTTGTAGTGATTTCTCAGCATTCATAGGATTGATCGCTTTGCTACATATAGATCCTCATGATAGACCAAGAAGGAAGAAGGCAGCTTGGGTAGTTTGGATAACACTGAGGTGGAGAGTGAGCTACAAACTAATCATGAATAGGTGTGTATTCACCCCTATCTAAGCACCATAGCATGACCGTTCGAGTTTCCCATAGATAGACAAGTTAAAGTGGGAAGGCAGTTCTTTTGCTGTATTCTCGATGTTACATTGTGACTGTATTCTTGGATATTACATTGCAAAGATAGCATCCTCGGCTTCCAAGCACTTTTCATTGCAGAGTGCCCTCTGCTGAAGAAGCAGGGAGGTTCACGAAGAATTTTGCAAGTGAATAGCACTGTACATCTCTCCTTGTTTCTATGTTCTGTTATTTCCATCTGTATTAAAGAGCACTTAAACTCATTACCTTTTAATAGCACAAACCTTTATCTGGCATTAAAGTATGCCACACATGATACTTGCCCCAAACACAAAACAAAACAAACAAAACCGAACATAACAACTATGAAATCGCCTTGCCTCTTGTATACATTTATACTGATGCTTGTCAAGAATTACAAGCCCATTGAAATCCCTACTTTCTACAGTGATCTGCAAGGTGAACAGATGCTTGTAGTTTCTTTCTTACATGCTTTTCTGAATTATTTGCAAACCCTTGATTGTCCTTGTTTCTCATTCTGGCTCCGAAACCTACTTTACAAGCATTTATAAATAAACCTACTTTACACGTTTGCAAAATCCTTTAAAGAGGGAATGGTATGTTGTGGTTTAGTTTCTTCTGTTTCCAGTTTCTTGTACAAAACTACTGCAAATTTTTCCTTTAGTCTTTTGCGTAACCTTTGTGAATTCTGAATGTAGATGGTGACTCTAACTTTTCTTGAAACCAAGACATATTTTAATCAAAATTTATCAAAATGCTTATAAGCTTTATTATTATTAGAAAGTAAACAGAAATAGGGACACTTTCTTTAGCTCTTGAAACTAGCTTAATGAGATAAAATGGAAACATCCAAACTAGATTTTTATTAACATGATTGCATTTCTTTTGGTGAACAACTTTTATAAAACTGGTTAATGCTACATAGCAAAACAAAAACGCAAACAAAACACACACACATATAATATTTTAATTGATTTAAGAATAAAGAACTGTAAGACCATGAATTATACATTTACATATATTTTTTACTTTATATTTTCATTAGTATAGCATCTCATAAAATTAAAACACTGTCAAACACTATCTCTTTAAATCTCACAGCATGCTGTATATTCCAAGTAAAAATTGGAACCGCTTATCTCTTTTGGCCTGTTTGATGATAGAGAATTTTAATTTTAGAATGTCCTGGAGCATTTGGGAAGTGGGATTGCATAGCTATATGTATAATTATTCTTTGAGTTTCTTTTTCTGGGATGTTGGTTAATTTCATTAACTACTCAATATCTGTTACTTTGCCAGTAAATTAAAGACTAAAAAGGGAGTGAAATATCATTATGGCTATTTTGCTTCTTTGTATGGCCCCTTTTGAGTTTATTGAACATTTATAGCTATTAAAATATGGGCAAAATGCTTTATGTTAATTTTTTTGCTTCCTTTCATTTTTGTTTTTTGTTTTTAGTTACATTTGTATCTTAATGCTAATGTTGGAAATATGCTGCTTGGTATGATTTTGAAACAATTTATTTACTTTTGAAAACATTTTTGTGTTTTCTCTCCTCACTTCATGAATATATTTCCTCTAGTTTACAAATTTACCAAAAGACTATTGTTTGGGGGGAAATGTCAAAATACCTTCAAATATCTTCCATTATACTGTTTGTTGCTTAGTTGTATTTTTGTCTTCATTTCTGTTTTATTAAGAGGTTTTCTTTTACTTTTAAGAATTTGAAATCTGTCAAAACAGCGCATTAAATGATTCTGAATCATCATGATCCAATGTTTTATTTCCTTCTCCCAGAGATGGGCAGCCTAAAATGCATGATTGTTGTGTAATTTTGACGTATTTATAACCTTCTTTGTACATCCTGATCACGAGCAATCTCAAGCTTCTCGGCTGAATCTAGGGTTTGGGAGTGAAGAATTTGGTTAGTAAGGATGGGCAAGAGTTTTCTGGAAAGTTTAGTACTTCTGATGTATGTTTCAAAGCATGGCATTTGATTTTCCTATATACTTTTAGCTATGTGTATTTCGAATGTTACATTCTTCTTTCCCTACTGGGCACATTGAAAGTCTCCTTTTTCCCTGTTGGTTTACAATTTTACTGACAGAAAAAGGGCAAAAGAAAAGTCTGTTTATACAACCTAATTGATTTTTAGTTCAAGTTGAAAACTTATTTTAAAGATATGTAAATCATAACCAAGTTACTCCACCTGAGGCTCTATGCATTGTGCCACTCTGGTTTTGGAAAAATATTTTGAAGTATCATTTGGATTTTGGCAAATATTACTGGGTCAGAAACTGGGCCACCCAACTCTTTACCCTTCTCTGGTAGAGGAGTGTTATCCTAAATGAGCTTTCATTACTGACATCCCATTGTGGCTAACTCCTTTCCCCTGAATTGTACTTATGCAGCAGATAGTGTTGAATATATGCATATATGTTTGTGATCAATGTCAAGTTTGCTGAATTAGTATGGTAAAGAAGTGTGTAATGGAAACATAGCTGTAAAGTGTTAGAGTTGGGTGTTAGATTAATTCATTGACATCTATCTTTATTTTGTTAATCCACTTCAGTGGATACAACACAAGTATTGTAAGTTCATTTTCAAAACTGTGCGTGCGTGTGTGTGTGTGTGTGTGTGTGTGAGAATGTGTGTGTTCTACCACACTTAATTACAACAACATCTAGAACACCTTTCCCTGTCTCCAGGTAAAACAAATCAAAATAAAAAAACAGCCTTTTTTTCATATTTCTATTGGCATTCCTAATCTTTTCTCAGTACTGATTTTATCCACAGTTTTCTATAGATAGTGAGAGGGTAAGTCATTAGGTTGCAAAGATTACAGAGATTTTACTCTAGAACCCTAAAACAGAAATGCATTGACAATTTTTATATTGCTGTTTTTCTCATTTGAGCTCTCAGTATTTAATTACATAATGTTAATACTATAAGTGGAAAGTTTCTGTAAATAGTATTAGCTCTTCGGGAGAGAAAATTTCTGAAGAAATTTAGTGAATACATGAGATAATGGTCTTCAGAACACATTCTTATTGGATGTATAGTATCCAAAATTTATGAGAAATTCCACTTAATAGCAAAAAAACCAAACTCCATCTAAAAATGGACAAAGGACCTGAACAGATATTTTCCCAAAGACGACGTACAAATGGCCAACAGGTATATTAAAAGATGCTTAATATCACTAATCATCAGGGAAATGCCAATTAAAATCACAATGAGATATCACCTCATACCTGTTAGGGGAGCTTTTATCAAAAAGTCAAGAGACAACAAGTGTTAGCAAGGATGTAGAGAGAAACGAACCCTTGTTGGTGGGAAAGTACAACCATTGTGCAACCATTATGGGAAACTATGGAGGTTCCTCAAAAAACTAAAAATAGAACTACCATATGATCTAGCAATCCCACTTCTGGGTACATATCCAAAACAAATGTAGTCAGTATGTCGAATAGATATCTGCATTCTCATATTTATTGCAGCACTATTCACAGTAGCCAAGATGTGGAATCTACCTAAGTGTCCACTGACAGATATTGGATAAAGAAAATGTGATATATATGTACATACAATGGAATACTATTCAGCTTTAAAATAGAAGGAAATCCTACCATTTGCAACAGCACACATGAACCTTGAGGACATTATGTTAAGTGAAATAAGCCAGACACAGAAAGACAAATACTGCATGATCTCACTTATATGTGGTATCTAAAAAAAAAGTCAAACTCATATTCAGCAGAGTAGTATCATGGTTCTCAGAGGCTGTGGGGTGGGGGAAAAGGGGAGCTATTGGTCAAATGATACAAACCTTCAGCTGTAAGATGAATAAGTACTGGAGACCTAATGAACACTATGGTGACTATAGTTAATGTAATGTATACTTGAAATATGCTAAGAGAATAGATCTTAAGTGTCCTCACTACACACAAACAAAAATGGTAACTGTGTGAGGTGATGGATATGCCAATTAACTTGATTGTGGTAATCATTTCACAATGTATACATATATTAAAACATCACATTGTATGCCGTAAATATAGGCAACTTTTGTTTGTTCATCATACCTCAATAAAAGTGAAAAAAACCCTCACATCCTTATATGGAATAAGCTGATCAATACTATATCATTAGCAAAAGCGGTGAGAGTTATATGTTATTTTCCAAAGGTAAGGAGCCATTTTTTAAATATAGGACAAAATAATTATTTCTAAAAGAGTTTACATATTCACCATAATTAATGATGAAATTAGGTTTTATTGATTTTGGAAAAGGAGAAGAGTGAGTGGGCATTTACTCATTTAGATGTTATAATATTTTTTAATGTTACAATAATAAGGTAGAATAGGAAATAGCATTTTAAAAAATAAGAAATCTGTTTATCATTTATCTAAGAGCTTATTATTCATCATAAAGTTTAAGAACTCTAAATACTGCAAGAAATAAAACTATTCTTTTTATAACAGTCAATAAAGCTATTTAATTACTTTTGTGAGAATCCTTGGTTATATATTTGATTAATTTTTGCATTTTGTGTTGATGTTTGATTAATTATTTTCTAACTGTTATAATCTTGCACATTTAATTATTTGTTTTATTCTAAAGGTGACACACTTAGGTGATTTTGGGCATGTGTATGTATATATGTGTGTGTGTGCCGGGAGATTTCTATTAGAAATACTACCAAAAACAAAGTCCTCTTTTGTCTTGGCTTTTAATATCCACAAATATCAAACCAACACTTTGGGAAAAATATTATATGTGATTTCTACCTGAGTCAAAACCATAGCTGCTGGGGTTCAAGTCCATTGCCACTTAATGTGCCCTCAGTCCTCTCTGTTTGCCATACTTTAACATCCTAGGACCACCTGTTTTTATCATATTAATGTCATTTAGCTTGCGTGGATGGCTAGATTTAGTTTTTAAGATCCTGGTTGACAGTGTTTCTATTTGACCCAGACAGCTCTCTTGTTTTCTCCTTTGCAAGTCTGACCCAGCAATACTTGCTTCTTGACCCACATGAATGTTGTTAAGAGTACTTTGTGTCTGGAAAGAAACTTGAATTCTTAGAATAAAGGGATGCCATCTAAATACCAAATTTTACATTATCGATTGCTTGCTAGATTGTACTGTGTGTGTATCCTGTCCAACGTAATTTTCTCACTAAAAACTTTGCCATCTTGCCTGCTGAGACTTCCTTTTCACTACTTTGTGTTGGCTTCTCTCCTCTCTCTGCCCATGCTGTGATAAAATCACTATGGTTAGAGCTAAAGCCAAACCTTTTAAAAACCTAATTAAGTCTTTTTTTTCTATCTGTGATAAAATATCACTGACCAGAAATCTAAAGAGCATCAGGGGAAGAAAACCATAAATAATGCCCTAAAATATAAGGACACACATCAGTAAAGAGAAAAACAACTCATTGAATCATGCCACCATGCTGGGGCACTTTCATGAGGCTTAGGTATAAAGTGGTACTTTTATAGCCACTGGTCAGGATTGTAATTGGAATAGCTGTTACTGCTAGTATTGCTGTTATTGCTGGTATCTCAAAAATGTGAATCACTTTTTATCTCTTAACCATAAACAGATACCATAGCAAAAATGGATTTATTCATAAATTCCACAGATCGAGAAAGACCTCAAGCCGAAAGCAGGTCAGCTTTAGCTTCATAGACTATAAGTCCTGGGCATTTCAGAAAAAATAGCTTTTCTAGAAGTTTAGATAATTTTGGTGAATTATGAAGTCCTTGAAACATTGTTGGGTCTATAATTTTTCAGGAGACTGAAAAATCACCCAGAGAATGACTAAGAAATCTTTTCCTGCATTGCCATATAGTTGTTAAAGTTCAAGTGGTAAACAAATAAAGGATGGAAATGTCATTCTGGTTTCTAAATATACTGTAATTTCTTTGAGATTCCTCTTATCAGGAAACTTCCGCCCTTAGGATTCTTTGACATCTAATTTGTTGAACTGTTTATAAAACACAGAAATGTGAAGATGCATGAGATATTGTTTACAAAATATTCATGGCCCAAACTAGAAAAAAAAAATCCACATTGAACGCCTAACTGTTGAATGTAGTATGACTGTGATATCTTCTTAGGGGGAGTTCTTGATGTTTCTATTCCTTGGAAAAATTTGACATGAGACTACTATTGTCTTTGTATGGTAGATTCGATTATTGTTCAGGGAATAATCATCCTTTTCCTGTTCATCTCCATGGGAAGATTGTCTACTATGCTATCCTATAGATGCCGGTCTTGGCCATATTACTTGCTTTGGCCAGTGGCATGCTAGTGAATGTGATGTGAGCAGAGGCCTGAAATATGCTAGTGTAGTTGGGCTTATTCTCTTGTGTCTGTTCCTCTGCCATGAAATATACTCTTTGGTCTAGATAGCTCTCTGTCCCAAGGGCTATGCTCATGCAAAACAGACTTGAACCCAAACTGCAGCTGATATGGTTTGGCTGTGTCCCCACCCAAACCTCATCTTGAATTGTACTTCCTATAATCCCCACATGTCAGGGGAGGGATCTGGTGAGAGGTAATTGAATCATGGGGGCAGTTACCTCCATGCTGTTCTTGTGATAATGAGTTCTCATGAGATCTGACGGTTTTATAAGGGGCTTTTCCCCCACTTTGCTCTGCACTTCTCCTTGCTGCCATTACGTGAAGAAGGATGTGTTTGCTTCCCCTTCCTCCATGATTGTAAGTTTCCTCAGGCCTCCCCAGCCCTGCAGAACTGTGAGTCAATTAAACGTCTTTCCTTGATAAATTACGCAGTCTAGGATATGTCTTTATTAGTCGTGTGAGAATGGACTAATACAATAAATTGGTACCAGTTAGTGGGGCACTGCTGTAAAGATACCCCAAAATGTGGAAGTGACTTTGGAACTGGGCAACAGGCAGAGGTTGGAAGGGTTTGGAGGGCTCAGAAGAAGACAGAAAGATATGGGACAGTTTGGAACTTCCTAGAGACTTGTTGAATGGCTTTGACCAAAATGCTGATAGTGATATGGACAATGAAGTCCAGACGGAGGTGGTCTTGGATGGAGATGAGGAACTTGTTGGGAACTGGAATAAAGGTCACTCTTGCTATGCAAAGAGACTGGTGGCATTTTGCCCCTGCTCTAGAGATCTGTGGAACTTTGAACTAGAGAGAGATGATTTAGTATGACTTTGCTAGCACTCTTTGTTATTGTACTGTTATTTGGAGGATATAAGCTGTATCCCAAATTAAAATGCAAAGTCATATAAGAGCAAGAACACTACCTTTCCTATTATATATCCGTTCCCATAGACACACACAATGCCTGATAGACTATTTAACCTATGGGAGCCCTCCAGATTTGTTAATCTAGTGAGTGGTGAGTGGAAACATTGGAGAAATTAGAGAGATGAGTGGATTCTATAGGATATCTAGGAAAACAAAGCCATTTTACTGTTTTCTTGCATCTTATCCGTAGGAATATTATTTGCCAATACTAGCAGGATGTGGAGACATAGGAACGCTTTTATACTGTTGGTGAGAGTGTAAATTAGTTCAACCATTGTGGAAGACAGTGTGGCAATTCCTCAAGGATCTAGAACCAGAAATACCATTTGACCCAGCAATCCCATTACTGGGTATATACCCAGAGGATTATAAATCATTCTGTTATAAAGACACATGCACATGCATGTTTATTGCAGCACTGTTCACAATAGCAAAGACTTGGAACCAACCCAAATGCATCAATGATAGGCTGGATAAAGAAAATGTGGTACATATACACCATGGAATACTATGCAGCCATAAAAAAGGATGAGTTCATGTCTTTTGCGGGGACATGGATGAAGCTGGAAACCATCATTCTCAGCAAACTAACACAAGAACAAAAAAAGCAAACACCACGTGTTCTCACTTATAAGTGGAGTTGAACAATGAGAACACATGGACACAGGGAGGGGAACATCACACACTGGGGCCTGTCAGGGGGTTTGGGGTTAGGGGAGGGATAGCATTAGGAGAAATACCTAATGTAGATGATGGGTTGATGGGTGCAGCAAACCACCATGGCGCATGTATACCTATGTAACAAACCTGCATGTTCTGCCCATGTATCCCAGAACTTAAAGTATAGTAAAAAAAAGACAAAGAAAAAAATAAAAAAAGGAAAAGGTTCTAGAATCAGTGAGTGAATCAATGAATGAAAGAATGAATAGAACATAGTGCATTCCCTCCAGGAGCTTACAACGTAGTTGTAGAGACAAACATGTAAACATGTCAGAGCAATGTGATATGTACAGTAATAGAGAAATGAATAAGGTGCCATAGGAGCACAAGGAAGTTATGGTTAATTCAGTCTTTCCAAAGGAGCTGATGGGTAAACTGAGTCTGAGAGGAGTTAGCTTAACAGACTAGGGAGTAGGAAAAAGAACTTCCAGATAGGTAGAGAGGAGTGGTCAAAGGCACAGAGTTGTATGACTTGCAGAATTGCCTATTTTGGAAATAATTATTTTTGGTGGTACGGCTGAAGTATAGGATGTATATGGTCCAGCATAACAAAGTAAGGAGAACGTAGGCAGTTGGAATCCATGCCATGGGTCCTTTGCGTTTAATGCCCCTTTCTGATCCTCCTATGACTATGCCCTCTTCGTGAGGTGAGAAGTCCATAGAGCTAATAGGATATGCCCACCTAGAGTTTGAACTTCTTTTTCTAAACCATGCTCCAGGTACTTGTGACTTAAGAATTTTCCTCTCAGATAACCTCAGCCCACTTTCAGGACCTGCACAGTTTTCTTCCCAAGATCTGTCTTACTGGGGGAAGGCTATGACACTGTTGTTTGTATCCTTAGATGTGAGAGACGGCCAAGAGGTATCTGCTTGGGGAATGTAGATGGAGCTTAGAAATACAAGTTGGGGTGTCCATAGGTTTGTTAGGGAGGCTCTTCATACTGCTAGAGGGAAGAGGAGGATCTGGGCAGAAGAAAAATGTGTGGGATAGGTGCCAGGTAAAGGCCTCCATTTGTATTCTTGCTCTGGGCTCTGCAAATGTTAGCAGTGGGCTTTCATGAGAACCTTACTTTTAATTGTGAATCAGGAGAAAAGTTTATCTCCTGAAAGGGAATAAGAATGGTGTAGAGGTTTCAAGGAGAGCAGTAAATGTTCAGAAAAGCTTCTGTAAAAATGAAAGCAGGACACTTACAAATGGTTAAAATGATAAATAGTACATGTATATTTGAACACAATAATTTTAAAAAATGAAAGCAAGAACAAATTAGAGATTTATAAGAAGTTTGCTGAGAGCCAGTTGGAGACCACCTGCAGCTGGAGACCATGACTCTGTCATGAAACCTATCTGTGCAGTTGTCCTTTTTCTCTTTCTCTCAGCAGGCAGGATATAAGAGGAGAGAAGGTGGCTGCCAGTACCTATTAGATGCTGAGCGATGTCAGAGTCAATGCCATGGATGGATAGCAGATTAAGTTGGAAGTGCTTCCAAGAAAGTGATTCAAATTATTCTTCATGGAGTTTAAGTTTGATAGGGAATATGTGGACCTGAAAGAATGTGATGACCTGGTGACCTGGGGAAAAAAAGGAAGAATGAAAGATATATTGTTGGTAAAGTTAAACAGGAAGTATAGTGGAAGAATAGATGTTGTTTCAGCCAGTGGGAACTTGGAGTTTGGTGTATTTCAAGTAGAAAATTTCCTGGAGAAATGAAGGTTCAGGATATGGTCTCAGGTGATAGTAGCTAAAGTAGAATGGGGTTGAAAAAATGTGGATCTTTGTGGATACAAACTGCATGATACATCCTCAAGGATGTTGAAGTTACCGAAGATGAGATCAGGGCTCAGAGCTGAAAGAAGGATATCAGCTCTCATTGAATATGAGGGAGCTACTCAAGGCCTAGACATGAATGCAAGGAGGAGATGCAGAGGAAGTGAAGCCTGATGACATAATCTTGAAAGCAGAAACATTCTTACAGGAGGATGATCAGAGCAATGGTTTTGAACAGCAATCGGAAGTGAGGATAATCTACTGGTTGTACAAATATTAGTCTAATATGACTCTTGTCCTCAAATAGCTTTCAGGAAAATAGGGAGGCAGATGCATAACATATTGTGATGAGGGAATTCATGATAGAATTATACATTGAATGTTATAATGGTATAAAGGAAAAATATTCCTTCAATATAGTGCCTTAAAGGGCTACCTGAAAGAAATATGTTACAGGAATATGGCAAAATGACCTACTTCCACTTAAGAATGCTTCAAGATAAATGATGATATCTTGGGAGAACCAGATTTTAGCTGATGAAAAAATAGTAATGAAAATTAGAAACTAATTTTGTAAGAGGGTGAGAAAAAATTTTAAAGTTTTTGAATCAGAGCAATGGTGTGCTGGTAAATGTTTAAAAAAAGGGATCTTAATTTTCAAAATGCCCCAATTTGGAGTGTCTGTTGATTTCTGTGATATAAATACTCCCATTATGGCTGATTTCAAGCCACCAACATAACATTACTGAATGTGGAATTGGGAGAAGGTGTGCACAACTGGCTCTAGCAAGGCCATAGGAGCTAGCTCCAGCACACCATTTAATCAAAGCTCCAGAAATAAAAGTTTTGGAAGAAGATTTTCAGTCGAAGAAAGAGTTGGTTGGGGGTAGGGAGGTGGTAGCGGGGAGGTGGTTGAAACTACAGAAGCTTAGGTGACTCAAAGGGTTTCCTTTTGGGGGCAGCCATCACAGGTATCAGGGATTAAGAGGCTTGGTTGGAGCAAGTGTCCTTGAGGAACCATGAAGGTTCAGCCTAAAACCTGAGTTTTCAGGACTGCTGATAGAATAGTGGTAAAATTTCATTTTGGGGTCTCTCAAGAAGGTTTTGCCTAGGGTAGGGAGGATATTACTTTTCAGTAGCATCAACAACATGGAGATTGCCAAGGAAATAAACCTGGGTTTATTGAGCATAAGCAGGCAATCTTGTATTGTTGTGCACAAACGCTGCAGCCTATGGGTACTGTTGAGGGCTGAAATTGAACCCAGAGCCTCAGCCTTGATCCAGTGGAGCAGTGTTTATCCACCAGAACACCTTTTTCTAATTCACAAAAAGGCATCAAATATGGGAGTTGCAACCCTGAGTACACTCTTCTCCCTAGGAATATTTGCATTTTTGAGAAGACATATGGAGAGAATGATGACAAGAAATGATTTAATATTGATAGAAATTCAGGCATTGAGGCAGGTTGGTAAATAAGATGTTTCTTAGAGTGTCTTATCATAGCCTGTTAAATAACATAGAATATTTATTCAGATGGTTGCCCTCCTGACTGTCTTCTTTTGGCTCAGTAAAGGTAACCAACTCCAAACACAAATTAAGTCTTCTTTTTTGTTTACTTACACATCTGACTAATTATTAATTTTTCCAAATGTAGAAAAGAATGTATCACAAAGGTTTTCCCTAAATTCTTGTAAGGTAGAAATCCAACAATCTGAGTGATGCAATCAGTATGTCTGAGATCCATTCATTGCAATATGGATCTTGCGGAATTCTGTTTGTTAACATTTTAGAATTGGATGGTTTTCGCTTGTAGTAACTCTGCTGACATCTCTTTGATCTTTGCTGAGAGAGTTTAATCAATGTTGCCTTGCTACACGCTTGACCCTTAGGATGTGCCAAATTAAATTTGATGTTTCCTTGGCTGGATTATTGAGTGTTGTTCTTCCATTTTCTTTGAGATGTTTTGTTTCTGTAGCAATAAAGTGAAACTTGGTTATCACCCTTGTGGCATCTGCACTCCAGGACTTTTAAAGCCTGTAATGATAATTATTTTTTTAAAAGTATAGTTTAATCTTTGAATCAAAGATTTACTTTGTTCACTAAATCTGGTTTTAGGTTAAGTTCCAGGTAAGCCCTCCATCTCCTCACCAAACACACAGAAGTGCTTGGCTTTTCCAAACAACAGGTCTATTCAATGAGGAAAACTTGGAATGCATGCACTCTAGGTGAATTAAAGGGTAAGCTAGTCTTTTAAGGTGGAAAAGTTAAGGTGTTGGTTTACTTTATGTTGGAATTTGAAGACAATAATTTTTTTTTTTTTTTTGAGACAGGGTCTTACTTTGTCACTGAGGCTGAAGTGCAGTGGCATGATCATAGCTCACTGCAACCTCGAACTTCTAGGCTCAAACAATCCTCCCACCTCAGCCTCCCAAGTAGCAGGGTCTGTAGGTATGTGCTACCACGCTTGGCTAATTCTTTTGTGTTTTTGTAGAGACAGGGTCCTGCTGTATTGCTTGGCAGATCTCAAACTCCTGGCCTAAAGAGATCCTCCCACCTCAGCCTCTCAAAGCACTAGGATTATAGGCATAAGCCACCATGCCTGGCCTGAAGACAATAAATTGCCTTGTTAAAATAATGTTAATAGATTGGATTTGAAGAGCCAGGAAACACATTTTCAGCTCATGCAAGTAGAAGAAATATTAGTATTAAATATTTAATATCTAAAATTGGACATTATGAAGTAATACCAGCATAAACCAGAGGCTTAAAAGGTGAATTTGGCAGGATTTACTTATAAATGTGATTATATAAATACAGTCAGCATTTACAATGAAAAAATCCATTATGATGGAAATGTCCAAAGTAGGTAGCCACTGTTAAATATTTACATAGTACTGCCAATGGTGGTTGTAGTTTAAAAAGTAGTGTGAATAGCATGAAATTATAAAAACAATTAACTCAAAATAGTTGCAGATATAAATCATTGTAATACCTTTAATTAACAGTGCCAAGACTGTGATGGTAGGTTTCCTGATGGTGGGTTTTGGAGGATGGTACATTACAAAGAGGGTTGGAAGGCATAGTGAAAATGTTTGTCCCTGAAACTCAGTCACTTGTGTATTGTTGGTTGAAGAATGTGTCTCTCCTACCAGGGATAGTAGTTACATTTTTGATCAATTAGAAGGCTTCTTGGGAATTACATATAGAAAAAGAAGGAAACACCTGCAAACCAGCAAATTCGCCAAATCAACCCTTGTGATATGGAATGTCTTCTATGGCAGCCAAATTGCTCTCAAATCCAGCTGGCTGCTTTAAGGACAAAGTCACATTAGTTATGTGAACTAGAATTTATATGATTTTGTGCTATATAAACTTTGTGTATAAATGAAAGACTTGTTCAACTACTCATACACTTGCAAATGCTCATTTCTCTAGGCTTGCAGGGTTGCAAATATAATATGGATTATCTTTTCTTCAAAGTCTGATTTTCTAACGAGCCACTTTTTATGTATCTCTTACTTGATGGCACTAGGCTTATTTAAGAAACAGAAATATCTAAACTCAGGGAAAGCACCTTTCTTCATGTTAATTCTAAACCTAATCCCCACCCAAACAAAAACCTGGTCAGTGCTAAGAAGCTCTGAGAAATAAGAATGTTGTTTAGTCTTCCTTAAAGGAATTGGAAAACCAAGCTGTACTTGTACCTAGATTGCATAGGTAGCTATCACTTGTTGTATAGCTTGTGAATTTAAAGAAAAAAAGTGAATGAAGCTTTTTACTACACAGATACTCTTCCAGGACTTTCTTAATTCTTGAATTCCACTATTGTTTAGACAGAGTTATGTGACCCCAAGAAACATTGGCTGGGGCTAAAATATGGATTTTTATGTGTATAATAAAACTGTATTGTGTAGATTGATGGATGTTTTTCATTTCTAAGAAAGGCAATTTCCTGTTGGATGGGAAAAGGGGCCTTCAGTGGGCACTAAATAATTGAATGGAATAAAATTCCATCAGCTAACTGTTGATCACTGTTTAATCTATTGACAGGAGGATATTTTCAACTCAATCTTCTTTTCCTGCCTAACGGAAAATGGGTAAATATACTAACTCCTAGGAAAATATGGCAAAGTAGGCATTTTTATTTCTATTTTAGTATTTCTAGATATATGCAGTATAGTCTTTTTTTTCTTCTCCTAACCACATCTGTCCTAACAGCATTACATTTTAAAGTATAATGTCCCCTTTCAATCACTGTGACTGCTAACTTTATCATCTGTGAAAGCTTCCCCAGAGGTTGATCTCTTCAGAAGCAGAGATTTTTCTTAACTGGTCTATCAAGATTTTTTTCTTGATCATGGGATTTGTCTAAAAACAGAGGTTTTTGCATGTGTTTTTTTCTTTATACACTTCCTAAGCAGTGTGGATTTTGCCTCACCACATTTCTTCTTTACCCTTGGGTATTCTTAGAGGTCAGCCAGTAAAAGTAGAGTCCCCAGGAGGGTTCCAATGCCTCAGAGTCAGGGTAAGCCACTTTTGCTATTTACATTATAAAATGATGTGATTAAATCCAGTTCTAGAGAAAAATGCTTCCCTGATTGTGTTGCAATTCTGCCATTACTTTGCAGAAAAAGAGCACAGCTGGGGTGAGCTTTGATGCCTTAAGGCCCTGATTTTTTGATAGATTAGAAGAAATCTGTGTAGCAGGATTTGTTGATAAATTTACTTTTCTCCATTTATAAGTAGTACAATGGACAGGTATTTTTATCAAGTAGAGCAGCACTGAAAAAAACACTCAACTGGCATGTTGTAGAGTGAGTGGGATAATCATAAGCCAAGGCAAGTGTATTGATGTTACCATGGTACCCATTTGGAAATACTTAATGCTTGCAGTGTTCACTGTGGACAATGGATAAGTAAGGTTTAAGAGCTATCACTTCCATCCCTGCAGGCTTGGGAGCACTCTCAACAGCTACAATACAGCAATAAAATGAAATTTTAAAATATCCCTCATACATTATGTATGTAACCTTTGTATTTCAGTGTATAACCTTGAGGTTGGTTACTTCTTAGACATAATCCATCCTCATTATTTTCTGACTTGCCATTCAACTTCATGGTTCTCTTCACCTTCTTGCCCTTCCTCAATAAGTTAGAAACTCTTTTAAGCACAGCAACCAGGTTCTTTCCTGTCCCTCTCTACCATGTAGCACAATGCTTTGCACCCGCTAGACATTTGCTAAAGATTTTTAAAAGCATATAAAGTGAGGATGTTTTTACATTATTAGGAAATTATACAGGGGATAAACTTTTATACTTAGTGATACCTACATTTGATGAATGATTGAAACTGTCACATTTGTTCATTAAGTATAGACATTTGTTGTCTTCACACTCCTGTCCTTTTGCTCTTCTCTTTCTCTATTCTTTCTCCTGGAGTGCTCATTACCTTGAATAACTTTCATCAATCATTTCCATGTTGATGACGCTGTAACTTAGAGTTTAAAGCTTGCCCTCTGTTTTAATTTCTACTTTCATTTCTTGCTACCACCTCAAATTCAATCATGTCCAGAGTTATCACCAGAATAAGCTTTCTTCTCCTAAATTTTGTATTGGCCAGTAATTTTACCATTTATCAGTTTGTGAATGCTTTATTTTGTTCCTCATGACTGCCTCTCTGACTTAATGTTACTATATTTTGTGCCCTTATTATCTCTTGGATTAATTTCTTTTCTTGCTGTCAATCAGTCTAGAAATTACTCCAAACCATGCTTACTTTGCAGCATCCTAATTAGTCTTTCTGATTCTATTCACTTTCCTCTTTAGGAGTTGGAAAACGTTTCTTTTGCAATGGACTAAATAGTAAATACGTTAAACTCTGCAGGCCATATGGTTTCCGTTGCAATTACTCAACTCTTCCATAGACAGTATTTGTATGTATATGTACACATATAATACGTGTATGCCTGCGCATATGCATAATAATTAAATGAGTGGGTTTTGGAGTGATGGAGACCTTGGAACAAATCTTGGCTCTAACACTAGAGTTTTGAGATCTTGGCCAAGTTTCTTAGCTCCTACAAACCCCAGTTTACTTGTCTGTAAAACAGGCATACTTTTCATCTCACAGGGTTTTTTGCAAGGTCCAAATAAAACGATAGGGAAAAATCTCTCAGCATACTAAATAAATGTGTTCAATAAATATTAGCTATTTCATCAAATAAACCAACTACATTTATTGAAGGTCTATTGTGAGGCAGAATTAATCTAATTATAAGGCATACAAAAATGCCTACATGTTCCCTGCATTTGAGAGTTCTATAGTTTATGAGGAGAGGTCAACCTTAGGTGGGTTAATTACAGGGTAATAGGGATAAATATTATAATAGAGACATATAAAAAGTATTACTAGCAGGTAGGGAACCCTTGAAAGAGAAGGCAGAATTTGAGCTGGATCATGAGGGAAGAGTAGAAGAGGTTCACTGGAAAGGGAAAGTGGGGGAGAATTTTTCGGGTAAAGGCAAGCAAAAACAAAGGTATTATTTTAGTCCCGGTATGCTTGGGGCTATCTATGGGAAGTCTAGTCTGATAGAGATAAGGCTGAACAAAAAGGCTAGCCAGGTTGTGACGGGCCTCCCAAAGGGATTCATTTGCATGTGGAGTTGTGGCATGCCTTATCACTGTCATTTAAAAACATATATCAAGTAATTTATCAATATTTTATGCAGATTGCAGTTAACTCTGATATAGTCATGGGCAGGCAATAACATACCTCTGTACTTTTTAGTTTACTTGTGAACTCTTTATTTTTTAGTGTTTACCAGAAGGTCAAGTAGGCAGAAACCAAACATTGAAGTTAAGGGAAATACACTGTGATGGTTAATATTGAGTGTCAACTTGATTGGATTGAAGGATGCAAAGTATTGACCCTGGGTGTGTCTGTGAGGGTGTTGCCAAAGGAGGTTAACATTTGAGTCAGTGGGCTGGGGAAGGCAGACCCACCCTTAATCTGGTGGGCACAATCTAATCAGCTGCCAGCGAATATAAAGCAGGCAGAAAAACGTGAAAGGGCGAGACTGACCTAGCCTCTGAGCCGACATCTTTCTCCCATGCTGGATGCTTCTTGCCCTCAAACATTGGACTCCAAGTTCTTCAGTTTTGAGACTCGGACTGGCTCTCCTTGCTCCTCAAGCTTGCAGACAACCTCTTGTGGGAGCTTGTGATCATGTAAGTTAATACTTAATAAACTCCCCTTTATACATCCTATTACTTCTGTCCCTTTAGGGAACCCTGACTAATACATACAGAGAAACTGTTTGTGGGGAAAAAACACAAATTGGTCATTTGGAACTATAGTGACCAAGTACACAATTCAGGAGAGAGAAATTCATAGGAATAAAAATGGCATAATAGAATATGGGTTTTATCTATATAAGATTATGTCATCTGTGAACAGAGATAATTTTACTTCTTCCTTCCTGAATTGAATGCCTTTTATTTTTATACTTGCCTAATTGTTCGGGCTAGGACTTCTTATACCATTTAGAACAGGAGTGGCAGAAGCAGGCATTTCTGTCTTGTTCCTGATCTTAAAGGAAAATCTTACAGTCTTTCACCACTGAGTATGATGTTAGTTGTGGACTTTTTATCTATGACTTTTATTATTTTGGGGTAATTTCCTTCTATTCCTCATTTTTGTGTGTCTCTATTATGAATGGGTATTGAATCTTGTCAAATGCTTTTTCAGCGTCATTTGAAATGATCATGTGGTTTTTTTCCTTCATTCTGTGAATGTGGTGTGTCACATTGATTGACTTCAGATGTTGAAATATCCTTGCATTCCAGATATAAATATCATGGTATATAATACTTTTAATGTGTTGTTGTTGAATTCAGCTTGCTTGCATTTTTTTGGGGATTTTTGCCCCAATTTTCATCAGACAAATTCGTCTCTAGTTGTCTTGTAGTGTTTTGTCTGGCTTTGGTATCAGGTTAATGCAGGCCTCATAAAATGATTTTTGAAGTATTCACTCTTCTTAAATTGTTTGGAAGAGTTTGAGAAAGACCGACGTTAATTTGTATTAGTCCGTTTTCAGACTGCTATAAAGAACTGCCTGAGACTAAGTATTTTGTAAAGGAAAGAGGTTTAATTGACTCACAGCTCCACATGGCTGGGGAGGCCTCAGGAAACTTACAGTCATGGCAGGAGGTGAAGGGAAAGCAAGCACCTTCTTCAAGGTAGCAGGAGAGAGAAGAAAGCAGGGGAAACCGCCACTTATAAAACCATCAGATCTCATGAGAACTCACTATCATGAGAACATCACAGGGGAAACCACCTCCATGATTCAATCACTTCCTACCAGGTCCCTCCCGTGACATGTGGGGATTATGAGGATTATAAGTCAAGATGAGATTTGGGTGGGGACACAGAGCCAAATCATATCATAATTCTTCTTTAAATGTTTGGTGAAATTTTCCAGCAAAGACATCTGGTTCTACAAAAACTAACAGATGCTGGCAAGGATATGGAGAAAGGGAACCCTTGTACACTGTTGGTGGGAATGTAAATTAGTACAGTCAGCATGGAAAACAGTATAGACATGTCTCAAAAAACTAAAAATAGAGCTACCATATGATCCAGCAATCCCACTTTTGGGTATCTACCCAAAGGGGGAAAAATCAGTATATCAAAGGAATACCTGTACTTGTGTTTATTACAGCACTATTCACAATAGCAAACATACAGAATTAACCTAAGTGCCCATCAAGGGATGAATGGATAAAGAAAATGAGGCATATATGCACAATAGAATACCATTTAGCCACACAAAAAAGAATGAAATATGTCATTTGCAACAACATGGATGGAACCAGAGGTCATTATGTTGAGAGTAGAATGATAGATGCCAGTGGCTGGGAAGGGTGGGTACATGGTAGGGGACAAAGGAGAAGTTGGTTAATGGGTATAAACATACAGTTAGCTAGAAGGAATAAGTTCTAATGTTTGACAGCAGAGTCAAGTAACCATAGTTAAAAACAATGCATTGTATATTTCAAAATATCTAGAAGAGAGGACTTGAAATGTTCCCAAAACATAGACATGATAAATACTGGAAGTGATGGACACCCCAAATACCTTCACTTGATAATTATACATTCTATGGATGTGACAAAGTATCACATGTATACCATAAATATATACAAATATGTATCAATCAAAAAAGACATTTGGTCCTGAACTTTTCTTTGTTTGGAGGTTTTTGATTACTGATTCAATCGTCTTACTAGTTATTAGTCTGTTTTGCATTTCTTTATGATTCAGTCTTGGTAGGTTGTGTGTTTGTAGAGATTTATCCATTTCTTCTAGGTTATTCAATTTGTTGGCCTACTATTGTTTATAGTATTGTCTTATCCTTTTTATTTCTGTGGCACGACTTGTAATACCTTCTCTTTTGTCTTAGTCTGTTGGTTCTGATACAACAAAATACCTTTGAGTGGGTCATTTGTAAACAATAGAAATTTATTTCTCACAGTTCTAGAGGCTGGGAAGTCCAAGATCAAGGCACCAACAGGTTCACTGTCTGATGAGGGCCAGGTTTCTGTTTCCAAGATGTCTGCTTCCTTCAGAGTAGATCACATCCATGAGGGCTCTGCCCTCTTTACTTAATTACTTCCTAAAGGCCCCACCTCTTAATACTATGACATTGGCAATTAAGTTTCAACATGTGAATTTGGGGAGACACATTCAGACCATAGTATCTTTTATTTCTGATTTTGCTTATTGGAGTCTTCTCTTTATTTCTTAATCTAGCTAAGAGTTTATCAATTTTGTTTATTTTTCAAAAAAGCAGCTCCTAGTTTTGTTGATTTTTTTCTATTTCTTTTCTATTCTCCATTTCATTTATCTCTGCTATAATCTTTATTATTTTCTTCATTCTGCTATCTTTGGGTTTAGTTTGTTGTTCTTTATCTAGTTCCCTGAGGCATAAAGTTACGTTGTTTATTTGAGATCTTTCTACATTTTATATTTTTAACTATTATTTTAGGTTTGAGGGTACATGTGCAGGTTTGTTATATAGGTAAACTTGTGCCATGGGGATTTGTTGTACAGATTATTTCACTACCCAGGTACTAAGCCTAGTACCCAACAGTTATTTTTTTCTGATTCTCTGTCTCCTTCCACCCTCTAACCTCAGGCAGTCCCCAGTGTCTGTTGTTCCTTTCTTTGCATTCATGAGTTCTCTTCATCTAGCTCCTATTTATCAGTGATAACATGTGGTATTTGATTTTCTCTTCCTGTGTTAGTTTGCTAAGGATAATGGCCTCCAGCTCCATCCATGTTCCTACAAAATACATGATCACCTTCTTTTTTATGGCAGCATAGTATTCCTTAGTGTATATGTACCACATTTTCTTTATCCAAAGTATCATTGATAGACATTTAGGTCGATTCCACATCTTTGCTATTGTGGATAGTGCTGCAGTGAACATTCACGTGTATGTGTCTTTATGATAGAATGATTTATATTTCTCTGAGTATATACCCAGTAATGAGATTGCTGGGTTGAATGGTAGTTCTGTTTTTAGCTTTTGGAGGAATCTCTATACTGCTTTCCATAATGGTTGAACTAATTTACACTCCCACCAACAGTGTATAAGTGTTCCTTTTTCTTCACAACCTCACCAGCATCTGTTATTTTTTTGACTTTTTAATGGTAGCCACTCTGACTGGTGTGAGATAATATCTCATTGTGGTTTTGATTTACATTTCTCTAATGATCAGTGATAATGAGTTTTTTTCATATGCTTTTTGGCCACATGTATGTCTTCTTTTGAAAACTGTCCATGTCTTTTGCCCACTTTTTAATGGGGTTGGTTTTTTTCTTGTAGATTTTTCTTCTGAATTTTTGTGTAATATTTTTTTCTTGTAAATTAGCTCTTTGTACATGCTGGATATTAGACCTTTGTCAGATGCATAGTTTGCAAATATTTTCTCCCATTCTGTAGGTTGTCTGTTTACTCTATTGATAGTTTCTCTTGCTGTGCAGAAGCTCTTGTTTAATTAGATCCTATATGCCACTTTGGTTATTATTTGCATGGGACATCTTTTTCCATCCCTTCACTTTCAGCCTGTGTGTGTCATTAAATCTAAAATGAATTTCTTGCAGACAGTGTATAGTTAGACACTGTTTTGTTAAAAAAAAATCTGTTAGGCTAATCTATGTCTTTTGATTGAGAACTTTAGTCCATATTAAAATAATACTTTCAAAAGTATTCATTTATGAATTTACCTTTACTGGAGAACGCTATATTTTTGTACGCTTTGAGGTACTACCCAGAATCCTTTCATTTTAACTTGAAGAATAGTCTTTAGCATTTCTTTTAGGGCGTGTCTAGTGGTAATAGACTCCCTCAGCTTATGTTTGTCTGAGAATGTCTTAAGATCTCTCTCATTTTTGAAGGACAGTTTTGCCAGATATAAAATTTTCACTTTTCTTTCAGCATTTTACCTATATAATCCCATTGCCTTATGGCCTGTAAGGTTTCTGCTTAGAAATCCACTGATAATATTATTGAGGATCCCTTTTATGTGATGAGTTGCTTTTCTCTTGCTGCTCTCCAGATTCTCCTTTAACAGTTTTATTATAATGTTTCTCTGTGTGGGTGTCTTTGGATTTATGCTACTTGGAATTCATTGAATTTTCGGATTTGTAGACCTGTGTTTGTTATAGTTGACGTTTGCATTTCCCAAAGTTTATACGTTGATGTACAAACCCCCAGTGGAATGGTATTTAGCGGAGCCCTCAATGTGGGATTAGTGACAACAGTGAGCTTGCACCCTCTTTTCATATGCACACAACAAAGAGGTCATGTGAGCATACAGCAACATGGTGGCTGCCTGCAAACCAGGAGAAGACGTCTCAGAATGAAATCTATACTGGTTCCTTGATCCTGGACCTTCCAGCCTCCAGAACTGTGAAAAAACAAATTTACATTTTTTAAGCCACCCAGTCTATGGTATTTTGTTATGACAATCTGAGCAGACTAAGACCATGTCTTTCCTTAAATTTGGAAAGTTTCTAGCCATTATTTCTTTAAGTAATGCCCTTTCCTTTTCTCTCTCTCTTCTCCTTCTGAGACTCCCATTATGTGTATTTGGCCCACTTGATGGTGTCCCATGAATCTTTTAGGGTCTTTACTTTTCTTCATTATTTTTGCTCCTCAGACTCAATAATTTCAAGGACCTGTCTTCAGGTTCACTGATGCTTTCTTCTGCCTGTTTGAGCTTTAGAATTTCAGCTTTAGAATTTCTGTTTTGTTCTTTTAGAAATAATTTCTCTTTGTTGATATTCTTATTTTGTTTATATATCATTTTCCTGGTTTTCTTTGGTTCTTATAGGTGTTTGAGCATATTTAAGGCAATTATTTTAAAGTATTTGTCTAATAAACATAATTCCTGTATTTCTTCAGAGATAGTTTCTGGAGATTTATTTTGTTCCTTTGAGTGGGTCATGTTGTTCTGTTTCTTCTTGTACCTTTTGATCTGCTGTTGAAAATTGGGCATTTGCAAAAATAGTCACTTCTCCCAGTCTTTGAGACTTGCCTCAAAGACCACCACTAATTAGTGGGCCCTTGAGCCTTAGGGATTAGTCCAGCGTGAAGGCTTAATTCTCAGGTCTCTTCTGGGCATGCATCCTGCCTGTTTGTGTGCCCTTTTTTTTTATTCCCCTGTATACATTGCTGTTTTAAAATTTCTTAATTTCCCATAGATTCTTACCCCAGTTTTTTTCAGGGTATTACATATTCCGCTGTATTCCTCTGCCCACAATATCTTGCACCTGGCGTCTGAAGGTCTGCAATCCTCCTGCCGTTTTCCCATACTATGGCACCCACCATTGCCTTCCCTGGCTTCTGCTAGCTTGAGATCCAAACTATTCTACTATTCCCTGTCCGAGCTCTGAGTCAGGCAAACAGAAACCAGACGCTTGAACAGCCTATGGACAGGATAGAACATTGCAAATATCTTCTCTTTTTTTTCTGGCTCAAGGAAGGGAACCAGGCATTGGGCCACTTCCTCCTGAATTCACTGTTCTGGGGAGAATGTGGGCAAAGGTCAAAAAAAGCCAAAAATTTCCTACCATTTTGAATGAAGCTTTTTGTTGATTAGGTGTTTGCTTCATTGCTATAGATGTTTGACTAGGGGTCTATAAAGTTATTTTAGTCAATCTATAGTTTTTTTTAATGTTTCCATGGAAGAATGAGGACTTGGAGCTTTCTAGTCTGCCATCTTGCTGATGTCACTCTCAGAATAGGAGTTTTAAAGCAGAGCAAAACCAATATGAATAAAGAAATGGAATTTCATTTGGAAAGTTTACCCTAGTCTCAAAGACTTAATTATATTCTTTTATGAGATATAGTGGTAATGATTGGATATCTTTGCCTGACATGGAAGCTAGGCCCAGAGATCTATTTGAGTATATCTGAGAGCCAGGCAGGATAGGTCTGAAAGAAACAATTTGCAAGAGGAAATGAGATGACATTTGGGATATAATTTATTCAGGGCTCTAGATTATAAAAGCCATATGGTACTAGAAATGGTATGTATTCAGTAGGAAGTCATTCAACCATGGTGACAGAGGAAGAGGCCAGATAACTTCACATGGCTTTGTCACCACTGGGAGCCTTAGCAGTCTCCACTGAAGGGGGAAGGTTGAAGAGATCAAAGAAATAGTGTCAAGTGCAAACTGATAGGAGTTGCTCATGATTACATGTGAGAAACCTCTTGGGGACTGCTAGAAGTACGTGGTAGAGTGGAATGTGTGGGGGATACTTTTTATCAGGCTAGAAATCTTAGAGGGATGGTAAAATCCAGAACAATTTGGTTTTCTAATGTTAATGGGATTCTCCAGGCTGATGAGGTCTGAGGATGTATGTGTAACTGAAAAATTAATTTTAAAATAAAGATCCAATGAAAAGGTTTTGCTTCAAACCATTTCAATAGCATGGTGTAGGTATAAGCCAAAAGTTAACATATACTATGTGTACCACACTGGATCATTTAGAGCTTCCTTTAATAGCGTGGAGCTTCTGTGAGGCCTGTGCTTCAATTTGGTCTGCCATTAGCCAATCTTGGACAGCAGTAATACCTAGCAGGAGCAGTACCAATGCTGTTTTTGTACTTCTTCAAAATGCATCTGTAGCTAGCATTTCTTTTTTTAATAAAACATTATTTCATTTTTACATTTTAATTGACAAATAAAATTATATATACATTTAGACTGTACAACATGATGTTTTGATATAAGTATACATTGTGGAATGGCTAAATCAAGCCATTTAACATATGTATTATTTCTTTTTTTTCTGAGATGGAGTCTCGCTCTGTCACCCAGGCTGGAGTGCAGTGGCACGATCTCCGCTTACCGCAACCTCTGCCTCCCAGGTTCAAGCGATTCTCCTGCCTCAGCCTCCCATAGCTGGAATTACAGGCGTGCGCCACCACGCCGAGCTAATTTTTGTATTTTTAGTAGAGACAGGGTTTTGCCATGTTGGCCAGGCTGGTCTTGAACTCCTGACCTCAGGTGATCTGCCTGCCTCGGCCTCCCAAGTGCTGGGATTACAGGCGTGAGGGACCGTGCCTGGCCTATTTCACATACTTATTTTTTGTGGTGAAAACACTTAAAATCTACTCTCAGTGATTTTCAAGTATACAGTAATCATTATTAATTATAATCACCATGATGTACAATAGATCTCTTGAACTTACTCTCATCTAACTGAAATTTTGTATCCTTTGATCAACATCTCCCCAGTCTTCACCCCCCAACCCCCGCCAAGCCTCTGGTAACCACCATTCTACTCTTTACTTTTATGAGTACAACTTTTTAAGATTTCGTATATGTGTGCTCTCATGTGGACAGGATAGAACATTGCAAATATCTTCTCTTTTTTTCTGGCACAAGGAAGGGAACCAGGAATTGGGCCACTTCCTCCTGAATTCACTGTTCTGGGGAGAATGTGGGCAAAAGCCAAAAAAAAGAGCCAAAAATTTCCTACCATTTTGAATGAAGCTTTTTGTTTATTTGGTGTTTGCTTGGTTGCTATAGATGTTTGACTAGTTTCCAGGCCTCTATAAAGTTATTTTAGTTGATCTATTTAGACAGTCTAAATAACTATAAAGTTGTTTTAGTCAATATATAAGATATTTTTCATATATAAGTATATGAGATCATGCAATATTTGTCTTTCTGTGTCTGGCTTATTTCATTTAGCATAATGTCCTCCAGGTTTATTCATATTGTCACAAATGACATTGTCCTTCTTTTTAAAGGCTGAATAGTATTTCATTGTGTATATATACCACATTTTCTTTATCCATTCATCCCTTGATGAACACTTAGGTTGATTTTGTATCTTGGCTATTTTTTTTTTCTTTGAGACAGAGTCTGGCTCTATCACCTAGGCTGGAGTGCAGTGGTGCAATCTCAGCTCACTGCAACCTCTGCCTCCCAGGTTCAAGCGATTCTGCTGCGTCAGCCTCCTGAGTATCTGGGATTACAGGCACCTGCCACCACGCCCAGCTAATTTTTTGTACTTGTAGTAAAGACGGGGTTTCACCATGTTGGCCAGGCTGGTCTCAAACTCCCGACCTCAGGTAATTCACCCACCTTGGCCTCCCAAAGTGCTGGGATTACAGGCGTGAGTCACCATGCCCGGCCTTGGCTATTGTTAATATTGCCACAGTGAACACAGTAGTCCAGATATCTCTTTGGCATACTATTTCCATTTCCTTTGGATATATACCCAGTAGTAGGATTGTTGGATTATACAGTAGCTCTACTTTTAATTTTTTGAGGAACCTCTATACTGTTTTCCTTAATGGCTGTACTAATTTACAGTCTGATCAACAGTATACAAGGGCTTTCTTTTCTTCATATCCTCACCAACACTTGTTATCTCTCATGTTTTTGGATAATATCCACTCTAACAGGTGTGTGGTAACATCTCATTGTGGTTTTGATTTCCATTTCTCTGATGATTAGTAATGTCGAATATCTTTTCATATATTTGTTGGCCATTTGTATGTCTTCTTTTGAGAAATGTCTATTCAGGTTCTTTGCCTGTTTTTTAATTGGGTCGTTCATTTTTATTGCTATTGAGTTGTTTGAATTCCTTATATATTTTGGATATTAATCCTTTATCAGATATATGGTTTGTAAATATTTTCTCCCATTCCACAGGTTGTCTATTCACTCTGTTGATTCACTCTGCAGAAATTTTTTAGTTTTATGTAATCACATTTGTCTATTTTTGCTTTTGTTGCCTGTACTTTCGGAGTGATATCCATTTTTTTTTTTTTTTTTTGCCCTGACCAATGTCACAGAGGCTTTCTCTTATGTTTTCTTCTAGTAGTTTTACAGTTTCACGTCTCCAGTTTAACTGTCTAATTCATTTTGAGTTGATTTTTGAATATGGTGTGAGATGAGAGTCTCATTTTATTCTTTAGCATGTAAATATCATTTCTTTTCCAGCATCATTTATTGAGGAGACTACCCTTTCCTCATTGTGTTTTTTTGGTAATTTTGTCAAAAATCAATTGACTACAAATACATGGACTTATTTCTGGGCTCTCTATTCTTGTAGCTAGCATTTCATTTGCAGTGAGTGGAGACTGCTGGATCCTCTGAGAAGATCCTCATGGAGATTATTGATCTCAGTTCAGTGCTGCCAGGGAATTCAAGTGGGGGCTCATCTGAAATGGCTAAAGCCAATCATTTGTAGATGATCAAAATGTAAGCTAATTATATTCTGAAAGATGGCTCAGAAAAATGGAAAGTAGTGGCTTTGTAGGAAGTGGATGCTATTAATTTTTAATGACACACTTACAGTTTATAAAATCCATTTTTCTAATATAGGCAGATTTATTAAATTTAATTTCTGCCATGTGATAGAATGTTGACAATTTTGCCAAGGAATTCTCTATAGATAAACTTAAAAAGAGGAAGAAAAAATATTTATTTCTTCCATAATACCCACTTAGGCTTTTTAATATAGAGAAGATCACTGAGTCCTGGAGAAATGCATTATCTAATATTTATTCCATTAAAAACAATTTTTTCTTCATTTTATTTTTTAAACTATAAAGAAATGTTTTTATAGTTTTAAAAATAAAACTGCATTCATAATTCGTCCTTTGCTCCCCTCACTACCCTAGTTTCTTTTTCTGATCTTTTCTTTTTCATATAATGAGATCACCACTCACTTAAATATTAAGATGCCCAGGAGTGGTTTTTATCTATTCTCTTTACTTCATTTGTCCCTATATCAAAGTTGTCACCAAGTCCTGTCATTTTTGTCCCCTCAAATTTTCTTGACTCTGTTCTCTCCTCTCCAGCATTATAGAGGCTATCACAATTTCAAACCCTCATGATCTCTCATGTGAGCTCATTTCTTCTTAATTGAGCTTTTAGAATCTACTCTTTCTCCCCCAATACCAAATTCCTTCCTCTGCCATTAGCATCATCTTTCTCAAATGTAATTCTGTCTTATCAGTCTCCTGTGTAAAGGCCTATGTTTGCTTTCCATTCAGTGCTTTCAGAATAAAGTTTAAGATCTTGCCCTGTGTGACAGACTAAAGATGGATACATATACTTTGATACTTTTCCCACTGAGAAATGGGGTCTATGTTCACTCTTATTAAATATGGAATGGGCTCTGTGACTGTTTTAACAAAATTATGACTGAAGTAATCCTGTTCTATTTTCTGGTCCCGGAAGTCAAGAGACTGGCTGTTTATACTTTCTGTTTCTTGGACCAATTACTCTGGGGACACTCCCTCTTATAACCCAGCTACCATGATATGAGAAGACTCCCTCTTATAACCCAGCTACCATGATATGAGAAGACTCCCTCTTATAACCCAGCTACCGTGATATGAGAAGACTCCCTCTTATAACCCAGCTACCATGATATGAGAAGTCCAAGCCATGTGGAGGGGCTATGTGTGTGTGCTTCAGTTGACAGCTCCAGCTGTGCTCGCAACATCAATTGCCAGCCATGTGACTGAGCAATTTTGAACCTCCAGCAGAATTGACTGAGCTTTCAGATGAACTGCAGCCCCAGCCAACATTTCATTGCAACATCATAGACCTCAAAATAGAACCATAGAGCTGAGCCCGGTCAACCCAAAGAAACAGAACAGGTAATAATGAACTGTGGTGCCTCCAAAAAAATAATAATGAACTGTTGTTTTAAGCCACTGAGTTTTGAAGTGGCTTGTTATGCAGCAATAGATAACTGAAAGAACCTGGCTTAAAATGTGCTTTGTGATCCTTTTTTGACTTGCTCTTTTAAACTTACATCCCACAATTACCCCTACAAGCACACTACATTTCAGCCAATCTAAATACTTGGGGAGTTCTTTTGTGACTTGATATGTTTTCATGTACTGTGCTTTTTCCTGGAATACACTTCTACTCCTTGTCTACCTGGAAAATTCTTATTCCCTTCATTACTCAGCTTCCGTCATCTCTTCTGTGAGGGCATTTTTGTCTTCCTTTGGGTGGAATTAGGTTCTCCTTCTACTGAGCTCCAATTGTAGCCTGGATCAAAGATCTTATTACACTCTATCATAATCTTTTCATGGTTTTTATTTCTACTTCTCCTTGAGGGTAGTGATCATGTCTTACTTAACTCTGTGTTCTTATGCACTTAGCAGAGCTCTGGCATAGAGTGGACAGTACATCTGTTTCTATGTCTCTGTATGCTTGTGTGTGTACCTGTTTGTGAAGGGGCAAGGTATATTTATGGGTCTGAGGCAGAAAAAATATAAGACTAATATATTAGACTGTCTTAGGCTTTTCCTTTCTTCTTTTTCAGGTAAAATATGATTCAATGATTTGGTGTGTGATGGCAGAAACTCCTCAGAGTAATTCTAACTAGGAGGCCCTCAAATTAAATTTCAGGCAAGATAAGTAAATTTGATAAATTTTAAAGAATTATTTTGGACTAGGGATATCAAAATTCAGCCCCCCCCACATATATATATATATATATATATGTATATATATATATGTGTGTGTGTATATATATACATATATATACATACATACATATATATACATATATATACATATATACATATATATACATATATATACATATATATACATATATATATACACACACACACACACATATATATGTTACATATGCTATCAAATCAACTCAATGGTCTATTGGTCTAAGGATTACTTAGGATTAAAGATCACCTCTAATATATTAGGTATGCTTACATTGGTAACATACATATCCCAGTTAGGATAGACAATGTTGAATTAATGACAAAAAAATTCCTCTGCATCTCAGTGGCTATTTTTACTCACATAAGGTCTGCTGCAGTTCTAGAGAGTCTCCAGGAAAGCCTCCTTCCAGTAGGGAGTGACTTAGGAATCCAAGCAGGTGCCATCTTGTGATTCCATCTTTACAACATGGCCTTTTTATTTGCTGAAGACAGGCAGAAGAGAAGGATAATGTAAGACTTTCTCACTGCCTTAGTATGAAATTGAAACATGTCTCTTCCATTTCTTTCCACTCACAGTCCATTTGCCAGAATTAATCATATGGTCCTGCCTAACTGCAAGAAGGGCAGGTACACAGGAAGAAGAAAGGAACCAGATTTGGTGAGTACTAGCAATCTTCCCTCTTTTTTTTTTTTTAACCTCTGTAGCTTATTCTGAGGCTTACATTGTAATTAGTTTTTGATCTGGTAGTTTTGTAAGAACTTTAACCATATGCAAAGAAATCTGATTGCAATTCTAGATAGACTAAATCACTTCTATGATTCCCCAACACAAATTCTATGGTAGGGAGGAAATTCATTTAGAGAAATGGAAGTGATAAATGAAATTTCTATACTGTGGAAGAGATGACTGATCAGTAAGATCAGCTTACAATGGATGATATATGTATGTACCTTGTTCCCTGCACAGCCCTCATGAGTTATTTTCTATGGTTGATTTTGTGATACGTGACCTTGCTTTATGGTAGAGTATGGCTTTCTCATCAAGATTTGGCTTTGATATCAAACAATTGTACATGTTAAATGTGTCTTATTTGTTCCCCTATTCTCACTTTCAAGTATGCAGTATGGCCTTTTTTCCCCTTCTAGTGTCTCTCTTATGTGTTATGTAACTTGTGAAATCTGAGTATAAGACAAATATTCAGTTTAGTCTTTAACCATCTCAGTAGCTTGGGCTTGCTTCAGGTTTCCTGAATGCCATATTTGCATCTTTCATCTAGTAATTACAGGAAAGAGGGTCAAGGAAAGGAAGCAGTAAGTGTAGAAACATCTGGGCCCTATTGTGTAGCTACAATCAGTGCCATCATTAGTCTTTAAGATCCTCACCCCTATTTACTAATAAACAGTGAGTTCATCCAGAGTATCACAGCAATCAAAGTTAAGTGGTGAGGTTAATTGGAATCCAGCAGCCTCCTGTATCCCCAGTCTGTAGCTATTTCTTGTGTTAAGCACAAAAAAATGCTCAATGATCCTGGTTTTGTTTTGACTAAGAAGGGGGAGATTGAAGGAAGTAATTGAGAAGAAGAAGATAGATTTGGATTCTGTAATTCCTTTTTTTCAGGTTTGGGATTTCAGCGCAGAGCTTGAGGGGAAGAAGGATCAGGAATTCTCTGGTGTTGCTCTTTCCTCTTTGTGACCCTATGAGGTTAGAGGCACAATATTCAGCAGCCTCCTACCCAGCTGGTAGAGGACGGGGGCGGAGAAAGAAGGGGCAACATGAAAAACTGGGGAGTCTGATAGACTTCCCAGTTTTTTCTCCATCCATGCATATGTGATTTAACTTTTGGATTTCACTGGCTTGAATCATTTTTTTATGTGGCTGGTGTGCTTCTCATTCAAGGTTTCTGTGAGGGCATCCTCCACACAAGGAAAGAGTAAAACTCATGGTCTCTGACCGTCAGCTCACCTCTTCTCATCATTGGCTGTGTCTAACAGGAAGAGGGGCCACACACAGGCATGTGGACATTCCATCTAGACTCTCTTCACACCTTATGAAACAGCTGTCTCTTGGGTTTAGGGACATACATGCTCTAGCATGGCCGACCTTAGGGAGGCCAGATGCAGGGAGGTGAGCTATTGCAGGCTTTGGGAACTCCAGGTCTTCAGTATCCCAGGAGATGGAAGGTATTGAGTTCCAAATGGACAGGTACCCTTGGGCCTTCAGAGTCATCATCCAGCACAGAGGGTCATACTCAGAGGGCCGGAACTGGTCTCTCTGAAGTAGGACCCAGGGCAGGGGCTCTAGTTGTGTAGGTCTCAGAGCAGTACTAATGACCATATTATGCTTTGCGACATCACAGCTGGAAACAGCAGGTATTAATTAAACTAGTCAAAAACAAAGGTGGTAGAAAAAATAGTTAAACTTGTTTCTTTTGATTTTAAATGAACTAAACCCCAAAGGTAATATGGAAATTACTTGCTTATTAGGCCAGTCCATTACTTCAAGTAATGAAAATTTGATATTCTGAAACTTCAAACTGCAAAGATTGACCTATATTTTCTCACAATTTGGAGAAACTCCAGAATAATAGCTTTTACCCTATTTTACCCATGGGATTATAAATGAATCACCTAGAAGTAGAGTGGGATTAGGTAAATGGGAGTAGGTATCAATACTGTCCTCTAAGTAACTCTTCAAGAGTGACATGTTGTAGCCCTGTAATTATTTCCCTGTTATTAAGACAAAAGCTGAGTCAAGAGCAAAGGAATGTAAATGTCTGTCTGAAGACCTTTTTCTTTAGCTTTCTGTGGGAGAGACCCTAAGTTGAAAGCATTACAGAGACTTCTCACTTAATGACTATAATTAATATTACATGTGCTATGACCCATTAGGGATGCAGAGAATGACCTGAGTTGAAGTTGCTGGCCATTCTGATATACCGATTAAATATGAAAACAGTACAATATGTTAATGATATAATGCCCTTTACTTCTCTTACACTGCTAATAAAACTATTGCCATCTCCTTCATTCCTTCCTAGGTCATCTAGCCATTCATTTTTAATATGATGAAATAACATTTTTTCTTTATGCTTATTGGATAGACTTTTTTCTCCTATTGCATTCTGATAATTACTTCTTTAGAATTGTGCATAAAATTATAGAATAATAGAGTTGGGAGGAACTTTGGATCTTATCTTGTTCAACTCCTTAACTAATGAAAGTTTCATCAGAGACGGGTACTTCCCTTCTCTCCTTGCATACTGTCAATGATGGACACTCCTGGCTACAAAAGGTAGATGACTCGGGAGGAAAATGAGAATATTTTTTTCTGGATTTTGTCTGAGAATTTAGAGCAATGGGAGTGATTTGTACCCACACAGTCTAAAGTGAAGGGTACATCTATACAGGACTTGCTAAGGGGTGGTCAAGCCATTCTTTCAACTATCAGTTCCCATTACCCTCCTCTAGGAGACCAGAGGGTGCAGGGTAGAATAAGGGAGAGGGGATAACCGCACAGACAGAGGACTTCAGAGGTCTTAAGAGGGTTCCTTTCAAGTCTTTAGCTGACTACTGATCAATGCATGCTTGTGAAAGAACTAACGGAGACTGTGGAAGAAGTCACTTGAAGGGATTACAGAGAAAAATCTCCCGTGCTCACTCAAGGCTAGGAATAGTTACTGTTCCTATCAGCCAGAGATAAATGCTCCTTATGCGCTGTCAAAAATCTCATAATTCATGAGACATTGGGTAGAGTATTAAGAAGTGGAGGAAAATAGCCCTAGATTAAATGATCTGGTCTCAATGAAGAAAGCTTAAAAGCAACTCTGATATTGAAGACAGGAACAAAGAAACTAGAAAAAGAAAAGCAAATGAAACAAAAAATAAGTAGAAGAAAAAATAAATAAGGATCAGAGTGGAAACTAATGACATAGAAAACAAACAAGTAGAGAAAATCAATGAAACCAAAAGCTAGTTTTTGAGAAGATAAATAAAATTGATGAACCTCTAGCCAGAATAATCAGGAATAAAAGAGAGTAAACATAAATTACTAGTATCAGGAGTGGGAGATGACATTACTACAGGTTCTGTAGGTATCAAAAGATTAATAAAGGAATGCTATGAAAAACTTTATTCCAATAAATTCAACAACTGAAATTCTACAGATTTTAAAAGGCTCTACTCTTCCCACATTCAATCCCTATTTCTTAAATATTCTGATGCCTAAATGTCTCTAAAATTTGTTTACTTTTCCCCATCCACAGCATTATATTCTGGCTTAGGCCACCATTTTATCTCATAGTATGAAACTCTTAGCTGAGTCCATGGACTCTCCCTGTCCCTCCTATTAAGAAAAATTAATAATTAAAAAATTATATCACCCCTTCCATTCCTGCTCAAATGGTTTTTTATTACCCTAAGGAGAAGTTCAGGCTTACTAATCTGATTAAACTCGTCCAGCCCTTTTTCTTATCACTCTCCTTCCCCATTCTGTTCTCCAGCAACAAGCTATGCTTTCTGTTGCATCTGAGCACATGCATTTTCCCCTGTCTATAATTCGTTTCTCCTTTATATTAATTTGGCTAGCTTCTACCCTCTTTCAGGTCTCAGCTTAAAAGTACATTCTTTCAGGAAGTTTTCCTTGGCCACTCATATCTGAGATAAATGCTCCTTATGTGCTGTCAAAGCATTGTAAGTGTCTCCCTCCAATGCTTATTACACTATATAATCATTGTCTATTTACGTCTCTGTAACCCTCAATGGTCTGAAAACTCAACAGGATGAGGAAATGCTTATTTTGTTCCTTGTATTGACTCTTCAATATGGCAGAGGCACATAATAGTCTGTTTATAAATAATTGTTAGAGTGATTATTTAAATTTTACTCTATTCAAACCTCAAATCCAATGGCACTCTAATTCTTAACACAGGTTATTTTAGGCAGTGTACAAACAGTAGGCTCTTGATTCTGACTTCTGATTACTGATACTGAAAACATGATTTTCTCCTTCTTAAATTTTCTTTATTTTGTAAGTATTAATATTATCAATCTATTATCCAAAAGTGAATGATGCAGTAATTTAATTGTAGACTTTTGTTACTATTCGTAAACCATCAGATGGAAGTAGAGATTTCAATTGGATTATAGTATTTTACTCCATCTAAGAGTGTATAATTGAGAACTACATTATACTTTATAAAATTGCTTTTGCTTTTAGTAATCTTCCAAAGTTCTTTTCCTTTGGCTTTGTTCTTTTGACCAAAGCTCCTTCTAGAATCAGACACTAAATAACTCCTATTACGGGGGAGAGCCCTTTGCCATCACTTATAGACTAATTCTTGTTTCAGTTCTCTTCCATTTTAAAAATCTTTGGTGATTTTTAAATGAAGAACAGCCTGTCTCTGCTAACCAGAACCTCCTTGGCAATTCCTTTTTTATTTTATACTTTTCTTTTCCTTTCTCCTCATGACTTTTTTTTTTTTTTTTTTTTACTAATTACATAGGTCATTTTGTTTACTGCTAAAAATTTCAAATATGCATTAAGTTAGAAGAGGAAAATAACATCCAGAGATGAAGCTCTGTTAACATGGGGTGTATTTTTCATACCAATATGCTGTCTATTGTTTGACCCTCTCCTTTGCCATGGTTATTTCAAATATTTTCTCCTTATTTTGTTTTAACCTTTGCCCTTAAATTTTGGTTCAAATATTTTAAATATAGAGAGCTTTCTGTTTTGTGCAATAAAATCTATTCCATTTATTTCACTCTTTTTATGCTTAGAAATTACTTCGTCACATAGAGTGCACATATTTACCTATTTTAGTCCTATTTTTTAAGGTTTTAGTTTTTATAGTTAACTCTGTAGCTTACATGTAATTTAATTTTATGAGTTTATTAATTTCCCAGTAGTCAATATTCTTTAAATTATAGTCAGTTGTGTCCATCTTTTCCATTGATTTGCAGTGTTTCTCTAAAGAAATAGTAAAGTCTTTTATAGATTAGTACCTGTTGATAAGTTATTCTATATGTTTATATGATTATTTATATTGTACCAGTATAATACTGTTAGTTATTGTAGAATGTCAAAGATTTCATATAGGCAATTCTCCTATAACTTTTCTTTTTTCCTTATTAGCTGTTTTAACTTGTTTTATGTTTGATAAACTTTGGACTAATTTTATCAAGATTCAAATGATCATATTGGGATTTTGATATTGCTTTATTACTATATATTGCTTTGGAAATAATGGACATATACATGAAATATGTATTATTGTACATATTATAATATTTATATTTATTCAATCTTCCTAAAAATATGCTATATCTCACAGAACTTTTCTGTTACTCATTTATCTTATAGATCCCATGTGTTTTGGATGAAGTTACTTCTAGGTAAGTTAAGTCTTTTTTATTGTTGTTACAGTAAAAGTTAGCTTTATTTCTTTATTTTTTTCATTTACTATTCGAATTAACTGTAGCTGGTGGATTGAAAAAATATTTAAAACATATTTGGTTTATTTCAATATGTGTGTGTGTATGTATATATATATATATATATGTATGTGTATTTTACAAAACAAGTGATATAAGCAGTAGATTTTATTCAGAGGAAGAAGTCATTGCAGGCTCCCATAGTTGACTAAAGGTATAAGAAAGATAAAGTATTTAAAAATGGACAGAAAAGATAGGGCTATTTGTGAAAATTCAGGGCAAACAAATGTAGAGATGAGCAAGGTTTATTCAGGCTCAGTGAACAAAGCACCTAACTTTGTTAATTCTTGGAGATAGTTAAGGTTAGAAAGTGCTAAGATTGTGGCAAACCTTGGATGCTAGATAAGGGTGATAATTCAAACATCATTATAGTCACAGAAGAAGAGACGATCATGTCAGCAAAACCTATGTTCTTGAGGAGAAAGTAGCATGCCCAAAGTGTCACTTTTGAAAGTAATCCTTAGGTGATGATATGGTTTGGGTTTTTGTCCCCTCCAAATTTCATGTTGAAATTTGACCCCCAATGTTGCAGGTGGGGCCTAGTAGAAGTGTCTGGGTCATAGGGGCAGGTCCCTCATGAATGGTTTAGTGTCCTCCCTCTGTGGTAATGAGTGAGTTTTCACTTTATTAGTTCATGTGAGAGCTAGTTGTTCAGAGTTTGGCACCCTTCCTCCTCTTGCTCTCCCTCTTACTATGTGACACACTGGCTCCCCTTCCCCTTCTGCCACAATTAAAAGATTCCCGAGGTCCTCACAAGAAGCGGATGCTGGTGCCATGCTTCTTGTATGGCCTGCAGAACCATGAGCCAGATAAACTTCTTTTCTTTATAAATTACCCAGCTTCAGTTATTCCTTTATAGCAACACAAAACAAACTGAGATAGGTGATGTTTAGGTTTGGTGTATTAGTCTGTTCGAGCTATCATTACAAAATGCCAGAGACTGCTTGACTTAAACAACAGAAATTTATTTTCTCATGGTTCTGGAGGCTAGAAGTCTTGTGATCCAGGTGTCTGAAGATCTGGTTCCTAGTGAGGGCTCTCTTTCTGGCTTGTAGATGGCTGCTTTCTTACTATGTGTTCAAATGACCTCTTGTTTGTGCTTGTGGAGAGAGAACAAGCACTCTGCTCTCTCTACCTCTTATAAGGACACCAGCCCTATAGGATTAGGTCACCATCTTCATGCCCTCATTTAACCTTAATTACTTCTCACAGGTCCTTCCTCCAAATGTAGTCACATTATTTTGGGGGTTAAGGCTTCAACGTTTGATTTTGGGGGAGACTCAAACATTTGGTCCACAACTTTTGATTTGTGAAAGGGAGAGCCTGGAAAGATACTGGCTAGATTGGCAGCAATGAGGAGATGGGGAATTAAGGGAAATTTTGAAGGAGGATATGGGAAAAAAGATCATCAAAGTTAACTGTTGAATCCTTATTTGGGGAAGCCAGGAGAAGGAATTCAATTTTTAGGCTTTGTTTTGAGTACATTACTGTGAATATGCTTATAAATTTGTCTCACTTGGAACTCATGTTCCCTGGAGGGACTGTGAAGATAACATTATAAAAACTACCCACTGGGTAGATTTAGCTTATAACCTGCTTGGATGTTTTTTGTTCATTATATCATACCAACTGTTTGCACTTACATTGTCCGTGCCAGAGTATAAAGTTTAGAGAATGGTCCTATGTCCTGTTTAAAGTCATTTTTATAACTTTCAGGAGAGTATCTTCTACTTGTATATACTTTACAAGTTGAAGATGATGAATAACCTTTTGGCATCAGTAACTTAGAACTGTTTTGAAAAAAATGAAGGACGTTTATAAAAGAATAGGAGGCTATGAGTTTGGGTTGGTTGGGCTTTACTGAACCTGGGAAAGATAATATTGATGTTGTAAACATTGTTTCAAATATTATAGGAGCCTTAGAATAGAATCAAGGGGACATTTTTTGATGAGGGTAAGAGGATTTTCATGAAAATGAGAGATTATTCATTCTAAAGTTCTCTATAATCCAAGGGCTAGAAAACTTTGTAAAGGTACACATAGTAAATAGTTTAGGCTTTGCTAGTCATGGAGTCTCTTCTGCACTCCTCAACTCTGCCATTGTAGTGCAAAAATAGCCATGGACAATATGTAAATTAATGAGTATGGCTGTGTTTCAGTAAAATGTTATTTACAAAAACAGGCTTTGGATTGGCTTTGGCTCATGGACCATAATTTCCTGACCTGTGGTCTAACCCATTATGCAGAGTATTTTATAAATTCAGTCACTATTGGGATCACATGTTGAGGTAGATGAATGGCATATGTGGTTACTATGCTTTAAAGATTAAAGTTCTGCAATTGTTAAAGTTCTGAGAAAATTTAGCCAATTTATTTTTCAATAACCTAAGAACTTTCTTCTACTATATTATTAGGTGCTCGGTACCTTGAAGGTACAGATTGGGGTGATATATGAACTTGAAAAATTATCCAAATATCATTTTGGTCACCTTTCTTTTTCGTGTTTATTTTTTTAAAAATTATTTTTCAAGTTGACAAATAAAGATTTACTGCATTTATGATGTACAACATGATGTTTTGATATATGTTTACATTGCAGAAATCACACTTCTTTTTTTTTTTTTTTTTTTTTTTTTTTTTTGACGGAGTCTCGGTCTGTCACCAGGCTGGAATGCAGTGATGCGATCTTGGCTCACTGCAACCTCCGCCTCCTGGGTTCAAGTGATTCTTCTGCCTCAGCCTCCCAAGTAACTGGGACTACAGGCATGCGCCACCACGCCCAGCTAATTTTTGTATTTTTAGTAGAGATGGGGGTTTCACCATGTTAGCCAGGATGGTCTCGATCTCTTGACCTCATCATCCACCTGCCTCAGCCTCCCAAAGTGCTGGGATTACAGGCATGAGCCACTGCGCCTGGCCTAATCACACTTCTTTCTGACATCATTGACATCAGTAGCTAATCAGTGACCAAGTGGACTGACTTAAATTTAACTTATATTTTACTCATCTCAAATGCTTGTGTCTTTAAGATAACCTTCTGATATATCCTAATTAGAAAGAATGCCTCCCTTCTTGGCATTATATTTTACCTCATAACTATTTATGATGTTAAAGGAGCATTATGACATAGAGGTTATGAACATGGGTTTTGGTTTTATGATGTTCTGCAAGTTACTTAAACCTCTATGGATTTCACTTTCATCAACTATCAAATGGTGATAATAATAGCTTCCATCTCATAAGATTTTTTTTGTGATAATGACATGAGTTAATACACATAAGTAAAGCATTTAGAACAGTGATGACACATAGTAGCTGCTTAATAAAGTATCATCATTAGAGTTTTCCTATTACACTGTAAGTAAGTTCTTTGAGGGCAAGGAGTATATTTTGCTTTTTGATTATAAAGCAATTTTCATGGAGGATACTAATATTCAACATATGGTAGTTAATGTTATTACTGTTATCATCATTTGGTGCAAATAATCATTAACTTTTTGTTAAATTGAATAGCCTGCATTCCCCTGTTAATTCTTAGCAGATGTTAGCTTGTAGTAAAGTTCACAGTGTAAAGAGAAACAAGGTAAATAAAGGAACATTTAAAGGAATCTTACAAATTAGCTCAATTGCCTGTGAGCATTTTCCAAGAATAATTTATGAATCTATGAGGAAGGAAGAGTATCCACCTGAGCCATCTCAAGGTCTTTGTGGCTTAATATATTTGTTGGCATTGCTGCTTTTCATTTTTCTCAGTCTAATGGGCAGAGTAATAGCTATATTTGGGCTAACTTGAGTCAAAATATATGAGAACAGAAATTTATTAAATAGTCTCAATATCTACCAATACCTTTTTTCCTATCATACGATGCTGGTATCCCTGCTACTGGACCATCTTGATTACTATCTCTGATACTTATTAACTTTAATTCTGAGCTGATTTCCTACCCCATGGTAATTTCTTAATGAAATCACTGAGGTTCTTTACTTTTTCTTTTTCTCTCTCTTACTTTCAGATTCAGTTTTTCCCCCCAATTTGTGTTCAGTTTCACTCTATATTTGCATTAGTGCCTCAAACTTCACACAATATAGACATCTTTGTGAAGGCTTAAAGATTATTCACAGCTTTTTATTTATTCTCAAGTATCAGTATTTTTTTCCTTGTCCCTGGACTATTTCTTTATTAGAAAAACTTCCTCAGGCTATTCCTGAAAAATTTTAACTGCCTGAGCAATTGGGAGACTCCAGAGCTTCTAAAAAGCTGGTTGGTCAAGAATCCCAGGAATTCTATAATAGACAACCTTAGTACTGATTTTTCTTAAAATGTGCACATATTCCCTTGGGTTTATTATTCACTGGTTTTATAAAAATAAATCTTCCTACTTTGAGTGCCAAACTTAGAAATGAGCTTTGAATAAACAGTAATGTTCTGAGGCTCAGTTTATTTTCTTGTCAAGATCTTTAATAGCTCTTCTTTGTGTGTGCGTGTGTGTGAGTGCAGTTGACTATTATGATAAAATCCATCTAATTAGCTATCAATATTTGACAGAGTACTTTTTTAGCAGTGCCATTCATTCAACTCAACAGAGCAGTCATTTCAATCAAGGAAACCACACCAGCCATTCAAATGAGAGAATACTGCTGGAGCTGAGTTTCATCTTACTGGGCTCAATAAAGAAAATATAACTTCAGGGTTTCTATTAGCCAATATATCTCATTAATATTGTGACTGAGACTGTCAATATCCATTTGCAAAGCCATCAGTGTTTAGAACTTATCCTGAAGTGATAAGACAAAAGAGAAAACGGGCTTCATATTTGTAATTTTTTATGTAGCAACACGTAGATCTTTTATCAGATCAAATGCATATCACACACAGCCTCATAAATGCCATTGGCCTTTTTTTGTTATCTTATTTTTCATATAGGCAACTATGGTTCTGTTATTTAATTTATAGGAAACTCTGAGAAGGTTACTTCTCTGAGTCTTACTCTCATTATTCGCAAAGTAGGAATAATGACAGCAGAAGTGCCAATCAGTTTTGTTGCATAACAAGCACCGTATATCCAAGGTTTTTAAGAATGCACATTTATTTTGGCTTATATGTAAGCAGGTCAGCCGGGGTGAATCTAGGCTGGGCTCAGCTGGGCTTGTCTTCAGGCTCCAGGTTGTGTCTGCTCCAAATATCCCTCATTCTTCTGGGACCAGTTTTCTGGGACATAGTCTTTCGTGGCAGTGGCAAAAGCCCAGCTGTGCAAACACATTTCAAGTCTTTGCTTTCACCATGTCTGCTAATATCCCATTGATCAAAGCAAGTCACAAAGTTCAAAATCAGTGGGGCGAGGAAATGTTCCTCTACGACATGGGGTGGGGTAGGAAGTGAGTACTTTCTGAACAGTAATCTAATCTACCATACCTAACCTCTCATGATAATTAGGAAGATTCTACGAAATTAGGTATGTGAGAGCTCCTTGTCAGTTTTAAGGTCCTGTGTGACTATGATATTTATAAGTGCTCTGTCATTATAAAATTCTAGCAAGACTCCTTTTGATTTTGACCTACTACCCATTCCATAACCTTCAACTAAGAAAAGCCATATACAATGCTTGTTAGCAGCTGTTGACTTTGAGTACCGAGGTGTCATTGCACATTATTATAGTGGGAGGCTAAAAATCAGGAGTATCTATTACAGTCTAGGATGTTTAAACTGCTTCTTGGCTTACCATAAGACTTTAAATTCAAGGAGAAAGCAAGCTAAGGAAAGAGGATTACCTTTGAACAGTCTTCATGATAAAATAGTAGTAATTAGTTTGAGCAAAATCCTATATATATATAGCACTTTGCAGGAAAACCAAATGGCAGACAGATAAAACAAATTACTTTACTCAGGGTAATTAGCAAGTGATTATAAGGTTCTGCCTATGTTCTCTCAAGAATACAAAGATCATGCCCTGCTTTTCGAAGAACTTTATTCTGCTCAATACCTAATCCACCTAAAGTCACTACAAAATCTGACAGCAACCTCGCCACAAACATTGAACCACACCGAATACCTGGGAGACCACAACAATGCTAATTTAATGATGAGAGGGAGGAGGGAAGAGGAAACACGATGTTTTTCTTTTCTTTTATTATTTATTTATTTTGCCACCTTTGTTGGCCCCCAATTTGGATTTTTCTTCATGTAGGTATCACACGGTTCCTAAGAATTAAGAACCATATGTTTATGTACCAATGTCTAGGACTGTGAACTAAAATATTATTGTGTCTTTAAGTCCAGAGCATTTCATTTGAGAAAAATAACATCATTGAGAGAGAGAATTGTCCTCTGGATAGAGGTCATAGAAAATTCAAATTAATTTCTCATCAAAGATGACTCAGGAAAAGAGATAGTTCACATAATATTTTGACTGAAGGACACTGAAACCTTTCAGGATAATGTTGCTGCCAAATGACAAAAATAAGGCCTCTCCCATAAGTGGGGCAATATAACACAGCAATACAGAGTTCTATTTAGACATAGAAGCTATATGACCTACCCGCATTAAATACGGTGAACCCATATTTAATGTTTTGAAGTTTCTTTTTTTTATTATACTCCAAGTTCTGGGATACATGTGCAGAACATGCAGGCTTGTTACATAGGTATACACATGCCATAGTGGTTTGCTACACCCATCAACCCGTCATCTACATTAGCTGTTTCTCCTAATGTCATCCCTTGCCTTGCCCCCCACCCCGCAACAGGCCCCAGTGTGTGATGTTCCCCTCCCAGTGTCCATGTGTTCTCATTGTTCAACTCCCACTTATGAGTGAGAACGTGCGGTGTTTGGTTTTCTGTTCCTGTGTTAGTTTGCTGAGATTGATGGTTTCTAGCTTCATATATGTCCCTGCAAAGGACATGAACTCGTTCTTTTTTATGGCTGCATAGTATTCCGTGGTGTATATGTGCCACATTTTCTTTATCCAGTGTGACATTGATGGGCATTTGGGTTAATTCCGTGTTTTTGCTATTGTGAATAGTGCTGTGCTGAACATGCACATGCATGTGTCTTTATAGTAGAATGATGTATAAACCTTGGGTATATACCCAGTAATGGGATTGCTGGGTCAAATGGTATTTCTAGTTCTAGATCCTTGAGGAATCACCACACTGTCTTCCACAATGGTTGAACTAATTTACACTCTCACCAACAGTGTAAAAGCATTCCTATTTCTCCACATCCTCTCCAGCATCTGTTGTTTCCTGACTTTTTAATTTGAAGTTTTTGTTATAGAGATTTTATATAACCTTTCATTAAGTATTTATTCCTAAGTATTGTTTGTTCATAGAATTTCTCTTTCAATTTCATTTTCCAATAGTACATTACTACTATATATAAATACAATCGATTTTTGTACTCTGCCTTTGTATCCTATGACCTTACTAAATTTACTTATTTGATCTAGTTTTTTTGTAGATTCCTTTTGATATTCTAATACAGTCATGAAATTTAGGAATAAAGGCAGTTTTTATTTTTATTTCCAATCTTTATGCTTTTTATTTCTTTTTCTTGTATTCTTGCACTATTTAGTATTATTTTGTTTTATTTTATTTTGGTAGGAACTGTTAAATGAGACCTATCCTCTTAAAAACATTTTTGGATATATAATAAATTATTGTTGACTACAGATAGAATGTTGTCCAGCAGATTTCTAGAGTTTATTGCTCTTCCTGGACTGTAAGTTTATGTCCATTGATTAGTAACACTCAGTTTCTCCCTCCCTGAAGCCCATGGTAATCACAATTCCAACTCTTTGAATCTATAATTTGACTGTTTTAGATATCTCGTATAAATAGAATCATGCAGTATTTACGTCTGGCTTGTTTCACTTAGAATAATGTCCTCAAGGTGCATCCATGTTGTCCCATATTGCAAAATTATTTTCTTTATAAGGCTGAATAGTATCCCATTATGTATATAGTATCCAATTATATATATAGACCACATTTTCTTTATCCATCCATAGATGAACATTTAAGGTTTCTTTTTCACGTCTTGGCTGTTGTGAATAGTGATGCACTTAACATAGGAGTGCTGTTATGTTTTCAAAATTCTGATTTTAATCGTTTTTGATAAATTCCAAGAACTGGAATTGCCGGATCATATGGTAATTCTATTTTTAACTTTTCGAAGATGAAGACCTTCCACACTGTTTTCTACAGTGGCTGTACCATTTTACATTTCAACCAACAGTGTGCAAGGATTTCAATTTCTCCACATCCTTGTCAACATTTATCTTTTTGTTTTTGATAATAGCCATCCTGACACGCGTCCCATCACAAAGGAAGCAGTAAAATTGTTCCTGTTTGTAGACATTATAATCTCATGTATAGAAAACCATAAAGATTCCATTAAAAAGCTCTTAGAACTAATAACTGAATTCAGTAATGTTGCAAGATGCAAACTCAACATACAAAAATCGGTTGCATTTCTGTACATTAACAATGAACCAATGAACAATGAAGAAGAAATTAGAAAAATAATGCAGTTTACAACAGCAACAAAAAGAATAGAATACCCAGGAACAAACTTAACTATGGTGGTGAAAGACTTGTATATTAAAAACTATTAAACATTGATGAAATAAATTAAACAAGATACAAACAAATAGAAAGACATTCTGTGTTCATGGGTTAGAAGACTTAAAATTGTTAAAATGTATGGACTACCCAAAGAAATCTACAGATTCAGTGTGATCTCTATCAAAATCCCATTGGCTTTTTTTTTGCATAAATAGAACAAACAGTTCTAAAATTCATATGGTACCACAAATAACCAAATAAATCCTGAGTAACAAGAACTAAGCTTCAACAATCACAGTTCTTGATTTCAAAATATAGTACAAAGCTACTGTATTCAAAACAGTATGTGACTAACATAAAGACAGACATATAGACCAATGGAATAGAATGGAGAGCCCAGAAATAAATCCACATGTATACAGTCAACTAATCTTTGACAGGGTACCAAGACTACATAGTAGGGAAAGATAGCCTTTTCAACAAATGATGTTAAGAAAATTGGATGTCCACATACAAAAGAACAAAATTGGACTCTTATCTTACTCCATACACAAAATTAACTCAAAATGAATTAAAGACTTAAATGTAAGACCTGAAAACATAAAACTCCTAGAAGAAAACGAAGGAGAATCCTTTATGACATTAGTCTTGGCAATGATTTCATGGCTATGACACCAAAAGCACGGGCAACAGAAGCAAAAATAAACAAATGGGATTATGTCAAACTAAAAAGCTTCTGCAGTCAACCCGTATCTACTAAGAATACAAAAATTAGCCAGGCGTGGTGGCACGCACCTGCAATCCCAGCTACTAGGGAGGCTGAGGCAGGAAAAATCTCTTGAATCTGGGAGGCAGAGGTTGTAATGAGCTGAGATTGCACTGGCGAGACTCCATCCAAAAAAAAAAAAGCTTCTGCACAGCAAAGGAAACAATCAACTGAGTGAAAAGATAACCTACAGAATGGGAGAAAATATTTGCAAACCATATATCTGATAAAGGGCTAATCTTCAAAATATATAGGGAACTGCTACAACTCAATAGTACAAAAATGAATAACCAATTAAAAAATGGGGTAAGGGTTTGAATAGACATTTTTTCAAAAAAGACATAGAAATGGTCAACAGGTATATGGGAAATGCTCAATGTTACTAATGCAAATGAAATGCAAATGAAAACCAGAATCCAACAAATTTGATAAATATTTCTGTTATATTTTAAATGAATATAATGTTATTATATTGCACTTTTCCCCATGAAAACACTAGATATTATTCCACTGTTTCTTGGCAGTAGAAGGAGATAGCAGTCTGGTTTCTCCCATTTGTAGATGATTTGCTTTATCCACTGAATGCCTATAGGGTTCTTTTATTTCCTTAATTTAGTTATTACATCAGATTGTATCTTTGTGTTGAGTATCGTCTATCGTGTTTTTCAGAATACATTTTGTCACTGATTTGTAGATTTGGGTCTTTGTTTATTTCAGAATGATTTCCTGTTATTCTGTTTATTCTGCTCTCTTTCTGGTGCCGTTATCATCATCATCATCTTGACGTTGGATTTTCTTTGCCTGCCTTTATTCTGATTGCTCATCACGCATTTGCCTTTATCTTCTGGACTTTGTGTTGTTTTCTCATACTTCTTTTTCATATTGTTGACTCTTTCTCAGCAGAATGTATTTTACTTGCCATTATTTTTATTTTCAAGTTGCTTTACAATTCTTTTCCTCAGTTTTTCCAGATCACTTTTCATCTCTTGCTGTTTTATGTAGTATTTGAGCTATTTCTTCTAAGAGTCTATATTCCTTTACTTTTTTTGAGATTATAAAACGCTTGTCTGAGCTTTTCTTTAGTTTCTTGAGGATAATGCATCTGAAGTACATTTTTCATTCTGTTTGCTTACTATGTTAATTTACCCCCTTTTTTTTTAATAGTGTCTGTGTATGCAGGCCAAGTTGAACTTTTTCCGCTTCTTATCTGTGGGTGGGGTAAGACTGCCAGATTTAGCAAATAAAAACATAGGGTGTCCAGTTCAGACTGAATTTTAAATACATGTGGATACATTTTTAATGTTACAAGTATGTTCCATGCAGTATTTGGGACATTCTGATACTAAAATTCCATTTTAGTATAATTCTAAAGGGTACTTTTTCACTATATGTGCTTGTGTCACTTTCCTTGAGAGCACAGAAAGCTTATCAACCAGAGATCAACATGAACCGAATTGGAGCCTCTGAGCTAATAGGTCTTTGATTATTTAGTGTTTATTCATCTTTGTTGATAAGACTGCTGCAGAACCAATTGGTGTTTTCTCTTTCCTCCAGGTCTCACTTCTTTCAATTTGTAGTTTGGGTTAGAAATAGTATAGTAAAGTTGTGCAATCCCTTCATCAACCCACCTCCCATGACATTCATTTTATGACTTGGAACTGTTTGGACCTGCAGTTCCCACATAGCCCACCCATGCCTGTGATCTTCATTGGTCCAAATATATGAGTTTCAATCCAGCCTCTCAAGATTCTGTAAGGGAATCAAGGGCAGTGGAAGTGACTTTTGGCTTTCGCATCCTTCCTCGTTTAAGTCCAAACTTCAAGGAATTTTGGCATATATTGTTTACAAACTGTGAGTTGGGGTTTTTGCTATTTCCTGAATTTATATAGATTGGATTTTTAAAAACATATTCTGTTTTGGAGTTTTCAGAGAGAGGTGTAGAATAAACATACTTTTATTACAAAATATATCATAAATTTTTTGGATGGGTTCTGAAGGTGGATTTTGGTATCTCCAATAATAATAATAAATATTTATTGAGTATTTCATGTGAAAGTCACTAAATTAAGTAAATTTACGTGGGTTTATGCAAAACCATCCTATTACTGTGCTCATCAATTTACAGATAAGGAAGCAAAAGCTTGGAGAGTTTAGCTGACTTCTCCAAGGTTGTGCAGCTCTTAAATGACACAGACACAGGATTTGCATCTAGTTCTGGAATCCACTTATAACTACTACGTGACCCTACCTCTAATATCAGAGCAGTTACTGAAGAGAAAAACTTTTCAGTTTCCCAAATCACCAATGTTCTGGCATTTAGATGGTTAAAAAGTGATAGAGTGTCACAAGAATGGAGAAAAAGGCACTATAATTGGATAACCTGGTGGTTAAGTGGTTGGTGGAAACATGGTCTAAATGGGGCAATAGAAGGCCAAGAGAACCACTGTTTTGACTTCCTTATAGTGTGTCCTGTTACTCAGTTAAAGGCAAAGGTCATCTGAGATCTCTAAAAATCTCTTTTCATACACTTTCTGTGTTCAGTTTGATCAAAATAATTATCCACAAGCTGTGGAATGCCAGAAGCTCCATTTTCCAGTGGGGATCCAGCTGAAGAATCCTGGAGAGACCAGAAGTTCATGCTGAAAATTAAATATTTATGTAGCAACCTGGTGGAATTGACTCAAATATTGTATTAGCTATGTCTTATTACTCTGAAATAGAAATGAATACTAGAGATCTGTGCAAAGACCCAGGGCATGCTAGAATAAAGACAAGTTAGGAAAAAATCAGATCATCTGTGACCTACTTTGTCTGTACTTCACTGGGGAAAGGTCAAAAACTCTGTCCTGTGCCAGTGTTGCACTCATCCTTTCCGCAAACCCTTTCAAAAGAGATTAGGTTCCTATTACTTTATTACTGCAGTAAAATGTATGGCCAGAATTCTGTAATGAAAGAGCTGCTGCTACAGAAGCTGTAATAGAAGAAGCCGTAACTTAAGTGTCAGCTTGAAAAATTGCCATAAAAGCAATCTTTTATAGAGAAAATATCTTCTAGTTTCTTGTGCAGCATATGCACCATCAGATATGAAATGTCATGGACACTGACTTCTTTCAAGAATGGAAGGTTTTCACTCTTGTCTGTCTATCCTTGTTCTTTCTCTTTTGCGTCTCTCCTATGTCTCCTTCTCATTCATTTCAGAGTAGATTCTCATGTCCCTAAAAACTGGTATGATAGGAGAGGCACATCCATTTCTTGATTATTTCTTTTTACAGATCGTAAACTGTGTTTTCGTAATTATATGCAGCGCAGATGCAGGGACTGGATTTACTTTGGAGAAACAAGGTTACAGTCAGGGTCACCCTTCCTGAATTTTTATAGCAGACCAGGGGAATTTTTGTGATGTGATTTACTGACGTCTTCCAACGGACACTGTCTTTGCAGGCTAGAGAAACTTGACTCACAAGTTTTTATATGCCTGTATTGTCATCAAAAGCCTCTGTGAAATAAATGACAGAAGGGATTTGCACAAACATGGGACACATTGTTTTAGTTGCTATAAAAGGAACTGTGAGGCAATACACAAAAGCCAATATTGTATTTTAATATAATTTCTAATAATAATATTTGTACTGATGCAAATTGGGGGAAACCCACAGATTCTAGCCATCTGAATTTTTTAATATACTACTAAATCATCATATGGCATAAACACCAACATTATGCTTTTATGTTGCTAAGAATTTATGAGGGAGATATTTTTACCTTGCCAGCCCCACCATCTCCATTCTCCTTAGTAATATCTCTCTTTGGAATTACCTTTTATTTAGCTTCCCTACTGCTTTAATGGATATTGCTTAACTTGGTCCCTACAGCAACTTTAGCATATGGGAAGGGCAGGTATGGCTATTTCCATTTAACTAATGAGGCAATGGAATCTCAGAGAATTTAAATTATCTAGAAAGTAAAAGTTAGTAACCAGAGGCTCAGAGCTTCTGGATTATACACCAGAACATAGGGTAGGTTGGCAGCAAGAATCTCAGCACCAAGGGATGCTCTCACTATGATGCTCAACATGAATGGGTAGCAGATGGGTCTTTAGCTCATGCCACTACTTCCCTCCTTGGGGCGTGGTGTAACAGGGGCTTGCATATTGTATAAAAGACATAAACCTTCCATTCAAACTGTAGAGATGTCTTGTGTGATGAGAATTGATAAAGCATTTGATCTGAGGCTTAGAAAAATAAACTCGTGTAAACCCCAGGACAAATTATTTTGCATCTCAATATGTTCTTTTGGGTACTATGATAACTGATGACTGAACTCACTCTGAGATGTCATTGCTTCAGGGGCAGGTGCTCTCATCTGCTTCACTGGAGCATCTTGATTCTTGTGGGTGGAATTCACTCATATGTTGCTTGGCCCAGCTAGGATGGTTTGGGCCAGTATTTTAACCATGGATTTACCTCTCCACTGGAGGTTTTGTAAACCAGATAAAGCAGATGAACTGCCAAATTAACTATCTTCCCACGTTATATTCTTTCTTCTGCTTTTGTGCTTTTGCCAAAGTTACTCTCCCACAGGGGATTCTTTATCCCTTCTTTTTTGCTGTCCGAATCTCCTGCTTCATCACTCCATTTGAAGTTCCATCTTTTCTTGGAAATCTTCTCAGTCCAACTTTTGTTCTCAAATAGTCCTTCACTTGCCTTAATCTCAGTAACATTTGTGGAGACTTTATAATTTAATATTGGATTTTGTCATTCTCTTGTGTTATATTTGATTGTATCATATTCCTTTAATGTATTAGGCTTCATTGTATCTACCAAATGGGGAACTCTTCCAAGACAGCCATTTGAACGTTGAAGGTCTCATGAGGAATCAGATGGAAACTGAAGTTGGGTAATTTTAGAAGAGTTTAATAAATGACTATTTACAAAGGTGTGGAGAGTATAGAAGGAACTCATTCACACAGTGTCCTGGTTAACAGCAGTGTTAGCTCCTCTAGGCTGAAAAGGGTGGGTAAATGGAGTAGGTTTTGAGACCCAGAGGCTCTGTGACCCAGCCAGCCTGTAGTGACCTCATAGGAAATAAATGCAGCCAGTCCTTCATATCTGTGGATTCTGTATCCGCAAATTCAACTAACTACAGATTGAAAATATTCGGGAAAAAACAATAAAAATAACATGGCACATGTATACATATGTAACAAACCTGCACATTGTGCACATGTACCCTAAAATTTAAAGTATAATAATAATAAAATAAAAAATACACATACCAAAAAAAACCAATATAACAATAAAAAATAATACAAATAAAAACAATATAGTGTAACAATTTGTATAACATTGACTTTGTATTAGGTATTATAAGTAATCTAGAAATTAAAGTATACAAGAGGATGTGCATAGATTATATGCAAATACTATGCCATTCTATATAAGGGATTTGAGCATCTGCAGATTTTGGTATCAGAGAGGTGTCCTGGAACCAGTCCCCTGAGAATACCAAGGGACAACTGTACTTCTTTCACTCTCCTCTCATCATTTCACCTCTTGCTGGAGCTCTTTATTGGCCAAACACTGCCAGAAGCTGGAGGACAAGTGAATCCTTTGATATGGTTCATGCGCATCACCTTTCCAGGGCACAGAGCAGAACACAGAATGGTGAAGAGTGAATCTGGAGGAGCAATAACCTGTGATAACAAGTGATAACTAACGCAAACATCCTACCATTCTTATACTTGTTTTGTATTTCTCAAGCTTCTAGCACATTGTAAAGCTGACTGACAATTAGTAGAACCAAAATGGCAGAACCATAAACACCAAACGTTGCACATAGCTGCTACAGTCACTCTCCAAAGAAAATCTTCATGGATTTTTCCACATACATTTCCCTGAATGTTACTTTAATTATTCATCAAAATATTTGGTTGCAGGTAACCAAATATAGAATCATCATTAGAAATATCATCATTAAAAATGCAAAGAATAAAACTTTTGAGTGTTTAGCAGTGACTTGATAAGTGGGTGGCGTGTGGCAAGATATGACTAGGATGATTCACTATTTCATCTAAAATCAGTTTTATAGCTTCTTGCATTTCAATTATTCCTTTGGAAAGGAGTCTTTTGGTTTGGAAATTTTGCTTATCTCCAGAAAAATGTTTTATTTTTATTTTCATATTTCCTGTCATTTAAATTTCAATTAAGGCTACTAAACCCCTACAAAAAGACTTCCTCCTAGCACTCTAGCTCTCTGCCTACTTGTGACAAAATGTATTAGGGCAGATCTCAGGCATCTGAGGTAGCAATACTCAAAAGAACATTTTCAGTTAAGGCTCAAATGGAACTGATCTGAATTAAAGCTCATTGAAATATACAATGGTAAAGAAAAGTATTTCAGCTGGTAAAAACTTTAGGATTGCAAGATGCTACAATACTGTGAATGAATGTCAAAAGACATCTTAACAAATGCTGTTGAACATCAAAGTCACTTGGAGTGTCAACTGCTTTGGGAGAATATAAAGAAAATCTGATTAATTTCAACCTGGGGTTAAGTTAAAAAAGCTCTGGCAGAGATAATAAAGGAAGAACAGAAGTTGCATAGTCATTCTTTGACGCAAGACGCTAAAGTTTATTTAAAAATCCCAAGGTTGCCGATGCTAAAGATGGTATTAAATTCAAGGTTGAGTACTGCACTGTAAATTATATTTATTTGTTCATGAACATGTAAATGTTATCCTTGCGATTGTTCATTTTAATTTAATATGAGAACTTGATATTTTATGGCAAGGACGTGTTAAACATGAAAGAATTATACTAAGATAGTGGAAGGATAACTGATATAAATGATAAGTGACAAGGTATACTGGTTTAAGTATTTATTGATTTCACTTCAACAAATAATGATTACTTTGATATTACGTCCACTTATTTGATACATGCATGAGGTAAAAGCGGGGCAGTTTTTCTTAATAGCTTGCTTGGTTTTCTCATGGGCTGCCATTTCTTCTTTTATCAAGCAAATTATGTCCTCTATCAACTCCTTATAACTCGGTTTCAAGTCTCTTTCTGCTAAGCATTTAGGGGCGTCATAGTAACCAGACATGTAAATGAGATTTGTTTCCTAATTCCAAATGTCTGCTTCATCTCTGAGAAAGACAGTGCTCACCTCTCAACTTTCACACTGTTCAAAATAAATTCCTACAATAAACATTTATTAAGTGTTTACTGTGTACCAGTTTATGAGCACTGAGGATAGAGAGGTGAGCATTACAGAGAAGGCTGCTGCTCCCACATAGCATACATTTGAATGTCAGGAAACAGTCAATAAACAAATAGATGAATAAGTTATTTTCAGTGTAATAAAAGAAAATGTGTAATGATATTTAAGTATAATGAAGAAAACAGTAGGATTACATGATAAAGAGTAACCGTGTGTATGTGTGTGTGTGTGTGTGTGTGTGTGTGTGTATGGGTGGGTGTAAGCTACTTTAACTTGAGTGGTCTTGGAGGGCCTTTCTGAAGGGGTACATTTAAGTTGAAAATGGAATGACAAGTAAGAGGCAGATAAGAGGAAAGAATGGTCTAGCCAAATTGAAAAGCAAGTGCAAAGGCCCTGAAATGGAAACATGCTTGATATGTTCATGGTAATCAAGGAATGGTTGAATGCCTTTACAGAAAAGCCTAAAGTGATATTTTATTTGAAATTTGAAGAATTATATTGGTCTAAACTTGTGTTAGTAAATGATTCCAGGGTATTTGGAAATTTAAAGTTTACCAATAAGAATTCTAATCTGACAATGACTTTTGAATCGATTGTTACTTAAATATATTTCAAACTATTAGAGATAAAAGTTAATTTTCACAAATTAGGTCATTTCATTCTTTTTTAGTAAGAAATTGATCAACTTATGTTTATTGAACACCCACTACTTGCTGTGTGTATTGTGTGCAAGCTCTATGAGGAAAATACAAAGTAGCATAAGATGACTTTTACCCTCAAGATGAGCAGAGCTCAGTTGCTGGGAAAAGGTATAATCTCATTGAAAATAACTAATGATACAACGTCATACCAAAATGCAAATGAATTATGAGGTCATAAAGAGGAAGGAAAACTTATTTGTGGATTACAGTGCCCAGAGTGGATTCTTGGAGGAAATGGGATTTGAAGTGGCAGGAATAAGAATTAAGTGGCTAGAGACTGGTAGAGTTTGTGTTAATGAACAGGAATGTTGGGGATCAGTGACATAGTCAAATGCTTTAAATACTGCTTATTGCCTCTATTTCTTCTTCATATCATGAAGTTGAATAAAGTTTTAAAAATCAATTTTGCATTTGGCATAATCAAAATATGTATCTAAGCATTAGAAAATGGTGAGTGGCTTCTTACTTACAGGAGTGATATCTTTTTATGATATTTATAAGGCTTCCTAACCTACTAGATAGCAGCTCACCATATGAAGAAAACTCTAGTCCTCAAAGTGTTAATTTTTTTATTTTGGTGATGCTTAACTATTGCAAACAAATGAAACAATGTAACTTCATTTACTATTGACAAACAGAAGGGACATGATGTAATTATTGATATTTACCAATTGTTGATAGTGATATGTACCAATTGTTGATATTTACCCCAATTCTTCCACAGTGAAGGGTATGACTTGGGGTTGCTGGTCTCCATGCATCACAGCCACACTTTATAGTGTTTTCTAGGTAATGTTCCTTGAAGGTGAATCAAGGTTGTTGATGTATCCAGAGTTGCTAGATGCCTCTCAATGGAACCTGCTTGAAACTGAAAAAGGCTGCAAGCAAATAAAGAAATGCAGCTCAGTGGGCAGTTAAATCAAAGGTGTAAATGACACTTCTCATATCCTTGACTTTCGCTGGTCATTGAGCAAGGTCCATGTTGTTTGTTGAGGGCCAGTTCAGTAACATTTTCTTCCTTTTATCATCTGATTGGTGTTTCTCTCTACTGGGGCCATAGCTGCTGCAGACTGTCTGAGATGTTACATTGTGTGTGTGCATGTGTGTGCATGCATGTGTATGCTTGTGCATGTATTTAATTTCTTGAGGTCTTAGAGTGGTTCTCAAAACTGGATAATAATTACAATTACTTGGGGTCTTTTATAAAATACAGATGCTTGGGATTTACCATAAACCATTTAGATAAGGATCACTGTGCTGGGACCCAGGCACCAGTATATTTTTTAAAAGCTCCCAGTGCTTCTAAAGTTTAGTGAATTTTGAGATCCACTGACCTCTCACAGCCAGCAGTGAGAGGACGAATGCTTTAGTTTGTAAGCATGCATTTCTGTTGGATGTTTTAAATGAAAGTCATTAACCAAAAAGCATTGCCAGAGTTCAGGGTCATTTAGTTTAAAATGAAACAAAATGCATTTCTGGGACAGAACAGTAAGGACATGAAGAGAACCAGGGTGGTGTACACAGGTGTAGGTACTATCTCTGATACAGCACAGATACTGACCCAAAGAAAGCTAGTACCCAGGTCACAGCTGCAGAGACACATTTAAGAAGGACTTCACAATGCCATTACACCAGGTATAAGGTGGCATTGGCATTCAACTCCCTGTCAAGAGGATGATCAAGAGGATGATCCTCATCTGGATAACAGGGCTAATAGGGTTGTGCCAACCTACTCCATACATGAGTGCTGAGAGGATCCAATGATGCAACATAGTCTTTATTTCTTTGTGGAGTAAAGTCAGAATAAAGAAAGAAATAATCCACATGTGAAAATCTGTTCTATCTGCCAAGTGCCATGTGATAGCAAGGACTCATCTTCTTTCTCAGTGCAGTGCAGTCACTATGTAGGTTGAGCTCTTTTTCAGAGTACTATAAGTAGTAAAGCAGTCACAGAAAATACAAAATTTAAACTCAGATATTAGATTTAACTGTGGCTGCACTTCTAACTTGCTGAGTGACCTTGGGCAGTGATATGGTCTGGCTGTGTCCCCACCCAAATCTCATCTTGAATTGTAGTTCCTATAATCCGTGTCATGGGAGGGACCTGGTGGGAGGTAATTGAATCATGGGGGCAGGTTTTTCCCATGCTGTTCTCGTGATAGTGAATAAGTCTCATGAGATCTGATGGTTTTATAAAGGGCAGTTCCTCTGCACATGCTCTCTGGCCTGCTGCCATGTAAGATGTGACTTTGCTCCTCCTTCACCTTCTGCCATGATTGTGAGACTTCTCCAGCCATGTGGAGCTGTGAGTCCATTAAACTTCTTTACAAATTACCCGGTCTTGGATGTGTCTTTATTAGCAGCATGAGAACTGACTAATACAGGCAGGTTCCTTGGCTTGTCTGAATCTGTTTCTCTAAAATGTGGACAATTATAAAGTGTGACAATTACAGATATTTTGGTTATAAATTCATTCTATGAATATTTATTGAGTAACTACTATGGGTGAGGTCCTGTTCTAGATGCTAGGGATAAAGCTAAGAACAAAACAAAGTCTCCAGGTCTCATGGTTCTTACAGGAGTGTAGGGGAACAAAGACAGTAAACAAATCAAGAAGCAAAGGCATAGTATGCTAGGTGGTCAATAGGGCTTTGGAGAAAAAGCAAGCAGGGTAAATAGGTAGTAATTCTTGGGGGAATGTGGAGGTGTTTTGTATCAGAAAAGCCTCGCCGATTAGGTGATATTTGAGAAGAGTTGTGAAGGAGTTGGGCAACTGAGCCAGGTGGATATCTGTGGCAAATTCATTGCAAGCAGAAGACATAGCAAGTGCAAAGGCCTTGAGTGTGGAATGATAGATAAACACAAGGAGGCCAATATGGCTGGAGTGCAGTGAGAAAGAAGGAGACTGACAGATGAGGTTACAGTTACTGAAGAGACTAAGTAATGGAGACAGCTGTTTCCAAGCTTTAATGTGAGTGTGAATCCTCTGGGGATGTTGCTGAAGTGGGGATTCAGACTTAGTAGGTCTGGAGTTCTGCATTTCTAATTCCTCCCAGGTGTACAGACCATACTCTGAGTAGCAGTGGTGCAGGGCCATGTAATCAATTGTAAATAAAGATGTTAGCATTTGCTCTGAGTAAGAAGGGAAACGCTGGGAAGGTTTTGAGCAGACTGGCCTTTTGAAGTGATCCCTCTGGCTCTTCAGATAATGAGGTATGGTCAAAAGCCCTGGCTGGCTTTGCAGACAGAATGTCTGGGTTTCAGTCCTAGTGCCACCACTTACTGTGTGTCTTTGGCAAGTTGCTTAAACCCTTTTTTCTCCCACATTTTGTTGTGAAAAATGTTAAGCCTAGAGAAAATGTAAAATAAAGTGTAATAAGCACCCTTATATCCTTTACCTAGATTGACCGATTGTTACTATTTTGCTGTATCTACTTTAGCTCATACTGTACATACTCTAAGGACATATTATTATTCTTATTTAAGAGGAGTACAGTTTTGACATAATGACTCTTTATCTCTAAAAATTTCATTATATAGTTTCTAAAAATTAGAGTAATAGCTTCTATACAATTATAAATACACAACAGTTGATATTAATATCATCATCTAATACATAATCCTTATTTAAATGTAAACAATCTTCCCCCCAGATGTCCTTTATAACAATGTTCCTTTTCTGATGTGGGACCCAATCTAGGATACTATAGTACTTTAATTTTCATGTCGCTTTAGTCTCTTGAACTAGAACAGTTCTTCAGCCTTTTTCTTGTCTTTCATCTTTCATGCCATTGTTTATTTTATTTTATTACGATTATTTTGAGACAGAGTTTTGCTCTGTCACCTAGGCTGGAGTGCAGTAGCATGATCATAGCTCATTGCAGCCTCCAGCTCCTAGGCTCCAGTGATACTCCCACCTCAGCCTCCCAAGTAGCTGGGACTACAGGTGCTTGCCACCACCCCTAGCTAATGTTTTTATTTATTTATTTTTTTAGAGATGAGGTCTCACCATGTTGTCGAAGATGGTTCTAAACTCCTGGCCTCAAGCAATCCTCTTGTCTTGGCCTCCCAAAGTGCTGGGATTATAGGCATGAGCCACTGTACCTGGCTCCATTGTTATTTTTGAGAAGTCCAGGACAGTTGTTTTGTAGAATGTCATTCAATTTGGGTTGAAATTATTTAATAATTTTATTCAGGTTATGCATTTTTGGCAAAAATACTTCCTAAATGCTACTGTGTCTTGCTCAGTGCATCGTATTTGGAGGCACTTGATATCAGTTTGCTTCATTTTTAGTGATGTTGACATGGGTCACTTGCCTACGTTGTTATCCACCAGATTTCTCCGCTGTATAGGCAGCTATTTTCCTTTGTAATTAACAAGCCATTCATGGAGAAATGCTATCTAAATATCCTTTTCTCCCAATAAGCATTTACCCAATCATTTTTTTACCTATTAATAATTCTCATCTCAATAAATTATTTATACGGTGGTTGCAAGGTGATTTTTTTTAGCTCTATCATTATTCGTGTTTATTACTTGGAATTCTGCTATAAAGAAGAAGTTCCCCTTTACCCCTTTTATCTGTCTGTCTGCCTATCATCTCTATTTATCTATCTGACTATCTATCTACTTACCTACCTACCTCCTTACCTACCTATTGAACTGAACTATCTATAACTTGGCTAAGTATTAACTCTTAGATTACTTTTTAAAAATTCAGTTGCTGTTGTAAACAATTACTGTTATTATTTTGATGCTCAATTTGTCCCAATTTTTCCAGTGAGTGCCTATTTAATCTGGTTTCTGTGTTCTTATGAGTTTCTGTGTGCTTCCCTATTTTCTTGCCTCACAAAATATTCCAGGTTCACCTGTATTTTACCTTCCCCAGCTTTGGACCAATGATTTCTCCCAGGAGCCTTGGTTCCTTTTTGTGGAGATTTATACTTGTTTAAGAACTAAGTTTTTTATCTGTAAAATGGGATGGCACATAATACAATACCCGCAGATCTTTTTTTTTTGAGAGTTAAATGGGAAAATCAATGTAAAAGACTTTGCACGATACCTGGCACATAGTATATGATCCTAAATTGATTTTATTCCAACTATTTCCAAGGCAGTATAAATAATGAAAAGATGGCTAGATATTTCAGGGCAAAAAATAGATGAAATGGATGAAAAAAATAAATGGAATTTTAAAGATGTAAGTAACAGTGTCCTATGAGGGAAAGCCAAAGGTTAACACATTTTCATAATAGGTCTAGAAATATCTACTTTGCCTCTTGATGCACAGATGAGAAACAGTTTGCCATCACATGTAGCATTTTAGCATAAACAGTTACCAATCTTATGCTTAAGTCCTTATGCAAATAACATAGAAAACAAGTCATACTCTCAAGGAAATGAATTCTTAGATTTGATGATGTGGGAAGAGATTTTACATAAAACTTTCAATCCTAAAGCATTTTATTTAAAATTATTTGCAAAAATTTATTTAAGAAGAGAACTTCATATGGAGAGAGATTTGTCCCATTTAGACCCAGATATAGAACCAAGTAGCATGAGAATATATTAGTAGAGTCTTACGGTGAAGAGGAATTTACATTGCTTCAACATTTGTAATTTTTCCGACCATGAACAATCATCCTTTGCTTGAAGGGTTGGTCTTCTTGTGTGTTAACCTTTTTTTAAAAATTACTTTTAAGTTTTCTTTAATATACAAGTTCCTTGTAGATACATGAGAAAATACAAATAAGCAAAAAGAAAAAGAATGGTCATCATTCCACCACCAAAAGGTAACCAGAATTAACATTTTAGCCAATATGTTACATTTCTGTATACTATGCATTTATATGTGTATGTATTATTTGCATATAACAAGTATGTTCTGTTGCTGCAATATGGCATGCAACTAACTGCCTTTAAAAGATAATATATCAAAAACATTTTCACTTCAGTTAATATTCTGTAATTTTATTTTCATTGGTACAAAATAGTAAGTTATATGTTGGTATAAAAACTTACTTAACCAACATCCTGTTGCAAGCATTGTTTCTAACACTTCCCTATTGAACACAATACCCCTTTGTAGTTTAATTAATTACAACTCCCTTTTGTCTCTTCCACTAGATAGCTGCTTGAAGACATGGGACATGTCTTGCTTATCTGAGTTTCCCTAGCACCCAGTAGTATTCCTGGATCCATTTGGCACTAAATAAATATTTCTTAAAGGCATGCGTAGTCTATAAATATCTCAAGCTCACTCCTGTCTTTGGGATTTTGTATTTGTGGTGGGATGCTTGGTAAGACATAATCTAAAAATAATTTTAGCAAAAGAAACTAGGAACTGCTTCGCTAAGGTGAATAAGAATATAGCCTAGGACTTTTTAATGATCGCCATTCTAACTGGTGTGAGATGGTATCGCATTGTAGTTTTGATTTGCATTTCTCTGATGGCCAGTGATGATGAGCATTTTTTCATGTGTCTGTTGGCTGCATAAATGTCTTCTTTTGAGAAGTGTCTGTTCATATGCTTCACACACTTTTTGATGGGGTTGTTTTTTCTTGTAAACTTGTTTGAGTTCTTTGTAGATTCTGGATATTAGCCCTTTGTCAGATGAGTAGATTGCAAAAATTTTCTCCCATTCTGTACGTTGCCTGTTCACTCTGATGATAGTTTCTTTTGCTGTACAGAAGCCCTTTAGTTTAATTAGATCCCGTTTGTCAATTTTGGCTTTTGTTGCTATTGCTTTTGGTGTTTTAGACATGAAGTCCTTGCCCATGCCTATGTCCTGAATGGTAATGCCTAGGTTTTCTTCTAGGGCTTTTATGGTTTTAGGTCTAACATTTAAGTCTTTAATCCATCTTGAATTAATTTTTGTATAAGGTGTAAGGAAGGGATCCAGTTTCAGCTTTCTACATATGGCTAGCCAGTTTTCCCAGCACCCTTTATTAAATAGGGAATCCTTTCCCCATTTCTTGTTTTTGTGAGGTTTGTCAAAGATCAGGTGCTGGAGAGGAAGTGGAGAAGTAGGAACACTTTTACACTGTTGGTGGGACTGTGAACTAGTTCAACCATTGTGGAAGACAGTGTGGCTATTCCTCAGGGATCTAGAACTAGAAATACCATTTGACCCAGCCATCCCATTACTGGGTATATACCCAAAGGATTATAAAACATGCTGCTATAAAGACACATGCACACGTATGTTTATTGCGGCACTATTCACAATAGCAAAGACTTGGAACCAACCCAAATGTCCAACAATGATAGACTGGATTAAGAAAATGTGGCACATATACACCATGGAATACTATGCAGTCATAAAAAATGATGAGTTCATGCCCTTTGTAGGGACATGGATGAAGCTGGAAACCATCATTGTCAGCAAACTATCACAAGGACAAAAAACCAAACACCGCATGTTCTCATTTATAGGTGGGAATTGAACAATGAGAACGCTTGGACACAGGAAGGGGAACATCATACACTGGGGCTTGTCGTGGGGTGGGGGTATGGGGGAGGGATAGCATTAGGAGATATACCTAATGTAAATGACGAGTTAATGGGTGCAGCACACCAACGCGGCACATGTATACATATGTAACAAACCTGCACGTTGTGCACATGTACCCTAGAACTTAAAGTATAATAAAAAAAATTTTAAAAAATATAAATTAAAACACACCAGGAGGCAAAAAAAAAAAAAAAAGAATATAGCCTAGGAATAAAATTCTCTGAATCTTTCTTGAACCTCTAAGTAATATTTTAGGTATGGAAGTGGAAAGGAGATAGACGCCCATAATTTTTTATGACCTGATAAATGTTGCCTGTCGGGATACTCTTTGGTATGTATAGTTGTTCCCTGGGAGAAGGGAAATATTTGCATAACAGCAAGGAGCTCCATGGGAATAAAGGCAGTGACACACTGTTCATTGTTTTGGTGAGACTGAAAGTTACTAGCCTCTCTCTGATTGTTCAGAATAGATGCTCTCACCACAAGAAAAGTGAGAGTGTTGCTTTTCCACTAGGGTCTAGAAATTGTTGAGGGAGGCCTGGTTCTCACGCAGCTTGGAGTGGAGGCTTTGAGGCCCTGTGAACCCAGCTGCTTTGGCCCAAAAATTTCACTTTGAGGATAAAACGTAAACACGTAAATAGACATTTTTGAAAAGGCGATAACCTTGAGAGTTTGAGTGGTGGTACTCTGAGTCCTGTACAAGCCTCAAAACTAATCTGGCTATTATTATAGTACTGAAGAAAGAGAGCAATCTGTGGGATGAGTTTTCATAGTGATGGCATGCAGTAATGATGGGGGCAAAGAAGCAAACCGGGACTTCCTACTAGGCTGAGAAAATTCTTGGTCTCTTCTAGCCTGTTTTGAACTGAGTTAGTGACTACAATTCTCGTACAAACTAGGAGGGAGGGGGTATGCTGGTTTTTAACAAGAGATACCAGAACTCCTGCTAATATGGTCTAGTAGGATGATGAGTAATTGGAGAAATAAAAGAAACGTGAAACATTTATGTTCTAAGCTCACAAGACATGTTGTATTAGAAACAAGCGCCTTCTTGTTGTTTTACCCTTCACCTATTCAAGCTGTAACCTATCTCCAAGTGCATCAATCAGTTATTGTTGTGTAATAAGACTCAGTGACAAAGTTTTTTTTTTCATGTGTCTGTGAGGTGCCTAATCTAGGCTGTGCTCCACTAGATAGCTCTACCTTAAACTATGAGTCCAACTGAGTTTTGCTCCTTGTAGAAAGTTGGGCTTAGGCCTGCTCCATGTGTTCATTCTGGGATCCAGGCTGAGGAAGCAGCAGCTATCTAGGGGAGGCTCTTCTCAAAGGGATAGCAGAAGTGCAAAAGGGCATGCCCACCATGGGAGCACATTTCAAGCCTTTGTTTGCTAACATTCCATTGATCAAAGCAAGGCACAAGGCCATTCTCAAAGTTAAAAGCCACGGCAATATAGTCAGTCTCTAATGGAGGAACTGCAAAGTCGCCTGTCAAAGCCTATGGATATAGGATAGGGTGAAGAATGGAGCCCATAAGTCAATCTACCACTCCAAAGATCAGATTAACCTCCTCTCGGAGCTTTTCTTTGTCTATTTCCATTCTCATTGAAGTTACTCTCTTTAGAATTTATCTAGGAGGAACTTTATCTTAGGATTTAGTTGAATTTGGTCATGTATTATTTATGTTCCTTAATGTTTTCTCATCAGCCAAATTATAAGCAATTTATTTAATGATGGAGATCATATCTTACGTTTTTGTGTGTTTTCTGCATGTCTTACCATAGTGATGAGCATGTATATATTAGATACCAATAAAAACCTAAGTAATATATGTATGGAAGTCACATAAAAACACTTCCTGGAGAAAAGTAAATATTATAATTGCTAAGATCTTAAGAGTCTCATAAAAGGTAGGTTATAAGCATGCAACACCTTCTTAAAGAATTTGGCACAAAATAGACTGCCTAGACTTTCTCCCAATAAATACAAATCTGAAAGCAGACAGAGCTGTATGTTTCTGGGCCACCTACTGCACTAATATTAACTATTTCTAGTGTGATGGCAGGCTGTCTCCTCTATAATCAAAGGAGAATGTACAGATTGACAATTCTTCTGACTATTCAGATGTCTATTAAAAATAAAACTGATGGGAAGTAACAAGCATTTTGCATGTGCTGGTTATTTTGACCTGATGGATTTGCAAATTTCTTATGAGCATAGAAAATAAAAACTGCAGCTTATTTTCAAGCACAAAACTTGGGTATAGCAAATGAAGTCACATTTTTTATTTGTTCATTTATTTGTTTATGCTGTTAGAAAACCACTTTGCAGCGAGTGTGAGGGAGAATACTTATTAGGCTAATAACAGCAGAATTATAAAAATGAGGCATTTAGACAAATCTGCCTCTCGAAAATAATGTGGAGTTACAGAAGGTTAAGAATCTGTAAGTATCAATGGATGCTAAGAGCTAAAAATAGATAAGCAGCATGGAGAAAAGAAGTGAAAAGAAAAATAAAATATCAAGAAACCACTAGTAGTGTTTAGGATGGTTATTTTGTCTTTGTTCTCTGTTGAAAATTCCTAAAACTTCATTGACAGACCTTTAGAAATTCTTCCAGATAGATTATTATTATGCACATTGCCTAAACTCCCGTGGGTGTCTTTCTTTCCCACTTTAAACAGGCACACATGTATGTATACACACACACACACAAACATACACACATGCCTTTGACTTATATAATGAAGCACATCTTCAAATTATGAGTGTAACTAATTTGGTAAACAATACTACCATGAGCAGTTAAAAGATGAGGAGAGTTGTAACCATTAATGCTGATTCTATAATGCTGAAGTATAATGTTTCCCATATCCACATGGACATTTTGTAACTATTATTATTGAAACATCCTTATATAATTTGGGAGATAATGCATCGTGCTTTCTTTGCCAGAAATACAGATGTTTTGATGAGAGTCTTCTGCCTAATTTCCTTTCAAAACTGAGTGGAGTATCAGGAAACATGTTTGCTCTTTATGAAGGCATCTATTCAAAGTGAAATAGGAAGATCCTGGCACAAAACTAGACCGTTTTATTTGTCTATAGTCGTCTCCATATTTTATCCATCCTATCTCCAAAATCCCAAAGGAATCCTGGCATTCATGTTCTGTGTTCTAGGAAAATAGGTGAGAATTACAAAAAGGCTGTGCTTTGTTTTTTTTCTAGTACTCTAATATTCATAATATTGTTGGGCCCACCCTGTAACTCACGGCCCACTCTGAAAGTTGATAAGAAATAGTAACACATGGTATTTTTACATTACTTTACCCTTTCCTTCCATTTACCAATTGTAATTCTGGAGTTCTTTTTATATCCTTCCCATATCCAAAATTAAACAACTCCAGTTTCTGACTTCTCATCTTTGGGAACCTGGATAAAGAGTGGGTACTATGCTCGCTACCTGAGTGATGGGCTCAATCATACCCCAAACCTCAGCATCATGCCTTTGTAACAAACCTGCACGTGTACCCGCTGATTCTAAAATAAAAGTTGATAAAAGGGGGTAAAAAAAGGACTGGGTTCTGTATAGTGCACTGTATTAGTCTGCTAGAGCTTCCATAACAAAACCACAGAGTCTGAGTGGCTTAAACAACAGAAACTTATTTTCTCACAATTTTGGAGGCTAGAAGTATGAAGTCAAGGGGTGACAGGGTTGATTTCTTCTGAGGCCTCTCATCTCGGCTTGTAGATGGCCACCTTCTCCCTGTGACTTCACATGGACACAGACACCAGTCACAAAGAAACCAGTCACATTGGCTTAGGACCCACTCATACGACCTCATTTTACTTTAATTATATCCTTAAAGGCCCTATCTCCAGATTCAGTCATATTCTGAGGTACTGGGAGTTAGGACTTCAACATATGAATTTTAGGGGAACAAAATTCAGCCCATAACACACAGTTTTCACCAACATCGTACAAAAATCTCTAGGCCACTTTACTGTAGAGAAAAATCCCTGTTTCAAGTCTTATTTTTCTAAATCGTATTGATGTAAATTGATGTAAATATGTATGGTTCAACATATGGTTGGCAAGTCAGAAGTGACTCAGGGATTTAAAAAAATGTTTTGGATATTCCAACACATTCAGTAGGTAATCCAGTCCTATCAGGCAGACTGCCTGGATTTCAAATCTATACCCACACTGAATAGAGGCCAGATATATTCTTTTTGTGCCCTCTACTCTCCACTCCATCCCAACTAAGTGAGTTGGAATTATTTGAGGGGGAAAAAGATTATGAACAAAAGAATCATGGAGAAACACCAGATTCTCTTCTCTTAAACTCTTCCAACTTTCATCTAAAGTGTCATTTAAAAAAATTTCCAAAGATCTATTATCATAGTGGGAATGGCATAATATAATCCATTGATCATATAATGTCTGTCCTAGGTACATTACTACAAATATCTGATATGTCACATCGTTCCTTCTTTCCTTTCTTCCTTCCTTCTTTCCTTCCTTCCCGCCCCTCTGTGTCTGTCCCTGTCTCCTCTCTCCTTAGACCCTCTAATTCCCTAATTCACACATACAAGGATGCAGGGTGAACCTTAAGTAAACTGATTGCTAATGCAATTCATTTACCAATCATCTCTCCGTGATCACATCTGATGAGGACAATGAAGTTAATAAGGACACATAAATGAAGAAAATCTAGGAAGGATAGCTATAAGGAAACAAGCACAGGATTGAGAAGAATGGGGGAAGGGGACAGGCTGTGATCACAGTCAGGGGCACACTGGAACACAGAAGCAAGGGGATGAATGAAGGCTTCTCCTTGTGACCTTAGTACATTGGGATGTAGCTGATCACATTACCCAGTTGGATTTTCTAACAAAATCTCAGTTGATGCAAGGATGTTATTCTGAAGGTAAGATGTATATATGAATGATTATATGGCTTTGGCATGTTATTTCCTTGCTGTAGAGAAGAATCTATTATTTATTTATGGAAGTAGCACTAGCCTCACACAGTTTCCACAGGTATGAGGCATAATTTACAAACAAAATATAAGCATCTACCAATGTAGAAAGCATCAAGGTTGTAATGAGGGAGATGATTTTTTTTTTTAGCAGAATAAAAAGTGCTAGCATGCTGTCACTGGGGATAGCTATGTAGTTGTTTGCAGGTCATGTTTCTTGGTAAACTGGTCCAGCGCTATTAAGAAGGAATTATAGAAAACACATTTGTTTTTCTGCTTCATGGCCAGAAGTAATTTTAATAGATTCCTGAGTTTTGTCACAAGGCAAGCTAGGGACATATGGAAATCATTTTTAGTTGTTAACGATTTTGTTGCTGATGGGAATTGTAAAGAGGATTTATTTTAATCATTTTGGGACTTATTAAAGGGACTGCTAATAGCTGGGGCCTGGGAGGATTAATTACTTCAAGTGTGTTCACTAACAGGCCCATGTGAAAGTGGGATTTTAGCTGTCAGGAGACAACATACCTATTCCAACTAAACAAATGGCACAGGTGTTAGAGGAGCCTCAGCTCCCAGCCAAGGTCAGAAAGCAAAGCCTGGTAATAGATCAATAAATCCTCTAAAGCATCTCATTTTTTCAAAATTCTTCCCAGAAAAGTAAAACACACTGGGTTTGGCTTGGAAAGTTACTAACTCCATGGTCCTGAGCAAGTTACTTCACTTTTCTCTGCCTCAATGACTTTATCTGTAAGAAGGAGATAACAATAGCAACTACCTACCTACAATAGCACTTTGAAGGTTGTATTAGTCCATTTTCATACTGCTATGAAGAAATACCTGAGACTGGGTAATTTTTAAAGAAAAAGAGGTTTAATGGACTCACATTCCACATGGCTGGGGAGGCCTCACAATCACAGTGGAAGGTGAAGGAGGAGCAAAAGCATGTCTTACATGGTGGCAGGCAAGAGAGCATGTTCAGGGGAACTGCCCTTTATAAAACCATCAGATGCTCTGAGACTTATTCACTATTACAAGAACAGCATGGGAAAAACCCACCCCCATGATTCAGTGACCTCCCACTGGGTCCCTCCCACAACACATGGGGATATGGGAGCTACATTTCAAGATGAGATTTGGGTGGGGACACAGCCAAAACATATCATTCCACCCCGGCCTCTCCCAAATCTCATGTCCTCACATTTCAAAACCAATCATGCCTTCCTAACAATCCCCCAAAGTCTTAACTCATTTCAACATTAGCTCAAAAGTCCACACAGTCCAAAGTCTCATCTGAGACAAGGCAAGTCCCTTCTGCCCATGAGCCTGTAAAGTCAAAAGCAAGCTAGTTACTTCCCAAATACAATAGGTGTACAGGCACTGGGTAAATACACCCTTTCCAAATAGGATAAATTGGCCAAAACAAAGGGGCTACAGGCCCCATGTAAATCCAAAATCCAGTGGGGCAGTCAAATTTTAATGCTCCAGAATGATCTTTGACTCCATGTCTCACATTCAGGTCACACTGATATAAGAGGTGGGTTCTCATGGTCTTGGGCAACTTTGCCCCTGTGGTTTTGCAGGGTACGGCCTCCCTCCTGGCTGCTTTCATGGGCAGGCATTGAGGGTCTGTGGCTTTTCAAGGTGCATGGTGCAAACTGTTGGTGGATCTATCATTTTGGGGTCTGGAGGATGGTGGCCTTCTTCTCACAGCTCCACTAGGCAGTGTCCCAGTGGGGACTCTGTGTGGGGTCTCCCACCCCACATTTCCCCCCCACACTGCCCTAGCAGAGTTTCTCCATTAGGGCTCCTGTAGCGTACCTCTGCTTGGACATCCAGGCATTTCCATATATCCTCTGAAACTTAGGCGGAGATTCCCAAACCTCAGTTCTTGAATTCTGCACACCTGCAGGCCCAACACCATGTGTAAGCTGCCAAGACTTGTGGCTTGTGCTGTCTGAAGTAATGGCCTGAGCTGTATGTTGTCCCCTTTTAGCCATGACTGAGACACAGGGCACCAAGTCCCGAGACAGCAAAAGCAGCCAGGACCTGGGCCCGGTCCATGAAGCCATTTTTAGCTCCTACAGCCCCTGGCTTGTGTTGGGAGGGCCTGCTGTGAAGACTTTTGACAGTCCCTGGAGATATTTTCCTCATTGTCTTTGAGACTAACATTTGGTTCCTCATTACTTATTCAAATTTCTGCTGCCAGCTTGAATTTCTCCCCCAGAAAATGGGTTTTTCTTTTCTATCACATCATCAGGCTACAAATTTTCTAAACTTTTATGCTCTGCTTCCCTTTTAAACATAAGTTCTAATTCCAAACCATATCTTTGTGAATGAATAAAAATGAATGCTTTTAAGAGCACCCAAATCACCTCTTGAATGCTTTGCTGCTTAGAAATTTCTTCTGCCAGATACCCTGAATCATCTCTCTCAAGTTCAAAGTTCTACGGTTCTCTAGAGCAGGGTCAAAATGCCATGAGTCTCCTTGCTAAAGCATAGAAAGAATCACCTTTGCTCCAGTTCCCAATAAATTCCTCATCTCCATCTGAGACCACCCCAGCCTGGACTTCGTCGTCCATTATCATTATCAGCATTTTGCTCAAAACCATTCAACAAGCCTCTAGGAAGCTCCAAACTTTCCCACATCTTCCTGCCTTCATCGGAGCCCTCCAAACTGTTCCAACCTCTGCCTGTTTACCCAGTTCCAAAGTCCCTTCCATATTTTCAGGTATCTTAATAGCAGTGCCCCACTCTACTAGTACCAATTTACTGTATTAGTCCATTTTTATACTGCTATGAAGAAATACCCGAGACTGTGTAATTTATAAAGAAAAAGAGGTTTAATGGACTCACAATTCCACATGGCTGGGGAGGCCTCACAATCATGGTGGAAAGCGAAGGAGGAGCAAAGACATGTCTTACATGGTGGCAGGCAAGAGAATGTGTGCAGGGGAACTGCCCTTTTTTAAACCATCAGATGCTGTGAGACTTATTCACTATCATGAGAACAGCATGGAAAAACCTGACCCCATGATTCAATTGCCTCTTACCGGGTCCCTCCCATGACACATGGGGATTACGGGAGCTACAATTCAAGATGAGATTGGGGTGGATACACAGCCAAACCATATCAAAGGTCAAATAAGATGATACACATAAGTCTTATAGCACCAAACCTGACACAGAATGAGTGCTCAGCAAATTATCACTATTCTGAGTAATATTGTTATTGTTATGCTTAAAATCTGTGTCTATTTCATTATACATGTTAGAAAGAGAAACACAAAATTAGAGTATTGAGGAGAGAGTAGGCCTAGGTCTAAAATTTTTATGGTGTTCATTGCAAAATAATGGAATTACAATTTGGAAAATAGAATTTACAACATTTTCTGCATGGGAAAATTCCTAATGTTCTGATGCTCACCAGTTCCTTTAACTTTTTAGACATCAACTCAGGATTTTTTTCAGTTGTGCTTTTGTTTTATTTTGCTTGTACCTTTGCTACTCAAAAATATTGTTCCTATCTAAATAAGCGTTTGTGGTTATTTTCTTTGGCTATTTTTAAAATGTAACGTTTATATGATCAGATTTAGCCCTTTTTCAAAAAAAGCTTTTATCCAGTCTAACCATTTCCTAAAATTAAATATCTGTAACCTTTCCATTGAATAAGCAGGTTCATGGGATATAATTATAAAGCAACTTTATTTTTGTCTTCCAATATTTAGCTCTTTAAATTTATTCTGTGGGGCTGGTTCTTTTTTTGGCTTTTGATCAAAGTTAAGGACAGTCCCATGATTCTGATGGTTACTTTTTGGATATGAAACAATCTTTAGTTAGTAATTACTTTGTCCTGTCAAAGTGCTAAGTTTCATTTGAAGGTAAAGCTTCTCTCTTCTTCTAGTCTGCTTGCTGCAGGCTGTTTGCTAGTGGGTGGGTGGAGGTTCTGGTTAACTTGCTCTTTCTTTCTCCTCTTGCACATTAACCTTTTTTCCACAAAGCCATTTCAGATCACTCTAGGTTTAGAGCTACAGGAGGCAGAAGGGTATAAGACAAGAGCATTCTTGCTTGCATGTCATTGTGTGATAATCTAGTATCAATGTTCTGTAGATCTGGAAGGTATTTAAAGGTGAGTTTTTTGGGTATACCTTTATGAGTTCACCAGAGACCCGTGTGGTGCTTTGCCTTTCTTCATCTCAATGCTGAGGAGCTCTCACTTTCAGTTCCTTTGATAGGGACAAGTGTATCTCTGATTGCCCTTGGCTGGTTACTAACTCCTTCCACTTCTAGCTGCTGCTTTTTTTTTTGATGGAGCCTCACTCTGTCGCCCTGGCTGGAGTGCAGTGGTGCAATCTCAGCTCACTGCAACCTCTGCCTCCTGGGTTGAAGTGATTCTCCTGCCCCAGCCTCTTGAGTAGCTGGCGTTACAGGCATGCACCACCACGCCCAGCTAATTTTTGTATTTTTAGTAGAGGTGGGGTTTCACCATGTTGGTCAGGCTGGTCTTGAAGTCCTGACCTCATGATCCGCCCACCTCAGCCTCCCAAAGTGCTGGGATTATAAGCGTGAGCCACCATGCCCCGCCTCTAGCTTCTATTTGACCCTTTAGCAAACTCTCTTGGACAAGACATGAGATTAAGATACGCTAATTCTCTTGTGTGTAGATGGCATGTTTCTCGCAAATTGTTGTGGGAATACACATGATCCCCAAAGAAGCAATATTTCTTTCACTTATGTTTTAAACCAGCGCAGTAGACAGATTCAGGGTCCTGTACATTACTTAGGAATGAGTCTGACCTTACCAGCGTGTTTCTCAGCCTACATGAGAAATACAGGAAACTTCTCAGATGGTCTCCTTATACTTCTTTCTCTCGGTTTAGCAAAGTGGTTACAGCAAATCAATTTCTTTTTCTGAATTCCTCTGCTAATGTACAAGTACTGTCAATCCTTTTATATCCTTAGTTTGGGTGTGGGATTAAGAGTGCAATAACAGGGTTTTTTTTTAGCTCTAAAAAGTAACATTCCATTCTAGAAAATGCAATTATTATGTGGGTGTATCACAAGCCAGGACGCCTTATTCTAATTTTTTTATAACTATGTAGTATGTCCTATTTTTAATTTTATATTATCTTATATAGAGACATACAAATTGAAAAGTGTATATATATATATAATGTACATAACTTATATACATGTGTATGTATGTATAATTGTGGTAAGAAAACATAAAATTTACCCTCTTAATCATTTTAAAGTATATAGTTCAGTAATATTAAGTATATTCACATTGTTGTGAAACATGGACTACATATTAAATGTCTCATTGTATATTGAATAAATCTGGCTTTTTCTGTGATGAAACTTTATAAAAGCATTTTGGTTAGAATATTGTCATGAGAAACTTATTCATGCTGCTTTATAGAAGGGAAACTGGTATTAGGATAGACATGGCCAATAAGGAGATAGAATCTCCTAAAAATTCCAGTTCAGTAGCTATAACAGTGTCAAGCCTCATGGAAATTATTTTTGGAAGGAGAAGCAGGAACAGTAATAGCTCTCCAAACCTCAGCTCCATAAGTCTCCATTGCATAGATTCCCTATTAATAATACTTAGGTATTCCTAGTCGGCCTGCTTTCTTATGAACTGATACTATCTGCTTATTGTTTTCCTCTCCTTCATCTATCATTTTTTAGTACATCGTAATTTTGGTTTTCTCAGTTTCTGGTTCATAATAATTTCTATTTACTGCCTTATGACCCTGACAAACTGTTCATTAACTCCAGCTCATTGTCACACAGTGAAATTCCTCATTCACTTGTTATTGGTATTTCCTAATTGAAATTTTCAAGAGAGGAAATTAGATTTTCTTTGCTTATCTTTTCATACTATGTGGGCACTGCCAGCCAAAGCACTGGCTACCCTTGGGTGAAAATGTGGCCATACATGATTGCCACTTGAGCAGAGGCTTGGGGGACATGCTTCCTGAGAAGGAGACCTGGGTATGGCAGGCAACATGCTTAATTTCATGTACTTAATAAAAATATTTTTTTGCAGCTGGGCATGGTGGCTCATGCCTGTAATCCCAGCACTTTGGGAGGCCAAGGTGGGCAGATCACTTGAGGTCAGGAGTTCGAGATCAGTGTGGCCAACGTGGTGAAACCCCGTCTCTACTAAAAATACATAAATTAGCCAGGCGTGCTGGTGCACACCTGTAATCCCAGCTACTCAGGAGGTTGAGGCAGGAGAATCGCTGGAATCTGGGGGGTGGAGGTTGCAGTGAGCCGAGATCACCCCACTGCACTCCAGCCTGGGTGACAGAGTGAGACTCCGTCTAAAAAAAAAATGTGCATGCTTACAAAAGAATAAGTCCGTCTCTCTATATTCATTTTCGCAGTTTTCAGCAGAGAACAGGAACTCTTATAGGAGAAGGAGGCTAATAAACGCCCTCCAAGAACAAAGAATTGAAAAAGGACTTCTGAGTTCCTCATGGTAATGGGGGTGGGCGGGCCATTTTCCTGATTTGGGTTCCCCCAGTAGCGGACCCTGAGACAAAGATGCTACTGCAAATAGTTTATTTGGGAGATGATAACAGGAGACACTGGTAAGGGAGGTGAAAAAATGAGACAAGGGAGGAAGGCAGCCAATAAAGAGTGCATTATTAGGGAGTTACCATGGTGGCTGTTTGCCGGTTAATTCTGGGAAATGTAGAATGCATCTTAGAGTTATCCCACATGGGGACCTAGGAAACTGGATATTTACCCACCAACTTCCCATCTGTCATCAGCTGAGGGCTGCTTTTGGGAGTTATTATTTCTCTGGTACTACTGGCTTGCCCTGTGCACAGCTTATAGCTCCATGCCCAGGAAAAACTCTCAATCCAGGAGTCACAGGAGTTTGTAGTCAGCAGCCTTTAAAGTACACGAGGGAGAGCAAAAAAGCTGTGGACAGGGCATTGACAGCACTTACCCCAACACCCCTCCCACTCTCTTCTTTATTGAATGAAGCCTGATTTTATTCAGGCATTCAACCCTTTGGGTAGGTGACCCTACCTAGAGCTTAAGAGTAAATCTTGATTAATCTTAGCTAGTCATGGAGATTCCTTTCTATTGGGCATAGGTATTCACAGTGCAGTCTGGCATGAGATGTGAGATGAGATCTGCTGGAGGGTCTCTGGGAAAGGCGTCTTCATTCTTAGAAAGAGACTCACAGGAAAAGGCAGCATCTTATTTTGTACCAGATGTTCCATATATTCATGTGTCACTTGGAAATGTGAGACTCATCTTGGTGCCACAAGCCTTGAATTAACCGGCCCTAAAGATACCCTACCATAGGATTTCTCCTTTTGAGAGATGACAACTTTCCTGACTATCTAAATCATTTTGAGTAAAATTTATTCTTACCTGCAGCCCAAGGCATCCTAGTTGGTACAAGGATAAAGTGTAAGTGCACAATGAGAAGAAAGCTCATTTCTTGATGTTTTCAAAAAGATTGACTAAGAGATTACAGGATGATGTCAATATATTGTAACAATTTCAACTCCATTTGTATAACACTTATATCCCTCTGGGTTTTGTTGATGATTGATCTTTAATTCTAGAATAGCATTTTTTTCAATATCCACCTTCGATTGCATGTCTATTCAATATTCCATGTGATTAAATATGAACTATGCATAAAACACTTGTTCTACATACTGAAGTGTAAATAGTTGTCTTGAAGGAAAGCACATATGCAACTGGTTGGGCTACCAGCCGAACTAACCACTTTTTCCCCTGAAGATTATTTTTAATGGAAAGACTGACAGTACAAATGTTGGCTACTCAGTCTTGGGTATTTGGCAGATAATTTCTCAAAAATGAATAAAGTGAACCTGTTACTTGAAGAAAAATGATTGACAGTATTTGTTGCCAAGGATAAAATGTAAGCTTTTAAGTAAAATTTTAATTTATGGAAAACTTTTGTCTGCAAAGGCAACAGCTTTCTGTACTTACAGACTCGTTTGATGAGATTAGTGGTGGTATTAACAAATGTGTTTTTTTGATATTGTATAATAAAATGTGTCAGCATTTGGAACCTCTACATAACTCAGTGAAGCAATATTTTTCAAATGAGTGATGCATGATGTTATAAAATCATGCATAGGTAGAACTATTCAAAGTGTAAGATAGAATTTTAATGTAACAGAATAAAAATAACTTTATTAGTATGGTTTAAGGTTCCACATTACAACTAATTTTTAAGAAACTACCATTTGTTGAGTTTTGATATAATGTCAAAAAAGAATATCCACAATTTTCTGAAAATATTCTTAAAATATTATTTCTGCTCTAACTACATATCTGGGTAAAGCTGAATTTTATTCATATACATCAACTAAAATAGTGTATCACAACACATTGAATGCAAAAGCAGATATAGGAATCCAGCTGTCTTCTAATAAGGCGGGCGTTAAAGAGACTTAAAAAATATAAAGTATTGCCACTCTTCTCACTTAATTTTTTGTTTTTATAAAATAGATTTTTCATAAAAAGTATGTAATTTATGTTAATATACAATAAGTTTATTTTAAATAATAATTTTTTAACTTTCTAATACAACAAATACTGGTAAATATAACCCACATAAACAAAGCTTTTTGGGTGTCCTCAATAATTTTTAAGAATTTCCAGGAGTCCTGTGACAAAAAAAATTTAAGAACTATTTTTAAAGGGCATAGAAGAAAAGGCTCAGAGTTGTGAATGGGTGGGAGATAGCATCAGAAAAGAGAGGTGCAGAGTCCTACAGTAATGAAGGTTTAGCGAATTAAGGATAAACCGAGACCTCGGTTGGTGACTGACAAACACAGAAGTGAAGAGTACAATTGAATTTGAGTTAATGATCTTGAAATAAAGAACAGTGGAGAGGTTAAGAGGTTACGTAGGAGGAGGCCTGTGGGAAATGTCTTGAAGTGTGAGAATTCTGGGTTCTCTCTCGACCCCTGTAGATGGAGGAATGGAGGTCAGTAAAAGAGAAGAATAGATCTGGGGGTGATTTATTGATATATCCTACATTGTCATAGTTCTTTACGGTTTTTTTTTTTTTTTTTTGAGACAGGGTCTCGCTCTGTCGCCCAGGCTAGAGTGCAGTGGCGTGATCTTGGCTCACTGTAGCCTCCACCTCTTGGGTTCAAGCGATTCTCCTGCCTCAGCCCCCCAAGTAGCTGGGATTACAGGGGTATGCCACCACGCCTGGCTAATTTTTGCATTTTTAGTAGAGATGAGGTTTCACTATGTTGGCCAGGCTGGTGTCGAACTCCTGACCTTAGGTGATCCACCTGCCTCGGCCTCCCAAAGTGCTGGTATTACATGTGTGAGCCACTGCGCCCAGCCCGTAGTTCTTTCTGTTTATCAAATATACAATAAACAAACAAAACAAAACACAACTTTAAAAGGACTTTTTTTTTTTTTTTTCAGAAATGAGCATATTTAATGTTTTTAAGTTTGGAGGATGCAGAGTTAATGAAGTTTTTTTCTCTTTCAGGAGGTACATGAGCTTTATTAGGAAACCAGGGAACATATTGGCATGTCTGAATGAATGAATCTCAGATTGTTGGGGAGAACCCTGTCTAATGGGCCAAATATTAGCAAATGTTCTAGACATATTTCAGCTGTATAGACTTCACATAAAAAGTGACTGATGGAGGGCCGTCAGAATGAAGAACGGCATTTACTGTATCTGAAGCTCCTGACTTCTGGATTCAAATTCTACAATGTCCAGCTTGAGCCTTGATATTGTACCACTTTTATTGTAAAGTACATCATCCTTTCTCCTTAGGTGACAAGCTTTGCCAGTTTGACATTTATACTTCAAAATATAGGCTACTCCTTGGAAGAAATCTTGTTAATTATTTGCCAGTAGAAAAAGAAGCATGGCTTAAAGTAAATACATACTGCCAAGCTGCCAATAATTATTTAATACCACTATGTATAGGAAATGATTCATGTCAAATTGCTCTAAATGAATTAGAATGAATTTCTGTCTTTACAGAAACTAGACTTGCAATTACTAATACAATAAAATAATATTTGAGACAGGGAGATGGGGAAAACCATTAGTAAAACCAAAACCAAAGATATATTTGAATCAATCTTGAGGAATAGTATTTATTCTAAAACCAGTTGGAAAATGAGGGAAAGATATCTCACTGGGAAGGAAGGGAGGGAGGTTGCCAGATGATCTAATATTTTATGAATCCCTTCTGTTTCTCAGACTCTCTGTAACTTATTTCATTTTATCCCTCAACACCTTCCAAAGTAATTTTTGTGTCACATTTTAGAGATGAAGACACCCATACCCCCCGCAACCCCCAAATTTTGGCAAATTGCCCAAGATCAAAGATCTCAAAGGTTTTCAACTGAGATTAAAACCCAAATATTGTTATCTTTGAAGACCATTCTTTATGATTTCTTGGAAACTCCCAACTCAGATCCTACAGAGATCTGTAGGGGAATATAAGAAGAAAGCCCATTGCTACAACTATTGTTTGTATTTTATATCACCTAGTTTATAAACAAAAATTCTTAGTCTCCATTTTTATTGTTCTATGAAACAGTTGAGAAGTAAGGAAGTATTCCTTAGAAAAATTAACACAGTTTCAAGGATTTTAGAGATAGACACTATAAATCAGCAATATAACTGCTACTTACTCATATTTAAGCCATCCGTTGAGCCAAAGATTTTACCCAGATATGGTAGTGGGTCAGAAGACTTCATTTTTGTTGCCTAAAAATAGATAAAATAATACGAAGTCTCTATGTTTCGTATTTCTGTTAAGCAAGGAGACACACCACCACTCTCAAAACAGTCATGCACAGCATACCTAGCTCAAATACATATATATGTATGGTTTCAAATAAAATATTCCTCTTCAAGGGGTTTGAGCTCTGTGGAAGAAGGCACATAAACTTAACTTTTCATAGTTAAATAGTTGCTGTGATTAATATTCTTTAAGGTATCATTCTGAGGGTAGATAAAAATTCTTAACCCCTTACCTAATTTGCTCCCATTATTTTGGCAGCTGTCTCCTCTTTGTTCTTAAAATTACCCAATCATCCAGGCATGGTGGCTCATGCCTGTAATCTCAGCTACTCAGGAGGCTGAGATGGGAGAAGTGCTTGAGGCCAGGAGTTTGAGACCAGCCTGAGCAACAAAGTGAGACCCTGTCTCTACAAAAAATTACCCAATCTACTTTGAACTTATTTACTATCCTGTTCAATTTTGTCCTTGGAAAGTCCCCACAGTGCCATTAATCAAGTTTTATAATTAGAAACTAAATACTGGACATTAATTATCATAAGTCAGATAACTTCTTTAAGTTTTAGCTTCCTATTCTGAAAACTGGGAATAAAAATACTGTCTCCCACAGTTGTCAGAAATAAATGAGACAATATTTGTAAAGCCATAAGCCCAATGCCTGACTCAATAAATGCTAGCTATTATTATTATTGTTATTAATACTGAATCAAATTATAAAACAAGCCTGCCAATTTCAAACTATCTAAAGTTTTATTTTGCCAATGTGTTTATTTTTCTAAAGAAAAATTTTACTATACTTCCAAAAATATTTGAAGAGCTTACCATTAAAGCCGTATTAAAAATAAGGTTTCAAAAATAAGAACAAAAATCAAAAGTCTTGTAAAGTAAACTGCCTCGGAAACATAAGCAATTAAGGCCACTGGTGACTCTCTCCATGGGTATTTGAATCCCTTTTCCATCAGAAGAATACTGGAAGAGAGTTAGCTGTTCCTAGAGCTGGTTCTGAGCTTCTAGGCAATAGAGACAGGAAGTTGGAAATAGGAACTTACACTGTTTTTTCCATGACTGATCAGAGGAAATGCCTGTTCAATGACGAGAGAGCAAAAAGGTTCTGTCTTTAAATTTCAAAAGGAAGTTATTGATTTGAAACTTCATAATAGAGACATTGACCAATACTATATGCATTATTTACAGAATATGAAGTATTCTGCATTTACACCCATTGTTTTACCTAGCAACTGGGAAGCACCGAATGTAAGATTGAGCTCTTTGATGAGAGCCCTCACAACAAGTTTGTGCTGTTGAGAGAAAATCTATATTTAGCAACCGTTATCAGATCTGTAGGTGGGAAATTTTATTTGAAAAACTGGCAAGTCTGGTATATATAAAATGTTTCCCCCATTCCAGTGAAGAATCAGAGTACTAGAAGAACGAAAATAAACTTCCTCAACAAAACAAAAAATTTTGAATTTTTAGAAGTTTATAAGAACCTGGAGAATATACTGGAGAAAAATTAAGAGCATGGGATATCAGTTTCCCAAAAGCTTAATTCCTAATAACAAGTATTCATGTGTGTGTGTGTGTGTGTGTGTGTGTGTGTGTGTGTGTGTATGTGTGAATGAAAATAAAATAGGAACTTATTTAACAAGAGACTTCAATATTTACATATTTTTCAAAAGTAATGAATAGTACATGATTTCTTATATTTAAAAGCCTGAAGTTATAAATATTGAAATTTGTAGATAGAAGTGGCAAAATGTCTAGGAAGGAACATTGGCTAGGACTGACCATAACCTTGCTGAGGAATACTTTTTGGGTAAATGCACAGAAGATGCGGACAGGCACCAGGATGTCAACTGATTAAGGTCACATAAGAAATAACTGTCAGAGCACTGGAATACTCACTATCTGTATAAGTACATTCTCACCTGTGGTCAATTCAGTACATATCTAAAAGTTTGCTTCACTAAATAAGAAACAAAGCTAATGTCATGAAAAGTCCCTAAGTTAAAATAGATGAACAATGATGTAAATCATCCTATTATAAAGATACATGCAAGCATATGTTCATTGCAGCACTATTCACAATAGCGAAGACATGGAATCAACCCAAATGCCCATCAATGATAGACTAGATAAACAAAATGTTGTACATACACAGCATGGAATACTATGCAGCCATGAAAAGGAATGAGATCATGTCTTTTGCAGGGACCTGGGTGGAGCTGGAAGCCATTATCCTCAGCAAACTAACACAGGAACAGAAAACCAAACACCTCATGTTCTCACTCATAAATGGGAGCTGAGCAATGAGAACACATGGACACAGGGAGGGGAACAACACACAGGGGCCTGTTGGTAGGGGAGGGAGGGCATCAGGAAAAATAGCTAATATATGCTGGGCTTAATACCTAGGTGATGGGTTCAAAGGTGCAGCAAACCACTATGGCACACGTTTACTTAGGTAACCTGCACATCCTGCGCGTGTATCCTGGAACTTAAGATAAACAGATGAACAAATCTTCCTATTTCAGGAGTTGCTTCACTACTGGGACAGAGGTATTTGAAATCTCTTGTCAAAAACTTTCTTTGATAGAGCTGTGTACCCATTGTTGAAATTTCATATCTATTCATCACTTTTATTTATGCTTCACTGTGATGTTCTGTAAATACTAACTTTCTCTTTGCATCTCTTGGTACACGTCTATGTTGCAGTTTTGGCACACTGACATATTCCTTATTTGCCTGGAACAGTGGTTTTCAATGCTGGCTGCACATTAAAATCACCTGGGGAGCTTTTAAGTATATCAATTTCATCAGTTAAGTCAAAGGCCCTGGGATTGGGGCTCAGGCATTGGCAGGTTGCAAAAACTCTCCAGGTGATTCTAATGTGTAGCCAGGGTAAGAACCACTGGGCTAGAGCCTTGGAGAAGGTTGTTTATTTAACCTTTTAAATCTGTTTTCTTTTTCCTTAGGGTTGACTGTGTTACAACAGGTTATACCTCTATGTAGTACCTTTACATGTTTATTTTCAGAAGGCTGTCTATTTCTGTATTTCCAATTTCTTGGGGATATCTCTGTAGCTTCAAAGAACAATCAATAATAAACGAATGCTATACTTTAAAATGATTTAGTTATACCAAGTTAGGGCTTTTCATTGGTCTTCCTCAATATTTGAATATGCAGTGTTTTTCAACCTTGACTGCACTTTGTAAACACTTAGGGATTTTTAAAAAAATATTGTTGCCCTGGTGGGGTCTTATCCCCACAAATTCTGATGAAACTGATCTGGGTTTCAGCCTGGATATTGGGATGCAAAACAAAGCTCCTCAGGTGATACTATTAATAGACTCTTAGCAGATAACTCTTGTAAATATTTTTAAGATAGGTAAAATGCATGGTAGGTAAATGATATGCTAATCCCTGGTCAAACTAAGGCAGCCAGTCAACCTTGGTTCCATGTGGGAATTGCTTGGGATCAGGGAGCTTTAAAAAATACTGATGCCTATGCCCTAGCAATTATGATGTAATAAGCTTTGGGTGTAAGCTGAATTTTGGGACTCTCCAAATCTTCCCTGGTGATTTCTGATATGCAGCAAAGTTTGAGAACCATAGTTTAGCCTGGTCTACTGTATTTAGCCTGGTCTACTATGATGGTTAATATTAAATGTCAACTTGAATGGATTGAAGGATGCAAAGTATTGTTTCTGAGTATATCTGCGTGTTTCTGGGTGTTGCCAGCAGAGATTAATATTTGAGTCAGTGGACTGGGAGAGGAAGACACGTCCCCGCCAGGAAGACCCACCCACAATGTGAGTGGTACCATCCAATCGGCTGCCAGCACAGCTAGAAAAAGCAGGCAGAAGAAGGTGGAAGAGCTAACTTGCTGAGTCTTCCGGCATTCGTCTTTCTTCCCTGCTGGATGCTTCCTACCCGCGAACATCAGACTCCAAGTTCTTCGGCCTTTGGACTCTCTTTTTTTGTTTTTTAAGAGACGGAGTCTAGCTCTGTCGCCCAAGCTGGAGTGCAGTGGCGTAATCTCGGCTCACTGCACCTTCCGCCTCCTGGGTTAAAGCGATTCTCCTGCCTCAGCCTCCCTAGTAGCTGGGACTACAGGCGCGCGCCGTCACGCCCGGCTAATTTTTTGTATTTTAGTAGAGACGGGGTTTCACCGTGTTGTCCAGCCTGGTCTCAAACTCCTGAGCTCAGGCAATCCACCTGCCTCGGCCTCCTAAAATGCTAGGATAACAGGCGTGCGCCTCCGCGCCCGGCCTGCCTTTGGACTCTTGAACTTAGACCAGTTGTTTGCTGGGGCTCTTGGGCCTTTGGCCACAGACTGAAGGCTGCACTGTTGGCTTCCCTACTTTTGAGGTTTTGGGACTTGGACTGAACCAGTACTGGCTTCGTTGCTCCTCAACTTGCAGATGGACTCTCATGGGACTTCATCTTGTGATCGTGTGAGTCAGTTCTCCTTAATAAACTCTCTTTCATATATACATATATCCTATTAGTTTTGTCCCTCTAGGGAACCCTAATACATCTACCAAACACGTATCTGTTTAGTCCATTTCAATAGTTTAAATCATACTAAGGATATTTTAAAGGGCACTTGTATGTGAATTTTATTGAATACAGGCTTAAATGACTTAGTAAATTGACAGTATATTCCTGCTTCTTTTTGTTCATATGTGTTTCAGAAGAAAAGATACAAACAGAAAATTGAATATGGTACACAGTCTACAGTTCATTAATTTTGATTTACTTATTGTTCAAACCTCTGTTAGTGAATTTTTTCTTTCTTTGATCTGATCTCTTTTGTCTTGTGTTGAATGGGAATTTCTAGAGGGCAACCCAATCCCTTTAACATGCTTTGTTGCCCGTTGAACACATCCCCATACGTCTTTCCGGAATTCAGTTGGATTATCAATTATTTTTCCAGAGTTCAATTGGACTTACATAAGTAGCTGCCTATTAAATCCCCACTAAGGCTGACTCTCAGAACCCAGCGGACACTCAGAGGGTACAGGTGAACCCAGGTTTGACATTTGGCCTCATTTCCGCCTCTCTCTTTGAGAAGAGTGAAGCACCTGTATAGCATTATTGAACAGACCTTCCAGAAACCGTTTGTCTTACTTGAAAAAGGGTCTCTTTCAAAAGGAAAACTCATACGTTTAACTAGTGACAATAAAGTAGAGGAGAGGATATTGATTTTTTTTTTTTTGGAAACCAAGCACACAGTTTTTATTACAGTTCAACAAAATTGCCAATATCCTTCTTAAAGCATTTTAATAAAATTGACATCCTTGGCAGAGAAACAGAGCAAGTCTTTCATTTTCAGACAGTTGCCACTGGGGGTCACCATTACAATTGCTAAGCTTTGCCTGCAGTTCCAGAGCCACGGCAGCAACTCGCCTAAAATGACGGAGAAGATGAGGGAAGGACTAATGTCTTTCAAGCAGCTTTTTTTCCTTAGTGTCGCATGGAGGCATTGTTCAAAGATAAGTATTTGTGTTTTGTGGGTAGGATACTCACCTGTGGTAAGAAGGGGTTCAATAAATTGTCTGTCCAATAGATAAAACAATTCTTCATAGTTATAGCTTATTTCTGAGGTTTGTGCCAGCCCTCAGAGAGGGTGATCAATATGCACTTTTCTGCTCTTCTGAATTTTTCAGAAATTAAACTAGGATTTGTCTGCAGCATGTTTTTTTAAATCACTCAACCTTGTTTTCTTTATTTTATGAGTATATCAACCCTTACTGTCTTATTAGTCAATACATTGTTTCTGCCTAGAAAATCCCTTTAGCTGTTTGCTTCTTACATATTAAATCACTGTCATTGCCATTACATAAGGGAAATCAAATGAATAACCAAACCAAAGCCAGCTTCCCCTAGAGTGTGAGTCATCATAGGACAAACAGGACTTTTGGACCATGTGAGGATATGTATGTATAAATTGTGCAATACAGGCACTCAGGAGAAGCAATCCGGGCAGGAGAGGGGGCCATGACAGCAGATGGCACTCCTGACTGTGTCTTAAACAGGGTATCTTAACTATTGGGTGGACTCCACTTATGTTTAACTTCTCCCAAGTAAAGCATCCCTTTCCGTAAAATTCTCTTGACCTTCATTGTTCACTCAGTACATTTAATCAACATTTCCCAAATATTCCCATGGTAAAAACTATGGCTAAAACAATACATAACACGGAATTACTGCCCTCAAGGATCACTTCCTGAGGTGTGACTTGTGCACACGGGGCCTTCTGCTCAGAAGTCCCCCTCTCCCATCATTGTCTTAAAATTCTTAATAATTTTGAAACAAGGGGCCTTGCATTTTCATTTTGTTTTGAACCTTGAAAATTATTTAGCTGGTTCTGACTGCCCCAAAGGGGCTAATACTATACAGGGGAGAGGAAAAAAATAAAGTGTACTTGGTAATGTAATGCCAAGATTTCAGATGTGATCTATTAGCTGTATGAACAAAAGAGACCATAGAAAGAGTATTATCCTATTTGCAGGGAAGTGGAGCGAATTTAGGAAAGGTTTCTTCATAATTCCCATATTACTAAGTACTTACGTGCAAGGTATTCAAATATGAATTGACCATGAACCCTGCCCATCTCAAGTTAACTCAGTATATGAAAAACTTATATAGGGCAGAATGAGCTTGATCAGATTAGGTAGGACATGTGACTAGGATCGAGTGTTTGTGTGAATAACATATTTTTCCTACTTTTATGCTTTTTTTTTTTCTTTTTTTTCAAATCTATCCCATGCAGGTCTGCTAGACCAATCTTTCTAACACATTCCTTTGAAAACTCCCTTATTCAAAAATGCTCATAGGATCCTCGTTGCTTCAAGATAAATTCTAGACCCCTTAGCATGGCATTCAAGATATCCTGCAGTATTGCTCCAGCGTTCATTTTTAACCTAATGCTTTATTATTCTATGTGATTCCTTTGACTTTGATCAAAATAGGCCATCTGAAATCCTAATGTTTCAGTTATCTGTTGTTGTGTAAGAGATTACTCCCAAATTTAGCAGCTTTAAACAATAAACATTTATTATCTCAGTTTCTGTGGGTTAGGAATCTGGGAGCAGCTTAGCTGAGTGGTTCTATACTTGGCAAAAGTAAAAGAAGCCAGAGAAAGAAGCTGGCAATACAAAGGGAAGCAGAAACAGTGAATCTCAGACATAAATGGGGTAGTATATCTAGAGAAAGGAGTGAAGATGCTACCAAATTCTCAGACATCTTGGTTGAATTGAACCATTTTACTTGGTAAAAAATTCCGCCCTCCTGAAATGCTGGCTGAAGGCAAGGGGATTTTGGAATGGGCCATGGAGAAATGAGAGTTATGGAGTTATTTTTCTCACTTATTGAATTATTTGGATTTTAGTTGTTGTTGCTGGCTTAATGCTGTTCTGGCTTTTATTCACTTTTGTATATGAGGTATGTTCTTCATGGTTAAATATATCATTTAGCTCAGGGATGTAGAGTGATGAAAACCAGCACCTGGATAGGTAGTGACAGCATTCAGGGAGAAATGGACATTCCCTGGGAATCATGGACTCTGAAACCAACAAACAACTTTTCCATTGGTTCCCAAAGCACCTCTCTTATATGACTGGCTGTCATTTTTTTGTTTGTTTGTTTCTCTTTTGAGACGGAGTCTCGCTCTGCCGCCAGGCTGGAGTGCAGTGGCGTGATCTCGGCTCACTGCAATCTCCACCTCCCTGGTTCAAGCGATTCTCCTGCCTCAGCCTCCCGAGTAGCTGGGACTACAGGGGCCCGCCACCACGCCTGGCTCATTTTTTTTTTTTTTTTGTATTTTTAGTAGACACGGGGTTTCACCATGTTAGCCAGGATGGTCTCCATCTCCTGACCTCATGATCCGCCCGCCTTGCAAAGTGCTGGGATTACAGGCGTGAGCCACCGTGCCCGGCCACGCCCAGCTATTTTTTTTGTATTTTTTTAGTAGAGACGGGTTTCACCATGTTGGCCAGGATGGTCTCGATCTCCTGACCTCGTGATCTGCCTGCCTCGGCCCCAAAGTGCTGGGATTACAGGCATGAGCCACTGCGCCCGGCTGAGTGGCTGTCATCTTATATGGGAAAACAGATTACATTTGCAGTTATTCAGAGGATAGTTGGAATATATTGGTTATGGCTCATATTTGAAGTTATATGCTTAGGAAGAAGCTTGTTGTGTTCCTGGCAGCAAGCAAAGGTTGAAATGTACTGCGTATATACTTCTGCCATTGTAAAATATTTGACCAGATCCAGAAACCAGAGGCATGTCGTTTGGAGACTTTCTTCATGTTGACAGGATCCATTTGTTAACCACCCATTAATTCAACCTTTGAACTCACTTAGTATGCTAGTAAGTCCTAATTGTTCCATCCGAGCCATAAGGGTATTATGACACTGGTCAAACAAACCCAGAAGTGAAGTAAGAAGAAAAGAACAAAGGAGAGAAGGAGAGCAATGCTGCCCTTTTACATAAAGGTGCCTTTGGGATTATGGGCTCTCTCTGTCCTTGATCTTGGATGTCTGTCTCTATTTATATTTAATGGTTGTTCTGGGACCTGGGACAAGCTTGTCACCATGGGGCTGGAAGTGAAGGTACATTTTCTAAGGAGGAGATGGCTTTCAAATAATGGCCTAAAACTATTGCAGTGTTCTGTGACAAATCTCCTGTGGCCCTGCCCTAGTTAGAACTCTGGAAATGAAGTTACTTTGGTGTGGATTAGAATAAAGGAAATGAAAGGTTGGAAGAAATCTGAAAGGGCATCTTGTGTAACCTGTGCCTGAATTCCCTTTAAAAAGCAGCCTCTGTCATGCAGATAAGCCCACACTTATACAAGCTTGTCAGTGACAGAAAAGTTTTTACTGCATAGAAATCCTGGCATATGTTGTACTGAACTCTATTTTCCCATAGCTGCTTCTCATTGTTTTTTGGCAGTTATAATGAGAAAATGGAATCTCTCACAAAACAGTTTTTAAATTTTTTTATACATCATGATTTCTAAACACAAGTAAGCCAATACAGCTGTGCTTTCTTGATGATACAGTGAAAAGATTCAAAGTTTTTAACTTTAAAACCTAACCTTGTGTATTACTCCGTTCTCATTCTGCTAATAAAGACATACCTGAGACTGGGTAATTTATAAAGGACAGAGGTTTAATTTACTCACAGTTCAGCATGGTTGGGGAGGCATCAAGAAATTTTCAAGGCAGAAGGGGAAGCAAACACGTCCTCCTTCACATGGTGGCAGCAGCAAGGGGAAGTGCCAAGCAAAAGGGAGAAAACCTCTTATTAAACCATCAGATCTCTTGAGAACTCACTCGCTATCACAAGAACAGCATGATGGTAAGCTCCCCCATGATTCAATTACCTCCCACCAGGTCCCTCCCACGACATGTGGGGATTATGGGAACTAAAGTTCAAGAGGAGATTTGGGTGGAGACACAGACAAATCATATAACCTTGCATAGGATGGGATGCTACTGCATGTAACTTACATCTGTCTGTTTCTGTCCTGACCCCATACAATCTAGTTTCAACACAGCATCTAGAGTTAATTTTAAAGAAATTAAAATCTACCAACATAGTAAAAATCCCATCTCTACTAAATATACAAAAAAAATTAGCCAGGTGTGGTGGTGGGCACCTGTAATCCCAGCTACTTGTTAGGCTGAGGCAGGGGAATCGTTTGAACCCGGGAGGTGGAGGTTGCAGTGAGCTGAGATCATGCCACTGCACTCCAGGCTGGGCAGCAGAGTGAGACTCCATCTCAAAAAAAAAAAAAAAAAAAAAATGAGGTCACATCATTCCTCTGCTAAAAAACTGTTAATGTCTGCATTTCACACAGGGTGTAATACAAAGTCCTTACAATGGCCCAGGAATCCCTACGTGATTGTCCTCAATTACCTATCTGGTGGTCTCTCCTAACTGCTGGCCCTGCTCCGTCCATACTGACTTTCTTGCTGTCCCTGGAACATGCCTTTACATCAGAGTCTTGACTCCAACAATCTTCTCCTAGAAGGATTGGCTTGCTCTCTCACTTCCTTCAGATTTTTGCTCATACTTCACTCTTTCAGTGAGGCCCATTCTTTCTATCTTATTTTGAACTGCACCACTCTCTCCCTGTACTTCAGGTTTCTTTGCCATTCCCCCGTCCCCTGTAAGCCAATCTCTTTTAATGCTTTACTATTTAATTTACTTATCCATTATGTCTGTTGTTTATTGTCTCCCCCCAAGAATGTAAGCTCATGAGGGCGGGAATCTTTGCCTGTTTTGTTCACTAATGCATGCCAAGTACCTAGAATTGTGCCTGGCAGGTATAGTACGTGCTCAATAAGCATTCAATAAATTAGAATTTGGGAATTCTCCCAACCCCTTCTTAATGGATATTGAGCTTTCCATTCTGTATGTTTAGGAACTGATCTTTGCTTCTTTTTTGAAAATCTTGTGTATTTTCAGTGGCTATTTTGACTTTTCTTCCGATTTCTTAAGAAATAATAGTGAGGTGAGGGGTATTGTATGTTCATATCTACAAATGATTTATCGTAGCAAGCATTATGTTCCAAAGTCCCAGCTATACCATGGACTTTGAAAATGCCAGACTCCACAGGTGTTTGAATTCTGGTCTAACTGCTTACTAACTCTGACAATAGGCAAGTCAGTCATTTTATTTGAGCTTGAACTTCTTCATTTACTGTAAGAGAAATTAAAATATACCTCATAGGGTATATATATATAACGAATATACAGTTAGATGATGTATGTACATCTCTTAACATGTTTCCCAGGCCAGTGTTTTAAAAATTAATGTGTGCATGAAATCGTCTGAGACTGTTGCTAAAATGAAGATTCTGATACAGTAGATCTGCGGTAGGGCCTGAGATTCTCTGTTTCCAAATGATGCTGATGCTACTGATTCATGGATCACACTCAGAGTAGCAAGACCCTAGAATGAAGAAGATGCCCAATAAATGTTTGTTTCCTTTATCGTCTTTTTTCCCCTATCTCGCCTATACTACCTCCAGTTATTTAGTGCCTGGAGACACAAGCTCATTTAAAGTGGCTCTCACTTCTTTACTTGGGTTTCAATTCCCTCTTAATGAGGTTTGTTCTACCCTTTCCAAGTTGATGATCATTTTCATTGATGGAAAAGGTGGAAGTAACATAAGAATTAAGAAGTTTTCCTTTTCATTCTCATTTGAAGTCTAGCCTAAAGAATTTTGTTTTCCTTATTTTTCTCATGCCTCAGTCATGGCAGACTTGGTTTTCTGGTTCTGATTTTTACAAGTCCATTCTATTCCTGGCAATTCTCAATGGTTGCATGCCTCCCTTTCAGTTTTGTGTATGAACTTTTAAGATCTGACTGAATCAGGGAAGACCCTTTGCCAAGTTAAACAAAATATCTCCTTATAAACTCAGGTATCAGAAAGGAAAAGTTCAAGACAAATCACTAATGGGCATAGAATTCTGATGTTATTAATCACAAAGTTTATCCCTCTTCTTATACACAAACACTCCCCCAGACACACACATACATATCCTCCCTCTTACCAAGGAAAGAAGGAGAAAAGTGTTCTAGTAAAAAGAAAAGTGAAAGGGATCGTAGTCACTATGAGATATCCTAGAAAGTTTTCTTTTGTTGTGTAGTTTATACAAAACCAGAGATATTGTCCACGTCCCCTTTGCATGTGAAGACACTTTGAGCTGCATTAGCGTATCTGTTAGGGTGTGGTGTTGAAGAGCTGGAATTCATATCACTATTATAATAAATTCAATTCAATTTCACAAACAGAACTCCTGGTCTGTGCCAATCACTGTGTAGCTAGCATTACAAAGATGTACATGAATTGGGGGCCTCACTATCAATTAGGGGAGATATATACATGAAATAAATAAGCACAGTGTAGTATAATGAGTGCACAAGTTATGAAGATAGCAGATGGAAAGCAGGTAGGGTGTAGGCTTAAGTGGGGAGAGGGAGGTGGTCAGGGAAGTATTTACAAAGGAGGCCTCATTTTTTATTTATAAAGAATGAGGGTAAGGCCTTGTTTCCATTAAATGGCATTATAGCTAAGAAGACCAGGCAAATTAGAATTTTGCCTTCACTCATAATTGGGTAATTCTCTCCTCTGTAAAGTTTCTAAGGAAACTATGCTCATGAGAGCATATCATGAAGATTATCAAAGGATTACCTTTTTATTCCTTGAATAAGTGTTTGCTTCTCCAAAGCTGGCCTCCATAAGTGGCACAAGAGTGTGTGTCTCCCATTTCTCCCTTAATCCTCAGATCCCATCCCTAAATGGATGGGATCTCTTGATTGCTTGAATGTGCCTGTGGGAAGAGAAAGAGCCTCAGCTTCCTCAAACAGGTGCAATGGTAGGGGAATTAATGAAGAGAACAGGATAGCCTGTATTATTTCCTGCAGGACAGTGCCAGAGTAAGAAGGGAGAGAGGAAGAAGCCTGGGATCAGATCTTACTTAGCCCTTTGGATGAGGGAAGTAGAAAAGAAGATTACATTTAGATAAGTGACCTCTTACTCTGTAGTAGATCATTTGCAAAGTCCCTCCCTGTATACTATAACTTTGCCTCTCATCGCACCAAGACGTAGAGTTTATTTCTCCATCCTTTGAATCTGGGCAGGCCTTGTGACTTGCTTTGGCTGATACAATGTGGCAGAAGTGTTTTATATAAGCTTTGGAGCCAAGGCCTTGAGAGACTTTGCAGCTTCTGCTCCCCCCTTTTTAGAACCTTGAGATGGCTGTATGAAGGAGTCAGGCTAGCCTCCTTGCAGATGACAGGCCACATGGAGGAGAGGGAGGCCCAGCTGACAGTCAGCATGAGCTGTCAGACATGTGAGTGAGGCTGTTGTGTAACATCCAGTCCCCACTGAGCAGCAAGGCCAGCAGGAGAAATGCCCAGCTGAGTCCAGACTACATTACTGACCCAGATAATTATGAGTGACATTTAAGCCACTATGTTTTGGGGCGGTTTGTTTTGCAGCCATAGATAACTGATGCAAATACCTAACAATAGTGGGCAAATTCATGGGCTGGAATCTAAGCAATCAGATTTGAAGCTTTTTAAAATTTTTTTATTTTTTTTATTTTTTGCAAAGGCTCTAGGACAAGAATTGAAAGAAGAGGATAAGAAGGGGATAAATGATCCTCTGTATGGTTACCAGGAGGCTTGTCATCTGAGCAACTTTCTAAGAGTACTTTCAGTTACATAGGTCCTTTGAAATTCTGCTTTGGCAGCTTGGAGACTTTGATTGTAGGAAACAGTTCAAAGCCTTTAACGGCCCTCTCTCCACCTTGGACTTGGCAATATTAAAGGCCAAAGAACTCTGCAAAGTGTTGCTTGAAGGGCTCTTTTTTACTTGCTTATTCTGTTTAAATCCCAGTTTTCTGCCGTTTTGACCTCTTTCATGAATTTGATGTTTCGAGTGTTCCTTGATTTTCCACTTGCTATTTCAGCAAAATAAACACCCTTTCTTACTTGCCTCTCACTTCCACCTGGGCCTTAGACCTGATCACACTTAGTTCCACAGTGGATCACCTCCCCACTCAATCCTGGGTTCCAGGACAAACCACAACCTGGGATGCCACTTCCTCCCACCAGGTAAAGGCGATCAGACACGGAAAATACTTTGTACTCACAACCATGACTTACAATTACCTTTTTTCCCTCAGGAGTCTCCTGCATTGCTATTAAAATTACATGATTATTTTATATTGCTGGGATACCATAAAACCTTGGTTATGTTCTACTTGATATAGAAAGAAGGTATAAAATTAGTAAATAAAACTTCCTAAATATTGCTTATTTTGAGGCAAAGTATGTTAAAATATGGGGCAAGTCTCATTCCTATTTCAGAGTCTTTGAATTTATTTTATTATTTTCCAGCTTTTCACATGTTTTTTGCACTTCACTCATATATTTATTCAAATGTCACTTCCACAAACAACACTACCTTGATCACCTAACTGTCCTGTCACTCTCTGGTCTGTTAAGCAGATTAATTTTTTCATAGATTTTCTCACTTTCTGATCTTTTACTATATTTTCATTTGTCTATCACAAGGGTGGGATCTTTGTCTTATTCTCTGCTATACCTAGGACCTATAAATGTGCACAGAGCCTAATAGTTGCTTGATAAATTTTTTATAAATAACAAATCTTCATGCTAGCATTATCTATGATTTTGCTAAAAATTCCTTCTGATTCAAGTAATAGGTAATACTATTGAGCAGCATATGTTGGTGCAAAAGTAATTGTGGTTTTGGCGCTGAAATCTGCCGTTTGATACTGGAATACATTCTTAAATGTGGTTATGTTATGCATCATTTTAATGTGCGTTTATCGCTTTTTTTTTTTTTGCTAATGACTTATTTGCTGTTTATACTTATTTTAGACTATGGAAATGATGTTAGACAAAAAGCAAATTTGAGCGATTTTCTTATTTAAGTTCAAACTGGATTGTAAAGCAGTAGAGACAACTCGCCACATCAACACATTTAGCCCAGGAACTGCTAACGAATATATAGTGCAGTGGTGGTTCAAGGAGTTTTGCAAAGGAGACGAGAGCCTTGAAGGTGAGGAATGTGGTGGCCGGCCACTGGAAGTTGGAAGTTGACAATGACCAATTGAGAGCAATCATCAAAGCTGATCCTTTTACACAAGAAGTTGCCGAAGAACTCAACGTTGACCATTCTACGGTCATTTGGCATTTGAAGCAAAATGGAAAGGTGAAAAAGCTCGATAAGTGGGTGCCTCATGAGCTGAGCAAAAATTAAAAAAAGATTTTGAAGTGCCATCTCTTATTCTGCGCAACAACAATGAACCATTTCTGATCAGATTGTGATGTGCGACAAAATCTGGATTTTATACGACAACTGGTGATGAGCAGCTCAGTGGCTGGACCAAGAGGAAGTTACAGAGCACTTCCCAAAGCCAAACTTGCACCAAAAAAAAAGGGTCATGGTCACTATTTGGTTTGCTGCTGAACTGATCCACGACAGCTTTCTGAATCCCAGTGAAACCATTACATCTGAGAAGTATGTTTAGCAAATCAATGAGATACACCAAAAATTGTAATGCCTGCAGCCAGCATTGGTCAACAGAAAGGGCCTGATTCTTCTTTACAACAACACCTGACTGTATGTCATATAACCAATACTTCAAAAGTTGAATGAATTGGGCTACAAAGTTTTGCCTCATCTGCCATATTCACCTGACCTCCGCCAACTGACTACCACTTCTTCAAGCATCTCAACAACTTTTTGCAGGCAAAATGCTTCCACAACCAGCAGGATGCAGAAAATGCTTTCCAAGAGTTTGTTGAATCCTGAAGCATGGATTTTTATGCTACGGGAATGAACAAACTTATTTCTCATTGGCAAAAATGTGTTGATTGTAATGGCTCCTATTTTGATTAATAAAGATGTGTTTGAGCCTAGTTATAATGATTAAAATTCATGGTCCAAAACTGCAATTACTTTTGTACCAACTTAATAACAAAGGAAAGAGCTCTATGGCATACCATTAGAGACAACCCTCTCCACTGAATGAGAACAAATAATCAACAAGAATAGGCATTCATTACTTAAATATCTGTGCATTTTTCCTAACAAGAGTATCATGCAGCCATGGTGGAGCACTTTGCCTACAAGAGCACCACAGTAGGATGACCAACTTGTCTTGGTTTGCTTGAGACTTTTCTGGTTTTAAAACAGAAGGTCCTGTGTCTGAGAACCCCCTTGGTTTTGAACAAACCAAGACAATTGGTCACTCTAACATGGGATATTTTCCTGAATCCTAGATAAACTGTCCATGTCAAACCTATGAGTTGTTATTTTGGTTTCCTATCAAAAACAATGAGATTTGCTTGGAATGCTTTGTTAATGATGTCATGTTGATAGCTGGTGAGGTTGACAACTCATCTTTAATCACTTCTAGAATTTTTTCATGGATGAATATCAAGCTAGCTAGCTTTTCCTTTCTAATAGTCATGTTTCTCATTTTTGAATATTGGGATATTTGAATTTCAAGTACTCGGACATTTTCCTTTCTCTCAGAATTTTTGAAACACAGTGGTGTCAAGTTTTTGCACCTGATTTGTCCTTAAGATTTCTGTAAGGCAATATATGCCAGGAGGCGTTTGTTGTCGAAGAAGCACAAAGATGCTAGGAAGGTCTGAAGATTCATCTCTTGAGATAGTGGGTTTGTTCCTTAGCAGGATGCCAGTTGACGGTAAGGCCAGGGAAGCACATGCTATTAGCTAGGCTCTCAATTTGAATCCCTGATCAGTTGGCTATGACTCAGTCTGTGTCAATAATATTTTGAGATTTTTCTTGTTTTATATCTCATAATACATTATATGTTTTTCATTCATAGGCTAGTTTATGTTGGCTTAAAGAGATACATTATAGAATCTCTAAGAGGATGGATTGTGTGCTTTGCTTTAATATGGGTATAGCACTTAGAATGGTAAATGGTTACTACATGTTATTCTTTCTGTGTTTCATCATGTACATATGGCCTCATAATGTCTCCACTGCTCCTTACATATTGGTGCCTCTATGTCTTGTGTCTGTGTCTTGTACATTTATCATCTCTTGAGATAATTTCTTTCTTACCCATGGTTTCAACTACTTCCCATAAGCCTATAAGCCTATGCCTTCCAAATCTAATTCATACCTCTAGCCTTTACTTTTTTCCTGAGCTTCTTATATAGCCATCTGTCTCCACTAAGAATTGCACCCAACAAATCTCCAGTCCACCTGTGCCCTGCCTCGTTCCTGCCATATTTCTTATCTAATATTAGGAATATAATACAGATACCTGGCCACAGTTCCAGGTCACAAGAATGCAGGTACCAGGGATAGCCTAAAATGAGTCCTATGCTAGACCGTGGCAAGCCATTTGGGGGTCAAGGACAAAACAGAAACCTGAAAAAGCTGTCATTTGACTATCAAACACAAAGAGGCAGGGAGGAATTTTGGAAGGATGAAGAAGAAAATAGGCATAAACCAGAAATATGGAGATTTAGGCAAGTCAAAGGACAAATAAGGGATTTCACTGATGTTTAGTTTCAGCTATAGCATTCACCTCTTGTGTAGTGTATAGCTCCTGTTACTTGGTATATAGCTCCTGTTACTCAAAAGACAAAATATTACTATGCTAGGAAAAATGGTGCATATACCAACCTGACTTCTATATTATATATAATTCCCCATTTTACCAATTACATATGAACTAATTCATGCTACAGACACACATGTAGAACAGTAGGTAATTTATCTATTATCTTACTAATCTTTATCCCGCCCAATGAGGTACCATTCCTGTTTTTCTGATAAGAAAACTGAGGACAAAAGTTACATATCTTGTCTAAAGCTGCATAATTAATGTATTCATCAAGATAGGATGGCTATTACGTGGGAATGATTACCCCTGAAATCTAAGTTGTTTAACACAGTAAAGATTTATTGTGCTTATAGTGTTTATTCTCACTCATGTTACATATCAGATGTTGGTTGGTGGGGGGCTCTGCTCCGTATAGTTAAGAGACTCAAGGCGATGAAGGCTCTGCCACCTTGTATCAAAATAATCTGGAACAGGTTTCCATGGAAGCAAAGGTGGAAGTGGTAGGTGAGAAACACCATTCTTAACTGCTTGTCCGTTGGCCAAAACTAGTCATGTGACACTAGTCTAACTGGAAGAGAGGCTGGAAATGTGGGATTGCAAATAGAATATTTTGGGAGCACTGTCTTAGCAAACCAATAAGTGTGGCAGAGATGTAAACTCAGGTTTGTTTATTTCCAAATTCAATACTATTTCCACATCTAACCCTCTGTCACAGGATTTTTGAAGATCAAGATTAGGTGCCAAGGAGTCTAGAGAGTCTAATCAGGACCAAGTTGAATAGATCAAATGTGACCAGTCATGCCTAGAACAAGCACAGCACCATGGAATAGGAGGCAAGCCATGAGAGGAAAGAAGTGTGATGGTTTTGAGGCAGAGAAAATGTAATCAATAGAGATGTCAAAGTATAAAGGCCAGAGCAAACAAGGATTTGGAGACATTAAGCAGCAATCGATACAGAGCAAACAAAGATGGATCATGGAGTGGGAAGATGAAAGGCAGTTTAAGAACCAGCCAGGGACATATCCCACTTATACTGACAGCAGGTCTTGGAATCCTCTCAATGTGCCAATTGTCAAAATCCATGATAGGCAGAAAGTGTCCTAAAAGGATCAAGACTATTGTTTAAAAATCCATCAGTGATTCCCAATTCCTTCACCGGCAGAACCAGATCCATCTCTTTGCTGCATGCCAGACTTGTTACTGTCATAAACTGTTTGCACATCTTCAATTATGCCATGGTTTTTCAGACCTCCATGCCCTTTACCAGTTGGATCCCTTTCCTAGCATGCATTTTTGCCTCTTCTTCTTCCAGCTAAAATCTTCTCACTGTTGTTGAAGTAATAGGTACCAGAGAAAGTAGTCTGAACAAACAAAACATGGCTTCTGTTTCCATAGCAACCTGGACCTATTTCTATCACCTGGGCATTTATCACATAATCTTTTAACTAGTGGTTTTCTTGTGGGTGTGAGCTTTGTTTCCCATCACATAGCAGAGTCTGGCCCATAGAAGATGCTCTGTATTCACTGAATGGGCAGAGCTGCAGATTTGTGTGTTTACGTGCCATTTCATGGCATGGAGTTCCAGATCAGCTCCATGGGTTACTTTGAGAATGAGTGTAAACACTAAAATCAACCTGCAAAGATCAAAAGTGCCTCATGTTATTGTCTGACATAAGGCAAAGCTATGTAAGTATCAGAATTTTTTGTTTTCTCCAGAAAATAAAAGCATTTTGGTTAAATATTTACAGTTTCTTTCAATTATTTTTCATTTATCAGTGAGACTTGACATGTTTTCTTTTTTATTTAAAAGTGCAATAGTAGAAGATAGTTTATCAAGTACGGTCCACTCGGGAGAAAACGCAAGTGTTTTAACTGACACAAATTAATAAAAATAATTGTTAATCAGTTATTAGAGAACCTAAAAGACAATGTGAGGGCATGGAGGTATAAGCAGTGGTAGTAACATCAGGAAACTATTGCCTACCATAGTTCCCAGGACTATGTGAACAAAGAAAAGAGGTTGAAATGATGAAAAATAGACCTTGGAGGAGTCTCGAAGAACTGGGACTCAGACCTGTGAAGATGGGGTGCCAGCCATTTGGTACTGGTGTCTGAGGGGGTGCAATGAGGCTGGTTCTGGATACATGAAAAAAAACTACAAACTAGAACTAAGTGCCCCGGGTGGGGTAAAGAATCATTGTTGGGATGACTCCGAACAAAAACTGGAGAAAGCAAGTCCTTTTTACTCCTCTAACTTATTGTCTCCCTCGAACGCTCTCTAGTAGTAGGGAATAAAAGGGAGTCACTCACTGGCAGAGCTGAAAGGGGATTCGCAGAGTCCCAGCTTGAGCCTCGCGGATCAGTACACACCAGCAGTTTGAAGCTGAGAGATAATGAAGTCTTAATAACCAGTGTGTAAAATAAAGAGAAAGCCTACCAACCACCATCAAACATCTTTTTAATTTTTGCTTCTTAGCTTCCATATGTGAATTCATCTTTACATAGTTTTAGCATTATTCTGTATTTGATATTAAATCATTATTTTTTATGTTTCTACATTATATTAATAATCATCGTGTAAATGGTTGCATAATGGTACATTGTTTCTGTGGAACCTAATTTATTAAACTGTTCTCCTAAAGTTGGGCATTTATATAGTTTCTAATTTATAGCTACTATGGATAAAACTTATAATTAACATTTGTGTACATACCTTTCTCCTATTTAATATTCCTGAGTGGAATTATTATTTTAAAAGGTATTGACATCTTTGTGTTGCTTTATTGTTCTTCAAAAGTAATTTATGCCACCATCAGCAATGAGTATACTGATTTAACCAGTAAATACTGATTTTTAAGCATCCATATGAAATCATGGAAAAACAAAGGCATATATTTTGAAGGCAATGGCAAAATTAGTTGTAGGACAGAGGGCATTTAAAACTTAAGTTTTTAAACATGCACTTTGCTCTTTAAACAGGAAATATGGCCACAATGTAAGGGTGACAGATTTCTTAGCTTGGTCTTCTATAGGTTAAATGTTTCCAGTGAATTAATTACTTAAGGCAGTGGTTCTTAAAGCATGATTCCTGGACAAGCAATGTTGGCATAACTTGGGAACTTGTTAGAAAAACAAATTTTTGGCCTCTGTCTGGGATCTACTGAATCAAAAAATCTGAAGGTGGAGCTCAGAAATCTGTGTTTTAAAAAGCCCTCCAGGTGACTCTAATACATACTAAAATTAAGGAACCACCAACATAATATGTATTCTGTAGAGACAGCTTGTTACTTTAACTCCAGTTTGCACTTTGAACATATTTAAAGAACTTTTTCACTTTGTATTGAGAAGTTAAAAAAAAAAAGTACAAATCTTAACATAGGGATATCTTAACATTAAAACAGTTTTTTCCTGTAGCTTGAACTTTACAAGTGTCAGTGAAGTATTTTAAAAAGTGAAAATACAGAGGTCACAATGTTGATTCAGCTTTTACCCTGTGTTTGCAGGCAGACTCTCAATTTCATTCTTGTAGTTATTTGCAGTGGTTCCCATGGCATTGAGGCAAAGAAATTAAACTGTACTTAGAAAAGAAATGTGAGGTTTGTAAATAGTGTCCCAAACACATTAAAATTTTAAAGTAATTACATCTTGATTTGCATGGAACTTTAAATTTTTCCAGCTTTCCATATTCATTGTGGTGAGACTTCTGATTGCGAGAAACAAAAATCTAACTCAAACTAGTGAAGCAAAAAAGAATTTTTTTGGATCATGTACCCAAAAGCATGGGAAGCTGGAAGTCAAGCTGGGATTCAGGGATGATTGGAACTAGTCATGTGACACCAGTCTAACTGGAAGGGAGGCTAGAAATGTGGAGTTGCAAATAGAATATTTGGAATCAAGGACTCTATTTCCTGTCTCTGCTTTTGTACTGGCTTCTTCCACATACCCGGGAACATGGCTGCCCAAATCTCCTTGGCTCAAATGATGATGATGATGATGATATAGCAATGGGTCTTAATGAATATTTAACATGTTCTAAGTACTATGGTGAGTGCTTTACATGTAACTTAGATTATGTATTACTTATGAGACACACTTTAAGAAGATTGAGACTTAAGGAGTTTGATAATTTAATCGAAGTCACAAAATTAGAAAGTAGCTAGACCAGGACTCAAACTCAGGAAGTCTGACTTCAGAGTCCATGTTCGAGATCACTGGGCAATACTGGGTTAGTCAAGTATGGCCAAAAGGGCTGTTCATAAAGAGATGGGGACTTCTACTTGAACCACATAATTAGTGTAGAGAAAAGAATAGCTTCCAGGAGAGATAGAGTGTTATTTTCAGTAGAGAATGCAATATCAGACAACCAAATTCAGCCTGGGCAATTAATACTGACTGTGAGGCATGATTACTACCCACATTTCACAGCTTTAGAAAGCTTGAGTAATTTCTCTTAGTTAATTCAGCAATTCAGTAGTGGAGTTGTAACTAGAATTAGGTCTTTTGGCTCAGAGATCAGTGCTCTTTTCATTATAAAATTCTATACCTCCCTATCTATTACATTCTATTTACTGAATTAACTTGTTCTTCCGGGTACCCACTGAGAGTTCTCATTCCTGCTGCAACTGTATGAGCTATTCAGCCTTGGCTGGATAGAATCTATGTTAACTCTTCTCCTTTTCCCCTTCAACCCACCCAGCTCTCCTTCACTTCCAGGCAAACTAAGGGGCAGCATCTTCTAGGCCCCTGTTATGGTTGCTGAATACCTCCATCAGAGGAAATACCTTATTTACTTCTGCTTGTTTATTGGCATGCATGTCTCCCTACCAGAATATAAGTCCAGGAAGGGCAGAATAGAATTTTCACTACCTGTATAACCCAGACAAGTGTGATTTGAATTACATATTAAGATTGTAATATATACTTGAATGGATAGTTTGGAACTCTTCATTTCACAAATATTTATTGAACAACTTTCCTGAAAGATTATGAGAAGATAATGACCTCAAGGGATTCACTGTCTTATAAGAGAGATAAGCCATAGGTCATAAATAATAATATGAAGTAGGAATTAAGACCTAGGGTAAAGCCAGTCTTTCCTAGAATGAAAACCTTCTCCACACTCAATGTCAGCAAATGCAACCCAAGAAGGCCTGCCCCTCTGACACAGATTTTTATTACAGTGAATCAGATAGAATGGAAGTTTCATTCAGTCTCCAATGCCACTACTTAAATTGACCTCCAATCACCAGGTGGTTTTCTATTGCTAATATTAGTTGATTTATCTTTTTAAGTGGACATTTGTATATTTGTACTGGCCTAACAAATCCACTTTAGGAAAATAATATTTACCTTGCTGGGTTAATAGTACCTTTTGGGTTGTGGTAAAAATTAAATGAAATATTCCTATAACACATTTTATATAGTGAGTATATTAGTCTGTTCTCATGCTGCTAATAAAGACATACCTGAGACTGGGTAATTTGTAAAGGAAAAAAGTTTAATTGACTCACAGGTCCACATGGCTGACGAGGCCTCACAATCATGGCGGAAGGTGAAGGAAGAGCAAAGGTACATCTTACATGGCGGCAGGCAAAGAGAGAGCATGTGTAGGAGAACCCCCCTTTATAAAATCATCAGATCTCGTGAGACTTATTCACTACCACCAGAACAGCATGGGAAAGACTGCCCCTGTGATTGAATTACCTCCAACCAGGACCTTCCCACAATACTTGGGAATTATGGGAGTTACAATTCAAGATGAGATTTGGGTGGGGACACAGCCAAACCATATCATTGCACCCCTGGTTCCTCCCAAATCTCATGTCCTCACATTTCAAAACAAATCATGCCTTCTCAACAGTCCCGCAAAGTCTTAACTCATTTCAGCATTAACTCAAAAGTCCACAGTTCAAAGTCTTATTTGAGATAAGGCAAGGCCCTTCTGTCTATGAGCCTGTAAAATCAAAAGAAAGTTAGTTACTTCCTAGCCACAATGGGCTATAGGCATTGGGCCAATAAACCCACTCCAAATGGGAGAAATTGGCCAAAACAAAGGGACCATAGGCCCCATGCAAGTCTGAAACCCCATAGGGCAGTCATTAAACCTTAAAGTTCCAAAATGATCTCCTTTGAGTCCATGTCGCACATCCAGATCATGCTGATGCAAGAGGTGGGCTCCCACGGCCTTGTGAAGCTCTGTCCCTGTGGTTTTGCAGGGTACAGCCCCCCTTCTGGCTGCTTTCACAGGCTGGCATTGAGTGTCTGTGGCTTTTCCAGGTGTACAGTGCAAGCTGTCATTGGATTTACCATTCTGAGATCTAGACGATGGTGGTCATCTTCTTACAGCTCCACTAGGCAGTGCTCCAGTAGGGACTCTGGGGTTGGGGGGCTCCAACTCCACATTTCCCTTCTGTACTGCTTTAGCAGAGGTTCTCCATGAGGGTCCCACCCTTGCAACAAATTTCTGCCTGGACATCTAGGCATTTCCATACATCCTCTGAAATCTAGGCAGAGGTTCCTACACCTCAATTCTTGACTTCTGTGCACCCACAGGCTCAATACCATGTGGAAGCTGCCAAGGCTTGGGGCTTACGCCCTCTGGAACCATGGCCTGAGCTGTACCTTGGCTCCTTTTAGCCATGGCTGGCGTGGCTGTGACGAAGGGCACTAAGTCCCTAGGCTGCACACAGCATGGGGGCCCTGTACCCAGCTCAAGAAACTATTTTTCCTCACTAGGCCTTCAGGCCTGTGATGGGAGGGGTTGTCTTGAAGGTCCCTGACATGCCCTGGAGACATTTTCCCCATTGTCTTGGGGATTAACATTGGACTCCTTGTTATTTATGGAGATTTATGCAGTCAGCTTCAATTTCTCCTCCGAAATTAGGGCTTTCTTTTCTATCACATTGTCAGGCTTAACATTTTCCTAGCTTTTATGCTCTACTTCCTCTTGAACACTTTGCTGCTTAGAAATTTCTTCCACCAGATACTCTAAATCATCTCTCTCAAATTCAAAGTTCCACAGACCTCTAGGGCACCAGTCTCTTTGCAAAAGCATAGCAAGAGTGACCTTACTCCAGTTCTCAACAAGCTCCTTATCTCCATCTGAGCCCACCTCAGCCTAGAACTTACTGTCCATATCACTATTGGTATTTTGGTCAAAGCCATTCAACAGGTCTTTAGGAAGTTCCAAACTTCCCCACATTTTCCTGTCTTCTTCTGAGCCTTCCAAATCGTTCCAGCCTCTGGCTTTGCCCACTTCCAAAGTCACTTCCACATTTTTGGGTATCCTTACAGTAATGTCCCACTACCCAGTACCAATTTACTGTATTAGTCTGTTCTCATGCTGCTAATAAAGACATACCTGAGATTGGGTAATTTATAAAAGAAATAGGTTTAATTGACTCACAGTTCCACATGGCTGGGGAGTCCTCACAATCATGACAGAAGATGAATGAGGAACAAAGTCACGTCTTACATGATGGCAGACAAAGAGCATGTACAGGGGAACTCCCCTTTATAAAACCATCAGATCTCATGAGACTTCATAGAACAGCATGAGACAGATTGCCCCCATGATTCAATTAACTCCCACTGGGTCCCTTCCATGACATGTAGGAATTATGAGAGCTACAATTCAAGATGAGATTTGGGTGGGAACACTGCCTAACCATATCAGTGAGCATTCACAATTGTTTTTCTTGGCAGTAGGGTTGTTAAAATAAGCTTTGAGAATTATACATTCAAACAAAGAGTATCAATAAAAACTTATATTTGACAAATTGAAGCATTGTTCTATTTTAAAGAAACTCTTTGCTAGGCTTCAAGCATGCACATATGATCCTGTTCTCAGTCCCCACTGGTTTTTACATCTTCATTTCAGACTTGTTTGAAACCAGACTTCCTTGCAGCAGTAATGTGAAATCTTAAAGCATCAACTCAAGCAGTATTTCACAATTTACCTTGTAAATCAACCAGAGAACTGAATCCAGAATATTGCCTTACTTGGAATACTTTTCTTCCTTTTCCCTATATATTTAACTCTTAATTTATTCTGGACACACAACTGAGGGACATGGCTCTCCCTTGCTAGGCAAGCAAATATATTCAGTTTTTTTTTCTTCTATTTAACACCTGTCCTCTGACTTCCTTTAACTTTGGAAGAGGTACAGATTCATCTGTATTGGAGCCTGAAAGAAATGAACATATCATAGAAAGCCATCACAGGGTATAAAACTCTTACAGCCTAATAAAATTCTCAAAAGAAGGATGATATTAAATTCTTATGGACTGTAAAGTCATAGTATTTGCACCTAAAAGGCTAGAACAGCCTTCAAAAATTTTGGAAATGAGAAGAAAGGTATTATTCGTAGGTGGGAAAACTGCCAATAATTTCATTTTTAAAGGTACATCCTTCTATATGCTGTTAAGTTTTTGTTTGCTTGTTTGCTTGTCCTTTCTCTACATTGTCAATTTATTTGCATACATTGGGGGCACCTTTTAAGAGAGCTTGGATAAATAATACCATGGACTTCTTTTAATATTTTTATATATTTTTCTAGGTAAAGTCATGTTGGAAAAGACGTAAAGGGGTTTTGAAACAGGAAATAAGTCATAAAATACGCAACTTAAGGGATAAGAGTATAAATAAATGTGGGAGTAAGGAGAGACATATCTATTCATTTTGCCCTCTTTTATTCTGGTTTGGTGAAAAGGGTTTAAGAACTGATTGTAGGCATATAAACCTTCTTTCCAAGCTGCATAATTGGTAGTCTTCTTTCTAAAGGCCAAAACACATAATAAAGATGTGACTCTAGGGAAGTAATTGGCCTTTTACCCCAAACTTTACCTTTCTATATACCATCTATCAAATTAATCATATTCAATGGCTTTCTCCTTCCTTTAGTCCTTCCTCCATCCCTTCCTACTGTTCTGTGCATGTTCTTTTTCTCTTTTTCTCTCTCTTCGTCTTCTTTTCTTTCTCTCCCTATACATCATCCCTTACCACTCTTGAGCCTATGTTCTGTTACTCAGCCCTCTTTTAAAAATTGCTTATTGTAATACTGACTCAGAGAGCACAGTGACTTTCAGCATATGGTTGTTAGCTAATGCCCCATAAGTCTAGAGAGAAATATATTAGCTATGATTTGATTTGTCAAAAGGCAGCAGAACTTACTGGTTAGTATATGAAATACAAAGAGGAATCCCACATTTGCTGTTAGTAGAGATGATGAATGTGCTATGCTCAGGGTTGATGACTGTGTCTTCCCCCCTCAGATACAGGCGGATATTCCATTGCTGGGCAATGTATTCAAATGTAAGGAATGTGTAACTGTAAAAGAGATGGGCTCTGTGGTTTAGTGTTATCTGTAGGCCTTTAAACATTGCAACAGTAATTCTCCTTTTGTGCTGGCTGCTCGAGGAAATCTTATGAACCTCAGCACTTTCACGGCCAAAAGGTTAAAAGATTTCCTGGAAGACTGAGGGAAAAGGTTCCAAAACTTCTACCTTGCATTCTGTCCTTGAAGGTGTTATGTGACATGCTGATGAAGAAAAGAAAGAGCCAGCAAAATTCTGCATAGCAAAATAATAATAAATAGTGTCTGGCTTTTGTGATTACAACCAAAGCCATTCAGGTGTACCACAAGCTTTCAGAAAGTCAATAGTTTAAAAAAATGTATTGATTGTTACTAGGACCCTTAGAGAATGGCCAAGAATTTTCCAGTTGATCAAAGATGACATTCTAAGAACAACAAACTTTTCCAGACAGGTTATAATCACCAGAGATGTTAAAATTATGTTTAAAATGTAGTGGTTTTATTTGGAAAGGAATGAAAGAGTAATCAAAGATAGTACATGTATTAACAATCACAAAATGATTCTCCTACTCCCCAAATTAATTTGTTTACTGTTAAGAATAATTTGATACAAGCAATATAAGATAAAGACAACTTTTCAAGTTATAAAATGAAATGTCATGTATTAATACACAATGCTTGATTCTGAGCACATTATATTGAAAAGAACAAGAAGAGTCAGACAAGGCTGAGATCAAAGCTCTTTGGGCCAGTTATTCGTACTATGCCCCTGAGAAATTTAACCTCTTTAAGTCTGTTTTATTCTCTGTGAAATGGAGATACTATTTCCTATAGTATTTAGTGAGTACATAATAAGAGTTATATTCCTTAACTTTCCATGAGCATTTATTACAGGTTGAAGAACAGCTGCCTAATTTGTTTGTCTGTTATGCATAGGGAGCCCCAGAGGCATCCAAAACTTGAAAAAAAAATCTGCTATTCTTTATGTGGAATGCTGTGATTGGGTTCTCAGTGGGAAGCAAAAGGGGACAGAGTAGATGGCTTCTCAGGGCTTCTTGGGACTAGGGTGACTTAGTTACTGCAAGCAACTTAAGCATCTATTTCTTGAATAATGCCTGCGCAGAGCAAGGCAACACTGTTCCTTTCCACTTTGTGTTTCTTCTTTGGCCTCTGTCTCATGGTCTATCTGCTTTAACTGAGCCACCTCCTTCCTGATTAATGAGTCCAATGTGTTTGCTGCCATGCACTCTCAGGAGCTTATTGGTATGTCACTTTGGATTACAGGAAGCTTCAGTGATATATAAAGTGCACATGTAGTAGGAACTTCTACTTTAATAATTGTTACTCACCAGCATTTCTGCACCATATTATTTCTAAGCAACTAAATTTAAGAGTGCAAGGGAGTTACTTAGTCATGTTAAAGAGTATCAGAGTTCTAGGTTTTATCTATGACATCACGGCAATTCTGAGAGACGGATTCATTTAGATTCCCTGGGTTATATATTTTGTGCACATAAAATGGATGTATTTGCCCTCTCCCAGATTTGAATGACAACGAAGAATAGCCAAATATACTGCAAATGAAAACCACAAATTATGTAAAATATAAGCAGGGCTTTAAATTCTGAGGCTTTATTAGTCAGTTTATATATCCTCACTTGGACACCAAAAGATGATAAAAATTGTTACCTATACTGTTCCATATTTTGGAACTTGTACAAAATTTGTACTGCCTTTATGACTCTGCAACTCATTTATTATGACAAGAGTTACATATGAATAATAGAAAAAAGTTTTCAGCCATATGCAGGTTGTTGCAGTTAACATTCTATGAGAATGGAGATTCATACCTAATGGAATCATTTTGTTAAATAAGGAGGGAGCATCTCATCAGGCATTCAAGGAACTGTGGGTTTGACTTCAGATCTATTTATATTTCTGCAATTCTCATTAAATGTATGGTTACAGATACTGGAAATATGTTCATGTTTCTTTGTGAAAGTCTTCTTTCTAAGGGGCAAAACACACATTAAAGATGTGATTCTAGGAAAGTAATCTGATCTGTCTTATGTCAAACAGGACCCAAGTGGCAAAGGATAGAATCTAAAGTACTGAGTCTGAACAAGAATGGGTTCCTGCAGTGGATGGTGGGAAATAGTGCCTTCATTTGGGAGAGGGTGTCAGTGGACTTTGGGAAGGACATAGGGAAACTACAAATTATTGAACTCTGTTGTGTTCAAGACTCTGGACTTCCTTATTTACATATGTCACATTGCTTAATTATTCCAACAACTAGCATATTCTGTCTCTGCAGGCAAGCTACACATGAAGCCAAATTACATTCACAGGGTTCTTTGGTGAGCATGGAATCAGAACAAAAAGAGTTGGTTGTATAATATGAATGTTTAATATTTGTAATAACTTCCCTGTTAAACATAAGCCTGCACACATAGATCACAGAGGTTGTGTCCTTGGGTCTGATCTACCTCACTCCTTGTGGTACATCTTGTCTTGGATAGGTACAATATTTGCCTTTTAGACTTTCTCTTTTTCGTGTTCTGTGGCTGACCATCCCCATTCTTATAGACATTGGCCTGGGAGAAATTATTTCTTTGAGATGATGGTAGTTGTTAGTTTTTATTGCAAAACAAACAACTTGAAAATCCACTGGTTATGGCACCAAACATTTATTTTTAAGTTCCTAGGTCTGTAGGTCACCCATGATTCAGCTGATCTAGGCTGAACTTGGCTGGGCCACATCGGACACCAGACTTCTGGTCAGGTTCAAATCTATTCTTCTGTTTTCTGGGGCCAAGGCTAGAGAGGTCATGGCTCTCTGGAATATGCTCTTCTAATGGCAGATGACAGGAGCACAGGATGGCAAGCAGAAACAGGGGATGTTTCTTAAGGCCTTAGCTTGGAACTGTCACACTGTCACTTTCCCCACAATCTGTTGACTAAATAGTCACAGGTCCAAGCTCAGCATCAGTAGACTGGAGAAGTATACTCTTATTAAAGTAGCTAAACTGTTCCAATCTACCACAATGACTCTGAAGACATATACTCTTAAATATCATGTGTTATTTTATATTTTATTTCTGAGCGGACTAGTTCCTTTAGATTCTTGGGAGTGGCAAAGGAGCATTGCATCTTATTTTTGTTTTCTATTCTTATCTGCAGGAAGGGGGCATGATCGAATCTTCTGCTTTCCTTTTGAGCATTTTCTCTGTGAGCCAAACTGACTGTTATCCCTGCCACCAGGTATATTAATGCTGTAAGGAATTGTGCAGGAGGTCAAAAACCTGGAGGATGCCTTACTTGGCCTGATGTCAAGGTAGGTGACAAATCCTATTAAATCAGAACCTTTTCCCTTCCTGGTAAATCAGCCTCATCTATCTTTGCTAAAGTTCATTTACCAGCCATCTCAAGGCATCAGTGATGTTTGGGCATCTGCGTTTCTACTATACTGGTTGCCTCTGAACATTAAATTGCTCACCTATTTCACTAGGTATAAAGATGACGATTTCATTCTGAAAATTATAAAATATACATACAGGAGAATGTATGCAATATATGTACAGATGAAGGCTAATTATAAAGCTGTAAAGTATTCTATGCTATGAACATAGTACAATTTACTGATCTATTCTTCTTGTGGATGGACATATGAATTTTTCCAGTTTTGAACTTTTATTAGTCCATTCTCACACTGCTATAAAGAAATACTTGACACCGGTTAATTTATAAAGGAAAGAGGTTTAATTGACTCACATTTCTGCATGGCTGGGGGGCCTCAGGAAATTTACAATCATGGTGGAAGGGGAAGCAGGCATGTATTACATGATGGCAGGTGAGAGAGAATGTGAAGGAGAAACTGTTAAACACTTATAAAACCATCAGCTCTCATGAAAACTCACTCACTATCACGAGAACAGCACGGGGGGAACTGAACCCATGATCCCGTCACCTCCCAGCAGGTCCCTCCCTCGACACGTGGAGATTATGGGGATTACTATTCGAGATGAGATTTGGGTGGTGACATAGAGCCAAAGCATATCAGGACTATGATGAATAATACTTCTATGACCATTTTTCTATTTGTCGCCTGGGGAAATTGTGTTTCTCTTGAGAGTTTCTCTAGGATACAAAATGAGTGGAGTCTGAGTCAAAGGATATGAATAATGAATCAGTTATCTGTTTCTGTGTAAAAACCATCATAAGTGTAGTAACTTAGAACTACCACCATTTTATTTGCTTATAAATTTTGTGTGTCAGTAATCTGGGCTGGTTTCAGCTAGGCAGTTCTTTTGCTGGTCTCTCCTGGGTTCATTCCTGTGGCTGCTATCACCTGGCAGCTCAACTAGAATGAGATGGCCCAAGATTGCCTGATTCATATGTGTTGCTGTGATTGCTGACTGTCAGTCAGACCTCTTTCTCTGTGTGGTCTCTACTCATCAAGGACTAGCTTGTTTTTTTTTTTTTTTTTTTTTTTTTTCTTATCAGTCATGTGACAGCAAGGGGGCAAGAGTAGAAGCTGTAGGTCTCTTGAGACCTAGGTTCAATATTCGCACTCCATCACATCCATCTCATTCTACTACAGCAGTCAAAGCATGTCATAAGGTCAACTTGGAATAAAAAATTTGGAGAAATAGACATTACCTATGGATGGCAGAGCTGCAAGTCCATATTGAAAAGGGGGCATGCCTACAGGAATATGAAAAATTTGTGGTGATATTTTGCACAAGACACATCTCTAACTGTACTAGGTAATGATGAACCACTTTTCAATGTGGTTGTACTTCAAAATTTATGCACTCATTGGTAGTGAATGAGAATTTTTATTGCTTCACTTCCTTTGCAACTCTTGGTAATGTTAGATTTCTAAATTTTGTCTGTCTGCCCAATATTTAGTGGCGGGTTGTTTTAATTTACATTTTCCTAATTGGTAATGAACTTGAGTATCTTTTCTTGTATTTCTTTGCTATTCGGATTTCCTGTTTTATAAAGTGCCTATGTCTTTAGATAATTTTTCTATTAGGTTGCTTTTGTTTTATTTTTAATGACTGATGGAAGTTTTTTGTATATTTGGGATATTAGTCCTTTGTTGGTTATAAGACTTATAGATTTTTTTTCTTATGCTGTATTTTGATGAAAAAATCTGAATTTTAATGTAGCTCAGTTTCATCAATCTTTTCCTTTTGTTCAGCGCTGTTTGTGATTTTAGAGATTTAGTTATGAAAATCCTGTCTTATCCTGATGATAGGAAGATAGCCTCCTGTATTACTATGTAAAGGCTTTTAAGTTTTCTTTTATGCCTCAATTTTCTTATTAATCTGGAACCAAATTTTGTTGTAGTAGTAGTAGTAGCAGCAGTAGTAGTAACAGAAATTGCTGTTGTTACACATGACTTTCCAATAGATGAAAGCTTTGAACTTACTGAGGTTTGAGGGGGTTATTTTCAGCTTATTTCCTCACTGAAAAATAGGTTATGAATTAGGTAAATGGAAGTAAAAATATCTGCCTAAATTACTAAAAACGAGACAATTATGTGTGTCCTGAGGACAGGAGCTTTGGAAAGAAGCAAGCCTGGAAGAACCTGAGCCAACATGTACCTCCCAATCCTGTCATTTTGATAAGAACCTCCTCAGCCCTCCTTTGGGGAGGCATACCTGAGGAGGGAGTATAGAGGAAGAAGCTGAGTGGATTCCTTCTTTTTTTCTTTCCTGTTGTAGAGTAGAGTGGAATTTTTCTTCCCTCTGGGTGAACTTGGGGACTAGGGAATAATATCCCTGGCCGTTCTGACACTTTTCTTCATTATTAAAGGCATAAGTCAAACTGAGAAACCTTATCTAACCTTACTTTGATCACATGAATGAGTTCCTTTCAAAACTCTTTAGGCAAGGAAGTAATGAATTGCACTGACATTCTAGAGTGCATTGTAAAGTGAGCCCAGCAAGGTAAGAGTCAGGAGATCTGGATTCCAGGTTCTGCTGCCATTGACGATGGCCAGAAAGAAGTCACCCTCATTTTCTGGGCTTAAGATTCATCACCTGCAAAATAAGGGAACTTAACAAAATGATCTTTAAGGTCCTTTCCATCTCTCTCAATTATTTATTCCATCATGGCAGTCAGTTGTGTATGTTAAGAGGCAGTATGTTCAGAAGTCTTGCCTACTGGGTTGGCATACTAAAGCCTTACCTAGCTAGCACAAAAGATCCATGTAGCATGACAGACACAACTGCTATGACATTAAATTTTTGATAGCAGCAACTTATATGGGGTGCAATCATATATTTTTTATATGTAAACGCAAAAGCTTAGGGAACAGTTCACATGAAATGAAAAAAGTGAACTTTTGTAGAATCATGTCTTTTTTAGATTCTAATAAAATGCTAATCTGATCTTACTGCTGTAAAATAAACAATGATTTTTTTTAAAGTATAAAGATTGTTGTAAGATACTGCCTCACTTATCCGTTATCATGTGTTGGAAAGATGATTCATGAGATCTAGCTTGTGAGTAAGGCTTTTCTGGTGGACTTTCTGAGGAGGCCTTTGAGACTACAGAGTCTCTTTAAGAGAATGGCAAAGCAGTAGAACTTGATTAATATAGATATTTTTCCCCTTCGTCTAATGATTAAGGCAAGTGAGATTGTTGTCCCCATTAAAAGCTCAGGCAGTCTTTACCAATTACTCTTTGGAACATTTGACTAAAATGAAGATAAAGTCCTCATTTAGCATTTATTCTATTATTTTCAAAAGCTGGCATTGTATTATTTTGATGTTAATTTATGTACAACTACTTGTCAGACCACAAAGGCTTAGGATAGAGACCAAGTTCCAATTTTCTTAGTCATTGGGTGCTTCTGGCCTCCTGGAAATTTAAGTGTATGTTAACAGAAGCAATGTGAACGTCTTGTATTATAATAATTCCTACAGCTACAGTCATTTTAGGGCATACTCTAATTTTTTAAATCACCTTTGAAATGAAAATTTTACTCTAGAGTCTAAAAATGGGAAACAAATAGGCTCATAACTTTCTATGTTATCCAGAAGGGTCTATTAATTAATTGGTCAAGGAACATTATGATGTAATATTAGGAGAATGGTTTTTGGTCTTAGACTGAACAGGTCTGTAACTAACAGGCTATTTGACCTTGGTTAATTTATTCAAACTCTAAGTCAGTGATTATCAAAATTTAGTTTGTATCAGAATCAACTGGAGCATTTTTTTTAAAGCGCAAACTGCTGGGTTCCGCTCCCAGTTTCTGATTAAGTATATGTAGGGTGGGAGGGCGCACAAAAATCTGCATTTATAACAACTTTCCAGGTGATGCTGTTGGTCCCAGAATCATTCCTTGTGAGTTACCCAAGTCAGTTTCAAGGGAGGCTAATACCTCCTGGAATGGTTGTATTCAATAAATTGCTCTGTATGAAGCAAATCCCAAGGTATTTGACTAATAGGAAAATTTTAGTTAATATTAGTTTCCTTTCCCAACTATCTCTTCTCTTCTTCCAATAAACACTAAGAAGGTGCTCTGTGGAATGTGATGGATGAATAGGGCAAGTACCCTATCTTCGTGGATCTTTATTTAAATAAGAAAAACACCCACATATGTGACAATTTAAAAAAATAAGATCGTTAAACAATGAAAGGCTAAATTACTTTTTATATTGACTTATTGGCAGTTGAGGATTTGAGAAGAGGGAGAGATCACTGGGGCCTATTACTGGTCAGGGAAGGCCTCACTGAATAGGTGAGATTTAATTAGTTCTGGAGCAAGAAGTTCTATATTATCTGCAGGTTGGTAACAGATTATAAAGAATCCTAAAAGCCAGGTGGAGGGATTTAGACTGGAAGTGGTTAGCACTAGGATGGGAAAATACTTTATGCTTTTGAGCAAAGGAATAATATTATGAAAATTCTTCTTCGGGAAAACAGGCCTAAATGGAGTGTACAGAAAGTTAGGATGTGAAAAATGTGATACCATTTCCTTTTAGTAAGAGGCTGTTACAGCAGTGGACACACCAGCTTAACTTGCAATGGGAGCAGTTGGAGCGCAAGCTAGATCAAGCTTATGGGATGAGCTTTTCCAGTCTCCGTCTTCTGTTGCATAGTTGTTTGCATCTGCTTCCTCACTAGAATGTGGGGCCTATTCCTTTGAATTTCGCAGTACCTCCTATTGTGTCTTTCACTGACAGCTGGGTGACTGACAGATATGAGCCGAATTAAATTAAAGGAGATTTGAAAAGTCTTGTTGATGACTGGTCATTAAAGAGAAAGGACAACATAACAAGAATGATAGCTCTGATAAGCAGAGTTTTGAGGTTAGTTTTAAAGTTAAGTGTAAACAGGGAGGTTTGGACAGGCAGCCACTTGGGGGTATAATGATTTTACTATGGATCTGGAATTGCTATAATGTTCAGGCAGGCATCCAAGTGGAAATGTTCAGAGACTGCAGCCCATGCAAGTGATCAGGATGGAGGATGTGAATGTCATCGGACTACAGAATCATAGTTTAGGAAGGAATCTCAATTTTACTCCAATCCCCTACCTAATACAGGAACTGACTGTGTACCCTTATTACTCAAAGTGTGATTTCCAGATCCTCAGCATTGACAAGATGTGGGAGCCCGTTGGACATGAAGAATCTCAGGCCCTACACCAGACCTAATGAATCAGAATCTGCATTTATACAAAATCCCTAGAAGATCTGCGTGGATACTATTAAGAAGCATTGCATATATACCATTCCTCATTTGCACTAATTGTTTTCGTACTTCTGGTAAAGGAGGGCTTGTTAGCTCGTAAGATAACCCATTCTCTTTGGACACTTCTAATTGTAATAGTTGAGACCAGGACATCCTCTCTGGGTACAATTGTGTAGAAAAGCGGTTCTCAACCTTGACTACAAATTGTAAACACCCAGGGAGCTTTAAAAACTGGTAATGCCTACACTACATACTTACTAGAATGGCTAAAATTAAAAGGACTTAACCATTTGCTCCAGCAATTGAACTCCTAAGTATCCAAGGAAAATTAAAGTATATATCCACATAAATATGTGCCCAACCATGTCTCTATCAGCTTCATTCATAACCCCAAATAGGAAACAATTCAGATCTCCATCAGCAGGAGAATGGATTTTAAAAATCTACATATAGTCATACAAGGGATTATCACTCAGCGATAAAAAGGAACAAATTGCTGATATATGCCATAACATAGATGGGCCTCAAAAGTATTATGGTGAGGGAAGCCAAACATGAAAGGTATGTGCTATAAGGTCCCATTCATATGAATTTCTAGAATAGGTAAAAATAATCCATAGTGGTAAAAATGAGAACAGTGGTTACCTTTTGGGGGGTGGTGAGGTGAGGATTGATTGTAAAGGGAATTAAGGGAACTTCCTGGGGTGAAATGGTCCATATTGTGATGGGGGGGGGGGTAGGTTACACAGCTGTATATACATTTGCCAATTGATATGGAAGTTTTGTGCGTTTAATGGTATGTAAACTATAACTGAATTAAAAAAATTTTCAATGCTTGAGTTATACCTCAGAGGTTCTGATTTAACTGGGCTGGGAATGCAGCACAGGCATCAGAATCTTAAAGTCTCACCAGATGATTCTACTGAGCAGCCAGGTTTGGAACCACTGGGGAAGGCTTTAGCATGGAGCCACCTCCTTTGGGTGGTTGCAAGGGAAGTTCTAAATGTTTATCTTGTTTTGTTGCCATTATGCAAGCACTAAATGTCTTTGTTGTAAAGCCATTTCCAACTATAAGCTGATCTCATAGCAAGGGCCCCTGGAAGAGAGTTATTATAAAGGGTTTGGAAGGTTTTATAACTAACTGTCCTATCGTTTCTAAATAGCATTATAAATATTGGCTTCTGTCAGCTTTTAACTGCACACTGCTACATCATATGTCAGAGTTTAGTATTATTTTCTCCAAAGCCTTTCAGGAAACCACACAAACATTTTGTCCTGGTTCTGTTCTTTGGTGAAAAACTCAAATTGAAACAGTAGCTAGAGAATTGAATAAGGAAAAAATATGCATGACAGGGAGAGCTTTGAGCCTAATGCTTTTTGCTATACTTGTCTCTTAGCTAATACAAAGTCCCTTAAATTGGATGCAGGTGAAGGACCTTGAAAACCTCAAGTGGGATTTTCTACAGAGGTTTTTTGACCCAACCATGAGGGAAATCTATGTGGATACTTCTGGAGAGAAATCCTCTGTGCTCATACTTCAGCTCTCTGTTCACTGAGTGATTGATTTGGGCCCTCTAATAGGGAGAAGGATGAAATATTTCATATGTTACAAATTAATGTTTCAAATTCAATGTTCCGGGTCAGAGAAACAGATATGTGCTCATCAGCATGCTCTCCTGAAGGCATCATAGCAAAGACCACAGAAACATTTGGACAGTCTGTGCCCTATCCAATACCCTTACCTGAATCACATCATTCTTTCCAGGACAGTTAACACAGCAGGCAGTTCAGAGTAATGAGCTCTATTTGATGTCCCTGAAGTTGATCTCCAGCATGCTTGTTGTATTAGCAAGCTAATGTGTCCAGAGAAAGTAGAATAGAAAACAATAATCAGACCTTAAAGAAATTTGCCTGCTTGACAGTGACAAATTAAGGTACTGCCACCTCTGGCAGAATGATGGACCTTGAAGCAACATTAGCTTGAAAGTTTAGTTTTTACAAGTTTGTGAAGTGGAGCTCTTGTCTTCTATCGGGGTGGAATTTTCACACAGGGAGAAGATGTTTTCATTAATAAGAGCCAAGATTTCCTTCTGTACTTCTGCCCCCTCATGCCCCAGTTCCCACACTGCCCGCCTCTCCCTGCTCCCACAGTCACAAGAAGAGATTGGGAAACTTGCTTTATGACTTACTGCTGATTTATATTATTACCATAGCTTTTCCGTGAATTCTAATACTTACTCTCAGAAAGCAAAATGTTCGGGAGTCTAAATATTGAAGATTTAGATGTTTTGTATATGATAAGAGAGTGAGAAAGGAACAGCTACTGGCTCAAAGCTGACTTTTACAACAGAATTGTAGATTTTGCTTTATTATGTTTTTCAAATGTGGAAAGGGATTATCAGGTTATTTGGTACCTAATTGAGTCCAATATTGGGACGAAGGACAATTTTATTGCAAATTTTATTCATGGTTCTCACTAGTTGGTATATTCTGTTGGTTTTTGTGATTCAGCTTCTTAAAGATACGAAGTATATACAATCTGGCTTTTTTAGACTCCAAGGTGTGACAAAGAAGGATATTAGGAGAAGGGGAAAAGGGAAGATTGAAGTTAGGTGACTTTGGGAAAGTCATGTATCTTTTGGTTTGTTAACTATCTATCTTCCTTAAAATATTCTTAATTCTCACTTCTGCTTCATGGGGATAATAAGTATTTCATAATATAAAGAAGTCCTTGGGCTTCTAAAAGTACTATAAATCACACAAAGGACATTTATTTTTGTATGTGTGATTAGAATGAAATTAATGCTTGTTCATGGTCTAAAGAGGTATCATTCTAACGGTATAAGAATTCTGATTAATCTTCACTTAATATTTATTTATGTTAGGTTTTCCTTTTTTTTTCACCATCTTCCTTTGGCAGGGGCAACCTGTCTCTCTCCACTCTGGCAATCAAAATCTTACCCCCTATCTGAGGCCCAATATGTGTTCCATTTCACCCATGGCGCTCTTACTAATGGCTACCATAACATTACCTTTTCTTCTTCTGAATTACTTCCTAACTTAGAACCACTCACCCCTCTTTTATTCTACCCCTTGAACACTCATCTACCTGAAATATATAATTGGATTATATGCTTTTTGGTGAAAACATCAACTCTCCCCCTTTCTTTTTCAGTTTCATTTTCTAACACAGAGCTTACATAGAAATATCTGACTTGATTTGATCTGATTCTAGATATCTACCTGGATTCTTCTATGTGGTGAACAGAACTAGTAAGATAAAACCTTTTTACAGAAATAACCGAGTTTCATTGATAAACATAGGAAGAACCTTTTAATGTCTGTACTAGACCTAAACATTGTCAAATTCCTGAGGTCGATGATGTCCAGAATAATAAACCAATTTTGCCTCAAAGTGGGTTATTTCATTAGATTTTGATCCTGCCACCATATGAAAATGTTCACTAATACGTGTTAAGTGCCATCAACGTGATTTGTGTTAAAACATTTATGGACCTGTGGCAATATGGAAATGTGGGCATGTTTGGTATTTTCCTAGTCTCTGTAACTTATAAATCATCTGAATACTATTATTACACATCTTTATGGAAGATAAAGAAATATTGTTTTATAATACGAAGTGAGGAAACTTGTTAGCTTAAAGATTTAGCAAGGACAAACCGAAGACTAGTCTTTTGGGAATAATGATAACATAAAGGTACATGTGACCATGGATAGTCTCTTGAGCCTTGTCAAATGACATTTGTTTTATTTCTTCTAATTAGCAATACTGATGTATTTTTGGCATTTCAGATGCTCTAATTTCCTTTGTGATAGCCTTTATTTATATGCACTGATGTCACTGCTAAAGAATTTCCCTTTAGTTCTCCAATGTCATCTCATACACCTTCTTTATTGTGCTCAATGGGAAAATACTTCCTCCAAGCCATTTTGAACATTGTATCACTTAGTTATTGCTGTGTAACAAGTCACCCTAGAACTCAGCCATTAAAACAAAAATTACTTCTTTTGAATCTGTAGAGAGTGGCTGATCCGAGCTGGGATTAGCTAAGTCATTCTGCTGGTCACTGCTGGGTTCCCTCACGTGTCCGTGGCTAAGTTTGGAGTTGAGCCAGTTCACACTGAACTTGGCTGCTGGGGGAAAGCTTCTGATCCACATGTTTCTGACCCTCTTCCTTGGAACTGTGTGGCCATGTCCTTCTCTTGACAGTACAGAGGTTTTTGAGAGCAAAGCTACTTCACAAGCACTTTTCCAAGTGTCTGCTTGTGTTATATGTGTTAACATCTTAATGTCAAAACAAATTACAAGTCTGAACCAAGAATCCAGTGGCAAGGAAATACATTATTTTGTTTTCTTAAATTATAAATCTTGCTCCCAGAATCATTTTTACCCAAATAACCTTCCTTAAGGTAAGGATTAATTTATTTAAGACTTATACCCTGCAAGTTGGCCTTCCAGAAAGGAGATGGTCTGCAAAGCTCTATGGAAATTAGTTATGGTGCAGTGCATATGGCAGTCCATCCAGGTCAACTACAAGGGTGGCACCCCCTACCCATATAAAGGCAGTGAAAGTTGCTTCCACAAACATGATGGTTGATGTAGTGAATCCTACTGCCAGTTTGCTATGTCATTTGGCTGCAGCCACAAGCTTTAGATCCCAACTCACTTATCCTGAAGATCCTGGTGCTTCTTTCAATCATTAATGCTGAGTTGACAGGATAGAGGTGGAGCCAAGGTTTTGGCAAGTGATATTCCTATTACACTCTGGCCTTTAATTGCACTGAGGCGGAGATTAATGCTGCCTTAATCAGGCTCAGAGTCTGACATCCAGCCCTGTTAGATCTCTACGGGCTGCCCTGGGGTGAATGAGTAATGGGGGACCTGCACATCTGCTACTAATCCTTTCTCTGAGTTGTTCCCAAAGAGTGCTACTCCAATATATGGTGTAGGTAACTGCTTGACCGCTTGCTCTTGTTTTTACATTATTCTTAGTCTCTGTTTTACTCTGTGTTAAGACAAAACTTACGTCATTTTCTCTCTGGACCCTATTCTTGATGAATCCATTAATTCCTAATCCGAACCCTAAAGTTTTCAATTTTACCACCGAAAGTGCCATCTTTCTTCCATTACTTGGAGTCTGGAGTCACTTTCATCAATACTCTTTCTAGCTCCTGTAATTCTCAAAGACATCTTGAAATTTTATGTTTAATACAGAGCCTTGTATTGGTGAGTTTCTAGGTGGGTCATACAACCAAAGAAATGACCTTTTGTGTTCTGCAGTAAGAACACTTAACCTGTATCTAATGTCAACAGTTCTTACCTTGTATCTCCTCCATTGTGATTGTTAAATATTCAAGGACATCTTATCAAGTACTTGTCAATATTAATATTCCTCATTTAAAAATATAAACCTCTAGAGAAGATAGACTGTGTATATGGCTATGATATTACTTTATGTATGTCTATGAATTATCTTTGGAGGAAGTTGAGCACAGTTAGCAGTAGACATTGAGTTTCTTATACTCAATTTTTTCTTTGCCTGGCTAGTTTGTCTATTTTTATTTTAATAGAAATGAGTTGGAATAGAATTAGGATGTGAACGTTGAGGTATTGCTCTTTTATCTGGGAAAAGCTGTTTTCCCCAGACACCCTAAAATCTTATTAATTCTGACAAGACTGTGCTGGAATTGAAGAGACTTTTCCTGGCCACTTCACACTGGATCTATCTACCTTTACTGAACTCATCATGCACTCTGTGTTTTAGTGCTTGAGCACAAACCACCTCATTCTGTTCTATTCCTGTTGCATTTAAGTGTCTCATTTTCCCAAGCAGCTTTCAAAATCGAAGATGGAAACCCTTATATTGACATTCTCTTTGTCTTCTTCTTCCCATTGTCTAAGTGCTATAGCACAGCAGGTTGTTTTTAAAAAAAACTTCATTATGAATGAAAGGAATTACTGAGAGGGAGAGGAAGTATAATAAGCAAATGATATGAAAGAGGTGTGCTCTCATCTTCATTCTGTTTCTTTCTTTAGCTAGGAGTATTCTTTTCTTACATCATCCTCTTGGGAATTGCATAAAATCCATCTTTGTCTTTTCATGCACCCCTCTCAAAAATCTTTTATCACCTCCTCAAACTTTTCAAGCAAGCTAGGACTATCATCCAGAGTGAAGCTCTGACGGAGATGATTTTGTGTGTGTATTCCTTTCTTAAAAGCCAATTTCCTTAAAAGAAATTAGAAATGTCATTAATCAGTACTGACTTTAGTCCTGCTGAGAGAGGACCCTGCACTGAGCCCCACTATACAGAGGGCTCCACTATATTGTGGGGGCTTGGGGCAGACTTGAGGTGTTCAGGCAAGGGTATCTACACATGTATGTGAAAATTTGCAACATGGAATGCAGGGACATCAGGGGAAAGAAGAGAGCATAGCAGGCCACAGGCCACAGGCTTTTCCTACGTGATCATGTTCTTACTTAGAACGTCAAGGACTCCCAGAATTCTAAATTAAAATCTGGTCTTCCACTTTGTTAGAAGGAGACATATGACATGTAGGCCTCCATGTATACTCTACCCCAATCCTGCAAATGTTAGGGAAGGATCTATCAGCAATAATCCAAAAATTCTGTGCTTTCCCCCCACCCTTTCTATTTGTCTGTGTTTCTTATTCTTGTTAAATGGAGGTCACAAACACAGTGCTTTTTGAAAGTAATGGGATTACATTGTCTGCCAGGCTTTTATTTAATGAGATGTGTAGGTGCCCCTAGTGTCTGCAAAGTCCATGTTTAGGCAAATAATCTTTTATTTCGCTTCAGTATAGCTTATGAAAATAATGAATTTGCATGTCTTTCAGTGGTAATCCATTCATTTATGGACAGTGATTGAGAAAAACAAATGGTTAAACTATTTGAGAATTTTAGATGATATCTTAGTTTGAGCTCTTGTAACAAAGTACAATAGACTGGATGGATTAAACAACGAACATTTATTTTTCATAGTTCTGGAGACAGGGAAGTCTGAGATCAAGATGCCCACAGATTCAGTGTGTAGTGAGGGCCTACTTCCTGGTTTGCAGGCAGCAACCTTCTTTCTATCCTCACATCACAGAAAGAGAGATCTTCTGTTTCTTCCGCTTTCTGTAAGGACATTAATCCCATCATGAAGGCCTCACCTTCATGACCTAACCTCGCTCCAATGACCTCTCCAAGGCCCTACCTTCAGATATCATCACATTGGGGATTAGGGCTTCCACATATGAGTTATGGGGGGACATAAACATTTAGTACATAGCAGATGAAGAGTGCTTTTTTAGCTATGTGTAAAAGGGACCTTAGCCATGATATTTTAAAAGTTGTAAGAAATGATAGCTCAGACAAACATAAGGAGAAAGCAAAAGACAAAGCAGGAGGTGCCATTTAGTAAAAATGACTTCAAGACAAAGCTATTTCCTCACCTTCGGTGGAAAGCTCTATGAAACATCTAACAGTTCTAACATTAGGTCTAGCTGTACATAAGCAATTATGTTGCTGACCTTCCTGTTCAGTAGTTGTTACAAAGTTAGTCTCACTCAATTGAATTTTCATTATTATTTTGTCCCTGTCCTCGACTTTTAGAGAGAGGAATTTTTTACCCTCTTTTCATCACATCAGTTTTTTCCCTGGCACATTTTGTTCTGGGGAAATGTTTTATGGCATTATTACTGTTTTTTTTTTTTCACTCTGAAGTGGAAAGCATTGTAGTTGATTCATCTTCTTTGTCTTGTCAAACACTTCACTCATCTTGACATTTGCAGAAGGCTTCAAAGGTGTGTCTTCTATTAGTAATATTAAATTGCAATTGTGCTCATAATTTGCAACAGAGTTTGAATAGGATGCAGAAAATCTGATTTTGGCATTTGTTAACTGAATGATACATTGTCAACAACCTTGGCTTTTTGTTCTGTTATATTCAATGGAGAAAGAGAATTACTCTGAAAATAATATCAATTTATTCATTTAGAACAAACATGAATAGACAGTATTTGTGGTGTTGGCTTTGATTTCTGTACATTTCTGGGCTTTATATTGTAGTCTGTACACCAAGTGCTTCAGCCATTCTCTTGACCCCTCCTTATACCTCAGCGTGTATCTCCTCATAAAAATAGTATTTAAATGAGGACAGTAGTCTAGAGAAATTCTTATTATGCATATAAAATATTCACAGCAATCTTGTTAGTTATAACAAAAAATTGGAAATAGCCTAAAAATCCGTAGGAAAATAAACTATAGTCATATAGTCACACAAATACTGGACAAAAATGAGAATGAACCGACTAAACCTACATGCATTAACATGGAAAAATCTCAAGAGCATGTTGAGAAAAAAAAAAACATGTTGCAAAGGAAGGCACACAGTATGTGTGGCTGGCATTTCTCCTTTTCTCTAACATCTAGTTCTTCTCTTCTATGGGGAACATGGGAGGATTTTACATCTCTGTTCTCTTGAAGTTAGGTATGGTCCCGTTACATGCTTTCACTAGTAAAATGTGAGCAGCAGTGATGTCCACCACTTCATGGGAGCATTTAAGTGCTGCTTTTTGGTGCAGGCCTCGCTTTTTCTCTCTCTATACTGGTGAATGTGGAAAATACCTCAAAGCATGTATTATGTGGAGGCATAATGCTGAGTCACTACATCGGGGAGGATACCCTAGGGTGTTGCCTGGACCCATAGCAGACTTCGAGTAAAAAATAAACCATTGTTTTAAGGCACTGAGATGGTTCTACTGAGTGTAGGAGAAGCTGGAGTGTTTACCCATCAACTTCCTTTTTTTTTTTTTTTTTTGAGAAGGAGTCTCACTCTGTCACTGGGCTGGAGTGCAGTGGCGTGATCTCTGCTCACTGCAACCTCCGCCTTCTGGGTTCAAGCGTTTCTCCTGCCTCAGCCTCCCAAGTAGCTGGGATTACAGGCGCCTGCCACCATGCCCAGCTAATTTTTGTATTTTTAGTAGAGATAAGGTTTCACCATGTTGGCCACACTGGTCTCGATCTCTTGACTTCATGATCCACCCGCCTTGGCTTCCAACTTCTATTTCTCATTAGTTGTAGATATTTAATCTGTGCCACTTTTAGGCTGCCCAAGCTCCATCACTGAATAGGCCACATGGAAATAGAGGAACTTGGGTAGTTCCAGTGAGAAGCTGTCACTGTACACATGAATTGTCTATTGAAGCTCTGGGTAAGGTCAGAGGTAGACCAAGGGAATATGGGACAGTGCATCATTAACCTCTGCTATGGGATTAGACAGTCAGATATACACATGTGCTACTTATTGGCAACTACAGATACATTGTGTCTGTTTTGTTAAACATTTTTGGGGGGGTTAATTGTATTTTGGAAATGTCAAGGAGGGAATGGCAAGAGGATATGGTGGAACAAAATCGTATAGGTGAAAGAGAGAAAAAACAGCAGAAGAGCTGGGTGCAGTGGCTCACACCTGTAATCCCAGCACTTTGGGAGGTCAAGGCAGGCGGATCATGAGGTCAGGAGTTCGAGACCAGCCTGACCAACATGGTGAAACCCTGTCTCTACTAAAAATACAAAAATTAGCTGGGTCTGGTGGCGCGTGCCTGTAATCCTAGCTACTCGGGAGGCTCAGGCAGGAGAATCGCTTGAACATGGGAGGCGGAGGCTGCAGTGAGCCGAGATCGCGCCATTGCAGTCCAGCCTGGCGACTGAGCGAGACTCCATCTCAAAGGAAAAAAAAAAAAGAAATAGCAGAAGAAAGTGGGGACTATAGACAATGGTGATGGGAGGAGCAAGGGGGAAGTGGAAGGATGTCCATTGTTATTTCCTGGGTATAATTTTTTCAATCACCAGTTAAGAGATGAGTTGTTTTTTCTTGGGGAACTTGCCCTACATTTATGTGTTATTGTTGCCAGGAGAATTATAACAAGTTACGTATGGCCTTTAGCTCAAAAAAGTTCTCACAAACTCAATAGTAAAGCAAAATAGATCAGTATTTGTTTCTATTAAGTTAAACTTTATCTTAAACCCTTGGAGCTGAATATCTTTTAAACTTCAAAATTTTTCAGATTTTAGAAAACTAATATAGTTTATATATTTTATATTACCTAACACCCCAGGAGGATCTGGGATCTCGCCACCTAATCAAATACATTTATGCAGTAAAACGTAGAAGTGTTACACAAAGTGGGATAAACAGAGACTAAAGTTAGTCTCTTATCAGTTTAAACCAGGTTTTGCTGACAGATGAGTTCAAGTTGGATCATGTTTGGCTGACAATAGAGTTAAGAAAAATATTTGTTTCTAGGGACTTATGAATTTTGCAATAGCAGATAGTGAAATATAGACATATTAATCTACTTTAAAAAATCACTAAAGGGGCTGTGTGTGGTGGCTCACGCCTGTAATACCAGCACTTTGGGAGGCCGAGGCGGGTGGATCACCTAAGGTCAGGAGTTCAAGACCAGCCTGGCCAATGTAGTGAAACCCCATCTCTACTAAAAATACAAAAATTACCCGGGCATGGTGGCAGGTGCCTGTAGTCTCCGCTACTCAGGAGGCTGAGGCAGGAGAATCACTTGAACCCAGGAGGTGGAGGTGGAGGTTGCAGTGAGCCGAGATCCCGCCACTGCACTCCAGCCTGGGTGACAAGAGCAAAACTACGTCTAAAAAAAAAATAATCACTAAAGGAATAAATGAACTAAGAATTTTAGTGTGGTAGCCCCAGCCTCCAAGATGGCCCTCAGTGATTCTCACTTCCAAACTAAATAAGGCTGACCTATGTAACTGAGCGAATGTTGCAGAAATGACCAAGTGTGAGTTCTGAGGCTAGGTCATAAAAGACATGTGACTTCTGCCTTGCCCTTTCTCCTGGATCCCTAGCTCTGGGGGAAGCCAGCCGGCCTATCTTGAAGATACTCAGTCAGCCATGCGAATGAGTAACTTTGTAATCCAATCCTCCAGCTCTTGTTGAGCCTTGTAATGACCTCAAGCCCTAGCCAACATCTTAATAAAAGACATTGAACCAGAACCACCTTGCTAAGCTGTGCCCAGATTCTCTACCCACAGAAAATATATAAGCTAATAAAAATTACGGTTTTAAACTCCTAAACTTTGAATTAAGTTCTTCATACAGCAATAGATAAGTAATACAGATTTGGGTACCTGGAAGTGGAATGCTACCATAACAAAAACCTAATATAGGCCAGGCGTGGTGGCTCACGCCTGTAATCCCAGCACTTTGGGAGGCTGAGGTGGGCGGATCACGAGGTCAGGAGATCGAGACCATCCTGGCTAACATGGTGAAACCCCATCTCTACCAAAAATACAAAAAATCAGCTGGGCGTGGTGGTGGGCGCCTGTAGTCCCAGCTACTCGAGAGGCTGAGGCAGGAGAATGGTGTGAACCTGGGAGGTGGAGGTTGCAGTGAGCCGAGATCGGGCCACTGCACTCCAGCCTGGGCAACAGAGCGAGACTCCATCTCAAAACAAAAACAAAAACAAAAACACCCTAATATATGGGAGTGGCTTTGGAACTAGGCAATAAATAGGTGGAAGCTGGTAGGAAATTGAGGAGAGTGTTAATGAAAACCAGGCATGTGAGTAGACTAGAAGTAGATCCTCCAGCTCTACTCATCTTTTAAGATGGCTGCTTGGTGCTGACATCCTGGGTGTAACCTTATGAGAGACTTTGAATCAGAACTACTCAGCTAAGACATGACTGAATTCCTCACCCACAGAAACTGCATGCGTATTTGTTACTGTTTTCAGTGACAAAGTTTTGGGGTAATTTGTTATGTAATAATTGAGGATCAGTACATACAATAAAAAATAAGATCAAAGACATATGAGCTGGTACTTAGAAGTCATAGACCTCATGGTCATTCTCCATTAGCTATAAATTAGTTACTAAACTTTTCCTTTCTTTTGTGAAGAAAATATTTGCTACATGTTTGCATGTAATTTGTATAGCTCCATAAATCTCAGATGTATTATTTACAGTGCTTAGATTAAAAACTACTAAAGCTCATTCTCTTATTATCTTAGTGACACGAGAATCAGCCTACAAAAGCTGATCTCTATGTTTAAGAGAGAGCTATTCTGTTTTATTTATTTTTATTTTGATAGCTTTCAGTTTTGATAGTTTTTAGTTTTTAGTTACATGCGTGATTTTTGTAGTGGTGAATTCTAAGATTTTAGTGTGCCCATCACGCGAGTAGTGTACACTCTACGCCCCCCACTTCCAAATTCCCCTATGTGAGTCTCCAAAGTCCATTAGATCACTCTGTATGTCTTTGCGTCCTTATAGCTTAGCTCCCACTTATAAGTGAGAATATATGGTATTTCATTTGCCGTTCCTGAATTACTTTTCTTAGAATAATGGACTCCAGCTCCATCCAACTTATTGTGAAAGACATTATTTTGTTCCTTTTTATGGCTGAGTAGTATTCCATGGTATGCTTGTATGTGTGTGTGTATACATACACATATATACATATGTATACACACAAACATACCATATATATATATATGTACACACACATACACACATCTCACACACACCTCACATTTTCTTTATTCACTCATTAGTTGATGGGCACTTAGGTTGGTTCTATATCTTTGCAATTGTGAATTGTGTTACTGTGAACATGTGTGTGCATGTGTCTTTTTAATATAATGGCTTTTCCTTTGGGCAGATACCCAGTAGTAGGATTGCTGGATTCAATGGTAAATCTACTTTTAGTTCTTTAAGTAATCTCCATACTGTCTTCCATAGAGATTGCACTAATTTACATTCCCACCAGCAGTGTAAAAGTGTTCCCTTTTCACCACATCTATGCCAATATCAATTGTTTTTTGACTTTTTAATTATGGCCATTCTTGCAGGAGTAAGGTGTTACCTTACTGTGCTTTTAATTTGCATTTCGTTGATGATTAGTGATGTTGAGTATTTTTTCATGTTTGTTGGATGATTGTGTATCTTTTCTTGGGAAATATCTAATCAATCTTCTTTTGAGAAATGTCTATTCATGTCCATTGCCCACTTTTTGATGGGATTATTTGTTTTGTTCTTGCTGATTTGTTTGAGTTCCTTGTAGATTCTGGATACTAGTCCTTTGTCAGATGCATAGTTTGCAAATATTTTCTCCCACTCTGTGGGTTGTCTGTTTACTCTGACTATTTTTTTTATTTTTTTTCTGTACAGAAGCTTTCTAGTTTAATTATGCCCCATTTATTTTTGTTTTTGTTGCATTTGCTTTTGGAGTCATGAATTATTTGCATAGACAAATGTCCAGAAGAGTTTTTCCAATGTTATCTTGTAGAATTTTTATAATTTCAGGTCTTAGATTTAAGTGTTTGATCCATCTTGAGTTGATTTTTATATAAGGTGAAAGACGGGGATCCAGTTTCATTCTTCTACATGTGGCTTGCCAATTTTCCCAGCACCATTTATTGTGTAATTTGTATGCTTTGCCGAAGATCAGTTGGCTGTAAGTATTTGGCTTTATTTTTGGGTTTTCTATTCTGTTCCATTGGTCTAAATGCCTATTTTTATACCAGTACCGTGCTGTTTTGGTAACTATAGCCTTGTATTAATAGTGTAATTTGAAGTCTGGTGATGTGATACCTGCAGATTTGTTCTTTTTGCTTAGTATCGCTTTGGCTATTCAGACTCTTTTTTTGGTTCCATATGAATTTGAGGATTGTTTTTTCTAGTTCTGTGAAAAATGATGATGGTATTTTGATGGGAATTGTATTGAATCTGTAGATTGCTTTGGGAAGTGTGGTCATTTTCACAGTATTGTTTCTTCCTATCCGTGAGCATGAGGTGTGTTTCCATTTGTTTGTGTCATCTATGATTTCTTTCAGTAGTGTTTTTTAGTTTTCCTTGTAAAGATGTTTCACCTCCTAAAATATCCTAGATATTTTACTTTTTTGCAGTTGTTGTAAAAGGCATTGAGTTCTCGATTTGATTCTCAGCTTGGTGGTTGTTGGTGTGTAGCAGTGCTACTGATTTGTGTACATTGATTTTGTAACCTGAGACTTTACTGAATTTGTTTATCAGATCTAGGAGTCTTTTGGATGAGTCTTTGGAATTTTCTAAGTATACATTTGTATCATCAGCAAACAGCAATAGTTTGACTTCCTCTTTTCCCATTCTGATGCTCTTTATTTCCTTCTCTTGCCTAATTGATCTGGCTAGGAGTGGTGAAAGTGGAGATCCTTGTCTCACTCCAGTTCTCGGAGGAATGCTTTCAACTTTTCTGCATTCAGTATGATGTTGTCTATGGGTTTGTTATATATGGCTTTTATTATTTTGAGGTAAGTCCCTTCTATGCCTAGTTCGTTGGCGTTTTTATCATAAAGGAATGTTGGATTTTACTGAAAACCTTTTCTGTGTCTATTGAAATGACCATATGGTTTTTATTTTTGATTCTGTTTATGTGATGTATCACATTTATTGACTCACTTATTGTAAACCATCCTTACATTGGTGGGATGAAACCCACTTGGTTATTATGTATTATCTTCCTCGTGTGCTGTTGGATTTGGTTAGCTAGTATTTTGTTGAGGATTTTTGCATTCATGTTCATCAGAGATATTGGTCTGTAGTTTTCTTTTTTTTTGTGTGTGTCCTTTCCTGGTTTTGGTGTTAGGGTGATATTGGCTTCATAGAATGATTTAGGGAGGATTTCCTCTTTCTCTATCTTTTGGAATAGCCTCAGTAGGATTGGTACCTATTCTTTGAATGTTTGGTAGAACTCAGCTGTGAATCCATCTGATCCTGAACTTTTTTTACTGGCTTTTTTTTTTTTATTACTGATTCAATCTTCTTGTTATTGGTCTGTTCAGGGTTTCAGTTTCTTCCTGATTTAGTCTAGGAGGGTTGTATGTTTCCAGGAATTTATTCATTTTTTTCTGGATTTTCTAGTTTGTGTGTGTAAAGGTGTTCATAGTGGTCTTGAATGGTCTTTTGTATTCTGTGGTATTGGTTGTAATGTCTCGTTTCCTTTCTAATTGAGCTTATTTGGATCTTCTCTTTTCTTGGTTAATCTTGCTAATGGTCTGTCAATTTTATTTCTCTTTCCAAGAGCCAGCTTCTTGTTTCATTTATCTTTTATATATTTTTTGGTTTCAATTTCATTTAGTTCTGCTCTGATCTTTGTTATTTCTTTTCTTCTGCTGGGTTTGGGTTGAATTTTTTCTAGTTTCTCTGGTTCCTTGAGGTGTGACATTAGGTTGTCAATTTGTGCTCTTGCAGACTTTTTGATGTAGGCATTTAACACTATGAACTTTCCTCTTAGTGCTGCTTTTGCTGTATCCCAGAGGTTTTGATAACTTGTGTCACTATTATTCATTTCAAAGAATTTTTAAAATTTCCATCTTGATTTCATTGTTAACCCCCAAATCATTCAAGAGCAAATTATTCAATTTCCATGTATTTGTATAGTTTTGAGCGTTCCTTTTGGAGTTGATTTCTAGTTTTATTCCACTATGGTCTGAGAATATACCTGATAGGATCTCACTTTTCTTGAATTTATTGAGACTTGTTTTGTGTCCTATCATATGATCTATTTTGGAGAATGTTCCATGTGCTGATGAGAAGAATATATATTCTGCAGTTCTTGGGAAGAATATTCTGCAAATATCCATTAAGTCCATTTGTTCTAGAGTATAATTTAAGTCCATTGTTTCTTTGTTGACTTTCTGTTTCACTGATCTTTCTAGTTCTGTCAGTGGAGTACTGAAGTACCCCACTATTATTGTTTTGTTGTCTATCTCATTTCTTAGGTCCAGTAGTAATTGTTTTATAAATCTGGGAGCTCCAGTGTTAGTTGCATGTAAATTTAGGTTTGTAATATCTTCTTGTTGGATTGAGTTTTTAAATTATTACATAATGACCTTCTTTGTCTTTTTTAATTGTTTTTGCTTTAAAGTCTATTTTGTCTGATGTAAGAATAGCTACTCCTGCTTGCTTTTGGTTCCCATTTGCATGGGATATCTTTTTGTGCTTTTTTACCTTGAGTTTATTTAAGTCCTTATGTGTTAGGTGAGTCTGTTGAAGCCAGCAGATAATTTGATTTGTTGATTTTTTTATCCATTCTTCCATTCTGTATCTTTCAAGTGGAGCATTTAGGCCATTTATGTTCAACATTAATATTGAGATGTGAGATACTGACCTATTCATCATGTTAGTTGTTACCTACTTTGTGTGCGTGTGTGTGTGTGTGTGTGTGTGTGTGTGTGTGTGTCGTTGTTTTATAGGCTTTGTGAGTTTTATGCTTTCAGGAGGTTTTATTTTGGTGCATATTAAGCTTGTGTTTCAAGATTTAGAACTCCTTTTAGCATTTCTTGTAGTCCTGGTTTGCTAGCGGCAAATTCCCTCAGCATTTGTTTGTCTGAAAAAGACTTTATTTCTTCTTCATTTATGAAACAGTTTTGCTGGATACAAAATTGTTGGCTGACAGTTGTCCTGCTTAAGGTGCCTAAAGACAGGACCCTAAACCATTCTAGCTTGTAAAGTTTCTGCTGAGTATTCTGTTTTAAAAATGACTATGACTTTCTGTGGAGGCTTTCTTCTCCTTTCCCTTTAAGGTCAGAAATTAAAAAAAAACTGAGGCAAACAAACAATACCTCTGTAGTCTCAAAATAATGAAAATGAAAAAAAAGTTTCTTTAGCAATTAAGTAAGGAATCATATCAATTAACTCCTCCTTTTCTGATAAAAAGTCTATACCATGAAATAAGTTTCTCTACTATAGCTCTACAGGGTTAGGATTTTAGCAAGTATGCTACGATTCTGGACTATGAAGAGCCAGCAAAATTTTTCTGTAAATAATCACACAATAAGTATTTCCAGCTTTGTGGGCCATGAATTTTCTCTTCCCTGCACCCAGCTTTATTTGTGTATAATTGACAAATAAAAATTGTATGTATTTATGGTATACAGCGTGATGCTTTGATATACATATACATTGTCAAATGATTATGACAATCAGGCTAATTAACATATCTTTTGTCTCACATAGTTACCATATTTTTGGGGTGAGAATATTTTAAGATTTACTTTCAGGAAATTTCAAGTATACAATACAGCATTGTTAACTATAGTCACAATGCTGTACATTAGATCATCAGAACTTATTCATCCTGCATAACTGAAATGTATTCCTCTGCATAACTGAGTATCTTTTGACCAACATTCCCCCAAGTCTTCAGTCTCTGGTAACCACCATTCTACTCTCTGCTTCTACGAGTTCAACTTTTTTAGATTCCTCATGTAAGTGAGATAATGCAATATTTGTTTTTCTGTGCCTGGCTTGTTTTACTTGGCATGATGTCCTCAAGATTAATCCATATTGTCACAAATGACAGGATTTTTTTTAAGGCTGAATAATATTCCACTGATGTACATATACCACATTTTCATTATTTATTCATCCACTGATGGACACTTAGGTTGATAACCTCTCTTCGCTATTGTGAATGATGCTTCAATGAACATGGGAGCACAGACATCACTTTGAGATACTGATTTCATATATTTTGGATATATACCCAGAAGTGGGATTGCTGGATCATATGGTAGTTCTATTTTTATTTTTTAAAGGAATCTCCATCCTGTTTTCTATAATGGCTGTACCAATTTATGTTCCCAGCAACAGTGCACAAGGGTTCCCTTTTCTCCACATCTTTGCTGATTCTTATCTTTTGTCATTTTGCCAATGCTTATCTTTTGTCATTTTGATAATAACCATGATAACAGGTGTGAGATGATATCTCATTGTTGTTTGATTTGCATTTCTTTGATGATTAATAATGAACATTTTTTCATATACCTGTTGGTCATTTGTATGTCTTCTTTTGAGAAATGTCTATTGAATTTCTTTGCCTATTTTTAATTGAGTTATTTGTTTCATTTCCATTGAGTTTGAGTTTCTTGTATATTTTGAATATGAATCCCTTAACAGATGCATGGTTTATAAATATTTTCTCCCATTTTGTAAGTTGTTTTATCACTGTTGATTGTTTCCTTTCTTGAGCATAAGCTATTTAGTTTGATATAATCCCACGTATTTATTTTTGCTTTTGTTGCCTGTGCTTTTGGTGTCATAATAAAAAAAAAAATCATTGTCCAGACTGTTTTACAGTATCAGGTCTTACATTTAAGACTTTATTCCATTTTAAGTTTTTTTTTAATATATAGGGTAAGATAAGCGTCCAATTTCATTCTCCTGCCTATGTATGTTCAGTTTTCCCAACACCATTTATTGAACACGTGGTTCTTTCCTCATTATATGTTCTTGTCACCTTTGTCAAAGATCAATTGACCAAAACGCATGGATTTATTTCTGGGATCTCTTATTCTATTGATTTGTATGTCTGTTTTTATGCCAGTATGGTGCTATTTTGGTTACTATAGCTTTGTAGCATGTTGTGAAATCAGATAGTATGATATATCCAGATTTGTTTTTTAGTCTCAAGATTGCTTTGGTTATTCAGGGTCTTTTGCAGTTGCGTATGAATTTTATACTTTTTTTTTATGTTTATGTGAAGAATGATATTTGGAATTTTGATAGGGATTACATTGAATCTGTAGATTATTTTGGGTAGTATGGACTTGTTAACAACATTCTTTGAATCCATGAACACAGAATATTTTTTCATTTATTTGTGACTTCAGTTTTTTTCATCAATGTTTCATAGATTTCAATGTGCAGAAGTTTTACCTCCTTGGTTAAATTTGTTCCTAAGTATTTTATTTTTTGATACAATTATAAATGGGATTGTTTTCTTAATTTCCTTTTTGGATAGTTCATTGTGTGTATAGAAACACAACTGATTTTTGTATGCTGATTTTGTATTTTGTAACTTTACTGAATTTGCTTATTATAGTAGTTTTTTGATGGAGTCTTTAGGGTTTTCTATATATAAGAGTATGTTATTGGCACATGGATAATTTTACTTTTTCATTTCTGATTTGGATGCCTCATATTTCTTTTTATGGCCCACTTGCTCTGGCTAAGTCTTCTGGTACAATATTGAGTAGAACTGGCAAGAGTGGGCTTCCTTGTTTTGTTCCTGATCTTTGAGGAAAAGCTTTCAACTTCTTAACATTGAGTATGTTAGTCTATAAGCTTATCATATATGGCCTTTGTTGTGTTGAGATACATTTCTCCTGTATTTAATTTGTAGAGAGCTTTTTAAAAATCATAAATGAATGTTGAATTACATGGAATGCTTTTTCTGTACTATTAAGATAACCATATAATTTTAATCTTACATTCTGTTAATTTGATGTATCAAACTGTACATATTGAACCAGCTATGTACCTCAGGGATAACTCCCACTTGATCATAGCATATAATTCTTTTAATATGCTGTTGAATTAGGTTTGCTAGTATTTTATTTAGGATTTTTTACGTCTTTGTTTACCAGGGATGTTGGCCTGTGATTTTCTTTTCTTGTAGTGTCCTTGTTTGCCTTTGATATCAGGGTAATGCTGGCCTTATAAAATTAGTTTGGAAGTGTTCCCTATTGTTCAATTTTTTTTTTGGAAGCCTTTGAGAAAGATTGACATTTATTCTACTTTAAATGTTTGTTAGAGTTTGCCAGCATAGCCATCAGGTCCAGGACTTTTTCTCTGTTAGGAGGTTTTGATTACTGATTTCATCTCCTTACTCTTTATTGGTCTCTTCATAGTTTCAATTTTTTCATGATTCAGTCTTGTAGGATGTATGTTTCTGGGAATTTATCCATTTCTTTTAGGTTATCCAATTTGTGTATAATTGTTTATAGTAGTCTCTTATGATCCTTTGTATTTCTTTGTTATTAGTCGTAATGTCTCCTCTTATATTTTTAATTTCACTTATCTGAGAGTCATCTCTCATTTTCCCATAGTATAACTAAAGATTTGTCAATGTTGTCTTTCAAAAAAATCAAATCTTAGTTTTGCTTGGGTCCGTGGGGGCAGGCCTGGACTCTTATTTGCTGGAGCCTAAGGCTATGGTGGCTGGCCTGGCACTGGGGAAAGCTCAAAGCCTTGTTCCATTGGGATTGGCCCAGAGCCTGACTCTGCAGGGAGCAGGCTGGAGCTGGGGTGGGCCTGGAGTCAGGATTTATAGGGGTATTCCTAGAGCCTGTGGTATGGACCAGATGTTTTTTGTCTCAACTACTCAACTCTGCTGTTGCAGTGCAACAGGAGTCTTAGACAATATGGGAACAAATAAGTATGGCTGTGTTCCCATAAACCTTTATGTGCATAAACAAGTGGCAGGCTGGATTTGACCCATGGGTTATAGTTTGATCATCCCCACAGTATACATAATAAAAATTTAAACACATGGCAGTTAATAGTTATTTCCATTTGATTTTCTAATTTCAAAAGATGTTTCATACACATTCCATGTTATATTTACAGATACTCTGATTATGTCGTGCATATAATGATGAAATGTTGCAAAGTGTGTTTGAAGGAATAAGTGGAGAAACAAGTTTCATATATGGAACAGATACAATGTTCCATATATGGAAGTACCTACATCCATTAAGTGGATACTTAATGAGGAAGAAAGTCCCTTTAAGTTCTTATTTTTATCACTCAGCTAAAATAACAACTTCTCAATGACGCAGACTCTTGAGACATTTGACTTATACTACGAGCAACCTTTTATCTTTCTCCAAACCCAGTAAGTTTGGACTCATGATTGTTTTCACTTTTCTAGAGAACATTATTGGTCAAACTACAAGTTGGTTGGGAAAATACCAGATATTAACTTTTCAATTAATATCTGACAAGATAACAATTTCTTATATTTATGTAGAATTTTTCAAGTTTACAAAGTTATTTCATATAGATTATTTTATTTTATCCTCAAATACCCAGCAAAGGGAACAAAAAATGAAAAATAATAAGACATTGCATTTTTATTTCCCCCCTTACCTCAAGGAGTTATAGATTTGGATAAAATAAATAAAAAAAGAATAAAAATGCCCACTCAATATTGTTTCTTATCTGCTCAGGAGAATTTATAGTAATACTGATGCCTTCTAGATCAAAAGCAAAAGAACAAGGTCCGCTTAGGGCAGAACCAAGTCACTGACCTGTCACTCTCGCATGTCATTCTAATCTAAGTAGGATTCAACTTCTGACCTGTGAGAAAGAGGTCTCAAAGTTTTTGATGAAAGTTATTTTCAGTAGCATCCAAGTTAGTAGCTGCTGAAACAAATCCAAACTAACAATTGGAAAAAAACCCATATGAGAACCCACCAATAAAAAGGTAAAGAAAATAAAGGGATGAAGGGTTTCTAAATTGGTTAGTCATGGAAAATCAAGTCTGATAGCTCTTTTCAGATCTATAATAGATATGAAACAACATTTTAAGGATAAACCTTATGTTACTTTTCCTTTCAGTCATTTAAAATCACACACACACACATACACACACACACTTACTGAATACTTGGAATACATGAATGAATACAAATGAATAATTGGAAACATGATTGAATAGGTCAAAAATAAAATCTAGTATGCAATAATTTGCTCCTGCAGAGAAAGGTGTAAAAGTTCATGTATTGAAAAACCTGCATGAATCAGGAAGGCTATGACTTATTTTGATGCCAGTTTCTGACTCTGCAGAAGTGGCCAGATTAGAAAGTGATGCTGCAATCACAGAACTCAACCAATCGGATCCATGAGCCAGTGAGTAGAAATCTAGAACAGAAATCTCAAGGCTAAGAATCACCTTAAGAATTGGAAGAGCTCTAAAAGTCCCCTTGATTTATCAAATGTCAGAAAAATGATAGTGTAATTTTTTTTATTTCCTTCAAAACAACATAAATTAAATGGTGCAAATTACTGGCTTTTGTTAATAACAAAGAAAAGCATGCCTGTTGATGGCAACCATACAAAAGAGGTAAAAATAATGAACCCCAGTGTGAAATTAACAGTAAAGAAAGTGAAGGTTGAGGGCTGAAAAATTACTGATGGTGTTCTGATACAGACCCAGGGAAAGTTAGGAAAGAAGTCTCAAATAATGAAGTGGGGTACCACCTGATGGCAAACCTATAGCAAGTGGGAATAAGAGGCTAATAGGAGAGGACAAGTAGTGCCAAAGTAACGGATTCATATATTATTGAATGCACTAGTAGAAGAAAACTGAGAATGGGTGTGGGCCTAGCAAGTGGGAACAGATGAAAGAAGAAAAAATGAAAAGCAAATAAATGGAAGGATTGAGAAAACCAAAATGAAATATATTAGATATATTCAATGAATTGTTTTTTATGGAAAACAAATATTTCGTAAAAGCTTACTGCAAAAATATTCTATTTTATCATATTTTCCTTGCTGTTGTGAAACCATGTATATAGATTTAGTACGATTGCTAATAAGAACAACTAAGGTTTATTGAGCACTTACCATGTGGCAGATAAATTCATTTGTTTGTATTAATTTGTATTGTAATCACATGGGGAGGTATGTTATTTCTTTATTTTATAAAGAAACTGGGACGCAGGAGGTAAAATAACTTCTTCAAGGCTGTTTTTAAATCAGGAGTCCTGGCTTCAGAGACTCCATTCTATTAACTTACACTTTAATTTGGCTCTTTGTTTGTTTGTTTTCTTTTTGTTTTTTTGTTTTGTTTTTTTGTTTTTTAGAAATGCAGAATTGTTGTTTCAATTTGTGTTTAAAATGTCAGGGTGAACAAGCATTTACTTCCTGTTTCCCTGAAATCCCTGTTAAATAAGAATAGAGAGATACAAAATAAGATAAGACCACAAAGACAAACAGAATAGTGGAGAAGATACAAGAAAATGTTGGCAGCTGGAAAGCAGGATGATTGGTAACTGACTTAATCTATGTTAATTAGCCTGATTTAATCATTCCACAATGTGTATATATGTAAGAACACCACAATGTACCCCTTAAATATATACATTATTATTTGTCAATTAAAAATATATCTTAAAGCAAAGAAAGAGAGTGCAAGAGCACTGAATCCTTATTTGGCAAAGGGGGAAGGTGATAAACACATTTATACCTCTGGACCCCCAAAAATCAGGATTAGTGATACCTCTGAAAGTGAAGGGTGAAGGAAGGGTTGAAAAACAGAAGGACAGGATCTAATTCTGTTTGAGAAGCAGTTAGATCCCCCATGCCCATCTTCTATCTTGATATAATTCTGGAGTTTTATTCTTAGAAGTAAAGAAGAAGACCCCCATTTTTCTCATCAGGGGGGTTTGGTTAAATTTCTTAGTCTACCATTACCTAGAAGAGAAACTTATAGTCTACTATTAACAGAACAACCAGACAGATCTTGAGAAAATGACTTCCTGCATAACCAGAAGTAAGAGCCAAAGTTTTTAGAATAACCTACACTACATGATCTGTCCCCTGTCCTCTCCTGCCCACCTTCACTCCCCATCCTAACCCCCACCCTGGCTCCAGAATTTCCTCTTTGATATTATTACCTGTTACGTCCCTCACTCATTCCACTGTAGTCACACGAGACTTCTTGTTCTTCCTCAAACATGGAGACCATTCCCTCCTTGTGTCATTTACTTGGTCTCTTTTCTCTACCTGGATATTTTTGCTTCCTTTAGATATCTGTAAAGCTCATTTCCTCACTTCCGTAATCTATTTAATCAAATTTCATCTTTTCAGGAAGACTTTCCCTGACCAATAGATCTAAAATTGCAACTTTTCCCAACTGTCGTTTTCAAGCCTCTGAGCCCAAGCTAAGCCATCATATCCCCTTTGACCTGCAGGAATACATCCAGATGGCCTGAAGCAAGTGAAGAATCACAAAAGAAGTGAAAATGGCCGGTTCCTGCCATAACTGATGACATTACCTTGTGAAATTCCTTCTCCTGGCTCAGAAGCTCCCCAACTGAGCACCTTGTGACCCCCACCCCTGCCCACCAGGGAACAACCGCCTTTGACTGTAATTTTCCACTACCTACCCAAATCCTATAAAATGGCCCCACCCCTATCTCCCTTCCCTGACTCTCTTTTCGGACTCAGCCTGCCTGCACCCAGGTGATTAAAAAGTTTTATTCCTCACACAAAGCCTGTTTGGTGGTCTCTTCACACGGACGCACATGACATCCGTATCCTTTCTTATTTATTCTTTAGTTAAGCATCCTATTTAACCTCCCTGTACCTTAGATTCCTTACATGTAAAAAAGGAAAATAACAAAATCTGCTTCATGTATCTTGTTTATTGTTTGTCTAGCATCCTATACATTTTACTTTACTTATCCTTTTGCTTGTTTACCCAGTAGAATGTCAGCTCCTCCAGGACAGGGATTTTTACATTTGCTTTTTTCACTCTTGTATCTTATAGCATTTACAACAGTGCCTGATATATAGGAATTGCTCAACAGTTATTGATATATAAATGAAAGGATTATAATATAAAGTTGAGAAAATTTCTAGGGAAGCAGGGTGAAAAGATTAAGTGAAAGAAATTAGGAGATAAGGAGATGAGAAAATTTCAGGTCAAATCAAAGAGGATGATAACTCCTATTATTCAAACAATAGGAGTTTAAGAAAGAGAAAATGGAAAACAGGGGAGGATATACATGAGATAAGTAACTCAAGAAAATGTGCCAGGACATAAGTTTCCAGTTTGAAACAGTTCACTTAGTACCTAGGTCAATGGTTGAAATTAGATCCACCTCAAATAACATCATTAGGACATTTCAGAATACCAGAGACAAAGAGAGATCTTTTGAAATATGCAAAGAGAAAAAAATCAAATTATGCACAAAGGATCAGTAATCATAATGTCCTCAGACTTTTCACAGCAATAATGGAAGTTAGAAGTCATACCTTCAAACTTCAGGGAAAAAACAAAAATAAGCTTAAAGTTTGATGCCATGTCAAGCTGTTAATTAAATGTGAGTCTATAATCAAGATATTTTCAGATAGCCTGGGTATTATAATATTTACTTCTCATGCATCATTTTTCAGAAAGTTGGTAGACAAGATTTCACAATATAAGAGAATAAACATAGAAAATAGAATAAATGTGACTTGGAAAATGAGATTCAACATGAGAGAGCTGAAGGGAATCTCCAGGAGCATGGGCATGCAGTATACCTAGAGAGCAACCAGTTCAGACTGGGGCAGGTCAGAAGCTTTTAGAGTGATATCTCCATGTAAAGGAAACTGATAGATACTTGAAGTATTTAAGTTGCACATATTGAGAAGAGTTTTAATCAACTAAGGGAGAGTTTGGAGATAAATTAATGAACTAAGAAATGGAAAACTAAGAAAAAATGCAACACAATTACTAACTCTGAGGAGAAGTAACCATAATATAGTCTATCATTCAGCTATGAACATCATTTATAAGTCAAAACATTGCAAATATTGATGATTGATATAACCAAAATTATGTTATGGAAGTGTTAGTATGATTGCATCTTGAAGGAGGTAGGGGGCAAGTGATCTAAATCCTTAGCTTTTGTAGTGGGATATCAGTAAACAATGTCTAAAATGAAAAAAAATATAGAAGTAGCAAAATAAACATTATTTGGGTTTATGGAGTTGTTGAGCTAAAAGGAAGAACCTGAGGCAAAAATAATATAAGTAGAGAGTTTATTTGGGCCAAGCTTGAGGATTGCAACCCAGGAGCATAGATTCAAGTTGCCCTGAATATACATTGATTAGCAACAGTTACAAGTGGATTTTTAAAGGCAATAAAAGGGGACAGGGAGTAGATTAATACAAAATTGTTTGTCAAGAAATCTCATTGGTTTAGAAAAATAACATTGATTGATAATTGGCTATACATTGTTAAGGTATAAATTGTGGGTTTTAGGTACATTATTAGGTTAATTCATAGCTACTTGTGGCAATAACAAGCAGTTTCAAGAGACTACTACATAGCTAAAGTGGGGAGTAGGGCATGATTGCTGTCTCATTTTAATGTCTCTCTGGGCCTGGTAATTAAAAGGACTTTACATTCTTCAGATAAAAGTGTGTTTTTCTTTCTTTTCTTGGAGTTAATTTAAGAGAAAGCTACAATTGTTGAGAGTGTTTGTCTCTTAAGACTTATGAAATGTAGTGGGAGGAGAGGACTACTCTTTCTTTGTAATATGATTTTAAAAACGATTGGATCCTTTAAATTATGTGATGATGTGTAACCTCAATAAATATAAAGACAGTGTAACTGAAATATAAGGAATATTAGAACAAATATAAAGAAAAATAGAAAATTGTTGTTTGTGTTATTACAGATTGAGCATTCTTAATCTGAAAATTTGAAATCCATAGTGCTCCAAAATCTGAAACTTTTCGAGCATCAACATGACACCACATGTAGGAAATTTCACTTGTGAGTGCTTAAAACAAACTTTGTTTCATGCACAAAATTATTTAAAATATTTTATAAAATTACCTTCAGGCTGTATGTATAAGGTGTATATAAAACATAAATGAATCTTATGTTTAGTTTGGGGTTCATCCCTAAGATATCTCATTATGTATATGTAAATATTCCCAAATCTGAAAAATCAGAAATCCAAAACACTTCTTGTCCCAAGCATTTTGGATAAGGAATACTCAACCTGTAATTTGAAAATAAAATATTTTTCTTTGATAGTTCTGCATGCCACAAAACCCTTTCTGACTCCAAACAAGCCCATGTCACTGTCGCCTCAGAGATGTGTGCTTTCAAGCTTAGCACAGAACTTGCTTTCCACTTTTTCTGGATTATTTTCTAGGGATAAGGTAGATAAAAGGCAGGAATTCTAAACTCTTAGGTCTTGGCTCTGGTCCTATCTTCACACGACTCAAGGGCAGTCTTAGACAACTTTTATCAATCTTTAGCTGCCCTTTTCTCCTTTTTAACGATCACATACTTTAAAACTAATGAAATGTTTTAAAATCAACACTAAAAAATGAAATTGGGAGGCCTAGTGGGTGGCAAATATTTTGAAAAGGTTGGGAATGAATGTAGAAATTTAAGTGGCTATGTTTATAGAAACCATTTTCCCATCAATGAATTATATTTTATATGAAGAAATGTATGAGGCCTGTTTTTCGAGTAGCTACGAGCGTACTCATTGCAGAAATAGGTCAGTTCCAATGATCATAATAATTTTAGGCTTTGGACTGAAAGCATAATACAAATATCACTAGTGCCATTGACTACAGAAAAGTGTCATGGTTAGCACTAAATTGTGGCTTGAGTTTTTTTCTTTAGATTTTCCAAGATTTATATGAATTTATTTTGTATCTATGTCTTGCTGAATTTAAAATGAAGCTGACACACACTCCTCATTTTAAAATGTATTATTGAAATATCTATCTCATGCTGGTCTGAGTTACTTTTTCAAGAGCCCCCAGGAAGTTATGGAAGGTACTATGATTTAGCTATAAGCTAAATTTTACAGAGACATTTTAAAAACATTTCTGACTACATTTATTCTGAATTATTCACCATTTATTTTCTCCAAGCCAATTTCAAGGGTGCCGTGAAACATACGCGGTCTTTGTTGCCTACACATTCTTTTGTAATAGGCAGTTTGGGGCTGATGTTGCATGTGCATATTTAACTTCACCTCGATCTGTTAATACAGCTGCAATGATAAATCTGTAATTAGAATAACCTTTCTGTTTGTTAATTTAAGAGGCTAACATGGCATCTTGATTTTAATATTTACACTCCATCTACTTGATGTAGTTTAGAAATCAGAACACCGTGAAAGATAGGACACAGAAGGTTAAAACAGAATCTAACCAAAGAAAGCAGAAGAGGTAAATAATGTCGTGCAACAGAAATGAGCTGATTCTAGAATGGGAAACAGTGTGTTTCTAAAGTTTCTCAAATTTAAGGCTCCAAATGAAATAATTATTTGGTAGTTTTTTTCCTGGCAGCCCAATGCCCACATATAAATCTACAGAGATGAAATTTTTCCCTAAGCAAAATTAGCTCTCGGCAGGACATAAAGGAGCATGCAGAAATCTATTGTGTAGGAATGACATTAAGTCAACCTAGAACCAATATCTGGATTATGATTTTATAGGACTGAGGCAAAAATTCTATTATTTAATGAAATAATTTTTATGCGTCCTTCGTATAAGAGGTGGAAGGAAGATTCATTCAATGAAAGCATTTTTTGAGGAGTTGGAAGAAGAGGATGTAGTAAATGTAGTACAAGTATGATCACTGATTTGAGTAATAATAGGTGACTAAATATGGAGGCAGGTCTGGGTATTGTTTTTCTGGGCCAACCTACAGAATGACCTAAGCCTCAGGCTAGGTCAGAATGTGAGGTGTGAAAGTTTTCTGTGTGTACACACTCATCTGCATGTGCTCATGCACACATGCACACACATGTGCATGTGCATACAAATATGGAGGATAAAGAAGGCAGGGGAGAGCAGGCGCACATGAGTAACATTGTTTAACCCACCAAACAAGGCCACTAGGATTTCAATATTTGTGGCCAGGACTTTCAGGCACTGAGATGGGTTATTAAACTTGCTTTTCACACTTTAGTCCTAACTTTTTTCTATCATACTGAGCTTTCTTTTGACCATTTTAATACCTGAAATCAAGATATATAAAGAGGATCTAGGAGAGCTGGGAGAGCAGACAGGAACAAGTTTTCTGAGAAGTGAGTAACAGAGTAGGAGTGGGACTCGTAGTGAGAATATCTTGATTCTGGATCACTGGGGTCTTCAAGTGGAAACTCTCATGTGCCTCGTTCCCTGTGGTGGGATTGGTCCCAGAGTCAAGGCATGCGTGAACTGATGCAGATGGCTTTTGAGAGGCCCAGTGATGAAGGTGAGATGTAGGGGTCAAGGTGAGGAAAGATAGGGTTCACTGTCATAATCATAACCACATATTACAAGGTCCCCTGGACCTTGTCTTTCAGGTACTAACAATTGGACTTTTTCCATATGTATTAACTTACTATCTGTCTATATATGTGTCTGCATTTTGGCTGAGTTCCCTAAGAGTTTGCTTTTTTAGGGGAAAGTCTACAATATCTCTCATATCTCAAACACTTATTCTATTTGCTATGCTTTCCTGACAATTGCAGATGTTAGAAAATATTTCGGCCTTTTTTTGTGGGGAAAGAATCATATAAGCATATGTGGAAAATATCACAACATAAAATGTAAAAAAAAAAAGTGAAAATTTCCAGGAGCACATTATTAATTTATTCCCCAAATAATATATATTTCCTGTGTGCTGGAGATAAGTCAGTGATCAAGAAAGGCAAGATTTCTGCACTCCTGGAGGTTACATTCTTAAGCAGTCTCTGGGTATAATGAGGACCAAGGCTATAGATCTGTAGCGATGAGATAATGTTTATATGTAAAAAGAACAGCAATAATAGGTTTTTATGTATTAAGTGCCAGCTGATAGAGCTTGAATAATTACAGTGGGGATGGAGAAATTATTTCAGGCAGCAGAGTTGTATGACTAAAGCATGACTACAAGAATGCAATGAGAAATGGACTTGTTTGCCTGAAGTCCAGGGGTTGTATATGGGAGTAGTCAGGGACAACATTTGAGAGGTAGATAAGAACCATTGAAAACTTGTGAGCAGGGAAATGACATGATAAAATTGATGATGACATAGTAGACATGAAAATCAAGTTAGGAATTGGGATACTGAAATAGACCAGGGGTGTATTAAAGGTGATGTCAGTGGGAATGCAAAGTTAGTGAAACATATAAGACATTTGAAAGGAAGACTCAGTAGACTTGGGACTGGTGAATATGAAGCCAGAAAAGAAGAGAGGAATCAAGGATCACTCCAGCATTTCAAACCACAGTTTTTCAATAAGGTGACATTTGTACAAATGGAGAATTCCAGATGGGGGATAGTTTGGAAGGATCAAGGATGCGGTATGGTTTAGATATGTGCAGTCATAGAAATTGGGAATAGAAGAGTTTTAATTTTTTTCTAGCTTTATTTTACCTTGAAATTTTCTTATCAGCAGTCAAATATGTAGAAAAATTTAAAAACTAGTATAATAAACTCCTATATACCCAATACATCTAGATTCAACAGTTTTCATTTTGTCATATTAGTTTTTTCTATATGTCTGCCTCTCTGTTTATCCATCTTTTTGACTGAACCATTCAAAAATAACTTGCAGTTGCAATAAAATTTCATTTCTAAGCACTTCAGCATTTATGTTCTAAGAACATCAACTTCAATTTTGAAAGAAGTTAAGATCAAAGGTGTTTCACTTAGTGGTATAGGTAGGCTATATTAGACACTTAGGTTGCCTGATGGTCAAATGCTCCTACCATGTAATACCTTCCGTGTTTATATTTGATATTTATTGCTTGGAGTGTTCTGACATATAAACTAGATTCATGCAAATAACACTATAAGAGTATAAAAGAGGTCTAGTGTGAGGGTTTATGGATAGAAAGAGATTTAGAGAGCTAAGAAAGAAGATGAATGAGAACAGAACAGTGGAGCAGAGACTGTATTTGCATAGGGGAAATTTAATGGTTGTATCAAGTGGTCCTTAGTGATGTCTGACCATAACTGATCATATGGCCTTGGAAATTGGGAAGTAGGCCAAGATCATGTTCTGAGATGGACTTTATGGACCACTTCCTTTGTTTCTTATCACATCCACATCTCCCACTGAAAAAAGCAATATTTCAGGTTGATGTATATACATAGCATGGTTGTGATGTTACTTTACTCATAACCTAGTAAACAGATATATATATATATATATATATATATATATATATAAAATGAGATCATGGTAGATATGGGGTTTAAGGGAACATATGGGGTCTGTGTCAAAGTAGAAGGGATTTCAAGAATTACCCTATGAGCTCTTAATGGGTTACAGTTGTGTTGTTAAAGTGCTTTGCAACTTGAGAGAGCTGTTGAGAGAATAAAGCTTGTTATGAGAGATCATTGCAGCTCCTGGTTACTTTATTATTATTGTGACACTGGAGAACATGGCTGTTAGGGAATGGGCTCCCAGGAACCAATGTATGATGTATATATTTGAAATAAGGGAAAAAATCCGTAAAATGTTCAAAGTTGGAGGACAAACTGTTTAGTTTTAATATTTTTAGTGTATTTATCTTTGGAATTTGTTTTATGTCTTTTTTTTTTTTTTTTTTTAGAGATGGGTTCTCATTCTGTTGCCCGGGCTGGAGTGCAGTGGTGCAATCATAGCTCACTGCATCCTTGAACTCCTAGGCTCAAGCAATCCTCCTACCTCAGCCTCTTCAGTAGCTGGGACTACATGCATGAGCCACTGCACCTAATTTAAAAATTCTTTATAGAGATGGGGTCTCACTATATTGCCCAGGCTGGTCTCAAAATCCTGTGTTCAGTCTTCCCACCTCAGCCTCCGGTGTAGCTGGGATTACAGGCACGGGCCAGCACACCTGGCTGTGTCTTTTATTCAGTGTTCATTCCGTATAGGCTAGGTGTTTGGGTAATAAAAATGTGAATCATCTTACAAAACTTTACAGTCCAGGACATGGACTCTGTACTGGATTGAATAGTGTCCCCCTCAAAATTTCCATGTCCACACTAAGAATATCAGAATGTGACTTTATTTGGAAATAGGGTCCTTATAGATATAACTAGTTAGGTTAAGATTGTCATACTAGGCTAGGATGTGCTCTTATAAGAAGAGAAGAGAATACACAGATTCACAGAGGTGTAGAGAGAATGCCACGTGAAGACACTGGCAGGGATTGGAGTGATGGGTCTATAAGCCAAGAAACACCAAGGATTTCTGGCAACCACTGGAAATTGGGAGAGAGGTATAGAACAGATTTTCCCTCAGAGCCTCCAGAAGAAACAGCCCTGCTAACACCTTGATTTTGGGACTTCTAGGCTCTAGAACTTTGAGAGAATAAATTTCTGTTGTTTTAAGTTACCTAGTTTGTGATGATACATATTTTTAATTTAAAATTTTTTAAAAAAATTTGTATAAATTCATGGGGTACATGTGAAATTTTATTACATGTATATAATGCATAGTGATCCATTCAAGGATATTTAGGGTGTCCATCACCTGAGTGCAATACATTTTTGTTAACTATAGTCACCCTATTCTGCTATCAAGCATTACATTTATTCCTTCTAACTATATGTTTGTACCCCTTAACCCACTTCTCATCTTCCCCCTTTCCCTCACGTACCTGTCCCAATCTCTGTTATCTATCTTTCCACTCTCTACCTCCATGAGATGAAATTTTTTAGCTCCCACTTGTGAGAACATGTGATACTTGTCTTTTTGTGCCTAGCTTAAGATAACAACCTCCAGTTCCACCCATGTTGCTCTAAATGACATGATCTCGTTGTTTTTACTGGTTGAATGGGATTCCATTGTGTATATACACAACTTTTTTTTTTATCCATCCATTGGTGGACACTTAGGTTGATTCTATTATCTTTGCTATTGTGAATAGTGCTGCAATAAACATGAGAGTGTAGATTTTTCTTTGATATATTGATTTCTTTTCCTTTGGGTAGATACTCTGGGATTGCTGGATCAAATGGTAATTCTATTAGATTTTTTATAAACTTCCATACTGCTTTCCATGGATTTATTTATGTTAATTTTGTATCCTGCCACTTTACTAAATTAAGTTGTCAAATCTAAGAGGTTTTTGGTGGAGTTTTTATGTTTTTATAGGTATAAGATATCATTAGCAAAGAGGGTCAATTTGACTTCTGTTTTCCAATTTGGATGTTTTTTATTTTTTTTCTCTTGCCTGTTTGCTCTGGCTGAGACTTCCATTACTATGTGGAATAGGAGTGGTGAAAGAGGGCATCTTTGTCTCATTCCAGTTTTTAGAAGAAAGGCTTTCAACTTTTCCCCATTCAGTATGATGTTAGGTGTGGGTTTGTCATATATGGCCTTTATTATTTTGAGGCATGTTCCTTTTGTACCTAATATGTTGAGAATTTTTATCATGAAGGGATGTTGAATTTATCAAATGCTTTTTCTGCATTTATTGAGATGATCATATGTTTTTTTCCTTCATTCTTTTTATGTGGTGTATCCTGTTTATTGATTTGTATATCTTGCATCATCCGCATCCCTGTTTTACATCACTCTTCATCATGGTGTGTTTTTGCTGTGCTGATGTGATTTGCTAGTATTTTGCTGAGGAGTTTTGCATCTATGTTCATTAGGGATATTCACCTGTAGTTTGATTTTTTTCTTGTGTTTTTGTCTGGTTTTGGTATCAGAGTGATGCTACCCTTGTAGAATGAGTTGATAATTCCCTCCTCTTCAATTTTTTATAATAGTTTCAGGAGGACTGGTACCAGTTCTTTGTACATTTGGTAGAATTTGGCTGTGAATCCATAAGGTCCTGGGCTATTCTTTGTTGGGCGAATTTTATTACTGATTAAATCTTGCTCCACATTATTGCTCCCTTCAGGTTTTCTATTTCTTCCTGATTCAATCTTTGTAGGTTTTGTGTGTCCAAGAATTTATCCCTTTCCTTTAGTATCTCCAGTTTGTTAGCATTTGGTCACTCATAATAGTCTCTGATAATCTTTTGTATTTCTGTGGTATGAGTTGTAATGTCTTCTTTTTCATTTATGATTTTGTTTATTTGGGTATTCTTTCCTTTTTGTGGTTAATCTAGTTTATCAAATTTGTTTATCAAATTTTGTTACGTCAATTTTGTTGATCTTTTTGAAGAACTGAGTTTTTGTTTTGTTGATCCTTTATAACGTTTTTGTAGTCTCCGTTTCTTTTAGTTGTGCTCCAATCTTTGTTATTTCTTTTCTTCTATTAATTTTGGGTTTGGTTTGTTCTTGCTTTTCTGTTTCCTTGAGGTGCAGTGATAGATTATTAATGTATAATCTTTCTACTTTTTTGATGTAGTCATTTAGTGCTATAGACTTCCCTCTTGGCACTACTATTGCTGTGACCCATGGGTTTTGGTATGGTATGTTTCCATTTTCATTTGTTTCAAGTAATTTTTTGGTTAATCATAATTTCTTTGTTGACCCAGTGGTTGTTCAGGAGCATGTTGTTTAGTGCCCACGTATTTGTCTAGTTTCCAAAGTTCTTCCTGCTATTGATTTCTAGCTTTATCTCATTGTGGTCTCAGAAGCTGCTTGATAGGATTTTGATTTTTAGAACTTTGTTGTGAATTATTTTGTGGCTTAACATATGGTCTATCCTGGAGAATGTTCCATGTGCTGGTAAAAGAATGTATATTCTGCAGTTTTTAGATAGAATGCTCTACAAATGAAATTTGGTCCATTTGGTACAAAGTCCAGTTTAAATCTTGTTTCTGTGTTGATTTTATATGTCTAGATGATCAGTATAAATGCTGAGAGTGGGGTGTTAAAGTCCCCCACTATTATTTTATTGCAGCCTATTTCTCTCTTTAGAGCTAGTAATATTTGCTTTATAAATCTGTGTACTCCAGTGTGGGTGCATATATATTTATAATTGTTATATCCTCTTCCGGAATTTATCCCTTCATTATTATATAATGACCTTCTTTGTCTTTTTACTATTTTTGACTTGAAGTCTGTTTTATCTGATAGTAGTGTAGTTACTCCTGCATGTTTTTGGTTTCTGTTTGAATGGAGTATCTTTTTCCATCCCTTTACTTTCAGTTTATATTTGTCTTTACTGATAAGGTGAATTTCTTATAAGCAACATATAGTAGGTCTATGTTTTCTTTTTTAAAAATCCATTCAGCCATTCTATATCTTCTAAGTCAAGAGTTGAATTCATTTATTTTCAAGATTAGTATTGACATTTGAAGCTTTGTTCCTGTCATGTTATGAATTGTTTTCTGGTTGTGTTTTGTATTCTTTATTTCTTTTGTTTATCATTTTGCTTTGGTAGATTTCTGTAACAGTACTATTTGTGTCCTTTCTCTTTCTTCTTTGTGTGATTGCTTTACTAGTGAGTTTTATACTTTTCTGTATTTTCATTATGGTAAATACTGTTCTTTTGATTCCAGACTTAGGACTCACTTGATCCTTTCTTGTAGGTCCAGTCTAGTGGTAAGGAATTCTCTCAGCATTTGCTTCTCTGGGAAACATTTATTTCTCCTTCGTCCATGAAGAATAATTTTGCTAGATATAGTATTCTTGGTTGACAACTGTTTTTTTTTTTTTTCTTTTAGCACTTTTAGCACTTTTAATATGACATTCTCTTCTGGCCTGTAAGATTTCTGCTGAGAAACCTGCAGCTGCACTCATGGGGTTTTCTTTATAGGTGACTAGACACTTTTCTTTTGCTGTTTTTAGGATTCATTCTTTTTCTTTGCCTTTAGAAAGTTTGACTATAATGTGCCATGGAGAGGACCTTTTTACATTGTATCTTCTTGAGGATCACTGAACCTTCCTTGTCTGTAAGTCTAAATCTCTTGCTAGACTTGGGAAGTTTTCATTTATTATTTCATTAAATTGGTTTTCTAATCCTTTCATTTTCTTTTTGCTCTTGGGGATACTGATAATTCAAATATTCAGTTACTTTATATGGTCCCAAATGTCACAAAGGCTTTGCTCATTCTTTTTAAATATTTTGTTTATTTTTGTCTGACTGAATCATTCCAAAAGACCTGCCTTTAAGTTCTGAGAGCCTTTCTCGTGCTTGATCTAGTCTGTTAATGAAGCTTTCAAATATATTTTATATTTCCTTCAAGGAATTCTTCACTTCCAGAATTTCTACTTGCTTCTTTTAGAAAAAATGTCTATCCCTTTGTTAAACTTCTCATTCATATCCTCAGTTGTTTTTCTGATTTCTTTCTATTGTTTTTCAGAATTATCTTATGTCTCACTGAGCTTCTTTAAAATCAATATTTTGAATTCTTTATCTGGAATTTGGAAATTTCTTTTTGATTAAGATCTGTTGGTCAGAAATTATTGTGTTCCTTTGGAGGTGTCATATTCCTTCCTCTTTAATAGTGTTGATATCTGCACATGTGGTGTAACAGTCACTTACTTCCATTTTTGAATTTACTTTCATTGGGGAGGACATTTTTCTAAAGATATATGCGTGGCATTAGTTGTGTAGGGCTCTTTGGCTTTGATTATGGGCGCATGAAGTTTTGTAATCACTGTATGATTTATTTGGCTGTAAGGAGCATTAGTATTTGTCATTTCTTTGGTGAGTTAAGGTGTGTTTATTAGTGGAGGCTGTGGTGATGTGCTCTGGACCGGGATGCCAGGTGGGCTGGTTTTTAGGACCCAGTGGTGGCAGCAGTGTGCTGAGTGTGTCTATCCTTGTGCTCCAGGGTAGTTTATGCTGGCATTGATGTTAGTGGTTACTAGTGCACCAATTTTTAGGCCTACAGGTGAGCTGCTTGAATGCCAGCTGTGGCAGTGGTAGACTGGGTGGGTGGGTGGGTTCTTGGGTCCCTGGACAGCCAGCATGACAAGGGTGATGAAAGTAGCAGTGGCAGGATGATTCTTTGGGTCCTGAGCCACTGGCATTTATATTGGTGGCTGTGATGGGCTGGGTGGGAAAGTCTCCAGGCTCACATATGGCACTTGCATATACGTGCCAGCTGAGGTGGTCATAGGTGAATTTATGCCCAACCTCAGGCCTCCAGGAGGAGTGCTTAGATTCCCAAAGTGGTGGATTGGGTTGGGAAATCCCTAGAAACCCAGGCTATGTGCTCTGTCTTGGAATGAGGAGTGAAGCCAGGCTTGATGGGCTTGTGCTCAGGTCCCCCAGTGGTGAGAACAGGCATCAGCCTTGGTTGGTGGGGGTAGGGTGATCCTTAGGCCCCAGGCAGATTGCTTGGGTGAAGGGCAGTAGCAACTACATTGAGACTCTGTCGCTGGAGTGGGTGGGGCCTGCCTCAGTGGCCATAGCCTGGATCTACAAGTAGGTAACTCACATCTCTCTCATGCTCTAGTCGTGGCATAGTTCAACACCCAGTCCTGGCAGTGGTAGCCCATACCTAGCTTGTGCTCCAGCCCTGGCTACAGGAGCCCCCACCCAGTTTTTGACTAAGTCCCACAGGCAATTCATGCTCTGCTAATGTCCCAGTTTCAGTTTTGCAGGCTCTCTCTTCCCAGCACCAGCAGCTGCAGCCCCCACTTCACCTGCTTTTTAGCCCTGGCTGTGGGAGTGCTCCCAGCTCAGCAGCAGCAACCGGAGTTTCCTTCACACCTCAGACGCTGTGCTTCTGGGTCCCAGGATAGCATGCAGTCTGTTAAAGGCAAAGGTTGAAAATGCACCTTGCTGTAGCTGCTTATGTCTCAGAAAGTGTGTGGGACCCAGCACGATCTTCTTCCTTGACGCAATTCTGCCCCATGGTCTCCTGGAAGCTTCCTATGTTAGCTTCAATTGAGAAGGTCACAGGGCTCTCTAGTGGCCAGAACTGCGTAATTTCATGGTAGGGATGTGGGCCGCTGAAAGTCTCTCACTTACCTTTTCCCCACATTGGGAAACCACTCCCAGCTCTCAGCCAATCCCAGCCAAACAGACTGCCTCTCTTCATTTTCCTTCCTTGCTTTTGATGTTTCCTGTCACTTTTCTGTTGAACTCCAATGTTCTCTTTTAGATAATATATTCAAAGTGTGCTTGTCTATGCACTATTCTGGTTCTTCTAAGGGGACGAAGTGGGCATGAAATGCTTCTAGTCAGCCATCTTGAAGCCTGGATCAATGGCAAGATGGTCTGGGTGGCCCTTTTCTCTGGGGAGGCTCTTGGGGACAGGCTTGTGCTGTGAAGATGCTGGGACTTCTTGTAATGCCTACAAGATTCAGGGAGTTCAGATCCACACAGGTCAGTATTACTGAAGGAGCTGATAGAGGGATTCTGAGCAGGGAAGATACCTTAGGTCTCCTCTTGCCTCCTTGCACAACAGTGCCTGGATCTGTGAATCTGCCAATAGGCTCAGCGCTGCTTGGGCTGATGTGCATAATCTGGTCATTGGAAAAGTATGACATAATCATTGATTATTCTGCACCTGTATGATGCCAAACCAAAATAAATCATATTTTAATGGCTTATTTTCTTTGAAGAACCAAGATGCTTTTTCATAGTTCTTAGAATCTGGGTCAAACGATAAACTCATCGAATCAGTAGAATCAATAAATGGATGACTTTGAAGTCTAACTTTTTTCATACATGTCTTTATCCAGTGATAAAATTAATTTTCCATTTGATAGGAGAGTAACAGTTTTATTTTCGTCAATATTTGTATCATATGTTAGTGGGCAGCACAAACTCTGTAATTGTGACAGTACATCTCCGTGAAATGTTAGCAACATTATTTGTGGACAAAGTTGGATTTCTTTCTGGCCAGCACATGGCTAGGACCCTCTCACAACCCGCACTGGGTTACTGTAGGTAAGCTGGCTCTCCTTAACTTAAACTCTGCAGCCAGTTTGTGGTTATTAATTGTGGTAGTCCTAGGAAATATAGACTCCAAGTCAAAAGATTAATAACATTCAGTTGTTGTTGTTGTACTTGTTAATTTTGGATGAAACTAGTCTGCCAAGAGAATGTGAAATACTATACTAAAAAGTCCATGTCTAAAGCTAAAGGAAATAGTATCCCTGAGTAGGTATTGATGCTGAAAATTATACATATCAAAATCAATTTCCCATTTAATTCAGATATCAGTAAGTTATTGAACAAAAATGTAACATAGGCTTCTTTTTTAAAAAAAAAAAAAGAAGAAGCGCTGCTAATTGAAAAAGAAGCAAAGCCTACTTAAGTAGGGCCACATTCTTTTTTTTTTGGTCCAAGAATCCTTCTCATTTATTATTGTAACTTTCTATATTGTGTATTGGATGTTTTTTAGTGAGAATTCTCTACCATCTCATTGGTTTTTTAAAAACTTTTCCTTCAAGACCAAAGTCAGAGTCTATATATTCTTATGAAGACAACATAGACACCATATTTGGACTATTATAAAATGAGCTTCATGTTGATTTTTCCAACATGGTAGAAGTAATCATGTGAGAGGATAACCATTTGAGAATTTAGTGAAAAAACTATCATTTATATAGAAATAAATAGTAGTTGCTTGGTCTACTAATCTCAGTTTTCTTCATCTATATAATGAAAGCCATATTATTGTCACCTTATGAGCTGCTTGTTCACTGTAAGTTATGAGTTTCTTGTTCACTATAAATTCAAAGCAGCATTGGTATACTTAATAGAGTTGTTAATGGTATAGCTCTTAACTTTCTACTTCACCTATATCACTCTTCAATTTTACATTTTTAACCTCTTGCTGAGAGAATTCTAGCTCTTGAAAGTTTGTGGTTCTGACTTTTGAATGATATTCTTAGTACCATCACCATCACAACTCACCTTGGATAAGCCTTTACTCTGGCATCTTGTTTTTGCTCAACACTGCAGCAGTCACAGTACAATGTACTTTTGGCTCAAGTCTCTAGACTCCAGGTTGATGATACAATCAAAGATGCAGCTGTGTACTGGCCTTAGTTCATAAATCCTGACTGGGCCTTCAACTATAACCTGCCTGTATGTTTTGAGCCTTTGTTAGAGGGGGCTAATATTATTTGGTTTTGTGCCAGCCGTGATGCAGAAATTGATCTGGCTTCCACAATAAGGCCAATTATGTTAAGAATATCATGGAGATTTGCTGGTCATGAAGTAGGGTCACATTGCACAAGCATTTACTTTGAAAAACAATCATTGCTATTACTCTTGTCCCTTCTCTCAGAATTTTCCAGCCTCTATTGCCAACTGAGGTTTCTTTCTTTCTGCTCTTCCCTATATAATGCCCAGTCTATCTGGCTCCTTTACTTCTGTTTAGATGTACCCTTTGCCCCTATTGTGCTTCTTTTTCCTATTGACTCTTAATTATGCCATCTCTCCTTTTTCATGAAGAACAATTCAACCCGAGCTTTTACTGTCAGATATGCATGGTCAACCAGCGAACAAAGAGCCTCCCAGAAAAAGATGTACTGCTCTTAAAGATTACTTATGACTTATGTTTTCTTTTAAAGTTATTACACTTCATACTCCCTGACCACTTTAAAAAACAACCACAATCACAACCAATTCACTGAAAAATACCACGATGTATAATATTATCTGCTATGCAAAATTTATGTTCTACTTTGGCAATACGCAGTGTGAGTTTTAAAATCTAGAGTGTCCTGGCACTTGAATTTGAAGTAACCATCATTTTATACTGCCAATCCACTAAAGAAGGAGAATAAATTTAGGAGGATGTGACCCAAAGATAGTCAAAATCATTCATCTTTCTGAATTATCATGCTAATTACTGTCATTGGTCTTTGATAATCTAATACATAGAAAATTTTAGATCACTAAGTTCTCTTTCAACAATATGATGTCCTGATTTTTAATGGCTTTTGTAAGAACTTGGATGTTGAATAGCAAATAGTAGTGATCCTTTATGCGGCAAGACAGTATTTTCTTTGAGAAAGATGGCCAGTAATAGTCATTTTCTGCAGTTATATGTGCCCTAAAAGCAAAGATTAATGCTATTTATTGCCTTTTCCTGAGGTATTGATTCTGGTTATATCTTTGCTTTGTGAATTGAGAAATAATGTACATATATATTATATCTTTGAATTGCTATAGTTTTCATAAAAGGTCAGATTTTGATCCAAGTTATTATATTAGTTTTATAGGCAAATTGGACCACCCCTCACCAATACGTAGTGTCTGGTATCTCTGTACACTTTGCTAGTTTCTCCACTTGCTATAGCCATGTGGCTTCACTCCAGAGTTTTCTACATTATGTTCTGGAAGTGTCTCTTTTGCTAGCTCTGGGGGATATAGACTTAGCCAGTTAACTTTAAAGGAGTTATAAAGGAATGCAATAATTATTCATTTTTCTCATGGGCTTGTTGGGCGGAATGGACTTTGAATTGCTATAGTTTTCATAAAAAGGTCAGATTATGATCAAAGATTTAAAGCAGGGAATCTTAGCCATTTGATGCTGTTAGACTGCTGCATTATCTCTGTAACTGGCTTTGTTTTTTTTGTTTTGTTTTTTTGTTTTGTTTTACAACAATGGCCATTCCAGATATTCAGTCCTTGAAGACAATTGGGCACAAGTACAGTTTGGACATTTTTGACTTTTTGTGGTTGTGCCAGTTTGCTGTGATGTCCTGCCAGGCATCCCGAATGCTCTAAACGACTCATTTGCCTAATCTGAGGTTAAACCCTGTTACCAAAATGCTAGTGTATGGAGACTATTCATTCAAGTTACCATGTAACCATTGTAAGTTGCCTGTAAAGTTTATTTTGGGTGGGTTTAAACATAATTTTTGCTTTATTCAGTTTCAGTGAGCATATACCTCTTGTGTTGAGGAAAAAAACTACCTAACATTTATTGAGCACAAATTGCTCCTGACCCTGTTCTGTACGCTGGAGGATTATGGGATTCCACTGTGTCACATTCACTTAATAATTAGAAATGATATTCAGGAAAACAATATTCTAACCACGCGGGTGAAAAATGAATGGAAGAGAAATTACCTCATATGAGCATGCAGATGATCCAATAAGCCTGTAAAACCAGGCTTATTGGGGTGGAACTACCCCAACTGTGACAATGAATCAAATGGACAACACACACTTCCCTGCAGTGTTACAATCCCACTCTGACATATTAACAAGCATAGTCGCACCTGCTCTGGTCTTCTCTGTGCTACCTAACCCACAATTCCTGGATGCCTTCAAAGACAGACATGCCATTCAGATATCCTTTGATATTCCAGCTTTTTGTAAAGGAAAGGGCACAGGCTTCGGAAGAGAAAAGTCTGCGTTTTTCATCCCAGCTCTATGGCTAGCTAGCTGTATTATTCTAGTTATGAGACCTCCCTGGACTTTAGTTTCCTCACCAGTAAAATATGGATAATAATACCTATTTTGTAGGGTTGCTGATGTAAAATTATATGAGGTAACATCCATGAAATAAACAACACTGTACTTAGGACACAACAACTAAACCAAATTTTTATTTTTTTTCCTTCTTCACTTTTTCCTTTCCATACACCCTAAACTTTTATGTTAGATCATTGAGATAACATCTCATGTATTTCCTTTTGGATTGGTCCACTCTTTGGCTTCAGTTGCCGAGGTGTATAAACTCTGCCCATGCTTTGTGCCCTTCAGGATGTCTTTGGTGGGCTGAAACCAGCCCTGTTTAACCTGCTCCCAGTATGCTGTACACTGCACATATCAGTTGCCCCTCCAAATGTGCCCCTTGTTTTAGCTCCTGTGTTATACCTTCTTACAATCCCAGAGCATGCTTCAGGCAGGCTTAATAATAATGTTAACAAACCTCATACATTACCACATCTTTTCATTTCTCAGATGACTGGGGAAAGGAAAAGCTATAGAGTCTACTTTAGAGGTATGGAATGTGCTTGTGACTGCAATGGCTGGACTGCAGAGGGGCACAAGGCCTATTTACATAAATAAAGACTTGGAACAAATGGAGGAGAAACTTTGGGAGCATGAACATTTACATATTTTGATAATTGAAGATTATAGGGAGCATATGGCATTGAAAATAGCACAGGAGTTATGGTTCATATGTGGGGGTACAGGCATGTGGGGCAATACAGCACAATAAAGGAAGGTGAATGGCCTTCCTCATCATCAGCTGTGTAAATTTGGGGGGAATTGATAACCTTCAACCTCCATACTTTTTAATATGTTAAAAAGAGAGAATGGCAGTGATTCTGGTCTCCAGTATGTTAAATGAATTAATGGTTATACAATGATTAGCATAGTGCTGCAACTTAGTGAGTATTCAGTGAAGATGCGGTGTTACTGTTATCCAAGGTATTTAAAAGCAGTAAGTGGAGTCATGGAGAGAAGCTGGGAGAACCAGAACTTCTGATTAGATTCAGTTGACTTGGTCATTTTTTTGTTGTTGTTTTCAAAATGGACCGAAATCTGTTAGCGTCATTTGTTGATTGTAAATACTGGTTTACAATTAGTATCTAATCGGATAATTTTCTTTTTTTTAATCAACCACATTATTTTCAATGATTTGTTGGTGTTATATTACATAGAAATATGCCACATTCAGCTGATGTACTCAGCATTGAAACAGTTTATTAAAAATGTTATGTTTAAACTTATTAAAATTAGAATAAACTAAATGCATATTCCTTACATTTGCTAAGGAAATGGGTTTTGAATAAAACATAGCTAACTGTGGCCAACTATATCTTTTTAGTTTGTGACTCAGGACCTAACGGTAAGTATACAACAATTTCTAGCTGATTGCTTTGAAGGGTTACTACGTAATGACATTGCTTAGGTGTGTGAACTTCATGTTGCATGTTTTTAGATTTCTAAATATCATTGTTTTGTGTTAGAACTTCTTGTGTCAACATCCCAGTTACCCAGTTTCATTCCAGGCCAGACTAACCAATGCTATGGTAAAAGGAAAGGGTTCTGTAAACTTGCTAATAACTGTTTACTTGTATCATTAGAATTGGCTTGAATACAATAATGCTAGACTTTCTTAACCCTGCTCAGAAAAATCAGTGCAGCATTAACGTCTCAAAGCCTGTCATTTCCTCAATATTGTGAAATATTTCTGTGAATCTTAGGGAACCCAGACGGGTCAGCAAAAGTCCAAGTTCCTGGGGCTATGGTGATCCCCTAAGAGTGGTGGACATTAAGATATTCCAAAGATGAGTGCTTATGATGAGAGGTTGGAACTTCTTGTGCTTGATGTTGAAGCAAATTTATCACCAGCTTCTCCAACTTTCAAGAAAAATCCTCATGTTTTTCAGACAGCCTAAAACGTTGGGCAATTTCTTATTTTTTTTTCTTTTTCTCTTTCTCTCCCTCTTTCTCCTTCTCTCTCTTTGTCTCTCTTTCTCTTTTCCTCACCTCACCTCTGTAAAAACTTAGGCAAGAATCTTTCTGTGCTGGCTTTTACTTTATGAAGTAAAATTATTTTTCATTAAAATCATTAAAAAAGTCATTAAATAAATTGTGACTTGCTCACAACTTTATTTTTAAAGTATCTTTGGTTTGGTTTCTTGGTATCCGCAGGACCCTGAATGAAACTTTTGGCAGCTGAATATATCTTTAAGCATTCTGCTTTAGTCTGGCTACTTCCCAAATTCTCTCATTTTCTTATCCTAAGAATCCATTTTTGTGGGAAAAAGGGCCTTCAGAGGATCTTCAGAGTAAGAACTTAAGAGTGATGAATCATAGAAGAAACAGTAACACTATTTTAGCTCTAGTGAAACCTTCTGTTCACTTATAAGCCAAGAAGATAAAGAGGAGTGAATTTCAAAAATAAGATTATCTCCCGAAATGGCCTGACCAACCTCTGTTGGTAAATCTCTGCAATAGAAAACTAAGCATTGAGTAAAGAAAACAGGATTGTTTGTGATGCCAGAGAAGAACAAAATTTATGGCAGGCTTTCAGGCACCAGGCCTAATAAGGAGAGATACTGCATCCAGGTTAAGTGAAAATAGCTGTCACCTGGCTGCACCAGTGGAGTTGCTTTCAGTACTTAAATGTGTGAACACTTGCTCTATATCTTGGCGATTCCGAGGTGGTTCCAGCTGCAAAGTCTTTTATAATTAATTGCATGAGTATTGCCATTCACTTGGGAGGCAGGTGATTACTTGCCTAGGTGTTAATCTAAGACATTACAATATCAATAGAACTACTGATTTTAATTAAAACTTCAAAATGTGTGCCTGTTGAAGTATTCATTATTGCACCCTTGATTATGTGTGAGAATTCAGTCTTCTATGCTTATTTTTTCATATAATACTAAGACCAATTAACAGGCAGAATTTTTTTATAAGACAATGAAATTGTGTGTGTGTGTCGGTCTGTCTGATTTTTTTTATGTTATTCTGTTTGGGGTTTTCATTTGAACTCTAAAAAATGCTTGTACATTATCAAAGCTAGTAGACAAAAATAACATGAGACAAATGGCAGAGGAGAGGTAAAAGGGCAGAATGAATTTTTTTTCCCGTCACTAGTTAATTACATTCTGATCTTGATTTAGTTGTGAAAAATGTAGTAATTCTGGTCTCTCTGTAAAACATATCAATCTTTATTGTAAAGCCACACTTAGATTTGCTTAATTAAGATATTCAGAGGAAATGGAAAGGGAAAGGATGCTACCATTGCAAAATAATAGAGGGAAAACTGTGTGGAAAAGGTTAGCTCTTGAAGGGGCTTTTTTGAATGTGGAGGCATTTTAAGGCAGTTTATGGGTTATGGGCCAAATACGTCAAGTACAAACTGCAAAGGACTGGAGAGATGATCCAGGCTAGTTTCTTCATTTTACAGACTGTATTTGTAATCATCCTTTCTAATAAGTATTGAGGAATACTGGAAGTAAAGAAACCCTCAGTATGGTACACTGTCTTATTAAATGTAGCATTTTTTTTAATTCAAGTTTTTCAGGTCTTCTTGACAAAATATAGAGAAAGGTGTGTGTGTGTGTGTGTGTGTGTGTGTGTGTGTGTGTGTGTGTTTATATCATGTCTATAGTTTTTGTGGTCCTGCTTTGCTTTCTGGTGTGGAAAATAAGTTTCCGAAACTTGGTGGTGAGAAGCCTGTCATTAAATTATTGCTGCTGTTCTTGAAGAATGTTGATTGCACTGTGGTTTTCACCCCCAAAGCCCTTAATATGGGGTTATATTTTTTATGGTTTTGAGGTTTTTGGTGACTCCGTTAGGAACATTTCTTGTGAGGCTGAATCATACTCAGGATATCACTTTCTTACTAGGGAAAGCACAATAAAATTATTGCAATAAAAACAGTACGCTTCAGAAGGAAAAGAACAGTGTGTAGTTTTATTCAAATGGATATTCAGTGCTTAAGCAGCACAAACTGGAACAGGTAGGCTGCAGTGTTGCTGCAGATTTCCTTGCAGGAGAAAAAAGCTGGTCTTGATTACTTCAACTCTTTGCTGACTCTGGAGAGTGGTTTCAATTAAAACTTTCCCCCCAGCTTTAGAGACAAATCTTTTTCTTCTTTATTAAAATTGGTTTGGAGATAAAACTTTTGAAACCAGGAGTCATATCATTAAGAGTTTAGATTTAGTGCGTGGAAAGAAAAGATAAAAATCCAGATTTCCTTTGTAGGTTTCAAGTGAAAACAATACTTTAATTATAGCAATATTTGTAGGTAAGATAAGTAAATACCCAGAGCAATGGGACCTGAGTTAGAACATCAGGGTAGGAGCTCTGACTCAGTCTATGATTTGTTTAATGACTTTGGGGCAAATATTATTCATCTTTTGACTTCAATCTCTTAACTAAATTTATGACCTTCTTTCCTCTTTTTAAGATCTTTTTCTTCCATCTCCTGTGCCAGAATTTCTTTTCACTACGTGACTTATTTTCAGGATGGCACTGGACATTGAGAAGTTTCCTGATCTTTTACTTTGCCCTTAACTTGAACCAAATTTAATTCCCAGTGTTGAAAAATTGCTATTCATCTTGCTGTTTCCTAGTAGATGTTCCTGACACTTTGTCTTTAGACAGATTAGAATTTTCATTTATTTTTGCAAGACTTCAAAAGAAGTGATAATTTGTTCTCCCTTTTAAACTCATTCCAATATTCAACAAAACCTAGGTTTTTTAATTTCTGTTTTTGAGTATTTACATTTTAAGGCAACACTTATATGCAAAGAGATGTGCAGATCCCAAGTGCATGGTTTGGTGAGTTTTGACAAATGCATGCAACTGTGTAATTAACAATCACTTATAGAAATGTGGAATATTTCTATCACTCCAAAAAGGTTATTCATGGGTCTTTTCAGTTAATCTTTATCAAAAGAAGCAGCTACTTTTCTGATTTTTTTCATCATAGATTAATTCTTACTATGTGGAATTTCATTTAAAATGAATTATACAGCATCCCCTTTGAGTCCAGCTTCTTTTGCTCAGTATAAGATCTGTGAGATTTCATGCCACCACCTCAATCAGTTTTTTTCCTTTTTATTGCCGAGTAGTATTCTACTGTATGGATATATCATAATTTGTTTATCCATTCTCCTATTGATATTTGGGTTGTTTCCAACTTTTGGCTATTACATATAAAGCTGCTATGAATATTCCTATATAAGCTCTAGTTTTAGTTTCTTTCTTTTTTACTTTTGCTTTTGGTTCATTTTGGTAGGTGGTCTCTAAGGTGACCCCCAAAGATCCCTATCTTCTGGTATTCATCTTCTTGAGTGTCAGTTGGATTGACTGACTCAATTCCAATGAATGGAATACAGTAGAAGTGATGAGATGCCACTGCTGAGATTGGGTGCTGTCTCTCACTCTCGGCCTTCTAACTCTGAGGAAAGCCAGCTTTCATATCATGAGGTAACCCTAGGGAGAGGCCTACATGAGTAAGCTTGGAAGATAATCTGCTGAGACCTTGCCAAAAGCCACAAAAAGGAGTACAGAAGTGGATTCTTTCTGAGTTGAGTCTTGAGATGACTGCAGCTCAGGCTGACACCTTCATTACAGTGTAATAAGAGACTCTGAACTCAAACCACCCAGCTAAACTCCTCTTGGATTCCTGACACCAAGATGTGAGATAATAAATATTGTTTTTGGCCACTAAGTTTTGGGGTGATTTCTTACACAGCAATAGATGGCTAATATAGTCCACTTAAATGAGCATAGTGTGGTTTTAAATCAGTCCTTTTTTATTTAGTATTCAGTAGAGGATAGTTCACTAGAAGCTTTGTGGTTTTTCAGATTCATAGCTAGTAACAAAAGTTAGGGTCATCATCTATAGAGAAAATTTTATGCAGTTTCCTTATGCATTTTTGGAAAGTGGCCAAAGAACATTTTTGCTATTTTTCTCAAAATGGAGTTTTATTTACTTTTTATTATGAAAAACACAAACTTATAGAAATATTCACTCAATAAAGAAGGAATTAAAAAAGTGAAAACCACGCATAAAATTGCTACCTCAGCACAATCATGTTAAAACTGTTGTTCATTTCTCTAGATGTTTCCCATAAAAACACACGTACACAAGGACATGCAAACATTTTCAAAAATGAAGTCATGAGATATGCTCTTTGAAATTTCCTTTTCCTCTTCATGGTAATAGACATATCTACATGATCATTTTAACGAGTTTATATACTCATTTTTTATGTCATAATTTATCCTGGTCTCTGCCTTTGAGTTATACTCTCCACTTCTCTGCCATTTTTTGAACAATTATAAATAGTTATTGGTAATCATCCTCTTTATTCAACTTTTATTATAGGTTCAGGGAGCACATGTACAAGTTTGTTACAAAGGTATATTATCTGATGGTGAGGTTTGGAGTATGAATGAATTTGTCTTTCAGGTATTGGGCATAGTACCTGAAAGGTAGTTTTTCAGCCCTTGCCTCCCTTCCTCCCTCCTCCCTGTTGTATTCCCCAGTGTCTGTGGTTCTCATGTTTATGTCCATGTGTATGCATTGTTTAGCTCCCATTGGTAACTGAAAATATGCAATATTTGGTTTTCTGTTTCTGTGTGTATTTGCTTAGGATAATAGACTCTAGCTGCATCCATGTTGCTGCAAAGGATATGATTTTATTCTTTTTTACGGCTGCATAGTATTCCATGGTTTAAATGTATGACATTTTCTTTATCCAATCCACTGTTGATGGGCACCTAGGTTGATTCCATGTCTTTGCTATTGTGCATAATGCTGCAGTGAACATATGGGTGCATGTGTCCTTTTGGTAGAACGACTTATTTTCCTTTGGGTATATACCTGGTAATGAAATTGCTAGATCAAATGGTAGTTCAACTCTTAGTTCTTCAGGAAATCTCCAAACTATTCTCCACAGTGACTAGACTAATTTACATTCCCACCAGCAGTGTATAAGTGCTTTTCTCTGCAGCCTTGACAGCATCTGTTTTTAGAAATTTTTATACACCAGTCAGAATGGCATCTCATTGTGGTTTTGATTTACATTTCTCTGATGATTAGTGATGATGAGCATTTTTTCATATATTTGTTGGCTGCTTGTATGTCGTCTTTTGAGAAGTATCTGTTCGTGTATTTGGCCCATTTGTTAATGGGGTTGTTTTTTGCTTGTTAATTTTTTTTAAGTTCCTCATAAATTCTGGATATTAGGTCTTTGTCAGATGCATAGTTTGCAAATATTTTCTCCCATTCTGTCGGTTGTCTATTTACTCCCTTGATAATCTCTCTTGCTGTGCAGAAGCTCTTCAGTTTAATTAGGTCCCCCTTGTCAATTTTTGTTTTTGTTGGAATTGCTTTTGAATACTTAGTCATAAATTCTTTAACCAGGCTGCTATTGAGAAGGATATTTCCTAGGTTTTCATCTAAGATTTTTATACTTTGAGGTCTAACATTTAAGTTATGAATCCACCTTGAGTTATTTTTGTATATGGTGAAAAACAAGGGTCCAGTTTCATTCTTCTGCATATGGATGTCAAAGTCTTTTTGCAGGTCTATAAGAACTTGTTTTATAAATCTGGGCACTACAATGTTGGGTGCATATATATTTAGGATAGTTAAGTCTTACTGAATTTGTAAACCAAAAATTACATTCTAAGCCCCCCCTCCCCCGCCTCACCCCGACCCCCAACTGACTGAATGGATCCTCCTCTTGGCCAACAGGACACATCAAAACCTGAAACGCTAGTTCAGGTCATCACAGAAAGAGGGGGGTCAGACATGCATCATTATTCTCTCCTCCCTTTGGAGTTCAGGCATACAGCTGACCAGCATTAACATTAAAATAGAGATTGGCAAGGCACAGTGGCTCATGCCTGTAATCCCAGCACTTTGGGAGGCCAAGGCAGGAGGATTGCTTAAGGCCAGGCGTTTGAGACCAATCTTGGAAAAGTAGTGAGACCCTGTCTCTACAAAAAATTTAAAAAATTAGCTGGGTGTGGCGGTGCATGCCTGTAGTCACATCTACTTGGGAGGCTGAGAAGGGAAGATTGTTTGAGCCAAGGAGTTGGAGGCTGCATTGAGCTGTGCTAGCACCACTGCACTCCAGCCTGGGTGACAGAGTGAGACCTTGTTTCTATCAATCAATCAATCAATCAATCAGTCAGTCAGTCATCCTAAGACTGACAGAATAGACTCTTTGTAGCAATAAGATACCAAATTCCCAACTGACTCTAGTATAGCATCACTTGACAGGTAGCAGGGCCATGAAAGAAATCAAAGTATTTTACCCCCAAATATATTTCTTTGACATATTTTGAAATGGCCCTGCAAAGCTGTCTTTTATGGTGGAAATTCACATTCTATAGAGATCCCCTTCCCTTTCTTGGCCTTTTTTTCTGATCCTAAAGACATTAGCTGAGAGACTAGCATCACTCCTTTCTATTGATTGCAGGTCTTTAGATAATAACTGAACTCTTTCAACCAATTACCAATCAGAAAATCTTTGAATCCCCCTATGACCTGCAAGCCTCCTCTGAGTTATCCCATCTTTCTAGACTGAACCAATGTATACCTCATATGTATTGGTTGATGTCTTATATCTCCATAAAATATATAAAACCAGGCTGTAACCTAACCACCTTGGGCACATGTTCTCAGAATCTCCTGAGGTTGTGTCACAGATCCCGATCCTCAATGTTGGCAAAATAACTTCTAAATTGATTGAGAGCTGTCTCAGATACTTTTTGGTTTACAAATTGCGCTCTTTATTGTTATGTAATGCCCTTCTTTGTCTTTTTAAAAATCATTGTCATTGTTTGTTTAAAGTCTATATTATGTGATATAGGAATAGTAACCCCTGCTCTTTGTTTACCATTTGCATGATAGAGCTTTCTCCATCCCTTTACTTTGAGCCTATGGGTATTGTTACATGTTAGATTGGTCGCTTGAAGGCAACAGACAGTTGAGTCTTGTTTATTTCAATTCAACTTGCCATTCTGTAACTTTAAAATGAAGTATTTAGCCCATTTACATTCAAGATTAATATTGATATGTGAGGATTTGGTCCTGTCATCATGTTGTTAGCTGGTTGTTATGTAGACTTGATTGTGTAGTTGCTTTTTAGTGTCTCTGGGCTATGTGCTTAAGTGTTTGTATTTGGTGGCAGGTATCATTCTTTCATTTATATGTTTACCACTCCATTAAGGACCTCTTGTAAAGCTGGTCTAGTGGCAACGAATTCCTTTAGCATTTGCTTTTCTGAAAATAATTTTATTTCCCCTTAGCTTATGAAGCTTAGTTTGGTGGGATATGAAATTTTTGGCTGGAATTTTTTTTCTTTAAGGGTGCTGAAAATAGGCCCCCAATCTCTTCTGGCTTATAAGGTTTCTGATAAGAGGTCTGCTATTAGCCTGATGGGGTTCTCTTTGTAAGTGACCTGTTTCTTCTCTGTAGCTGCCTTTAAGATTTTTCTTTCACATTGACCTTGGACAATCTGATGACTATGACTATGTTTCTTAGAGATGGTCGCCTTGTCTGGTATCTTGTAGGGGTTCTCTGAATTTCTTGAATTTTCATGTTGATCTCTCTAGCAAGATTGGGAAAATTTTCACGGGCTATATTCTCAAATATGTTTTCCAACTTGCTTCCTCTCTCCTTCTCTCTCAGGAATGCCAGTGAGTTATAGGTTTGTTCTCTTTACATAATTACACTTTTCTTAGAGGTTTTGTTTATTTTTTAATGTTTTTTTCTTTAATTTTTCTGCTTGAGTTGATTTGAAGGAGTGGTCTTTGCGCTCAGAGATTCTTCCCTCAACTTGGTCTATTCTGTTGTTAATGCTTCCAATTGTATTATGAAATTTCTGTATTGGATTTTTCAATTTCAGAAGTTCAGTTTGGTTCTTTTTAAAAATGGCTATGTTATCTTTCAGCTCTTGGATGATTTTACTGTTTTCCTTGGATTGGGCTTGAACTTTCTTCTGTATCTCATTGACCTTCCTTGCCATCCAGAATCTAAATTCCATGGCTATCATTTTAGTCATTTCAGTCTGGTTAAAAACCATTGCTGGGGAGCTAGTGCAATCATTTGGAGGTAAGAAGACACTCTGACTTTTAGAATTGCTGGAGTTCTTGTGCTGGTTCTTTCTCATCTGTGAGGGCTGGTGTTACTCTGTCTTTTGAAGTTGCTTTTGTTTGGATGGGCCTTTTTTTTCATGTTCTTTACTTCCCTTGAGGATTTGACTGTGGTGTAAGTTGAGTATAGTCAATTGTCTTCATTTCTGGATGCTTTCAGAGGGCCAAGGCTCTGTATGCAATCCCTTATTTGTAGCCAGAATCCTGCATTGTGTTTAGCAGGCAATGCCTGTTGGAAGAATTTTTGGTGGTGTAATTCAGGATGCAATCCTTTAGATGGTGCTTAAGATTAAGGGCTGACAGACTCTTGCTCAGCCATGTGCTTCTTTTGTATTTCAACACGTTGACAGCAGTGCTCTGTGATGGAGGAGGTGGGGTTGGTGGAGAGATCCCCTCGCCGAGTCCATTCCCGGGTTTTAGTTGAGCCTTCTCCAATCACTGGTCCCACACCTGCCTTTCCTTAGCTCCAAGAAGGACCCTGGTGAGCTGTGCCCCCTCCCATGGGGGCAGCCCTAGCTGAAGTTTAGTTCACCAGAAGACTCACAGCTCTCTGGAGGCACACTGGTCCTGTGTGTTTGGTAGAGTCAGAGCAGGTTGTGAGGTATGTCTGCAGGTGGTCTGTTGATGCAGTAGGTCAAGAGCCGGGGATCTTTGGGCAGGATGGTGTTACTGTGGGTGTGCAGCTGGTGTGGCACCTGCAGTCTGGGGCTTTTTGCCCAGCAGATGGCTGTAGGAATTACCCAGCTAGTGCTCCCTCAACTGGGTCTCTCCTTCCAGTGATTGCCCCCCAAACTGGCCCAACCAACTAGTTTTGTCCTAAGCGTTCTGTACCTAGACTGCTGGGCTGTTAGGTGTTTCAGGTTGTGGGGCTTACCTCCCTCAGGGAGAAGCTGGCCACACCCCTTTCAGACTGGCCCTGTGGAGGAATGCACACTCAGCCCCCGAACTGGCCCATGAACCTGCACCTTACTCTTCCTAGTGCTCTGAGAGTGAGAGCTTCCCCCCACCCTGAAGTTAAGTACTAGCTGTACTGGGTGAGCCAAGCTTCTCCCAGGTAACCAACAAAGTGCTCTGGTGGGGGCTGCCGGCAAAAGCACTCAGTGGAGGCTGCACTGTGTGTCTGCTCCTATGGAACGGCCAAGCAGGGACCCTGGGAGGGGGAAGTGAGCAAGAGGGCATGCAAATCAGACATGCCCCAGTCCCATGAGAAAGACAGCCCTGCTCTCTCCAGGTTCGACAATCCACTGAAGTTAGAGCCTCTTAGAGGAATACGGAGAGCCTTGGGGAATGGGTGCTTATGACTGTGTTTTGTTGCAAATGTCCTCATGCAAAACTGCCTGAGCTCCACGCGGGCTCAAGCACTGTCTCTGCCGACTCTCTGGGCAGTTTCCCCTGCCAACTCAAATGTCCATGTAGGTCATGGAATCTCCCACAGTTAGGATCCTGGAGGTCCATGGTAAGATTGGGCTGCTCTGCAGTTACTTCACTCACCCCTTCCTTAGGAGCTAATCAGGGCCAAGAATGAGTCCTGGTGCTCAGGAACTCCATAAGCTATATGGGATACAGGGTTCCCAGCTTCCTGCCTCCCTCTTCAGGCCCAGTGTCTGTGTAATCTCTCCATTAACTCTGAGTGCTTTCTCTGAAAAGATCAGTTTGAAGTATACTTAATTTGGTTTACTCAATATTTTAGTCTCTCTCAGTGGGACAGGCTCTTCCTGGCTATGTCTAGTTCGTCATCTTGCCCTCCCTTCTGATAATCATTCTTGTTCATTCATCTTTGTGCACTTACCCAGTATTTTCTTAGCATACTTTCTTAAGCATATATTTCTAGAAGGGTATGCACGTTTAAGGGCCTTGGATGAATATTATACTATTCTCATTCAAAAAGATAGGACTCACCGATTGAATATGAGAGTGTTTTCCCCCATAATGAGCTTGATAACACTGAACATTATTAAACTTGTTAATATTTGGCGTTGTGATGAACAAACATACTGTCATCTTAACCTGGACTTCCTCAATTGAAAGTGAGATTGAACATCTTTTAAAATGTTTCTTGACCATGTATGTTGTGGATTGCTTATATCTTTTATTAATTTTGGTACTATGGAGTGTACATTTTTCACTGATTTATAAGTTCTTTCTCTCTCTCAAACACATTTATTTGCTACCTTAGTCTGTTACAAATTATACAAATATTTCTTTTCCATAATGCAATTTGAAGTTTAACTTTGATACTGGTGGGCTGTTTGGCTGTAAATAGATTTTAAATGTTAAATTACTTAAATATATCATTTTAAATATAGTTTATGGCTTTGGCATAGTTCTTAGTATGTGTTTTCCATCAAAATATTATACAAATACTCATTTCATTATTTCTATTTAAAAAATTATTTACATTTACTTTTTTTACATTTTTTAAATTTACCATGTTTATATTTTTATATTTATGATTTTGAATGGATCTGGAAATTTATTTTTATATATGGTGGGAGATAAGGATCCAATTTAAATTTTCCTTAAAATGTTGACCACTTATCCTAATGTAATTAATCATTTTTTGTTTACGAATTTTTATGTATGCCATTATCATTTCCTAATTAATTTGCATTGTAAAGATTCATTTCCCTTCATATATCTCCCTCAGTACTGATTGAACTTCTACATGTGTCAAAAGAAAAAAAATAGAGCCTTACAGAAGTTAAAGCTGTAAAAATAGATTTTAAATTATAAATTGTAAATTTACAATAAAAAATCAGATATTATTGAAATTGGAGGAAAAGACCTCAGTATTGAGCTTGGCTCAATTCTGAATACAAGAAAAAGTAGGGATTTATATCCAAGGGGCAGAATGGAGGGGGTGGTGGATGGAAAATTACTGAGGGTAGGGTAATTCTTTCCTTAACAGACCAAAAAGCATTCTTACTGAAAGCAGGCCATAGTGATCAGATATAAAGGGTGGAGGATGAGGAATTGGATAGATATTGAGAGTTATCAAATATTGAGGGTGGGGATTCTCTCTGAACTGACTGACAGTATTCTTGCTAAAACCTTACTCTACAAGGACAGAAAGGGAAGCCCAAGGTGAGACCTAGCTGAGCAGAGGACTCAGAAGGATCTGACTAAAGTTTGGTTAAGGAGAGGATCTTTGTCACATGTAGATTAATAAATTAGTATTTTGAATTGTAAAAGTGTGTTTGTACTTACATGTCCTACAGGTGGGAAAGTATATCTAAAACTTGGGAAAGTATATCTAAAACTTACCTTAACAGTATCTGTACATGATTACAGTTGATCCAAAGCCATATCCATACGTTGAATATTATTTCCCTATGTGTAATAAAAGGATTCTTGACTTTTACTGTGAATGTGGTATAGGAAAGAAGGGAATTCTCAAAACTGTATGCTAATTAATTTTAAATTAAAGTTAGAATTGAAAGTATTTAAATTCTCTGTTTCTTTAAATTATCCCTTGAAGACATTTCTGTGAATTTAAATTTTATGCGTAAGATACAGGTAAACCTCAACTTTCAAACATTTGTCTTTTTAACCACTTATATTTTGTACATTAGATATTGACCACTTCACCATGTGCCACTAATGAAATTCACATTTTTATTCATGAATTGATAAACATTTCAAGCTGTTGAATTATAACTCATCTTGTGGAAGTTTGCATCACACCATCTTTGTCTATTATTTTAAGTAATTGTTTCAATATTAGTCTTCATTGCATTTATGCTGCTAGTATTTTAAAATGAGAAAAAAATTTAAAAAATGCTAATACTATTGAAAAGGTGCTTTTGTCTCATAAACTTAGTATAATTGAGACAGCAATGGAAATGGGCTGAAAATAGTGATTCTTTAGCTCTGACTGCTTGCTCATGGGCTTATGCCAGTAGATGATTTATGAATAAAAAATAGAAGTAAGGAATATATACAATATGTTAGAAAACTATGTTGAAGTGATAAAATGTAATTAGTGCCTTTATAATATTTTTAGTTTTCTGGGAACAGAAATGTCCTTAAAAGCAGGTTGCTAAATGCAACTGATATGTTCCTGTTCTCACTTTCCTTATTCTCTTAGAACGAAACACTTCTTGGAACCCTCTCTTCTCTTGTGTTCTATTCTTCATATTTTCTTGGTCATTTCTCTTTCTCTTCCAGTTCATCATCCTCTTCCCAGATTTTAAACGTTGCAGTTCTTTAATGCTCAAATCTAGGCCATCTCCTTTTCTCACCCTATGCTTTCTCCCTTTATAATCTGTTGAAGTCTATAAAACAGATGATGTACAAATCTAAATGTAGCTAGATACCTCTTCTAAAATACAAACCTTTACTCCACATTTTCTTGCTGATGACTCAAAGACATTGCAAATATCTAATGTCCAACCAGACTTGAATTCTGATCTTCCTCCCAAATCTGTCTTTATTTTGGTGTCTACCCAGTTGTGCAAGCAAGATACCCAGAGTCATGCTTCCTCTCTGTCTCTCTTTTCTCTCTTCTCTCTCTCAACTGCATATGCAATCCTTTACCACGTCTTATTGATTTTACTTTCCCAGTGTCTTTTGAGTCTGTCTGGTTTTATTCATCCCAGACAGAAATTTGTTCCTGTCCGAATTGTTCTTTACATTGAAAGTATGTATTTTTTTCCAGTTATAAAAAGTGATACTTAATATCTCTGTCTAAAAATCTTCAATATTTTTAAAATTCGTTTAAAAGAAAGGCAAAAGTTTTTGTTTGTTTGTTTTACCTTGACCTGTAAGCCCTGTATGATGTGGTTTCTACATATCTTTTCCACCTGTTTCTCCCATGATCTCAGGGATCTAGCCCCATGGTCCTTTCTTCTGTCAAATGATTTTTCTGACCATTAGCCCTCTTACTTTTTCATCTTCCTTCTGTATCTCTCTGCCTGGAACGTTCTTCCCTCCCTTATTTCCATAGCCAATTGTTTCCCATATTTGTATCTCAGCTTTTGTTATTCTCTAAGGGAAGCCATCCCCAGGGAAGTCTTTTCTTTGCCTTTTCTTAAAAATTTGTCTTCTTAGCCTTGCAACTATTGTGTCTCAGGATTCCTACATCTTGCCTCATTATTGCCATATATCACTACTTCCACTTCTTTTACTCTATGTAGAAATTTTGGTTGGCTCTCCTTTTTTTTAAGAAATGTGGGAATGTGGGGCTCACTGTGTTGCCCAGGCTGACCTTGAACTCCTGGGCTCAAGGCATCCTCCTGCCTCAGCTTCCTGAGTAGCTGGGACTACAGGTATGTGTGACTGCACCTGGCATCTCTGGCCACTTTTTTTTTGAGATGGAGTCTTGCTCTGTTCCCCAGGCTGGAGTGCAGTGGCGCGATCTTGGCCCATGCAACTTCTGCCTCCCGGGTTCAAGCGATTCTCCTGCCTCAGCCTCCTGAGTAGCTGGGACTACAGGGGCGTGCTACCATGCCCGGCTAATTTTTTGTATTTTTAGTAGAGACAGGGTTTCACCGTGTTAGCCAGGATGGTCTGGATCTCCTGACCTCGTGATCTGCCCGCCTCAGCCTCCCAAAGTGCTGGGATTATAGGCATGAGCCACTGCGCCTGGCCTTCCAGCCATTTTTCATACAGTTGTGAGGCATGCTAAAGGCCAAGATGATGGGAATAATGTATCACTTGTTCTTAGAAATTCAAAGATCCTGGAGCTGCATGGTATAATTCTTACATGATAAGGTAGTGTTGGAGAGATATGAGATTATAATCAATAGTTAGAAATATATGAAACATGTATTTGCAAAAGACAGATGAGACGTGTATGGTTAAATCTTGATGATGAGGATGTTGTTAAGGGGAAGAGATGAACATACAGAGGAAGAGATTCTCTGGGAGTGATATTCCTGAATATGAGGAAGGGGATGATGTTCAAGATACAGGTGGCATGGTTTACCTTTTCTGTTGAAACATGAGGAAAGAAGAAGGACACTGTTTAGTTGTGGTAGGTGCTAGAATGTTCATATTTTGTTGATAATTGCAGCACTTATGTGAATTATTAGGCATGGTCATATTTTAAACTGGAAGGAAAAGTAGAGATCCGTAGTTGGAAAACTTTTTTGAGCCCAGGAGTTGAGCAAAGAAACACAAGAAAAATTCTGCTAAGTGTGGGTTGTTCCCACTGAGATTACCATTGTGAATTTATTGGAGTCCAGTTTGCCCCATTGTATGACCTTCTTCAGTGGCACCTAGCTGACCTGGTGCTGGCTTAGACAAAGCAAATACCTGGTTTCATCCAGATTGGAGGTTTACCTTGATGGGTGTAATGAAAACACAGATGGGCTATAGAGTTAAGGTATTTGCCTAAGTTTTTTTTCTTTTTTCTTTTCTTTCTTTCTTTCTTCTTTTTTTTTTTTAATGCTGGTTTTGTGTGCTCTGTGGTGGCCAAGGAGGAAGATGAAAAAGTAAGAAGGCTAATGGATTGGGAAAAAGTAAAAAGGTCAATGAATTTGTGTTCTTAATGAGCCCAAAGTACAGCAACTAAAAATTATTTCTTATAAATGTTTATAAATGTTTCTGCTATTTATCTAAAATTTAAAAATATTGTTTATTGTGAATCTCTTATCAATATGCTGTAATTTAGTTTCCAATCTGTGGAGAATGTTAGAGGAAATGATAATTTAATTCAATAATTTTTCATCCAATTCTAGATGCGAAATTGGACCAACCTCTAAAAAGGTTCTTTATAGAAATGTCTTTCCTCACTGAGTAGCTTTTCTTGCCTTTTCTTATCCTAGAAGAAAATCAAGTTAAACAGTCAAGGGCCCAGCAGCAAGCAAATGACACATTCTAAGAACGATAATTTGAAGACAGTTTATTTAGAAAGGGGCTATTTACAAATGTATATCTAAGCGTAGTAGAGCTATAAGGGAAATTGCTAGTAACAGCTCAGCTTTTACCATCTTTAGGTATAAAAGGATGAGGAGAGGATGCAGTTCTATCCACAAGGATAGACATTCCTGTCAAGCTGGCAACCTTGGGAAGCGCCATGACCTTTGGTTAAGGGATATCATCTAGCCATGCTGGTTTTGGAGGTGTAGAGTATAAATATTTTACTTTCCTTCTTCTGTCCATTCTCCAACTGACTAAACTCAAATGGAAAGAAATTCTGTTGTGATACGTACAAGTTAGCTTTTCAAGGTACAGAGCAGGGTGTTTTGAACGGTGGAGTATGGCTCTGGAGGCTGGAGGGCCAAATGGAAGATATCAGGCACGTGGAGAAAGGGAACTAACATTTTATTTCTTTTTCTAAATCAAATCCTGTTTCAAACACTCGGTATGCTTAGGATGAGGACCATCTGATCTTTCATACTTTAGTTTCTTCAATCATGTATTCAAAGCTTGCTGTCTATGTGATAGATACTGTGTTAAGGACTGGATATATAAAGATACATAAGACATGGTCCCCACCTTAGAGATGCAATATGTAGTGATAGAGATAGATTTAAGGAATATATAGACACCACTGTTAGGTTTATTATTATTATGTTTACTATTTCGTATCTGAAGTCCTATGGTAGGCTGAAGAATAAACGACACTATTATTTGCCTGTATGTGTTTTATATGTGCTTAATGTGTCTGTGTGTGTGTGTGTGCATGCGTGTGTGTGAAGGTTGCTTGAGGGGAAGGAATGCAATTTCAATCAATCAGGCTTATCACTATCTGACTAACTTAATTAAAACATCACTTTCATTAGATCACTTTTTTTTTTTGAGAATGTTTTACAAGAATTCTCAAAAGCTGCTTCTTGCTTTTCAGAGACCTCACTCCTTTGGTACCATCCTCACTTTCCTCTTTTTAAAACTTTTATTTTCCATCCTGACTTTCCAGTTGCATTTCCCAGCACCCTCCATGTGAGATCAGCAGGTCTACCTATCCCTACTGGCATTTTGCAATAATTTCTATGATGATTGTGTAATGCCAACCTCTCTTCCTCCCCAATTTAAGAAACTTTTAACCTCCTGCTGCTTATCATTCAACATTGTGCTCAAATCCCACCTTCTGTGATTATAACTTTCATAATGTTTTAACTCACAAACAACTTGCCTAGTTTTGCTGGCCCTAATAGCCAGTTCCATGGTGAACTTAATTATTTTTTAGATGTCTTCCATGTGCTAATTTTGATTCCACAGGTATGTTATACACATGTCTATCATTTACTCTGTATCTCCTTCAGAACCTAGGAATGTGTTGAGTTCAATAAATACTTAATTGAGAGCCTTGTGTGAAGGTACCAGGCCAAATATGCCACTGTTATTGGAAAAATAACTCAAAGGAGATGCTCTACCAATTGAGGGGCATAATTTTGTTTGAAAGACAAAGAATTATATTATTCGTTTGAATTATTCATAATTTCTGTTTTCTTGTTATGATGTTTTGGTTATCTTCGAATAGATTTTAGATTATGACTTTTAGCTGTGGTCTGTATAACATGGTTGACCTCTAATTTTCGATGTATTGTATGGAGTGTGGAGTATCATCAATCCAAAATTGAATCACTCTGTACTTCCTTTTGCTAGTGTTTTTGGATTCTACATGAAATCCTCTCAATGTTTCTTTCTGTTAACCTCATATTGTGAATCTATGTGTGTGAGGTCTATCGCCCAAGGCTTCAATGAAAGCATCAGTGTGACTGCTGCTTCTTTGCAGGCCTGGTTTTCTCTCTCCTGACTTCCTATTAGAGACTTTACCATCAAGTTCAAGTTGCTTTTCTTCTACATATATTTTCTTTTCAGTCATCCTATTCATTATTCCTTTATTATTCTTTTCAAGAACACTAGAAAGAACTAAAAGTCCAGTAGTAGAGGATTGTTTAAGTAAAATATGTGTCATCTATAGGATTTAATAATGTGTATTGGAATGGTTTCATACTGCAAATATTTATCGGTGCTAAAAGAAAAAATTCAGTTGATAAAATAGTGTGCAAATATTGTCTCAATTTTATAAAAATATAAAATATATATGCTTTCAAAAATATAAAAATAATATTTAAAAATATAATTCGTGGGTAATACATGTTTTTTAGCAGACGTTAATGCTTTTTAGAAAATATTTCTGGTTCTCTGGGTCCATGGTAGGATTGTTCTTCCTCATTTCATTTGGTGGTTAAGTGTGATAGTGTGGCTTGTTTTGCCCTATGACATGTGGATGGAATATGTAAATGTTACTGCCAAGTGGTACTTCAAGAGAAAATTTGAGATTTGCATTCCCTTTCTACTGCTGCTATTGTTATGGAGGCATTTGCTCAGATGATACCTTCATTAGCCAAGTTTCTGAGTGACCAACGAACAGAAACACTCCTGTTGACCCATGTTGGATGTGTCACGAGTGAGAAATAGTCTGTTGTGCTAAACTATAGAGATTTGGGGGGTTGTTTGCCAGGGTTGCATAATCTGGTCCATCCTGAATAATTGAATATTCATTTTACAATTTTTGGAAGATGCAGAAAGCAAGAAGGAGAAAAGGAAGACTACTCATGACACCACACTGTATGTGTGCAATGCATTTTTATGCACTTGTCTTTTTGTATAAGCTATGCCAACTTACCTAAATTTTTTAAATGCTGGAAATAATTCTGATTTTCATAAGCAATAAAAATGAGCTAGATCTTATATGGAGAACCTTATTCCTTTTATTCTTTTATGCTAGTTTGTTATTAATATTGATGTGTCTTCAGCAATACTGTACTTAGGGTTTACTCCAAACTAAATCAAAGAGCAAGTGGTTTGTTGCACTCTGAGCCTCTCCTTTGTGTTGCCTTCATCTACTTCTTTTACTCTCATTATACTTACCTACTTAAGGCTGTTTCTAAGAAAAGCCTAAAACATTTCATAATAAAATGAAAGGCTAAAAATGTTACTTGCATAGTTCTCTTTTTGTGTGCGCACACAGTACATTAATATAGGAAATGATAAAGTTTGTAAGGCTTTGAAATAATCATTTGTGACTGTTAACTTTGCTCATTTGAACAGTAAGCTCCCAATAATCAGTAGGAATTTATTTTGAGACATATGTAGGAGGCAAATAGTGTGCAGAAACCACTCTATATCATAAGCAATTACTGTGAACGAACAGTGAGAGAATTTTAATGTTTATTACATCAATATTTTTTATTTTGCTTTTCTCTAACTCCTTCACCAACCTATCTCCTCTCATACATTATGATGCGTAGCTTTACGCACCCAGTACCCTTAAGACTAATGTCAGTTGTAAAAGTGTGGCATGGCATTTTACAAAAATTGCAAAACACATATTATGCAAATTCTCCTTAGCATCTCAAACATTAAAAGAATGAAGAATAGTATCTTCCTTTATAAATTCATTTGATACTGTCACAGCCAAAACTCATGTGACCTTGCAGCTCACAATTAGGATCACAAAAGAACTAGTTTTGATAGTCAACTCTGTAAAAGAAAGGAAAAAGCAATTCTAAAAGTCCAAAATGGCCTGTTAGACTGAGGCATGCAAAGAGAAGATAACTCTTTCTTTGCGAGCTAAACGCCTCATTACAGAATGATACCTTTCATGACTTAAAAACCTAGAAGAGAATATTAAGGTGAAGTTGCCAAACAAAGATCAGGCTTTCATGCAAATGTCTTTGGTAATTAAGGGGAGGGTGGTGCTAAATGTGCAATATTCCTTCTAAGCAGAATTGTTTCTAAATTCAGGGGTATGTTCATGCTGTAGTCTATGAGGCAACAGCTGTTCTTAAGAGAACGCTGTCAATGTTGATAAGTTACTTTTAAAACTAAATCTGTTTGCTGAGCTCATGTTGTTTGGAAAACTATACAGAATGAAATCTTTAATGCATTTTTTTCTTTTGAAAAAAGGGAAAAATCCTATCAATTGCAAGCAAAAGCAGAATTCTAAAAGCCCACAACCTTAGTGAGAGCCTAGGCTAAGCTCATTTATATGAGGGAGGGAGAAAAACATAAAGCACATTGGAATTCTGAGTCCCTAATCTGTGGATAACAATTTTAAACTCTGAAAATGCACTGATTGCATTCTTTTAGTCCTTTTTTGGGAGTGGCTTAGTGTGGGACTGAGTGCTATTTTCATAACTGCTCTTTTGTTTGTTTGTAGGAATATACTATTTCTCATGGGTTTATTTGTCATTTGTGATATGCTGGCCAAAGCAGTCTTGGACATCATTCTTCTCTTTATTTCGTGTGATACTTCAGGCATTGTTTAAACACAAGGGTAAAAGAAAGCATGAACTCTAGTGTCCAATAGGACTATACAACTCTGGCCTTAGGGAAAAAACCGTGAGAAATTTTCTCTTTAGTATTATAACCCCTTCTTCATTCCACTCAATTCTAGAATTGCTTATAGTTGTATTCAGGAGCTCAATACCAGACCCAAGAGACCCAGTCAACTACATTCTGATTTCTTCTAATTTGTGTTGTCTTTACAAACTAACCAGTTCCTTGTTTCATTTTACAAACTTCCAAGCTCGGGGGCCTTTGAAAGTTATAGAATTAGAGCATTGGAGAGTATTTTAAAGGTATTCCTAGTCCAATGTATTAGTCCTTTCTCATGCTGCTATAAAGAAACTCCCGAGACTGGGTAATTTATAAAGAAAAGAGGTTTAATTGACTCAGAGTTCCACATGGCTGGGGAGGCCTCAGGAAACTTACAACCATGGCAGAAGGCACCTCTTCACAGGGGGGCAGGAGAGAGAATGAGTGCCAGTGGGGGAAATGCCAGATGCTTGAAAAACCATCAGATCTCATGACAACTCACTCATTATCACGAGAACAGCATGGGGGGAACTGCCCCCATGATTCAATTACCTCCCACTGGGTCCCTCCCATGACACATGGGGATTATGGGATTACAATTCAAGGTGAGATTTGGGTGGGAACACAAAGCAAAACCATATCATTCTGCTGCTGGCACCTCCCAAATCTCATGTCCTCACATTTCAAAACACAAAGTGTTCCCCAAAGTTTTAACTCATTCCAGCATTAACCCAAAAGTCCAAGTCCAAAGTCTCATATGAGACAAAGCAAGTCCCTTCCACCTATGAGCCTGTAAAATCAAAAGCAAGTTAACTGCTTCCTAGATAGAATGAGGGTACAGGCATTGGGTAAGCACTCATTCCAAATGGGAGAAATTGACCAAAACAAAGGGGCTACAGGCTCCATGCAAGTCTGAAATCCAATAGGGTCCAACAAGGCAGTCATTAAACCTTAAAGTTCCAAAATGATCTCCTTTGACTCCAAGTCTCACATCCAAGTCGTGCTGATGCAAGAGGTGGGCTCCCACAGCTTTGGACAGCTCTGTCCCTGGGGCTTTGCAGGGTACAACCCTATTCTGCTGCTTTCACAGGCTGGCATTGAGTGTCTGTGGGTTTTCCAGGTGTATGGTGCAAGCTATTGGTGGATCTGCAATTCTGGGGTCTGGAGGACAGTGGCCCTCTTCTCACAGCTCCACTAGGCAGTGTCCTAGTGGGGACTGTGTGGAGGCTCCAGCCCCACATTTCCCTTCCACATTGTCCCAGCAGAGGTTCTCCATGAGGGCTTCACCCCTGCAGCAGACTTCTGACTGGACATGGAGGAGTTTCTGTACATCCCCTGAAATCTAGGCAGAAGTTCCCAAACTTAAATTATTGTCTTCTATGCACCTGCAGGCCCAACACCACATGGAAGCTGCCAAGGTTTGGGGCTTGCACTCTTTGAAGCAATGGCCTGAACTGTACCTTGGCCTCTTTTAGCCACAACTGGAGCTTGAGTGGCTGGGATACAGGGTACCATGTCCTGAGGCTGCACAGAGCAGGGGTGCCCTGGGCCCAGCCCAGGAAGCCATTTTTCCCTCCTAGGCCTCCGGGCCTGTGACGAGAGGGGCTACCCTAAAGACCTCTGACGTGCCCTGGAGACGTATTATTCCCCATGGTGTTGGCAATTAACATTTGGCTCCTTGTTTCTTGTGCAAATTTCTGCAGCCACCCTGAATTTCTCCTCAGAAAATGGATTTCTCTTTTCTATTGCATCATCAGGCTGCAAATTTTCCAAACTTTTATGCTGTGCTTCCACTTGAATGCTTTGTGGCTTAGAAATTTCTTTCACCAGATACCCTAAACCATCTCTCTCAAAGTTCCACAGATCTCTAGGGCAGTGGCAAATTGCCACCAGTCTCTTTGCAAAAGGATAGCAAGAGTGACCTTTACTCCAGTTCCCAACAAGTTATTCATCTCCATCTGAGACCACCTCAGCCTGGATTGATTGCTCATATCACTATCAGCATTTTAGTCAAAGCCATTCAACAAGTCTCTAAGAAGTTCCAAACTTTCCCACATTTTCCTGTCTTCTTCTGAGCCCTCCAAACTGTTCCAACCTCTGCCTGTTACCCAGTTCCAAAGTTGCTTCTACATTTTTGGGTATCCTTATAGCAGTGCCCACTCTTGGTACCAATTTACTATATTAGTCCGTTCTCATGCTGCTGTGAAGAAATACCCAAGACTGGGTAATTTATAAAAGAAAAAGGTTTAATTGACTCACAGTTCCACATGACTGGAGAGACCTTGGGAAACTTACAATCATGGCAGAAGGCACCTCTCCACAGGGTGGCAGGAGAGAGAATGTCAGCAGGCAGAATGCCAGGCACTTATAAAACTATCATATCTCGTGGGAGCTCACTATCGTGAGAACAGCATGAGGGAAACTACCCCCATGATTCAGTTACCTCCCACTGGGTCCCTCCCATGACATGTGGGGATTATGGGATTACAATTCAAGGTGAGATTTGGGTGGGGACACAAAGTCAATCCATATCATACAACTTTAATGAAATATAAAGTTATATTCTTTGTATCTGATAATGACCTAGTCTTTGCTTGAATGTTACATTTAGGGGTGGTTTAGGTTGTTAGAAAAAAATTTTTCTTTTATTAAGCAAAAATAGTTTTGCCTACAAATTTCACTCATTGATTATAGTTTTGTTTTCTGGACTAACAGAATAATCTCACATGGATGCATAATTAAGGATGTGAACACATACCTTGACACAGTGAGGATATCAAGAGCTCAACAAGAATTTAGTATTGGAGAATTGTGGCTCTTTTAAAAGAAGAAACGATTGAAGTTAATCAGCTTAAAGAGTGTAAGGAGTGAGGGAACTGTGATCAGTTTCATGTATTCATGTGTCAAATACTTGAATGATTCTGTTGGAAGGTGTAACTAAGTTTTTTGAATATGGCTCTAAAAGGCATGATTGGATCCAGTGGCTAGAATTAGAAGTAGGCAGATTCTGGATTAACCAAGTGATAAAAATAGAATGAATACCTTAGGACATGGCCTATTTCACATTAGGAGAGCATTTAAGATTAGATAGTTGAATTTTATGAGTTATTAAATCCTTACTAGTCTGATATTTAGCAGGAATATGAAAAAATAATATATTTAGAAGATATACTATATGGTTATTGGAATATGAGGGGTTATGAAGATGGGAGCATAATGGAAATCTGTTAGATAAAGCTAAAAGAAGAGAAGAATCAACATAATTTGGGGTATTTAGGATAGGTGAGGTGGTTCGTGAAAGGCTGTAGCAATAATTTTTTTAAAGTCAACTTTATTGTTGTATAATTTATATACAATAAAATAGGCTATTTTTAAGTTTACACTTTGATGTTCTGACAGCCTTATGTACTTATATAAGCATCACAATACTCAAGATATAGGAGATTTCCACATATGCCCCCAAAAGCTTCTTTGTGCACCTTCCCATTCAAATCCCACTTTAGGTCCTGTCTTGTGTCTTTTACCCTGCATTGCTTTTAAAAAATTTTATTTTTAATTTATGTGGGTGCATTGTAGGTGTATATATTTATGGGGTACATGCGATGTTTTGATACAGGCATGCAATGCATAATAACCAAATCATGTAAGATGGGGTATCCATCTCTTCAAGCATTTATCCTTTGTATTACAAACAATTTGATTATTTTTTTTAGTTATCTAAAATGCACAGTTAGGTTACTATTGACTATAGTCACCCTGTTGTGCTATCAAATAGTAGGTCATATTCATTCTGTTTTTTGTACCCATGCTGCATTGCTTTTGAGATTTGCACATACTACTTTGCGTATCAATGGTTTTATTCCCTTTTATTGCTGAGTAGTATTCCATTGTAGGCATATACTGCAATTTGTTTCTTCACTTGAATGGGAATTTAGGTTGTTTCCAGTTTTGGGCTATTATGAATAAAGCTTCTATGAACATTGATGTCTTTTTATGGATATATGTTTTCATTCCTTTTGAGTAAATACCTAGAAGTGGTATTTCTGAGTCATAGAGAAGAGTAGATTTAATTTTATAAGGAAATGCCAAACTATTTTCAAAAGTGGTTTTACCATTTTACATTTGCACCAGTAGTGTAAGAGAGTTCTAGCTTTTTCATGACCTTGCTGACCCTTGGTATGGTCAGTCTTCTTAATTTCATCCATTCTAATTGGTGTGCAGTAGCATATCATTGTGGTTTTAGCTTGGATTTTCCCAGTGGATAATAATGTGAATCTTTCATGTGCTTATTGGCCATTTGTATGTTTTCTTTCATGAACTTGTACCAGTCTCTTTCTAATGTAGCTTGCACAGAACAAGGCATAGCAGTGATACAGCACCTTTATTATCTAGTGCAGAGTCAGCCGACTTTTTCTGTAAAGAGCCAGATAGTAAATATTTCCAGCTTTGAGGTTCAGTCTGTCTCAAATATTCAACTCTGTGATTGTAGTATAAAAGCAGCCATAGGCCGGGCGTGGTTGCGCTCACGCCTGGTATCCCAGCACTTTGAGAGGCCGAGGGAGGCAGATCACAAGGTCAGGAGTTCGAGACCAGCCTGGCCAACATGGTGAAACCCCGTCTCTGCTAAAACTACAAAAATTAGCCGGGCGTAGTGGCGGGTGCCTGTAGTCCCAGCTACTTGAGAGGCTGAGGCAGGAGAATCACTTGAACCCGGGAGGGAGAGGTTGCAGTGAGCCGAGACTGCACCACTGCACTCCAGCCTGGGTGACAGAGTGAGATTCCATCAAAAAGAAAAAAAAAAAGCAGCCATAGACAATGTACTCCTGAATTCGAATAAAGATTTATTTATAAAAACATGTAATGGACCAGATTTAGCTAACCCCTGATTTAGAGAACTATTACAAATTCATTTTATGGGAAGTAGTACCTCTGCGAATAACATCACCTTCAAAAGTTAGATACCGCACCTTGAGGGGAAATGCTACTCTGGACTGAATTCTGGCAAACAAATGAAAATTGGCAATGGTGAGAGCTAAGAAAAGGAAGGCTGAGTGTCCTCAGAATGACCTTGATATATCTTGAGTAGTTTAAAAAGTGTTAGATATTTTGTAATGCAGAATTTATGAGAAGTGATAAGAATTAACATCAATACTAGACAGTCCTTCTGGGTTGGTCTTAGAAGAGTTCAGAGGGATTTGGGTAGCTTTGCCTTTTATCATTCTGCTGCCACTTCGTACTATAGTGAAGGGAGATTTTCGCTTCAGTCTTCGGGTCATATGCATTAGAACTTTGTCTCAGTAGCAGGAAGTTGCTATTTCCCTTTTGGTGATTTATTCACAGCACCTATTACAAACTGAAAATCTTGCTAATGGTGAGTTTGGGTCTGAAATATTCATCCCAAGAAGAATTCTGTCAAGTCTAAATCAGGGTTGGGTTGAAGAGGTAACATTTTCTCTTGAAAGGAAGATCTATTTGATTTTTCGTATCCTTTAGGAGATAGACCATATTTTTCCTATTTGACTTTTAATAACTTTTTCTCTTATCCATTCACTAGTTTCACATTTATTTAAACAAATACAAAGGTAAGGTAGAGTGACCAATCATGCAGACAGTGAAAAGAGAGATGTATAGTCATATAAATGGATTTTATGACAAGCTTAAATTAACCTCAGAAAATGGAAGTCAACCAATTTTATCTACTCAGATATTTTCAACATCATGAAATTTTTCCATTGGCCATCCTTTCCTCCTGCCTGGCATGTTCACCGTTTCCTTCTGTAAGGTTAAAAGAATGCTTTTATTTGCTGGCAGAAAATGCTTTCGGATACTCCTCTTTCTGCTTGAAACAACAAAGTTCCCTGAATTCTCAATTTTTAATTATTTGTCAAATACTTTGTGACCAGTACTGTACCAAATTCTGTGGGGGTATACAAAGATGATATAAAACTTAATTGCTATTTTCCAAGTGTTTAAAATCTAACCAGATGTAAAATAGAATAAAGTTTTAGCTATTATTTTAATTATATATATTGATCAATTTATTCTTTTTATAATTTCAACTTATATTTTAGATACAGGGGGCACATGTGTATGTGTTACAGGGTTTATTGCATGATGCTTTAGGCTTGTTGTAAATTTCTTGGCCTATACACACATGTTAATTCGAAAGTTTTGATTTCAAAATTTTCATGACTTATCTATCATGATAATTTTTTATTTTTCAATCACCAGAGGACTATATAGACCATTATCATCTTCAAGATGGGGGCATATCTTACACAGCTTTATTCACCAAGTGCATGCTTACAGTATATCTCAAGATATATTTCTTGAATTAAGTTGAATTGGCAGAAGTATCAATGAAAAACATAAGCTTGCTTTGGATAGGATATTGGGTTTAGAAACAATGTTTAATTCATTAGGTAAAGAGGGAAGTATATATTTTTAAATATCTATATTTCACATATAGTAAATCTAGTGGTAAAAGCATTTTAGGAATTGTTACTTATTAAAATATTGTGAAGGATTCAGAGATATGGGAGAGAGTAGTCATAGTACTAAATGCAGAGATAGCGAATATAGATACTGATAAAATATGTAGATTGTTATAATTTAGTCAGAAAAAATCATTTATTCAGATGGAGAAAAAGAAGCTGAAACAAATTGAAAAACTTTCTCACCTGTACTCCCCAGTTACTAGTTTTAAGTGCCAGACCCAGAAGTAAATAGTTTCTATTTGCCTGACCACTGTGGACAGATTACAATATGTCAGTGAGTATTCTGAGTAAGACTTTTAAATTTACTGCACCTGACTTTCAGAATGCTGATGTTTTCCTTTTATTCTTACCACACTGAGTCTGAACATTTCAGATTGTAAGGTAGAATTTCCACACATTGTCTCTGGAGTCTAGGTTAAAACATAAGAAGCCACTTCAAGGTGATAAGTGTATATCTTACTCCTTGAAAGGACTAATAACTCAGAAAATGGAACCATCCCTTGTCCACTCATCTCTCCCACTCCCCCAACCCCTTACTTCCTGATTACTGCCTGACTTCACTGATGTTATGAGAGTAGGAAGAGGCTTTGTCCTTGCCCCTCCTTATTCATCTCCATCATCATTATTCATGTCTGTCTTCATGTGTGAGAGGAGAAGGTATACATTTTGCTCTATAAATTTATTTATTCATTTTATCTTTAAAGTTGTTGGTTTAACATTGGCGTTTCAATATAACCCATTTTGCATTGGGGTATATAACATGGAAAGCTTTTTTTCATTATGCTTTTCTCTTCCAACTCTACATGGAAGGTCAGTGTGGTTATAATGTAGATACATAAACACAGGTAAAGAAATGCGCAGAATAATCTTAGCAATTCCACAAGCATGAGATTTCCATGCTTTTGTAGCAGAATGTCCTTGAAATTGTCATTGAGCTTTGGGTAACCTTCCAGGATGAGATTCTGCTGCCAGTGAAACATAATGGGTTTTATGTCTTTATTTAGTCTACTTTATTTAAATGACTATAAGTAATCTCTCCTTATACCTTGCCCATTATTCCAATAAATATACTTGACAGGGATGGAAAGGGTAGGAAAAATACCCTTATTTACCCTCTGATAAATATTTGCAAAAATAAATCTTTATTATGAAGCTCCTTTGAACAAGGATGGCTTAGATATTAAACTATTATATCTAACCTTCCAATTTAATTACATTATTATGTACATAAGCACTGAAAATCCTTATGAGATGTATAGTCAAAAATACGTTTCCAAAGCGGAGATGTGTTTATACTTAATAGAAATTAAAGTGATTTGGATTGTGGAAGATTGTTTTGGGGAGCTATAACACAAAATGTTTATTGCTATATTAACAATACAGGTATTAATAAAGTGTGACTGGGCAGATTGTAATGTCTGAAAGTACATTAAAAACATTTTTCAGGGTAAAAAATGTTTGAGTTTTCTTGGACAGTTTATTAGTTTCAGGGCCTTTTATGTGTTGTTTAGATGAAGCAATGGAATTGTTCTGAAACTTAAAACACTGCAATACTCAGAATGTGGATGGGGAACATAAACTTGGTTTATATATTAGAAATCTTACCCAATTGTAGTAAGGGGATATAATTAGAAACACTAAGAAATAAAAATGAATGGAAGCTGAAATAATCTGGAAGGCGGAAGTGGATGGTGGGAAGGTACCAAGAGGCCAGAGGGCATGAACTCCACTCCGACATCTAAGAAAGCTGGGGTGGATACAGTTAAGTGTAAATTTGGGGAAGGTATCTTGAAATCCAGCATTGGGTTGTATCTCTCAAAGGACCCTGAGCAAGCTCCAGACTAGAGGTCCCTCCAACTTTATTGTGCGTATGAGTCACCTGGGGATCTGGTTAAAATGCAACTTCTGATTCAATAGGTCTAGATGGAGCTTGAGGGTATGCATTTCTAACCAGCTCCCATATGATGATGATGATGCTGGTCCTTGAACCAACTTTGAGCAGCCAAGGTCCAGGGAGCACTTTCCAACCCCTCAGGAAAGAGGTCTATAGGCACTGAAAGAACCAGCTGGCATTTGTGTTCTGAAGCCATAGTGTCATTTTCTGGCTGAAGAGAAATGATTTTCCCTTCTCAGGCACCCTTACGACTGCTGAAAAGAGCGCAGAAGCAATGACAAAATTTAAGCCAGCAACTCTTACAGTTGTACAATTGGGCTCTCTCACAGGCTGATTAATAATAATAATAACAACCGTAATAATAAACGTGTATATGGGGCTCACTGGCCAAGCATTGTGCTAATGCTTTCCGTGGGTGTTTCGTTTTAGTCCTCACATCCTCCCTTTGAAAGAGGTACCATTATTATCTACAGTTTATAAATGAGGAAATGAACTTAGGGGATGTTAGGATCACACACAACTACTTGGGATTCAAACTTGAATTTGCGTCAGGATGTGTCAGTGATGTGTCAAGATCACACACAACTGCTAAGGATTCAAATCAGGATTATATGACTACCTTACCTATTCTTTCAGCCGTTTTCTAAGGGCTTACTATGTGTCAGGAACATTTAATAAAATCCAGCGTTTGAGAGAGGAATCAATGCTATTGGAGATGGAGAAACTGATATCCAGAGAGGGAAAATGATTTACCCAGAGTTGAGTTGCGTAGAGATTCAAACATAGGCTGTCTGGCTTGAAAGCAGAGAGAGACTGGGTTAACAGCAGTGAAAAAACTCCTACAACCACAGAGGAGTATTTAGGAGTAAATTAAGACCCTTCATGAAGGGAGAATATCTTGAGAACCAAGTAGCATTATTTTGGGGGACGCAGGAACCAAACACATTTTGATGGTCATGCACGCCCTTGCTCCCCCCACCCAGTGCTGATATGGCCTAGGAAAACAAAGTTTTACAGTGTTATTTAGAAAGGAATTACATATTTGAACAGCTATATATATATCTATATATATTTATATATATAGATATAAAATATATATATAAAATATATCTATATTTATACATATAGATATAAAATATATATATAAAATATATATATATTTATACACACACACACACAATTCAGTAATTCCATTCACACTTTATCAGTTGTAAATTTAACATTAACTAGTATTTTAGGAAGTAGAGTTGGTCAGCCAAGGAAGGTTGGATGGATGTAGATGCATGTCTATATATGTATGTAACTGGAGCTCATTTAAAGGTCATTTACTCTTTCTCTTTAAATTGTTGACAAAATATTTTGCATTTAAATCAATATAAGCAATGGGAAAACTGCCACATGGATTTTTTTCCCTAAGAAAGCCCTATCTATCCATCCATCCATCCATCCATCCATCCATCCATCCATCCATCCATCCATCCTCACAAAGGAATATACTGAGTATAAAGGATTAAACTCTACCAAACTATATGCATCTAAATAGCTTATTCCTCAAAATCATGGAGTAGTTCAGCTTGAATCATTATCAAATTTCTGGATTTGGGATCATACAACTTTTTCTTTAGTTTTTATTTTGAAAAAATATTAGATTTATAGAAAAGTTGCAAATACAGTAGAGTTCTCATATGCCCTTCACCCAGTTTTCCCTAATGCTACCATCTCATCAAAACCATACGGTTAATGTTGCTAAAATGCTATTAACTAATCTACAGGCATTTATATGATTTTTCCAGTTTTCCCACTAAAAACTTTTTCATTTTTCTAAACTTTGTGAATTCATCCTTAATGGTTGTTCTTAATGCTGATTTTTGAGGAATAATGAATGAGAATATCAGAGGAAGAGAAGACATGTATTCAGATTGAGAATGTAGACATATGCACTTTGCTGTTGTGGGTTGAATTGTGTTCCATCAAAATATGTTGAGGTCCTAACTCCCAACACCTGTGAATGTGACCTTATTTGGATATGGAGTCTTTGCAGATGGTCAAGTTAAGATGAAGTCTTTAAAGCAGGCCCTAATCCAGTATGACTGTGTCCTTATAAAAAGGGGAAATTTGGACTTAGAGACAAACAGGCACACACACACGCACACGCACACACACACAAGGAAAATACCATGTAAAGATTGGAGTTAAGCTGCTACAAGTCAAGGAACTACCAGGAACTAGGGGAGAAGCCTGGAAGATATCCTTCCTGAGCACCTTCAGGGGAAGCCTTGAAACGTTGATCTCAGGTGCTGACACCTTGATCTCAGATTTCTAGCCTCCATAACAGTGAGACAATAAAAATCTGTTGTTCAAGCCACTCAGTTTATGGTACTTAGTTTGGCAACCCTAGCAAACTAATACATTTGAAGCTTGGGTACCTTTGTCAGGTGCTGTGCTGTTCTTACTGTGGCATATGTATGTGTAATTTGCATTTCCCTGGTGATTAGTGATGTTGAGCATTTTTTCATATATCTTTTGGCCATTTGTATGTTTTCTTTTGAAAAATATCTGCTCATGTCTTTTTCCCACTTTAAAAAATAACCATAATTGTTATTTTATTTTTTAACTTTTATTTTAGATTCAGGGGGTACATGTCCAGAATTCTTAGAGAGGTGTATTGCATGATTCTGAGGGTTGGAGTACAATTGACTGCATCATCCAGGTGGTGAGCATAGTACCCAATAGGAAGTTTTTCAACTCTTGTTCCCCTTTCTCCTTTTCTACTCTTGTATTCCCCAGTGTCTATTGTCCTCATCTTCATGTTGGTGTGTACCCAATGTTTAGCTTCCACTTATAAGTGAGAACATGAAGTATTTGATTTTCTGTTTTTGCATTAATTCGCTTAGGATAATGCCTTTGCCCACTTTTTATGGGGCTATTTGTGGGCTTTTGTTGTTGTTGTTGAGTTTGAATTCCTGGTAGATTCTGGAGTCCTTTGTTGGATGCGTAGTTTGCAAATATTTTCTCCCATTTTGTAGGTTGTCTGGTGGTCTGTTCACTCTGTTGATCATATCTTTTTCTATACAGAAGCTTTTAGTTTAAGTTAGTTCCATTTGTCTGTTTTTGTTTTGGTTGTATTTACTTTTGAGGCTTTATTCATGAATACTTTGTCTAGGCCAATGTCCAGAAGAAGTTTTCTTAGGTTTTCTTCTTGAATTTTTATAGTTTAAGGTCTTACATATAAATCTTTAATCCACATTGGGTTAATTTTTGTGTATTGTGAGAGATAGGGGCCCAGTTTCATTCTTCTGTAAATGGCTGCCCAATTTCACCTGCCCCATTTATTCAAGAGGGTATCTTTTCCCCAGTATGTTTTTTTGAAGATCAGTTGGCTGTAGGTATGTGGCTTTATCTCTGGGTTTTCTCTTCTTTTCCATTCATCTATGTTTCTATTTTTATATGTACCTTGCTGTTTTGGTTACTATAGCCTTGTATTATATTTCGAAGTAACATCCAGAGTTCTTTAACCTTGTTAACTGATGTGAACCTAAGGACTGAAAGGATGGCTTTGTTCTTCTTCTTGTTGTGTGTGCATGTAGAATTTCAGAGCCCGGTAGTTTTCTGTAAAAGTAATGTGTGGTTTTACTAGAATGGAGCCCAGCCTGTAAATTGGTTTCATATTTCTGCCATGCTTGGCACTGGAAGAACTTACCAATGACAGAGTACTCCTCTAGGGAGGGAGACAGTTGTATACCTGGACTTTTGCCTCTTCTGGGCCTAGTGAGTTATTTTTGGAATAGCAGATGACCAGTGTTTGTCACTGAGTCTTCTGGCATCATTATGGTTCTGTTGAAGAGTGGCTCTGGAGATTGCTGGAAACTTTTTTTTTTTAAAGAGAGACAGGGTCTTGCTCTGTTGCCCAGGCCAGAGCGCAGTGGCACAATCATAGCTCACTGCAGCCGTGAACTCCTGGGCTCAAGCAGTCCTCCCACCTCAGTCTCTCAAGTAGCTGGGACTACATGTGCATACCACCACACTAGGCTAATTTTTTTAAAACTTATTTTTTTGTAGAAACAGGATCTTGCTGCATTGCCCAGGCTGGTCTTGAACTCCTAGCCTCAAATGACACTCCTGCCTTGGCTTCCCAAAATGCTGGGAATATAGGTGTGAACCACTGTGCCTGGCCTTGCTGGAAACTTTTAATCAGATTTATTCTTTGGACATAGTTCTGGAAAGTAGTCACTTCAGGCATTGTTTTGAATTTATTGGACCTTATGATAATGGGACTGGCTATCTGGGAGACCCTGGTTCTGGCTGGACCCTAACAAGTGAAACTGGAACTGAATCAGTTGGGGGAATGAAGCAAGTCTAACAGCTGTTTGACTTCTCACATTCAGTTAGCTGTGAAGCTTCCAATTTATCTGGCAGTGTTTGTTGAATAAATAGGAAAAAATTGTCCAAAATTTTTATCTGTGAGTTAAAATTCCCATAGAAATAGTTAGCTTTCCAGGGATCCTCTCCAAGTTGTAATAAACCACCTGTGTTCAGTAGGAATAACCTACTGAAGTAGAATATTGGCCAACACAACCACTCACATTTAATTTAATCACTTATTCTAGTCTCCTCTCAGAACTCCACATACAGGTGAAGTGATCCTCTTCTTACTTAGTTGTGAAGGTGTTAGTATTCGATCTCTTGAGTTAAATTTCTATTTCTTGAAGAGAAGTGACTACAATAAACTCATTTGAGGATGACTGGAAAGAAAGATATCAAAGCTCTATTTAGAATCTATTTGATGCAAGAAATAATTTGAGGGACAATGTGATTGAGTTTCCGTATCCATAATTGGTTTTAAGTAAACTCAATTTTTGTGTAAGGTAACAAGGGTTTAATATTCAAACAGAAATTTATGGAAATTAAGCTGCCTGGAAGGAAAATTTTAGAACAGCCTCGGTATCTGTCAGGGATCAGATACCATCTTAAGCAGAATGTCCTGATTGCCAGGCATCTGCGTAAATATATTTTTCTCTTATTCCTTCTGTTTTTCCAGCTATTGATTTTAGAATGCTTTTACTTTCCCAAATCTACTTTATCTATAAATGTGGATAACCCAGGATCAGCAAATTTGAAATGTTGTGGTTCAGAACTGCACTTGGTCATACTGTATACAATGATAGCTTGCAAAAGTGATCACTCCATCCCACCCCTTCCACTAGCCCTAAAAGATGGACGATAAAGCCCTCTCTTCTGCTGTTCCTTCTGGGAGAAGTGTCTGTAGGTTTTCATAAATCTAAGCCAAAATATACCCCTTTGAGCCAACTTTGAGCCATCACATGGCTGTCCCCTGCATTGATTGAAATTTTTCTTTGTATTTTATGATGCAGTGGATGTAATATTTTCAAGTGCTGTTTTTATGTGTACAAAATTGTGACTATTTTTCTCTAGTTCACCTTATTTCTCTTTTAAGCCCCCAATCTTTCTAGTGGCAGAAAACTTAAATGTAGTAAGTTCTGGACAAGCAGTTATTTAAGGTTTAAACGCACTTAATTAAGAATTTCCCCCCTTCTAAATCTTTCTTTTCAAGATGGAAGCTAAGTTCTGGAGTTTATGTAGCATTATGTCTCTATGGTGGCTGGGCGTGACTTTGAGGTGGCCATTGGTGGGGAGGTGGCACCAGGCCTCAGCTGTGGTCATGTGAATTACACTGGTATCTACTGAGGTGGACTGTGCTGTCTGTCCTCCTCAATGGCATTTGGCAAGGTGACAAGTTCCCCCTGGCACTCTGGGTCTCATGAGTGCAACTTGGGAAGATAGTTGGCTTTTTCCCAAGATGTGCAAAGGTGGGAGGGAGAAGCTACAAAGCTGCAAGGGTGATTTGGGCCCATTTCACTTCATGTAGTAGTGGCTCAGGGAGCTCTCAGGGGCTCTTTGGACCAGTTTTCTTCTTTACTCAGCTCTGAGAACCTTGTCTCTGGGTTGTATTATACTGTGTATCTCATGGGTACTGGTTCTATCATGATATTCATTCTTGAAGATTAATGATAGTCTCATATGTTGCATGTCTTACAGCCTTAACTCATGATGGCATGGGGGTCATGTGGTTAAAAGGAAGTACAGGATGAAGTGAGAGTGTGTAGAAGAGTTCATGAGCATATCAGTTAATGCTTAAAAAGTCCATCCTATGTAAGAGTTTATTTAGTGGACCCAAGGAGGTTTCATTACTTCTGGTAATTGGGAAGGATCCCATGGCCAGAAATGAAAATAAGTAGAATTGAATAAATGTGTAGAGTCAGGAGATAACATGTGGAGGTGGGTCTTGGCTTGCAACTTGGGATAGGCTTGAAGGGAAGGGTCATCTTTGTATGGACAAGGAGAAGAGTTGAGCACTCTGCACAAGGATGAAGAACAGATTAAGTGGAAGACTTCAAACTGATACTGAGGGTTTGTGTTACTTCTAGGTATGACACACACAGACACGTACACATGTATATATATGTTATATCTCTCTGTGTTTGTGTGTGCATACACATATATGCATACACACATATATCTATGTGTATATATATACATATATACACATATGTTTGTTGGTGCTGTCATACATGGAATTTTTACTGTTTGTATTTTATAACTGGTTACTGCTAGTATGAAGATAAACTATTAATTTTTATATGTTTATGATATAAATGATAGCATAACTCATTTTATTTTTTTTGAGTTTTCTGGGTAGAATATCCTGGAAATAAGTATAAATTTGTCTTCTTTCTCTTGGTTTACTTAAAATTATTTTGGTTTTTATTAAATAGATTTAACACAGTATTGACTTGATATTTATGTGGATGTGCATGTAGTTTCTTATGGAAGAGAAATTTCATATTAAATAACTATTGAATTCCTGGAATAAAAGTTTGTTTTGGAGGATCTTTTAAAATGCTCATTTTAAGAAAGAGTGCATTTTAGATTTGATTTGCTAAAAACTTGCTGATAATTTTTATTGGATATATTATTGATTTGTGTGTATGTGTGTACATGCTACTATTGCAATGTTGTGGAATCAGAAATGTGTTAGACTCATAAGGTGAATTGAGAAGATTTGACTCCTTTTCTCTGATTGGATATAGTTGATACAGTATAGGAATTATCTGTCCCTTGTAATATAGAATGAACATAACTATAAAATTGTCTGATACAGGGCCAGGTTGTTGAAGTAATTCTTTGGCATTAAAATTGATTTAATTTTTTTGTTTTATAAGATCTCCTTTATTTTTCTTTTTAAAGAATATACTTTTTATTTTACCATTTTCTTTATCATTAGCAACTCCTTTCTTTCATGCACATTTTATTGTTCCATTTCTTGTTCCTTGAATGGACTTTTGGTCCTTTGTTTTTAATCATTTTTGTTTACTCATATGTGTATTTTCCTCTAAATTCGACTTTGGTTGCCGTCTATATAATGTGTGCTTTAATCTCATTAGCATTTCTAGCTAAAGAGACAGTGGCTTATTTTGATATTTTCTTTAACCCAAAGGTTATTTAGAAGACTGCTTTAAATTTCCAAACACTAAGGGCTTCAAAATGGCTGAATAGATGCATCTGGTACTTGCCTCCTCCATGTAGAAGAACCAAAATAGTTAGTAGATAATCACACTTCAAGCAGATAATCTGAGAGAGAACACTTGAATTCAACAGAGAATTGATGGGAAACACTGAAAGCAAAGAAGGAGAGGGAAGTGAGGCAATCTGTTCAGCTGGGATTCACTGAGTGTCTGGAGAGGCTCCATAATAGAGGGGCATTGTAAGAGATCCCAAATGAGAGGTAAGTGAGAGAGCCCCCGGTATTGCCACAGACTCTTGTAATCTTAGTTATGGGAGAGGGCTTCAACCCTCATGGGCCCACAGAGTATCACAGAGCACTGTCTAGAGATCGCATAAAGGCATTGCTCCAGAGACAGAGCTCATGCTGACTCCCACAAACCTCCAAGTTCTAAGCAGCTGCTGCATAGCACCCTTTTGAGAGCCCAGTCCTCACCAGACTTTGGCCTGCCCTTGGGCTCAACAGCTCCTGCATCTTTATATCACTGGAGACCCATTGAAATTCCTCAGCCACAGCTGCCACCACTGAGGCCCACCGTGAGACAACTGACAGCAACTTTGCCCCTTAAGCAGAGGGGTGGCTGCTCATTTTCACACATGCCTAAGACAAATTGCACTGACTGCAACTGCTACCACTATGGGCTGCTGTGGTACCAAGGTATGAGCAAAGCTCATGTCCACCAGCCACTTGCATATGGCTGTTCTCACTGAAAGCAACCACAGCCTCATCAGTAATAGGGAAGCAGTTCAACCACTGCTACTCCAAAGGAGGATTCTGCTGGAGGTCTGCGACTCACCCTGCCCCTGCCTACAACAGCCAGCACTTGCATGCACCACGCTGAGGCCTGAGGGCCGGTCTGCCCAGCCAAGCTCCATCCTTCCTAAAACCAGAGTATGCCATCTAGGGGCCTAGGGATTGTCCAGCCTAGTAAACCACTGTTAGCACCTAAGCACTCCTCCCAGGGTCTGAGTTAGGGCCTACTCCACCTGATGCTACCAACACAGCACGCTCCCACCCACAGGTGCCAGCTGTAGGCCTGAGGACTGGCTCAGCAGCCCACTGCAGGTACTACCAACATGAGCACAGTCTGTGTAGATCCCAGAGGGTTGTTCCACCACTGCTACTGCCATTGCCCACACTATGCCCACTTCCCACTGGCTCATGAACCTGCCCACCCACCCAGCCAACCTCTGCCATTTCTAAAACCCAAGAAAGCCAGCTGAAGGGTCTGTAAATGTTCTTCATGGACCCACCAAAAATGGTGCCAGTGTATACCACCCTGGGATCCAAGGACAGGCATGCTCAGCCCACCATTGCTACCACTGGGTCCAAAAACTGGCTCACCTGGTGCCCCAGTCCCCAATAAAACTTCACCACAGCCTCCACTAACAACTGAATCATAAGATATAGAGGAAATCAGATACCACTGATGCTGTTTACAGCCAAATAAATCATAAAGAGAATACCCTACTACATGCACCAAGAATCAAAGCCAAAGTCCCCTGCACAGCCAATACCATAGGTACGTCCTCAGGAAAAAATTCTCCCCTGTGAAGCCAAATTCAAAAAAATTGGAAGAAGCAACTGTTACACCAGATGTGCAGATATAAATGTAAGGACACAAGAAACATGAAAAAGCAAGGAAATATGAAACCTCCAAATAAATAATTTTGCAGCAAAAATATCAGTCAAGAAAAAATTTATAAAATCACAAAGAAAACTCAAAATATTGATACTAAAGAAGCTCAGTGAGATATAAGAGAATACCGAAAAACAATACAAATAATTCAGAAAAACAATTTAGGATATAAATGAGAAATTCACCAAAGAGATATCATAAAAAAGAACCAAACAGGAACTCTGGAACTGAATAATTCATTTAATAAAATACAAAATATACTCAAAAAGTTCAACAATAGACTAGAAGCAGACTTCAAGCAGAAGAAAGAATTTAAGAACTTGAAGACAGGTCTTCTGTAATAACCCAGACACAAAAAATAAAAAAGAATAAAAAAATGAACAAAGCCTATGTGACTTATGAGACACCATAAAGTGAGCAAATATTAAATATTTGGTGTCCCAGAAGGCAAAGAGAAAATGAAAGGTCAGGAAAACCTATTTTAAAAATAATAGATGAAAAATTTCCAAGTCTAGCAAGAGACTTAGACATCCAGATACAGAAGGCTCAAAGATCCCTAAGTAGATACAACTTTAAAAGGTACATTAAAAGGGCCCATTATAGCCCAACTGTCAAAAGTCAAGAGAAAGTGAAAATTCTAAACACAGTAAGAGAAAAGCATCTAGTCACTTGCGAAGGAATCACCATCAGACTAACAGCATGTTAGTCAGTAGAAAACTTACAGGGCAGAGGAGAATGGGATGATATATTCAAATGGCTGAAAGAAAAAAAACCTTCCAGACAAGGATACTATACATAGCAAAGTTATTAATAAATGAAGGAGAAATGAAGTATTTCCCATATAAGTAAAAGTTCAGGGAATTCATCACCACTAGATTGGCCCTATAAAAAATGCTTATGGGAGTCCTACACCTGGAAGTGAAAAAAATGATAGCTATGATACCATCATGAAAATACACAAAGCATAAAAGCTAGTGGTAGAGCAAAAACATAAGGAAGAGAAAAAACTCAAATGTTACCACTACAGGATACCACCAAACCACAATGATAAACAATAAGAGAGAAATAACGACCAAAAATACACAAAAAACAAATCAGTTAATGAAATGACAGGAATAAGCCTTCACATGTCAGTAATAACTTTGAAAATAAATTGATTAAATTCTCCACCTAAGAGATATAGAATGGCTGAATGCATCAAAATAATAACATGACCCAACAATACGCTGCTTATAAGAAACTCACCTTAACAGTAGACACATACAGACTGAAAGTAAAGGAGTGGAAAAAGATACTCTGTGCAAATGGAAATCAAAAGTGAGCAGGAGTAGCTGTATATGTATCAGATAAAACCGGCTTTAAGTGAAAAACAGTAAAAAGAAACAAGGTTTTTATGTAATGATAAAGTGATGAATTCAGCAAGAGGATATAACAGTTCTAAACATATATGCACCCAAAACTGTAGCATGCAGATATATAAAGCAGATATTATTAGATCTAAAGAGAGAGAAAGACTTCAATATAAGAATAGTTTAAGACTTCAACACTCCACTCTCAGCATTAGGCAGATCATCTAAATAGAAAATTTACAGAGAAATGTAAGATTTAAACTGCACATTTGACAAATGGACCTAAAAGACATTTATAGAACATTTATCTAACAGCTGCAGAATATACATTCTTCTCATTAGCACATGGAACAGTCCCCAGAGTGGACAATATGTTAGAACACAAAAAAAGTCTCAATACTTTTTTTAAAAAATCAAAAGCATATCGAGTATCTTCTCAAACTACAATGGATAAAACTAGAAATTAATAACCTTTGGAAACTGTACAAATACATGGAAATTAAATAACATATCTTTGAATGATGATTGGGTCAAGGAAGAAACTAAGGCAGAAATAAAAAAATTCTTGAAACCAATAAAAATTAAAACACAGTATACCAAAACATATTTGATACAGCAAAAGCAGTACTAAGAAGGAAGTTTATAGAAATAAATGCCTACATCAAAAAAGTGGAAAGGTTTTGAACAATCTAATAATGCACATCAAGGAATGAGAAAAGCAAAAACAAACCAAAGCCAAAATTAGTAGCGGAAAAGAAATATTAGAGATCACAGCAGAACTAAACAAAGTAGAGACTAAGCAAAACAAAACAGAAAACAGGTGCAAGGGATCAATGAAACAAAAACCTGGTTTTTTGAAAAGATAAAAAAAATCAATAAACCACTAGCTAGACTAACGAAGGAAAAAAAGACAAATGACACAAATTAACAAAATCAGAAATGAAAAGGGAGACGTTACAACTAATACCATAGAAATACAAAAGATTATCAGAGACTACTATGAACTGTACACCAACCAGTTAGAAAACCTAGAAAAAAGGGGTAAATTCCTGGAAACATACAACCTACCAAGATTAAGAAAGAAATAAAATACTTGAACAGACCAATAATGAATATTGAGATTGAGTCGGTAATAAAATGTCTCCCAACAAAGAAAAGCCCAGGACCAGATGGAATCCAAACCGAATTCTAACAAACTTTCAAAGAAGTAACACAAATTATCTTCAAACCATTCCAAAAGATTGAAGAGAGGGAAATTTTTCCTAACTCATTCTATGAGGCCAGCATGAAACGTGCCAAAACCAGACAAAGATGCAACAACAACAATAACAACAAAACTACAGGGCAGTATCCCTAATAAACATGAATGTAAACATTCTCAGCAAAATTCTAGAAAACTGAATCCAACAGCGTATTAACAAAGGAATACACCATATTCAAGTGAGATTTATCCCAGAAATAAAAGGATGGTTGATGTACGCAAATCAATAAATGGGGATACATCATATCAACAGAATGAAGGACAGACCAGGTGCAGTAGCTCACACCTGTAATCCTAGCACTTTGGCCGAGGAAGGTGGATCGCTTGATCCCAGGAATTTGACCAGCCTGGGCGACTTGACAAAACCCCATCTTTACTAAAAAACAAAACAAAACAACAACAACAACAACAACAACAAACTCTGGGCGTGGTAGCAGGAGCTTGTGGTCCCAGCTACTCAGGAGAGCTGCTGTGGGAGGATTGCTTGAGCCCAGGAAGTTGAGACTGCAGTGACCTGTGATTCCGTGATTGTGCCACTGCACTCCAGCCTCAGTGACAGGAGTGAGGACCTGTATTGAAAAAACAAAAACATACAAAACCAGAATGAAAGACAAATAACAAATGATCATCTCAATAGATGCAAAAAAACTATTTTATAAAATTCAACATCACTTTATGATAAAAACTCTCAATGAACTAGGCCTCGAAGAAACATACCTCAACATAATAAAGGCCATTTATGACAAACCCACAGCTCACATCACAGTGAATGGGGAAAAGCTGAAAACTTTTCTCCTAAGAACTAGAACCAGGCAAAGATGCCCACTTTTACCACTCTTCAACATAACACTGCAAGTCCTAGCCAAAGCAATCACGCAAAAGAAAGAAAAGCCTCCAAATTGGACAAGAAGACAATTGTTCCTGTTTGCTAATGATATCATCTTATACCCAGAAAAACCTAAAGACTCCACTAAAAAACTCTTAGATCTCATACAAAAATTCAGTAACATTGCAGATTACAAAATTAACTATAAAAATCAGTAGGGATTCCATATACCAATAATGAACTAACTGTGACAGAAATCAATAAGGCCATCCCATTTACAATAGTTACAAAAAATAAAATACCTAGGATTAAATTTAACCAAAGAGATGAAAGATCTCTACAAGGAAAACTGTAAAACACTTACAAAATAAATTGAAGAGGACACAAAAATGAAAAGATATTCCATAATAATGACTGGACGAATTAATATACTTAACATGGCCATCCTGCTCAGAGCAACCTACAGACTCAATGCAATCCCTATAAAAGTACTAATATCATTTTTCACAGAAATACAAAAAAAATTCCTAACATTTGTATGGAACCATAAAAGACCCTCAACAGCCAAAGCAATTCTGAGCAGAAACAATGAAGCTGGAGCTATTACACTACCTGACTTCAAAACATATTACAAGGTAATATTAACCAAAAGAGCATGATATTGGTATAAAAACAGACAAATAAACCAATGGAACAGAATAGAGAATTCCAAAGTAAATTCATGTATTTACAACCAACTGATCTTCCACAAAGGCATGAAGAACATACATTGGGGAAATAATAGTCTCTTCAATAAATGATGCTGGGAAAATTGAATATCCATATGCAAAAGAATGAAACTGGACGCTTTATCTCTCACCATTTACAAAAATCAACTCAAGATGGATTAAATCTTAAATATATGACCTGAAGCTATAAAACTACTAGAAAAAACTTTTGGACAATACTTTAGGAAATTGGTCAAAATTTTATGGCTAAGACTTCAAAAGCACAGACAATAAAAAATTAGACAAATGGGACTATATTAAATGAAAAATCTCTGCACAGAGAGGGTAGAAATCAACCAAGTGAAGACACAACCTGTTGGATGGGAGACAATATTTGAAACCACTCATCTGACAAGGGAATAAAATCTAGAATATACAATGAATTGAAACAACTCAATAGTAAGAAAACAAATACTACCATTACAAAGTGAGAAGAGGATATGAATACATAATTCTCAGAAGAGATACAAATGGCCAACAGATACATGAAAAAATGCCCAACATCACTGATTATCAGGGAAATGCAAATCAAAACCACAATTAGATATCATCTTGCACCAGTTACAATGGCTATTATTAAAAAGACAATAGTGACAGATTCTAGCGAGGATGTGGAGAAAAGGGAACTCTTAGACTCTGTTGGTGGAAATGTAAATTAGTAAGCCACTATGGAAAACATAATGGAGATTTCTCAAAAAACTAAATGTAGAATTACCATTTGGCCCAGCATTCCCACTACTGGCTATTTATCTGAAGGAAAAGAAATCAATATATCAAAGATATGTCTGCACTTACGTGTTTATTGCAGCACTCTGCACAATAACAAATATATAGAATCAGCCTAAGTGTCCATTAATGGACAAATGAATAAAGAAAATGTGGTATATATACACAATGGAATACTATTTGGCCATAGAAAAAAATAAAATCATGTCATTTGCAACAACATGGATAAAACTCGAGGTTATCATGTTGAATGAAATAAGCCAGGCACAGAACGACAAATATCACCTGTTCTTACTCATGTTAGTGAGTAAGTTCTTATTCCCTCATGTGTGGGAGCTTAAAAAGTTGATCTTATAGAGGTAGAGAGTACAATAGTAGGTACTAGAGGTTGGGAAGGGTGTGTGGGTAGGAAGGGGATGAAAAGAGGTTGGTCAAGGTACAAACATGGTTATATAGAAAGTATAAGTTTTAATGTTCAAGAGCAGAGTAGGGTGCCTATAGTTAGCATGAATGAATTATATATTTCAAAGTAGATAGAAGAGAGTACATGAAATGTTTTCAATGCTTAGTTATAATAAATACTCAAGGAGATGGATACCCCAAATACTCTGACTTGATTATTACACATTCTATGCATGTAACAAAATATCACATCTACTCTGTAAATATATAAAATATTATGTATCAATTAAATTAAAAAATGTCAACATGTATAGACCTCTTTATCTTTTGTTTTGTGAATTTCTTGTTTTACTACTTGCTCTTAGAGAATGAGTCCTGCATAGTTTCTACTTTTGTAAGGCTTTAGTGAGTTTTTGGTGATACAGTAAAATTTTGTAAACAATAACCGTTAATTTGACAATTTATGTTTTGAAGACTAAACCTTTTCAACATCTATTAAAACACCTATTCAAAAATACTTACACAAGAAGCCTATTTCGGTCACAAAGAATCTTGATTTTATTCTCTGATAGCAACTTATCTCCTTGTTATGTTTTCCTGTAGGCCATGGGAAAATTACATAAATTACAGATTTGTTTACCCTAAGTAACCAACACAGACCAGGTGTATCCTGCCAAAAGCATTCCACACTCTGTTAGCATATACCATCAAAGTACAAGGAGATTTGGCCAGATTTTTTTGTTTTTTTTTTTTTTTCCCTAGGAAAATGGGGATGGGATTCAAACAAGCTATTTATATTTGCCCTCCTAATTGTTCAAAAACAATTTCAAATAAACAAAGGGGACATGTTTAAAATCTGGAAATAAAATTCTAAGTGTTTAAAAAAACAAGTTGAAAGCAGGAATAAAGGAAGAATGCAGACTACTAAGGATATGAATTCATTCTCAACAATGATAGAAAAGGTTAAAATACCTGTTCCTTCTAATCTCATTCTTTCTCTTACTCCCTGCCCTCATGCAACCGTGGCCTAATGTTTATTTTTTAAATATGCCAAGTTTATTCTCTACCTTAGACATTGCATTGCCTGGTCCCTCTAACTGAAACATTCTCCTCCCAAATCATCAGATATTTAATGTTTATTGTAAATGACAGTGTAATATATTAAGACTGCAGATTCTGAAGACAGATTGCGTGGGTTCAAAACCCACCTCCACCAATAATTTAGCCACATGTAAAATATGGCTACCTCCTACAGTTGCGAAAATTAAATGAGTCAACTCATAATATGTGGGTAATAATAATTATTAGTCATTGTTGTCATTCATGTCATCATTATTCGTTCATTATCTTTCTCATTCACTGTGTAATTTAAATATTCAAATATTTATATTTCTATGAATTATTTTCTATGTTTCTTCAATTTGAAAATTAACTGACCTCACTGTTGTCAGTGGTCACCAAATTGATGGGATATTGATGTCCATCATACTCACACAATTTCATTTTGTAATTGATGCATAATAGAGCTACACAGTTTTTGGGTATGTGTGATAATACGTTCATATAATTTTTAAAGATTAAATCAGTGTGCTTGGGATATATGTCACCTTAAATATTTTTCTTTCTTTATGTTTGATTCATTCAAATTCTTCTCCTAGCTGTTTTGAATTATACAAAATTATTGTAAACTATAGTCACCCTACTTACTTATTTAACACAAGGTCTTGTTCTATCAAACCTTATAATTGTACCCATTAATCAACTTGTCTGCATCCTTCCAACCCCACTACCCTTCTCAAACTCTGGTAACCACCAACTTACTTTCTACCTCCACGAGATCAACATTTTTTAGTTCCCATGCATCACTGACAACATGTGATATTTGTTTTCCTTTGCTTGTCTTATTTCACTTAATATAATGACCTCTAGTTCCATCTATGTTGCTGCAAATGACATGATTTCATTTTTTATGGCTGAATAATATTCCATTGCGTATATATGCCACACATTCTTTACCTGTTCATCTGCTGCTGGGAACTTAGATTTATACTGTATTTTGGCTATTATGAATAGTGGTGCAATAAACATGAGTGCATGTATCACACTGATGTCCTTTCTTTTGGATATATACCCAGTAGTAGAATTGCTGGATCGTATGGTAGTTCTATTACAGTTTTTTTGAGGCATCTCCATAACGTTCTCCATAGTGGCTTCCCTAATTTACATTCCCACCAACAGTGTACCAGGGTTCCCCTTTCTCTGCATCCTTGCCAGCATCCATTATTGCCCATTTTTTTCGTAAAAGCCATTTTAACTGGGGTGAGATGATATCTCATTGTATTATTTACATTTTTTGATGATTAGTGGTGTTGAGCATTTTTCCATAAACCTCTTGGCTATTTCTGTGTCTTCTTTTGAGAAATGTCTGTTCAGATAATCTACTCATTCTTTAATAGGATTATTAGACTTTTTCCTATAGGGTTGTTTGAGCTCCTTATATATTCTGGTTATTAATTTCTTGTCAGGTGGATAGTTTGCAAATACTTTCTTCCATTCTGTGGGTTGTCTCTTCACTTTGTTGATTGTTTCCTTTGCTGTGCAAAAGCTTTAGCTTGATGTAATCACATTTGTCTATTTCTGCTTTGGTTGCCAGTGCTTCTGAGGTCTTTCTTTAAAAATCTTTGCCCAGACCAATGTCCTAGAGCATTTTTCCAATGTTCTCTTCTAGCAGGTTCATGGTTTCAGACCTTAGATTTAAGTAATTTAATCTATTTTGATTTTATTTTGTATATGGTGAGAGATAGGGATCTGGTTTCATTCCTCTGCATATAATTATCCTGTCCTTCTCACACCATTTATTGAAGAGACTGGCCTTTCACCATTGCATGTTCTTGGCATCTTTGTTGAAGATCACTTAGCTGATCACAGTAAATATATGAATTTGTTTCTGAGTTCCCTATTTTGTTCCATTTGTCTATGTGTGTTTTATGCCAGTACCATGATTATACAGTTATTATATCTTTGTAGTAATTGTGAAGTCATGTACTGTGATGCCTCCAGCTCTGTTCTTTTTGTTTAGGATTGCTTTGGTTGTTCAGGATCTTCTGTGGTCCCATATAAATTTTAGGATTTTTTTCCTATTACTGTGATGCTTGTCATTGGTAATTTGATAGGGATTGCACTGAATCTATACATTTATTCAGGTAGTATTGTCATTTTTAACAACATTAATTCTTACAGTCCATGAGCATGGAATATCTTTCAATTTTTTGGGGTGTCCTCTTCTATTTTTTTCATCAGTGTTTTATAGTTTTCCTTATGTAAATCTTTCACTTCCTTGGTTAAATTGATTTTGAGATATTTTATATTCATCATGGCTATTGTTAATGAGATTGCTTTCTTGATTTGTTTTTTAGATTATTCACTGTTGGCTTATAGAAGAGCTACTGATTTTTGTATGTTAATTTTGTATTCTGCAACCTTACTAAGTTCTTTTATCAGTTCTAACAGTTTTCGGGTGACATCATTAGGTTTTTTTAATGTAAGATCACATTATCTGCAAAAAAGGCTAATTTGACTTCTTCCTTTCCAATTTGAATGTCCTTTGTTTCCTTTTCTTGCCTAATTGCTCTGGCCAGGAACTCCAGTACTAATTGAATAAAAGTGGTGAAAACAGGCATTCTTGTCTTATTCCAGATCTTAGAGGGAAGACCTTAAATTTGTTCCCATTTAGTATGATGTTTTAGCTATCGGTTTGTTATATATGGCCTTCATTATGTTGAAGTATATTCTTTCTATGTCCAGTTTGTTGGGATTTTAATCATAGAGGGATGTAAAATTTTATTGAATTTTTGCCACCTATTGATATAATCAGGTGGTTTTTGTTCTTGGTTCTGTTAATGTGATAAATCACATGTTTTTATTAGCATATGTTGAACCATCCTGGCATCCCTGGGATTAGTCCTACTTAATTATGATGAATGATCTTTTTAATGTGTTGTTGAATTTAGTTTTCAAGCATTTTGTTAAAAAATGTTGCATCTATATTCATCAGTGATATTAGCCTGTATTTTTGTCATTGTTGTATTCTTGTCTGCTTTTGGTATCAGAATAATGCTGGCCTTGAGAAATAGGTCTGGAAATATTTCCTCCTCCTCAATTTTTTGAAGAGTTTGAGTAGAATTGATATTAGCTCTTCTTTAAATGTTTGATAAAATTCAGTAATGAAGCCATAAATTCCTGGGCTTTTTTAAATGGGAAGCTTTTATTATACCTGTGACCTTGTTACTAGTTATTTGTTTATTGAGGTTTTCTGTTTCTTAATGGTTCACTCTTGACAGGCTGTATGCTTCCAGGAGTTTATGCATTTCTTTTTGGTTTTCTGACTTGGAGTATAGTTATTCATAATAGTCTGTAATGATTCTTCATATTTCTGTGGTCTCAGTTGTTATGTCTCCCTTTTTTTTCTGATTTGATTTCTTTGGGTATTCTGTTTCTTATTCTAGCTAAAGATTTGTTGATTTTATTTATCTTTTCAAAAAACCAACTTTTCATTTTATTGATTTTCTGTCTTGCTTTTTTAGTATCAATTTCATTTATTTCTGCTACTATTTTTATGTTTTCCTTCTACCAATTTTGGGTTTGGTTTGCTTTTGCTTTTATAATTCCTTGAGGTGCATCATTAGGTTATTTATTTGAAGTTTGCCTACTTTTTAAATATAAGCATTTATTTCTATAAACTTCCCTCTTAGTACTGCTTTTGCTGTATCTCATAGATTTTTGTTTATTGCATTTCAATGTTATTTTGTTTCAATAAATGTTTAGATTTCCTTATTAATATCTTCAATGACCCATCAGTCATTTAGGGTCTTTTTTTTTTTTTTAATTTCCATGTGTTTGTAAAGGTCTGAGGTTTCTCTTGTTACTGATTTCTAGTGTTATTTCATTGTGGTCAAAAAAGATACTTGATATTATTTCTACTATTTTGAATTTGCTCGTACTGTTTTTGGCCTAAGATTTGGTCTATTCCTGAGAATGTTGCATGTGCTGATGAAGATTGTGGGCTGTGTGCAGTGGCTCATGCCTATAATTTCAGCACTTTGGGAGGCCTAGGGGGGCAGGTCGCTTGAGCTCAGGAGTTGGAAACCAGCCTGGGCAACATGGTAAAACCTCATCTCTACAAAATATACAAAAATTAGCTTGGCATGGTATTGAGCACCTGTAGCCCCAGCTACTCAGGAGGCTGAGGTGGGAGAATTGCTTGAGCCTGGGAGGTGGAGGTTACGGTGAGCTGAAATAACACCATTACACTCCAGCCTGGGTGACAGAGTGAGAGCCTGTCTCAAAAAAAAAGAGAAGAAAAGATTGTATATTCTGCAGCAGTTGGATAAAATGTTCTGTAAATGTCAGTTATGCCTAGTAGGTCTAGTGTATAGCTTAACTCTGCTGTTTGTTTCTTGATTGTATTTTTTGTCTAAATGATCTGTTCAGTACTGAGAATGGTGTGTTAAAGTCTCCTGAATTACAGTCCATCTCTCTCTTTAGGTCTATAAATTTTTGTTTTATATACTTGGGACTTCCAGTGTTGGGTGCATTGGTATAATTATTATATCCTCTTCCTGAATTGACCCATTTATCATTATACAGTGACCTTCTTTGTCTCTTTTTACAGTCTTTGATTTGTTCACTATTTTATATGATGTAAGTTTAGCGACTTCTGCTCTTTTTTGATTTCCAGTTACATGGAATATCATTTTCTTTTTTTTTTTTTTTGAATTCAGTTATTTATATAACGTCCCTTGTAAAAATGAAAGAATAAAAACCGAAAAAGAGGGGCAGGGTAAAATTTTTTTAAAAAAAGGAAAGGAAAGAGAGGAAAAGAAAATAAAATAAGACGATTTATTGCTTCTCCTCAGCATCCTCCTTGGTGTCTTCCTTCACCGAGAGAGCTTCTAGCTTTTCCGCCACTTTTTCGGCATGATCGTTTTTGCCTGATCCTGCTTTCTTTTCTCTCTCTTCGATCTCTTTCCTGCATTCTTCAAACTTTGTTTTGAATTTCTGTGCATTCTCAGCATTCAGGAAGCGGATGGCCAGCAGCTCTGGCTTGGGGCACTCGTCGGCGAAGTCAGCGTGGGTGTTCCAGACCCAGGCACGGTCGCTACCTGCGTTGGGCTTCAGCTCCATCATCGGCGTGGTGTAGTGGTTGGCACAGATCTTCAGGGTTTTGTCCCTCTGCATGAGGAGGCGGATGGCCCCTTTCTCCTTGTGCTTCAGGAGCTTGACGTCACCAGTGCCTCGCTCCTTCCATTCTGGGAGATCGTTCTCGGAGGCAAATCGCAACCATTTTGCCCGCATTTTAAAAAGTTCCTCTTCATCTTCTTCCAGCGTTTTAATTTCTTGCTCAGGAAGAGAAACTATTGGCTCAAACTGAGGGTCATGGTTCAACTCGTCTGTATTCTCAGTGGAAGTATCATGGTCCTCATGAGTGTCCTTGGTGGCCGCCATGGGGGCGCGGCGGGGGCGGCGGCTCAGCTGGGTCGGTGGTCGCTGGCTCCGTCGTCGCTGGCTCCGCGGCCTCTCGGCGGCTACTCGTAGCTCCTTCCCTCCATGTCTGGCGGAATATCATTTTCTACCCCTTCACTTTCAGCCTAGTGTATCTTCATAGGTGAAGAGGGTTTCTGATAGGCAGCATGTAGTTGGATATAGTTAGGTATTGCTTCTCTATCCATTCAACCACTCTATGCCTTTTAATTGGAGACTCAACTCAATTTATATGCAGTGTTATTACTAATAGGGAATGTCTTATTACTGTCATTTTTTTTTATCTTGTTGTTTTGTAACCTCCCTCACTCCCTCCCTTCCTTCCTTCTCTCTCTCCCTCCTTCTCTCTCTCTCTTTCTTTCTCTTGTCTTCTTTCTTCCTTGGTGGGTTAAGTGATTTTCTCTGGTAGTATATTTTAATTTGTTGCTTTTTATTTTTATTGAATCTATTTTAGATTTTTTTCATTGTGGTTACCATGAGGCTTACAAAAAACATAGATGTAACAAGTTATTTTAATGAGATAAGAATTTATCTTAGATCACAAAGGAAATAATAGAAACAAAGAAAAAGGCTTCTACACATTAACTCCATCCACCCCACATTTTAAATTTTAGTTGTCTCTATTTACATGTATTTATATTACCTGTCTCTTAACAGGTTGATGTTGCTTTTTTTTTTTTTATTTTTGACAGACTTATATTTTGGCCTTCATAGTAGAGTTATGAGTGGATTGCACACCATAATTATAGTATTAGAGTATTCTCAGTTTGTCCATGTACTTAATTTTACCAGTGGGTTTTATACCTTCAAAGGGTATTTTTCCAAATTTGCATGCGTGCGTGTGTGCATGTGTGTGTGTGTTTCAGATCAAAGAACTTCCTTTAGCATTTCTAGTAAGATAGATCTTGTCATGAATTTTCTCAGCTTTTGTTTGTCTGAGAAAGACTTTATTTCTCCTTCATATTTGAAAGATAACTTTACTTGATAAAGAATTCTTATATGACAGTGTTTTCTTTTCTTTCAGCCCTCTGAGAATGCTGTTCCATTCCCTCCTGGCCTGTACGGTTTCTGTTGAGATGTCTATTGCCAGATGAATTGGAGATCCTTCATATTTTATTTGCTTCTTTTCTCTTGCTGATTTTAGAATTCTTTTTCCTTGACCTTAAAGTTTGAATATTATATGCCTTGGGTTAGTCTTACTTGGGCCTAATATCTTTGGTATTGTCTGACCTTCCTGTACCTGGATACTTATATCTTTCTCAAGCTTTGGAAAGTTTTCTTTTATTATTTATTTGAATAAGCTTTCTACCCCCTTGTTCTTGCTCAACTCCCTCTTAAACATCAATAATTCTTAGATTTGTTTTTTTGAGGTAATTTTCTGTGTATTGTAGGTGATTTTCATTTCATTTTTATTTTTTCTCCTCTATGTATTTTCAAGTAGTCTGTCTTCATGCTCTCTGATTGTTTCCTATGCTTGATCCACTTTGCTGTTGATTGAGAGCCTCTAATAAATTTTTCAGTTCAGCAAATATATTTCTCAGTTCCAAGATTTCTGTTTGGTTTTTAAAAAATCATTTCGATCTCTTTGTTAAATTTCTCTGATTTGAGTTTTTAAAGAACTACTATTTTGAATTCTTGGTCAGAGAGTTCCCATATCACCATCTTGTTAGGGTCTGTTACTTGTTCCTTGCTTTATCTGTTTGGGAAGATCATGGTTCCCTCTTTACTCTTGTTTCTTGTGGATGTACATCTATGTATTTGCCTTAGAGTATTAGTTATTCCAGTCGTCTCTTTCTGGCTTGTTTTTGTTTTTTTTTTATTGGATATATTTGTTTAGAGGTTCTTTACTGCTAGGTTACTGATTCCTTTTCAGCTCTAGGTGGCACCTTAAGTCCAGGTTTGCCTCAACTCTAGTAAACAATTGGAGTATTTCCCTTCCCAAATGGCGGGGAGGTCCAAATGGGAATATCCTGTCAGTGTGGGAAGGCTGGCTATGGGTTCATGCCCAGGGGTCCTATGGGACAAACCTTACACAGCGTGGTGCTGCTGAAGAGCCACTCTGATTTAACATCTTTTTTGACAGAGTTATAGAAAGGAGTTTCCAGGGGTGGGGATAGTATTCCCACCCTTCCCTTGGTCTTTGCCAATCCTAAGGGGTATTTCTCCCTTCAGGCATTCATGATGCTTCCTGTGGGTTAAGACAGGGCCAGATCTACTGTCAGGGAACCCAAGACGCTGAGGAAGCTGTTTGCCTACCTTGATTTCACTTTTCCCAGTATATAAACATTGAGTTAAGGGAAAATTTTCTGAATGCTTGGTGCTAGGTAGAAGAGCGGAAGGGGTGTCACAGATGTGGGAGTCTGAGTATCTTATTGTCTGCTTGGAGTTTTTTTTAACTTCTTTGTGGCCCCTGGAACTGTCTCATCTTCACATTTGAGTTCTGGGATATTTCTGGTAATAACCTCAGCACTGTATATTTGTTTATGGTTATATTTTGTTGAAAGGGAGGAAGTCAGCTTGCTTCTATATTGCCGTTTTGGAACTGGAAGTTCCCACAATTTTATAACTTTGAGAATGGAAAACATTCTAAGACATGTTAATGACATTGCTTCAGAATGCTACATCAGCATATTCCTGGTTGTACCTGAACATGCGTTCAACTGTTTTATTTGGGGTTGGATGTCAACATTAATATGCTGTTACCTTAAGCTTGGTTTTCATTCTTAGTGGCAATGTTCCTTAACAAAAGACATATTGTATAGATTATTATAAGCTTCATTACACTCAACCCTGGCTGCTATTTATAATTTGGATCAACATTTATTGACTAATGTGGTCCAGTGGACTCATTTGAATTCAGTCAATATGATCAACCTGCTGTTAATCTCAATGGAAGTCAATAAATTTATATACAGACATTGAAGACTTATTAGATTGAAAGCTTTATGAAGCAATGCAAGGTAATATCTTCTTAGCTACATTAGTTCTGTCATTCACTTAACTTGGAGGTTCTGGCCTTGGGTAAGTAGAAGGTTGAAGCAGACTTAAGTAAAGTTTTAGAAATCAAGTCAAATTCAAAGATATTCTGGCAGGATTTTTGATATCAAGCATTGCAAGCCACAGAATGGATAAGTATCCACAGACCAGCATTTTAAAATAGTGGGGAGTTACACATACATTTTGGGAAAACTGACATAGTAAAGACATTTGCATTCAATTATATTTTTGTGCCTTTTTGTTTGCTTCTGATACTTGTTAATCACAATTTTTATTTTTGTTTCTCCTGAATCCACCTCCTTTATGCATTGTTTATGATTATGAATATGCATTCTTGCAAGCAGGGCTTTGTTATTTGAATAGTTTCATGCATTCAATATTAATAAAGAGTTGGTGTTTATTAGGTTTCTTTCCCTTTGCATCCCAGAAAATACTACTTTTTGTATTGTATTTGTTAAGAAACTAAAGGAAAAAAATGACCAGCAGTTAGACACTTCTCTGTAATTCTTTTTGATCATTTTACATTTATGCCTTATTTTTCAACTCTTTATATGATCTGAAATAGGATACAGACTTATTTCACTAACTTTGATTGTTGATGGTTTTGGGGGAAGGGTGTCACAGTTAACAAATGGCGTTTCTTTCAGTGCATTTTTTGATTTAGGAAAGGAAGTAAATCTTACCAGAATCAACTTAGAAATTTAAGTAAAGGCTTCATGTAAACTTGCAATGTTTCTGTAAAGTTCTGCCTTCCATTTGACCAGTAATTCTTAACAAGGGGCAATTTTACTTCCCTAAGGGACATTTGACAGTATCTGGAGACATTTTTGGTTGACACAACTGATGTGTAGGGGTGAGGACATTACTGGCATCTAGTGGGTAGAGGTCACTAAACATCTTACAATACACAGGACAGCTCCCTACCACAGAGAGTTCTTGGGGCTCAAAATAGCAATAGTGCCGAATTAAGAAACCTTGCTGTAGAGGAGGTGCCACACCTTTGGCTTTAGTTCTAGTCATTCAGAAAGAGAACCCATGATTCATTTTCCCAGCTAACTCACATTATGCAACCCTGTTTTAAAATTCCAGTCTCTGTGTCAGATGCACAGCAGTAAGTCTGCTTCTCTGTACGAGGGAAATTGTTTTCTACTAACTGATGACCTCAGTTTAGCAGTTTCTTTTCCAGCACATCAAAGCTCACAGTCAGACTTGCTGCAGCAAGTACACTTTTGAGTAGCTTGATGACATATAAAGACCCTCTTTGGCATTCATACTGTGCTGCTCTATTGTTTATAGGCTAGCAGTAAATTATTTATGGATATTGCTAGAGATAGAAGTCACTTGCTCTCTCCTTTTTAGCCCAAAAGCTATATTTTATCTGGTGGCAAGATTTTATGTGAAAATTATGCGGTGGTGGGCGGGGGGGAGCGGTTTATGTACTCTTTGCATTTGTGTGACAAGTTTTATGGTACCAGTCCCATCCGCTTTTTATTACTTTAAACCTGCTTTGGAAATTATTATTAATTACATCATGAACTCAGCAAATAATATGTTTTTTTAGAATTCCCATTATAAATAATTTCAGAAAGGCTCTTCCTGAGTCAATTTAGAGAAATACTATCAGAAAAAACTCATTTTGGTCCTAAAGCAAAGCAAAAAATCTTTAGGTCGCTTTGGAGCATTGATCTATAAATGGATATGTGTGTGTGTGTGCACGTGTGTGTGTGAGAGAGAGAGAGAGAGAATCAGTTGAATGCCAAAGTAATCATTATAGGGTGTGCATTTATTTTTGCGAGCATCAGTGTACTTCAGGTTGTTTTTTTAGTATGCAAAACATTATTTCTGGTTGAGTTTACACTGACATATTTCCAACCACTGATTCTGATTTAGAGTTTTTTTCTTGTTCTCCATCTCTCCTCACACCTCCCAAGTGGTAACATTTTGTTCTTAAATTTATCAGGCATTTATGAAATTGACTATTTTCTAAAAAAACAGTAATACCAAAAGTATGTGTAGAAGGCAGTACTAGTCAGAATGCATAGCTCAACCCAGAACTCTACAGCTCTAATAGATTTTTGCCTTTATTAAGACTGATTAATTGTCAATCGTAAAATTTAAAAAAATGAATTGTTAATGAATTAACAAGGGACAAACTATGGTATGTCAACAAAAATATTTTTTTCAGTGGATTTTGTTAGTAGACAGACACTTCATGCCAGTAGTTTAGGCTGTAAGGAAACTCTAAGAACTCATTAGACGTAGAAGACAACAGATAGAGTCTACTTGGAATCAAGTCATTAGTCCCTGGTTATGATAAAACTATTGGTACCACGGCCAAAAAGAACTAAAGAAAAGTTAAACATAATAATATGATTTTTAATTGATTTATTTGTTTCATGGAGGCATCATATTAGGGACTTGAGATTTTCTAGTTTAGAGGTGGGATTAGTTGAAAACACAGCATGATTTTCTTTGGGTTTCTGCTATAGAAGGGTTTGTGAGGTTTATGAGAAAAGTTAGCTCATCTGGTATATTGCATCCTATAAGAATCTTGGTTCTTGCATGCAATTATATTTTATAGACTGAATTCTGTTCTTTTGTTTTTCTTCAACTTTTATTATAGATTCAGGGGGTACATGTGCAGGTTTATTTTCTGGGTATATTGTATGGTGCTGAGGTTTGGGGGACAAATGATCCTATCACCCAGGTATTAAGCATAGTACCCAATAGCTAGTTTTTCATCCCCTGCCCCCTCACTCCCTCCCCTGTCTAGTAGTCCCCAGTTTCTATTGTTGCCATCTTTATTGTCCGTGAGTACCCAATGTTTAGCTCTCACTTATGAGTAAGGATATGCAATGTTTGGTTTTCTGTCACTGCATTAATTTACTTGGTGTAATGGCCTCCAGCTCCATCCATGTTGCCACAAAGAACATGATTTCATTTTTTATGGCTGCATGGTAGTCCATGGTGTATATGTACAACATTCTCTTCATCCAGTCCACTGTTGATGGGCATCTAGATTGATTCCATGTCTTTGCTATTGTGAGTAGTGCTGTGATGAATATGCAAGTGCGTGTGTCTTTTTGGTACAATGATTTGTGTTGTTTTGGTTATATATCCAGTAATGGGATTGCTGGTTCAAATGATGGCTCTGTTTTAAAGAGCTCTGTTATTGATGAGAAAATTAAGTTAGCAGGTAAGGACTTTAGGAAAAAAAAATCACAGTCTCATGAAAATTGCATTTACAAATTTGCATAAATTTGTCCATACATAAAGTTGGTTGATATATGATTATAGGGCTCTAGGCCTGGGATCTTCAATCAAAAAGAAAAAAGCAAAACAAAGCAAATGAAATGAAAAAAACATACAACAACAATAAAATACTCAAGTTTAATATTTTGATATATTCAGTAACGTTGGTTTGACCATATACCCTGGTTTATGACTGTTAATTATTTTTTGTATTCCTTTTTAATATCAATAATATTCTTGTTTGCTTAATGTTTTCCGAGTTCATCTATGTTGTGGAAAATGGCAGAATCTCCATTTTTAAGGCTGAATAATATTCTATTCAATACATGCGTATGCCACCGTTTCTTTATCCGTTCATTTGTTAATGGACACATAGGTCGTTTCCAGATCTTCGCTATTGTGAATAATGCTGCAGTGAACATAGAAGTGCAGATATCTTTTTGAAGTGGGGATTTAATTTCCTTTGGGTATATACCCAGAAGAGGAATTGCTGGGTCATATGATAGTTCTTTTTTTTTTTTTTTTTTGAAAAGCAGTAGTCAGGTTTAATAGCAGATTAACACAAATGTATCAGTTTTCTATAGTTACCATAGCACATTACCACCAGTTTTCTGGCTTAAAATAGTTTTGTTTTTAATATCATTAGGAATCTCCATACTGTTTTCCATAATGGCTGCACCAGTCTACATTTCCACCAACAATATACAAGGGTTTCCTTTTTGCCACACCCTTGCCAACATTTGTTGTCAATCTTTTGTTTTTTTTTTTAAAGGCAGATATACAGAGAAAGAGAATAAAACAGTGGGTACCAAAGGTAGAGGCAGGGGGGGATGTAGGTCAGAGGATGCAAATTGAGGATCAAATATGTAGGATGAACAAATCTAGAGATCTAATGTACAACAACATGAAGGACTATAGTTAATACAAAGGTACTGCATTGAGGATTTCTGCTAAATGATTAGATTTTATCTGCTTTTGCCACATAGAAAAATTGGTAACTATGTGAAATGTTGGATATGTTAACTTGCTTCACCACAGTAACCATTTTACTATCTGTATCTATCCCATAACATCATGTTATATACCTTAACTATGCACAATATTATTAATTTTTAAAAATGTTCTTGTTTGGATGAAAAAGTATATAGTTACACAGTGGAATATAAGTGTACCCTATGTTTGAAGATACTAAGTTGATTTCCCACTCATTTCTTAAGGTAATTCAGTTCACCGTAACAATTTTTTTATCTTTGTCTCAGAAAGATAAATCATCTTTCCTAGCTACTCGAGAGGCTAACGTGGGAGGATCACTTGAGCCTAGGAATTCAAGACCAGACTAGGCAACATAATGGACCTCAACTCAAAACCAAAAAAAAAAAGATAAGTCATCTTTAATTTTTTTAATGATATTTGAGATCATTTTATACAATCTTATCATTTGAATGACTTCAATTACTTAAATTGGCTCTATTAAATACAAGAATATAATTTGCTTTTTGATATATCATTTTTTCTTCTGTCTTTGCAAGGATTTACACAGTTTTCTTATGCTTTAAAAATAGTAACCAACAAATTGTTGTGCAATTGATTTTGAAAAATTGATCTTTTAAAAATTTATGTAGGAGAATTATATGTAAGATTCCTGACACTACCTGCTACTGAGTTGTTTTCAAATCAATGGTTCTTAATTTATTGTGAATCTCATATCATTGTATTCCTTGAAAATATAATGAAAACTAAGATTCTCTTCTGAGAAAAAACATGCCCCCATAAAAATTTCCAAAAATTTTAGTGGGTTCAAGGATTTCCTGATGTCCATCAAAGCATTTTAGTTTAAGAAGTCCAGCCCTAAACTGTGAGATCTTAGGGGGCACGAACTGTGGTTTTTTTCTTCCTCCCCACCCTTCTCTGAATCTTTATTATGTAGCAAATATTGTACTCTTTAAAGTATTTGTTGAATGACAGAATAAAAGGATGCTTTATTTATCAGTATGGCTGAGGTCTGAGCTGGATACTTTATATCTTTTCACTTTTCTTCTGGCTTTTTTTCTGTGTTTTTTGCTCTTTTTCAGCATTGGCATATTATTTGTTAGAAAATGTTTTCCATTCTATAAACTTTGTAGCAGATCAAATACCAGAAGTGTTAGATCCAGCATTTACAATCTGTGTGTCCTGGGGCTACTCACTTAGCGTCTTCGAGCCTCAGTTTCTGCATTTTCATGGGTTGTTGGGAGTCCCTTTAGCTCTATAGTGATCACCTATAAACCTCCTCAACTACCTGCCCACAGAAAATAAATTTTCCCATCAAACCATGTTTTGTGCCAATGAAATTGAGTTATTCTCTTATTTGTTATTTGGTTTAATATGGAGATGCATAAAATAACAAAGAGCTACTCATTTATCTCAGATCTTCTCATGTTTCCTGATAGGCAGGGTTGGTGTGCTTTAAGAAAAGCTGTACTCTTATCACATTTGAAACCAATACACTTTTCCTACTGACCAAATTTGTCTAAAATTTGATAGTTCCAAATAATAATAAGTTATTTTAATCATTTCAAAAGTATGATATTTTAAAAACTTTTTTATTGTGGAATTTTTAAAACTTACACAAAAATAGATAAAATAATGTGATAAAATTCAGTCTAACTGCCTTAACAATTTCCCCTGTCTTGCCTTTTTTTTCACTCATTCTCTCCTTTTCTAGAGTATTTTAAGTTTTAGATATTGTGTCATTTCACCCTTTGAATACCTCAGCATATTTCTGTTACACGTATTGATCGCTAAGTAAACCACCCCAATACTGAGTACATGATTCGGCAATACGGTCTGGACTCAGCTGTGTGGCTTATCTCTGATTCACATGATGTTATTTGGGCTTACTCATGCATTTTCAGTTGACTGTCAACTAAACTAGACTGGAAGATCCAAAATGTCTCCGCTCAAATGTCTGACATTTGTTGATGGCTGTAGGATGGAGCATCTTGATTTTTTTCCATATGGCCTCTAACCCTCTGATATGCTAGACCTGGCTTTTTTTCACAGCAAGGTCTCAGGGTTCCAAGAGAGAAAAAAAAGTTTCATAAGCACTAGCCTTGGAAGTCACATACCACCACTTCCTGCTGCATTCTATTGGTCTCAGCAAGTCACATGGCCAGCCCAGATTCTGAGGGGAGGAAATAGACTCTACTTCTGTATGGAAGAAGGGGCAAGGTCACATTGCACAGAGGAGTGTGGGGAATGGGAGGAATTGTTGTTGCCATTTTTACAAGCACATCTAACTGATCTTCTGGCTTTTAATATCATCATGCCACTAACAGAGTTAACAAATTTAACAATATTTCCTTTTTAAGATTAATTTTTAAATTTTGTCATTTTTAAATTTACATACAGAAATTTTTTGTGCGTATACTTTTTATGTTTCATTTTTTGTGGTTTTCATTTGCATTTATCTGATGAATAATGATGGTGAGCACCTTTTCATATACCTGTTGGTAATTTGTATGTCTTTTATGTGGGCTCAGGCCTGGAGCCTTGGTCCATAGAGGTTAATTTGGCATTGGGGTGGCCCTGGAACCAGGGTCTGTGGGGAAGTGTGTATGTGTATACTGCTGTGAGATTCGACAAATGCATAGAGTTCTCTAACAACCACCATGGTTAGAATACAGAAAATTCCCTCAGCAACCAAAAGTCCCTTGAGCTTCCCACTTGTAATCAAACCCTCCTCCACCTCCTAACCCAGTGATCCCCAACCTTTTAGGCACCAGGGACCAGTTTCATGGAAGATAGTTTTTCCACCGACCAAGGTTGGGATGGTTTCAGGATAATTCAAGTGTGTTACATTTATTGTCCACTTTATTATTGTTACGTTGTAATATATAATGAAATAATTATACAAGTCACCACAATGTGGAATCTGTGGGAGGCCTGAGTTTTTTTTTTTTTTTTCTTGCAACTGATCGGTTCCATCTAGGGGTGATGGGAGACATTATCACCCAAAGTATGTTGCTTATGTCCAATCTACTCTGTAATTTTGTTTTAGTTGCTGTCACTGCAGAAAACCCTGCTTCACAATGATAGGAAGTTGGAAATGGAAGCTGGCTTTTCAGTACTTTTGTGACAGTCTTGGGATAGTCTGCCTTGACTTTAATCCAGAACGTATGGAGATTTGAAGTTGTCTCAAACGTACTTTTAAGGGCACTGTCATTTGCAATCTCAAGCAGTTGATTCTCTTCTAGCATGGACAAAGTCAATTCACCCTGCTTTATTCACAAATGGGTGGCGTATCTGTTCTTTCCCAATTTGGGGAGTCTTTGTGGTTGGAAAGTAATGCTCAAACTCTTTTGAAAGCTGAGGTAGGTAATCATGCACCAGCTGGAAAAAAGAAGGCCTTGGTCAGTGTCTTTCAAAATCTCTACTAATGTTTGAAACGTGTCAGAAATCCCAATGTTCACTCATTGTCCCCATAATTCCAGTCTGGCTTTGAATGCCCCCACTTTATCTGCTGGACTGGAACATAGTTGTCATTCCCCTTTGAAATGACAGATTGAGTTCATTGAGCAGGTTGACTGTGTCACACAAGTAAGCAAGTTTTGTGACCCATTCTGTGTCACTGAAATGTGCTGCCAGTGGTGACTGTTTTCCTAAAAGAAATCTCTGGAGCAGCTCTTGTAACTCAGAAACTCTAGCCAGTGAGTTTAGAAACCTTTAGAAAGCCATTTCACTTCTGTGTACAAGAGAAGACGTGTGCTGTGCGTCCATCTCCTCACAGAGCTGCGCAAACAGATAAAAGTTAAAGGCATGTACTTTAAAGTAGTTGATAATTTTAATCATATCCTGCATAACATTGTTAAGTTCGGGTGACATTTTTCGGCTAGCCAGCATTTCTTTATGGATGAACCAGTGTGTGGATTCACATTCAGAAGCAACCTCTTTGACTTGAGTAGTGAAACCAGAAAGCCATCCAGTCATGGCAGCTGTTCCGTCTGTGCATATACCAACACAAAATGACCAATTCAGTTCTTCTGATATGTAATCATTCAAAGACTTGAATAGTTCTGCAGCTGTATTGTTAGTTGGGAACAAAAGTGTACATAACATATCTTCGTGCACATCCTCCTGAAAAGTATATTACATAAAAACAAGCATTGCTGCCTTGTTCTTAACATCGGTACACAAACCTGGATCATGTACCATGGTGACTCGTTAATCCTCTCTAACAATTGTTCCTCAATATCCTCTGCTATTTTATCAATTCGTCTAGTTATGGTGCTAGCCGAAAGAAGAACAAGTGCCACCTTTTGAACTGCAGCCTCTCCGAAAAGGTCATGACAAATGTCCGTAGCAGCAGGCAGGATCAACTCTTCAACAACAGTAAAGGGATCCTTAGCTTTGTCAATGTGGTTAGCCACTAAAAATGATGCTCTCAGTGCAGACACATTTGAGGAAGTGGTGGTCTTCAATAATTGCTTCTGTTCTTTGTGCTATTTTGTTCTTTTGAAAAACTCCAAAGGCTTGTCTTTTAATTCAGGGTGCTTGGTCTCCATGTGGTGAAGCAGTGTTTTTTTTTTTTTTTTTGAGACAGAGTCTCACTGTATCACCCAGGCTGGAGTGCACAATCTCAGCTCACTGCAACCTCCACTCCCCCAACCCCTCGGGTTCAAGCAATTCTCCTGCCTCAGCCTCCCGAATAGCTAGGACAACAGGCATGCACCACCACGCCCGGCTAATTTTTGTATTTTTAGTAGAGACGGGGTTTCTCCATGTTGGCCAGGCTGGTCTCGAACTCCTGACCTCAGGTGATCCATCCGCCTCAGCCTCCCAAAGTCCTGGGATTACAGGTGTGAGCCACTGCGCCTGGCCTGGTGAAGCAGTTTTGAAGGTTTGATGGCTTCATGGGATACCCAGTTGCCACATACAAAGCACGCTTGGAGACTGTCAGTCACCTGTTGCAGTGAACCCATAATTCAAGTAAGACTCTTGGTATTTTCTTGTAAATGCAGCTTTCTTTTTCTTGGCAGTCTTAGAGTCTTCTGCTGTCTTGGGCCTTTCCCCCTTTTCAAAGAAGCTCTCCAGCGACATTTGTTTTTTACTCATTTTGGCTAGGGTTAGCTTGAGGGCTTACCAAAACTGTGACTGAGACTAGAGCTCAGTCCAGGAAAGAGGTGCAGATGGAAGTAAGTGAAATAATAGGCGGGCGACACATAGATTAAAATAAGTGTCAGATTCTGACTTAGAGCCTGTCACCAGATGCAGCTGTACAATCAAAGTACATCAACTCACTTGCCACTAAGCCTGCCACCAGATACAGCATAATTGTCACTTGCCACTCACCGATAGGGTCTTGATATGAATCTGCAAGCAAGTGATTTATTATGGTACCTGTGCAGTCAAACCTCTCTGCTAATGTTAATCTCCATTTACAGCCACTCCCTGGTGCTAGAATCACCGCCTCAGCTCCACCTCAGATCATTAGGCATTAGATTCTCATAAGGAGCATACAGCTAGATCCCTCACATGTGCAGTTGACAATAGGGTTCACACTCCTATGAGAATCTAATGCTGCCACTGATCGGACAGGAGGCAGAGCTCAGGCAGTAATGTGAGCAATGGGGAGTGGCTGCAGATACAGATGAAGCTTCAGTCAGTCGCCTGCAGCTCATCTCCTTCTGTACCACCTGGTTCCTAACAGGCCACAGACTGGTACCCGTCTGTGGCCCAGGGGTTGGAGACCCTTTCCTAAGCCTTAGAAACTGCTAATTTGTTACCAGTCTCTATAGCTTTGCCTTTAGAATGCCATATAAATGGATTAATATAGAATGTAATCTTTTTAGGTTGTGTTTTGCACTTAGCATAATGCATTTGAGATTTATCCATATTGTGTGTGAATCAATAATGTGCCCCTTTTTTGCTGAGTCATATTTCATTGTAAAAATATACCAGAATTTATTTTTCCATTAATCTTTTTCATTCATCAGGTGAATGACGTTGGATTTTTCTGGTTTTGGGAGATTATAAATTATGCTACAATAAATATTTATGTACGGGTTTTTATGTGAACATAAGTTTTAGTTTCTGTAGAGTAAATACATAGGAGTTTGGCCATATGGTAGGTATGTATTTAACATTTTAAGAAATTGCCAAACTGTTTTCCAGAGTGGCTGTACCATTTTACATTTCCATAAAATATGAGAAATCCAGTTGCACCTTATTTTCCCCTGCACTTTATATTGTCAGGCTGTTTATATTAGCCATTCTAATAGGTGTATAGTTGTATCTTGTGATTTTAATTTGCACTTCCTAATGACTAATAAAGTATCTTCATATGCTTACTTGCATTTAGTTTATCTTCTTTGGTGAATTTTCTGTTCAAAACTTTTGTCCATTAAAAATAATTGGTTTATTTCCTTATTGTTGAATTTTGAGGATTCTTTATATGTTTTATATATAAGTTCTTCATTGGATAAGTGATATGCACATATTTTATCCCGGTCTGTACATTGTCAATTTATTCTCTTATTGTGATCTTTAGAAGAGCAAAACAGTGAGTAGAAGGATGGCTACCAGATGCTGGGGAATGGGCAGAGTGGTGGGGAAAGGTTAGATGTTGATCAAAGGATGTTAAGTTTCAGGTAGACTGGAGGAATACGTTTTCGTGATCTATTGCACTACACGGTGACTACAGTTAATAATAATGTGTATTTCAAAATTGCCAAAAGAATAGATTTTTAAAGTTCTTGCCACAAAAAAATAACGGTGGATATGTTAGTTAGCTTGACTGACTCTTCCTACAGTGTATATATAGATTAAAATACCAAATCATACCCCATAAATATATATAATTATTATTTGCTAATTAAAAACAAAATGTTAAAAAGAGCATTTTTTAAAATATTTTGAGAAAGTCCAATTTATTTTTTTTTCCTTTCATGGATTAGATCTCTTTGCCTAACCCATGATCATAAAGATATTCTCATTTGTTCTCTACTAAAAATTTGGTTAATTTTAAAACTTATATTTGTGTGTATGATATATTTTGAGTTAATTTTGTGTAAGGTTTGAATCATAGGTCAAAGTTCTTTTCTTTGGAAATTGGATATCCAGTTGTTCAGCAACATTTCTTTTTTAAAAATTTCTTTTAAAATTATTTTTAATTTTTATGGATACATAATAGTTTTACATATTTATGGGACATGTGATATTTTGATACAAACATACAGTGTATAATGACCAAATATCGGATTAATAACCCATATTAGAATTATTATGTATTTTAGAATATACAAGGAACTCACCTCAAAAGCAAAAAAACAAATAGTCTAATTTTAAAATGGGCAAAAGATCTGAATAGACATTTCTCGAAAGACGACATACAAATGATTAACAGGTATATGAAATAATGCTCAACATCACTAATCATCAGGGAGACCAGGTCATTTCTCCATTAAAGTATCCCACATTCTGCTTTGGGCTGATTTGTTCCCTAATGGTGTCATTAAAATTGTTCTTATATCTCTCATATATCTTGTGAAAAGGTGATTAGATCTTGATTGGATTTGGGTTTACATTTTGGGTAGGCAACTTTGCAGGCTACTTTCTAAGCATTATGTCAAGGACCTAATACTTTGGTTGTCCTAGTTTAGGTGCTGCTATGTTTGATCAGTGGGAGTTTTCAGCTATATCCAACCATTATAAAGTTCCCCATCAATCTTTTTTCTATTGGCATTAGCAGTCATTGATGCTGTTTCTTTAGATTCATTATTTTATTAAGGATTGCACAATGGTGATATTCTGATTTTAGGATTTATTTTGCATTCATTAGCCAGAAGGTTTATATACAGAAAGACTTTCCTTTATCAACTTTTTAGTTACTCTAAAATATATTTAGCCCAGGAAAGGCAGGACAAGCATTTGAATCTTTCCTTTATCTGTCAATTTTCAGAGTAGTCAGTTAATACCCTGGAAACTTATAATTGAGACTGATGATTATTATTTTTATTTATTTATTTATTCATTCATTCATTCATTTGAGACGGGGTCTCACTTTGTCTCCCAGGCTGGAGTGCAGTGGTGTGATCTCAGCTCACTGCAACCTCCACCTCCAGGGTTCAAGCGATTCTCCTGCCTCAGCCTCCTGAGTAGCTGGGATTACAGGTGCCTGCCACCATGCTATTTTTTTTTTGTTGTTTTGTATTTTTAGTAGAGACAGAGTTTCACCATGTTGGCCAGGCTGGTCTCGAACTCCTGACCTCAAGTGATCTGCCCCCCTCAGCCTCCCAAAGTGCTGGGATTGCAGACGTGAGCCACTGCACCTGGCTTTCATTATTTTTTATCATTATGAATTTATGGATTTGTATGAACTTGATATATTTAAATCCATTGAAGTCATTATTCTTATTGATGCTCAAATTGTCTTAGTTCATTGGAAGTTCTTCCACCTTGACGTTAACTCAGTCTTTAATAGCTTTCTTGATTTCTGGCACAATAATAATGTCCTAAGCTCATCTTGTACATTTTCTGTCACATTCCTGAATTCAGCCATTTCTCCAAGGAATCCTTGGAACCTTTTAATGGAAGATAGAATTTGGAGGCCACAATTTGGGAACTATGGCAAAATACATAGATTTTGAATGTTGGTTGGTTGGCGGTTTTTAGGCTTAAAACCTAAATCACCATAAGATCCTCAAAGTTTATAATCATAATCTTCTCATAATATATTGTTAAGACCTAATTAAAAAGACAGGCCTTTGGGTAGGAATTTACCAACTTCAAGTCCTAAAATGGCTGCCCCAAATTCCTGTAACTATTTATTTGTCTACCTGTGGTTGGAAGGGGTTAAAGCATTCTGTGGGAGCAAATTCACTGAAGGAGTAATTTGAGACAATTCACTACAATGTAAATACAAGATGACCCTGTCAATAGGGCTCAAATATTCTTATATTATAAGGAGGACCACTTTTAACCACATATCAATGTTTGGTTTTCCAAACCAAAGGGATCTCCAATTTCCCTTTCAATGGTGTCACGCTTACTTTCCTTTCATATTTGCTCACTGGAAATTGGCAGAAAAAGACATGCTCCAGGATTAAATATGCTGTGAGTATACAAATTTTTTATTAAGCTAGACAACAGTGTGAATGCAAAGATTTTAAAGTGACAATTTTCGTATTAAACTAGCTAGACATCTCAATTTCATTACCTTGAATAAAGTTATGCTCCACTTTGCATAAATGTGTTTATTCTCATATTTGCATTTGGAAATGACCTTTCACTCAGTCCTGATGCCAGCTGCAATGCAGAAATCAGTATATAACTTAGGAATTCTGTGACAATATTCAGGCAGATACTGTATATTGCCTCAGTCTGTCTACTTTCTCACTTTCAAGAAAGGAGAAAGGTCAAAGATTGCTACATTCTGTTATTTAAAATTCAAATGAGGAACATTTTCTTGTTCTATGAACCCAATCATTATCCATGATTGGTTATGTCCTTTTCCTACTTGATTTTTTCTGTTTTTGTTTTTTTTTTTAATTTGTGCAGAATATTAGAATAAACAAAAAATGTATATGACAAGGTTTCCCAGTATTAGACTTTCTTTATCTACAACTATATTATGTCTATATCATGTCTATATCTATACCTAGCTAGCTGGACTAGTAAGAATTTCGTAAGCTTTACATTATCTTGCTTTTTCATTATTTACTAGCACTTATCAACCAACATCCTAGAATATTAATATTTTCTTCTAAACCATTTATAGATATTATAGAAAATAACTATTTACAGTCATCTGAATGCTGACACATATATGTGCTTGATTTGAACTGAACTCATAATATAAAAAATATTTGCCTAAATAAAGACTTGTATAATACACTCTCCATCCAATCCTCCATTGTAAACTTTGATCCCTGGCCTATGTCTCCTGTAACTTAGCTAGGTTTTTATACTGATGATGACATGGACCAAGTAGTTTTGTAGGAAGAACAGAGCATATCTGTTTATTGCACAGCATGGTGTCAGAGGCCTTTATAAATATTTTGGCTCTACATATATTCCAACCAAGTAAAATAAACTGTAGTTAAGGCTTTAAAAACAGCTCCATTGACTTAGCCTTCATACTGCATGGCAATCCATTGTATATCACTGGGGCACACCATTCCCCTTGTCTTTGCATTTTATTTATGAATTTTACATGAAATCATTACCATTTTTGTATTCAGTTCTTCTGCAGTGGCGGAAGCAGGAATCTAAACAGGCTGTTACATCTCAAAGACATATTCATTAGGCCTGAATTATGAGTTCAGCACATCCTGAAAATAGGAACTGCTCAGAACCTCCTCACAGCTGTCGTTTTGCTTCTCTCTTACAACTGCCATCGCCCTGCACAAAATGACGACTCAATTCTACACCCACCAGATGTTTTTGCCCCCGTTTTATGGTGTCAGCCTTGAATACAGAAATCTTGGGTTTTATCAAAACCAAAATAGGCTGCTTTTAAGGAAGATGAAGGAAAGAAGAGACAAGGTTGTTGACATTAGTATAAAGGTGCTAGAAAAATCTGTCGACTGGCTTTAATCATTCTTCATAAGGTAGAAAAACATGAATATTTTATATTTTTTAAAATTAAGAGATCTGACTAATATTTTTAAAAGATGGTGGCTTATACCTATAAAACATTACTTGTTTTCATTCTGAATGGAAGGTGACAAATATCACTACTAATCTTTTTTTGAACTAATCAAATAAAATAATATTTATTATTAATTTTCTTATAATAGCAACATACTCATTATAGAGTCATACAATTTTATGAGAATCTTGTTATTCAATAGAGATACCTCTTGGAAGATGCCAATTATATATCAATCTAGGTTGCATAAGCTTTACCAAATCTTTTATATGGAAAATGTGCTGAAGGAAAAAAGGGAATAAAGGAGTTCAAGGTTCCATAAAAATAAGAAAATATGCAAAAATAGTAAGGAAATTAGAACTAAAATCTAGCCCTCATGTCTCCTTATTCATCCTTGTTCATTCATGTTAATATCACTAACACATATTCAGTTAGTGTTTATTATTTGTCAGACACTCTGGTAGATGTTGGAGATAATTATATTATGATATGATGAGAGCTAGGATAGAGGAATGAAAATGAGCCTTTGTCATGTGTCTGATGTATTCCAAGTGCTCTTTATGTATCCTATTTTATTTAACCCTTACAAAAATTTATATGAACAATGAATTTATATCCTAAGGCTACTAATGAGGATATTAGCTTGAAGATGATTAGCTAATTTTTTCTATGTTGCAGAGCAAAAATATGGCAGAACACATTCTCTCCAGATCTGTCTGTTTCTAGGAAATGATGCCATTCTATTTGAGCAATGTCATGAAGGATAAATAAGAGTTTTCCAGGTACATAACGAATGAAGGACATTCAAGATCCTGACTCATATAACTCATATAACTGAAAAAAGCATTGTTCTTTCTGGAAATTGCTAGGAGTTCAAGAAGCCTGGAGTCCAGAATGAATGAAGGGGAATAGGGAGATAAGGCCCAAAGCTTTGGCTCACAACTTAGAAAGCATTTCAATAAAAATCAATTTTATTGGTGAAAAATCACATTTAATAAAATGCGTCAATTTTAAAGGTACAGTTGCATGACTTTTGACAGATGTAAACATTTGTGTAACCACAACAGTCAAAATATAGAACATTTTCTGTCATCTGAGAAAATTCCCTTGAGCATGCCTTGAACACCTCCATTCAATCCTCAGCCCCAGGCAACCAATGATCTGCTTTCTATCACTATATATACGTTAGTTTTACGTTTCCTAGAATTTCATGGTATGTACTATTTTTTGCCTGATTTATTTTGGACAGCATAATGAATTTCAATCATATTGTATCAGTGGTTCACTATTTTTATTACTGAGTAGAATTTTGTTTTATGGATATACTACAAACTGTGCATTTAATCGTTGAGAGAAATTTGGGCTCTTTCCAGTTTCTGACCATTATAAATAAAGCTTCTATTAACATTTTCATACAAGTCGTTGGGTGGACATCATATGTTTACATTTCTCTTGGATAAATTCCTAGTTTTGTTTGCATGGTACACATTTTTCATCTTTTTAAACAATCTATCTTTAAAGTGGGTTTCTTATAGAAAGCACATACATAGTTAGATCTTGCGTTTTTTAAAATCCAGTTTGCCAATCTGTGCCTTTTAATTGGAATCGTCAGATCAGTTTTTAAAATTTAATTACAGATTCAGCTGGGTTTAAATCTGCCATCTTGCTGTTCGAATCCATTGGTCCCATCTGTTCTTCGTCCTTTTTGCCCACTTTTCCCATTTTCTTTTAGATAAATTGATTTTTTTTCCATTATATATTTCCTCTATTGGTTTACTAGCTATAATGTTTTGGCTTATTTTCTCAGGGGTTCCTCTAGGGTATGTAATATGTATTTTAATTTATCAGTTCATCACAATTTACCTTCGAATAATATTATATGATCTTGCAAATAATGTAAGACCCTTATGAATAGTATACTTTGATTTCTCGTACTATGTGCTATTGCTGTCATACACTTTATTGTGTATATATTTAAAACCTGACAATAAATACATTATTACCATTTTTCTCTAGGTATTCATTTTCTCATTTAAAAACATGAGAAAATACTTAACATTTACCCATATATGTACCATTTCCAATAGTCTTCATTTCTTTATGTACGTCCGAGTTCATCTGTTATTTTCCTTCTGCCTGTAGAACTTACTGTAACATTTCCTATAGTACAGGTCTGTCGGCAATAAAGTCTTTCAACTCTTGTCTGACAAAAATTGTTTATTTCACCTTCATTTCTGAAGGGTATTTTCATAGTGGATAGAATTCAAGATTGACATTTCTTCAGCATTTAAAAAATGTTCAATTTTCTTCCACTTTGCATAATTTCAGATGAGAAGTATATAATATTTTGTATCTTTGTTCCTTTGCATATAATGTATCTGTCTTCTCTAGCTGCTTTTTTACTTTCTCTTCACTAATGTTTTCATCAATTTGTGAAATGCCTTGGCGTGATTGTCTTTGTGCTTTTCACTGGGTTTGTTAAGCTTCTTGCAACTGTGGGTTTATAGTTTTCATCAACTAAAAAATTTTTGACCATCATTATTTTAGATATTATTTTTGACTCACCCTCCTCACCCACATTCTTTCCAGGACTATGATTACATATGTTACATACTGATTGATACTGTGCTGCAGAGCACTGAAGCTAGGTTTATTTTTCACTATTTTTATTCATTTTTTGCTTCATTTTGAATGGTTTCTGTTGCCAGGGCTTCATGTTTACAGATTTAAAAAAATTCTATAGCATCTAATTTGCTGTCAGTTCTCTCCAGTGAAATTTGCAATTTAGATATTGCCTTTTCCATCTTCTGAAGTTCCATCTTATTCATTGTTATCTTTTATTTCTATTTTCATTGTGTTCATGCTTTCTTTCAAACTTTTGGGCATGTAATAACTGTTTTAAAATCCTTGTTAATTTCCTCATCTCTGTCATTTCTAGGTCTGCTTATTTTGACTTATTTTTTTCCTGCTTATGGATTATATTTTTCTGTTTCTGCATATATCTACTAATTTTCTACGGAATTTCTGTCATTTTAAATTTGTTGTTAAATCAGACTTGTTCTGGCAGTCAGTTTAGGTATTTACAGATCAGCTTGCTCCTTTTCCAGGCTTGTTTTAAAGCTTTCCTTTGGGTAGGTCTACAGTAGTCTTTATTCTGGGATTGGTTTAGCCTCACTATGAAGACACTGTCCTTTGGGGTTTTTTCCAAATACTTCATGTATTTAACAAGGTTTCTCCTCTCAGGCCAGTGAATAACTGAGTAAGTCTCAACTTTGTGCTCCCTAGTAATTGTTTTTTGCCCACCAGTTCTGCTTTGCCTGGCCTCAGGGAGTTTCACCCTGTGCATTTGCAGATTGGTATTCATATAAATATTCAAGAAAACAAACAAAATATTTTCCAGAGGATGCTCTCTGTGTAGCTCACTCTGCTGTGGTACTCTGCCTCCAAAATTCTAGCCACCTTGGCCTCCTCAAATTTCATTTTTGTTTCCCCAATTCAGTGAGATTTTCAAGGATTGTTTGATTCCCTCTCCCTTTGCCATGGTTCAGAAATTTCCTCCCAGCAAAGAGCTGAGTCAGGCATAGATCTCATTTATTTTCCTTCCCTAAGGGATCACGGTCCCATGCTGCCAGCTGTCTAATGTCACAAAGCAGTTATTTCATAATTTTTGTTGTTTTCTGATTGTTTATAGTGAAAGGGTACTTCTTACAGCAGTTATTTCTTCTTAGGCAGCAAAAATCCACATAGCGAATTTTTAAACAGAAGATCAATATATACATGAAAATCACAAACAACAAAGTTTTGTATGATAATAAATCAGTATAAATCATAAAAATTGTCTGAATTTCTGATCTTTAGAATGATGCAATAGTAAATCAGACCAACTTTCTAACCGAGGACATTCTGACGATGATATTTTCTTACTGACAGCATTGGCCAGTGTGGAATAATTAGCTGTTAAATTGAGTGCAGTTTTGGTGGTCATACGAGAGAATCAAAATATAAATCAATAGTTAATAGAATATGAGCAAAAGACTTAATAGGTACTTCAAGAAAGAGGAAATTCAAATAGCCATTAAGCATTTGAAAACCTGCTCTATTTCATTGGTGACTAGTAAAAGGCAATTTAAAACTACAAAGAGATACTAGTATATACTCACTCAAATAACAAATAGTAAAATTTATAATGATATAAACTGTTGGCAAGGATGATGAGCAATGGGATGTAAAGTTTATTGGTGGAAGTATAATTTGCATATAACTGCTTTGGAAAAATTTATATTTAGTAATTGAAAATATGCCTGATCTATGATCCAGTCAGCTCTCTCATATTTATGTACTTCCAGAATATCCTTCAGGGTATATGTACATAACTGTTTATAATAGCATTATTCATAATGCCAAAACAATAATAATAGCCCTGAAAGCAACTCATGTCTATCAACAGGAAAATGAATATGAGTTCTATGGTATAGTCATACAGTGGAACACTATGCAACCATAGAAATGTACAGATACATGTATTGCCATAAATAAATATTGAAAACACATTTAAAATAAGACCAAAAGGACTACATATAGTTTGATTTAACTTATGTAAAGGTATAAAAAAAGACAAAAACTAAACTGTATTCTATAGGGTTACATATATGGGTGGTAAAACTGTAAAAAAAATTATGACTACAATAAACAAATAGTTACTTTCAGGAGAAAATGAAACAGTCTTATGAATGAGAATGGGCATATGGTAGATTTCTGGAATCCTACAAATGTTTTACTTCTTGACCTGGGTGGTGGCTACAGATGTTCTATTTATAATTATTCATTAAATTATATATTATATATTGTGAAGTTTTCTATGCACATATTATTTTCACAATAAAAATGTTTTAAAAATGGTGTTGGTATCTGTCTAGGCCATCTCTGTCCAATAAAAATATAACATAAGCCACAAATTTGAGCTACTTATCTAATTTTAGGTTTTCTAGTAGCCACTTAACAGGGTAATAAAAATAGGTGAAATTAATTTTAATATATTTACTTTAACCCAATATATCTAAAATAGTACTATTTTAACATACAACCAACATAAAAGTACTGAGATATTTTACATTCTTTTTATCGCACTAAACCTTTGAAATCCAATGTGTATTTTGTACCTGTAGCACATCTCAATTTCTGGTAGCCCTATTTCAAGTGCTCAGTAGTCACATGTGGCTGATGGCTACTGTACTGAACAGTACAGATCTAGGTATGAGTGGTAGTTAGCTATGTGTGCTACAGCAAAGACAAAGGCTTTAGAGAAGTCAAAAACCCAGTCTGTAACCTAGGCACGGTAGCCATGAGTTCAAAAACTGAGGTGGAACATGGTTTGGTGGAGAGATTAATTGATCCTAAACTCTGGCAATCAACTGGGTGACTGCACCTAGGACTGAGGTTTAGGTAAAGAGTGATTAGCCTGAAGCTATAAAACAGAAGCCAGAAAGCAAAAGAGGGGTCATACACCTAGACTCAAATCCAACTCTGTCACATAGGAAAGTTCACATATTTTTTCTTATGTGTAAAATGGGTTGACAATACCTACCTTATGGGATTATTATAAGCATTCAGTGAGATATTGATTGTAAAATTAGTAGCACAAAACTTGAAAAATAATAAGCCTTTAATAAATTTATTTGCCAAAAAATTTGGAGTGCCTACTCTATGCTAGATGCTGGCTTAGACAGTGAGGGGTACAGAAGTCAATGAACATTAGTTTTTTTTTTTTAATGACAAACAGTAAACAAGGTAATAGAATTTTAAGGCCAATCTCTACATTTTACTTCACTTTCTGGAGTTTTCCTATTTGAGCTGGTAGCTCTCTAGAATGAGGGCGTTTAAAGGCCTATCAAAAGAGATAATTAGGAACAGCTTGCTGGAATTAAAAAGTGTGGAGACAAGCCTTTTCTTTCCTGATTGGATCTGAGCCTTCATTAAAGTAAATGTATAAGAGATAGTTGAGATTTTAGGGATAAAGTTATGTAAAAATATTTTAGTATCTTCTCATTAAGGAGGAAAATTACTAGTTTAACTGTATACCTGCCAAATGTTTATGAAAATTCAGAGCACTTCATGCAAAAGTCAGTATCTGTGTTTTCTTCAGGAAATACTCATTTTTTTATGTTAACCTAACACTTCATCCTTCTGTTTTAGAGAACGTTATCATTATCTCTTCAAATGTTGTTTCTGTACCATTTCTGCTTTCTTTTTGAGTCTTTGAATAAACAGATATTAAATTCTCATTCTTTTTCCACTCTATTTAACATTTTTTATTAAGGTATAATTTTGTTTTTTTTTGAGACGGAGTTTCACTCTTGTCACCCAGGCTGGAGTGCAACGGCGCCATCTTGGCTCATTGCAACCTCTGCCTCCCAGGTCAAGCAATTCTCCTGCCTTAGCCTCCAGAGTAGCTGGGACTGACCTCAGGTGATCTACCCACCTTGGCCTCCCAAAGTGCTGGGATTACAGGGGTGAGCCACCATGCCTGGCTGAAGGTATAATTTATATACAATAAAATGTACAGAGTTTTAAGTGTAGAATTTAATAAGCTTTGACAAGTATCTATGTCCATGTAGCTACAACTGCAGTCAAGGTGTAGAATATTTCTATCACTCCAGTAAATATTCTTGTACCCCTTTCCAGTCAATCCCCTTCTCCTGAAGCAACCACTTTTCTGACATCTATCTCCCTGGATAGTTATCCTGCTCTTTGACTTCCTATAAATAAAATTATATATACTCTTTGATTTCTGGCTTCTTTTACTCAAAACAATGTTTTCGAGATTCACATGTTGCCTGTATCAATGATTTATTCCTTTTCATTGCTACGTAGGTTTCCAATGTATGAATATCTGTTTATCCCTTCACCTTTGACATTTGCATTTTTTCTAGTTTGAGGCTATTAAAAATAGAGCTTTATGAACATTATCATGAATATCTTTTTGTGGACATATACTTTATTTCTCTTAGGTAAATGCTTAGGTGTAGAGTTGCAGATTTGTAAGGTAGCTATATGTTTAATGTTACAAGAAACTGCCAAAGAGTCTTCCAGAGTGGTTTTACCATTTTATTAATATGTGCTGATGTGTGAGTGTTGCATGGCCTTTATCTGACCTATGTTACAATTCATGAATTCTCCGTTATCCTGCAGTTAAACTCATCCATTTAGTATTGAGTTCTTAATGTGTGTGTTTGTGTGCATGTGTGTGTACGTGGGATGGACCAAAATAATTATAATTTACATAAAAGTGGAAGGAGCGAGGGAGAACTGAAACTCTGAAAGGCAGAAATCAGAGGATTAAAGTAATTTACTAACCATGACAGCCTAAAGCACAATCATGGAAAGGTTGTGATAAAATCCAAGAAGCCATGGATGTCTGACTGCTGAAGTGGTAACACAAATGGGCTACTGGAGAGGTCTGTGCAAGCCAGTACTACTGTGAGGTAGAATTGGGGCCAGCGTTGGTCAGCTGGGCCAGAAGCTGGGAAATACAAGCTGGAAGCTATGTTTGTTTGGCGCCGTGTAGATCTACTTAAAATCTTCTGAGAGTTCTGTCTGCTGCTTCTCTTCTACCTTCCAAATATCATCTTGTCTAATAATGTTCCCTTAATAGAAGAGATTTCGGGAAAAGTACTTAACCACCTTAGATGAATAGAAGTGAGGTGAAGTTGTATTTTTCTGGTTTAGACATTCTTTTAAATTTGTTTCATATATCCTCTGTCATTTTTTCACATCTGCTGTGTTTCCAGATGTCTGCTGAAGTTTATCGTTCTGTTTTATCTTTGCTAATCTGGCTGGACAAAAGTTTCTCACTATGTTCTTATTTGATTACAGGTTTGTTTGAACTTTTTCATATATTTTATGCCTATTTATATTTCTTTTATGAATTGCTCATTTATTTGTCCATTCTTCTATTGAATTGTTTATTTTGAAATTTAATTTACAAGAATTATCTATATGAGAATTATTTTTCCCTTGGTCTATTGTATATATTGTAAATATTTTCCTAGATTATTATTTGCTTTTATTTTTATTTATGTGTTAATATTTTCCATAATAATTTCTAAATTTTTAGACAAATCTGAATATTTTTCCAATATGACCTATTCTTTGGGATTCATTCTTAGAAGGGCCCATCCCCAATCCCCAAGATTACATAAAAATGCCCATGTTACTCCTTTAAAATACTTTTTACCATGTTTGTGATCATTTTAGAAGTGTTTCTTCTAAAGTTTCAACCTGAAGAGAGTTTCCTGTTATTTAATTGAATTAACAGACATTTATTAAATGTCTCCTAGATACCAGGTATTTTGATGAAGACATAAAAGTGAATACATTTCCTAACATTAAGAAATTCATAGTCTCTGGTGGGGGGCGGGGGGCGTCCAGATTTGTAAGCCATAACTATATGAAACATGATAAATCTGTACTAGAACTGTTATAGGAACACAGAATTTGGAGACAATTTTGCTGGAGATCTGAAAGGGTTGGTCAGTCAATAGCATTTATTTTTAATTGATTAATTGGTTATTTGGGGGAAAAACTATATATTGTATAAACTAGGATAACATGATGTTTGGAAATATTTCTACATTGCAGAATGGCTAAATTGAACTAAATAACATATGCATAACCTCAAATATTTATCATTCTTTCGTAGTGAGGACACTTAAAATCTACTCAACAATGTTCAAGAAAGAATACAATATATTGTTATTAACTATGGTTACACTAACACTTATTAACTAATGGCTTATGAAGAAATCTGTCGCAAAGGTATAAATTGCTCATGATAACACAAAATACAGAATCATAAAATAATCTTACCCAGAACGAAACTAAATAATTCACAGGATACAGAAAAGCGTTAGACACAATTAAAACATTCTATCCCTGGAGGATACCAACACAGTCAGTTCCAGCCTCCAAACATGCCCTTGTTTTTTCATTAGCCACTTTTTGGTGCTGGGTTAACAGATGTGGCTTAGGCAATGTATGTAGAAACACTACCAACAAAAAGAATCCATTTGGGTTTGTAATATTTTCATTTTTTAATTTCATTAATTACATAGCTTATTTGGCTATCCTTCATCTCCAGGTAGCCATACTTCATAAATGCACAAATTCCAGGTTTGTTTACACTTTAAAAATCTGCTGGTAAATACCATTAGAGTGTTTACAAGGCGGTCTGGACAAAGTCATTCACCCAGTAGGTAGGGAGTAAATTAAAGGCCTGCGGTTAAACCATTCCTTCCCAGGGCTTTTCCTCTTAGTTCTTTTAAATCATTTTTTCAGTGGCTTCTTCATTAACTGCTTATGATTGAGAGCTAGAAACATTGCAATATGTTTAATTTAATATAAGATTTTACATTTGAAAGGCTTTTTTTTTTCTAGAGGCAGCTTTGGTTGTTAATTTTTGAGTTGCCCAAATATTTTACCATTTTTGTTCAGTGTTTTTCTTTTTAAAAGCATGTTCTCTGAGAGCCCTATGCTAAGTGTTTTTCAAAAGTAACTTCAGTATAAAATTATAGATTCAATGCTTGCGACCTTTAAGATAATATGTTATTAAAATAAAGTCTTGAGAAAATGAAAATAGGTGGCAATAATATTTACTTACTGTTATGTATGAATAGAACTGATTTTTCTTTTGAACACATCTATTACAGGCAATAATACAGAAATTGGAAGCATGATAAGAACATTATCATTTTGCATTTATCTAACAGTTTTAAGAAATAAAACTCCAACTGGCTTGTATCGGTTATCTATTACTGTGTAACAAACCACCCCAAAACTTAGTGGTTCAAGACAACAACCATTAATTAGGTTCATGATTCTGTAGGTTGGCAATGTGGGCAAGACTCAAGTGGGTACTTTCTTTTAGTCTTAGTTGAACCCACTCATGCATCTACATTCAGATGCAAGTTAGCAATCTTGCCTTGCTTCTGGGGCTGGCTGGCTGTCAGACATAGCATTAGGGGACAAATGGCCTATGTGACTCTCCTCATCCAGCAAACTAGCACAGGCTTTTTCACATGGCAGCAGTTTCCAAGAGAAGGAAGAGAGTCTCGGTCCATAAGAATTTTTCAAATCTCCCAAGGACCAAAGCAATTCATACGGCCCTGGCCAGAGTCAGCATGGGACGGGACTTCTGAAAGGTATGAATATAGGGAAATGTGAACAAACTGTGGGCCATCATTGCAGTAATCTAAAACTAAAATTTTACTTTCGAGAATATTTCCTTTTCTGAGTTTTCTCTAGCCTCAAATTAGCATCTCATATATCTCATCTCATCACTCTCTCATCTCTTGCTTTTGCCATTACACACACACACACACACACACACACACTCATACACTTTCCATCTCCTAACAGAAATCGTATATCCTTGATGGAGAACGTATAAGTCAATAGCATGCTTCAGAATGGAGACAATATTTTTTTATTTCTTGTCCTATCCTAGCTCTCTGAAACACTAGTAGGTGGGTATTGGCGACCATGCAACTAGATTGCTATCAAAAATAAAATTCTTAAATTTAGCTTTTTAAAGGGAACAAAAACTGACTGTGGACTAGCCATCAACAAAGAACTGCTGAACACAGCAGCTCGAGCAGTGAGACACTGCCGGAAAAGAGCAGCATACCAAATTGCCTTGCCAACCTTGCTTCAATAGCTGTTCAACAGGGTTCCCATGCAGCTTTCAAGTCTTAGTTTCTATTTGTGCTTTGCTTCAGTGTTAACTTCCAATTTAGGCTTTTAAAATGGAAACTCAATCTTAAAATCAGTTTGGATGCCAGAAAAGCATTTTTTGAAGAGGCAAGGAAACGAAGACATTATATTTATATAAAAAATGGGCAGATGAGGAACTGTAATAAGAATTTCATGAGTGACTCTTATTCTAGGATGCTTTTTTCCCCCTACTACAGTCTATTCTTTTTTACTAGATAACACACAAGCTTTGATTTAAAAGTTTTATAAGTTACGCCTAAATGGATATTTAGAAGAGCACACATGATCAGCTCATTTGAAGATAAATTACCTACTTGATTTCTAGTTCAGTGTGTTTTCAATGCATATTTAGAATCAGACCTTCATTTGGCACCCTCTGAAGCCAGGCACCTTCATATTCAGGCTTGTGTGCACCCAAGTATTAATCTAGAAGTTAAAATGGGATCTTAATATATTTTAGTGAAGGTAAGATATAACTCAGTGGAAACTGGTAGCCCAATCTCAACAGTATATACTTCTTTTAAAGACACTTAAAACAAAACAATAAATCTATGTGTGTCAAACAATATCTATAGATATTAATCTCTAACTTAAACTTTACCTTTTTCTTCACAAATACGCAGAATTAATATTATTTTTCCTGTTTTGTTGAAGAAGGATCTAAACATTAAAGGAGGTAAGCATTAGTTCTTAGCTCGTGAAAGTGGTGAGACTGGAATTTTAACTTGGGACTACCTCTTTGACTCTAAAATCCATATTCTTTTCATTGCTTATTCCTAGCTTCCTTTAAAAATCAACATAGGTATCTTGTATAAGATGTTCAGCAGCTGTTTATTAAATTGAATATTTGTATTTTCAGTATCCCAGCTGAGTTAATACTTTGACTACTTTCTACTAAGCATACTTCTTTAAGACTTTGTAATTTCAAAATTTTAAAAAACACACAGAGCAGTTCCTCTTGAATGGTAACAAGATAACAAGAAGTTAAATTTCAGATTCATTGTGGACACATGTTTTTGTAAAATACAATAAAAATTAAACATTGGAAAAATTAACAGTGGTATAAAATGCAATCCAAGTTTTTTTAATGACTAGACTCAATAGACATAAAATTACTTCTCCAGTTTGCTAAGAAAAATTTGCAAGCACACTTACTTTCTATTTCTCCATCTATCTTCTTGAGGACTGGTATAGTTGGAGGACATATACTTGTCTGCTTATCCACAAAGCCACATTAAGCAGCTGTATCTTAGAAAATTATTGACTTCACATACTTGCTTAGTGCTCCCTTTGGTAATATTTATTCTAAAATTGGAATAATATGGGGGAAAATAAAGCATTTCATATATAACAACAAAAAGAAATAACAAAAATATTTGTTCATTTTTCAAAAATTTACCCAGGAAAGAAACCAGAAATTAATAGAACTGTTTAGTTATAGGTGGCGGGTGGGAACAGGGTTGTTAGGACAAACAGCCAAATTTGAAGCTACAGTCAATAATTTTTAATGTTTGGTGATGTTGAATTTTTTGAATTTTCTAATTGTACTATAGTTATATAATTATATGTCCTGGCTCTTAGGAAATACACACTGAAGTATTTATGAATATAGAGGCCTGATGTCTGTAACATTCACCCAAATTGGTTAGGGGGGAAATGTTAGCAATTCATATATTTAGCTGAGGACTGTACAGGAGTTTTTTATCTTGTTTCATTCTTGCAATCCTTCTCTGAGTTTGAAATTATTTTGAAATAGACAAAGGACACTTCGTTAACTTTTAAAGGATATATATGCAGAACTGACAAAAAGGAAGAGAAACATTAGCGCGTAGTTTTTTCATGGAATTCACCAACTTCCCATATTTACGACCGAATTTTGATATACTTTTAAACTTGAGACCTCGGGAAGAATTGTGCAGTGAAATTTTTTAGCCTGTATTTACTCTGGCTGAATTGTGAGCAATATTTAAAAAGCATTCACTAGATATTACATCTAATTAATCTCCTGCCAGACACTTAATCTGCTGTGAAATTCAGCTGCCATGAAGATAATTTGACAAAGTGGCTTAAATTGTTAATAGTAAAGCTATTTGAATATGAGGACCAAATTATAGATGCCTCCATCATCTGTAGGTCAGTGCTGGCCTAGAAAGCAAAACGAATGCCCAAAAGTACCAGTTTTCTACTTATTTGGATGTAATTGTTATTTAAGGAGGTACTGGTAAGGCTTTCTGCCTACCACAACCATTTTAGACCTCTCTTGACCAGCAATGGGTGGTTTAGATGAGTCTAGAATGGATGCAATAGGTTTTGGCCAGTTTTGACTGGTCATGGCTGGTTCCAACCAGTCCAGGCTGGTTTGGACTGTCATGGGTTAGACTGACTGTGACTGGCCTCAACTGGTTTAGAGAGATTTTGAACAGCACTGACCTGTTTAGCCACAACTGGTTTAGTCCGGTTGTGACTGGCCACAGCCAGTTTACACTGGTTTAGACAAGCTGCAACCAGATTTGAATGGTTTTGACTAGCCATGACTGACTTAGGCTTTGACTGGTTTGAACCATTCTTGGTTGGATGCAACTTGTTTAGACCAGTTTTGGCTGGCCACAACTGGATTAGACTTTCCACGACCAGTTCAGACCAGCATTGATTGGTCTAGATCAGCTTCAATCAACTTAGGTTGGACTCAACTGTTTTTGTTTGTTGATTTTGTTTTTGAGACAGGATCTCACTCTGTTGCCAAGGCTGAAGTGCAGTGGTGCGATCATGGCTCACTGCAGCCTCAACCTCCTGGGCTCAAGTGATCCTCCCACCTCAGCCTCCTGAGTAACCGGGGCTACGGGCATGTAACACCATGCCTGGCTAATTTTTTGTATTTTTTTGTGGAGACAGGGTTTTGCCATGTTGCCCAGGCTGGTCTCCAACTCCTGGGCTCAAGCAATCCTCCTGCCTTGGCCTCCGGAAGTGCTGGAATTACAGGCTTGAACCACTGCACCTGGCCTAAACTGGGTTAGACTTGTTGCAAATGGCGTAGGCCAGTTGTGCCTGGCGGCAACCAGTTTAAGCTGATTTTCACTGGCCGTGACCAGTTTAGACCAGGTACAACCAGTTTAGATGAGTTTTGCCCAGATGTAAATGGATTCAACTGGCTGTGACTTGTTTGGATCAGCCTCAAACACACTCTGATGACTACAACAGGAACTGACTGGCCTTGATTGGCCATTACTGGCATTGACTGGTTTCAGCTGGCAATGACTGTTAGACCTGTCTTGACTAGCCCTGGGAAGTTTAGATCAGCCTAGACTGGACATGACTGGTTTAGGCCAGTTTTGACCAATCAGGGTTAGTTCTGACCAGTCTAGGCTGGTTTGGACTGGTCATAAATGGCTTAGGCAGGTTATGACTGGGCTCAACTGGCTTCGGGTGGTTTTTTTCCAGCCCTCAACAAGCTTAGGCCGGTTTCAGCAAGCCCAGCCACACTGTTTTATATAGGTTTACACCATCAACAATTGGATTTGGCTGGTTTTGACTGTCACTGGCAACAACTGGTTGAGTCATGTGTCAGCTGGTTTTGACCAGTTTTGTCTGGCTACAATCATTTCTACTAGCCACAAGGGGTTTAGATTGGTTGCATTATGATGTGACTGGTTTTGAATGCCCACTACCAGTTCAGAGAAGCATCAAGTGGTTAAAACCAGTTTTGACCAGTTTAGACCAGCTGCAACCACATTTGACCAGTTTACACAAGGCAGAAGATGTTTGGGTATATCTCAACCATCTTGAACTGGTTTGGACCTGCCACAACTGGTTTTAGCAGGTCTTGACCAGCTTGAACTGGTTGTGACCAGCTGAAACTGGTTTTGGCTGTTTTTGACTGGCCGTGATTTGGTGAGACTGGCCACAATGAGATTTGAACAGGTTTTTCCAGGAGCGACCAGTTTAGATGAGTTTAGACTGGACCTGACCAGTTCAGGCCAGTTTTGACCAGTTCCTACCAGGTCCACTTAGGTTGTTGTGACCAGTCTAGGCTGGTTTAGACTGGCCACAATTGGTTTAAAACTGTTGTAACTGGCCTTGACTTGTTTTGAGTGTTTTTGACCAGTCTCTACTGGTTTAGACTGGTTGTGACTGGTCACAACCTGATTAGACTGGTTTAGACTGTCTGCAACTTGATTTAGCCAATTTCACCTGGACACAACTGGATTTGACTTTTTGACTGGCAATATCTGTTTAAAGTAGGCCTCTACCAGTTTAGACTGGTTTGACTAGCTGCATCCAGTTTAGACCAGTTTTGTCTGGCATAACTGGCTTTGACCAGCTACAATCAGTTTAGGTCAGTTTCAAGTGGTTACAACTGGTTTATCCTGGCCATGACTGGTTTAGACCAGCCACAGTGGGATTTAATAAATTTTGACTGGCCATAACCCATTCAGATGGCACTGGCTTCTTCAGACTGGCCTCAATCAGTTTAGGCTGGCCACAATCAGACTCAATTGGTTTAACTGGCTATACCAGATTTGGCCAGTTTGGACTGGCCATGACTTGTTTAGACTGGCTTTGACTGGTATAGACCAGCTACAAATAGATCAGACATATTTTGAGTTTTCATAAATAACTCTGGACTTTACATGACCAGATTAGACCAGTTTCGACTGGTCATGGCTAGTTCTAATCCCTCCAGGCTAGTTTTAGTTTGGTTGTAACTGACCTTGGCCACTTTACACCAGTTTTGAATGTCTATACCAGTTTAGACTTGCTGCCATCATTTTAGGCCAGTTTTGAGTGTCCACAAGCCACAACAGGGCCTAACCTTTTTTGACCAGTCATGACAAGTTTAGATTGGCCTGGACCAGTTTAAACTGTTTTTTGACTAGCCGCAACTGATTTGGGCTGGGTTCAACTTGCCACAACTGGTTTTGAATGGCCACAACTGGTTTAGACCAGCCACAACTGGTTTAGACTAGCTTCAACTGGTTTCAAGCAGCCACAACTGGTTTAGTCTAAATTTGGTGTAGCCAGCTTAGTCTTTGTTTTGCCCAGCGGCCACCAAATTCAACTGTTTTTGATGGCCCACAATTGGTTTGGACTGACTTCAACTGGTTTCAACTCCCATGACAAATTTATAATGATTTTGGTTGGCAAGGACTGGTTGTTTCAGGATTTGACCAGCCATAACCATTTTAGACTGGTTTTGACTGGCCAGGACTGGTTTAGATGGTCTAGATTGGCTTCAGTCTATTTAGACTTGTTTTGGCTAGTCATCACAGGTTCTGACTGGTTTCTATGGCCACAGCAGCTTTATACTCATCACAATTGATCTAAACTAGTTTTATCTGGAAACCACCAGATAAACTTCTTTTGACTGGTCAGTACCAGTTTAGACTGGCTTAGACCAGTTTTGACCAGCTTCAGCTGGCTTTGGCTGTCCATAACTGGTTTCTAATGTTTACAACTAGTTATGAATGGTTTTGTCTATAATGGTTTCTACTGGTTTTGGCTGGTTGTGACTTGTTTTAACCAGTTTCATTTTTAACTGGCTTTGATCAGCTTCTACTGGCTTTGACTGGCTGTGACTTGTTTCTGTTCATTTTGGCTGGTTGCAATGAGTTTTGCCATGACTGGGTTCAACTGGCTTTGACTACCTTTGATTGTCAATGACTATTGGTGTCCTTTAGTCACCAGCAGTGTCCCCTGGTGACTGGTCATGAACAGCCATAGCACAGTAGCAGCACATGGTGTTGTTCATGTGTTCGTGTGTTCACTATGTGGCTGATTGAGGCTAGGGCAGGTCTTTGCATGTTTTCTTCAAAGGCTTGACTAGACACACCTACATCACATTAGATACTTAATGATCTGGCAGAGTACACTTTTCCATTGGGGGATGGAAAGATTAAGCCACCTGGGGCATCAGCAAGGGAGGATAGGGGCTATGGGGATGGCTGCCAGAGCCAGATTCCATGGGGTTGAATCCTGTTCTGCCACTTCCTAGTTGTGTGACTTTGGCAAGTCACTTAACTACTCTGCTCCTCTGTTTCCTGATCTGTAGATGGGGATGATAATAGGACCTAGTTCATGGAGTACTTGTAACGATCAAATGAGAACATGCCTAACACAAGTCCCACATCAGTAATATATAATAATAATCCTTATTATTTTATGTGATAATATACTGATATACTACTGATGCTTCTACTATATAAGATTTCTTAGTTTCATTTTCTATCTTCTGCCATGTTGTTATCTCAAATAGGGAATTGGATTTGTAGATATTTGCTGCTCTGCTACATCCAGGTGATGAACAGAGACTATTGGAGAAGCTGAGGGCCCAAATACAGTGCTTTCTCCTCACACTCACAAGGTCTGAGATACATCCAGGCTAAGACCTTGGGGGTCACCCAAGGGTTGGGACATGAATAAACACTTCAAAATATTAAAACCCATCTGATTATGCCATGAGTGAATATGTTCCACCTGATAACAAAATGAGTTGAAAGTCAGAAACAAGCAAACATGCACAAACAAAATCCAGCATTGTCAGAACGGCCCGGTCAAAGTATTTGTTTTGTGGATTAGGGGAAAGAATTAAGGCCCAGAAATGAGGAAAGGGTGTATGTTTTTCAGTGTGTTGGGAGAAACACAATGTCTGAAAATCATGAGGTTAATCATATATTAAAATACTTGAGACCAGAAGGATCTACCCCACCTGTGGGGTTTGAAAGGTTTGTTTGAATGGCTTTCTGCCTCTCATTAGCAGTCAGTTTACAGTTCACATCTTTCTGCTGGGTTCAAGGGGTCCTCTCATGATGCACAGGATGCACACTTCAGGTTCAGATGGCTACACTATTCCTTTTTGGTTCTGGTTTTATACATTTTCCAGGGCTTATCTACAGAGAAATTTCATGCCCAGATTCCAATCACAGAAGGAGTCTGCCTTTAACGATTTGGTTAATGCCCTTAACATTTTAAACAATCTCAACTCTGCCCATTTAGTATAATTTAAACAATGGAAGCCAAAAGTTTTAATTAACTAACATAAATTGTTTCCCTACTAATAAATTTCCTGGAACTCTTAATACATACTTTCTATTAATAGCTTGAGATAAGATACTGTTTGGGAGATATTGAACCAATATATTTTCTGTTTCCATAACCTTTAGTTCCAAATCGTCCTACAGCTTCAAGGACAGTAAGCCCCACTTAACGGTCCAAGGTGATAATGTTTTTCCTGTTGGAAAACATTGGATATAGAAGATATTCCAGGCTTGGGATGTTGGTTGTGAGACTTGCTGCTTTAGAGTAGGGGTATAATGTAGATGATCCTTTCTGGTTCTCATGAATTATGCAAAGACGTAGTGGAAAATCAGTGCAGCTGACTCAGGCTCTAGATGTTTCTTTCTACTTCACCATCAAGGGAGTGGATCCTAGGCAATAACTGACATTCTCATATAGGTTTAATGCTTCCAACATATCTCATCCCATACTTAGAGCAGCAAATCATCCCTCCTGATATTTCTAAGGCCCCTCTTTCTCCTTATTTCTTTGAGTTTGGATTGGGTTGGGGGAGAGGCTGAGGTGGGTGTGGATAAGAGACTTCCCTTGTTTTCTTCCCTCTCCTTTTCCCTTACAATATACCAAGACCTGAAGGGGTGGCACATTAGTTTATTAGGGCTGTCATAACAAAATGCCACAGACTGAGTGACTTAAACAGATGTCTTACAAGTTTGGTGGCTGTAAGTCTACAATCAAAGCGTCTGCAGGATTGGTTTCTCCTGAGGCTTCTCTTCTTGGGTAGTAGATGGCCACTTTCCTGCTGTATCTTCACATGATATTTCCTCTGCAAAGGTACAACCCTGATGTCTCTCTGTATGTCCAAATTTACTCTTAATAACCTCTTTAAAGGCCTTATCTCCAAATACAGTCACATTCTGAGATACTGGGGATTATAGCTTCAGTAAAGAATTTGCAGAGTGGCACAATCCAGCCCATTAATAGGTAGGGTTTTGCTTTATAACCTCTATCACATCCTTGTATTACATGACAGTAAACTTTAGGTCATGAATAGAAGTGGATTTTTTTTTACCCTGTGAAAGGAGCTCTATCCTAGCTCTTGAACTCACACCTTCAAGACTGGGATTAATGAAGAGGAAAATATATCAGTTTAATGTCTACCAATATTATTTCCACCATAGACTTAGTACCACCTACCAGGGATTGCTGCTGGCACCAGGTCTCAAAGATCTGCAACAGAAGAGAGGGAAACTGAGACAGACATTTCTAAAGAGAAACTAGATGGTCTATAGAGAAGAAGACATTTTAGTTTATTATTTGGAAACTACGTGCAAAAGCTCTATATCTTGGTCTCACCTGTAGAAGAAAGCTTAGAGCCAGGTCTTTGTCTGAAAAAGATATTGAGGTTTATTCTATTTAAAGTCAGGTGACCAGAGAAAGGAAATGAGTGACAGTATCCTCAACACCCAAAGAAATCAAGATCATTGGGCTGAACAGTGTAAAACTGAGCAATCCAATATGGTAGCCCCCAGATGCATGTAATTACAATTATGTGCTGCATAATGAACTTTTGGTCAATGACTGACTACATATAGGACAGTGGTCCCATAATATTATAGTACTGTATTTTTACAGTATTTTTTCTGTGTTTAGATACACAAGTACTTAACCATTTTTTATAGCTGCCTACAGTTTTCAGTACGGTCACATGCTGTACAGGTTTGTATCCTTGGCAACATAGGCTATACCATGTAGCCTAGGTGTGCAGTAGGCTATACCATCTAGGTTTCTGTAAGTACACTCTATAATGTTTCCACAATGATGAATCACCCAATGACATATTTCTCAGAATGTATATCTATCATTAAGTGATATATGACTATAATTAAAGAAACTAAAATTAAATAAATTTCAAGGTTCAGTTTCTCAGCTGCACTAGCCACATTTCATATTCTTAAGTAATCATATATTCCTAGTGTCAACCATATGGAGGAGAACAGATAAATAATATTTCCATGATTGTAGTAAGTTCTATTAGTTGACATTAATAAGTAATTTTTTGATGTATGGTGAAATTAGCATCTACATTGGTTGGAGCTTTGATTATCTGTGTTAACTGAATCTTGAACCCTTCACTGATGGTCTGGTTTCCCAACAAAGAATTTTCAACCATGTAGAAACCCCCCACTTCCATGGGAACCAAAAGTCTCATGGTATTCAAAATGCTTGAACATCACCGTCCATGAAGAAGAATCAGATAATATGTTCCCCCATTACTCCCCATCTCAGTAGCTCATCTGTTTCCTTTTTAAACCTGTGTGCAGTATTTTAAGTATCTTTATTATATATTCTTCCCCTCATCTAATGTAGGGTAAGCTCCATGAAGGCAGAAGCTGTCTTCCACCTGGTTCAGCAGTGTCCCCAGAACTGGAAACCTATGTGAAAGAATGGCAAGCTGTGGAGAACTCTTTGGATGTGTTATTTTATTTGATTTGCACAGCATCCTAATAAAGTTGCTCATATCTCCATTTTAGATAGAAGGAAAAAAATATCCTGAGACTCAGTTAGTTTGGATAAATCACTTGCCCAAGATCAAACAGCTATTGAATTACAGTTGTAGTATTTGAACCCATATTTGTCTGACACCAAAACATGAATGCGTTACTACTTGACTACTTGATATTCTGTTCTCTTGAACTATGTAAACTGGGGACAAAGTTAAATAGCTGCCTAAATCTTTTTTTTTTCCCTGAAGGAATTTATTCAACAAAGAGCCATACTCAAAATAAGAAAAATAGTAATTTACCTCTCTACAGGGAATATTTTAGCAGGTCAAATAATTAAATTTTAGGGGACAATCTTTGTCTGTGAGAGTTGAACAGGATCTATTTGCCGTTTAAAAGAAACAGCCAGAAGCACAGTTTTATAAAATGGGATAATACTACAATATGCAGGAATAAGTTCACCATCAGACATTTAGAATCTAATCCATTCCCTGATTTATAATTAAGCAATCAGAAAACAGTTTGGGGGCACTTACCATGTGTCAATCAATACAACCTTGTGTTAGAAGAGTTACAAAGACACAGTCTCTGCTCTCAAGGGGTTTAAAATCTAATGGGAAAGACAATCTTGTAAACGACTAAAGGAAATACAAATCTGAGTAAAATAAGAACTAAAAAAAAACTCAAGGTTTTTTTGAAACGCAATTTTTAGTTTCAGTTCTGAGTATACACATGCATTAAGTATTTGAAAAGCTTGACAATTTTTGAACAGTCATTTTATATTACTAAGTCAAATGCAAACCCTACTTTTTTATTTGCCAGGTACCTGTAGGTATATGAGACAGAGAAACTGTGGAATGGTGTTTAAGAGGGAGGCTTGTAATGGTACCAACCAGCATTCCAGTTCCAGCTCTATGCTATCAACCAGCTGTGTCTTCTTGGGCAAGTTCATTATCTCTCTAAACCTTTCTCTTCTTTTTTTTTTTCTTTTCTTTTTTTTTTTTTTGGTGAAAGAGGATAATAACGGGGTCTGACTCCCAGGGTTTGGGGGAATATTAAATGAGAAGTGCCTATAAAAGTTTCAGGGTTTCTGGCACTTGGTGAGTTCTCAATGGTATTAGCTATCATTATCAGGATGGTAGACAAGATTGCAAGTGCTGTTGGGCTCTTTATAAAATACAGAAACGTGCATATTGTGTTGACAAAAAAAAGTACCTGACAAAAAGTCATATACCATTAAGCTCTACTTCCTGCTCTGCTGCTTTCCACTCAAGTGACTATAGACAATATATTAACTCTATATATTCAAAACAGAGATATTTTAGCAATAAATGCTGTTTCCCCTCACTTTCTAAGATAGCTGCGGGAAGGCAGTGAAGGTGGAAACTGTCCACACACATGGATACCCACATAAGATTTGTTTGATAAACTATTTATTCCCAGATAAACCAAAAGCTGTTTGATTCTGCATATTTAAATTTGTTTATAATATGTTATAGATTCTGGGAACTCAGAAACAAAATGCTATTTCTAGTGTATATGATTGTTTTATTTTCATTAAAGTTCAGATGGCCTTTATAAATTTCATGATTGAAATATGTCAGACAACTACCCATGCATCCCGAGGTGATCTCAGTTTCTCCAAGGGTTTCAACTGTCTATGTACTAATGTCCTCAAATGGAATTATCCAGCCATAGATCCCCTTCTTGTTTGTACAAATAACTCCTTTATCATAAAAACTTCAAATTTCCTTTGTCCCAGGTGGCATTCATTGTTTTGCTACACAAGTCATTCCTTAGTGCTACCACATCAGACAGTGGTTCCCGATTGGGAATCATTTTGCTGCCATTCCCCAGTGAACATTTGACAATGCCTGGAGATACTTTTTGTTGTCACAACTTGGGGGAAGGCAGTTGCTACTAGTATCTAGTGGGTAGAGGCCAAGGATACTGCTAACCATCCTATAATTCTCAGGAAAAACATTCCCCACTCCCCATGACAAAGAATTGTCTGGCCCCAAATGTCAATAGTGCTGCAGTTGAGAAACCTTGATATTTAGGAGATTTTCACCTGGTAGCCTAAACCAGAAATCTTGGAGGCATCCTTGATACCTTCTCCAATGTCCTTATATATAGACCGTATATATAGAGAGAGACCAATTCACCAAGAGAAAATTTTCTGTGTACCTCTTCTCTACTTTAATGGAAAGTAGAGAAGTACTCTAATGGAAATGGCCATTTCAAGCCAAAATAACTTCTGCCTCAAACTTTTATAATATCTTCTGAACTGGTATTCATGACTTGCTTCTTCTATCCACTCCCTTTTTTGTTTTCAAAATTTTTCCTGAAATACAAGGTGAAGGATATACCTATTCTATTTGTAGTATTTCAAGACTGAAATAAAACTGCCAGGGACAGACCAGAAAGTTCATCATTAGAAACCAGTAGTCCACCTCTTCAGGATTACCTCCTCCACCTCCATCCCTTGCTTTCTCAAGCCTCTGTGCCTTTGACACCCTGAGCCCTCTGATTGAAATTCCCCTTCAGCAACTCCAATGCCATAAGCATGAATTTCCGTGCATCTTGTTAAGGTCCAGCTCAGACATCACCTACTTAGGAAGCTTTCCTCCCTGACCCTTGTGTTTGGATTAAGACCTCATCTTCTGTAACTTCCTCTATAACACTTTTTTATTGATTGATTGATTGATTGAGACAGGGTCTCACTCTGTCATCCAGGCTGGAGTGCAGTGGCATGATCATAGGTCATTATAACCTCAAACTCCAGGGGTCAAGTGATCCTCCCACCTCTGCTTCCCAAGTACCCGGGACTATATAATACCATTAAAAAATGTTTTGACTTCCTAGATTTTGAGCTTCTTCAAGGCAAAGCTGTGCTTTAAGTGTCCCTAGTACCTAGCAGTGTGTAGAACATGATAACTGTACTTAAAAACTGTTTTTAAAAGTTTAAGGTCAAACTAAAATTTTTAGAATATTACCTAATAAGTTAAAAAAAACCACATGGCCATATTAGAGTGTCAGCAGGAAACAGAACACTAAGGTTAAATAATTTGAAGATAATGTAATAAAGGAAATCTTTACATAGGGGTAGAAAACAGGGAGAAAATGCAGTGAATTGGCATTAGTCATATCAGGTAGGTATTGCCACCATGGCCTAAACAAGTGAGGTAGCCAGGTAGGGAGCTGTTAGTGGACTTATGGAGGGAGGGTGGGGCAGGGGTGAGAGAGAGAGAGAGAAGAGAGAGAGAAGGCTTCCAGACAGTAGCTTTTAGATCTCCTCCTGTGACACCTTTGGCCAAACCCAATCACAAGTGAGAAGGCAAGGGAATGTATCCATGTAGTCCATACAGATCAGGTCCCATGTAGCAAAAACAGAATGGAGAAGGATGGAAAGTACATCTGGATGGGTCAAATGGAATATATCCAGCCCAATGACATAATGAAAAGAAGTGTGGGTTTTGAAATCTGACAGATCTTATTTCCAAATCCAAGTGTTTCTATTCTCTAGTTGTGTGATAATATATAAGATGATTTACATACCTTGATCTCAGTTTGTAGTAATAGTAAAAACACCTTCTCAAGGTTATGATTAAGATGAAATGGTGTATATACATGTCTTATAAATTGTTTAGCACATAGTGGGCCTACCCAGATTGAGATCAAGACATCGGGAAAATTTTTTAAAAGTTAGATTTAATCTCTTCTAAGTAAAAAAAAAAAAAAGATCTTGTGCCTATTCCTTGACAGTCTTCTCACAGATGGTGGAAACACAGCAAAACTAGTCCTACTAATGGAAAAATTTCACAAATCATCCTGAGTCAGTATTATTCTCATGAGCTTTTGTGTATATGTACATACAAAATGAGGCTGGAGAGCTCAAAACTGCCTGCATCTGTACCTTTACTAGCTGTTTGTTATTTTACAGTGATGTGAAATTTGCTTGAGAAGTATTTACATTTTCCTCATATAGACTATATCTGCTTTCAGATGTAGTCCAGTTTAAATAGCAAGAATTAATCCATTGAAGGTACACAATTTGGTTGAAACATCTGTTTGATATTCTGTGCAACCAACTTCATCTATTCTCTATGCAAAAAGAACACAATCTTACTTATAATAAACATTTTTTTTGTACCGGCAATCATGCAGCTGCAGAAAACATGGTTTATCATTAGATAATCACATCCTTGGGGGATTGGATGCACCCGACTGTGTCTTATGCTTTCTATGTTGGAAATTTAATTTTCTCATAAATGTCAGAACTATTGCCTTGCTACATATTGCTTAATTAATAATTAAACCATAATTCCATCCTTATAAACTATATTTAAATCTATATGCTATATGTATGTATACATAACACAAGCAGGACTAAACATAGATAATGGAGCCTTTTGTATCTCAGATAAGTTCATTTACATTTCATATCCTAGTATTAACTTGTACTAGTTGGTACATTTACTCCATCAGTGAAAACATCAGCTCATAAAAACAATTTAATTGGAAACATAGCCCAATTCTTAATGATTCCCCCCCAGCCCACCCACTAATATATCGTAATGCTTGGATTTTTAAGAAATCAGGCTAAGGGTAAGAAAGAGAGTGAGTAATAAGTGAAAGTGAACTGATCGCTTTTGAGATTGAACCTGAATCCTAGTCATTATTAGCAAGCAGCTAGAAATCTTTTGGTAACTCAGAAAAAAATTGGCCATTTGTGTTATAGAATCAAGAGATACACATTTTTCTCTGTATTTAAAGTGGAAAAAATCTTTCACTGTTAAACTAGTATCTCCTGCAATAATGTGGTTAGATTTATGATGGTACGCAGATCTGTGACAATCTGTTATGTCATGTGCAATTTAAATCAGCTTTTGAGCAAGATGGCCCTTAATCAAGTGCTTCCAGGATGAATCCCTGTCACTAAGGGGCAATAGTGCAGTATTGGCAGTTCTGAGCTGACCAAAGGGGTTTAGAGATGGATGCCTAAGTTAGTTTAGTTAGTATGAAATTAAGTGATATATTCCAACAAAATTACTTTTCTTAACAATTCAGTATTGATCTCTTGAGCATCACTTATCACTGTGGAACCAATATACTGGTCCAAAGAGGATGATGAAAGCCACATGGAGTAGAGCCACTCTAAGCTGACACTGGCCTAAGTCAATTGAGTTTCTGGCTGGCAGCAGATACATGAGTGTGCCCAGCCTAGACCAGCCTAAATCAGCGGACAGTCAGCTAAATAAATGTTTACTGTTGTGTGCCTTTGAGATTTTATGGCTGTTTTGCAGAATGACAGAAACATAATTATCAGTTTCTTGCCTTAGTCTACCCTGCTGACATTAGCATAGTCTTGTTGAAGAATAATAGTGGTTACCCTTCACTCTACTGATTGCCTAGTATATGCCAGGTGCTTTTACATCTCTTTGATTCTTTCATTTCTTAAAGATAGCTATTATTACCCACTTTTATAGATAAGTAGAATGAAGTTCAGAGGTGTGAAGTTCATCTAATCCTTTTTAAAAATTTTAACTTTTATGGGTACATAGTAGGTATATATATATTTATGGGTTATATCAGATGTTTTGATACAGGCATGTAATGCGAGTTAAATACATCATGGAGAATGGGATATCCATTACCATTAGTAACAATCCAATTAAACTCTAAGTTATTTAAAAATATACAATTAGGTTATTATTGACTGTAGTCACCCTGTTGTGCTATCAAATAGTAGGTCTTTTTCATTCTTTCTAACTATTTTTGTACCCATTAACCATCCCCACCTCCCCTCACCCTCCCACTATCCTTTCCAGCCTCTGGTAACCATCCTTCTACTCTCTATGTCCATGAGTTCGAGTTCAATTGTTTCGGTTTTTAGGTCCCACAAATAAGTGAGAACATGCGACGTTTGTCTTTCTGTGACTGGTTTATTTCACTTAACATAGTGATCTCCAGTTCTATCCATGTTGTTGCAGATGACTAGATCTCATTCTTTTTTATGGCCAAATAGTACTCTATTGTGAGTATGTGCCACATTTGCTTTATTCATCTATCTGTTAATGGACATTTAGGTTGCTTCTAAATCTTAGCTGTTGAAACAGTACCACAACAAATATGGGAGTGCAGATAGCTCCTTAATATACTGATTTTCTTTCTTTTAGATATATACCCAGCAGTGAAATTGCTGGATCATATGGTAACTCAAGTTTTCATTTTTTTGAGAAATATCCAAACTGTTCTCCATAGTGGTTGTGCTAATTTACATTCCCACCAACTGTGTACAGGGGTTCTCTCTTCTCCACATTCTCCCCAGCATTCATTATTGCCAGTCTTTTGGATATAAGCCATTTTAACTGGGGTGAGATGATATCTCATGTTAGCTTTCTTTCGCATTTCTCTGATGATCAATGATATTGAGCACCTTTTCACATGCCTGTTTGCCATTTGTGTGTCTTCTTTTGAGAAATGTCTATTCAAATCTTTTGCCCATGTTTTGATCGGATTAATAGATTGACTGGTCTGTTCAGATTTTGAATTTCTTCCTGGTTCTATCTTGATAGGTTGTATGTGTCTAGGAATTTGTTCATTTCTTCTTGATTTTCCAGTTTTTTGGCATATAGTTGCTTATAGTAGCCACTTAATGATACTTTCAATTTCTGCATATTCATTGTAATATCTTCATTTTCATTTCTGATTTTATTTATTTGCATCTTCTCTCTTGTTTTCTTAGTCTGGCTAAAGTTTTAACAATTTTGTTTAACTTTTCAACTTTTGTTTCATTGATCTATTGTATTGTTTATTTCACTTCAATTTCATTTATTTCTGCTCTGATCTTTGTTTTCTTTTCCTAATTTTGGGTTTGGCTTGCTCTTGCTTTTCTTGTTCTTTAAGATGCATCATTAGATTGTTCATTTGAAGTTTTTTTTCTCTTTTTTGATGCAGGCTTTTATAGCCTTAAACTTCCCTCTCAAAACTGCTTTTGCTGCATCCCATAGGTTTTGGAATGTTGTGTTTCCGTTATTTGTTTTAAGAAATTTTTTTATTTCCTTCTTATTTTCATTGTTGACCCACTGGTCATTCAGAAGCATATTGTTTAATTTCTATGTATTGTATAGTTTCCAAAATTTTTCTTCTTATTAATTTCTAGTTTTATCCCATTGTGGTCAAAGAATCTGCTTGATATTATTTCAGTTTTATGAATGTTTTTAGACTTGTTTCATGACCTAACATATGGTCTATCCTTGAGAATGATACATGTGCTGAGGATAAGAATGTGTATTCTCCAGCTCTTGGATGAAATATTCTGTAAATATCTATTAGATCTATTTGGTCTATAGTGCAGATTAAGTCTAATGTTTCTTTGTTGATTTTCTGTCTGGGAGATCTTTCCAATGCTGAAAGTGGGGTGTTGAAGACTCCAGCTAATATTGTATTCAGGCCTATCTCTCTCTTTAGCTCGAATAATATTTTCTTTGTATATCTGGTGCTCCAGTGTTGGGTGCATACATATTAAAATTGTTATATTCTCTTGCTGAATTGACCCCTTTATCGTTACATAGTGACCTTCTTTGTCTCTTCTTACGGTTTTGTTATGTAATCTTTTTTGCCTGATATAAATATATTGACTCCTGCTCTTTTTTGGTTTCCATTGACATGGAATATCTTTTTTTCATCCCTCTATTTTGTCTATGTATATCTTTATAGGTGAAGTGCATTTCTTGTAGGTAATAGATCAGTGTGTCTTGTTTTTTCATTCATTAAGCCAGTCTATGTCTTTTAATTGGAGAGTTTATTTACATTCAATGTTATTTCTGATAAGTATGGACTTACTCCTGCCATTTTGTTATTTGTTTTCTGGTTGTATTGAGGTCTTCTCTTTGTTCTCTTTTTTCCTTCCTATCTTCCTCTAGTGAAGGTGATTTTCTCTGGTGATATGATTTAGTTTCTTGCGTTTTATTTTTTGTGTGTTCATTGTATGTTTGTTTGAGGTTACCATGAGGCTTGCAAATACTATCTTATAGTCCGTTATTTTAACCTGATAACAACTTAACCCTGTTTGCATAACAAACAAGCAAAAAGAAAACTAATAAAACTCTGTGCTTTAACTTCATCCTCCACTTTTTAACTTTTTGTTGTTGCTATTTACATCTTATTTTACTGACTATGTCTTGGAAAGTTGTTGCGGTTATTATTTTTGATTGGCTCATCAGTTAGTCTTTCCACTTAGGAGAAGAGTAGTTTATACACCACAGTTACAGTGTTAGAATATTCTGTGTTTGACTATTACCAGTGAGTTTTGTACCTTCAGGTGATTATTTACTGCTCATCAATGTCCTTTTTTCCTGATTGAAGTACTCTTTGTAGCGTTTCTTGTAGGGCAGGCCTGGTATTGATGAAATTCCTCAGCTTTTGTTTGTCTGGGAAAGTATTTTTCCTTCATGTTTGAAGGATATTTTCACCAGATATACTATTCTAGTGTAAAAGTTTTTTTGCTTCAGCTCTTCAAATATGTCATGTCACTTTCTCCTGGCCTGTAAGGTTTCCACTGAGAAGTCTGCTGCCAGACATATTGGAGCTCCATTGTATATTATTTGTTTCTTTTCTCTTTTAGGATCCTTTCTTTATCCTTGACCTTGGGGAGTTTGATTATTAAATGCTTGAAGTAGTCTTCTTTGGATTAAATCTTCTTGGTATTCTGTAACCTTCTTGTACTTGGATATTGGTATCTTTCTCTAGGTTTGGGAAGTTCTCTGTTATTATCCTTTTGGGTAAATGTTCTATCCCTATCTCTTTCTCTACCTCCTCTTTAAGGCCAATAATTCTTAGATTTGCCCTTTGAGGCTATTTTCTAGATCCTGTAGGTGTCCTTCATTGTTTTTTACTCTTTTTTCTTTTGTGTCCTCTGACTGTATTTTCAATACCTTATCTTCTAGCTCACTAATTCTTTCTTCTGCTTCATCAATTCTGCCATTAAGGGACTCCAATGCATTCTTCATTATGTCAATTGCATTTTTCAGCTCCAGAATTTCTGCTTGACTTTTAGAGATTATTTTAGTCTCTTTGTTAAATTTATCTTATAGAATTCTGAATTCCTTCTCTGTATTATCTTGAATTTCTTTGACTTTCTTCAACACAACTAAGTTGAATTCTCTGTCTGAAAGGTTCCATATCTCTGTTTCTCCAGGATGCCTGGTGCCTTATTTAGTTCATTTGGTCCTCGATGCCTTGTTTAGTCCATCTGGTGAGGTTATGATTTTCTGGATGGTATTGATGCTAATAGATGTCCTTCAATGTCTGGGCATTAAAGAGTTAGGTATTGGCCAGGTGCAGTGGCTCATGCCTGTAATCCCAACACTTTGTGAGGCCTAGGTGGGTGGATCACCTGAGGTCAGGAGTTTGAGACCAGCCTGGCCAACATGGTGAAACCCCGTCTCTACTAAAAATACAAAAATTAGCTGGGCATGCTGACAGGCGCCTGTAATCCTAGCTACTCAGGAGGCTGAAGCATGAGAATCACTTGAACCCGGGAGGCAGAGGTTGCAGTGAGCCGAGATCGTGCCACTGCATTCCAGCCTGGGCGACAGAGTGAGACTTTGTCTCAAAAAAAAAAGTCGGGGGATATTTATTCTAGTCTTCACTGTCTGGTCTTATTTGTAGCCATCCTCCTTGGGAAGGCTTTCCAGATATTTGAAAGAATGAGGTGTTCTGATCTTAGCTGTTTCTACTTTATGGGGCACCCCAAGCCCAGTAATGCTGTGGTTCTTGCAGACTCATAGAGGTACCACCTTGATGGTCTTGGACAAGATCTGAAAGAATTCTCTGTATTACTAGGCAGAGGCTCTTGTTCTCTTTCCTTACTTTCTCCCAAACAAACAGAATCTTTCTCTGTTCTGAGCCACCTAAATCTGGTGGGTTTAGTGACACAGGCTCCCCTGTGGCCACCACCACTATGACTGTGCTGGGTCAGCGCTGAAACCAGCACAGCACTGGATCTTGCGCAAGGCCTACTGTAACTGCTCCCTGGCTAGTGCCTATATTTGCTCAGGGTCCTGGAGTTCTACAGTCAGCAGGTGGCAAAGCCAGACAGGCCTATGTCCTTCCCTTCAGGACAGTGAGGTCCCCCAGGCCCCAAGTGCATCCAGAGGTGCTGTCCAGGAGTCAGAGACTAGAGTCAAAATCATTAGAGGTCTACCTTGTATTATTTTTAAATTTATTTTTATTTTTTAATTTAACCTTTAAGTTCAGTGGTACATGTGCAGGCTTGTTACATAGGTAAACTTGTGTCATGGGGGTTTATTGTACAGATTATTTCATCACCAAGGTATTAAGCCTAGTACCCATTAGTTATTTTTCCTGATCCTCTCCGTCCTCCCACCTCTTGTATTGCGGCTGGGCTGGTACTCAAACCCCAAGACACAGTCCTTCCCACTCTTCCCTCCCTTTTCAAAGATAGAGGAGCTTAATCCAGTAGCCACCACCACCCTAGGCCCTAAGGAATACTGCCACACTACACACTATCAGTAGATGTTCCCTTAAGGCCCAAGGGCTCTTAAGTCAGCTTGTAGTGAATGCTGTCTGGCCTGGGACTCACCCTTCAGGGCAGTGGACTCCCCTCTGGCCCAGGGCAGGTCCAGAAATGCTGTCCAAGAGTCAAGTCCTGGAATCTGGGACCCCAAGTGCCTGCTTGGTGCTCTGCTGCCCTGTGGCCATGATGGTACCTGAAGCCAGCAAGTCTCAGATGCTCAGCCGAGGCCCTTGACGTAGTACTTGGGCATCACTGCTGCTCATTCAGGGCCCAAGTGTTCTTCAGTTAGCAGGTGATGAGTGCTGCCAGGACCAGGTCTTTTTCTTCAAGGCATTGGGTTGCCCTCTGGCCCAGGGTATATCTAGAAATGTTGTCTGGGAGCTAGAACCTGAAATGGGGGCCTCACGACTGACTGGTGCCCTATCCTCCTGTGGCTGAGCCTGGTATCCAAGATGCAAGACAAAGTCTTCCTCGCTCTTCCCTCTCCTCTCCTTAAGTGGAAGGAGGGGGTCTCTTTTGGAGCCTGGAGCTGTGTAGCCTGGGTTTAGGGGAGGGGTGATGCCAGCACTCCCCTAGCCACCCCAGCTGGAGTCTAAATATGTCACATGCTTCCCCGGTCCAAAGTCTTGGGCCTAGTTCAGCACTAGGACTCACTTAAGAGTTGCAGTCCTTAGGATCTAGACTTCCTTTCAAGTTTACTTGGAGACTCAGAGCACTGTAGCCCTCTGTGGGGAGGCTTGCAGGCACTCTAGCTCTGACCACTGGGATCAATGATTCCCCTCTGGCTAGGGCTGGTTTGAATGCTTCCTCGGTGGTTGGGCATCAGCTGAGTTCGTTCTGGTTTCTTTTCTGCTCTAACAGGACAGCACTGAGTTCAATGCCTCCCAATTGCTGTGTTCTCCTGCCCCCAGCCCCTAGCCCTCAGAGATGCTCTAGGCACCATGCTGCCACTGCCAGGGGTGAGGGAGGGATGGGATTGGGGATTCTGTACTTTTTTTTCTATCTCTCTAGTGCCTCTTCCAGTGATACGAAGTTAAAACCAGGTACTATGACTGCTTGCCTGCTGACTTTTGGTTCTTATGAAGGTGTTTTTTTTTCCTGTGTAGATAGTTGTTAACTTAGTGTCCTTGCTGGGCGGGGGGGTGGGGGGGGGGGCGACGATCGGTGGTACTTTCTATTCCATCATCTTGCTCCACCTCCTCTTCCCTACCTAATAACTTTCTTGACACCTCAACTTAGTGTTCTAATAGGCATCTCAAACATTTGTTTAAAACTTAGTATCTTATCTTCTCCCCACAATCTGTTTAACCCACAGTCTTTTCCATCTCAGTTAATGGCAAGCCTATCTTTCCAGTTGCTCTAGTGCAACACCTTGGGGCTGTATTTGATTTCTCTATCATACCTCAAATCCAATTTATCAATAAATCCTATTTACTCTACATCCAGCGTATTTACAGAAGCAGACCATATCCACTGCTATCATCATGGTCCAAACCACTATCATCTCTTGCCTGGATTATTGCATTAGTCTTTAATCTGTTTACTCCACTCATGACCTTCTGCAATTGATTCTCCATGTAGAAACTAGAGCAATCTCCTAAAAAATGTTTGTTAGATCATGTCACTCTTTTGTCGAATACATTCTCAGAATAAAAGCCAAAGTTCTTTTGCAATGGCATATAAGGCCCTACACAATATGTTCCAAAAGGACAAGGGTTATTATGCTTTGCTCACTGATATTTCCACAGGAGCCTGAACAGTGCTCAATACCACAGTAGGTGCTCACTAAGTATCTGTTGATTGAAGAAATGAAAGCAACATGGGGTGAAAGGTTATTCAGTTAGTAAATAGCTGAGATGGAATTTAAACCCTGTTTGATCTAACTTCAATGGCATTCCTTTTTTAAAAATCACTTTTCTAGTGTTCAATTTTTTTATATTGAAGACTCAAATCTTTTAGCTCTTTGCCTAATGACTTGTCTGTTTCCTTCTTTCTCGTGTGCCTTAATAAGTTTTGACTGGATAAAAATGGATTGGTGGTTGCGGTGGTGACAGGACGTGGTTTGCTAAGGTGTTTTGTTTACATGGTTTTAAGATGGGAGAATGAAGGGTGTGACTGTTATCTCCTTTCCTAGTGACAAATATGAATCTACGAGGTAAGGTAAGGGACTACATAGGGGGAACTTGCCTCTCTTCTTGGATTGTGATTTTTATGTAACTAAAAATTCATTCTACAGCCTGAAAGCAATGCTTTCTAAGCTTGTGACAGAATGTATCACAGCATTCCACTAGAAAATAGCAGGTCTACTTATCTTTCAATAATTCCTTTTATTCTGTCAATGCCAGAGATGGAGACCCAGTCTTTTTGTAATAAGCCTTTATGTTTTAGAGATCATTATTAAAACACCTCCTGTCCTTCTTAGGTTTAAATAATGTCAAATCATTTCAGCTTTATTCTTAAGTCCTATTTCTATATCTTTAATCATTTTTATTTCTTTGCTGTAAGTCCTCTTTACATTCTTCAAATATGAAAAATTGAAGGACCTCTATTGGCAACCACCAAGAGGAAATTTTTCTGTCTTAGTTTTTAATGTATAAACACAGACATGATTAATTACATAGACTTTTCTGAAGCAAATGCTTACCCAGAATACAGATATATTCCTAGTGTAAATAATATTATAATGCTGCTTTACATCTTAGTGACATTTCTGACTTTTAGTTTTTATAATATTATTCAGTCACTTTAGATGCCCTTAAAAAACTCTCCTTTATGTACACAATATACTCTAAATCTGTTTAAAATGTGGTCCCTACTTTCTATAGCCTTATGATCTGTGTACCGTTGTAGGTTTTAGATTTAGAACAGCAAGCTTTTAAATTATGAGTGGAATGACTACTGCAGTATTGCAATGAGATTGTAAAGAAAAACTTCCATTCTTACAAAAAATAATTTCATAATATTTGCATTGCTTCCACATATATTACCAAACTACTTCCTTTTTGCTAGGCTAAGAGACTGTAATTTGGAAAAAGAGTTCTGGGAGCTTACTTACAAATATAATCCCCCAACCCCGAAAAATAACAGAAAAGACAAGGAGTAAACAATTTGTTCCTGCTTACTTTCTGATCTTATGTTTTAAGAACTGAGATCAAAAGAGATCACTATTACAAGGGTCAAGTACAGGATCATCTCTTTTATATAGATTTAACCAATAAGAAAATTCCTAACTCATCCTTAAAATGCAGGAATAAGATGTATCTGATGCACTCTGGTTAGCTTTTAAGATGACTTGCAAATTTGTTTAGTGGTGATAATGTGACTTACATATATTGTGCATTTTGATCTTTATGTGCTTTTGATAGCAATGAACTAAGAACTATGATTTTTTTGGGAAAGGGAAGAGATATTTTTTCTTAAGTCCTTCTTTGGCTTTGAAGAGATGTTTTCTGAGAAAGATGCTTTTCTTTGTTTCTAGAAGAATTTTATTTTTTCAAATAATAATTTGTAGATGAAATTCTCATAAATCAAGTCAGTTTACTTTGAAGGCATTTGATTATGTGTTAAAATTCCTTCTTCCTTAAATATCAGTAAATTGCTGTGAGATACAATTGGTAAAATTTTTATTATCCAAATCCCAGCTAATCATACCACTTTTTGGAATCATTACATTTATTATGTAAATTAGTTTTGTAGAACAAGGCAGAGACAGTACTTGTCTTTCGTTGGTTTTGGAGGACAGGATTTTGTTATTCTTGTTGTTGTTTCAAAAGAGAAAATTCCAAGACCTGGACTGGATTCAATGCAAACCTCAATCTACTTTAACCTTGAAATTTTAGCTTACTTTTAAATTAGTAATTGTCAAACAAGCCAGGATCAGCTCCCATCAAAGGGTATATGAAAAGTGTATTGAAGTTAAAAAAAGAGCATTTTTCTGGTTGTTATTAATTTGGTCAGTGCTGTTCAGTAGAAACTTCTGTAAATATGAAAACGTCCTTTATCTGTGCAATGTAATACACATGTGGCTATGAGCATTTGAAATGTGGCTACTGAATTGAATTGAATTTATAATTTGATAAATTCAATTGAATTCGATGTATCGAATTCATAATTTAGTTTTATTTAATTCATTTTATTTTAAATATAGGTGGCCACACATGGGTACTAGTGGACAACAGGGAATTAGAGTACTGAATTATTGAGAACACCACATCCCCTAAGTATGTCAGTGAACAATCTTGACCAGACTTCCTTATTCAGAACTCACATGCACCTTTCTGGCAAAAGATTTTTTTTTTTAAAAAAAATCACATTTAGAGTCCCTTTGTTGATACGAGCAACCATACGGGGCATCTCATCAGTTGGGGGGAGAGTCTCAGAGTATCCATAGTATCCAGTATCCATAAGGAGACAAAAGGAGACATGCTAACTGGGCTCTGTACCCACCTTCTAATTGCAGGAGATAAGGGTTTCTTTATAATCAGTATTTTAACCTTAGAAACTTCCAAGCTATGTAGGATTCTACAAAGACATATTTTATCACCTAGGGTTCTAGAGATAGTGGGTTTTTATTTTGAAATTTATTTTTACTTTTTTTTTTGAGATAAGGTCTTGCTCTGTCACTGAGGCTGGAGTGCATTGGCGCGATCACAGCTCACTGCAGCCTTGACCTCCCAGGCTCAAATGATCATCTCACCCCAGTCTCTGGAGTAACTGGGACTACAGGTGCAGGGCACCATGCCTGGTTTTTTAAAAAAAATCTAGATTTTTTGTAGAAACGTGGTCTCACTGTGTCGCCCAGGCTGGTCTCACACTCCTGGGTTCAAGAGCTCCTACTGCCTCTGCCTCCCAAAGTGCTGGGGTTACAGGCATGAGCCACCATGCCTGGCTAGATAGCAGGTTTTTAACCTGAGGGATGGTGAGATACTGCATTATTCTGTTTTCACGCTGTGGATAAAGACATACCCGAGACTGGACAATTTACAAAAGAAAAAGGTTTAATCGACTTACAGTTCCACGTGGCTGGGGAGGCCTCACAATCATGGCAGAAGTCAAGGAGGAGCAAGTCGCATCTTGTGCGGATGGCAACGGGCAGGGAGAGTTGTGCAGGCAAACTCCCACTTGTTCAAACTCATGATCTTGTGAGACTTATTTACTATCACTAGAACAGCACAGAAAAGATCCTCCCACCGGGTCCCTCCCACAACACATGGGGATTATGAGAGCTACAAGATGAAATTTGGAGTGGGGGACACAGAGCCAAACCATATCAGATACCAAGGGCTGCTCTTGACATTTCAGTTTTGTAGATTTGTCAGGGCCCAGTGGGAAACAAAAGGAAATAAAGCCTGTTTTTATGAAGTTTCTTGTTTTCCAGATTTGAATCTTGCTAGAAGAGGAGGTTGCACCCCCCATGACAACACTGAGAGGACATTTTTAGGTAGTTGTCTTTACTTGGGGCTTATGGACCAAATTGGTTCTGATATCTATCACTGCATACCAAACCACCCCAAATTTAGTGGCATAAAACAATAGTTATTTATTTGTCTCACAAATCTGCAGTTTGGACACTGTTCAGTGATGACCGCTCATCTCTGCTCCATGTGATATAAGTTGGGGCAGATGGAAGTCTGGAGGTGACTCAGAGGTTGGGAGTCTGAAATCATAAGAAGGCGAATTTTTCATGTTTGGTGGTGGATGCTGGCTATTAGCGAGAACATCTCCATGTGTCTCCTTTATGTGGCTGTTTGGCTTTCTCTCAGTATGGCAGCTAGCTTCCAAAGCAAGACAAGGACTCCAGGCAGAAGCTGTTATCGCCTTTTATGACTTAGCTTTGCCAGTCATCTAACATCACTTTTGTGATAGTCACAGATCAACCCAGATTCAAAGGGAGGGACATAGATCCCACCTGCTTATGAGATAAGGACGAATGCTTTGGGGCACCTTGAATTTATAGGCTCTTTTTAAATGTGCATTTTTCTGTGGATAGCAACGTGACTTGATATGATTTTCAAACTAACATCAATTTATAAAATTTTTTATGATCTAATGGGAAATGCAGGCTTCTTTATTATCCAACTTAGGTCACAGTCTTGGAAGTTAAAGAATAGTATGGCATGTGACACTGCTTAATGTTGTATAGGTCAGTGTTTCTCAAGCTTTAGTGTGCATACAAATCACATGGGGATCTTATTAAAAATGCAGATTCTTATTTAATAGGTCTGGGGGTGGAGCATGTCTAAGTTGGTCTTGAGATTCTGTATTTCATTTTTTAATTTTAGATTCAGGGGATACATGTGTGGGTTTGTTACACGAGTATATTGTATAATGCTGAGGTTTTGGCTTCTATTGAACCCATCACCCAAATAGTGAACAAGTACTTAATAGGTACTTTTCTAACCCTTATTCCCCTTATCCCCTCTTTTGGAGTCTCCAGTGTCTATCGTTCCCCTCTTTATGTCCATGTGTACCCAGTATTTAGCTCCTACTTATAAGTGAGAACATGTGATATTTGATTTTCTGTTCTTCATTAATTTGCTTAGGATAATGGCTTCCAGCTGCATCCATGTTGCTGCAAAGGGCATGATTTTGTTTTTTCTTATGGCTGCATAGTATTCCATGGTGTATGTGTACCACATTTTCTTCATTCAATCAATCATTGATGAGCACTTAGATTGATTCTATGACTTTGCTATTGTGAATAGTGTTGTGATAAATGTACGAGTATAGATTTGTTTTTGATGGAATGATTTCTTTTCCTTTGGGTAGATACCCATTAGTGGGATTGCTGGGTCCAATAGTAGTTCCATTTTTAGTTGTTTGAGAAATACGTATTTCTAACAACTTTTCCAGTGATGCTGATACTGCTGGTCTGTGGTCAACCACACTTTGAGCAGCAAGAACATAAATGTTTCCCCCTATTCTGTTTTGGAGCTTTGGGTAGCTACATATTATCATTGAATATATCATAATTGTTAATAATTATAATGGCTAATGATTGCACAATCAAGTGACATAACATGAGCAAACTTCCCAGCACATAGTAGCTACAAATAATTCATCCATAAATCCTTGATCTGCCCACATTTTCTCTTGGAGTAACACACTACCAAGATCAGTCCTGTGTTCATTGGGTTGTACACAGCACAACTACAGAGAGTGTCAATTACAACTACAGTTGGGCTGTACACAGCACAACTACAGAGCATGTCAATTACGTAGATCAATATATGAAATTGACTCTTGGAGTTGTGAAATACAGTGGCCCTGAATGGTCTCAAAAACAAAAGAGAAACAATATTATTTAGAAAGGTCTTCCTAATCTTTTCAACTGTTCTTGCTTCCATCTGTATTGTTTTGAATTATCATTCCTGAATTGGATCCTAGTTTTGTTAACTCATTGACTTCTAGCATTGGATGATACTATCTGAAACCCAATCCCCCAGTGTCCTCACCAGCCTGGTTCCCAGCTCTTATTCTCTTATCAAAGTTATTGGTTGAGGATAGTAGGTGATTAAATATTATTGCATAAGCAATAGCAAACATATAGAGGGGCTTTATTTCAATCCCTATTTTAGGTCACATAAGTAACAGAGGATAAGGAAATCTGTAGTCTTTTTGGTAGTATTACAGCCTGCATGATTTTGGCTATAGCCTAGGGTTAATTTCACATTTTTCTTTCAGAAGCTACCCATTGTACACAGAGATAATACTCTCATTTTAAAAAGTTAAATAATGTACCAGGGAAACAAGAGTTACAGATTTTTTTTTTATTTTTTACTATTTTTTTTAATTATTATTATACTTTTAAGTTTTAGGGTACATGTGCACATTGTGCAGGTTAGTTACATATGTATACATGTGCCATGCTGGTGCACTGCACCCACTAACTCATCATCTAGCATTAGGTATATCTCCCAGTGCTATCCCTCCCCCCTCCCCCCACCCCACAACAGTCCCCAGAGTGTGATATTCCCCTTCCTGTGTCCATGTGATCTCATTGTTCAATTCCCACCTATGAGTGAGAATATGCGGTGTTTGGTTAAAATAATTTTTTATTCCGAAACTATGAGGTATACTAGGTGCTGTGGTCTCTGAAGGACATGGCTGCCTAATGACAACATTGATTTCTCTGGAGTAGCTGCCTCACTGGAATAACTGAAATTATTTTAGCAGAAGCACAACCAGTTTACAATTTACAATTGCATCTCATGTGTGTGTAACTTTTTTCTTTCATACTGAACTTGTTAGTTCACAAACCCCCATGTCTACCAATCAAAAGTTACTTGATTACTTCCAGATTTAAATGTCAGTTCAGGATTTAAACTCAATCAATTCAATATTTTTCTATGCTTCTTCACTTTACCTAGGGGTATTATAAGGTCCTGCAGAATTTATGTGGAATTCATACATTTTCCTGGCTGTATCAGTTATTTATTGCTGTGTAACAAGACACTACAGAACTCAGTGGCTTTAAATAATAAACACGAATTATTGCTCACAAGTTTTCAGCTGGGTGTTTCTTATGGTCTCAGCTGTGTTCATTTAGGTATCTGCTGCCCTACTGATTTTTCTGGGGTTCATTTACGCATCTGGTGGTCATGTGTCAACAGTCTGGTCTACGATGGCTTTTACTGAGATAACTGAACTTTCCTGAAAGTGATCTGTTATCCTCTGGCAGGGTAGCCCAAGCTTGTTCATGTGGTGGTGCTGCCAGGATTCCAAAAGAGTATGTGAAAAGACAAATGGTCTCTTGAGACTCAGGCTCAGAACTGGCACACCACAACTGTACTTCACTCTGTTGGCCAAAGTATGTCAAAAGGCTAAATGAGTTTCAAGAGTTGCGGAAATAGATTCGACTTCTTGACGGGAATTGCCACAAAGTCACATTTCAAAGAATGTCAACCCAAATAGGGGTAAAGTTATAACCGTTTTTGCAAGGAATCTACTACACAGGCATTAGAAGAGAAGCATCAGCTTTGTCTGAAAACCCCTGTCCTTGCTAACCTTTGCTTTAGTCCATGAGGCTGTTCGACATCAAGCTCTTTGCTTGGATCCACAACTAAGTGTCTCAGTTTTCTATGATGGTCTTTGCTCATGGTGTCTATGTACTTTGTGTTCTCTTCATCCTTATACCAGATTCCTTTGGGTGTCCATTTTATTTCTTAGTCAATTTGGAGCTACTCCCACACTACATTTATTACCTTCAGACCTGTTACTACATAGCACATTATACATTTTACTGAGTTATGTGATTTTTTATCTGTCTGCACCAATTAGGAGAGACTGGCTTTTGCCTGTTTTAATTATTATTATATCCTCAGCACCAAAACCAGTGACTAGAACATGATAGTCCCCTGGAGAAATTAGTTGAATGAATAAATGATTGAATGAGAGGACTTAGTGAGTTCTCCTCCATGTCCATCTGCCCACAGACTCCCTAATGTTTGGATTCTCTACTACTGAATTCTCAGTACTTTATATGGTTTGGCTCTGTGTCCCCACCCAAATCTCATCTCAAATTGTAATCCCCAGATGTGGAGGGAGGGAAGCTATTAAACTATGGGGGTGGTTCCCCCCATGCTGTTCACTCATGGAGCTGATGGTTTTCTAAATGGTATTTTTTCCTGTGCTCACACATGCTCTCTCCTGCCACCTTGTGAAGAAGGTGCCTGCTTCCCCTTCCACCATGATTACAAGTATTCTCAGGCTTCCCTAGCCATGTGGAACTATGAGTCAATTAAACCTCTTTATAAATTACCCAGTGTTGAGTGTTTTTTATAGCAGTGTAAAAACAAATTAATACAGTAAATTGGTACCATGAAAAGTGGGGCACTGCTATAAAGATACTTGAAAATGTGGAAGTGACTTTGGAACTGGGTAATGGGAAGAGGTTGGAACCTCTGCCCAGAAGTTTGGAGGGCGTAGAAGAAGACAGGAAGATGCGAGAAAGTTTGGAGCTTCCTAGAGACTTGTTGAATGGTTTTGACCAAAATGCTGATAGTGATGTGAACAATGAAGTCCAGGCTGAGGTGGTCTCAGATAGAGATGAGGAACTTATTGAAAACTGGAGTAAAGGTCACTCGTGCTATGCTTTATCAAAGAGACCGGTGGCATTTTGCCCCTGCGCTAGAGATCTGTAGAACTTTGAACTTGAGAGAGATGATTTAGGGTATCTGGTGGAAGAAATGTCTAAGCAGCAAAGCATTGAAGATGTGACCTGGATTATTCTAAAAGCATTCAGTTTTATGCATTCACAAAGAGATGGTTTGAAATTGGAACTTATGTTTAAAAGGGAAGCAGAGCATAAATGTTCAGAAAATTTGCAGCCTGACAATGTGATAGAAAAGAAAATCTCATTTTCTGAGGGGAAATTCAAGCAGGCTGCAGAAATTTGCATAAGTAACGAGAAACTGAATGCTAATCCCCAAGACAATGGGGAAAATGTCTCCAGGGCATGTCAGAGACCTTGGCAGCAGCCCCTGCCATCACAGGCCCAGAGGACTAGGAGGAAAAATGGCTTCCTGGGCTGGGCCCAGGGCCCCTGCTGCTCTGTACTGCCTCAGGACATGGCACCCTGCTTCCAAGCTGCTTCAGCTCCAGTCGTGGCTAAAAGGGGCCAAGGTACAGCTCAGGTGGTTGCTTCAGAGGGTGCAAGCCCCAAGCCTTGGCAGGTTCCACGTGTTGCTGGGCCTACAGGTGCATAGAAGTCATGAATTGAGGTTTGGGAATCTTTGCCTAGATTTCAGAGGATGTTTGGAAACACCTGGATGTCCAGGCAGAAGTATGTTGCAGGGGCAGAGCCCTCATAGAGAACCTCTGCTACGGCAGTGTGGAAGGGAAATGTGGGGTCGAAGCCCCGACACAGAGTCCCCACTGGGGTACTGCCTAGTGGAGCTGTGAGAAGAGGGACACCATTCTCCAGACCCCAGAATGGTAGATCTACTGACAGCTTGTGCCATGTGCCTAGAAAAGCCGCACACACTCAATGCCAGTAAGGAAAAGCAGCCTGGAGGCAGGTTGTACCCTGCAAAGCCACAGGGGAGGAGCTGCCCAAGACCATGGGAGCCCACCTCTTGCATCAGTGTGACCTGGATGTGAGACCTGGAGTTGAAGGAGATCATTTTGGAGCTTTAAGATTTAGTGACTCTTCTGTTGGATTTCAGACTTGCATGGGGCTTGTAATCCCTTTGTTTTTGCCAATTTCTCCCATTTGGAATGGGACCATTTTCCCAGTGCCTGTACCCCCATCGTATCTTGGAAGTAACTAACTTGCTTTTGGTTTTACAGGCTCATAGATGGAAGGGAAGGGACTTGACTTGTCTCACATGAGACTTTGGACTTGGACCTTTAAGTTAATGCTGTAATGAGTTAAGACTTTGAAGGATTGTTGGGAAGGCATGGTTGGTTTTGAAATGTAAGGATGTGAAATCTCGGAGGGGCCATTGTTGGAATGATATGGTTTGGTTCTTTATCCTTACCCAAATCTCATCTTGAATTTTAATCCCCAAAGGTCAAGGGAGGGACCTGTAATCCCCCCATGTAGAGAGAAAGAAGTGATTGGATTATGGGAACAGTTTTCTCCTTGCTGTTTTCATGATAGGGAGTGAATTCTCATTTGATCTGATGGTTTCATAAATGGTAGTTTTTCCTGCACTCACACACGCAGCCTCTCCTGCTGCCTTGTGAAGAAGGTGCCTGCTTTCCCTTCTGCTGTGATTGTAAGTTTCCTGAGGCCTCCGCAGCCATATGGAACTGTGAGTCAATTAAACCTCTTTCCTTTATAAACTACCCAGTGTCAAGGGTTCTTTATAGTAGTATGAAAACAAACTAATACAGTTCTCTAAGCTGCCAGGTCTTAATACACATGACAAGCCTCTGTAATTAAAAAAAGCAAAATAATTTGTCTCTCTTCCAAGTTCATAGCTCTTGAGATTGAAAACCATGGCTTTCAGAAATATTATGTGTACTATTTGTCTGTTTTCATTTTTATTTCTTGCAGAAGCTCAATTAACTTTTTGACTGTGTTCATCCTCCCCTTGAGGATGCTGAATGGTGAAAAGAAAAGGTCTCAAGGAAACTTATAGAGGGAAAAACCCTCAATTAATATCTCAAAATATTATTTAGCTTCATAAGTTAAAACGTTGCCATTTCTAGCTGATTCTCATTGTGGTGGTTACTCAGAAGACTGAAAGTTTAGCTGAGCCATGGAATTTCATTGAATAAATTTTGTTTTTCAGAATTTCAGGCAAGAATGTCATGTCTAAACTATTTCATGATAGGTAAGATTGTACTAAGTTGAGTGTCAAAATTACAAACTTGTGTTGTTGCTGTTTTTAATGATCTCTTTGTAAAGCTTCATTAACATTTATGGAAGAAAGCACCAGTATGAATTACTGAGAAAATATAAATAACTATGTTAAAATAAGCCCAGGTATGCCTGAAGAATAGCTTAGATTACCTATGTACCAAGTTTCCCAAAATTTAGCCCAAGAATTATTAAGTCATTATCAAGGTTGTTCTTTCTACTTTATTTTTCTTTTCTGATCTGTTTTCAAGGATGTCAGACTACCTTTCCCCAGCCTTACATACTATAAGGCCACTGGTTAAAAACTATATGTAACTCATTGTTACCCATTAGATACAGTCCAGATTTCTTCTTTTGGTGTTCAAGATTTACTACAGGTTCAAAGTTGCTACAAGTCCAAATACATTTTCATACTTTATATTCTGTTTTTACCACTCCTGTGCAACAGTACAGATGTATTGTTCTTAAAAGCTGTCTACTATGTTACGAAAGCTGTCTGTGAAACAGTAAGCTAAAACTCAGTCTATGATGTAGATGTGAAGTGGGTCATGGTTAGATAATATGGTATTAAATCTAGCAAAGGATGTCATACCAGCAGAGGGAAGACTCTAGAGTCGTATTCTATGATAAAGCCAATCAAAATTGATACAAGGAAGGAATGCGTATTACAGTGTTTTATAGTCATTCAGCCAAATGCATATGGGTAGACCTTCTCTTCAGTGCCTCACCACTGGTGAGGCACTGAAGAGTATCATACTTTGAAGTACCACTTCCAAGTATCATGCTGGGCACTTATTTACTCTGGATCATCCACATGATCCACATGAGCCCTGCAAACCAACCAGATTCTTCTCATTATTTTCAGAAGCATTATTATTTATTCTAAAAAGAAAGGAAAGTTACTTTTTTTTTGAGAATTTACTGTATGCCAGTTTCAACCTGACCGATTTGTCAGCAGCTATGCCCATTATACCTCTTGTTAGTAATAAGGGGCCTGTTCTTTTTTTTTCTCTCTTTTATTTTTTATCTTTTGGGTACCATCAGTACAGATAAGCTGTTTATTTTAAGATAAAATTACTTGAGATTTAGGTTGTAGAATGCCAGTTTATTTTCTGAATTATGATAAGCTCCAACTCTTAGAAGATTTATGTAAATTATTCATAGGAGTGTTTAGATTTGTATAAATAAACCTGGTCAAGTAAAACTTTGACTTTTTATATTTCTGGGAATAAGAAAAGACATCTTAGGTAGCTATTCCACCCTTTATAACTTTTTTGCTATAATTATGCATATTCTATATTTACTGATGGATATCAAACAGTTAACTTCTAGATGTGCCAAGAGATGAGCAATTTCTTTGTAGAAGATTTTGGTTACTGTTTTTGTTTTTGGCAAGATTCAGTGGATATGGCTGAAAAATGTAAGAGTGATAGGGGAAAATAATTCTAGTTGTTAGGTACATATAAATAGTAGGAAGGGCAATACTTTTAAAATTGAAATCTCTACACTCAAAGATAATACACAGCAGTAAAAGCTAAGAGAATACAGTATTTGAGAGAGTTATGGACAAAGACATATCTCCTTGTATATCATTTGAAGCAAGGAAGAAGAATCACATAAAGTATATAATGTTAGAGCTATAATGTATACTCTATTTCAAAGGAAGAATTGATTTGTATCACAGTTCCTGAAACCAAAGGTTTATTTTATAAGAATTTCACATTTTTGAAACTGGGCCTCTGCTATGGACTATTTTTGTTGCCCCCTGAAATTCATATGTTGAAGCCTTAATCCTCTGTGTGACGGTATTTGGAGTTAGTGTCTTTGGGAAGTAATTAAGTCACGAGGGTGGAGCCTCCATGATGAGATTAGTACCCCAAAAAGAACAGACACAAGAAAGATGATCTCTCACCCATGTGGAGGATACAGCAAGAAGGTATCTATCTGCAAACCAGGAAGAGGACCCTCACTGGGCGCTGAAACAGCTGGCACCTTGATCTTGGACTTCCTAGCCTGTAGAACTGTGAGGAATAAATTTGTATGGTTTATGCCACCAAGTCTGTGATATTTTTGTTGTGGCAGCCTGAACTGATTAAAGCAGCTTCAATATGATTTTTTTGCCACTTAGGAACAGAAATTGTGTCCTTCCACTAATTAATCGTCAGACATCTACTGAGTATTTTCTACATATAAGGTTCTGCAGTAGACATTAGCACTCTTTAAGTGCAGTAAAGTTGCTCCTCCTCTTGAAGAGTTTATAGTTTTCTAGAAAGGATTACTTGAACAAAACATTCTTGGTTTCCAGAATGATATTTTTTTTTTAGTTTTTTTCCTCCCCCTAGCACTTTAGTTAGTTTTGCTGTTCTCCTTTTTTGGTACCTTTTCTTTCACCTTTCTTAGTGTTGACATTTCCAAGTTTCCATTAAAATCTCTGTTTGCATGATCTCATCTTTTAACTGGGCTTTACTTACTACCCATATAATTACAACACAAACAAATCTTTCTCTAAATTGAACACATGTGCCCTAAAATCTGGTTCCACATGACCAGGGTTACTTTATAATTTATTGACAAAACTGGAACATTTTGGAGAAGTGAAAGGTGGTACTATTAATACTTTTTTCTGGGATAACAATAATAAATAAGAATTGTCTTGGGCAAATCTTAGATGTGATCACCCTACATGTAACCAATAGCCCATCTGATAGCTCTACTTGGATGTCTTTTAGGCACTTAAAATACAGTGGCCTGAGGGAGATCAGCTTCTTTTTCTTCCATATCTTCCCATCTTACGTTCTCTACTGCCACATTATCATTTCCCACAGTTGCCCAAGTCAGAAATATGGTCAGTATCCCTAACTGCTCCTAATCCCTTACCTTCTGCTCCATAGGTCTGTAAATTCCATCAACATGTTTTCCTTAATAATGAATTCTGAATCTGTCCACTGACTCCATGGTCTCCATGCCTGTTGCGCTTGAGTTGAGGCTCTCAATTTCATTCCCCAATTAGAAAACAGCCTATTCAAGTAGTTATTGACCTTCTGTCTTGACCTCCTTTAATCTATTCTTCACATTGTTGCAAATTGAGTATGTGTATGTGTGTGTGTATCATTCCTCAGTTTAAAATTCTCTAAGCCCCCTCCAAATATCTTTCATGATGTCTTTAGTAGGACATTAAAATTCTCCATGACTTGGCTCTTGTGTAACTCTCACCCTCTTTTGTCATCATTCCTCACCTAAGCCCCACGTTTATGTCTGTTTCTCCCTTAACATCTAGGATAGCCTTCCCTGCCTCTCTTTCATTATATGACTAATTCATATCATTCTTCAAATCTATTATTGGCTGCTAATTCTCCTGGAAACTGTTCCAACTGTTCCTGAATCTATCCTGAACATCTGAATTTTTTCTTCCTTATAGAGTAATTTTGGTTATATTTTCCCCTCATATATTTAGTTATCTCTACCTATTATTTTTTAATGGAAATAAAATTTACATGTAGTGAAATACACAGATCCTATTAGATGAGTTTTGACAAATGTATGCACCTAATTATCCAACAGCCCAATCAAGATATAAAACATTACATCACTCCTAAAAGTTCCCTCATGCCCACATCTAGTCTTCCCCCACAACCCATAGTGGCCATTGTTCTAATTTTTATCACCATAGATAAATTTTGCCAGTCCCTAACTTCATATAAATCACTAATTTTTATCAATTAATGAACCTATATTCATGTTTATAAAAGATATCAGATAGATTTTTTGTTGTACACAGTTGATATAAATGTTTAATGTTGATGAAGAAAACTTTTTAAGTATTTCATAGTGCACTTGCTACAAGAGTCGGAAATTATGGTTACTTTTATAGGCTGGTTTTGCATTTTCTTGGAGTGCTTAAAGCCTATATTTCTGGAATTCAATAGTATATATTTTTTTCTCTTATAAAAATGAGGGCAAGCATGGGTGTCTGCCTCATTCAGCAAGATTCTGCTTAATAAGGCACACTCATAATGTTAGAAAATATGCCAACTGTGAACCAGAATGCATGTAACTTGAGCAAGAGTCCTAATGAGCTCTGTAGGGGCAATTGCGCTTTAGAATTCTGAATAAGGAGAACCTAATTGTCAGCCAAATTTACAGTCAAAGGAGAAGGATCAGTGTGGAGACTGGGAACTATATCACATATTCAGATGAAAACATAGTGTGTTCTGACACAATACTTATTGATTGGGGCTACTTTTATAATAGGGATTTCTGCCTGTAATGGGGGAGTGGGTGGGAATTCTTTGTCAAATTGCAAGGCAAATGAGGGCAAGAGCTTCATCCAGTTTACTACTATAAATTGTTCCCTAACAGTAAGAACAGAGTCTGGCAAATAATAGACACTTAATAAATAGTTAAAAATAAATGAACACATTATTTTGTTAATACATTGGAATAGCTATTGAATTTTTGAGTATCCTATCATATTTAATCTTCTAAGGAAAGGAAGTACTTTCATTTCTTGAAATAATATCTGTTCAGCTCGCCACTGAAATATTGTGGAAAAAATGGAATAGTTGAGACTTTTGGAGGGGCTAATGAGCCTTGCTGGTATTATTGAAGAAGTTTTTATAGTTTTAAATGATCTACAATTGGAGCCAGACTACTTCCACATGACATAGAGGTTAAAGCAGCTAGCATTTTTTCAACTTTTGACCAAAGCATTGCCTTTCTACCCAACCATAGTTCAAGCCCTTTTCAGCAGCCATCTCTACACACAGTGCCCTTCAGTTCTGAAGGGCTATACTTTTGGAAAAAATAATACTTTTCATTTTCTTCAATGTAACCCATGAACCATAGAAATACCCCACATCTATATGGAATTGTTACAGAACTGAGAAAGTAGGTATTGATGGAGGCAAGGGACTAATTCTGACACTTCCTTTTAAGAACCAGGAGCAGTAATTTATCAGACTACATGGAGTTGTAGCTAAGCTACTGAATGTTGCAGGTTGCAAAGTCACTTTGCCTCTAAGGACTTTTAAACAATAAATATCTGCCTTAATGAATGTCATTGCAACTTGTTTATCCCAATGAGAATGTGTTGTCAATTCCAGTGAGCGGGTATTTTGTGCATGTTTCACTGTGGGGTTCAAATCCCATTAAACTAATACTTACCCATGTTCGATAAATTTGTGAAATGTCATTTGAGAGTTTGATACGGAATGTTGGAAATACGAAAATAATATTAATTATTTGAATGGAGGAAAGAAAAAAGTAAGGGGTGTGGCTTGCCAAGTTACCTTGATAAAGTCATTTGACTTCCTTAGACATCAAGCCTCTTGTTTGTAAAATGAGAGGAATATGTTATTGAATCTTTGAAATCCCTATATCTCTAGCTGTGACATTGTAAGCAGTTTATCCTTGCAATAAGAAGAAAGATGAAAAATGGCTTTTTAAAAGGAATTATTCTAATTAAATAATTGAAGAAATTAAAGACCAACGAAAAGGAGGGAAAAATGTTTTCTTCTTGGAGGAAATTTGAAAGCCCATAAAATAATTAAGGAGGTTAATTCCTTGGGTCTTGTTGAGCTGTAAGATGTTATTTTGTTTGGCTCCCAGTGATGGTTAGATTATCCTAAAATTTATTTGAAATGTTATTAAGTAATTAAATATGCTACTGTTACATTTCTCCTGTGGGAAAGACATCAGAAGGGGAGAGACCACGGAAAAGAAGGTTGGAGACAGTTGAAGCTGGGTGATTAAGACCAAACAAGTTCACATCAAAATTAAAAGGGCTCATTTTCAGTGCAACACAGGTTCTTAAAGCACTTTAAGTACAACACAATGCAACTGGTTACTTTATAATTATAAATTCGTTTTGGCTGCGGGAATGAAGTGTTCTTAGTGAGATCTTTTCTGCTCAGCAAGTAGAATTGAAATGTAGGAAAACAGAGCAATGAAAGAAGCTCATGCTGTATGTGGGGCTGAAGCACTGCCATTATGGAGCACCATGGGCCCCATGGGCTGGGGTAGATGACGCTTAAGCATTAGTTCATATTTGCCAATTAAGCGTAAGTTGTGTTTCTTTATGTGCTTCAAAAGAGTTAGTCATTTAGTCCCCATAAGGAGCATTTTATCAAAAGGAGCGATTATAGCCAGAGACAAAGAAGCCTGCAACTGGATTATAGGCCTCCCTCCATTCTGACAGGACTCAACTCTATAGATAGCTAATTGTGATATAATAGTGATAGCTTTTGGAGTGAAAATAGTTGTCAATACAAGAGGAAGCTGGCAAGATATTATGAATGAAATGATGATTAAAGAGTTAAAATATAATCCATTAAAACTTCTACAAAACCATATAATTAAGCATAAATGAAATGAGCAAATATATAGCATACACATTTCATATTGGAATTAATTTTCTGTTAGCCTTTTATTTGTTCAGTTCATGTAAGTTTGTCTTTCTGGGTTTTACTTTATATTTACAGGCCAGAAACTTACTTAGAGGAGGTACCTTAAATAGGTTAGATATCTTCAGATTGCAACTTAAAGATTATTGATTATGCCACAGTACATTTTAGTCTGAAATCCATGTTTTGTACCTACTAACGTCTACATAATACTCTACTGTCCTCAGAAGAAAAAGGAGCCTCCTACATACATCATTCCAAGATTGAATAGGTATCTCCAGGTTATGGAAGCGGTAGGTCAGGTGATAATACTCTAAACATACCGGGTTTGCTTATATGGTTGATTCATACAGGCTTTGCTCTTAGGGGCACCAAATAAGATCCAATACCCAATTAAATGAGAGTACAGTCTGGTTGTGACATCTGTTTCTCCTTCATTTGCAGTACAATGTGGTGGTTGTGAATTTAGTTTTGGGATTCAGAAACACTTGTGTTTGAGACATACAACTTCTACCAACAAGTTGTGTTTCTCATCTGAAAAAGTAGACATAATACAATCATAGAATTTGAAGTAAAAAGGAAGTGAGTGCAAAGGGCTCTGTAGAGTACCTGATACCACATAATACATTATCAGTAGACGTTAACTTTTGTTATTGCCAAGGTTAATTTGACAAGCCAGACAGGGAGTTAACACTTCCCTTCCAGTTCCCTCCACTGTTCCATGTGTATGTGCTTCTCCAATTTGGGTCTAATTAGAATTTCTTCCTTGGCGGAACCCTAACTAAGTGCACCGAGAGGGATGCTTTGTCCATTTTATTAGAAGGAAAAATTAAATGCTGAGTGGCTTGATAGAGTTAATTTTGACTTGTGAATGCTGCTTCCTCATTCTTTCTGATGGTGCAGTGTTGATAACCCATGTTATGTCTCTGCTGCTTCTTTCACTGTGGCTGCTACTGAGATGGGAGGGTGTGCAATGCCATTACGCTTCAAAAATAATTGTGTATAAGAATATTATTTTTGAAATGTCAACCTATGCATCTTTCCCCTGTATTTCCTCCTGTTCTTACACTTCCCTGTGTTTGGACAGTTAGGTTAAATGATTAAATCTGTATTCACAGCAGAAAGCAGAAGTCAGTTCTTGATGTTTGGATTTCAAAAGCTTAAGCTTTGGAGGGGATGCAAAAGCCCAAAGCATAAGCCATCACTTTGGAAAAATTAATATCATAGAGCAAATATTTTCTCCCCTCAAGTTTAAATAGATGCCCAAAATGAGGCAGGGAGAGTAAGAGAAGTGATTAAAAACTTGGTTTGAGGATCCTAGGGAAGGAGCCTTGGGACCTACTGTTACCCCCTTTCCACTAAAATCCCAGGTAGCTCTGTGGAATCCAAGAACAAAGGATACTTCTAATTCTTGCCTATCACTTCCCTTTCCTGGAAAAACACAGGAAATCATGAGACATGACTGTACAGGAAGAATAGTGGGTTTGAGACCCTGTCACAAAGTTTCCTGGTGTTCAGTGCAGGGCAGAATTTATTCCATGTCTCTGACAGTGCCACAAACCTGGCACACGTAGCTGATGCATCTGAAGAGGTCCCATTGTTTGGAGGACTAATAGAGGTTCAAACAGTGATCTCCATGGACAAACCACAACAAAAATGGATGGCAGTGTGGATGCCACAGTGGAAACCAGTGTGCAAGAGTATTCCAACCACCCCAACACGTTGTCACTGTGCAGGCCACCCAACTTTGGGGAATTGTACAGCATTTCAATTTCTATGTAATGGCAGACTTGGAATTCAAAATATAATGTAGGTTCAGGCATAGAAATTCTTGTTGGTGGAATGATATTGCTACCTGCTCAGCTACAAACATAGTTTGGGGACCTGAGCACCAAAGTATATGTCAGGAATAAAGCTAGACATGCCACCTGATTTAGATTTATTTTAGGGCATGGCAGGGGTAAGGGCAGAGGCAATGACAAAGAAAGTGGGAGAGAGGTCTCATTAGTGTGTACACATCTGCTCTAAGTATGTGAGTGAGAGAAGACCTGTCTTGGTGGCTTCAGTTCATTTACAAGACAAAGGCAGGTGCATCCTGGCCTGTGTCACCATGAGAAGCATGAGAGGTAATGAAGCTCTGATACAAGCCCGAGGAGAGCTGGGCTCTGTACTTTGTGGGCCAGGCTCTTAGAATATGTGTGGAGATGATATCAATATTTACAAGACTACCAAGGTGCTGCAAGCTCATGGCCACAGCTGGGTCTGAAGTGGGTACCCCAGTGCAGACTAGTATTTCACTAACCTTACTGATGACAAAATTCCCCTGAGCACATCTTAAAAATATCCATTCCTAGGCCAGACTCCAGACCTATTGCGTTAGTATCTCCAGGGGAGAGGCTTCAGATTTATATTTTGTCATGAGCATGTTACATGGCTCTTAAGGAAAAGAGAGGCTAAGAATAATTTGACCTCACATACAAAAGATTTCTTAGTGTATCAGAATGAGCAACAGTTTGGAGTACGGCCTAAGAAGATAGCTCTGGAGAAGACTGCCTGGGTTTGAATCTGTGCCTCAGTTCTACCTCCTATAACATGGGGCCAGCAGACTCTACTTCTTGAGGTTGTTGTGTAAAGCCCTAGATGAGTATCTGGCACATGATATGCACTTAATAAATATCGACTATCATTGTAATTATTTTTGAACACTCCACCAGGAATGAAAAGATGAGGGAACACTCATTGAAAAGTAGCAACAGCTACCATTTGTATAGGCTCTTTATTGCTTTCAAATGTATGATATTTAATACTTGAGACATATAGGCCATGGGAAACCCATTTAGTCAGAAAATTCAGCCTTCTAAGACTTGGTGGCATATCTAAAGTGCCTGGCTGGAAACTTGAGAGCGTATCTTGCTGCTAGGAGTAATAGCCTAGTGGTAACAAGTGCCGAGCTGCACTTCTTGAACTTTCATATTCATAAAAATCACCTGGGGATCTTGATAAAGTACAGATTGTGACTTAGGAGGTCTGATGCAGGCTTGAGATTCTGCATTCTCTAACAACTTCCAGGTGATGCTGATACTTCTGCCCTGCAGATCGCACCTGACGAGGAAAGCATTCCTTTAAGATCATCGTAAGGTTTCTAAAGTATATCTGGCATACCAGCTGCAGTTATGCTTATAAGGACTCCCTAAAAGGGTAGCAGTTCTTTCTTTCCTGGAAGCAAATATGAATGATCCTTTGAGACAATGTGGTCTCAGTAAAGTGTTATCCACATAGTGAGAGAAAGATCAGCTTGCTCTAATTAAACAAGTTGAATTCTTCTACATGTACCATGTGTGATCTTCCAGTGTTAGGAGCACTGAGGTTCAGTAATATTCATGTAGCACAAAAGTGGCACTGGATACAATTTAACGTTACAAGCCAGGAGGCATTTCAAGTTCTTGTAGATATACTACAATCATTACCCTAGCAAAAAGAAGCAGTGCTAGTTAATAGAGATGTCCACTTGATAGAATGCTGCACATACCAGCTTTCATGATACTTTTGGTGATGATATCCAGATGAATTTGGAGAGATGATGCACCAGAAATACATGGACCAGTATTCCATTCTCAGTCTTTGAACCATCATAGAAGCCAAATTAACAAGTATGAGTACTACCTCAATCCGTATTTGAAAGGTTATGTGGCATAGAGATTTACTGGGTATCTGCTACAGTATCAATCATATTAAAAATAAATGCTCAACTACACACACTCTAAGAAAGTGTACTGGAAAAGAAATCAAACTCTGGAGATGTTTATGCATGTGAAAGCCTTACATATGCAGGAAATATATCTGAGTGTGGGAAAATTGAACTACAGTTCATTGGGCTTTAATAAAGTTATTTAGCGCTAATCCTTAGGTGGATAATAAAATCATAAGTGCTTGATTCACATAGATACCAGGTAAAATGAAAAGAAAAAAAAGTTTAGGACACAAGGAAAGGTAATGTTCCGCAAGCTTTATCAAGTCCTCTCTACCAGCACTGTAATTCTCAATAAAACTCAGCACGACAGTTCAAAATAAAACAGGGCTATGACAAGACAATAACTCTTGGGGCATTAGAGTCAGGTACAGTAAGTTTCCTTTCTTCCCTTAGTGCTCTCACTGGGATTCTCTCAGAGCACCGAGGGAGCCATAGAGGTAGTATAATTTATTCTTGCATGTACAGGGGCTGATTTTCTTTCTCTCTTTCTGTGGACTTTTAAACCAGCCAGCACTGTGGTCATTGAACTTCTCTTTTAATACCTTAATTATGAGTGAGAAGGGAAGTGTGAGTTACATAGGATAACAATAGTGCTATGTAACAAGCCACCACAAAATCTCCCTGGCAAACAACAAATCGATACACATTTATTCCAATCATGAGTCTGGTAATTGGGAGTAAACAGGTCTATATTGAACTCAGCTAGGATGGCTGCATGTGCCTGTCATCCTCCTCCTTACACTCAAGGTGATGCAGATGTACAAGTGGGCAAGTGGAAACACCCAAGCTTTTGTGACGTTCAAGCTTGGGAATGGCATAATGTCATGTCCACCTTGTTCTATGGGTCAAAGCAAGCAACGTGACTGAACCCAAAGTCAGTGGGTTGGGGAAATATACTCCAACTCTTAATGAAGATGAACTGAAAAGTTACCGTGCCCAAATACAGCAACGGTAAACATTTGGGTTATTAATGTAACATATTTTGGAAGAGACAAAGACCTGAAACTTAGATCAATTTTAAGTAAAAATGACTTGTGTAGGAAGAGAAGACAAAAATGACAGTTGCCCAGTAAGATACAGGATGCTTGGTTAAATGTGAATTTCAGATAAACAATAACTTTTGACAGTATAATTATGTCTCATGCAGTATTTGGTGATTGGATTGCCTGGGGGTAAACTCGTCTACATTGGGTTCATGAAAAATTTGGTACATGTTATACAAAAAGAAATCATTATTTATCTGAAATCTAAATCTAAATCTAATTCAGTGTCATGTTATTTTTTTTTTTTTGACTTAAATCTGGCAATCCTAATGATGAAGTCACTGGGAGTGAGAACTACACCTTCAAGAAGCCAAGAAGGAATGATGCATAGAGAAAATAAGCTTTGTAAAACTGTCTTATTCCCTGCCTCCCAAGAAGATGTTCTACCACTTTCAAACCTTTGTTCTCACCTGTTTGTCTTTAGGAACATGGCTTGTTGGCAGGGGCAACATTTGGCCAATGGCAGTATAATAACCAGCTGGCAGTCTTTCTGATAGATTGGGCATCTGAGTGATTGGTTCGTGTCCATGCACTATTAATTCAATATTTCGATTCTAACCCCTTGTTACTGGCAAACATGAAGTCACCTGAGTGTGAGATAATGATGTAGGTCCACTGAGAAAACTGATAATTTGTTGCTGGACACAGCATTAATCTTTTATTGTGTCCCAAAATATTTATTTAAAGATGAGACTAAGCATTGTGAGAGGACAAGGTAGATTGTACAACCTCCTGAGCAAATACGAAAGCAGGATGGTTACAGGAAGAACTTTACTTTAGAAAGCAGTTTTAAGCCTGTTTTTTTTTCTACCTCTGAATTTTCTATTGCTGCGTAACAGATTGCCACAAATGTAGTGGTTTAAAACAACCACTTATTTATTAGCTCACAATCCTATGGGTTAAAAGTATAGTATAGCATAGCCAGGTTCTCAGCTCAGAATATCACGTATCAAGAGCTGAAATCAAGTTGTCACGCAGGTGGAATTTCTATTTGGAGACTCTGGGGAAAATTTGCGTCCAAGTGCATTTTTTTTTTTTGTTGACAGAATTAATTTCCTTGCAGTTGTAGGACTGAGGTCCTCATTCCCTTGCTAGCTGTCAGCAGGGGCTGCTTCTCACCTCTAGAGGCCACCCACATTCCTTTCCATGTGGCCCCTTCCCCTTTTGCAACCAGCCAGGGAAAAACATGATGCTCTTAAAGGACTACTGATTAAATCAGCTCTACCTTGGTGCACTTCGTATTTTTGTTGTTGTTGTTGTTGTTTTAAGAAACAGAGTCTCATTCTGCTGCTCGGGGTAGAGCACTGTGGCATGATCATAGCTCACTGCAGTCTTGAACTCCTGGACTCCAGGGACCCTCCCGTCTCAGTCTTTCAAAGTGCTGGGATTACAGGGATGAGCCACCACACCCAGCTGACATTCTGTATCTTAAAGTCAATTCACTGCAAAGTTTCTTCACATAATTTTTTAGGTTAGTGTTTGAATAACTGGAGAAGATGAGTAAATATGAGGGACAGGGAATATTGGATGGATATCTTAGAATTCTGCCTACCACGGCCTGGTGCTGTGGCTCACGCCTGTAATCCCAGCACTTTGGGAGGCTGAGGCAGGTGGATCACCTGAGGTCAAGAATTCGAGACCAGCCTGACCAACATGGTGAAACCCGGTCTCTACTAAAAATAGAAAAATCAGCCCGGCATAGTGGCAGGTGCCTATAATTCCAGCTACTCAGGAGGCTGAGACAGGAGAATAGCTTGAACCTGGGAGGCGGAGATTACAGTGAGCCAAGATCATGCCACTCTGCACTCTGGCCTGGGCAACAGAGCAAGACTCTGTCTTTAAAAAAAAAAAAAAAGAATTCTTTCTTCTGCCTACCATGCTGAATGTGCCCTTTGCAGGTGCTTCCTAGCCTCTTCGCCACTGCAGGAGGCTCCGCTTCCATCCCACAATTCTAAGTATTCTGTTTAGCCATGTTAGCAAGAACTCTGTTGGAAATTTTCTTTTTCTATTTTTTTTTTTTGTTTGTTTTATTGAGACGGAGTCTCGCTCTGTCACCCAGGCTGGAGTGTAGTGGCACAATCTTGGCTCACTGCAACGTCCGCCTCCTGGGTTCAAGCAGTTCTCCTGCCTCAGCCTCCCGAGTAGCTGGGATTACAGGCGTGTACCACCCCGCCCAGCTAACTTTTGTATTTTTAGTAGAGACGGAGTTGCACTGTGTTGGCCAGGCTGGTCTCAAATTCCTGACCTCAGGTCATCCAGTCCCCTCAGCCTCCCAAAGTGCCGGGATTACAGGCATGAGCCACCGTGCCCGGCTGATAATTTCCTTTTTCATAACCTTAATTTCCCAGGGATAGTTTCAGTGCCTCTTTTAACTAGTGCCCTAGGTTGACCTATCCCAGATGGAATCCTGGTCCACCATTTATTGACTCTGTGTGGTTTGCTGCAGTAATTTTCTTTTGTGAACTTCTTTATTCCTTTTGATGTTATATGTGTCTTCACTGATAGACAAGAAGAATATTTTATTTATATTTTTATCTATCCCACTTTCCCATAGCAAAAGATCTCATGATTCACTTTTTTCAATTAATTCATGAAACATACTTTTTGGCTAATTGTGTGTCATTTCCAGGCATATTGTATATGTTAAAAAATTTCATGATGGCATGAGCTACCCACACAATCTTGATGGTGGGAGAGAGGTTTGCTGCTCTTATGCAGTTGCTGTCTAGTGTCAGAAGTTTGTTGTGTTAATTTCTTTTTTGATTTTTTTTTTTACTTTTAATTTTTGTGGGTACATAGTAGGTGTATATATTTATGGAGTACATGAGATACTTTGAAACAGGCATACAATGAATAATTGCATCAGGGTAAATGGGATATCCATCACCTCAAGATTGTATCCTTTGTGTTACAAATAATCCAAATATACTCTTGTAGTTATTTTAAAATGTACAATTAAATTATTATTGACTCTAGTCACCCTGTTATGCTATCAAATGCTGTATCTTATTCATTCTTTCTATTTTTGGTACCCATTAACCATCCTCACTTTCCCCAGACCTCCCCCACTACCCTTCCCATAATTTCTTACGTGGTAACTGACAACTAAAATTATTTGCTGGCTTTTTATTTTGCTGTATGCATGTAGATAATGAATTCACCATAGTTCTCATTCTATTTATTCCAGAAGATGGCGCTGCTGCTGCTGCTTCTGCAGGGGAAAAAAAAAAAAAAAAAAACAACAAACCAACCCAGAAAGCCTCAGTAGGATATTTTAGCATTTCATAATAATACACCAATAATCCATATTGGCAAAATATATTTTAAAAATGACATTTACAAATACCTACTGCATTATTTTTTCTCCTTATATTGAATTTAGATTTAGAGAAGAAATAATTACAACTCATACTGAAGTATGTTGAGGCAGGAGTAACAACCCTCTGTGATAATCTGTTGCCAGAATCAGGACTTGGTGCCTGAATTGAATGGTTATTTTTTCAAGGGGATGGCAGTCGTGTCTGATATTAGGCATACAGAGGCTGTATAGAGGATGTCTTAATGGATTTTACTTTGATTAATGATGTCACCAGTGGTGCCCACCTGAAGCATGAACTATGTACATTGCCATTAATAGAAACTTGAGCTCTTATTATTGAATTATTTGCCTTTTAAAGAGTTTTTTTGGAAAACTACCTTAATATTGTTAAGTGTGCAATAAGTTTCAGAGATTGAACACTCTTTTATACATGGAACTTCATGTTAACATTTAAACTTTCGGTATTCAGCTATTTAGATGCTGAATGTCTTACCAATGGACCACATCTTATCAACTAGTACTGTAATATTCTTCCCTTGTTTTCCTTCCATTCGAGGCAATACAGAAGCAGAATGCTGGGAAATAGTAACTAAAAGTTAATTAGCGACACGAAATCAAGGGAAAAAATAGTTATCTGCCTAAAATAAGAGGCTCAAATACAAATAGGTGACATTGAGTGCTTCAGGGAAGTAATATATTTTCTTTTAAACTATATTAATTTCATGACAAACTCTAGGAGGTATTGTAAGTCGCTGCTATATCCCCAGCAACTGGAATAGTGCCTGACACATATTGGATATTTAATAAATGTTTGTTTTCATTTGTTTAAGGAATATTATGTGCCTGCCTGTAAAGTGCTATTAATACATAATTTCATTTTATCCTCACAAAGAAAATATGTTGTTATCTACATTTTACAGATTAGAAAATTGAGGCTTAAAGAAGTTAAGTAATTTTCACAAAGTTATAAAAAGTTAGTGGCAGAGTGGGCTCTCAAATCTAGGTAATCTGTCTCCCGAGTCTAGGCTCTTATATGTCTCTATTTTATAGGTAGTATAACAGGCACACATCTTTGCTGCGACCTTTAAACATCACAGTACTAGAATGTAGTAGAGCTAGGGTTCAAATAGAATTTTGATTGATTATAAAGTTGTTATTTTTAATCACTGTAGTAACTGTGGTAAACCAAATCCATGTCTGATTGTTCTTTTTTTTTTTTTAGTATTGTGGTAAAAAACATACAGCATAAAATTTACTATCACAATAATCATTTGTAAGTTACAGTTTAGTAAGTTAAGTGTATGCACATTATTATGCAACAGATCTCTTGAACTTTTTCATCTTGCAAAACTGAGACCGTATACCCATTGACCACCAACTCTCCTCTCCTCTCCCTCCCCAGTTCCTGTTAACCCCCATTCTACTTTCTGTTTTGATGAGTTTAACTAAGTTAGATACTTCCTATAGATGGAATCACACAGGATTTGTCTTTTTGTGACTGGCTTACTTCACTTAGCGTAGTGTCCTTCAAGGTTCATTCATTTTATAGCATGTGACAGGATTTTCTTATTTTTTTTAAGGTTGATCAATACTCTTATTTTACATATATACCACATTTTAAAAAATCCATTCATCTATAGATGGACATTCGAGTTACTTCCACCTCTTGGCTATTGTAAATAATCCTGCTATAAATATGGGTATGCAAGTATTTCTCTGAGATCCTGTTTTGAGTTCTTTTGGATATATATCCACACTGGGCTGGCTGATCATTTTGAAGGTCTTGCAGCTATTTCAAACATTTCTAGTTTTCAAACTTATTTTGTTAAAAATTTGTGTTCATCTCTTTGGTGCTATTACTATAGACTTTAAGTATTAACAGCCAAATACTCTAACACACAGCTATTCTAAAACAACACACAAATCTGATTGTTCATTATTTATTTTTGAAGATAAAAGGGTTACCCAAAATTTATTTTGAATTTTTATTTGGCTGCTTAGCTACTTAATGATAAATTCTGGTGACAGCTGGCATCTATTTCTACCCTAAACCCTAGTTTTGCCATTCTGATTCTGTTAGAATAGTCTCAGAAACCTGAACTTACAAGGAATTCCTTAGTAGTTTTCCTTGTCTTTCCTGCTTGTGGAAATTTAAAGAAAATTGAAAGCTGGATTCAAGAGCTCTTGCAAGGAGTGGGGCAAGACTTGTGGTAAATGCTAGAACAATAGGGATATAGAGAGCCATTGGAGTTGAATAGCCATTTGGAAGAAAAAGGAAATGGCCATGTTAAGCTGTCCAGCATGACAGATTCTCCTCTCATTTGTTCTTTCCCCTTCCTAAAACATTAACTCTCAGAGGTGTTAGATACCAATATACTTTATTATATACCATTTTCTATCAATTATTGATCATGGCTGTAATGTGGAGAATGGATTGGAGACACATCATTCACTAAGGTAGAATACCAAGGTGGGAATAAGGACTAAAAGATTTGAGAATTTTGGATCTGAAACACTTTTGAAAGCTTTAAGTAGAGATGCAAATAGGCATTTGTATGAGCTCAGAGAAGACAGGGCAAAATAAGTCTTTTATGTATTTATTTATTGGTCCACTAAACAAAATTTTTAGCACCTCTATACTAGGTAATCTACCATATTTTAAAAATATTCTTTATTTTAATTTTTAATTTTCTTAGGTATATGATAGGCAAGTATATGGGGTACACAAGATATTTTGATACAGGCAAACAGTGTGTAATGACAACAGGGTAAGTGGGGCATCCATCACCTCAAGCATTTATCATTTCTTTGTGTTATGAATGTTCCAATTATACTCTTCATTTTAAAATGTACAGCAAATTATTGTTGACTTAACTCACCCTGTTGTTCTATCAAATACTGGATCTTATTCATTCTATGTATCTATGACTTTGTACCCATTAACCATTCCCACTATCCCCCTCAACCGTTTAACATTTTTCCTGATCAGTAAGGTGTCCAATGAGAAGTCTGCTGCCAGGTGTATTGGAGCTTCTTTGTATGTGATTTGTTTCTTTTCTTTTGCAGCTTTTAGGATGTGTTCTTTATCCTTGACCTTTGGGAGTTTGATTATTAAATGCCTTGAGATAGTCTTCTGTGGGTTAAATCTGCTTGGTTATGTATAATCCTCTTGTACTTGAATATTGATCTTTCTCTAGGTTTGGAAAGTTCTTGGATATTATCCCTTTGAATAAGCTTTCTACCCCGTCTCTCTCTCGATCTCCTCTTTAAGGCCAGTAATTCTTAGATTTGCCCTTTTAACACTATTTTCTGCATCTTGTAGATTTGCTTCATTCTTTTTTCTTTTATCTCCTCTGACTGTATATTTTCAAATAGCCTGTCTTCAAGCTCACTAATGCTTTCTTCTGCTTTATTAATTGTTCTATTAAAATACTCTGATGCCTTCTTTAGTATGTCTATTGCATTTTTCTACTCTAGAATTTCTGTTTGACTCTTTTTCATTATTTCAAACTCTTGGTTAAATTTATCTGATATAATTCTGAATTCCTTCTCTGTGTTTATCTTGAATTTCTTTGAGTTTCCTCAAAACAGCTACTTTGAATTGTCTGTTTGAAAGGTCACATATCTGTGTCTCTCCAGCATTTGCCCCTGGTGTCTTATTTAGTTTGTTCAGTGAGGTCATGTTTTCTTGAATGGTCTTGATGGTTGTGAATATTAGTTATTGCCTAGGCATTGAATCATTAGGTATTTATTATAGTATTTGCCATCTGGGCTTGTTTGGACCCATCCTTCTTGGGGAGGCTTTCCAAGTATTCAAGGAGAATTCAGTGTTGTGATCTAAATCTTTAGTTACTTCACCTGTATCTGAATTAAGGGGCACCCCAAACCCAGTAATGCTGTAATTCTTGAAGAGTCATAGAGATACTACCTTGCTGATCTTGGGTAAGATTCAGGAGCATTCCCAGGATTATCAGGCAGACCCTCTTGATCTCTTCTCTTACTTTCCCCTATACAAATGGTGTCTCTCTCTCTCTGTGTGCTCAGCCTCTTGGGCTGGGAGAGGGGTGATACAAGCACCTCTGTGGTCACCACTACTGGCACTGTGCTTGGTCACAACTAAAGCCAGCAGAGCACTGGATTACACCCAAGCCCCACAGTGACCACTGCCTGGCTGTCACTAATGTTCACTGAAGGCCAAACGGCTCTCCAGTCAGCAGGTGGCTAATCCAGCCAGGTTTATGTCCTTCCTTTCAGGGTGATGATAAGGTTGGCCTGTGTCCCCACCCAAATCTCATCTAGAATTGTAGGTCCCATAATACCCACGTGTCATGGGAGGGTCCAGGTGGAGACAACTGAATCATGGGGGCAGTTTCCCCCATCCTGTTCTCATAGTGAGGTAATTTTCATGAGATTTGGTGGTTTTATAAGGGGCTTCTCCCTTCACTGGGCACTCATTCTCTCCCGTCCTGCCCTGTGAAGAGGTGCCTTCCACCATGATTGTAAGTTTCCTGAGGCCTTCCCAGCCATGTGAAACTGTGAGTCAATTAAACCTCTTTCATTTATAATTTATCTAGTCTCTGGCAGTTCTTTCTAGCAGCATGAGAATGGACTAATACAGGTGATGAACTCCGCCCCAGCCCAGAGCAGGTTCATACATGCCATCTCGGAGCCAGGACCTGGAGTCCAGAACCTTAGGAATCTGCTTGGTGTTCTGTTCTATGGCTGAGCTTACACCTCAGCCCCTACACAAAGTCTTTCCCACTCTTCCATTTCCTTTCTCTCCTCATAGCTACCACCATCCCAGGCCCATGTTAAGTACTGCCTGACTATTGCCAATGTTTACTCAAGGCCCAAGGGCTGATTAGTCAGCTTGTGTGAATGCTGCCAGGCCTTCAGGGCAGGAGGCTCCCCTCTGGCTAAGTACAGACTTATAAATGCCATCCATGGGTCAAGGCTTGGAATAATGAACCCCAGGAGGCTGCTTGGTGCTCTTCCCCACTGTGGCCAATCTGGTCCCCATGCTGCAAGACAAAGTCCCCTTTTCTCTTCCATCTGCTTCTCTCAAGCAGGAGTCTCTTCTGATAGTCACAACGGCTGTGAATGTGCTGGGTTACAACTGAAGCTGGCACAGCACTGAACGTTACCCAAGGCCTGTGACAAGTATTGCCAGGCTAACACTGCTGATTATTCAAAGTTCAAGGGCTCTTTAGTCAGCAGTTGATGAATCCTGCCAGGACTCAGTCCTTTCCTTCAAGAAAGCAGGTTCTCTTCTGGCCCAGGGTGTGTCTAGAAATGTTGTTTGGGAGCTAGGGCCTGGAATGGAGGCCTCAGGGCTCTGCCTGGTGCTCTATTCTGCTGAGGCTGAGCTGATATCGCAAGTCGCAAGACAAAGTTCTCTTTACTCTCCCTTCTCTTCTCTAGTGGAAGGAAGGAGTATCACCCAGACTTGGACGCGATGCTGCCTGGGGTTGAGGGAAGGGTGATACAAGCACTCTGTTGGCTACCTCAGCTGCTATCTCATTAGGTCGCATGCAACCAGTGTGCATGGGCTCTGAGCTCAGCATTGGGACCTGCCCAGGAATTCCAGTACTTGTGGCCTAGACTGCCTTTCAATTTTATTTAGGATCCCAGAGCACTTAAGCCCACAGTGGTGGAGTTTGCCAGAGCTCAGATTCCAAGAGCTGGGATGGAAATTTGCCTCTGACTAGGGTCATTCTAAATGTTCCCTCCATGATCACCAGCTGAGTTCTGCCTCATGTTGCTTTCCATTATTACAGGGCAGCACTATGTTCCAATGGAAATTCCCATAATCACTATGCTGTCTCTCCCCCAAGCCCACAGATTCTCCACACCATGTGGCCAGTGCCAGGAGATGGGAGAGTGGTGGCACTGGCAATTCAAGACTGTCTTTTCTACCCTCTTCAGTGCCTTTTTCCTTGATATGATGTTAAAACTAAGTACTGTGGGCCAGGCATGGTAGCTCATGCCTGTAAATCCCAGCACTTTGAGAGGCCAATGTGGGCGGATCACTTGAGGTCAGGAGTTCGAGACCAGCCTGGCCAACATGGTGAAACCCCGTCTGTACTAAAAATCCAAAAATGAGCTGGGTGTGGTGGCACTCACCTGTAATCCCAGCTACTAGGGAGGCTGAGGCATGAGAATTGCATGGACCTGGGAAGCAGAGGTTGCAGTGAGCCAAGATCGTGCCACTGCACTCCAGCCTGGGCAATAGTGCAAGACTCTGTCTCAAAAAAACAAAACAAACAAAAAACTAAGTACTGTGATCACTCACCTGATTTTTTATTCTTATGAAGGTGCTTTCTTGTGTGGATAGTTGTTCAATTTGGTGTTCCTATAGGGTGGACAATTACTGGAGCGTTCTATTTGGTCATCTTGCTCCACCTCTTCTCCCTCTACCATACTCTAGTAATGCTTATCCAAATAAGGATTTCCCCAGACTTGTCCAGGTCAATGTTTGAAAGTTTAGATTTGAAAATGTAAAATGTCAGTCGTATGACTGTGCTGTGACTTGAATGGATTTTAATTGTGAAGTTTTATAGACGGATTAGCGAAAGTCAAATTGTTAAGTGTTGCAGATTGAAGGCACATATAGAATATTGATGCTGAGGTGTTAAGCAGTATTTTTGGAAAGTTTGACATTTAATGAACTGAAAATATCTGGTGTATATATTCAGCATCAAGGAAACGTGTTTTAAGATAGGGAAGATTAAGTAAAGAGAAGATTGGTTTTTGGAGTAACGATATGATAGAAGATGATGGAGAAAGAGATACTTCAGGGAGTAATTCTAGAAGGAGGTGAGAAGTGATAGGTAATCATAGGACTGATTGTTTTGAAATGAGAAGAGTGCCCAACTTGGATGTTCTTTAAATATAAACTTCTATTATTATTATATAAAATGGTTTAGTGAGTAAGATCTCAAATGTAAGTAGAACAACGTGTTTTTGTTAGTGTCTTCTTAGTTTGTAATAATAAAATCTTTCTAATATATATAAAATTTGAATTAAAGATATGATGGGCACATATTTAGCCACCAGCTACACTCAACAACTTTGAACTTTATATTTTGCCAAATTTCTTTTCATGTATCAGTCATCTGTCTGTCTAGCATCTATCCAACAATCCTTTCATCCTTCCATCCATCTTCCTATTTTTCTGAATCATTTGAAATTAAGTTATAAACGCAACAGCAGTATAACCCTAAATACTTAAGCATGTACCTCCTAAAAATTAGGCCATTACCTTACATAATAACATATCATTACTCAGAAGAATTAAACATAATATCCTAATATTCAGTGAATATCTAGTTCATATTCAAATTTCCTTAATTGCCTCCCTCTATTTTATAGCTGACTTATTTCGAATCAGGATCCAACCACAATTCATGTATTGTAATTACCTTTATAGCTCCTTTATAGTTCCTTTGCAGGAACATGGATGGAGCAGGAGGCCATTATCCTTAGCAAACTAACAGAGGAACAGAAAATCAAATACCATATGTTCTCACTTATAAGTGGGAGCTAAATCATAAGAACACATGAACACAAAGGGGAACAACAGACACTGGGGCCTACTTGAGGGTGGAGAGTGGGAAGAGGGAAAGGATGAAAAAAAAGAACTATTGAGTACTAAGCTTAGTACCCAGGTGACTAAATAATCTATACAAAAAAAACCCATGACACGAGTTTACCTATATAACAAACCTGCACATGTAGGTTTGAACCTGAACCTAAAATAATTTTTTTTTTTTGAGACGGAGTTTTGCTCTTGTCACCCAGGCTGGAGTGCAATGGCGCGATCTCGGTTGCTCTGTAGCCCAGGCTAAAATGCAGTGGCAGAATCTCGGCTCACTGCAATCTCCGCCTCCCGGGTTCAAGTGATTCTCCTGCCTCAGCCTCCCGAGTAGCTGGGATTACAGGCACCTGTCACCATGCCCGGCTAATTTTTGTATTTTTAGTACAGACGGGGTTTCACTGCATTGGCCAGGCTGGTCTCAAACTCCTGACCTCAGGTGATCAGCCCGCCTCGGCCTCCCAAAGTGTTGGGATTACAGGCGTGAGCCACTGCGCCTGGCCTAAAATAAACTTAAAAAATAAATAAAACTATCAATTTCACTTATTTTTTTCAGATATATTTGCAATGACTATATTATGATTCTTCTGTTGGTCAGAAATCATGGCAGGAAACGTATATTTAACCTGGGCATTTTGAGAACAGTTAAATAAAAAGACAATGCATAAAATGCGGACAAGGCTTAAGGAAATCAAAGAGAAATAGTATGGAATCCTGCGCTTTTAACCTAGGGGCGGCATCACCAACCCAGGGAAGGGGCAAAGAGAAGGAATAATTACTAGAACACAGAGAGGGTGGTTTTATAGTGAGGACCAACTGGCAGGAGCTGTGGTTTTCGGAGAGGAATGCAGCCAATCCAAAATAGCCCAGTAGGAGAACCTTTTGGGTAGTAGGGATAATTGCTTCAATCTGATTTCCTTACTAACATTCGCTAATCTTTCATTTGGCCAAACCCAAATGGAAACCGTAGGATAAGGAGGCTTGAAACTTTTGTGAGGCAGCTCTCCTAGGGCACAGGGCAGGGAAAAGAAAACAGGGAGAGACAAGTGGAAGATGCCCATCCCAATTTTAAAAATGTAGTCTTTTAGTGGTTATTTCAATCGTGTCATTTGTTATTGTGTGTATGTTATGCTTTCATTTCTTGATTTGGTTACCTAGTGATTGTCCTCTTTTGCAATTTTTGTTTAAAAAGAAAACCTTATTTATTCCACTACCTTTCTGTTTTCAACCTTATTAAATTTTGCTTTTTTATTATTTCCTTTCTACTTTTTTGGTTTACTTTTTGTTCTTTTTCTCACCTTCCTGCTTGGATGATTAATTAATTTTTATTAATTCTTTTAGTCCTATTTTTTTCAGTGATTAAGGCCATGAATTTTTCTGTGTGCAAACTATATCCTGAGACCATTTCTATTATTTTGTCCTTTTCAAATCTCTTCCTTTGGACTGCCTGGGCTTATAATTTTATAACTGCAGATATTGGAAATTGTAAACAAGCCTTTTCAGGGACACTAAAAATCAGAAATACTTTGTTATACATCAACAAATAATTAAAGAATGAGTACAGGCTGGTGGCTCATGCCTGTAATCCCACCACTTTGGGAGGCTAAGGCAGGTGGATCACCTGAGGTCAAGAGTTCGAGACCAGCCTGGCCAACATGGTGAAACCCCGTCTCTACTAAAAACACAAAAATTAGCCAGATGTAGTGGTGGGGGCCTGTTATCCCAGATACTCAGGAGGCTGAGGCAGGAGCATCACTTGAATCCAGGATGCAGAGGTTGCAGTGAGCTGAGATTGTGCCACTGCACTCCAGCCTGGGTGACAGAACTAGATGCTGTCTCAAAAAAAAAAAAAAAAAAAAAAAAAAAAAAGAGTACACAGTAAATAACGGTCCTACAGTTATGAGAATTGGTGCTGGTGGGTTGTGATATAATTAGCAGTGACAATATTACAGATAGAATGAAAAGGTGCTATGGCTCAGGTAATCTTGGTAAAAGATTGGAATGCTCAGGAAGCTGCATTAGATGCCTGAACTCTGGCTCCAGTGACATCATGATACTATATGAAAGTATAGCAAGAAAAAATGTTATCCGAAATGTGATAGGAAAAGAAATGCTGTATTTCTTAATTCTTTATAAAATATGTGATTTTCCTTATACCTGTGCATTACCATATTAATAAATCAAGTATTAAAACTAGACATTTGAATATATCAAGTCTATCTCCAAAAAGGTTTTTATATATTCAAGTTGGAAGAAATACATTTTTTTGGTGTGTATATGGGGAGTGGTTCTCCTAACTGGGAAAAGAAGATAACAAGCTTAATTTGGGGTTCCCTTAAGAGCATGACTTTAAAGGTGAGTTATGTCCCTTACAAACTGTTTTCTTTGGGAAAGTTATTTAACTTCCTAAACTATGGTTGGTTACCATCATTGATAAGTTAGGAATATTGGTAATTTCTGTCCTATAAGAATGTTGTTAGAATTAGAAGTAGTTTTACATTTAAAGTACTTACCATAGTGTTTGACACATGGAAGTTAATTAGTATATTATTTAGAGATTAATTAGTATATGATTATTATTGTGTGTTTGTTTCTGCTTTCACCCTTTCCCATACTGGGGTTCCATGGATCCCAGGAGCAGAACTTACTCTATTTTAGTCTCCCAGCAGAGTGCTGAGCGCAGAGTAGTTGCTCCGTAAGTATTTTTTTGAGTCATTTCGTTACTCCATGATGGTAAAGGACAGTGTAAACCACAAATTTAGGGATGGGGAAGTGAGGAAGGAAGAACAATAAATTATATTGCAAGAATTAAAATGGAAATGCACGCTAATCAATTTTAGGGGAACCCATTAGACTACAACTAATAGAGGAGTTAATGGAGGCAACATAATGGAGTTAATGGAGGCAGAAAGAACAAATGCTTTGGAGTTAACCTGCATTTTAATTCGATTTTCTTTGCTTTCAAGCTGTGTGTCCTTGAGGACGTTATTCGACAACACTGAGCTTCCATTTAAATGTCTATTATAAAATTTAAAGGTAAAACAATATTAAAATGGCTGGTAATTAAAATGTCTAGTGCATGGTATTGTTCTAAGGATTAATTGAGATATTATGTGTCTGTGTCTCTGTGTCTGAGTAGTACTTAGGGTAATACATGGCATATTGTAAGCATCTGATCGGTGTTTCTTCAAAGAACTTTGCTTGAACTTAAATACAATTTAGATCCTAGTTTTAGTTAAGCTCAGTTGACAAAGAAGTGGTTCTGTGACAGTGAGCTAAGAGAGGTCCTTTAGTAATTTTTCGTAAAGTTCATTGTATGATTTTTATTCTATTTTCTGTATTTTCCCTGTAATCTACAAGGTGACATCCAATTTTGATGAAGAAGATTTTATTTTTTCATAATTCAAATCCTCAAAAGAAAAGAGAATATAAACCATAATATACTTCCTAAGAGTTGCATTAGAAAGAAAAGAAAGCTAATATTTTTGCTGTTAACACTAATACATGGAAAGTTGTGATCCTTCGGAACAAAAAATGATGCTGTTAGGCCATAGAATTGCTTGGCAGTAGACATGTGCATTTGTTCAGCATTCCTTGAGCCAAACACACTTTCTCATTTATTCTATTTTTCATTTAAAACATTTTGGTTTATATTTTTGAGCTATATTAGATATATAAATAGGCTTGCTAAATAAATATTTTCCCCAAATTCCATTACTACTCTTTGGGAAAAATAGCTCTGTTGCTCTTTTAATGTGTCAGAATTGCCCCCACCAAAAGATAAACTGCTGTGTTAATAGTCTGAGCAACCATTTGTCATCGCTGAAGTAATTATACTGGGAAACAGCTGACAGAATGCACCACTTTTTTGTAATGACATCAACGTTTTGTTACAAAGCAAGCCAACTCTTCACAACCAAGCCCAACTAATGGGTATGTGTCAGAGAAAGAGACTGTTTCGGGAGCAGAATTTCAGGTGAATTTTTCCCTACCCTAGACATTCTTTTACCTCCCCTAGACATTTTTTACATTGATGAATGAGAAGCTGCCATTGTGCTCTATAATTATTGTCTGAAGAGTTATTTACTGACTGTTGAATACACTTCCAAATATTGATTATCTTGAAGGGATACAGTGAGTGTTCACAAAACACTCTTCTACTTTATTAAGCTTTTGAAGTTTAAGAAATGGTGAAGCCAATTGCAAACTCAGTCAAGCAAAGAACATGGAGAAGGCCGAGATGTCTGGTGTTTAAAGATTCACAGAAATGTGTGTAACTCCTGAGGAATCAATATATGATCATTGAATGAAATAATAAATCTTCATAAATTCATAATGATGGAGAAAAGGAATAAAATAATGAAGTGCAAAGTAAAAAATTAAGTGATAATTCATGCTGAATTGCAATATACAATATTTATCAGGAAAACAAATAAAATATACTTGCAAAGTTCATTGGAATATAATTTAGGGTAGTAGTATTTACAGTTTCGTAAGTTAATAAAAAACTTAGTATTACTTATTTGAAAATAACTTCGGGAAATGGGGGCTATAAAATATGTTTTTCATTATGGCTCTACATATTCTTTAGTTTCTCAAGCTAAATGGGAATATATATATACATACATATAGATAGCCTAGGTAAATTAAGGTTGTATATATATATAGTGATATACATATCAGATTACCATTACCTTTACAATTACATATTGAAATTTCATATAATTTGATATTGGCTGGCATATAAGATCATAGTAATCAAATCTCTAATGCTACTCCAGGATTATAGATTGATAGATTGTTCTCTTATTTTTTTTCAAAGTTGCATTTAAATTTTCTCTCCATAGGTTTGGCACTGCTGGATTTTATCAATAAGCTGTTCTCACTAAAAATTATTGTCACTAAAAATTGCATCAATGGTATAATTTTCAATCTAGACATTTATGATACTTTTTTAAACCCTACAAATGGCCTTTTTAATATAACCAATCTATTCATAGCTGTCTACTCACAGCTAACCCGAAAAATTAATTTAGGTTTTTCTGCTCCTTAACAGGCCATTTATAACACCACATTGGAAACTCCTAGGATATGGCACATACCTCATACTTCATACACATACTTCATAGCCTCGGAGAGAATGGTGAATGGATGGAAAAAGGGAGTTCACATATTCAACGGGGCAACTTAAGACAGGGAGTCTCTGAAAACTGTGAGACAGTTGAGCTTCAAATCAAGCCTGACATCTAAGTTACTTAGCAAAATATTCAATTATTAGCTTTTATGAAAAATTGTTCAGATTCTTATAATGGATGTAACCTAAGGTAGAGTGATACGCAAAGATAACAGGGTGAGGAGTGTGAGGTGGTGGTTTCTAAAAGGCCTTCACCCATCTGAGTTCTCTTCATACCTTGTGCAGGTGTGGCCCTCTTCAAAAGGCTTTGGTTCAGTGATTGCAGTAAGAAATAACATATACACCATGGAATACTATGCAGCCATAAAAATGATGAGTTCATGTCCTTTGTAGGGACATGGATGAAGCTGGAAACCATCATTCTCAGCAAACTATCACAAGGACAAAAAACCGAACACCGCATGTTCTCACTCATAGGTGGGAATTGAACAATGAGAACACATGGACACAGGAAGGGGAACATCACACACCGGGGACTGTTGTGGGGTGCGGGGAGTGGGGAGGGATAGCATTAGGAGATATACCTAATGCTAAATGACGAGTTAATGGGTGCAGCACACCAACATGGCACATGTATACATATGTAACAAACCTGCATGTTGTGCACATTTATCCTAAAACTTAAAGTATAATAATAATAAAAAAAAAGAAGTGAGAAAGTTAAACCTAAGAGAGACTTGTGAAATATTACAGTGAGATAAATTTTGGGGACATTTGGACAAAGTGTATCTTTTTTCAGTAACATGGAAGATGACTACAGCTTTGTTCTCATATCTGGTAAATATTATCAATAGCATGTCCTAGGATTCCACAATCCAGACCTTTCTCTCATCTCTCTGTTGGCTTAGGACCCCAAAATGCCTTAAGATTCTTGGAATTTAGAGCCAGAAAGAAATTTCAATATTACTGTATCCAAGTTACTGTGTTTCATAAATGAGTCTTGAGCTAATAAATTCCTTCATTTATTCAACATCTATGTATTGAAGCTCTCCTAGATGCCAGGCACTGAACTCATGGACTGCAATATCACAACTAAAAAGGTTCTCCTAACCACACTCTTTGCTCTTATGTAGTTTGCATTCTGGTAGAATGACACAGAAGAGAAAACCAGTCAATAAATAAATGAGTAGCATAGTTTCAGATAGTGGTGAATACTGTGGAGAAGATAAAGCAAGAGATGGACACAAGAATAAGGGAACACGCCTCGACAAGGAATGATATCTGCGTTGAGCTCTGAATGACAAGAAGGAGCCAGGCTTGGAGAGTTCAAGGTGAAGGATTTTCTGGCTGCTTCTCTGGCAAATATCACAAGGTAGGAATAAGTTGCTAAATTCAAATCAGAAAGCCGGTTTGCCTGGATCATAGTGAGGAATGGGGAGGAGAGAGACAAGTGGCTGTGTCAGGTATGGGCAATGGTTGTGTAAGGTATAGCTCTGTAAATCAGGCCAAGCGTTTTGGGTTTCATTCTTTGTTCAGTGGGAAACCACTGGAAAGCTTTAAGCAGGGAAGTAAAGTGATATATTTATTTTTAAAAGATTACTCTAGCTGTCCAAGGAGAAAGTAGTTCATTGGGTTTGGCATGTGAGAAATATAGGTAAGAGGCTATGCTATGATCTAAATGAGAGATAAATCCTCAATCATATAGTGACTTACTGGCAGATCCTAGGGTAAAAATTCAGGTTTCCTCCAACAACAAATGAATTCAGTACAGTTAAAAAATATCAAATAAAAGAGTAGTTAATATTTATTAAGTGCTTAGTGTTTGCCAGATCCTTTATAGGCATCTCTTTAACTGACTGTTTTCTAAGCACCATTTTATTTAGTATTTGTCGTAATTATCTGAGGTGGATTCTATTCCTTCTATTTTACAGATGAGGAAACTGAAGCCTCAAGAATTTAAGTGTGTTTCCCATGTTTACACAGATAGCAAGTGACAGAGTCGCAGGGTGGGGGCTAGAACCTAGACTGGCCCAGAACCCATAAGCCTCAAAGACCAGTCTCACTAGTTGTAGTGAGGGGCAGATAGTAGAGTGGCCATGCAGGTGGGTATTGGAGCCAGAAAGCCTGCATTCAGATCCCAGCTCTCTTGCTTATGAACCCTGTGACCTTGGGTGAATCACTTCATTAACTTCTCATTGCCTTTATTTCCTCATCTATAAACTAGGAAGAAGAAGAAGAAGAGTAGATTATGCTTCATAGACTCGTTGATTTAACATATGCACAGAGTTTAGAATGGTGTTTGGCACATAGGAAGCATTTAGCAAATACTGTCATTGTTATTTAGTCACACCATGTGAATGTGAGCCACATTTTAGACTATAATGCAAAGAAGCTCCTCCCTTCATCTTCTGGGTAACTGAAATGCTCAGCCCAGAGCAGGGCCTCAAGAGACATTTGTTTGAAGATACCGTTTTCTTGAAGCCAGGTGAACTTCTTACTCATTTGGATTCCAGGTGAGCTGGGAGGAAGTATGCAAGTGATCCATCTCTGCTAGTGTTCCCTAGTTTTGGGTGTGTCCCCCCTTGGAAACTGCCTTGTCTAGGGGGCAACTGAGTAACTGCCACAGTTTCATCCTCAGAACAAGAGGAGGGGAAGGAGAGCATCTGGGAGGAAGTGAGTCCTGGGGATCGAGCTTCATGTCAGGTGGTGGTTAGGGAAATTGTTTTTAGAGAGGTCCCTCCTCAGGCATAAAAACAAAGAGAAAAATATTTAAGGCTTTCATTTTCAGGTAACATTTCAGGGAGAGCCAGACACTCTAGATTCAGAACGAAGACAAAGATCCAATGACCTAACGAGATTCTAGAACTTTTGTAATGTGATTGCAATGTTTGCTATATTGCATCCTTTCTCCTCCCCGTGTTCCCGTGGTGATTAGTATTATAATAAAACTTGGGAAAGAAAAAAAAAAAGAGAAATAACATGAAGTGGCCACAGGAAGAGTGGTTTACAGTGGCTCATCCTGTGCTCTGGATCAGCACCATTACCTAATGTGAACCCACATGGCCAAGGGCTATATTTAGCATCAAGCACCCTCTTTAGTGACAGATCTTCTAAACACTAGATCCCATGACAATGTAAATCATAGATAAAAGCCACCATTGAAGATTAGTGTGTGTAAAAACTTTGATATAAATCAGATGCATTAAACCAATAAACCAATGCATTCCTGTCAGATATGAGGAAAGCCAGGATCAGGGAAATTAAATTAAAAGGTCACACACTCATATACTGAGTAATGCAAACTTAAATCCTTATCCTCTAATTCCTGGTCTTGGTTTTCTTCATGTACACATCATTCTTTTGATTCTCTGGAAAGAATGTTAACTAATTCTGTGTACCAGTTCATCCACAGCTTTTTTAATGCTATTCTTTCTACTATTAACTCTGCTACTAATTTTAGGTAATACTTTTAAGTACTCACTATATGTCAGGCCCTATTAGAAGTTATTTCCATATGTTACCTATTTTAATCCTCACAAAAACTTCAGGATAGATGTTATAATCTCCATTTCATAGATGAGGACATTGAAATTCAGAGGGGTTACATAACTTGGTCAAGGTTATAATGCTAGTAATTGTTTTAATAAGTAAATCTCGTAAGCATTTAGATATACACTCTGATTAAAATAATGACAAGTGGAATTGTAATAGATTTTGTGATCTGTCTCTGTCTTGGTTTCTCTCTCTTTCTTGCACACACACATGCACACACACGCACTGACACACAGTGATGCATGTTCAAAATGTGACTGAGACTGTTTAAGACTTTATTCTTGAAGGACTTGTGCAGTAAATTTCTCTCGTGAGCAGGACTGTATGATTTGTACAATGGTTCCAAGAATATTCTTTTAACCCTGCATTATTGTTTCTCTTTTCACTATCTCTCTTCTTTTTGTTCTCCTCTTACCTATCTCTGTTATTCTCTGCCATCTCCATTCTTCTCCTCTCACATCATTTCTTCTCTCTTCTTTTCTTACAGGTTTTCTCATCAGAATTGTTATGCTCCTCCCTTCTAAATATTTCCTTTATAATCATCTGGCTCATTTTCTTTTCCTATGAGTTAAATTTCTTAATTTTTTTTTCTTACTGGAGAAATAACTAAAATGCTGAATCACTCTTTCAAATAACTTGCTGGGTTTTTTTCTTTTGAATGTTGACATTAATTACAGTAGTCAGTGCCCTTTCTTTACTTATAACAAATGCAACCCAAAACCTTTAATTCTTATCTGCTCAAAACCATGTCTTCTGAAGATGAATGAATTTGTTCACAATGCTGAAAAGCAGATGTGATTTTTCGCTTTTCCTATGCCGATTTTTTGTGTGTGTGTTTACTCTGTTTCAGCATTTTGATGTGCTGTAACTTTCATACATAGCAGTGCTTAAGAAAACCAAAACACATGCACCATGAAAAGGATGGAAATGAAAAACTCTTCAAATAATGCTTCCAAAGGAATTGTGACAAGGAAAAAAATCACTCAGAGGAAGATAACTCTTATGCTATTAATAATAACTTACAAATATTTTGATAGATTTGAAGGTTGGATTGGGGAGATATTAACTCAAGACTGTTATAATAAGGATGTGAAACAGAGAAAATGAGAATGGTTTTGAATTAATTACCATATAATAGTTTCTCTAAGAAAAATAATGCATAAATGTTTGTAAAAAGGTACAAGAAGTGAGAAATTCATCAGCTCGTGTTCTTTCACATTTACTTTCCTGAAACTGAAGTATTAAGAAATATCCAAAAGAAGAGGTGAGATTATTCTTCAAATGAATACTGTCAATCACTTTAAAAGATAAAAACATTGGATGAAAATTATTCAAAGAATGATGATAAAGAGCAGAGGAAGGGATAATTTGTTTTAAGGATGCTTACAGGGAGAGATATACCGTGGCAATTAGTAGAGGCTAAAATGGTCTGACCTTTTGGAATAGGGGTGATGAAGGTTAGACACCCAGAGCTATATTAGGGAGAATCAGTCAACAGATGTTTCTAGCATCATTTGGCAAATGTAAAGTTCAAATTGTTACTTAGAGCTGAGGTGGGCAGCATGATAACGGAGAACAGAAGTATTAGAAGTAGCTACTGGCCGCCCTCATCTGGAATAAATTTGCATAGGCTTCTGCATGTGTTTGTGAATTAACAGCCATTATACTAGTTTTGACAAACAGAGATGCTAAGGAGAACTAGCAACTAATGGGATTGCTGGTGGTGTGAGAGGAGGAGAAAAGGAAGATTCAATGTTTCCTGTTTGTCCAGAAGAGAGTTTTAGGACAGTGAATCTGTTAATAGCATGATATTTAAGACTTTGTTTTTGAAGGTTGTTCATATCTTAGGGACAACTTGTTAGTTAAATTAGAATTTTTTTTTTTCTTTTTTTGAGACAGAGTCTCACTCTGCCACCTAGGCTGGAGTGCAAGTGGCGCAATATCGGCTCACTGCAACCTCTGTCTACCAAGTTCAAGCGATTCTCCTGCCTCAGCCTCCCGAGTAGCTGGGATTACAGGCACCTGCCACCACGCTGGGCTAATTTTCATTCATTCATTCATTCATTCATTCATTTTGAGACGGAGTCTCACTCTGTCGCCCAGGCTGGAGTGCAGTGGCACAATCTCAGCTTACTGAAACCTCCACCTCCTGGGTTCTGGCCATTCTCCTGCCTCAGCCTCCCGAGTAGCTGGGACTACAGGCGCCCGCCACCATGCCCCGCTAATTTTTTGTATATTTTAGAAGAGACGGAGTTTCACCATGTTTGCCAGGATGGTCTCAATCTCCTGACCTTGTGATCTGTCCCCCTTGGCCTCCTAAAGTGCTGGGATTACAGATGTGAGCCGCCACACCCAGTCTTTTATTTTTAGTAGAGATGGGTTTCACCATCTTGGCCAGGCTGGTCTTGAACTCCTGACCTCGTGATCCACTCGCCTTGGCCTCCCAAAGTGCTGGGATTACAGGAATGAGCCACCACACCCGGCCTAAATTAGAATTTTTAAAACTATTTTGGAGAGATAGGGAGACCTTTATTATAAAGATAACATTGAGTAACAAAATGTACAAAAAATAAGTTATGTGTTTATTCAGATTTGGTTTAGAAGGAAAGAAGAGTCATCAGACATGTTTACTAATTGTTCAGAATATCTTAATTTATAAATTGGAAATATGGAGATTTTATATCAGTAAATGTCTCACATTACTATCCCATAAATACCTGTCAGTGAATCTGAACCTTTCTTCGAAGTATGCAGGTGGCAGGTATAATATTTATTTTACACAGGAAGAAAATAACTGCCCTGAAATCATTTCTTGAATCAGTGGAACAATTGGGGTATTGTAACCCAAAGCTGTGTGTAAGCTCTCACACTCCTTTGCAATGTTATTTCTCAGGGGTGTGTTGTATCTATCAGTTTTAGAGGCTTTTGCCAAATTCAAATGTTGAAAGAAGTGTGGCACAACTGGGTGGAATCCCATTTAACATTACTTAAAATCAAGGGATTCACCGCTTCCATAGAAGGGTTGCAATAAGAAAAATGTACATTTATAAAAGCTTGAGATAAGCTGATTGAATTAAATAAAAACCTATTAGATGATTCTTTCCAAGGCTGGAGAGTCATGCTTTAGAGAAGATAGAGTATGTTGATACAGAAAATTAATATATGATAACAATGACACTGAAAATTAATGGAGAAAATATGGATTGGGTAGTGAATGACATTACTAAAATTTATTTATTATAAGACATATGCCTATACCTGTATATATAATGTCTTATATATACAGGTATATATAATGTCTTATATATACAGGTATATATAATGTCTTATATATACAGGTATATATAATGTCTTATATATACAGGTATATATAATGTCTTATATATACAGGTATATATAATGTCTTATATATACAGGTATATATAATGTCTTATATATACAGGTATATATAATGTCTTATATATACAGGTATATATAATGTCTTATATATACAGGTATATATAATGTCTTATATATACAGGTATATATAATGTCTTATATATACAGGTATATATAATGTCTTATATATACAGGTATATATAATGTCTTATATATACAGGTATATATAATGTCTTATATATACAGGTATATATAATGTCTTATATATACAGGTATATATAATGTCTTATATATACAGGTATATATAATGTCTTATATATACAGGTATATATAATGTCTTATATATACAGGTATATATAATGTCTTATATATACAGGTATAGGCATATGTTCAAGCTCACCAACTTGTATATATTAAACATGCAATTTTTCCATATATCAATATCATACCTCAATAAGACTGTTAAAAACTATATATAGTCACCACATGTAATATATATAATAATATATATTGTATATAATTACATATAGTCTATATAATATATATAATATAATATAATATATATTATATATAATTACATATAGTCTATATAATATATAATTATATATAATATATTATATATAATTATATATAATAAATATATATAATATAATTATGTATAATATATAAATACATATATAATATATATATAATTGATTATATATATAATTAATGTGGGTTAAGGTCTAAATATGACAGGTAAAACCATAAAATTAATAGAAGAAAAGTAGAGCAGTGTTTTGGAGACCTAGGAATGGGAAGAACTTCTTCAATAAAACTAACATACAAACGTGATTTGGAGAGCACACTGTTAATAGCCATTCTGAAAAACAAATCCGATAACACTTAATGAAATTCAGTGCATGCATATCCTATGAGCTTGTATTTCTATTTGGGGTATGTAGCTCAGATGATTCTCATAGAGGTCTATTAAGAAAATATTTATATGGAAATTTGCCACAGGGTTGTTTTTAGTAACAAGAAGTTAGAGACAACTAGATGCCAACCTCAGAGGGAAGTGATAAACAAAATGTGGTTGATACATACCATGCATTGCTATGGAGTAGTTGGAAAGAATAGACTAGATGTGTCTACATAGTTATGAATAGCTGTTAAAAACAATAGTTCTGAGTTAAGACAATAAGAGAAACCAAATTAAAATGCATGCTTGTAATACAGTACACATTGTTAAAGTAAAAACTTCTGTCGAATTAAATTTAAAGGAGTTTAATTGAGCAATGAATGGGCAGGCCCCAGAATCATAGTAGATTCAGGGAGGCTCTAGTGCAGACACGTGGTGGAAGAAGATTTATAGACAAAAAAAGGGAAGTGAGGCACAGAAATCAGAAGTGAGGTACAGAAACAACTGGATTGGTTACAGTTCAGCATTTGTCTCATTTGAACACACTTCAACACTTGACAATGTATGAGAGGTTAACGTATGGCTGTTGGAATAGGCCAAGACCCAGTCACTGTTACAGGTGCACACTCGCAAGTTAGGTTTTCAATCTTGTCTACCTATTAAGTCAGGTTGTAGTTCATCCACAAGGACTCAAATATAGAAGTATTTCCATAGTTCTATACAAATATAGGAGTCCTTCTTAGACCATATTTGGTTTGTTTTAACAATTCCCCCTTTTTGGTCATTTTCTCAATTTTGGGAGATTGGCCAAAACTTTAGTCATCGATGTCACTATTACCATTGTATATGTATTTATTTGGTCTTCAAACACACTGGGAAACAGTAGAACAGTCAGTTTTGTAAAGGTAGGAAGAAGGACTGAGTAGAGGGTAGTTCCTTATGTTGGAACATCCTGTTTACAGGAGAAAAACAAAACTTGGCCTGTTTTAGGATCTATGTGTTTCTTTAAAGTCTTAGTTTGATTATGTCACATTTAGTATAAGTGACTCCATTTTGGTTTAGTTTGGTTTGTTGGGGTCTAGTGTATGAGCTCAGTCTAAAAAAATGGCCTTCCATAAGTTTGTCTAAACAAGTACTCCCTTTTTGGCTAGGTTTTCATTTAGGTGAGAGTGTGACTAAAACTTAGGGCCTTAGTGTCACTCTTAGTTACCATCATTTTGGGTTTTTGGCCTCAGTATGTCATTCATAGGTTATGGTGTCCTCATGGTTGTATATATTTTTTTTTTTTCAGTTTTTGTCATTCCAGTTGAAGAGAGACCATTTGACATTCTAGAGATGGCTGTGTGTAACACCTTTAAAACTTTTGATTTTTAAAAAATGTAAATGAAAATGTAAATTTAAATGGAAATGTTTGTTTAAATGTAAACATTTAAAACCTTTGAGAGAATACAGTGTACCAGGGAGACTATTATTATGACTATTAGGAGGATAATACCAAGTGTTTGGAGTATGTTCTTTACTCAGGGTCCTCATAAACCAAACCACCTAAAATCAAATAGATCAAAGAATGAGTTAGATGAAGAGTCTATTCACTTAACTAAGTGGTCTTTTCATTAATCCCCTATAACTGAATTTTTATAATCTACAATTGATGTATTTTTCCATAGGCCACAAGTGTCAGTAGTTGTACAGATACTTTTCTGTTTAGTCAATTCTATTATTTAACATAACTTTTACAAGAGAACTTAGTCTGATGTGTAACTATAGCCTTTACAGTAGATCTGTTATAGAGCTTATTACCTTGATTAACTTAGCCAATGATTTTTCTTACCTAAGTATGTAAGAAAAATGAAAGGGGTAGAACACAAAAATCCCCTCGAATTTTTAAAAGCCAAATTTTACAACCCCTGCAATATTACCATTTACTACCAGTTGCTTTCTGACCCAGTCAGATGTAAGAGTCCTCTAACTGGATCCAAGTCAGTTAATTACCAGATCAAATCCATTCCTGGACCCAGTGCAGTTTCTGTCATGACTTCCAAACCCAGTTTGGATTAGAAATTGCTCAAAGAAACTTGGAGAGTTCAAAACACAAATCCGTGGAGGTCCGAAATCTGAGAGAGAACTTACCCATGATCCCCAGCTGCTCTGAGAGATCAATGGACACAAGTGGGTTCTGCAGGTACCTTGTTTGTTCACTCAGTATTCCTGGGGTTCTACTTTGGACCCCGCTTCTGACACCATCTGTTAAAAACTTTAGCCAAATTAAATTTAAAGGAGTTTAATTGAGCAATGAACGATTTGTGAATCGGGCAGCCCCCAGAATCACAGCAGATTCAGAGAGACTCCAGTGCAGCCATGTGGTGGAAGAAGATTTATAGACAAAAAAGGGAAGTTACCTACTGAAATCGGAAGTGAGGTACAGAAACAACTGGGTTGGTTACAGTTCAGCGTTTGCCTTATTCGAACACAGTTTGAACACTCGACAGTGTATCAGTGGTTGACGTATGGCTGGTGGGATTGGCTGAGGCCCGGCCACTGTTACAGATGCACACTCCCAAGTTAGGTTCTCAATCTTGTCTACCTATTAAGTTAGGTTGCAGTTCGTCCACAGGGACTCAAATAGAGAAGTATGGAGTCCTTCTCAGGCCATATTTAGTTTGCTTTAACAACATAAATAACAGAATGAATATCTAACGTATTAGAAAGGTAGTCAATAGCAGGACATAAAAATATTGAATGAGGATAAAAGAGAAATACATAAAACAAGAGACTGGCCTTCCGGGAATGAATGATGATGATGTTCTATGAATTATGAAGTAGGATTAATCAAAACGCTGCACACAAAAAACAAAACAGAGTGAAACAAATAACCTAATAATTAATGACTTCTAAATGCAGATAAACTAGGTATTATTTGGACAAGAAGAGATGTGTTTATTCTGACTTGAGCTAAAGCAGACGGCGTGATGAAGAGGAGCAGCCCAGTAGACTGGGGAAAATAAACGAAAGGTGCAGCATAAACAGAATTGGGCTTCCATCTTACATTCTGGCAAAACTAAGCTTTAAAAATTATTTAAAGTCTCTGGGCCTGTTTCCTGATCTGTACATGGGCGTGATAATAATGTGCCTCACACATGTTATAATACTGTTTTATGCATTTAGAGGGTCAGAAAATATTATTGCAAATACTCGCAATCCATAAATGGGCTTTTAAATGGTGGCTTCAGTTATTTCATGTACACTACTAGTTTGTAAATCTGTCCAGCCACAACTGTCATTTGCTGTCTAGAATCACATCAGACAGTCCTCAATTTACAATAGCTCAACTTAAGATTTTTTGGTATTATGGTGGTGTTGAAACTACACACATTGAGTAGAAAGTGTGCTATACTCTCTCAAGATGCTGAGCAGTGGTACTGAACCACAGCTCCTACTCAGCTGTGTGATCACGAGGGTAAACAACTGATATTCTACAGTGTACTGTGTTCCCAGATGATTTTGCTTAACTATAGGCTAATGAAAGCGTTCTGGGCACCTCAAAGGTAGGCTAGGCTATGATGTTCAGTAGGTTTGTGTGTTAAATGCATTTTCCACTTAGATATTTTCAGCTTACAATTGGGTTGATCAGAATGCAACCCTATCGTAAGTTGAGGAGCATCTGTATTTACCATTTAGCTTGACATCTCTATTTAGATATCCAACAGATACCTAAAACTCAGAATGCCCAAACCGAATCATTATTCTTAGCCCTTAACTGTTCTTCCTATTTTTCCTTCAGTGAATGGTATTACTATCCACATACTTCCTATTACAGACCTCAAAATCTCACCACCTTTCCCTCTGATTTACCCTCTCTTCCAAATAATAATGAAGTCCGATTAATTATAATTTCTTAATTGCATTTCATCATCCTCAAAACATATATCTTAATTCTGGCACCACTATCAATTGTTTAAATTACCTCTAGAAACTTCTAAAACTGACTTCCTTTATGAAAGCCTTTCCAGTCCTTTTTGGAGTGATTTAGATGATCTTTCTATATGCAAGTGGCATCACTTCACTCCCCTGCTCAAAATCCTTCCATGACTCTCCATTCTCCAATGCATAATGTCTGATATCCATAGTTTGTCATGACCTGCTTACTGTCCTTCAGCTTTCACGAGTGTCTTTCAAACAGCAGGTCATGGCACTTTAGGGGATCACGTTCTTTATGTTAGTGAGTGTTTACCAATACTTTTAAATAAAATACAATAAGAATAGAAAATAGAGTGCATTGCCTCTAAGTGGCTAAGTATTATGGCATGGAATTTTGATTCACACATCCACCCATATGTATATATACATACATAAACACGTATACATACATAAACATACTAAGTGTAGTTGTAGAGTTTATTTCTTATCCTGACACCCAGAAGCCTCTGTCTTACTGCCATTTCTGTGTGCCAACCAACTCAAATGGACTGCTTGCAGCTCCCTCAATACAACATGGCTTTTCTTTCCTTAGGGGATTTCTATTTCTATTTCTGTTCTATTTCTATTTCCATTCCTGAAATGCCTTTTCTCCACTTGACCTGCATAACTCTTACTCTTTCTTTATTGATTTAGCTTCAGAGTTATCTGTTCTGGGAGGTTATTTTTGATCCTCACCTAGCCCTCAAAGCAAGAGATAATATCATTTCTGTGTAACTGTATAATACTCAGTGTTTGTATCCATTTGCCCTCCATCACACTATAGTGTAATTTCCTGTTGAGGGATTATCTTCTCATTAAACCGATAACCCCCCGAAGACAGGAATGTGTGTTACTATCATCATTTTGATTTTATCTTCACTAAAATTGATGGATCAGGCAAGATAATCTCCAAAATCCTTCCCAGCTTTAAATTTGTACTCATATAATTCTTAGATTTGATATTTTGGAGGACATTTATGATAAGTTGCATAGGTATTGATAGATCCAATTTGGGCATCAGTATTACTATCCTATTTCAGATTTGGCTGTTTAGACATGCTTGTGTCCGTTACTGACTGAATCTCATACAGTTGTGGTATGGGATGATTTTCCTGATTGTTCCTAATATCTAAAATGGAAGAAAAAAACACTAAGCTTCTAGGATTGGATGGATTCCTTCTAGGCTCTTACTGTGGATCTGTAAACATGCCAATGAAATGTAAAAACTCACTCTCCCATATGTCTCCACATATCTAGTTGTCTGGCATAATGAAGACATCACATCTCATTGCCATTTCTGTTTAAATCCAGGTGTTCAATATTTTATATGCATACACTTAGTGCTCTTGTACCAAGGATATTTTAAATGATAAATAATAAATGATATCTTTCTCAACATCCAGTCATCCAAATACCTAATAAACTACCCTTCTCCTAGTATTTTCAATAAACTGAAGTTACCATGTTTCTCTAAGGGAATTTTGCAACTGTGGAATTAATGACTTTGCCAGAACCACCAATTTTATTAAGGCCAAGAGCAAAAGGGGGAAAAAGGCTTTAGAAAACAAACTACTTACCTAATGAAAACAAATCATTGGTAAGAGAAAGGACATTTTTATAAATGCCCTAGATCTGCTGACTAACCATCCCATTTTTGTTTTTAGAAGGAAAAAAATTTCCAAGAAAATCCTTTCAAGCAAACAACATATTTTTTTTTGAATTTTGCTAATACATTTTAAATTCTAAACTTACGTTACCAGGTACCATTAGAAATCCATTCACTTTTATAATTCTAGTTTTAAAATGCCTTTATAGTTCAGTTATCACTTTATGTCTTAGATTCATTCAAAGAAGTGTAGGAGCTTTGAATTAGATTTCTTATCCTCTCTTGTCATCTTGCTTCCTGAAGCTGCCATCCTCTATCCAGTCCTTTCTCCAGATCATACCCTCTCTTCCTTCCAGCCATAAGCGCTGTCTCTTATCTCCTGTCTTCTCTGAAGGTAAAGCCATTATCCCTTTCCTCTGAATACCGGGAGACAATTAAAAACATACTCCTGAGGTCAGGAGTTTGAGACCAGCCTGACCAACATGGTGAAACCCTGTCCCTACTAAAAATACAAAAATTAGCCAGGTGTGGTGGTACACACCTGTAATCCCAGCCACTCGGGAGGTTGAGACAGGAGAATCGCTTGAACCCGAGAGGCGGAGGTTGCAGCGAGCATAGATCACGCCACTGTACTCCAGCCTGGGTGACAGAGTGAGGCTCCATCTCAAATGAATGTTTGAATGAATGCCTGCACTTATGAAGCTTACATTCCAGTGGACTGTGCCTGCCTTTATATAATCTAAATGGTCTGTTAGTGGACATTTTAAAATACAAGTGCCCTCTACCTGTGAGATAAATTCAGAAAGTATTTCACTCAGGAAGACTAGATTTAGTGAAATCTTCAAAAGCCATATTAGTTAAAGTTGAGTGATGCAATATTAAGATACAGGGAGGTAGATTAAGGATTAAGAACTCTTCTTTGTATTCCCATGACCATGATTTTAAATATTTTAATATTATATTACTAATGAATATTATTTATCTGTACAATTTAGTAAAAAGCTTAGGTGGAACATATTTACAGTTAGAAGATCTGGATTCCAGCTTCAATATTCCCTATTCATAGTTGGACAATTCTCTGAAAGTCGACGCTTTCATTATGCTTTTGAAAACTGGATTTTTCTCTCCTTATTAACAGTGATAAAATTCTTAGAAAGTAACATAATTAGGGGGACATGTAGAAAGAATTTCTGTTCACTTTAGTCATCATTCATGCTACATTTCTGAGAGCTTGATAGGTCATTGTGACTTCCTTTTAAACCAATTCAAAGATGGGAATTTTATTTTTTTAATATAAAACTTTATTTTGGCCCGGCACGGTGGCTCATGACTGTAATCCCAGCACTTTGGGAGGCCAAGGTGGGCGGATCACCTGAGGTCAGGAGTTTGAGACTAGCCTGGGCAAAAGGGTGAAACCCCGTCTCTACTAAAAATACAAAAAATATTAGCCAGGTGTGGTGGTGGCTCCCTGTAACCCCAACTACTCGGGAGGCTGAGGCAGGGGAATCGCTTCAACCCTGGAGGTGGAGGTTGCAGTGAGCTCAGATTGTGTCATTGCACTTCAGCCTGGGCGACAAGAGCGAAACTCCGTCTCAAAACAAACCCCCCAAAACCACTTTATTCTAATATTAGCATTGATAGTTGTTTCCTCTACTGACTTGAAATCTACCTTCCTAAAATAGTCACTTATTGGTTCAGGTTTTCCCTTAAAGTATTCCACATGCCAGCTTATCCTTGTTTTCCTGAGGCTCTTCTTACTCAAGGTGGACATTTTCCATCCTCCTCTTTCCTTTCCTAGCATAATTTCTAGATATCCGTCAATTTGGTCACCTTCCTTTTTAGACTTTCTATAGTTCAACATTCTGGTAAACCATGGAATACGGAGCTGTACCTATCATCCTAGGTGTGGTCTAATACAACTCTTACCACCAAATTTTCAACACTCTGTGTGCATATATGTCCTACTTGTGTGCTGTATGTTCATAAATTGTTTCCCTTTAAGACCCAGCACACTGATCTTGTGGTGAGCGATGCATACACATACCATATAGAAATATTAGGTTATGTTTGATTGCAGTGTCGAAAAGCAAAGCCAACGTTAGGGTTAAATCCACAAGATATATGGTGACTTTATTTTAATTTTTGCCACAGAAATTCTCTGTGCCAACTATCTTGCTCAGCGTTTACCAATCACAGCAAGTGCTGACAAGGAAATCTACACCTCCATCTCCAGTAAAAGATAGGAAAACAAAGCGTTTCATTTGTACTTAAGGGGTGAGGAGGATAAAAAAGTATTTTTTAAGGGTAGTCTCAAATTCAAAACAATGGAGCTTTACTCTTTAGTTATTTTAAATGTTTCTCACTATGTTAATCTTAATCTTATGTTCCAAAGTTAAAGCCAGGTTTTGAAGACCAAATCAGAAGAATCCTGACAGACCAGTAAGTGGCTGAGGAGTTAATTATAAAAAGAAATTATTCTCCTTAAGACATGCGTCATATAACAGACATCGTTAAAGTGTGCTTTTAATGCTCATCAAAATGACAAAGCCAAGAAAAATGAAACTTAAAAAGTTAGAAGCCATCATTGTTAAAAAGCATCAGTTGTAGGCAACAAAATAAAAACTGTAACTTTGAGGAAGAATTAGCTATTCATTCGTGAATATACTATATTAATCTGCAATTGAGCAAACCATCACTCTGAATTATATCACTGGTGTAGTCCGGTGTGGGAAGATGTGTGTTTTTAGTCATTTTATTATTGCATTTTGTCAAAATATCAAGCACATTTATGAAGACAGAGCTGTAATAGGGTTCTGTGGGGTAAAATTCTTATAAACTGATAGCTAATACTGAACTAGATCTCTATGTGTATCTATTAGAAGGTGTTTATGTGGAGGAAAGATTCTTTTTGTTGTTGTTGAAAGAGAAGAGAGGCTTTTCTTTTTTGACACCTAAAAGTAGCCGTTGGTATAGAAATGGTGAATGAGGGCAATGGAGGGGATAGGACAGTGGCACTTCTGTCACTTGCTCAGAGTTTTTTTTTTTTTTTTTTAGTTTTTATGTTGTTATAGCAATATAGAAACTAATAATTTTTAAAAATTGAATCCACCCAAGTTGTCACCAAAAATCTTCAGTGTTAGTATTTTCGGAGACATCTTTTATACAAGCGTAGAGTTAGAAAAATGGGTAGGGAGATAGAAATGATTGTATAAAAACTGGGTTATATTATACATTCTAATTTAAATAAAATACTAAAATTTGATTGGATTTATTTTGATGATAAAGAAAATGGAGTGAAACTGAACCTATCTGTATTCTTCAATACAAGATGTATTAGTTCCTAAAATATCCATTTGAAACTGAGAGAAAAGGTTGTTACATAAATGAAAGGATTTTCATTCATTGTGCCGTTTTAAAAAGCTAACTTTCAATTTTAGATGGTATTTGTTTACTCTCTTCTATAAAAGATGAAGTACTTATTTTTTAAAATTTGCTCCATTTTTAAATTGTGCATATATTTTAACTTTGCCAAGATTTACAGTAGAATCTTTTAACTTACACGCTGATTTTACAAGTTAACCTTTAATCTTCACAATCACAAGTACATTTATTAACATTTATTATGTTTACAGATGCTTGATATTTAAACAAATTAGAGTAAATTCTGTAGGCAAGGGAGAACTCTTTGGAATTTTCTATCACTTTTCCATTCACCACTGGATTTTATTTTTTTTTTTTAATTCCCGGAGAGCTGCATAGTGAATAAATGTATAATATTAAAACAGAATGGAATCAACCCTGCAGGAGAACAGAAATGTTTTTGAATTCTCTACCAATCCCTTATTCACAATAAGTATTTGATAAGTAGCTTAAAGGCAGAATTGTTTGCATACCCAGTTATCTGCATACAGATTTCCTTTAGTTCCTTGCTTTTGTCAAAGGAGTAGTTTTCAAGGCAGTGTTAGTCTTTATAATATTTAATATAAAAGGTTGCAGACACAAAACCATGTGTGTTGAACTCTCTTAGAGGTTTAAAGGATTTTTGAGAGTAATTTTTGCATTAATATGACTTTTATCTTACACACGTATTAGCATCCAAGTTAAGTCACAGTCCTATATGACACTTAATGGATATGTATATATACATATATATGAAAATATGTTTAAGTATGCATGAGTGTGTATGTGTATATATATTCATGTGCATATGTGTGTGTTTGTATATGTGTGTATATGTGTGTGTATAGTAATTACTCTGGTCTTTTAAGCTTGGTTGCATATTTAGTTTCAACGTTTCCCATCAGTCCTTTTTATCACAGTTATTCCACTCCTCAATTATTTTATTTTGTTTCATCTTTTGGTTTCCTGATCTTTTATGTGGAGTAGTTTTTCAAAAAGTGTCTTGAGAAGCTGACTTCTTTAATGTTTAAAAATATCTTCTTGTTACTGATCTTTTTAAACAACAATGTGTCTGGGTATCCTAGGCTTGATCCTCAGAACTCATAGTGTGCCATTGCCCTCTGACATTAGCTACTCATGTGCAGACTCTGAGGCCTGTCTACATTTCCCCCTTGATAGGTGACTTGATTTTTCTTCCTGGATGTCTGAAGAATTATTTATATTTGAAAGCTTATTTAATCTTTACATTAGAGCCTCAACAAATTTTTGCTAATGTGACCTTTAAAAATTCTATTCATCACTCTTTTAAATATTTCGAATTGTTATCACTATGACTTCTAGTTTTATGTTTAAATACAGGTTTATGTTCAAATTATTGGATTGCTTATTTTTGGAGCATCAATTTTCAGACAGGAAATTTATGGTAGTTATTCTCTGTAGATTTGAACACCAGATATTGAAATTGTCTTTTTGTTCTTCTAAAATGGGAATGGCAACTTGGTTAGAAATCTCATCTAACAGCTCTTTTATATATATATTTTTTTGCTACAGGGAAATAATCATATACCACAGTAGAGATAATAGTAGAGTGGACCTGATGTACCCGTTAGTCAGCTTAAACATTTATGATCAATACATAATTGATGCTTCAGGCCATGATACAGGAAGAGGCACTAGACTTTCCTTTCTTCCATATATATATGTATATTTATATATATTTGTATATATAGATGTGTGTATGTATATATGTGTGTATATATGTATATGTGTGTATATGTATATATGTGTATATGTGTATATATGTATATGTGTATATATGTATATATGTGTATGTGTGTATATATATGTGTGTGTATATATATTAGTCTGTTCTTGCACTGCTATAAAGAAATACCTGAGACTGCGTAATTTATAAAGAAAAGAAGTTTGTCTCACAGTTCTGCAGGCTATATGGGAGGCATAGTAGCTTCTGCTTCTGGGGAGCCTTCAGGAAACTTACAATCATGGTGGAAGGTGAAGGGGAAGCAGGCATATGACTGCAGCAGGAGAAAGAGAGAGAGTGCCACACACTTTTAAACAACCAGATCTCATGAGAACTTACTATCATGAGAACAGCATCAAGGGGGAAATCCACCCCCATGATCCAGTCACCTCCCACCAGGCCCCACCTCCAACACTGGGGATTAAAATTCGACATGAGATTTGGGTGGGGGCACAGATCCAAATCATATCAATATATATGCAAACCAAAAATAAAATTCTAAGCTCCCTAACCAACTGAATGGACCTCTCCTATTGGCCAAGGGGATTCCAAGGTAAACCTGAAAAAACAAATTCAGGCCAGTATGGGAAGGCAGGGTTAGCCATGCCTCATTATACTCTTCTCCCTTTGGAATTCAGGCACAACTGTCCAGCATTAACATTAAAACAGGTATCTTAAGACTGACAAAACAGACTCTTTGTAGCAATAAAATACCAAATTCCAACCTGACTCTAGTGTAGTATCACAGGACAGACAGGGAGCCCTGAAATAAATTGACATATTGGCCGGGCGTGGTGGCTCATGCCTGTAATCCCAGCATTTTGGAAGGCCAAGGCAAGTGGATCACCTGAGGTCAGGAGTTCGAGACCAGCCTGGCGAACATGGTGAAACCCCATCTTTACTAAAAATACAAAAATTAATCTGGCATGGTGGCGGGCACCTGTAGTGCCAGCTACTTGGAAGGCTGAGGCAGGAGAATCGCTTGAAGTGGGAGGTAGAGGTTGCAGTGAGCTGAGATTGCGCCATTGCATTCCAGCCTGGGCAACAAGAGTGAAACTCTGTCTCAAAAAAATAAAATAAAAAATAAAATAAAATAAAATAAAATAAAAAAAGACTGACAAAACAGACTCTTTGTAGCAATAAGTTACCAAATTTCAACCTGACTCTAGTGTAGCATTATAGGACAGACAGCGAGCCCTGAAATAAATTGAAGTATTTTACCAAAATACATTTCTTTGACATATTTTGAAATGGCCCTGGAAATTGTCTCTTGAGGGGAAGATCTACATTCTGTAAAGAATCCCCTTCCCTTTCCAGGTCTTTTCCTGATCCAGGAGAGATTGAAGTAAGAGTCTGGCACCTTTCATGATCTCACAAGAGATATTTACCTTCTATTCTCTCTGAAGCTTGCTACCTGGGGCTTCATCTACATAACAAGGACCTTGGCTTCCATAACCCCCCTTATCTACAATCATTTCTTTCTGCTGACTTCTACTCTTGAGGTAGAGCTTAGCCCTTTCAACCAATTGCCAATCAGGAAATATTTAAACGCACCTATGATGTGGAAGCCCCCTCCCCCACCTTCAAGATGTCCCTCCTTTTTGGGCTGAATCAATGTCCACCTTACACGTATATATTGATTTATGTCTCTGCCTGTAACTGCTGTCTTCCTAAAGTGTGGAAAAATCAAGCTGTAACCCAACCGATTTGGGCACATGTTCTCAGGACCTCCTGGGACTGTCATGGGTCACAGACCTCACATTTGGCTTAGAATAAATCTCTGCAAATTTTTACAGAGTTTGACTTCTTTTCATTGACATATATGTATAATTTTTGGACATTGCACAACAGGAAATTCAGGCCCGTGGTCTCTGTGAAAAGGAAAACAAATGGGTGCCCTGTGATTGTCCTGGCCTGTTGTGTGGAGGCACATGCTATCCTGCCCTATACTGAAAGGAATCACAGGCAGAGCATGAAACTTTCTCTGATTTGAAGAGACAGGGAGGTCTAGGTGGCTAAGACTTATAGGGCATAGTATGAGAGAGGAGGGAGTTAGTTGCATGAGGAAAAAGCTTCAGAAACCTGCATGGGAGTAAACTATACATGTGTATGGAGAAATTATGGCAATATGGGGAAAACAAACCAGAAAGCTGTAACTAAACAGCTCCCAGATGTCACTCAGGGCTGATAGATACCAGGACACTCCTGTTTCAGTCCCTGACAGTTTCTGTATTTCCAGCATCAACTGCCAGACACAGGAGTGAGCAAACCTTCAGCTCATTCCAGCCCCTAGCCTTGGAGCAATCCCAGCTAATGCTGTATGGAGCAGAGACAGGCTCTCTCTACTGAACCCTGCCCAGATTGCAAATTCATGAGCTGAATAAATGTTCTAAGCTAAAAACAATGGGGTGGTTTGTAACTTAGCATTACATATCTAGAACACATCCTGTATGCTTTCAACTTGTAATTGCTATGTGTGTTTTATTAATCAGTTACTGTATTATTTCCAAATGCAAGGTAAAAGTGGCTCTCTGGGGAATGGTTCCTTTCTGTCCTGTAGCTTGCACTCACCTCCAATACTTGCCCTTCTAGGTTGGGAGAATCTAATTCAGCAAAGTGTTTCTCTACATCAGGATGATGCTAAATGACTGATGAGGACATGGCTCTTAGTAAGAGCACTGCCAGAGACTTTAAATTTGATGAGACTCCTTGGCTAAAGCAACCTCTGAATGAAATTGTCTTCAGAGAAAAAAAAAATACTTTAACAAAGTCTTCCCCTTTCCCCTGCAGTTTTTTCCAACTTAGAAAGTATTGACGGTGTTTCCCAGGATGTCGTTTACTCATTTCCTACCACACAGCACCATTTCTCTTGGTAAGAATGGCGTTGTCCCTAGGTGACTTTTTATCAGTCTGAAATTCATACCATCTATTTGAAACTATTTCTTAGTTCAAGTTCTGCAGAAAGATTTTCCTTATTTTCCCCAATTTGGTCATAAAGATCAGCTTTTGTCACCCAATTATGCAGGCTCATCTAGCAAGGATGTCCTCTATTTCCCAAATAGTCTATTATGACCATATGTTGTTCTTACAATGGAAACAAATTAACACACACACACAAACTATATTGGAAAATGTTTATGTACTTCAGAAAACCTTCTATAAAGAAAGTTTAAGAGTCTAAGGTAAACTGGGAAAATATTTCCTGCAAATATGATAGATTTAAAGCAGGCCCCAACCTAAACATTGTCAACATTTCGAGCCACATAAATTTTTGCTGTGAGGGGCAGTCCTACACATTGGAGGATGCTTAGCAGCATCCCTGGTCTCTACCAATCAGATGCAGTTAGTATACTTCCAGTTTTGATGAGCAAAAAAGGTCTCCATACAATGTCAATATCCCCTTGAGGTGCCAAATCCACCCCCGGTTTAGAATAACTGATTTTTGGCTTTTCCCCTTTATTAGTTAGGCTGTGCTATGTTGCACTAATTGTGATAGACAGGGAGTTAACACAAAATTTTTGTTTTCACTCACTTCACTGTATTTTGAAAGTCAGTTGGCTCTTCTTTGTGGTTCTTCCTCAATGAAGGAAATCTAGGACAGCTTCCATAGTGATAATTTAGACCTCTATATTGCAACTTCAGGCTTCTTTATTGCAGTTTAGCCATCTCAAGAGTTCTTTACTTCTTGCTATAGGAATGAGAGAACAAGCCAAGGAGAATTCACAGTGCTTTATACTGACTCACAGTAGGAGTGATACATGCCCATTGGTGACATAGCTGCCCTGTCACCCCAATGTAACTGCCATGAAGACTGTACACAGAAAATTAATGGTGTGGTAACCAATCTCACCATTTTCACCAAATATATCTTATCTGAAAATGGTTTCTTGAAATAATTTAAAAGTCTTTACTGTTAAACATCCAATGTCAAAATTACAAAATGTGTAGAGTAGTAACCAAAGAAATAAAAATGATTAATAAATATGTTAAATTGTTTAAGTTAGCTAATAATCAAAAGAAAATATTAAAATGATTTGCTTTTATAATATTGACACATTTAACAGTGGTAATACACAATGCTGATGAGGATAAAATAAGATAGCAATTTTATATATTACTGGTGAGATGGTCAGTTATTGAAAACTTTGTAGAAAAACATTGTTAGTAGATATCAAAGACCTTATAATGCTCACACTTTTTGATTCAGTAATACCATTTGTATAAACATACTCTATGACAAAGAGGTAATCAGATATACATTTATGTGAAATGATTTTTATTAAAGCAATTTTATAGATGTAAATACTTGGAGTAACAAGCACATGCAAGAGTCAGGAACCAAGTAAATACAAACACTCAGACATCCTCTTATCACACTTCGGTTTGAGTCAACAAAAAATAATCACAGAGAATCTAAAAGGGTTCACGTTTTCATCTTTATTGTAGTTAAAGCTAGAATGGAGAACAGGCCAATGCATCTGGCCTCTGACCTTCAGCTCCTAACTTAGCTCTTGCAAAGTTCTTGAGTGTAAATAATTCAGAGGATGGAACAAATATGGCAGACCCCTGGGATGGACCTGTCAGAAGCTTGAGGGGAGGTCATTTAAGAGACAAAAGAGAGAGAGGGTTGTAGGTTGGTTTATTTTATTTTTTAATTTTTGTGATTATACTTTAAGTTCTGGGATACATGTACAGAATGTGCAGGTTTGTTACATAGGTATACACGTGCCATGGTGGTTTGCTGCACCCATCAACCCATTATCTGCATTAGGTATTTCTCCTCATGCTCTCCCTCCCCTAGCTGCCTGACCCCCAACAGGCTCCAGTATGTGGCATTCCCCTCCCTATGTCCATGTGTTCTCATTGTTCAACTCCCACTTATGAGTGAGAACACACGGTGTTTGGTTTTCTGTTCTTGTGTTAGTTTGCTGAGAATGACGGTTTCCAGCTTCACCCATGTCCCTGCAAAGGACATGAACTCATCCTTTTAATGGCTGCATAGTATTTCATGGTGTATATGTGCCACATTTTCTTTATCCAGTCTATCATTGATGGACATTTGGGTTGGTTCCAAGTCTTTGCTATCGTGAACAGTGCTGCAATAAACATACATGTACATGTGTCTTTATAGTAGTATGATTTATAATCCTTTGGGTATATACCCAGTAATGGGATCGCTGGGTCAAATGGTATTTCTGGTTCTAGATCCTTGAGGAATCGCCACACTATCTTCCACAATGGTTGAACTAATTTATACTCCCACCAACAGAGTAAAAGTGTTCCTATTTCTCCACATCCTCTCCAGCATCTGTTGTTTCCTGACTTTTTAGTTATTGCCATTCTAACTGGGGTTGGTTTATTTTTAGACACTACTGGTAATTTGGACCAATCAATTTGAGGCTTTAAAGCAGCCTCCATTCAAGTAATCCATTCTTCTTCCAAAATGTTATCACTGAAAATCAGATACAGTACAAGTTAGAAGCTCCATGGTGGTAATGCTTCTTCCTGGAGGATGAAAAAAGACATTTCCTCATAGAGTGGATTGGAGAAGGGGGATGTTTAGGGAAAGGGAGGGAGAAAAGAGTACCCTATCTAACATAATCAGGCACATTTAAGTGATGGGATATTATGCACTCAATGAAAATAATGATTAGAGAAGTATTTAATATATCAAAATGGCAATAATATCAAGGTAAATCAAGAGAAAAATGCAGATTAAAGAGTTGTATAAACAATACCAAATCATTTACTTAGATAAAGAGATGGTGGTGATGCACAGCTGTAGTCCCAGGTACTCAGGAGGCTGAGATGGGAGGATCACTTGAGTCAAGGGGTTCAAGGCCAGCCTGGGAAACATAGAGCATGTCTCTTAAATATATATATGTATACACACACACACACACACACACACACACAGACATATATATGTATATGATATGATAGAAATTACCTCTGAGTGATGGGATACAGAATAATTAATATATTTAGCTTCTATGTTTTCCTGTTTTTTTTCTGTATTTTAGAAAATGTACTTTAGCAACTTACTAAAATATTTGATATCCCAATCTATTGATCTATATCTGGCTACTACTAAAATTTAGGGGAAGTGCATGTGGTCATTGGCGTAGGTAGACCATATGTCTAATTCCTACATGCACAGATTAGCTGCAGATGGGCATCATACCAGGTTAAAGGTTGCATCAGATTAAGGGTTCAGAGAAGGAGCGAGGGCTGGGAAAATGGTCATGTTGAATATAAGCATCTCTTCAATTAGGGGTTAGCTAGATAGGCAAATTAAAATAAAGACAATTCATATGTGAATGGGAGCTGGGGAGGGCAGTGTGTATGTGCAGAAATGAGTTTTAAAACCCAGGCAGTCAGCACTTGGTAGATCTATAATAGAAACTAGGAGACTGGGCGTGGTGGCTCACACCTGTAATTCCAGCACTTTGGGAACCTGAGGCGGGTGGATCACCTGAGGTCAGGAGTTTGAGACCAGCCTGGCCAACATGGTGAAACCCCGTCTCTACTAAAAATTAAAAACAACAATAAAAAATTAGCCAGGCGTGGTGGTGCATGCCTGTAATCTCAGCTAATTGGGAGGCTGAGGCAGGAGAATTGCTTGAACCTGGGAGGTGGAGGTTGCAGTGAGCCAAGATTGCATCATTACTCTCCAGCCTCGGTGACGGAGCAAGACTCTGTCTCAAAACAAACAAACCAACAGAAAAACAAAAACTAGGAAACTAGGATCACTAACATTGTTCCAGTAGCTTCTGTTTGAGGAATTTGTTTTTTTTTTTTTTTAAGCATTTAGGCAGGTAGAAATGCATATGCAAGTTTCTAGCAGAAAGGAGGACCCTGTTTGCCACACATACCTCGAAACCTTACTGAGAGTCACTTCTGAGTAACCCTGATGTAGCTATCCACAGGTTGCTGATAATTAGGAACCAGCTGGCTGCATAGTGAGTGAGGCTGAGGCACAGATTTTTTTTTTTTTTTTGGCAGAGTTAGTTCCCTGACACCTGTTGTGCTTTGTAAGTTCCATTTATACTTTTTAATATATCTGCTCCTTCCTCACTGGTGCTCTGACAACTGTAAAAGAATGTTTCCACCAGAGCATTAACTTTGCTTCAGATTTGAAGCTTTCATTTTATGTGTATAGGAAAGCAGATAACTCAACCTGTTCAAAATACATATTGAGTGAGTTAATATGTTTCAGAGAATTACTGCTTTAGTATTTGTACTTTGTGAAAACTATAATTGTGTCTTAAATGATTTTATTTTTGTATATGGTAAGGTCCAGATATAGCCTAGAGCAGTGGTTCTCAAAGTGCATTCCCTGACCAGGCTCATCAGCACCACCTGGGAATGCAAATTCTTAGGCCCTGCCCCAGATCTAATGCATCGGGAACTCTGGGAGTGCGGATCAGCACTGTGTGTTTCTTTAAATTGACAAATTATAGATGTATACTGTAATCAGCATTCAAAAGCATTCCAGAAATTAGTAGTTAATATAAGATCATGTTCTATTGATTAATTTGTGTGAGTGTGACCAAGACAGAGCATTAACAGGTGAAGACTCAACACAAAGAATAAACGTCAATGACAGAATAGCCCACAATGGTACAGATAATAGAGGAAGATAGTGGAGATTCATGGACTTCTAGGGGCTCCTGGAATCACATCACCTAAGTGACTGTCTACATGTGAATACAATCTGCTCCATGAGCCAAATACCAACTCCAACAAACTTGATATTTTAAGAATATCAAAGAAAGACACATGTGCCTGGCCAATGGGGAATACAAGAGAGAGGATTTCCAGGAACGAGTGCACTCTTTCTCTTCCTCCAAAATGTAAATGAAAAACATTCTGAAATCTTCCTTTCACATGTCCTTCCCTCCTACCTAACTTTGACTACAGGTACACATTTTGGACAATTAAAACATATCCATACTTGACTAGAGGCTATTTTCAAAGTTGAAATGGTCTAACACACAGGTCTAAGACAATCATTTGTGACTCTTAGTTGATGAGCCTTAGCTTGCTGTCCTTGCTTTGAAATCCTATATTTTTCACTAAATCTAAAACATTTGATTTCAATGATTAATAAGAAAACCTACAATACTGAGTGTCAGGACCTGTACTAAAGTTTTATACTTAGCATCTCATTTCAGCTTCAATACATGGAGAGGGTCATAAAATACCTCCCATGGAAAGGTGAAGAAAATAATGCTCAGAGAGATTAAATGTCTCTCCCAAGGCCATAAGGCCAATGAGTTGTAGAGCTCAGATTGTAATAAAAATGGCTGACTCAAAACCCATGTGTTTAAGCGAGAGAATGAGGAAGTCCCACACCAGATGAAGGCACAACCCCATGTCCTTTTGGGAAGGTAAACCTCCTCTTTCAGGGTAACCCTGAGGTCACAGCAGTACACAGTTATTATCACCTGATAGGCTCATAAGGCTGTGTCCTAGGATGGAAAAACATTTGAAATATGTAAACTGTGTACTTCTCCATTGATTTGAGATGGGACCCAGGCCTTGGATATTTTTCTTCATTTAATGCTTTATTGAAGCATAATGTATTTGCAATATACATACTGAATACCATCTTAAGCCTTGATATGTTTAAAAGCTCCCTCAGGTGATTGTAATTTGCAGCCAGGGTTAAGTACCCATATTGAGAGGGGAAAACAATAAAAATCCTTATGTTCTTAAGAGCTTTCTTCCTTTATTCGTTGAATTCACATTTTAGTTTTTCTGTTCTTGTTAAGAATCTATCTGCAACTGATGTTATAGTAATTATGCTTGTGTTTTCCAGACAATGTGGACACCAAGCACATACACAATTAGGATACTCTAAATGTGTTAACTGTTCATAATATTCTTTGAGAATTCCTTTTTTAGAGGTGGCAAGGATTTGAAAAAATTTGCCTGTTCAACCTCATTAATATTTAGTGAAGTGCCTAGATTAAATTGAGCTGATCACTGAACAGGTGCAAAGGGACCTGCTTAATAAGTGGAGGATTTCTATGGCATCAACATAGCCACATTCTTTGTAGACAAATGAATATGATTTAGTTTGTATGCATGAAGCACAATTTCACTGTTGGCCCAGATGTTGATCAGCAACACTAGAAGTGAGGGGAACAATCTGAAAATCTGGATGGAAAACTAAAGTATTTGTTCAGAATAAAAAATATTTGTGGCTAAAAGGGTAAAAAATACTGTGCTGTTTAGCCTCTATTCCATAGATAATAAGCACCGGAAAAACAGTTCAGATTCTGCTGCCTAGCAGAATGAGCAAAGAACAGCAGTAATCCAATTTTTGTGGTTAAAACTGTGCCACTGATATTTTTGCTCACGCAGGCTGTTGGGCTAAAAGTGAACAGGAGTGCACAACTATAAAATGAATATCATTAGCCTTTGAGCATTTCCACCTTCTGTATTAAATTGGAAACAGGGGAAACCAAATAAGCACCAGTTACTTCTCTAAGTAGCATTATTTTTATAATAGTAAGAAACAAGCTGCTTCAAACAACAGAAACAATTGTTCCTGAGATCTAGATTCTGAGTCCTCATATTAAATGTGAAAAGAAGCAGTCATAAACAAGACATATTGACAGAATATAATTTAAACCGTGGCTCCCTGTGCATAGTCCCAGTGATTTGAAATTCATCACTAACTGAAACATTCAACATTTCTGTCTCATAATTTATGCAGGTTCTAAAAGCCTGACATTGCTTAGAATCATGAGCTTCATAGTTCTTTATTACTTTAAGAGAACAATAGTAATGAGATGGATATAGGCAGGTTGAAAGCTTGCTGGGGCTGAGGATGAATTGTAAGAGCGAGAAGCACCAAGTCAGGATAGATAAATTAAATTTTATGCATTAAAATTAGAGGTCTAGTTTCATGCAATCAAAACATATAAAGGGCTTGGGAAAAATAAAAACCCAAGACAAAATAAAACTGAATACTTTGATTTTAATGAAAACATTTACTAGTGAAAAATAAACAGTTTTAATATGATAATTAAAGATGAACTAAGGATTAGAACTCTCATACATTGTTGGTGGGAATGTAGAAGGATGCAGCCCCTTTGGAAAAGTGTGGTAGTTCTTCAATGTTAAACACAGAGTTACCATATGACCCAGCAATTCCACTCCAAAAAGAACTGAAAACATATATCAACAAAAACGGGGTTCATAGATGTTCACAGCAGCATTATTCATAATAGCCAAAAAAATGAAACAACAAGAATGCTCATGAACTGATGAATGGATAAACAAAATGTTTTATATCCATACAATGGAATATTATTCGGTCATAAAAAAGAATTAAGTACTGATACATGCTATAATATGGATGAATCTTGAAAACATTTTACTAGGTTAAAAGCCAGACATGAAAAAACCATGTAGTGTTTAATTTCATCTATATGAAATACCCAGAATAGGTAAATCCATAGAGTCAGAAAATAGACTGGTGGTTGTCTAGGGCTGGGTGGGGAGAGCTTGAGGGAAAATGGTGAGTGACTGCTGATGGGAACAGGAGTTTCCCATTGTTAGGGTGATGAAAATGTTCTGAAATAGAATAGCAGCAGTGGTTGCATAATTCTATAAGTACAATTGACTCTTGAACAACATGGGTTTCAACTGCACAGATCCACTTATATGTGGAGATTTTTCAACTAAACGCAGATGGAAACGACAGTATTCTCAGGATGTGAAACCCACATCTATGGAATGTGGATTTTTCATATATGTGGGTTCCACAGGGCTGACTGTGGGACTTAAGTATGCACAGATTTTGGTATACATGAGGGTCCTGGAACCAATCCCCTGCATATACTCAGTGACCACCATATTACTAAAGATCACTGAATTGTACATTTTTAAAAGATGTAGTTTATGGTATGTGAATCATATCTCAATAAAGCTATTAAACAAGTGAAAAAGAAGATGAACTACATAGTGATATCAAGTACTGATTACTTTAAAGAAGCTGTGGCTTGGGGAACAGTAGAAGTGGTATAGAATTCATCTTCTAAACAAAGGCAATAATGGAGATGGATGGGGACTATGTAATTATAGTCAGCTGGCAAAATTATAAACTTTTTCAGCCAAAGTTTAAACAATGTAGAAAAAGAGAAATTCAAATCACTTCTGTGAGGTTCAGGTTTAAACCAAATTGAAAGAAACAAAAAAACAAATTTAACAACTCATTGAAATCAACAAAATAACTGTTCCTTGAGGCTATTGTATAAAATTACTAATTTGAGCATGCAATTAGTAATATCTCTGTGTATTTTTTAAAGTTGCTGAGGCGCTAATTTTGTGTGTGTGTGTGAGTGTGTGTGTGTGTGTGTGTGTGCCTAAGAAATATCCCAAGTGACGCAGAATGTATAAGATATTCTTGCACAGGAAACTATGGAGTATGTGAGTTACTTTATGAATTACCATAGTCAATATTAACTAATTATTACAAAAAATCATCCTGCCCAGGGAATCCAAAGTATATGTTTTTAAGTTTTGAGCTTAAGAAATTTTGAATTAGGGTTTACAGTTTTGATTTCTTATAATGCTCCTCCCATCATAATAGTTATGGAACTGAAATTTGGATATACTAAAACAGAGGTATTTCCTTTTCCTTTCCTACTTTCTTATTTTTCTTGGCCCTCAAATGGCCTAGTTTATAAAACAGTGATTAGTCCAAATAGGGTCATATCTTAAGTGTATGGAATTTTAATATGAACACTAATATGCAATTGAAATAAAAGTTTATGAGAGGCCCGAACACACTTGTGCTAGCTAATTCTCCCTCAGGTGGGAAATTCTCCAGATACATTTGGAAGGCATTTGTGTGGCAAACAAGTTGGTGAGGACATTAGGAATAATTTGAGTCAAATATTAAAGGATTTACGTGAACTGGTGCATGTACAAGAATTTTGGGATACTGCATATCTGCTATATTTCCAACTTACTTTGGTCAGTAGTAACACATAATGTAGTAAATTTTCTACATTTTCTCACCAGTTCTAATATTCATTCTCATTTCTGATTGATGGAAACCTAGGAACCCAGAGCAGGGTAAGCAGCAAGTTTTCCTGTAGATACTGCTTTCTCAATGCTCAGTATTTACTTTATGGGACTAAAACAATCTCTGGATATGGGCCAGTGGAATTGAGAGCTGCTATAGAATTCTGAAATGTGCTATAATCAATTGTGCATTTGCATTTTATATGCTGAATCTTGTGGAGCACAGTCATGGTGAACAGTATTTGTGAATGTGCTTTGTATGGACAATAATATGGCTAATACGTCAACTTTCTGATTAGGTGATTAAGTATTTACATATTGTAATATTTGGCATAATTCTTTGGTAATTCTCAATATTCATTTCAATTTTTTCAGATATCTTTGGTTTAGGGCATTTGGGGTCGTGAGTATATACCTAAGGGTTTCTGCAAAAATCAGAGTTCACTAGAATTCTTGTGCCCTAAATGAGCAATAATAAAGGCAAGGGAAATGAGAAAGTAGATTAAAATAGTGGATCTCAAATATGGGGTTTTAAGCACATATTTTGGCTCATGGGAATGAAAACTGAAAGATTTTATGTAAAAATCTTGAAACTCAATTATTTATTGTTATTTTACACCAAGTACATGGATTTAATTTGTTGATCTAAGTGCTTCATGACTTTAATATTTTGGTTTTCCTCTGAAATTAGTTTGGATGGTTTTATTCTCTAGGCTTAGAAAAAGTTGACACATTAGGTCATCTAGACCTGTACAGTTTAGGGCCAACTTCAGGATCATTTGGCCACAGGTCAAAGTGAACAAAAATAATGCATATAAAGAAGAATAAAAATTTTTCTGGAGAGGGCATCAGCATAATTTAATCACATATACAATATATAGCATGAAATAAAGTTGGATAACTGTACAATGATAGCTCAAAAGAGAAAAAAATGAAGTAATAAGCTCTCATAGTAAAGTGTGGAGATAAGTAAAAATACAACTAAATTGGAAAAATAAATACGAACTGCTGATCCTCTGTCCCTCTTTTCTTTTTAAGGGAACTCTTTCTTTGTCAATAAAGTGACTAATCTCTGGCACTATCCTGGCTACTCAGGTCATTAAATAGAACAACCTAATGTGCTTTCTAGGTTCCCATGTGTTTGAACTCAACATTATATTCCACTAAAAGAAAAAATTTCTCGTTTGGGGGAGAAACAAATAAAGATGAGCTTGGAGCATCTTATTATTGCAAGAAAGCCAGGATTCATTAAGAGAAACATGAATTCGTGTTTAAAAGGACAAAGTGGCCAGCATACAAAGAGGGCTGCCAATCACCAAGTAGTGACAATTTCATGTTAAAAAGGGATGGAATTATTAAAGTTAATTACAACATTGAGTTTAGAAGAAGTCCTGGTTTCATGTCAATACTATAAATGGAATGGGCACTCAGAACTTGTTAAATGTAATTGCAATACATAAACCATAATGCATGAATTTTAATAGTGTCTATAAAATATACGTCAATTAACACAAATTAGATAATTGCTACACTGAACTTCTGATGAACCATTGGGCTGCAAAATACAGAGTTTTAAAAAATATATACAGATAAATAAAAATTTAATAATGAGAGTGCTGAGTGGGAAATTAAATGGGAATCCTGAATGGGAAGAAATAAGGGAGGATTTAAAAGGGCAACCTATTGTATAGGAGAAAGAAATAGTATAAATATTATCTTATAGAAATAAAAGGAGTGACTTTTTACATAAAAAGTAAATTTTAGAGATCAGGCTAACCTTTGAGAGGAGGAAGAGAGAAAGAAGAAATAAAGCAAGCAAGACTATGAAATGGTTTGCATTCTCTTGGCCACAATAATGAAAGTAGTGAAAAACATAGTAAAGGTCAAACTGAGTGGAGTCATTATCCAAATTGAGGGTGAATTGTGTGCATTCTAATTTTGTTACAGTGGCATTAGGTCCCAAACTCCCATGGAAACATAATAGGGGAAATATCACATTTAAATGGTATTTCTTGAGAGGTGAGGACAAATGCAATCTACATTTTTATTTTGTTTTTAAACTTCACCTTTTATTTTAAATATAGGGGTACGAGTACAGGTTTGTTACATGGGCATATTGCACTCAGGTAGTGAGAAAGGTACCCAATAGGTAGTTTTTCAATCTACGCTCCCTCCTCCCTGCTCTAGTAGTCCACAGTGTCTATTATTCCCATGTTTATGTCTATGTGTGCTCAATGGTTAGCTCCCACTTATCAGTCAGAACATGTGGTATTTGGTTTTCTATTCCTGTATTAGGATTATGGCATCCAGCTCCAGCTTCATGCATGTTGCCGCAAAGTACATGATTTAATTCTTTTTTATGGCTGTGTAGTATTTCATGGTGTGTACATATCACATTTGCTTTATCCAATCCACCACTGATGGGCACTTAGGTTGATTCCATGTCTTTGCTAGTGAGAATAGTGTGGGGATGAAAATATTATTACAAGTGTCTTTTCAGTATACTGATTTATTTTCCTTTGAGTATATACCCAGTAATGGGATTATCGGGTTGAGTGATAGCTCTGTTCTAAGTTCTTTAAAAAATCTCCTGACTGTTTTCCACAGTAGCTGAACTAATTTGTATTCCCACCAACAGTGTATAAGTAAGTATTCCCTTTTCTCCACAGCCTCGCCATCTGTTGTTTTTTGACTTTTTAATAATAGCCATTATGACTGGTGTGAGATGGTATTTTATTGACAGAATCCCATTTGCAATAGCCACAAAGAAACTATCAATAGAATAAATGAAAGAAAATGTTTACAAACCATGCAACCAATGAAGGTCTACTATCCAGAACTTAAATTAACATGCAAAAAAACAAATAACCCCCATTAAAATATAGGCAAAAGACAGGAACAGACACTTCTCCAAAAATCCTTACACACGGCCAACAAACATATGAAAAACATTCTCATGATCGTTAATCATCAGAGACATCTAGGTTTCTTGACCTGAATGAATGGTAAGGTCAAGGACCACCTTTTGCAGAGATTTGTAGGGGAGGCAGAGAAGTGGTGTAAATTGGAGAATTTGAGTCATGTACAAAGAGATTTATATAAACCAGCACATCTGATACAGTTTCTAGGTACTGCAGACCTGCTTCTTCTCCCCTTAACCCTACTCAAATCAGTGGAGTTTTCCAACAGTGTTTAGTTTATCTATATTGTCTTACCCACTCCATTTGTTGGCTCTGCTTCCTGGGAGAATCCCTTAGGAACTGAGCCTGGGGGAAAGACTGAGTTAGTTGGCTTCAGATCCAAGTAATCTAAGCGAGCAGGAGAGTTGGGTTGGATCACTCAAGATGGGGTGGAATAGAATAAGGAAAGAATAATCATAATGACTTTTAGCAAATCTTCCCTGTCAAAAATCCAAAGTTTAAGTTAAAATAGATGTATAGGTTCCTTAAATGTTAACAGGTGAAAGTTTCCTCTCCTTATTTTACATACGACATCACTGAGGCCCAACGTGGTAAAGTGATTCACCCAAGATCGCTCAGATACCTAATGGCAGAGCACGTTCCTTGGCTTTTCTGTCCAGTTTTCTATCTCCTGTAATGAACTGCTGTGGTGTTGAAAAAGAACAGGTAACATAATGTATGATCTGAAGATGACATTTTAAATGATAAGTTAAACATTTCCTACATATAAATAATGTTCACACAAAGATAACTCAAGGTCTAGGAGAGAACGAGAATAAATCAGGGGCAAAGTGTAAAAATATTAATGTGACTTTTATATCAAAAATACATAGATTAATTTGTCTAAATTTTGCCAAAGTTAGTACCGTTCACCATGTTAATGATGTGTAGAAATACCCAAACACATTAAAATTTAATTCTGGTAAATGTGAGAGGCTTGTTTGATTTCATAGAAAAATCTGATTTCTAAAATATAATTAAAATTAATGAAGCTTTATTACTTTCAGGTAAACATAGTAACTAGTCACAAGTAAACTTTTTTACTTGTGCCAAATTTACTTACATCAGAATAGTTTCCAATTAGTATTTTGTTTATTTTATATAGGGATGACAAAATTTTTTAAAAATAGTTTGTTCTTGATTTGTTAAATACCTCTCGTTTATTTAACATTAGGTTGGTACAAAGGTAATTACTGTTTTTTGTCATTAAAAGTAATGGCAGAAACCAATCTAATACTACTGATTAGCTTAGAAAATTGTTTTTACTAATAATTGTAAATGTAAGCACCTCACAAACCTGTATTTTAATTTTATGAATTATATTTTAATAGACTTTAAATCAACAACAGTAAAAAAAAAAAAAGGCCATTATATAATTATCAAGGTATCAATTCAACGAGAAAACATAACAATCCTACATATATATTCATGGAACACCAGAGCATTCAAATATGTAAAACAAATATTACTAGAACTAAGAAAAGAGATAGACAGCAATATAATAATAATGGGGAACTTCGACACCCTAGTTATAGCAATAGACAGATAATCGAAAGAGAAAATCAACAAAGAAACATTGGACTAAATTGGATTTTAGACCAAATGACTCTAACAGATATTTACAGAAAATTCTACCCAACAACCACAGAATACACATTCTTTTTCTTAGCACATGGAAGAACTTTCTCCAAGACAGACGATATGTCATCTCACAAAGGAAATATCAATACATTTAAAAAATTGAAATCATATTAAATATCTTCTAATATAAATATGTATGTATACTAGTGATTTATCTGTCTATTCTTTTGGATTTTTCTAAATAGTCATATTGTCTTGAATAGCAAGTATTTTATTTATTGCTTTCCAGCTCTTAAGACTTTTGTTTCATTTATTTTCTTTTGGATTGCTCGGAGATCTCCAGGATAAAACTGACTACTTGCAGTGCTAACAGGCATTTTCATTTTATCCCTATGTCAAAGGAAAATATTTCATCATTGTATCACTAAATATAATGCTCGTCCCCAAATCAACTTTTATCCGATTACAGAGGTGTCCCTCTTTTTGTGGGCTGCAAGAGGTTTATTTATTTATTTTTTCATTTCTTACATTTTTTGAGAAAACGATGATGTAATTATTCTTTCAATGTGGTGACTTACATTAATTAAACTACTAATGTGGCATTCTTCTATGATCCCATTATGTTCTTTAAAATTTTTAATTGACAAAATAGTATGTATGTATGGTGTACATATTTTAATAAGTGGGTACATTGTGGAATGGCTATTTGAAATGCACAATACCTCATATACTTAACATTTTTTTCATAATGATATCACTTAAAATCTACCTTTAGTAATTTTCAAGTATACAATATATTATATACAGTCACATGATGGACAATAAATATCTTGAACTGAGTCTTTCAGTCTAACAGTTATGTTCGTGGTGGTTTATCTATTTTGTGAATATCTGGATTTTTTTTTTTTTCAGACGGAATCTCCCTCTGTCGCCCAGGCTGGAGTGCAGTGGACCGATCTGGGCTCACTGCAAGCTCCGCCTCCCAGGTTCGTGCCATTCTCCTGCCTCGGCCTCCCAAGTAGCTGGGACTACAGGTGCCCACTACCACCCCTGGCTAATTTTTTGTATTTTTAGTAGAGACGGGGTTTCACCATGTTGGCCAGGATGGTCTCGATCTCTTGACTTCATGATCCACCCGCCTCGGCCTCCCAAAGTGCTGGGATTACAGGCATGAACCACCGCCCTGGCCAAATTTCTGGATTTTTAAATGCAGCTTGTAGGATTTTTGTGTTTGTGTTCTTGGGAAGGACAGACCTTTATTTTTCCTTTCTTGTAAAACCCTCATTGTGTTTTGGTATCAAGACTGTGTTGGTATTATAAAATTAGTTAATGGATTTTCCTTTTTATCCTATTCTTTGAAATACTTTGTTTCTGATGCATGTTATTTTTAAATGTTCGATATAATTTATTGGTTGAAGTTTGATTTAATACACTGATTTAGCAAGAAGATTTCTTTATGGGAAAACATGATTCATTTTTGAGAGGTAATATTCATAATTTCTATTTTTGTGGCAGTTTTGCTAAGTTTTGTTTTATAAGAAAATGATCTTCTGAAGCCTTCCTCTCTCAAATTGTCAAAGTCATTCTCCGTCCAGCTTTGTTCTGCTGCTGGTGAGGAGCTGTGTTCCTTTGGAGGAGGAGAGGCGCTGTGATTTTTAGAGTTTCCGGTTTTTCTGTTCTGTTTTTTCCATATCTTTGTGGTTTTATCTACCTTTGGTCTTTGATGATGGTGACGTACAGATGGGTTTTTGGTGTGGATGTCCTTTCTGTTTGTTAGTTTCCCTTCTAACAGCCAGGACCCTCAGCTGCAGGTCTGTTGGAATTTACTGGAGGTCCACTCCAGACGCTGTTTGCCTGGGTATCAGCAGCGGTGGCTGCAGAACAGCGGATATTGGTGAACCGCAAATGCTGCTGCCTGATCGTTCCTCTGGAAGTTTTGTCTCAGAGGAGTACCCGGCCATGTGAGGTGTCAGTCCGCCCCTACTGGGGGGTGCCTCCCAGTTAGGCTACTCGGAGGGTCAGGGACCCACTTGAGGAGGCAGTCTGCCCGTTCTCAGATCTCAAGCTGCGTGCTGGGAGAACCACTGCTCTCTTCAAAGCTGTCAGACAGAGATATTTAAGTCTGCAGAGGTTAGTGCTGTCTTTTGTTTGTCTGTGCCCTGCCCCCAGAGGTGGAGCCTACAGAGGCAGGCAGGCCTCCTTGAGCTGTGGTGGGCTACACCCAATTCGAGCTTCCCTTCCGCTTTGTTTACCTACTCAAGCCTGAGCAATGGCGGGCCCCCCTCCCCCAGCCTCGCTGCCTCCTTGCAGTTTGATCTCAGACTGCTGTGCTAGCAATGAGCGAGGCTCCCTGGGTGTAGGACCCTCCGAGCCATGTGCGGGATATAATCTTCTGGTGTGCCGTTTGTGAAGCCCGTGGGAAAAGCGCAGTATTAGGGTGGGAGTGATCCAATTTTCCAGGTGCTGTCTGTCACCACTTTCTTTGACTAGGAAAGGGAATTCCCTGACCCCTTGCGATTCCCAGGTGAGGCGATGCCTCGCCCTGCTTCAGCTCACACACGGTGTGCTGCACCCACTGTCCTGCACCCACTGTCCAGCACTTCCCTGTGAGATGAACCCGGTACCTCAGTTGGAAATGCAGAAATCACCCGTCTTCTGCGTCGCTCACGCTGGACTCAGCTCCGCACCAAGCGGACCTAATAGACATCTACAGAACTCTCCACCCCAAATCAACAGAATAGACATTCTTTTCAGCACCACACCACACCTATTCCAAAATTGACCACATAGTTGGAAGTAAAGCACTCCTCAGCAAATGTAAAAGAACAGAAATTATAACAAACTGTCTCTCAGACCACAGTACAATCAAACTAGAACTCAGGATTAAGAAACTCATTCAATACCGCTCAACTACCTGGAAACTGAACAACCTGCTCCTGAATGACTACTGGGTACATCATGCAATGAAGCCAGAAATAAAGATGTTCTTTGAAACCAATGAGAACAAAGACACAACATACCAGAATGTCTGGGACACATTCAAAGCAGTGTGTAGAGGGAAATTTATAGCACTAAATGCCCAGAAGAGAAAGCAGAAAAGATCTAAAATTGACCCCCTAACATCACAATTAAAAGAGCTAGAGAAGCAAGAGCAAACACATTCAAAAGCTAGCAGAAGGCAAGAAATAACTAAGATCAGAGCATAACTGAAGGAAATAGAGACACAAAAACCCTTCAAAAAATCAATGAATCCAGGAGCTGGTTTTTTGAAAAGATCAACAAAATTGATAGACCACTAGCAAGACCAATAAAGGAGAAAAGAGAGAAGAATCAAATAGACGCAATAAAAAATGACAAAGGGGATATCACCACCGATCCCACAGAAATACAAACTACCATCAGAGAATACTATAAACACCTCTACGCAAATAAACTAGAAAATCTAGAAGAAATGGATAAATTCCTGGACACGTACACTCTCCCAAGACTAAACCAGGAAGAAATCAAATCCCTGAGTAGACCAATAATAAGTTCTGAAATTGAGGCAGTAATTAATAGCCTACCAACCAAAAAAATTCCAGGACCAGACGGGTTCACAGCCAAATTCTACCAGAGGTACAAGGAGGAGCTGGTACCATTCCTTCTGAAACTATTCCAATCAACAGAAAAAGAGGGAATCCTCCCTAACTCATTTTATGAGGCCAGCATCATCCTGATACCAAAGCCTGGCAGAGACACAACAGAAAAAGAGAATTTTAGATCAATATCCTTGATGAACATTGATGCAAAAATCCTCAATAAAATATTGGCAAACCGAATCCAGCAACACATCAAAAAGCTTATCCACCATGATCAAGTGGGCTTCATCCCTGGGATGCAAGGCTGGTTCAACATATGAAAATCAATAAATATAATCCAGCATATAAACAGAACCAAAGACAAAAACCACATGATTATCTCAATAGATGCAGAAAAGGCCTTTGACAAAATTCAACAGCCCTTCATGCTAAAAACTCTCAATCAATTAGGTATTGATGGGACATATCTCAAAATAATAAGAGCTATCTATGACAAACCCACAGCCAATACCATACTGAATGGGCAAAAACTGGAAGCATTCCCTTTGAAAACTGGCACAAGACAGGGATGCCCTCTCTCACCACTCCTATTCAACATAGTTTTGGAAGTTCTGGCCAGGGCAATCAGGCAGGAGAAGGGAATAAAGGGCATTCAATTAGGAAAAGAGGAAGTCAAATTGTCCCTGTTTGCAGACGACATGATTGTGTATCTAGAAAACCCCATTGTCTCAGCCCAAAATCTCCTTAAGCTGATAAGCAACTTCAGCAAAGTATCAGGATACAAAATCAATGTGCAAAAATCACAAGCATTCTTATACACCAATAACAGACAAACAGAGAGCCAAATCATGAGTGAACTCCCATTCACAATTGCTTCAAAGAGAATAAAATACCTAGGAATCCAACTTACAAGGGATGTGAAGGACCTCTTCAAGGACTACAAACCACTGCTCAATGAAATAAAAGAGGATACAAACAAATGGAAGAACATTCCATGCTCATGGGTAGGAAGAATTAATATCGTGAAAATGGCCACACTGCCCAAGGTAATTTACAGATTCAGTGCCATCCCCATCAAGCTACCAATGACCTTCTTCACAGCTTTGGAAAAAACTACTTTAAAGTTCATATGGAACCAAAAAAGAGCCCTCATTGCCAAGTCTATCCTAAGCCAAAAGAACAAAGCTGGAGGCATCACGCTAACTGACCTGAAACTATACTACAAGGCTACAGTAACCAAAACAGCATGGTACTGGTACCAAAACAGAGATACAGACCAATGGAACAGAACAGAGCCCTCAGAAATAATTCCACATATCTACAACTATCTGATCTTTGACAAACCTGACAAAAACAAGAAATGGGGAAAGGATTCCTTATTTAATAAATGGTGCTGGGAATACTGGCTAGCCATATGTAGAAAGCTGAAACTGGATCCCTTCCTTAACACCTTATACAAAAATTAATTCAAGATGGAATAAAGACTTAAATGTTAGACCTAAAACCATAAAAACCCTAGAAGAAAACCTAGGCAATACCATTCAGGACATAGGCATGGGCAAGGACTTCATGTCTAAAACACCAAAAGCAATGTCAACAAAAGCCAAAATTGACAAATGGGATCTAATTAAGCTAAGGAGCTTCTGCACAGCAAAAGAAACTACCATCAGAGTGAACAGGCAACCTACAAAATGGGAGAAAATTTTTGCAACCTACTCATCTGACAAAGGGCTAATATCCAGAATCTACAATGAACTCAAACAAATTTACAAGAAAAAAACAAACAACCCCATCAAAAAGTGGGCGAAGGATATGAACAGACACTTCTCAAAAGAAAACATTTATGCAGCCAAAAAACATATGAAAAAATGCTCATCATCACTGGCCATCAGAGAAATGCAAATCAAAACCACAATGAGATACTATCTCACACCAGTTAGAATGGTGATCATTAAAAAGTCAGGAAACAACAGGTGCTAGAGAGGATGTGGAGAAATAGGAACACTTTTACACTGTTGGTGGGACTGTAAACTAGTTCAACCATTGTGGAAGTCAGTGTGGTGATTCCTCAGGGATCTAGAACTAGAAATTCCATTTGACCCAGCCATCCCATTACTGGGTATATCCCCAAAGGATTATAAATCATGCTGCTATAAAGACACATGCACGCTTATGCTTATTGAGGCACTATTCACAATAGCAAAGACTTGGAACCAACCCAAATGTCCAAAAATGATAGACTGGATTAAGAAAATGGGCACATATACACCATGGAATACTATGCAGTCATAAAAAAGGATGAGTTCATGTCCTTTGTAGGGACATGGATGAAGCTGGAAACCATCATTCTCAGCAAACTATTGCAAGGACAAAAAACCAAACACCGCATGTTCTCACTCATAGGTGGGAACTGAACAATGAGAACATATGGACACAGGAAGGGGAACATCACACACCGGAGCCTGTTGTGGGGTGGGGGGAGGGGTAGGGATAGCATTAGGAGATATACCTAATGCTAAATGACGAGTTAATGGGTGTAGCACACCAACATGGCACATGTATACATATGTAACAAACCTGCACATTGTGCACATGTACCCTAAAACTTAAAGTATAATAATAAAAAAAAAGAAAATGATGTCCATGTTATATAGATATTACAATGGTGCAAGATAAAAATTTGCATAATCTCTTATTTTTAAACTTTTAAGAACCTTAATGAGCCAGGCACGGTGGCTCACGCCTGTAATCCCAAGCTCTTTGGGAGGCTGAGTTGGGCGGATCACCTGAGGTCGGGAGTTCGAGACCAGCTTGGCCAGCATGGTGAAATTGCGTCTCTAGTAAAAATACAAAAATTAGCTGGGTTTGGTGGTGCATTTGTGTAATCCCCGTTACTCGGGAAGCTGAGGCAGGAGAATCGCTTGAACCTGGGAGGCGGAGGTTGCGGTGAGCCGAGATCGTGCCATTGCACTCCAGCCTGGGCAATAGAGCGAGACTCTGTCTCAAAAAAAAAAAAAAAGAAAGAACCTTAATGAATTATTTTTTATTGTTGGTATCATTGGTTTATGCTTTCTCTTTCTATCCTTTTTACTAGTCTTACCAGGGGTTTATTATTTTATTAGCATATTAAATACCAACTTTTGTCTTTGTGGGTTATTTATACTCGTATTTTTTTAGCCCATTACTTTTTTCTTTGTCATTTTGATTTTCACTTTCACTTTCTTTAATTTTTAATTTCTGTGGGTAAATAATAGGTGTATATATTTATGGGGTACACAAAATGTCTTGATACAAGCAGGTAATGTGTAATGATCACATTATGGATAATGGAGTATTCATCCTCTCAAACATTTATCCTTTGGTTACAAACAATTCAGTTGTAGTCTTTTAGTTATGTTAAGGTGTACAATTAAATTATTATTGACTATAGTCACACTGTTGTGTTATTGAATACTAGATCTTCTTCATTCTTTTTAATGATTACTTTATCCATTTACCATCTCAACCTTTCCCCCAACACACCACTGCCCTTCCCAGCCTCTGGTAACCATCCTTCTTGTACCATCTGTGTCCATGAGTTCAATTGTTTTGATTTTTAGATCCCACAAATAAGGGAGAACATCTGATGTTTGTCTTTCTGTACCTGGCTTATTAAACTTAATATAACGATCTCCAGTTCCATCCATGATGTTGCAAATGAAAGGATCTCATTCTCTTTAATGGCTGAGCAATACTCTGTTGTATATATGTACCACATTTTTTTATCCATTCATATGTTGATGGACACTTAGGTTGCTTCCAAATCTTAGCTATTGTGAGCAGCACTTCAGCAAACATGGGAATGCAGGGATATGTTTGATATACCAATTTCTTTTCTTGTGGGTTCAATCTCAGCAGTGGGATTGCCAGATCATATGCTGGCTCTGTTTTTTGTTTTTGGAACCTCCAAACTGTTCTTATAATGTTTGCACTAACATTCTGACCAGTAGTGTACAGGGTTCCCTTTTCTCCACATCCTCGCCAGCATTTGTTATTGCCCATCTTTTGGATATAAGTCATTTTAACCGGGGTAAGATGATACCTCATAGTAGTTTTGATTCGCATTTCTCTGTTGATCAGTGATGTCGACTACCTTTTCATAAACCTGGAAGCCATCTGTATGTCTTTTTCTTGAGAAATACTTAATCATATTGTTGTCCATTTTAAAATTAGATTATTTGATATTTTCCTATGGAATTGTTTGTTGGAGCTCCATATAAGGAGCTCAGGTTATTAATCAGTTGTCAGATAGGTACTTTGCAAATATTTTCTCCCATTCTTTGGGTTGTCTCTTCACTTTGTTGATTGTTTCCTTCGCTTCACAGAAGCTTTTTAACTTGATGTGATCCCATTAGTCCATTTTTGCTTTGGTTGCCTGTGCTTGTGGGGTATTACTCAAGAAATCTTTGCCTAGGCCAATGTTCTGGAGATTTTCTCCATTGTATTATTGTAGTAGTTTCATAGTTTGTAGTTTCTTGTTTAAATTATGTCTTTAATCCATTTTGATTTGAGTTTTGTATAGGGTGACATATACAGATCTAGTTTTATTCTTCCTCATATGGATATCCAGTTTTCCAAGCACCATTTATTGAAGAGACTGTCTTTTCCCCAGTGTATGTTCTTGGCACCTTTGTCAAAAATGAGTTCATTGTAGGTGTGTGGATTTGTTTCTGAGTTCTCTATTGTATTACGTTGGTCTGTGTGTCTGCTTTTATGCTAGTAGCATGCTGCTCTGGTTACTATAGCTCTGGAGAATATTTTGAGGTCAGGTAATGTGATTCCTCCAGTTTTGTTCTTTTTTGTTTAGGATAGCTTTGGCTATTCTGGGTCTGTTGTGATTCCATATAAATTTTAGAATTTTTTTTTCTATTTCTGTGAAGAATGTCATAGGTATTTGGATAGGGATTATTTATTCCTTTCCAATTCTTAAGACTTCTGTTTCATTTTTTCTTTTTGATTGCTCAGAGATCTCCAGGATAAAATTGACTACTTGCAGTGCTAACAGGCATTTACTTACTACAGACTCATGCACTATTGTTGTCATGTATTTTTTATTTGCTTTCTCTCTCCATTCCAATGAAGATCTGATTATTACTTTATACTGCCAATATTTATTTATATTTACCCATTTCCTTTTCCTGTGTTCTTCTTTTCTTCTTGCATTTTTGAATCTTCCATTTGCTTCATTTTACTTCTGCCCTAAAATCCACCTTGAGTATTTCTTTAGAAGGGGATCTGTTTGTGATGAATTGTGTTTTATTTGTTTGAAAATGTTTTTATTTTATCTTTATTTTTAAATAAAATTTTACTGTAAAGAGAAATATAAATTGGCCATTATTCCTTTCAGACCTTGATTATATCATCTCATTGTTTTCTGGTGTTCCTTAATTTTTGGGGAAGTCAGATATTTGTTCTTGTTTTAAACTTATTTTTAAGTCTTAGTTTTACTTTTTGAAGCTAATATGATATTTTCACACTGGACACTTTATATTTTCTTTTGTCTTTGATTTTCAGCAGTTTCATTAGAATATTTTTAGATGTGATTCTCTTTGAATTGATCCTGCTAGATGTTCATGTTACTTCTTTAATCTATACCTTGATGCCTTTCATCAGATTAGGAAAATTCTTAGGAATTATTTCTTCAAATATTGGTTCTGTCCTAATCCCTCTTACCTCTCTTTGAAGTACCAAATCTTAGGCTAACCTCTTTTCTGGATCTTAGCCTTACAGGTGCTCACTGCCTTGGTAGCTGTTCAATGCCTTTAAAGGGAGACTTTTTTGTAAAATATTTTAGTTATATAATCTATCTTTTCTCAGAGGGAGAATTGGTTGGAATCAACCTATTTTGTCATTGCTATAACTCAAAATCTATGAAATACAACTTAGTACAATCCAAATGAATGAAGTTATTCAAGCAAAATCCTAAAAACAGTATCAATTAGCTTGTTAATCTTTCATCTGTTAAAATTCTTAATATCATTTTACATTTCATTTTATATATTAATTTATGTATATTATAGTATAAAACCTGTAGTGTTAATATAATCTTTTATTGTTTCACTAGACCATGTATCACTCTCTCAGAAGAGTACACTTGTGCTATCCTAATTTCCCCCTAGGGTTTTCTCAGACAAGTGTTGTAATTCAAGACTGGGAACTAATGGAAAAAACATCTCTTATCACTTCACTCATTTTATTTTATTTTATTTATTTTTTGAGACAGAGTTTCGCTCTTGTCACCCAGGCTGGAGTGCAGTGGCACGATCTCGGCTCACTGTAACCTCCGCCTCCCGGGTTCAAGCGATTCTCCTGCCTCAGGCTCTGGAGTAACTGGGATTACAGGCGCCCACCACCATGCCCGGCTAATTTTTTGTATTTTTAGTAGAGATGGGGTTTCACCATGTTGGTCAGGCTGGTCTCTAACTCCTGACCTCAGGTGATCCACCTGCCTCGGCCTCCCAACACGCTGGGATTACAGGTGTGAGCCACTGCACCCAGCTATCATCGCATTCTTTAATAGAGTCATTTGGTTTTGTTTCTAAGCTAGCCAAAGAGTATCAGCAAATTACCTGGCTATGAAATCACAACTTATCATATAGTTTTCACAATGTGATATCAAATAGAAGTGATTTTTTTCAGAGATCTCTTGACTACTATTGGAGTGATAAAATTGACATGGATTTTTATCATGTCCTTATTCCAAGTGTATTGTTCATTTCTCATCTTTAGAGTGATATGTACCTTTCACTTACAAAAGGCATATATGGGTTTATATAACAATGAAATTAAACCATTAAGGACTGGGTTGCTAAAAGCCTAGATAGAAAGAGAGAGGGCATAGGATTCGTGGCCACAATTTAGTAGCTGGTTATATATTCTTATTCCCAGACTCTGAACTTACAGCTGAAACATAGACAATGTTGAACTCAAATGTTAGTAAACCCATGCCAACATTAGTAGAAGTGATGGGCATCAGAAGCCATGGTTTCTTCTTCTCTGCTGTGTGTATCAGGAAGCAAAGGACATGGCAACATATTTTATTAGTAAAGGACAGGTAAGGAAGATCATGGCAGATTCTACTGTGAAAGGCAAGATTCTTGTATGTACACATACAGTAATTTCCTAATGAATTCTGTCTTCAAAATTCAGTATATTTCGATTTTTTCCCCAAAACACACTTATGGCAGACAGTAATCAGAATATCAGATGAGAAATCAAGCCTCAAATTGTCATTCTCTCTCTATTACTGATGTTATCTATTCAAGGATTTTTGTGGCCAAAAAAAGTAAAAAATTATGCTGGCAGTGAATTAAACTCAGTAACTGCTTTATGGCCTTCTCATTAATCTTGGCAAGTTGAAAACCCAGAAAGGATTTCTGTCAACACAAAGAATAATTATCAGTGCTGCTTTTCTTAACCTAGGTAATGGTAATAATTGGAAGCTGAATTCTTTCCTTCTTTCATTTATTATTAATTCATTAACTCACTTGACAATCATGTACTGAGCACTTTTAGTGATCTAGAGACTATCTAGTTCCCTAGAACTTCCACGTACTTGGCACTCCAATCCTGTGTCAAAAAGTCCTCAATGCCTCTGCTGTTCACTAATAATGCCTCTGTTTAATAGCTTTAAACAGACAACTAAAAAAAAAGTATCTGTTGTTTTAGTCCATCGTTTCTAGTTGTTCTTAGCAGGAGGTTGATTCTGACCTATAATAAACTATAGGAAATACTCAATTTTCAGGGTAGTGCAAGACCATAAAAATGACTGTGCAATTTGAAATAATGCAATATGATTTTAATAACCAATGGGAAAATTGTGATTATTTTATGACCGTTGAAAATTCTTATCAAAATATTAAAACCGTCTTCATTTATAAATGTGGAGGGATAAAAATAGTCAAACAAATGTTTATTTAGTACCATGTAAATTAAAATGTTAGGGACATTGAGAATTAAAGTGTTTTATTTCTTTGTGAACAACTTATCCAGAACAGTTTGAACAGTGCTAGCTTTCTCCTTGTAAAACTTATGAAATATAGCAGGAGTCTTTTCCCTGCCATGGTGAATTGCCATACTATTTTTTCTCAGATTGGATCAACTTCTAACATTTTATCCTTTGTTCGTTAAATGTTATGAAATATCTCCAAGGGTTCCTTTAATGTGAATATTTTTGCTGGCATCACTTCCTCTGGGACAGCATCATTCTTTTTGTCATGACTACTTCTATCAATTATTCCATTAAGTTCACCTTTACCAAGTTTCTCTGGCTATATACCTAGATTCCCTCAAATGGTAGTGGTATTATCATTCCCATGGTCAACTCTTTCTTCCATAAATCCATATACATTCTATTTGAATTTCACTTCCAGCATTATTACTCTTTACTTCTTTGTTTCACTTACATTTTGTTGCCCAATTCCCTCTTTGGATTACCAATTTGTGTAAAATGTCACATAGGTTTATCATGGGGGAAACAAGGAGGCAACACAACTATGCACTTTGCTGTCTGTGTGAGTACTGAATGCCCAGTAATCAATCACTGACAGACTTTGAAAGAAGAGATGTGAGTTGTTACCTGTCATGAGACACACTGTTATTTATGTTATCTGTTATTCAGATCTGTAGACTGAAGAGCTGGCAAAAAAGTTTATACTTTAAGCAATTTCTCACAGTTAATATATTATGACAAATGAAATTTGAATGGTGTTGTCTGGGACTGGTGTTATTTAGCTAAATTGTGGTAACTGAAATGTATGTATATCAGGACCATGTGAAGGAAGGACTGTATATATAAGCATATTCCACTTAATGAAAACATCTTACCATAGGTAAGACTTGTTTTAGTGAAGTCACCACGAAAATGCACTTTTCTCAGGATTCTGACCAAGTACGTCACCAGACAAAGACAAATTCAGTAGCTTCATTTTAGTGGCTTGCTAGCATCTCAGTATTTTTGGATCCTCTGCATAATGAGAGATTCCTTTATTCAGCAAACATTTAATGAAGCACTGGGTTTAGAGTACAGTATTGGACAAATAGAATATTAAAAATATCAGAAACTTCACAGATCACGAATGTGAAATTATTCGTAAATGTTAATGGAACCAAGAGATTTCACTTGACTAATGGTAGAACAGGTCTAAACGGGGAGATAGCCAGATGGAAGATGATGAATAAAATGATCCCAGACTTTTGCAGTTGTCTGTAACTGCAATGAAGGAGAGAATGGTGTTGCTGGATGCCAGCTATGGTGCCACTATAAAGATGAGCCAACTGAACTGCCAAAGTTTTATAGTTTTCATCTGGTTAATTCCTTACTTATAATCATCATATTACTTTCAATATTTTTTGCTTAGGTAGTGTTGTAGGAATTTCATTTATTATATGAAAGTCAAACAAAATATACCCCATCATATGATATTGTGAAATTAACTATGTGGCATGGAATAAATAATGTTTAATAACTCAAAATGTTGTTATCACTGCAGACTCATTGAATGACAGCAGAAAGCCATTTAAATTTTTTTGTGTTTCAGTTTCCAAGACGTTTAAGAGTGATAATAAGAGCTTACCCACATCGTGAAGATGTGGAATTTATAAAGGCGTGGTTCTAAAGTATTTTGAAAATTTTGAATAAAAAGTGTTAAACTTATTTTAAATCTATTTGCTAAGTTATTACCCGAATCAAACCATTGTAGTAGTAGATACTTCCTAAATTTAATTATTGTTTTTAATGTTATGTGCGTGCTCAGATAAATTTTATTTAGTTATCAATGCCAAATTAAGTGTTTCATAAGGAGTAGTAGTATGAGTAATATGACTCCTAATATTGAGGCAATTTACTTATACTTTTAAGTGCTTTGTAAAAGGATATATTAGATTGAACCACATAACAGTGCAATTTTTGTAGGTCAAAAATGTTCAAGTATTGGGAATTTCATATAGTTTAACCTAAATAAAAAGTCAAGGATGAATTTGATTTCTACCGTGTATCCTAGCTAAGGCTTTTAATCTCTAAGTCCCAGTTTCTCAACTATAAATTGGGTGTGATGCCGTCTGCCCTTCCAAAAAAAAAATAATAAGTATTTTTTTCTCTCGTCTTATCCTTCTATTTATGTCTGTCTCCTACCAGCCTATCTATACATCATGATAGATCTTTTATATATTGTCTGTGTGAAATTGACCAAGTTACTTAACATCTCAATCTCAATTTTCAACTATAAATTTGAAATGATAATAATAGTAAATACTACATTGAACTGCTATTCACATTAAGGAGGCAAACATGTTAAGTATTTAAAATAGAACTTGGTACATAGTACATGTTTAAAAAATATAAAGTATTATTTTTATAACATTAGCACAGAAATTAAGCATTATTCCTCATGTTTAATGTTATATTTTTATCTAGTCAGAAAACTATCTGTTTTGGGGCAAGATCCTTCTATGATTACTAACGTATTCTGATGAATAAAAAACTGACTAGATAAAAGTTATCTAGTCAGAAAACTTTCTGTTGTGAGGCAAGATCTTGCTGTGATTACTAAAGTATTCTAATGAATATAAAAACTGTATCGTCATTCCATTGTACATAACTAGGCAGTTTAAATGCTTAATTGAATTAATTTTTCATTTATTGATTACATTTGCTTCCAAATCATTCGTAGTATAATGTGTTCATCTAGTGCTAAGAAATTACTTCAGAATACTGCAGAGCCTGAGGGTCTGTCTTATAACCATCTGTTATAATAGCATTATGGGTGTGTAGATGATTCAATTAATGGAGAATGTTAGTTAATAGAGTATTCGATAAAATAGATTGTATTGTGTTGTCTAATTGATTCATCTTTATTTAAAAAGAATTTCTTTTTTTTTCATTATTGGCAGGCATAGTTTTCTTTTTCTGGTTTAATCTGTTCTCCATAAGTGATTGTCTAAATTGAATAACTCAAATTGGAAGGTACTGCTGTAATGCCTTTTCTACAAATATCTGTGATACCAATTGGAAGAGCACTGGTATCCATGTTGATCTTGTCCTCTTTGAAAAGCAATTGTGCCAAAACTGCTTTGTTTGCCTCCATTTGACCACACTTGAATCCATCTGGCTTCTGACTCTTGGCTCCATCTCTGCTACCAGTGACTCTGCTACTCTCTTTGGACTGGATGCTTCTTTCTAGCCAACGTGGCTTTAACTCTTGGATTTATCTCAAGGACTTTGGCTTGTATTTGGACAAGGATGCTCTTCAGGGGGCCCTGAATATAATGATTTCCTCACAATCTGTTTCTTTGGCCAATTAAGGCCGGACTAGCAACAGACTGGGCTTGACTGGCCAGAAGATTCACCTAATGCAAAAGAGCATTGAAAGATGGGGGCTTTCATCAAGGCTGTATCAGAACCTTTAAACTTATTCAGAATTAGTTATTTCAACAGCCTTCTATTACTCTTGGGGGAAAACAGAGTTTGTGAGTCAAAATAAATGATTGAAGGTTTCAAAGAAACATCATTCAATAGGACCCTTGTCTTACACCATATACAAAAATCAACTCCAGATGGATTAAAGACTTAAATATAAGACCTGGAACTATAAAAAATACTAGAAGAAAACATAGGAGAAAAGCTCCATGACATTGATCTGGGTTGAATTTGACTTCAAAGTGTATGGGATTATATCAAACTAAAAACTTTTTACATCGTAAAGAAAACATTAACAGAGTGAAGAGGTAACATATAGATTGGGGAAAAATGTTTGTAAACCTATATGTAATAAGGGGTTAATATTCAAAATATATAAGGAACTCAATGGCAAAGTAATAAATAACCCAGTTTAAAAATGGGTAAAGGACCTGAATAGAAATTTCTCAAAAGAAGACATAAAAATGGCCAACAGGTATATAAGAAATACTCAACATTGGTAATCATTAGGGAAATGCAAATTGAAATCAAAATTATATATCATCTCACACCTGTCAGACTGGCTATAATAAAAAAAGACGAAAGATAATAAACGTTGGTGAGAACATAGGGAAAAAGAAACCCTTGTGCACTGTTGGTAGGAATGTAAATTAGGACAGCCATTGTGGAAATATGTATGGAGGTTCTTTGAAAGACTAAAAATAGAATTACCATATGATCCAGAAATCCCACTCCTGGGTATATACCCAAAAGATTTGAAATCAGAATGTCAGAGATGTCTCCACTCCCATGTTTATTGCAGCGCTATTCACAATAGCCAAGTTATGGAATCAGCCTAAGTGACCATCCACAGATTAATGGATAAAGAAAATGTGGTATATATACAAAATGGAATACCATTAATCCTTATATAATAAGGAAATTCTGTCATTGGCAGCAACATGGATGGAATTGCGAACATTTTGCTAAGTAAAATAAGCCAGGCACAGAAAGACAAATACATGTTTTCAATTATATCTGTAATCTAAAACAATTAAACTCATAGAAACAGAGAGTGGAATGGGGGTTATAGAGCCTGGGGTAGGGGAAGTGAGGAAATAATGGTCTAAGGGTACAAAGTCTAAGTTTGACAGGAGGAATAAGGTTTTTTGTTGAGATCTATTGTACAGTGTGGTGAATATAGTTAATGATAGTGTATTGTACATTTCAAGATCGCTAAGAAAGTAAATTTCAAAGTTCTCACCACAAAAATAAGTATTTGAGGTGATGGATATATGAATTAGCAATTATTCCACATTGCATTTATACACCATAACATTACTTTGTACCTAGTAATATATACAATTATAAATTGACAGTTTACAATAACAATTTTTAAAGAGGGGTCATTGGACCCAGATAGTTAAAAAAAGGAAACAAGTATAGAGTTCTACTTAAAACACTAGAGATACATGTCTGTCTGTTTCTCTGTAGTGCTACTGAATACCATATCAGAAAATATAGCCATATGTTTCTCCCTCTGCTGTAAAATGCCTGGCACAATGACATTGTCTATCAACCTTCATAAATACTGTTGGTCTTCGGTATATATAAATACTGTTGGTCTTCAGTATCTATGGGTTCTGCATCCATGGATTCAACCAATAGGGGATTGAAAATATTCTGAAAATAAAAACAATAAAGTAGCAATACAACAATGAAAGTAATACACATTTTAAAACCAATACAGCATAACAACTATTTACATAGCTTTTACATCGTATTAGGTATTGTAGGTAATCTAGAGATGATTTAACATACATAAAAGGATGTACACAGGTTATATGCAAGCCCTCTGCCATTTTATTATATAAAGGACTTGAGCACCCATGGACTTTGGTATCCACCGGGTTGTAGAACCAATCCCCCATGGATACCGAAGGACAACTGTGTTAGAGAAGATTTCCCATTTCTGCTACTCAGAAGAAAATACAAGCAACACAAATCTCAACGAGACAGATTAGAGAGCTTTCATGATATTTGAGGTCAATTTTCCAACAAGCATTCTTTGCAGGTATGATTAAATTCTGTGTGGTTTTCAAGTATCAACTTAGAAGTGAAGTTTCTCTTTTTTTTTATATGTCTGACATAAAACACTGATGGTTTCCAATAATACAATAAAAATTGTTGACATTTTCAGTTTTCAATTAGCAATATTGTTTTAAGCCCTTACTTTGAAGTAAAACTTCACACATTTATGACATTTATAAATGAAAGCATTTGGCTGACTGATTTTAATGGTTGAATCATGAGAGATGCAAATTTCAGAAAAGTGAAAACTGCTATTTGTTTTTCTATTATGTAGTCTTGTTAGTATTTCAGTATAGCCATTTGTTTTAAACATGTCAACTTTCTTTAATTGTTCCATTTAGCAATCACTACTTGCTATATCCTATTTAAGTGATCTTGGAACATGTGTAGGCTAAAGGCAAGGTTAGTGTTCTGAATATGGGAACAAGATTTGAATATTTTTTAAGGTCAAATAAAGTTTGATATGTGACTGACCTGAAGCTGGGGGGAGGTCATATTCACAAAGAATTCCAACCAAGTACAAGGCCCAAGCAGATCAGTATTGCTGCATGGCAGATGTTAAAGCACTTCAGAGATGGTAGAAGCCCAGGAAGATACATTTAATGAGGAAGTCCAGTAGTGTGTTCTGGGGAGCCAGACTGTAGAAAACTGGGATGTAGGCAAAGATGGTGAGGTTAGAAGACAGGCTACAAGAACAGTGGTAAGATGTAATAAAATGTGTTTAGAGAACGGTGAAGGAAATCCAGTTACCAAGGATTCAGAGGAAACAAAGGGCCAAGGCAAGTTTGATGTTGTTTTCCTGAACTGACTAATAATGTTGCCCCTGGACAAAAATTAGTCCTAGATAATGGGGTAATAAGGATGGACCTAAATGTGAGGAAGAAAAATGTTAACTTTACTGTGTTAACATTTTATAATGAAGGAAGTAAAACAGACTGTTGTAACATAAACCTCCTCTAGGATGCTGGCGGTGAAGGAGGAAATTCAAAGGTGAATTCAAGATGCCTCTTGAGGGAAGAATTGATTGAATTTGCAGATTAGTTGGAGGTGGAGAAAATGTCTGTGAGCTTTTTAAACTCAGTGCACCTGGGACCAGCTCACAGAAATAAAACATATAAACCAATCAGAGATACTCTTTGGGGTGAGGAGGAGGATCAGCTTTGTGTTAAGCATGCTGAGTTAAATGTGGTTGTGGAAACAGTTATGAACACAAGTGAGCCATGTGAGGAAAAATATCACGTCTCACCACTATGAATATTCTTTTATTCTTTATGTCACCATTTATGTGACACCATTTATTCTTTATGTCACCATTTGCTGGCATCAATAATGTTTCTACCACTTGCAGTTCTGAGTACACTATTGAGATAACAGAGAAGGCAAAACATTTAAATTTATAAAGAACATTTGGCCATTATTCTTATGACTCACTAATTTGAAATTAAAAATAAATGACACTAAAGTATACATTATTTTAGCCAAAGGGTCAAATTCATTAAAAATATAAAATATTGAGTCTGTAGGCAACTCCAGGGGGATGTCATTTATATCACAGCATATATGAGAAAACATCCTAGAATTGTACATTGCACAAGAAGCTGTCTGAGTAGCTATTCTCACTGATATCAGATAAGGTGTTCATAAGTACATTTTAAAATAAAATAACAGTTATGATTTGAAAGTAAACAAATAAGAAGTAAAATGAAACAAAATATCCTATTCCTATCACAAATTTTAAGCCTAAGAACAAAGTTAACCCAAAATGCAGAAGAACTATATGAAGAAAATCACAAGACTTCTTAGCAGAAGAATAGGCTAAATGAAGTCAAATATTATTTTCCTGGATGGATGTTTCAGTACTGTAAAGATGGTCAGTTTATCTCAAGTCAATCTATGCATTTAACACAGTTATCACAAAAATCCCAATGGTGTATTTCTTTTCCTGCACCTGAGAATAAGGATTCTATAGTTTATTTGAAAAACTAAACATATGAGAATAGCACAGACAGATTTTAGAAAAAAAAATGTATTGAGTATTATGTAACATTTTGGTAGTACTTAGTCTTACAGATATGATAATGTATTAGAAAATTACAGTAGCCAAAATAAATATTGGTGTACAGATTGATAGATAAATGACTTGAGAAAAATTGAAAGTATAGAAAAAGATGTAATTTTACACATAAGTGTATCATACTATAATGTTGGCATTTCAAATCAGCATTAAAATATTAGATTAGATTATACATTAAATGCTGTAGAAAACAGGTCAAGTATGTAAGATGAATAATAAACTTAGATGGCCATATAATACCTCAAATAATATAATTTTGACATGAGGGAGGGATTTCATAAGGGAAGAGCATGACAGTAAACAATCCATAAAAATTATAAACTTGAGTACCTAAGTATTAATAATGTCTAACTAGTTAAAAACATATAAAATCTACTGAAAAATATAGCATCATGCAACAGGCGGAAGGGCTTATCCCATAATAAAAGTTCTTACAATTGATAAGAAAAAAATGGATCCTCGTAGCGAAAGATGCTAAAGATATGAAGATGTAATCTATCAAATACAAAATACAAAGACAAAATGCGAAGTTCTAAAGTCTCAAATCATTCTGGTAATAAAAGAATTTGAAATTTGTAAATATATCAATATAACCTTAATATTGAAACATTACAAAGACATAACAAGAAAGAAATATTACAGTCCAATCTCTCACATAAAAAAGATGCACAAATTCTAAATCAAAATGTTAACATATGTCTTGTAGGTTAAATTGTGTCTGTCCCAAACTCATGTTGATATCCTGTCCCCTTAGAATGTAACCTTATTGGGAGATAGGGTCTTTACAGAGGTAATCAAATTAAAATGAAGACATTAGAGTGGGCCCTAATAAAAAAGGACTTGATTCCCTATGAAAAGGGGAAATTTAGAGACAGGTATCGAGGGAAATCACCAAGTAAACATAGACAGCTAACAAGCCATGGAGAGAGGCCTGGAACAGATCCATCCTTCAGAGCTCTCAGAAGGAACCAATCCTGCCTGTACCTTGATTTTGGACGTCACACCTCTAGAACTGTGAGACAATAAATTTCTGTTGTTTAAGCCACACAGTTTCTGGTACTTTATTATGCCAGCCTTAGAAAATGAATACAATATCTAATCCAACAATGCAGAAAAAGTCTGATATATTACAAATGAGAAGGATTAATATTCCTTGGATGCAGAGTAACTTTTTTGTTAAAAAATTAATGTAATTTAGTACATTAACAAAAAAGGGAAATAAATCATAAGATTATCTCAGTAGATGCAAAAATTTGACAAGTACAACAACCACTAATAATTTTAAAAATCTTCGTAAATTAAGGATAGCAGGGAACCTCTTTTGATGAAGAATGTCTACAAAAGTTGTACAGCAATGCTTATAGTTGATGGCAAACTATTGAAAGCTTTCCCCCAGAAATTGGGAATGAGACAAGGATGCTTGCTCTCACACTTCTATTCAACATAATAAGGGAAGTTGCCAATGTAATAAGTCAAGAAAAAGAAGTAAAATGCACACAGAATAGAAGAAATAAAAAAGAATACAGACTGGAATGGAAGAACTAAAAGTGAGAAAACTCAAAAACATATACAGATAAAATTAGCAACATAAAAATGCAAAAAATCAATTATATATGGCAGAAATGAACACATAGAAAATGAAATGTTAAAAGATACTATTTACAATAGCATTAAATACCTGGGGAAAAAAAACCCATCAAAATATTTACAAGTCCTCTACACTAAAAATTACAAAACATTCTCAACATAGATAAAGAAGACCTAAATAAATGTTTAGGGATTTTTAAAATAAATTTTAAATTAGGGAAAATTTAATGTTCAGCGATGGCAGTTCTCCTCTGCTTACTTTATGGACCGAATACAATCACGGTCAAAATCCTAGCAGATTATTTTATTAATTTATTTTTGGGAGAGTCCGACAAACTAAATCTAAAATTCATATGGTAATCAAAGGGCCCAAAATAACCAAGGCAGTCTTGACAAAAAACAAAGCGGGAGGATGTTCACTCCAGATACCAAGATCTATTATAAAGCTCTAATGATTACAACAGTCTGGTGTTGATGCACAGGTAGATAAACTGATCGGTGAAACAGAATAGCCCCAAAACAATCTGACACACACATGGTTATGTGATTTATGACAAATATGACATTATGGTGCAGTGGGAAAAGAATAGTTTACTAAATGGTGTTGAGTGTATTCATTATACAGATTGAAAAAGGCATGTCTGTACTATACTTCATAGAGTATACAAAAAACACTTCCAGATGGATTTCAGTACTAATTATGATATGAAAACCACTGTAGTTTTAGGAGAAAACATAGGAAAACATCTTCATGATTCTGTAGTAGTCAGAGATTTTCGAACAGGATATGAGAAACACTACCCAATAAGGAAAGAAAAATGACACAGTAGGGCATATGAGAATCAAGAACTTCTGTTCATTAAAAGACACCATTAAGAAAGTAAAAATGCAACCCAGAAACTGTAAGAAAATATTCTCAGGCCAGGCATGGTAGCTCACGCCTGTAATCCCAGCACTTTGAGAGGCCAAGGCGGGTGGATTGCTTGATGTCGGGAGTTCGAGACCAGCCTGGCCAACATGGCGAAACCCTGTCTCTACTAAAAATACAAAAAGTAGCAGGGCGTGGTGGCACGTGTATGTAATTCCAGCTACTCGGAAGGCTGAGGCAGGAGAATCACTTGAACCCAGGAGGTGGAGGTTGCAGTGAGCCAAGATCATGCCACTCTGCAAAGGCAGCCAAATCAAAGATAGACAAATGAGATTTTATCAAGGTAAAAAGCTTCATGCAGAAAATAAAACAATCAACAGAGTGAAGTGACAAACTACAGAATGGGATAAAATATTTGGAAACTGTCCATCTGACAAGGGGTTAATAATCAGAATATGTAAGGAATTCAACTTAATAGCAAACAAAACCAAAAACAACCCAAATGATCAAATTTATTTAAAAATGGGCAAATGATCTGAAAAGACGTTTCTCAAAAGAATATATACAAATGACCAACAGGTATAAAAAATGTTCAACATTACTAGTCATCAGAGAAACGCAAATCAACACCACAATGAGATATCATCTCATCCCAGTTTACACAGCTTTTATTAAAATGGCAGAATAACAGATGCTAGTGGTGAAGATATGGAGAAAGGGGAACCCTTGTACATTCTTGATGGGATATAAATTAGTATGGCCACTACGGAAAACAGTACGTAGTTTCCTCAAAAAATTAAATATAAAACTACCATATGATCCAGCAATTCCACTACTGGATATATATCCAAAAGAAAGGAAATCAATATGTCAGAGAGATACCTGCACTCCTATGTTTATTGCAAAACTATTCACAATAGCCAACATTTGGAATCAGTTTAAGTGCCCATGAATAGATGAATGGGTTAAGAAAATGTGGTATGTATACACATGCAATATTATTTAGCCATAGAAAAATAAAAAAATCCTGCCATTTACAGACAGATGAACAGAACTGGAGGTCATTATGTTATGTGAAATGATCCAGTTATCTTGATTTGATCATTACACATTATATGAATGTATCAAAATATCACATGCACCTCAAAAATATGTACATCTATTATGTATCAAAAAAGACTTAGTTAAGGGCATTTTCACTGCAGTTCTATAAGTATTTTATGTCAAAGTATAGAAATTTTTTTTTTGGCTTGACATGATTATTCAGATTAAGCTGAGACAAATTCCAAAACTTAACAACTGTTATACTTTGGTAATGGGCCCTAGCATTGTGTGCCACATTTTAAGTCCTTAATAGTCACTTGTGCAATTTGTTGGGACAAACTTGGGACTTGTTAAATGTGTATCTCACTGTTGCTTTGTTAGCCTGATCAAAATTGGGATTTATACTCGAATGGTTCTCATTATTTTCACTGAAAGTGACAATTCTTTCTGCCTCCCTGGTTTCCTAATAGGCATTAAAGACACTGTGCATGGACTTGCATTACAGTGTTGAGTAAAGTTGAAAAAAAAAATCAGTCATTTGTCTTGTAGCACACTCATTAGTTCAGACCCATATCCCTGCTAACAGTTCTGATTTTCACATGTACTATAAATGGCCTAAATAGAAATGGAAAAAAAAAAAAACCTCTGGGCTGAACAAAACTATTGCTTTTATTGAGATTTTGTGCTATCAATGTCATTTGTAAAAATCCCCTGCCTCTTTTGATTAAATAAACAAGTTATAAGTACTGTAAGCTAATTCCCAGCATAGAGGGAAATCAACTGGGTGAACGCTGAGTATTTCTTTCCAACTATATTGAGGAAAAGGAAATCTATAAGTTAATTTGTCTCAATGAGCATTTTCTACTTCATTCCTTTGTATTTTAGGTTGCATTGCATTTTACGTTTTACTTCTCTCAGTTGTCAATGTTGTAAACTTCCTTTTTCAAGTCACCAGGTAGTAGATTCTTTAGTGGATATAAAATAATTGTAAAGAAAAAACTGAATAATTAGAGTGAAGAATCAACTTTCTAAGAGCATACAAATGTTATAAACTGAGTGGTTTGCAGAAACCTGGTATTCCATCTCCATGCTCACAACTTTAGTTCCTGGTTTCCTGTTTCTCTTAGTAAAACACTGTATCTCCTTCCTTGTACTTTCTGGTACCCAGAAACACCTTCAATTTTAAAAATAATGTTTTAAAGTAACATTTTTGCTTTCTGCAAAAAAATTCCTCAAACATTGCTAAAACCTGGTATCAGATAGATAAAATTGAGCCTGCATAGTTGTTTACCAATTGATTATATCATGTGATATCTGGAGGACTAGATGATTAAAAAAAATTGGTCTTAAATTTTATCAACATGAAGACCTAGTCAAATATATGTTCCAGGGTCTTCATTGCCAGTAGAAGTTTGCCAGTTTGGAAAATACTGTAATCAGAGGCCAGGCGCAGTGGCTCACGCCTGTAATCCTAGCACTTTGGGAGGCCAAGGCGGGCGGATCACGAGGTCAGGAGATCGAGACCGTCCTGGCTAACATGGTGAAACCCCATCTCTACTAAAAATACAAAAAATTAGCCGGGTGTGGTGGCGGGTACCTGTAATCCCAGCTACGGGAGGCTGAGGCAGGAGAATGGCGTGAACCCGGGAGGCGGAGCTTGCAGTGAGCCGAGATCGCACCACTGCACTCCAGCCTGGGCGACAGAGCGAGACTCCATCTCAAAAAAAAAAAAAAAGAAAATACTGTAATCATAAGTCTTTTTTAATACCATTTTTAAGGTGCTGATCATCATAAAAAATAATTCTAATATCTTAATAGCTTCATGTGACCCAGGAAAGGCTATTTTGTTGTCTGAGAACATAGTAGTACCTGGGAAGGTGGTCTTTGCCAGATCACAGGGTTTCATGTGGTTCCGTATTAAGGTGGCACAACTTAGAAAAATAGTGTGCCCCATAAATTCTCCTCACTTATGATTTCTCTTGTGACAATATCAGTATTCCTCCTTATATAGCCATTAATGTATTTTGCCCTTTTTTCCTTTCATTTAATCAGTTTATATTTAGGTATATTTAAATGAACATGTCATTTTTGAGCAATTCACAGAAGGAAATGAACATGGCATTGCTCTTCAGATTCATTTCTTTCTTTCCTCCCTTCCTTTGTTTCTTTCTTCCCATTTCCATCTCTTCCTCCCTCCCTCCCTTCCATTTTTCTTATTTCTTTATTTTTGTCCTTAGTTTAACAAAGATATATTAAGCATATACTATGAACGCTAGGCTCAAAATAAAAAGAAAGAACACAGGCTTGGCCTGAAAGTCACTTAGAGCCTGACTGCTTTCTTTAACAGGTTCCTTAGGCTTACACGGTAAAAGCCTGGGTTTGTTTAGCAGGTTCTTTACCTTGGTTGAGATTTTGAAAATTAAGAGGACCATATTCAAAGTCCTTCAAAGCATTCCAAAGCATTTTTGTAATAATATACATATATATTATTATAAGTAACTCCAACGTAAAGATCAGCTCAATCACAGAATGAGCAAACTTTATTAGCTTGGTTTGCTTTCTTCACTATACTTATTTTAAAATGAGAAAACTCGTGAGAATATTCTTCAACACAGCAGAATCATCTTTGCTCTAGTCCCAATTCATGTGTTTTTCTGCATTTTTGCCCTATAATTATAATGCCACACTCTAGCTCCTTTTCATTGTATGTTTTGGCAAGGAATCAGTAGAAAATGTGAGAATTAAACATTCTATCTAAGATAGTTGTTATTTTTCGACTCATAGTCTAAGACCCTTTTTATCAATGATTTATAAGAACATGAGGAAATTTAGTGGTATTAATTCTGTGCTGATATCAAGAGCTTCGAACTTAAATTTTTGTAGCTACATCTCTGCTTTAGTGAGAGAGTTAAGTGATTTTGTGAGATAGATAAATTATTAGATGAATTAGGTTTCAACCGAAGTCAGAGTTGCTGTTTCATTTTATAAAGTCAAATGGTTTTTGTTTTGGCAGAATTTAGATTTGCTGCCCTTCATGCTTATTTTTGCCTTAGAAATTTGAAATGGCAACTGAATACTAGGTTTCTAATGAGATATTTATTTCTAAGATGGCTGCAGGGCTATCAAACTGGAAAAAGAACTACCTTCTGGCAAGGTGGTCACTGCATAAGGTTAGGGAATTCGAAAGTTCTGTTCTCATTATGCTTTGGACAGTGTTGCAATCATAGTATATTTTTACCATTTTAAAGTGCTGCTCATCATTAAAAAATACTCCTAAAGTCTTAATAGCTTCATGTGACCCAGGAAGGACTACTTTGTTGTCTGAGAATCTGGGCAGGTGGTTTTTGCCAGACCATAGGATTTGATTTAGATATTGTAGCATAGAAGTAAAGTGTTTTATGTGAAGCAGGAAAGAAGACTGTGCTTCCAGGAGCAATAATTATTAGATATAAAGCATTTGAGGAAGGAAAAGAGTAAGACAACACTGGGGTAGAAAAGGAATAGGTCAAATCAGAGGTTAGGTGCATAATTTTTAGGAAATATCATAAAATAAAACCTGCATGTTTCCGACTGCTTTGAGCGCCTATACCACGCTAAATAATACCAGCTCTCTTTTTTTTCTGAGTGCTTATATATGAGAATATTTGTATACTGCAAAGTTGATAAGCCTTATTTTGACCACATATAGAAACAAATGAGTGTACATAAGGGGAAAAATCAGAAAGAGAGAGCGAGAGAAGGAAAGAAGGAAGGAAGGAGGAAACGAAGGGACGGATAGAAGGAAGGTACAAGCTGTAGGATTGCCCTCTGTACTTTTATTCTGTAGCACTGATGTTCAGAAACTGGAAGCTAATCTAATTTTAAATAAAATTATTCAAATAAATTTTGTTTGAAGTTAACAGGAAAAAAAATAGGTAAAGATAAAGTACTTGCTAAATTTCACTCCTCAGAGATAATGGCTTTTGACTTTTTTTTTTTTAGGAGTTTAAGATATTCCTTAGTAACTCTAAAAGAATACATTTGCTTCTCCCTCTGTTTTTTGATTTATCATATTTAAGCACTATGCATTGACTCTATGTTATGAAAGAGGAAGATTAGCTTCCTTATGCCATATATCACCCTCCTCATCTATATATGGGTTAGTTAAATTCAATTTTTGGTTTCTCTTGTTACATTTCATAATTTACATAAACATACATTTCTTTCTTTATCAATTTTAGAAAGTGTCTCTTGATCCCCTTCTATGTCAAATGAAAAACATAGCCCCCTCTCACCACTTCCCTTCAGCTTTACTCTTGTACCTCTGACTTTCTATCAGTTATAACACCACTTTCATGTTGTCAAAGTATATAAGATGTGTATTCTGATTATTCATGCTATGGGTCACTTCTAATAATAAATCAAAACTCAGAAATGACATTTACAGAATCCAGAAATGTGGCTTCCAACGTCCCTCTGCTTAAGGGGAAAGAATGGAGCAAACTTGTGGGTTCTTTGGTAAAGGTACCCATAACCTCTGCCCTCATTTCACTGGGAAGCACTTAGTGATGTGATCATACCTAACTTCAAGAGGAGTTGGGATGAATGCTAATCTGAGAAATCCGGTTTGTGTCTCATTTGGCACGTGCACACATGTATGTGTATGTGTAGGATCAATTCCCAGAGGTGGGAGTTGTTTGGTAAAACAGTGTATGTATTTCTAAATTAGACAGATATTGCCAGATTGCTCTCCATAGGGGCTCTCCCAGTTGATACCCCCACTCACAGTATATGAGAATGTATGTATCATCATATTTTCAAAGTAGATACGTTCTTAAAATATTTGATTTCTGCCAATTGAAAAGATGAAAAATGGTATATTAGTAGAGTTTTAATCTGCACTTTTATTTTGAGTGAGGTTGAGCATCCTTTTATATGTTTAATAGCCATTTGAATTTCTTTTTTTGTGAACTGCCTGGTCATATCATCTGCCTACAATTCTTAATAGGCTGTTGGCTTCTTGCTCAGTTGTAGGATCTCTTCATGTATGGGAATGATTAAAATCAATGTGTATTAGCGGCATTTGTCAGCAGTGAGCTAGAAATGAATACACTTTTTGCCTTGAATGAATGAAGGTAAGCCCGTTTCAAGTTCATGCCATTTTTAATTGAAGATATAATACTATATTTTGTAGGATGAGGCACATATTTGAGGAACAGAGGGTGCACATTTGTATATAGAACTTGTCCAAAGTTGGAGGAACTAGCTTCACCTTTAATTATACTTCTCCTTTAATTGTGTTTCACAAAAGGAACACCTTTAATGTTTCCTCTTTATGTTTGTAATGAAGACAAGACAAACTAAAAATATACTGAAAAATTTCCCACTCTCCATTAAGGAAATACTGATATGGTTTGGCTGTGTTCCCACCCAAATCTCATCTCAAATTGTAATCTGAATTGTAATCCCCATGTGTTGAAGGAGGAACCTCGTGGGAGGTGATCTGATCATGAGGGCAGTTTTCCCCATGCTGTTCTCATGCCAGGAGTGAGTTCTCATGAGATTTGGTGGTTTGATAAGTGTCTGGAACTTACCCTTCTCTCTCTCTGGCCTGCTGCCATGTAAGACATATCTTGCTTCCCCTTCACCTTCAGCCATGATTGTTAAGTTTCCTGAGGCCTCCCCAGCCATGCAGAACTGTGAGTCAGTTAAACTTTTTTCCGGCTGGGCGCGGTGGCTCACGCCTGTAACCCCAGCACTTTGGGAGGCTGAGGCGGGCGGATCACTTGAGGTCGGGAGTTCCAGACCCACCTGACAAACATGGAGAAACCCCATCTCTACTAAAACTACAAAATTAGCTGGGCGTGGTGGTGCATGCCTGTAATCCTAGCTACTCAGGAGGCTGAGACAGGAGAATCGCTTGAACCCAGGAGGCAGAGGTTGCATTGAGCTGAGATCACGTCATTGCACTCCAGCCTGGGCAATAAGAGTGAAATGCCATCTCAAAAACATAAAACAACAAAACCCTTATTTTTCCTTATAAATTACCTAGCCTCGGGTAGTATCTTTATAGCAGTGGGAAAATGGACTAATACAGAATCTAAAGCTGGAGTGGGAACTTTACTGACAAATCAGATACTTCCCCAAAATTTAGAAGAATAATGTCATTAGGGTTCAATAGAAGTCAGAGTTGCTGCATAATCAATTATTAGTAGAAAAATATTGGTAAATTGCAGTGTATTGAAAGATTCAATGGTTGTAATTTTAGGTATGCAATTTTCAATTCATTTACTTTGTAATTATAAATGTTATTTGAAAAACCCTACAATTTATAATGATTTTTTAAAAATGACTTAAAATGAGTGGAAACAAGTGATATTAAAAAGTAAAGTTACTTAAAATCAACATGTCTACAAAAGTAGTTCCTATAGCTTCAATTTATTCTGTTAATAGAGTGCTTTTTTTAATTTTTAAATTTTTGTGGGTATATAGTAGATGTATATATTTATGGGTTACATGAGATATTTTGATACAGACATGCGATGTGTAAATCACATTAGGGTAAATGGCATATCCATCACCTCAAGCATTTATGCATTGTGATTCAAACAATCCGATTATTCTCTTTTAGTTATTTTTAAATGTACAATTAAATTATTTTGGACTATAGTCACCCTATTGTGCTAGCAAATACTAGGTCTTATTAATTCTTTGTAACTATTTTTTGTACCCATTAACCATCCCCACTTCCACTCCCTCCTCACAACTTTTCCCAACCTCTGGTAACCATCCTTTTACTCTGTATATCCATGAATTCATTTGTTTTAAATGTTAGCTTCCACAGATGTGAGAACATGAGATGTTTGTCTTTCTTTGCTTGGCTTATTTCACTTAACATAATGGCCTCCAGTTCCATCCATGCTGTTGCAAATGACAGAATCTCATTCTTTTTTATGGCTGAATATTAAATTACTCCATTGTGTATATGCACCCCATTTTCTAAGTTGATGAACACGTAGATTGCTTACCAACCTTGCTATTGTGAATAGTGCTGCAATAAACATGAGAGTGCAGTTATGTCTTCTTCAGTATACTGATTTCCTCTCTTTTGAGTATATACATATGAGTGGGATTGCTGAATCTTATCGTAGCTCTATTTTTAGTTTTTTGAGGAACCCCTATACTGTTCTCCATAGTGGTTGTACTAATTTATATTCCCAAAAACAGTGTATGTGAGAGTTCCCTTTTCTCCAAATGCTCACCAGCATTTGTTACTGTCTGCCTTTGGATAAAAGCCATTTTAACTGGGGTGAGATGCTATCTCATTCTAGTTTTTGATTTGTATTTCTCTGATGATCAATGATGTTGAGTACCTTTTCATATGTGTGTTTGGCATTTTTATGTCTTCCTTTGATAAATGTCTATTGAAATATTTTGCCCATTAAAAAATCAGATTATTAGATTTTTTTCCTATAGAGTTGTGTGAGCTCCTTGTATCTTCTGGTTATTAATCCTTTGTCAGAGGGCTAGCTTGCAAATATTTTCTCCCATTCTGTGGGTTGTCTCTTCACTTTGTTGACTGTTTCTTTTGCTGTAAAGAAGCTTTTTTAACTTGATGTTAACCCATTTGTCCATTTTTGCTTTGGTTGCCTGTGTTTGTAGGGTATTACTTAATAACTCTTTGCCCAGTCCAATGTCCAAGAGATTTCTCACAGTTTTCCTGTAGTGGTTTCATAGTTTGAGACTATAGATTTAAGTCTGTAATCCATTTTCATTTGATTTTTGTATATGGTAAGAGATAAAGGTCTAGTTTCATCCTTCTGCATATGGATATCCAGTTTTCCCAGAACCGTTTATTGAAGAGACCGTCTTTTCTCCAGTGTATGTTCTTGGCACCTTTGTCAAAAATGAGTTCACTGTAGATGTGTGGATTTGTTTCTGGGCTCTTTATTCTGTTCCATTGATCTATGTGTCTGCTTTTATGCTAGTAACATACTGTTTTGTTTACAATAGCTCTTTAGTATTATTTGAAGTCAGATAATGTGAGTCTACCAGTTTTATTCTTTTTGCTTAGAATATCTTTGGCTATTCTGGGTCTTTTGTGATTTTTTTTTTCTATTTCTGTGCAGAATATATTGGTATTTTGATAGAGATTGCATTACATCTGTAGATTGCTTTGGCTCATATGGACATTTTAACAATATTGATTATTCTAATCCATGAACATGGAATATCTTTCCCTATTTTGTTTTGTATTCAATTTCTTGCATCAATCCTTTATATTTTTCATTATAGACATCTTTCACTTCTTTGCTTAATTCCTAGGTGTCTAATGTTGTTTATAGCTAATGTAAATGGGATTACTTTTTAAATTTATTTTTCACAGTGTTTACTGTTGGCATATAGAAATGGTACTGTGCTGACAGTGGCCATCCTTGTCATGTTCTGTATCTTAGGGGAAAGGTTTCCAAATTGTCCGCGTTTAGTATGATACTAGCTGTGGATTTCTTACATATGTCTTTATTATGTTGAAATATGTTCCTTATATACCCAGATTTTTTAGCGTGTTTATCATGAAGCATGTTGGATTTTATCAAATGATTTTTCATCCTCTGTTGAAATTATCAATTGTATATTTTTTCTCCTTCATTCTGTTGATAAGATGTATCACATTGATTGCTTTGCATATGTCCATCCAGCCTTGCATTCCTGGGGTAAACCCATGTGGTCATGATGAATGATCTTTTTAATGTGTTGTTGAATTTGGCTTGCTAGTGTTTTGTTGAGGCTTTTTGCATCAATATGCATCAGTCACATTGGCCTGTGGTTTTCTTTTTATATATATATATGTTTTTGTCTGGTTTTGGTATCAGGGTAACACTGGCCTTATAGAATGAGTCTGGAAGTATTCCCTCCTCCTGTATTTTTTAGAATATTTTGAGTAGGATTTATACTAGTTCTTTTTAAAATATTTGGCAGAATACAGCAGTGAAGCCATTAGGTCCTAGTCTTTGTCTTCTGCCGGGAGACTTTTCATTATGGCTTCACTCTTGGATTTTGGATTTCCTTCTGGCTCAATCTTGGTAGGTTGTATATGTCTAGGAATTTGTTCATTTCTTCTAGATTTTCCAATTTATTGGCATATGGGTGCTCATATTAGCCACTAATGATTCTTTGAATTTCTTTGGTATCAGTTGTAATATTCCTTTTTCATCTGTGATTTTATTTATTTGGGTCATCTCTCTTTTTCCTCATTAGTCTGGCTAAAAAATTGTCAGTTTTGTTCATATTTTCAAAAAACTATGTTTTTGTTTCATTGATCTTTTATATTGTTCCCTTTTTTAAATTTTTTGATTTTTTTTTAAATTTATAGGTATATGGTAGGTGCATATATTTATGGGGTACATGAGATGTTTTGATATAGGCATGTAATGTGAAATTGGTACATCATGGAAAATGGGATATCCATCCCCTCAAACATTTATCCTTTGAGTTACAAATAATCCAATTACATTCTTTAAGTTATTTTAAAATATACAATTAAGTTATTATTGGCTATAGTCACCAAATAGTCCTATCAAATAGGAAGTCTTATTTCTTTCTTTTTTTAATGTACCCATGAACTTTACTTCAATTTCATTTATTTCTGCTCTGATCTTCATTATTATTGTTTTGTCTACTAATTTTGTGTTTGCTTTGCTCTTGATTTTCTAGTTCTTCAAGATGCATTATTAAGTTGTTTATTGAAGTTTTTCTTCTTTTTCGATATAGGCACTTATAGCTATAAACTTATGTAAATTTGTAATAATAGGCATAGAATAGTAGGCATATAATATAGACAGTTATAGCTATGAATTTATATAAACTTATAATAGTACTGCTTTCACTGTATCCCATAGGTTTTGATATGTTGTGTTTCTATTATCATTTGTTTGAATTTTTTTTTCAATTTTCTTCTTAATTTCTTCATTGACCCACTGGTCATTCAGGACCATATTTTAAAATTTCCATGCACTTGTATAGTTTCCAAAGTTCCTCTTGTTATTTTTGGTTTTTATCCATTGTGGTCAGAGAAGATACTGGGTATGACTTAGGTGTTTTTTTTAATGTTTTAAGACCTGTTTTGTGACTTTACACATGGCCTATCCTTGAAAATAATCTATATGCAAGGAAAGGAATTGTATTCTGCAACTGTTGGATGAAATATTCTGTAAATATCTATTAGGTACATTTGTTCTATGGTGCAGATGAAGTCTAATGTTTCTTTGTTAACTTTTTGTCAGTAAGATCGGTCCAGTGCTGAAAGTGAGATGCTGAAGTCTCCAGCTATTAATGCATTGTAGTCTATTGCTTCCTTTAGCTCTAATAATATTTGCTTTATATATCTGGGTGCTACAATGTTGGGTGTATGTGTAGTTATACTTTTTGTATCCTTTTGCTGTATTGACCCTTTTATCATTATATAGTGACCTTCTTTGTCTCTTCTTGTACTTTTTGTTTTGAAATATGTTTTGTCTGATATAAGTATAGTGACTCTTGCTCTTTATTGGTTTCCATTGGCATAAAATATCCTTTTCTATCCCTTTAATTTTAGTCTATGTGTATCTTTATAGGTGAAGTGTGTTTCTTGGTGTTATTTGTAGGCAACAGATCATTGGGTCTTTTTTTTTTAAATTCATTCAGGCATTCTTTTTTTTTTTTTTAATTTTACTTTAAGTTCTGGGTTACATATGCAGAATGTGAAGTTTTGTTGCATAGGTATACATGTCCCATGGTGGTTTGCTGTACCCATCAACCCATCATCTACATTAGGTATTTCTCTTAATGCTATCCCTTCCCTAGCCCCGCCCCCGCAAAAAAAGGCCCCGGTGTGTGATGTCCCCCTCCCTGTCTCCATGTGCTCTCATTGTTCAACTCCCACTTATGAGTGAGAACATGTGGTGTTTGGTTTTCCGTCCTTGTGATATTTTGCTGAGAATGATGGTTTCCAGCTTCATCCATGTCCCTGCAAAGGACATTAACTCATCCTTTTTTATGGCTGCATAGTATTCCATGGTGTATATGTGCCACATTTTCTTTATCCAATCTTTCATTGATGAGCATTTGGGTTGGTTCTAAGTCTTTGCTATTGTGAATAGTGCTGCAATAAACATATGTGTGCATGTGTCTTTATAGTAGAAAGATCTATAGTCCTTTGGATAGATACCCAGTAATGGGATTGCTGGGTCAAATGGTATTTTTGGCTCTAGATCCTTGAGGAATCACCACACTGTCTTCCACAATGGCAGGCAACGTACAGAATGGGAGAAAAGTTTTGCAGTCTATCCACCTGACAAAGGGCTAATATCCAGACTCTACAAGGAACTTAAATTTACAAGAAAGAAACCCAATCAAAAAGTGGGTGAAGGATATGAACAGACACTTCTCAAAAGAAAACATTTATGTGGCCAACAAACATATGAAAAAAAGCTCATCATCACTGGTCATTAGAGAAATGCAAATCAAAACCACAATGAGATACTATCTCACACCAGTCAGAATGGCGATCATTAAAAAGTCAGGAAACAACAGATGCTGGAGAGGATGTGGAGAAATAGGGACGCTTTTACACTATTGGTGGGAGTGTAAATTAGTTCACTCTTATGTCTTTTTATGGGAGAGTTTAGTTCATTCACATTTAATGTTATTATTGATAAGTAATGACTTATTCCTCTTATTTTGTTATTTTTTTCTGGTCTTCTTTTATTTCCTTCCTTCCTTTATTTTAGCAAAGGTAATTTTCTCTGGTGGTATGATTTAATTTCTTGATTTTATTTTTGTTTATCCATTTTACTTTTTATTTGAAGTTACTGTGAGGTTTGCAAATACTATCTTATAGCCCATTATTTTAAGCTGATAACAACTTAACACTATTTTCATAAACAAACAAGCAAGCAAAATGAAAACTGATGAAGACTCTATGCCTTAACTTCATTCCCCACACCTTTTAACATTTTGTTGTTTCTATTCATCTTATTGTACTGTCTGTGTATTGAAAAGTTGTTGTAGTTATTATTTTTGATTGGTTCATCTTTTAGTCTTTCTACTTATGATAATAGTTTACACACCACAGTTACATTGCTTTAATATTCTGTGTTTTTATCTGTGTATTTCCTATTACCGATGAATTTTGTTCCTTCAGATAATTTCTTTTTGCTCATTAACGTCCTTTTCCTTCTGATTGAAGTACTCTCTTTAGCATTTCTTGTAGGACAGGTTCAGTGTTTGTGAAATCCCTCAGCTTTTGTTTGTCTGGGAAAGCATGTATTTCTCCTTCATGTTTGAAGGATATTTTCACAGGATATACTATTCTAGGGTAAAAGTTTGTGTGTGTGTGTATGTTTTTTTTTCCCTTCAACACATTTAAATATGTCATGCTGTGTCCAGAATTGGTGGGTTCTTGGTCTCACTGACTTCAAGAATGAAGCCTCGGACCCTCACAGTGAGTGTTACAGTTCTTAAAGATGGTGTGTCCAGAGTTTGTTCCTTCTGATATTCAGATATGTCTGGAGTTTCTTCCTTCTGGTGGGTTCGTGGTTTCGCTGACTTCAGGAGTGAAGCTGCAGTTCTTCGCGGTGAGTGTTACAGCTCTTAAAGGCGGCACTTCTGGAGTTCTTTGTTCCTTCTGGTAGGTTTGTGGTCTCGCTGGCCTCAGGAGTGAAGCTGCAGACCTTTGCGGTGAGTGTAACAGTTGATAAAGGTGGCGAGTCTGGAGTTGTTCGTTCCTCCCGGTGGGTTCGTGGTCTCGCTGGCTTCAGGAGTGAAGCTGCAGACCTTCCCGGTGAGTGTTATAGCTCATAAAGGTGGCGCTGACCCAAAGAGTGAGCAGCAGCAAGATTTTTGCAAAGAGCGAAAGAACAAAGCTTCCACGGTGTGGAAGGGGACCCAAGTGGGTTGCCGCTGCTGACTTGGGTGGCCTGCTTTTATTCCCTTATCTGGCCCCACCCACATCCTGCTGATTGGTCCATTTTACAGAGAGCTGTTTGGTCTGTTTTACAGAGAGCTGATTGGTCCATTTTGACAGAGTGCTGATTGGTGCGTTTACAAACCTTTAGCTAGACACAGAGTGCTGATTGGTGTGTTTACAATCCTTTAGCTAGACACAAAAGTTCTCCAAGTCCCCACCTGATTAGCTAGACACAGAGCGCTGATTGCTGCATTTGCAAACCTTTAGCTAGACACAGAATGCTGATTGGTGCATTTACAGTCCTTTAATTAGACAGAAAAGTTCTCCAAGTCCCCACCCGTCCCAGAAGCCCAGCCGGCTTCACCTCTCACTGGCACTTGCCGTGGGACTTCGCAGCACCTAGCCCAGGCACTCTGGCAGCCCAGAGGGAGCTAGTCCCAGACAACCAAGAGGAAACGAGGGGAAGCAAGAAAGACGGAGACCTGTCATCGTGGCCAACAACCCCACGAAGAGGGAACAGCGGTCCATGCATGGGACCCTGCCTCCAATCAAACCCAGCAGGTGCCAGCCAGCTGCGCGGAGTGCGGGGGCCCGCCGAGCCCGCGCCCATCCGGAACCCGCACCAGCTGGCAGAAGGAGCTGGCTCTGGCCTCACCAGCCCCATAGAGGGGCCCTCATAGCGCAGCGGCAGGCTGAAGGGCTCCTCGAGCACAGCCAGAGTGGACGCCGAGGCCAAGGAGGCACCAAGAGCGAGCAAGGGCTGCTAGCACGTTGTCACCTCTCAATGCCACTCTCTCCTGGCCTATAAGGTTTTCACAGAAAAGTCTGCTGCCAGATGTATTGGAGTTCCATTGTATGTTATTTGGTTCTTTCCTCTTAGTGCTTTTGGGATCCTTGAGGTAGTGTTTTTTTGGGTTAAATCTTCTTGGTGTTCTCTAGCCCTCTTGTACTTGGTTATTAATATCTTTCTCTAGGTTTGAGAAGTTCTGTGTTATTATACCTTTGAATAAATTTCTACCCCTATTTCTTTCTCTACCTGCTCTTCAAAGCCAATAACTCTTAGATTTGTCCTTTTGAGGCTATTTTCTAGATCCTGTAGCCATGTTTCTTTGTTTTCTTTTATTCCTTTTTCCTTTTTCTCCTCTCACGGTGTAATTTCAAATAGCCTGTCTTCAAGCTGACTAATTTTTTCTTCTGGTTGATCAGTTCTGCTATTAAAATAGTCTGATGCATTTTTCAGCATGCCAATTGCATTTTTCTCCTCCAGAATTTATTTGATTCTTTTTTTATTATTTCATTCCCTGTTAAATTTGTCTAATTGAATTCTGAATTCCTTCTCTGTGTTATATTGAATTTGAGTTTCCTCAAAACAGCTATTTTGAATTCTCTGTCTGAAAGGTTACATATTTCTGTTTCTCCAGGATGATCCCTGATACTTATTTAATTCACTGGGTGAGATCATGTTTTCCTGAATGATCTTGATACCTATGGATATTCATCTGTGTCTGGCCATTGCTTAGTTATTTATTGTAGTTTTGTCAGGCTGGACTTTTTTGTACCCATCCTTGGGAAGGCTTTCCAGGTATTTGAAAGGATCTGGGTGTTGTGATTTAAGCTTGTATTAGGGGAATCCAAGCTGAGTAACACTGGTACTTGCATACTTGTAGAGGTACTGCCTTGATGATCTTGTGTAATATCCAGGAGAATTCTCTGGATTACCAGGCAGAGACTCTCGTTCTCTTCCCTTACTTTCTCCCAATCAAAAAAAGTCTGTGTCTCTGTTCTGAGCTGCCAGGAGCTGGTGGTGGGGTGACACAGGCACTGTGTCCTGTGGCCTGTGGCCACCAGCACTGAGACTGTACTGGGTCAGTCCTGAAGCCAGCACAGCACTCGGTCTTGCCTACAGTCTGCTATAACCACTACCTGGCTACTGCCTGTGTTTATTTTTTCAAAGCCCTGGGGCTCTACAATTAGCAGGTGGTGAAGCCAGCCAGTTTTGTGTCCCTCCCTTTAGGGTAGCAAGTTCCCCCAGGTCCTGGGCAGGTCCAGAGGTGCTGTCTGGGAGCCAGGAACTGGAGTCAAAAACCTTAGAAGTCTACCTGGTGTTCTGTTGTACTGTGGGTGAGCTGGCACTCAAACCACAAAACGCAGTCCTTCCCACTCTTTCCTCCCCTTTCCAAAGGCAGAGGAGCCTCATTCCATGGCTACTACCACCACAAGCCCATGGGGAGTGCTGCCAGGCTACTACTGATGTTCCTTTCAGGCCCAGGGGCTCTTCAGGCAGCTTGCAGTAAATGCTGCCTGGCCTGGGACTCACTCTTCAGGGTAGTGGGCTCCCTTGTGGCCCAGTGCACATCCAGAAATTCTGTCTAAGAACCAATGCCTGTAATTGGGGACCTCAAGAGGGCATTTGGTACCCTACCCCACTGCTGCCCAGCTGGTACCTAAGGTACAAGAAAAAGTCTACTTTATTTTTCTCTCTCAGGAGGAATCTCTCCCCATGGCCACCAGGGCCGGGAATGTGCTGAGTCTCACCTGAAACCAGCGAATCTCAGTCTCACCCAAGGCCCATAGCATGTTACTTAGGTATTGCTGCTGGTTATTCAGGGCCCAAGGGCTCTTTAGTCAGCAGATGATGTGTCCTGGCAGGACTGGGTCCTTCACTTCAAGGAGGCAGGTTCCCTTCTGGCCCAGAATATGTCTAGAAATGTCAGGCAGGAGCTAGGGCCTGGAAAGTGGGACTCATGACTCTCACTGGTACCCTATCCTGCTGTGGCCAAGCTGGTATCTGAGATGTAAAACAAAGTCCTCTTTTCTCTTCTCTCCTCTAGCAGAAGGAAGGAGTCTCTTGGAGCTGCAAGCTGTGCAGCCTGGGGTTGGGGTAGGGGTGGTGCAAGCACTCCCTTAGCTGCCTCCACTGGTGTCTCAGCAGTTCATGTGTCCGCTGTCTCTGAGCCCATCTCAGTACTAGAACTCACCTAGGAGTTGCAGTCTTTGTGGCCTAGACTGCCTTTCAAGTTTACCTAGAACCCCAGAGCACTTTATCCTGCAGTAGTGAGGCCTGCAGAGAAACTTAAGTTCCAGCCACTGGGATGGGTGATTCCCCTTTGGCTAGGGCTGGTCCAAATGCTCCATCTATGAATGGGTGTCAGCTAAATACAGCCCAGTTCTGCTTTCTGCTGTGACAGGGCAGCACTGAGTTCAATGCAAAGTCTCAGAATTGCTGTGTTCTTCCATCCCAAATGCACAGATTCTCTGCATTACTCAGTCACTGCCATGGGGCTGGGGGAGGGGTGGCACTGGCAATTCAAGACTTTTTTTCCTGCCTTTTCCAGTGCTTCTTTCAGGAATATGAAGTTGAAACCAGGTACTCTGATTGCTCACCTGATTTTTGTTTCTTACGAGGGTGACTTATTTGTGTAGATAGTTGTTAAATATGATGTTCCTGCAGGGGGATTGAGGGACAATTGGCACAACCTTCTGTTCTGCCGTCTTGCTCCACCCTCCCACCCCCACAGTGCATTATGTTTTGTTATGAAAATTATTTCTTTATGCTGTACCATTTACAAATAAATAGGGAGTTTCATGTAATTCGCAACTATTATATCCTTTGTCAGTAACATAGGACTTCTAAGGAGTAACATAGGACTTTTTATTAATGCATATAATGTTAATAAAAGTTAATGTTAATAAATAAAACGTTAATAAAAGGATAAAGTGATGAGTGGAGTGCTAGAGAGAATGCATTGCTACTATCTATTGAAAGAATGGAGTCATTGACACCAGTAAATTCTTCCAGTTAATGTAAAATTGTAATGAAATCATACACATAAGGAAATATTACTGACAAAATAATAACTATAATGAATATGGTAGAAATAAAATGATCTATTTCATTATCAAATGACTGCATTAAATTGTTAAGACACAAATTAACATATGTGGAAGAATACAGACATTGAACTTAATCTAAAAGCAATAGTCATGGGAGTCATAAGCATTATTGTAAATTTTGGCCTGAGCTATGTTGTAAACGAAGTAAGATTTTTTTTTTTTTTTTTTGAGACAGAGTCTCACACTGTTGCCCAGGCTGAAGTGCAGTGGTGAGATCTTGGTTCACTGCAAGCTCCGCCTCCCGGGTTCACGCCATTCTCCTGCCTCAGCCTCCCCAGTAGCTGGGACAACAGGCGCCCACCACCATGCCTGGCTAATTTTTTGTATTTTTAGTAGAGATGGGGTCTCACTGTGTTAGCCAGGATGGTCTCGATCTCATGACCTCGTGATCTGCCCGCCTCGGCCTCCCAAAGTGCTGGGATTACAGGCATGAGCCACTGCGCCTGGCCAAAAGAAGTAAGATTTTTTAATTTTACTGTAGAATTTCTTCATTATGTTTTAAAAAAAAATTCTGGTGTATTAAAATTCAACATGAAGAAAAGTTTTGGAAGCAGATAGTTAATAATTAATTTGTGGAATTAATGATAAAGATGACTCTATCATTGAAACCTTATTTAATGTATCATTCGATGTCTTCATATCCTATTTACTTTGACAAAATTTCTCATCACTTCACAACCAGGACAATTGGCATGGGTTTTATTTGGTCCTACATCATTAAGGAAATGAATTGACCATTGATTTGTATTTCTCAGGTGACAAGGTAAGCAGTACAAGGACTATAAGTATAAAAATCACAAATATAATTTCTCAGGCTATAGACATTATGGGTCTTTTATGTGTATTTGAAAGTCAAAAGTTACATGAAAGAAAAACAATTAGAACATAGTAGTATATGCAGTAATTTAGCATCCCCCTAGGTAGAATATGGAATTCCTTAAAAATGTATTCTGTAGTCACTGTTACATTTTACTAAAACTGTTTTCACTAAGATGCTTAAAAACTCACAAAAATTTGGTAAAGAAGATATGGATACCAAATATACACTAAAGACCATGAACTTATTCTGTGGTTTCTGATCCTATGATTGCATTACACTCTGTGACGTGTATTTCCAAAGACAGCATCACATTCCCATGGCCTGACTCACTCCCTTGCTCTCAGGATTTTTACTTTGTCTATGCTTACATTAAAAATGATGTCACTATATTTTAAGAAAGCACATTGCTGACTTGGGAAATGACTTTTATAGTTTCTGATGTTGCTGTGTTTGAACATCTCTCATAGTTTGTTTTACATTCTGCCATGTGGTTTAGTCATTTGTAATTTTCTTATCATCATTACTAAATTGGAAATTCATTTAAGAAAGATACTGTAAATCATTTTTATCACATGTGAAAAATGGTACAGTGTTTTTTCTGTAATAGATGCTCAAGTAGGATTTTCTCGACTTTTATTGCTCTTGGGGATATTTCCTTGTTGGTTCTTTTTTTGTTATTGTTAGAATTCTAATCATCAATACATTTGCCATGGGATGGTGCAAAAACCTCAGGCATTTATTAATACTTGTGGAAAAGACTATTTCACAGTTTTACTTGTGTTTTATTAACGTCCTCTTCTTTCCCTGCTTTATTCTGAGATGTTTAGGAGTAAAATAAGCAAAAGCTGAAAACAATGAGTTTTGCATATATTTATAATATGCACAACTTAAATAATTTTTATATCCACAAGTTGAATAATTAAGAATAAAACAGAATGTACTGATTTCATTCATTTATTCAGTGTAGACCTTAGGTTAGAATCTAGTGGGAAAGGCAGATAATCTAATAAGAAAATAAGTCAATATCAATTATTTATTTGAAAATTGAGAAATTTTCTATGAAGGTTATAGATAGAAATACACAATACATACTAAGTTGGGAAAAGACTGTTGCTTAGCATGACCGGAAAAAGCCTGACTTAGTAGATGTTCAAATCAAGACTGGAAGCATGAAAGAAGTCTTTCACTGGCCATGTGAAAGACTGAGCAGGCAGAAATGTATAGGCAAAAGGACGAGCATGTGCAATGTCTCTAGAAAAGAACTTGTTATTAAACTGAAAGGATATCAGTTATTCTTCTTCAAGTTAATTTACATGTATTCAGTATCTTGATGAAAATTCTTCTTGGTGCAAAATGAAGATGATTTACAATTTATCGACTATGATGTGCCAGGCTATTTTCCAGATGGTTTACACTTTCAAATGAACATGTCATAAACACCTTGTATTCTGGAGGCTTATTATGAAATTCACCACCTCCTCATTTCTACCTGCTTCTTTTGAAATTTCTTATCTTGTTAATTAACAATATCATCCATTCAGTTGTCCAAGTTCCAAACCTAAACCTAGCTCTAGCTCTCCCTATCTCCCATACTCCATGTGTACACATATTTATTCATTCTACTCCATGACTAATATCTTGATCTATGAACTTTGTCTCCAGCCCTTCTGCCACTCATTATATCTTACCCATACCATTGAATATCCTCTTCACTGTTCTCTCTTCCTTAATTTTTACCCATCTCCAATCCATCTTCCAAAAATCTTTTGATAATCATCTTTCTTGGATAAAATATTTTTTGTAAGAAGTTAATCTCTTCTTGAGATTTTCACAAAATATCTCATCACCTGTAGAATAAAATAGCAGATTCTTTGGCATGATATACTAGTGTCTTCATTCTTGGCCCTCACTTCCCTGACCAATGCAATTTTCTATAACTGTTCTTTAATATCCTCTATTAATCTCTTGCCCAAGACTAATCTTATATCTTTATGTCATTTATATCATTCTTCCTTCTGTCTAGAATGCCATCCCTAAGATAGTATCTCTAATAATTTATTTGAACCCTCAAAGCCTCAGCCCAGGGCTATCTTCCTTGTGGAGAGTTCCTTTATTCTTCTAAGCATCCCTGGACTTCCTTCCCCTTTCCACCCACCACACACTGTAATTACAGTGATTACCATATTCTATTATAGTGGTTTATAAGTCTGTATCCCTGTCACCTCTTAGTCCCCTTAAATGCAGAATCTGCCTTTTTCATTTTCATATTCTCAGCCCTTGTGTTATACTTGAGATACAGTAAATGATCTATGAATATTTGCTGAATAACAGTCTAAACTGACTGAATACCACTCAGCTTTCTCAGAAACTTCTTTCTATTGTGCTAATGATAACTTGCGGCTTAGAGGAGTTAAATCATTAGTAAGTAGTAGAGCTAGCATTTGACAGTAGGATTGTCTAATTGCAAAGTAATTGCCTCCTCCCTATAGAACTGCTCCTCTATTGGTGGACTACACTTGTACTTAACAATACCTGTCCTTGAGGACATTATTGAGCTTAGTTTCATGAGTTTGTAAACTTTGCCAGGCCAAATCTGTAACAGGACGGAAACAAATGAAATCAGTAGGCTAGTTCTTCCTTATGTCTTTAGTCTTTTCTGTATCTCAGTCTTGTTAACTCTGCTGGATTTTAGGAATCTGTCCTAAACCTTTGGGGTACTCAGTGTGGAGAAAAAAATATGCTGTCAAATGGCCATATACCCTACACTTGCACTTATTTATGAACAAAAAGAGTTATGGTGAGGTGGATGAAGATGACAGAAACTTTATGTAAATCATTATTAAATATTACAGTGATGTTTACACAAAGAAATTTACAATATAGTGCTTTCTACTTTTCTAGAGTATTGAGTAACAGCCTCAGCAGAAATATAATCACTTTGTGAAATGCAATTTGAGGAGTTTCTTAATATGGATAATAACGAATGTCTCTCATTGGAAGTGATACTGAGGTCTTTTATTGGTTTTCAGCCAGTGTCATTAAAGAATATGCCCAGTCTTTTCAAATATCAACCAACTAAGAAAACAGTTTCCTTGCTGACAGGCAGAAATTAACTGACCATGACATAAAATAACTGTTTCTTTGAATAAAATAACAAAATTCAAAAGTTATCTTTTCTCTGCAAATTGAGAGCCTATCAATGAGACATTTATAATATTGCAAGCAGAAGGACCATTGAAAGAATTTATATCACTATTGGCTAAAGAAAAGGACAACTGTCTAAACCTCTCTAGTTATGATGCTACATGGGAGATATTAATATTCAGTGATTCCCAGTCCTTCTCGAAACTCCCAAAGTTAATTGTCCATATGTATGGACAACACAACTTTCTTGTTGATATGCTGCCACTGTATCTGCTTTTAATCCCAATACTGTAGAGCATCCCTCAGACTAGAGTTTTAAAGTTGTTGGAAATACAAGAAGCAAAGCAAATTGACTGGTGTTAAGTACAAAAGAGGAAAGAATAGTTGAAGTAAAAAGTTCTGGTTGTGCTAGAATGTGAATGTGATGGTAACACACAAGGGTGCAGGTACAGAGTAAATTGTAGAAGGCTTGATGGGAAATTGAAATAATTAATTATTATTTTGCTAAAACCTCTCAGCTGGTAGAGCTTTCTGACAGTCCTAAATTATTTCCCAAATTCAGGTCTGTAACTGTTATTTTGTGACCTGTATAAGAAGAATACTCCTTACTTTTCTGTAACACAACACCTACAAATTTAATAGGTAGAATCTATTTTGGAAATGTACTGTCCAGATAACATTTACTCCAAGAATATTGTTTTTAGACTTTAATAAAAGTTTCTACACATATGATCAAATTATAGCTGATCTAGACATTAATAAACCTACACTGTATATGATTCAATAAATAACAGAAGAACTAGCTATGGTCTTACACTTCTTATAGAAAGACTGTAAAGACAGCTGGCTTTATTCCTAGCAAGTCCATAAGCAGTATCAACTGAGGGATACGTAAATCTCTATTTCACTAGTTTAAACAGAATTCCTACATAATATTTCACTAGCCTTAGGATTTGAGACATTGGTTATTCATTTAATTCAACAAATATTTATTGAGCAACTACATTGGTTAATTATTTGGAAAGTATATCCTCTTAACGTTCTCTGAATCATTACTATTAGCTAAAATGGTGGCTTTCAATATTAAGTACATATTCTTTCTTTTATTTCTTTATCATGTAACATAAAATTTATTGACTTTATATCAGTATTTAAGTATTGTTAAATTTATATCATAGGCTGGGCAATGGTGGCTTACACCTGTAATCCTAGCACTTTGGGAGATCAAGGCGGGTGGATCACCTGAGGCCAGGAGTTCGAGTCCAGCCTGGCCAACATGGTGAAACCCCGTCTTTACTAAAAATACAAAAATTAGCCGGGGGTGGTGGTGCATGCCTGTAATCCCAGCTACTCGGGAGGCTGAGGTACTAAAATTGCTTGAACCCGGGAGGCAGAGGTTGCAGTGAGCTGAGACCATGCCACTGCACTCCATCCTGGGCAACAGAGCAAGACTGTCTCAAAAAAAAAAAAAGTATAGTATATGTTATGGGATATCAGGAGAAGAGTAAACATCACCCAATGACTTTATCTTTTCTTCTAGAAAGGAATTAGTGCATTTTTGGTTGTATGCAGGAAATTATGATTTAAGGAGATACAAATGGGTGCAAAGTTGACAACGGGTGATTTTGTGATGGCTGATTTTACGTGTCAGCTTGAGTAAATTAAGGAATACCTAGAGAACTGGTAAAGCATTATTTCTGGGTATGTCTGTTAGGGTCTTTTCAGAGGACATTGGTGTGTGAGTCTAGATGGGCTAAGTGGGGGAAGAGCCACCCTCAACGTGTGTAGATACCATCCAGTCAGCTGGAAGCCTGGAAAGGACAAAAACAGAAGAAAGTCTGATTGGTCTCTCTCTCTCCCTCTCTCCTTCTCTCTCCCTCTCTCTCCCTCTCCCTCCCTCTCCCTCTCTCTCCCTCTCTCTCTCTCTCTCTCTCTCCCTCTCCCTCCCTCTCCCTCTCCCTCCCTCTTCCTCCCTCTTCCTCCCTCTCCCTCTCTCCCCCTCTCTCCCCCTCTCTCCCTCTCTCTCTCTCTCCCTCTCTCCCTCCCTCTCTCCCTCTCTCTCCCTCTCTCTCCCTCTCTCTCTCCCTCTCTCCCTCTCTCCCTCTCTCCCTCCCTCCCTCTCTCTTTCCCTCTCTCCCTCTATCCGTATATCCCTCTCTCTCCCTCTCTCCCTCTATCCCTCTCTCTCCCTCTCTCCTTCTCTCCTTCTCTCTCCCTCTCTCTCCCTCTCTCCTTCTATCCTTCTCTCTCCCTCTCCCTCTATCCCTCTCTCTCCCTCTCTCCTTCTCTCCTTCTCTCTCCCTCTCCCCCTCTCCCTCCCTCTCCTTCCCCTTCCCTCTCCCCTTCCCCCTCTCTCTCCCCTGGGGCTGAGATACACTCTTCTCCTGCCTTGGACAGGATCTCTAGGCTCTTCAGTCTTTGGATTCCAACACTTAACACCAGCAGTCCCCCAGGTTCTGAGGCCTTCAGACTTGGACTGAGCCATGCTACTGATATTACTGATATCCTAGTGTCTGCAGCATGCAGATGGTCTGGGACTTCCCGGACTCCATAATTCTGTGAGCCAGTTTCCCCGATAAATCTCCTCTCATCTACCTATTTCTCTTTCTCTTTCTTACTCTCTTTCCTCTATTCATTATATTTCTTTGGAGAACGCTAATACAGGGAGCTTTTTAAAAATCCCAGTTCCCAAGCTATATCAGCCAAATGTAATAATTCCTTGAGATAGAACTAACTGAGGCATCAGTATTTTCCTGAGCTCCTTGGGTTATTTCAATGTGCATCCAAAAGTTAAAAAAATATTTCATATATATATATATATATACACACACACACACATATTTTCACACACACACATATAAGTAAGTAAGTAGGTAGGTAGGTAGGTAGAGAAAGGGTGAGAGACAGAGAGAGAGTCTGGCTCTGTCACCCAGGCTGGAACTCTTGGGCTCAAGTGATCCTTCTGCCTCAGCCTCCCGAGTAGCTAGGACTACAGGTGTGCACCACCATACCCAAATAATTTTTTAATTTTGTAGAGATGGGGTTTCACACTGTTGCCCAGGTTTGTCTTGAACTTTTGGCCTCAAGCAATTCTCCTGCCTCGGCTTCCCAAAGTGCTGAGATTATAGGAATAGGGCACTGCATCTGGCCTATAATTTCTGCATGTAGTAATCTGACTTTGAAATGTAATATTCATTGTGCATTGATTCTTGTTTTAAACTTTAATTTTAACATGTTATAAAGTTGATCCAAATTGGGTTTTATATTTTCTTCTTTAATCTTCTGAGATTCAAAGAATAAAAAGAAAAAACAAAAACAAAAAAACTATTCCTTGTTTACAGACTGAATCTAAAATATGTGGTAGATTGAGTTTAACTGCTATTTTTTTTAAGCCTGAACTTTCTGCCCCAGATTCTGAAAAATAAAAATAACAAATGAAAATGGTGTCAGATACAGAATTGGAATTTGAACCCTTAGTTTACACAATGTGACATTATATTACACAAAAATAAACTAATACATGTATTTACTTCATACATTTATCAATGTTTGATAGAGGGATGTATCAGAAAAAAAAAAGATGAAAGAAAAGAAGTGGAAATATAGCTAGACTTAATGGAACTGAAATGGGAAATTTAAAAACCTCAAAAAGAAATGTTTACACTCAAAGTGCACTGTTTCCCTCATCAATTTCTGGCTGCATGTTCCTAGCTTGTACTTCATGTAAGGAATGGGTGTGATTCATGTCAGAGCAGCTAAGTTTTCAGGGCTTGCTAGAAAATAGAATGATTTAGAGGCATCTGCCACTAAGAGCATTGCTTTGTGTCTTATTCCAGTCCTCATCAATGAATCTAGCTGTGTTGGTGTCCTTTCTAAGAGCTTCTCTTAAGTTTTGGAATACCTAAGTTTCAGAGTAAATTCTACAGATAGTTTATTGATATAAAGGGTATATATCTTCATGATACAATGTCTAGGGAGGATAATTTATTTCTCTTATGTCTATGAATAATTTATTATTCAAGATTACTTATAAATATAAGATTGAATTCCTTATTGTGTTCAATTGGCCTGATTAAGCCTCTGCATGAGGAAAAATAAAATGTTTGAGTCAGAATCTGGGCTGGGAACACTAGAATTTTTTCTTTACTCTGTAGTACATGAACTAAGTATATAATGTTTGGAACTGCCCTAGAAAATTAATGTCGTCCTTACAATTTATGTCACTTTCCCAGCAGCGTCATAACTAACCAGATAATATTTTTAAATGTTTTGCCAGCAAAATAGTTTTTTATTTTGAGTATTATAGGAGACATATGTGTCCCTTGAGAAAGAGCTTATACAATTCTGAAGTTATCAGTAATAGAATGTACACGTGCACACACATACATAAAAATGATATGGCATATATACTCAGGGGCAGGTTAACATCAGTATTTCAAACATTTTGATAATCTCAGCTTTACATATTATTTTTCTCACTTTACAAAAGAGATATATATTAAACAATTTTACACAATATTTTAAATGGGTTGAATTGTATTTAAAATGTATTTGTTATTTTAAAATCAAAGAAATGAGAAAATTGGCAACCAGGCCTTAGCTGATACGATCACTGTCCATCTCCCCAAAGTGTTGATTTGCAATTCTACCTCTCAGTTACTCTGCACCAATAATACTCAGTGGCCTTTAATTTCCTCCAGTGTTCCAAAATCCATTCTGTCTCAGGCTTTTGCACATGCTCCACACCAGAAACACTCTTCTTTTCCTCCCTCTTCCTTTTGCTTTTCTCACTTTTAAGAAGCAAAATTCTCTCCTTTATCTTACAGGATAAAGTCGCTTTCTTGGAAAAGCATCCTCTGATCCCCAGAGCAGGTTCATTTCCAATGTTTTATGTTCCCTCTATTCCTTGCACTTCTTTGTAACACCTGTCATGAGTGAAAGTATTCATGTAACCACTTGTTTTACAGCTAAACGATGTTTCTTCCAGCTAAACTATGTTTCATTAGGACAGGGACTACACTGCACAGGACATTTATAAATGACAATACAAATATTCCCTAGCTGATTTTAATTCCCCCCAACATATGGGGTCTATGAAGATAAAGTCCTTATCTTCCTTATTCACTGCTCTATCCTAAGCCCCTTAATACAGGATCTGGCTCATGGTATTTGTTCAATGAATAGTTGTTGAATTAATTGATGAAAAAAATTAACTTTTAGTATAGTGAAGAGTTATCTCTCTACTTTTATCTGTTCTGTCAAATGTTTTAGCTTTTATATATTAGTTTTTTAATTTTTAGTTTTGTAATGTTTATATATTAGGTATATTGAAGAAAACTACATTATATGTTAGGTATATTGACACTTGCAATTCATGAAAACTTTAAATCTTGAAATATGTTTTGTAAAATTGAGAATGCATAACATAATTTATAAGCAAGAATGATTCCTTATAAATTGTGATTATAACACAACAGCTAAATAGAAAGATATGATTGTAAATATATCTCTTCAATAATGAGTAGAATTAAAATGTCAGAATTTGAGAGGTAGAACTACCCTAGGTTTCATTTAGCACAACGAAAACATGTCATAAATAAATACAAATGATAAGTGATTTGCCCAGTGTCATAAAGATACTTAGTGGCAGAAGAAAATTTTAACTCCAAATTTCTGACCTCTTTTTCTGTTCCATAATACTCCTATATTTTGAGTATGAAATTTTGAATAAATATGAGGCTAAGACACATTTGTTAATTTCTCTTAATGTGCAATCAGGAAATTGAAATAAGGGCTTTCAATAAGCAAACACAGCTCCTAGTAACATGACCAAAGAGCCTTATAATACTTTTACCATGATGTGGTATCCATACCTCCCCAGCTTATTTTCTTTGGATCTCAAAATGGATACTTTGCCTGTCTCCTATTGCTATTAATTGCCACATACATCTCTTTGTGTGATTTGCTTGGCAGCCCTGAAAACAGCTGGCTGTCTGGTTGGATCAGTCCCCCGTGGCAAACTCAGGACTCTGCGTTCCCAGTACTGGCTCACAGAATCTGGTTGAATCACGTGAGTTATTTATACTTCACTATACTTGGTTCCTGGCACCAGAATTGGTAGAGGTCCATTTTGAAATGTGTTTGGTCAACCATGAGTTGAGTCAACTCAGCACTTGACATTAAGGGTGTCTTCTGGTACATGACAGTGGGTGTTCCCAAGGAATTAGAAGCCACATGTGTCAAATTGCAAATAACTCAGGTTTATATTTTAATACAGTTCAATTTTGCCTATTTATTAGAGGGAATTATGGTAGCAATTAATAAACATGCTTAATCAGTGACATAATCATAACATTTGAAGAGGTTGGGAAAATGCTGAGGTAGTTGAAAAATTAGTAAAAGGCATTTTGGAACCAAATACCTCAAAATCTCTTGGACATGGATTATAATATAATATGTAACATGCATCATGTGTAATATATTTTAACACATTTGTCCCTGATTTTTTCCCATTAAAAATGGGAAATTATAAAGACACTTTCTTTCTTTATGATTGTATTGTTTAAGGGGACAAAGAATAAAGGCTTTAACAAAATTTGGTTGGGCACCGTGTCATAGAATTTAAAGATGCCCAATATCACTGTTATTAAAGGACATCTAAGTTATTGAGAGAATGCCATAATTAGAAGGAAAATGCAAGCACTGTTCTGAGAGAACTATTGATTCTTTGCTTTCAGACTACTCATTTGTTTAAGACAAATGTGCAAGCTACACCAAAGAACACCATATCACCTTGGAGTTGCTGCCTCCGCAGTGGTACAACTGCTGATACAGACAGGCTTGCATTTTCTCTTGAAGTCTTCTATCTTCCTTTAGTGTCATTGAACAAGGGCTGCTGAAGTGTCAGAAAAAAATATTTATTGCTCTTCCATATGTCACTGCCCTCCCGCCAGTGACATGTGTACTCATCAGTCAAACGGAAACTACCCACCATGTTTGATTTACTGCAGTTGAAGGAAATCTGTTTGTGGGTTCCTATAACATAAGCCATTCTGCTAGAGATTAATGCCCTGATTTGCATGCAGTTCATGAGAGTTATATCATTAGTTTTCATGATATACCAGAACTAAATGGAAGAAGTCCAATTCTGTTTTTTCCTCTGTGGGGTCCTGCTCTTTTTCTTTCCCCTCCCTAACCTTTTCATTAACTTTCCCCTTGTTGTTCAGTAAAACATTATTTACTTTGTACCATCTCAGGACTTGGTAGGAGATTAAGTGATTAAGTTTTAGCAACACAGAAACCATGAATAAAGTCCCTCTTCAGAACACCTGGAAAATTACTTGAATAGCAACAGACTCTCTGGCCTTGGAAATGGACTTTTAACAAACATACCATGGTGAAAAATAAAATTGAGAAAATTTTATTTTTCAGAAATAAAATTTTCTGAAAAATAAAATTGAGTTTTCTCACTGACATCTATGTACCATTTACAATCTGTGAGGGATGCGGGGTAAGAAGGTTTTCAGAGCTTTCGGAGTTGCTCAAGTTTAAGAAAGTTTTCTAACATACTATAATTCTACTGTATAGAATTCAAAATATATCTGTGTTGACATTTTTGTGCTATAAGTAAAAACATTCTATAGGTGTATAATTGAATCTACTTTGACTAGCCACACCTGATTGCTATATAGAACCTGTGATGATGGCAACCGAGATGACTAAGAGCAGCTACATTTATTCAGATGCAGGTTAAAAAGTGGATAATGATTGAGATATTTATTCCATATCCCAACATCTTCACCAGAGCTCTTGAAGCATATGAAATTCTATTTAACTCTTTAAATAGAATTTAAACAGTAAAATTTGACTATTAGTACTCTTATAAAGAATATCCTATAAAGAATTTATCTATGTAAATAAAAAAGATTTTATTATAATGTACAGAACCCAAGTCTTTTGTACTTCTCAGACATTAGGCAATAGATTATAAAGATTTCACAAAGCAGACTCCACAAAAAAACTGTTAGAATTAATAAAATATTCAGTAAAATTGCAGGATACAAATCACCATACAAAAGTCATTGCATTTCTATACACTGATAATGAACTCTCAGAAATTATAAAACAATCCCATTTACAACAGCATCAAAAAGAATAAAATAGAAATAAACTTAACCAATGAAGTGAAAGGTGTATACACTAAAAACTACAAAACATTGATTAAGGAAACTAAAGGATACACAAATAAATGACAGACATCCTGTATTCATGCATTGGAAGACTTAAGTTAAAATGTCTGTACTACCCAAAGTAACCTGCAGATTCAGTGCTATCTCCAACAGAATTAGAATAGCATGTTTTATGCAGAAAGAGAAAATCAATCCTGCAATTCATATGGAACCACAAATGACCCAGAATAGACAAAGTGATCTTGAGAAAGAACAAAGTTGGAGGCATCACAGTTCCTGATTTCAAAATGTATTACAAGCTACAATAATTAAAACAATATGGTACTGGCATGAAGATGGAGATATGGACCAAGGGACGGAAATAAATCCGTACATATATTGCCAACTGATCTTTGAGAAGAGTTCCAAGAACACACAGTGAGAAAAGGGAACTGCTCAACAAATGGTGTTGGGAAAACTGGATATTCACATACATAAGAATACAATCAGACCCCTATATTACACCACACATAAAAACCAACTCAAAATGGACTAACGACTTAAATGTAGGACCTGAAACCATAAAACCTCAAGAAGAAAACATAGGGGAATATCTTCTGGATACTGGTCTTTGCAATGATTTCTTGGATATGATGACAAAAGCTTAGACGACAAAAGAAAAAACAGAGAAGTGTTATGAATTAGTCCTTTTTCACACTGCTGATAAAGACATACGTGAGACTGGGCAATTTATAAAAGAAAGAGGTTTAATTGGACTTACTGTTCCACGTGGCTGGGGAAGCCTCACAATCATGGCAGAAGGCAAGGAGGAGCAAGTCCTGTCTTACATGTATGGCAACAGGCAAAGAGAGAATGAGGAAGGCGCAAAAGTGGAAACCTCTAATAAAACCATCATATCTCATGAGACTTATTCACTACATGAGAATAGTAGGGGGAAACTGCCCCCATGATTCAATTATCTCCCACCAGTTTCCTCCCTCAACACATGGGAATTATGGGAGTACAATTCAAAATAATATTTGGGTGGGGACAGAGGGCCAAATAATATCATGGTACTACATCAAACTAAAATATTTTACACCCCAAATGATATAATCAACAGAATGAAAAGGCAGCCTACAGAATGGGAGAAAATATGTGCAAACTATACATCTGATAAGGGGCTAATTTCAAAAATATATAAAGAACTCCTACAAATAGGAAATAAACATATAAACCCAATTAAAAATGGGCAAAGGACTTGAACAGAAATTTCTCCAAGAAGACATACAAATGACCAACAAGGTATATGAAAATGTGCTCAAAATCATTAATTGACAGGAAAATTCAAATCAAAACTACAATAAAATATCACCTCACACTTGTTAGGATGGCTACTATTAAAAAGGAAGTGTTGGTGAGGATCTGGATAAACTGGAATTGTTGTACACTGTTGTTGGGAATATAAAATAGTACAGCAGCTATGGAAAACAGCATGGATGTTCCTCAAAAAATTACAAATGGAATTACCATATGATCCAGCACTATTACTTCTGGGTATATATTGAAAATAATTGAAATAATAATCTCAAAGAGATATCTATACTCCCATGTCCACTGCAGCATTATTCACATTAGACAAGATACAGAAACAACCAAGTGTCTGGATGAATGTATGAATGAATAATGTATGGTGTGTGATTAATATATATGTATAATATTCCATTATATAAAAAATATATACTATTCCATTATATAGAGTATACAATATTTTGTTATATATGATATGTAATATTCCATTATACATAATATGCAACATTTTGTTATATATATTTCACTATATATAATATATATATTCATTATAATATAATGTTCCATTATATATTATTTCATTTTATATATTATATATTATATATATTATATATTTTATATAATATATAATATATAATAATATAATAAAAAATAAAAATAAAAATATATAAATAAAAATAAAATATATAAATAAATATATAAATAACAAAAATATATAAATAAATATAATATTTATATAATTATATACATTATGTATTTTATATAATATTATATATTTTATATAATATATCTTATATATCTTATATGATAATATATAATATATCTATCTTATATGATAATATATAATATATCTTATATATCTTATATGATAATATATAATATATCTTATATATCTTATATGATAATATATATCTTATATATCTTATATGATAATATATAATATATCTTATATATCTTATATGATAATATATATCTTATATATCTTATATGATAATATATAATATATCTTATATATCTTATATGATAATATATATCTTATATATCTTATATGATAATATATAATATATCTTATATATCTTATATGATAATATATATCTTATATATCTTATATGATAATATATAATATATCTTATATATCTTATATGATAATGTATATCTTATATATCTTATATGATAATATATAATATATCTTATATATCTTATATGATAATATATATCTTATATATCTTATATGATAATATATAATATATCTTATATATCTTATATGATAATATATAATATATCTTATATATCTTATATGATAATGTATAATATATCTTATATATCTTATATGATAATATATAATATATCTTATATATCTTATATGATAATATATAATATATCTTATATATCTTATATGATAATATATAATATATCTTATATATCTTATATGATAATATATAATATATCTTATATATCTGATATGATAATATATAATATATATTAAATATCTTATATAATATATAATATATATTATATATCTTATATGATAATATATTATATATATTATATACCTTATATAATATATAATATATATTATATATCTTATATGATAATATATTATATATATTATATATCTTATATGATAAATATAATATATATTATATATCTTATATGATAAATATATATATTATATATCTTATATGATAAATATATATTATATATCTTATATGATAATATATATTATATATTTTATAAAATGAAATATATAATGGAATATTATATATAATGAATATATGTATTATATATAATGAAATATGTATAACAAAATATGTAATATATATTATATATTTTATAATATATATTATACATATATATAATATGTATTATATAATTTCTTATATATATTTCATTATATAATGAATATATATAATATATAGTATATATAATATATAATATATATAATATATCTTATTAATATAATAAATATATATAATATATCATATATATTATATATGATATATTCTATATCATATATATAATATATATATCTTACAAAAGTAAGATTTTACGATTTCAATCAATAGTATAGATTGCGGTCAAAAGTATATTTGATACATTTCTGGCTTTATGTATATGTATAAGAAATTTTCTTTGTACTGTCTTTAGTGCAGACATAATTTATGTTCTTTTCCAATGCATCCATCCACTGATCCATTTATCTATCAAAAAAGAAAGGCATCTTCTTATAATCATTGTATTTCTCATGTTACTAATATGCAACATACATACACACACACACACACACACCACCACACACTCCTACATCATCTAAAAGCTTATGTAACATGAACCTAAGAATGACTCTTCTTGTTTGATCTGTACAGTCTGACATTAAGTGTATTTTAAATGGATATTAATGATAATATTCTTAAAAATCCAACAATGATAAAGATTTTTCTCATGAAAGATGGTGTGTTATTTTCCTGAATTGAAAAAATTGACTTCTCAGTTGGAAGTCAATGACATTTGGGCCCATTTCTTAAAGGATTCTAAGATTAAATCTTCTAAGTAGATTTATTTCTTTACAGATAAAACAAATAAGAACATGCTATCACGTCTCCCAGGATTCAGTTTTGTGGGTCTATTAGGCAATTATTAATGGATTAGGAAAAAGGAAAGCTAAGTAAACTCTTCAACTTATATTACCACTTTTTGTAAAGATACCAAGCAGATTCAAAGGCACTCCAGAAGTGTCTACATACTTTGAAGGGCTGAAAGGGGACAGGATGATACAAGTGAAGTAAAACATTTTCAAATGCAAAAGAAAAATAGGGGGCTGAGAGATAAAAAGAAATCAAAGATGAGAAGTAAGGGACAAACAGGAACAGCTAATGTTTCCGATTACATTATTAAAAGTGAGTTTATGTATGTCACATAGAAAATTTTAAATTTGTTCCTTTATTCTTGGAGAGCAATAAAACATTGCCTTACGTGTATTATGATCATAAACAGTCTAAATTTTCAACAGAGTAATAATCTCCGTTTCATGTAGGAAAATCTTATTTTACATTATTCATCAATAAAATATCTCAGATATGGGAAATATCATTTTACATAAAATGAACAAAAGGTATTTAAAACATATACATTCTATTATTTAAGCACAGTGAGGAACCCTGGTGAGGAAAGGTGGAAAAGGGTGGAGGGGCAAGATATGTCATCTGAAAATGCAGTCTCTAGACCAATTCTTTGGTAATGATGCTAGAAGTAAGGGACAGTAGGAAAGTCTTGACCTTAGAGTGTAGAAAAAAGTTTGCGCCTGTGTGGGAGAGTTGCTCGGGGTCTTTTGGGAGATAAGAGTCATGGCATTTTTGTGTGATGCTTAGTGGTACCAGAGATTCTCTTTCAGTACATCCCAGAGAAAGTTGTTCTCAACTCTAAGAGAGATCCAGGTTCTTCTCTTGGGAGCTTCATAAAACAGCTGTCAAGTTCACAGAGAGAAAAAGGTCGCAAAAGTTGGTTCCTGAACAACAGGTGCTTGCTGCGGCCACAGCAGAATCGTTAGCAGCCAATTTAAGCAGTTTTAGTGGGCCCATTGGAATAGATCTAACAGACTCTGAGATGAAAACAAAGCCCCCTTTGGAAGACAGATTTAAAATATGCACACACGCATTCACATGTGTGTGTATGGGGGATATCTATATATGTATCTATATACACACACACACGTATATATAGAAGATACAGAAGGGGTTTGTGTGTGTATATATCTTCTTCCTTTTCTTCTCTTTAAAACAAACAGAGGAATTCCATTTTCAGCTAAGAAGGAATAAGGGGCAGGATTTAACCTCCTGCCTGAAACAATAACAGTAAAAAGGAAAAATAAAATAAATGAACTCCTGAACATCAGGCAATGAAGGGCACAGATCTCTGGGAGATAAGAAACAAATAAGGAGAACCATATGATAAATCCAGCTTACTGCCTGCAGAAAGTTTCCTGGCCATGGTGCACGTATGGGAGTGTAGGAGTGGAAATCAGGCAAAGTCCAGTAAACTCACCAATTTAAGGAGAAAGCTGAGAGTACTGGGAGACCAAGGTGACTAGAGATTCCAGGACAGAACACTAGAGAGGAGAGAGCTTCATAGAGAGAGCTCCAAAGATCTGCAAAGAATTCCACCCAAGTATTCAGTTGAGTACTGATCAGCACGTGTATGTGACAAAACTACTTGAGTCAGGGAAAAGAAAAACTTAAAATAATTAGTGGTAGAAGTGTCCCACGTACACACAGGGCTAAGAAATGTACCTGTTTCCACCAGTCAGAGAAGGAAAGCATATATTATTAGGTAGGGTATACAGAAAAGTCTTGCCTTAGTAGTGAGGAATAATCAACCCTAGACTGAGCACTCCTCTAGTCCTTCCAAACAAATCTTAAAAGGAAGATCCGAAATAATAAAACTATTTCCAGTAACTTAATGGCATCCCAGAATAAAGCTTCATAATATTTTAGGAATACAAAAATATCCAGTATCCAACAAAGTAAAATTCACGATGTCTTGAAATACAATCACAATTTACCAGACATGCAAAGATGCGGGAAAATAAGGCTCATAATGAGGACATAAATGAATCAACTAATTAAACTGACAGATGTTTACCTCATTAGTGTCCATACATGTATGATTGGTAGATTTCCTTCTAGATGCTATTCTGTGCCTTTATCAATATATAAATACGCCCACAATAACTGAGTATAGTGGGTCTTTATTATCTCAGTGCTCATCATCAGAGTCCCATATTTGGGGAAATTTTTAGAAAAATAAAAGTTGTTGCAATGTTAAAACATTTGTTAATAAATAAAGAGATATACAATCAGTCTTCCCTGCACCCCACCAAATCCTTCTCTGTTTGACATTAGTGCCTCTCCTGTTGGTCTTTCCTTGGTTGCCACAAGTTGCAAAGATAAACTGAAATAACAATGCAAAACAATTGCAAAAGCTCTTCAGAAATGGATTACTTGAATAACAAAGTATTCGTAGGGTACACTGAAACTAAGGATAAAGCCCTCTAGTATTTTTTACAACATGATCTTCTTTAAAAGATAGCCACCTAAAGTCAAAAGTTAAATGGCAACTGTCATATGACATTGTACAGTTTTGTTGAAATTATTTAGGCAAAAAAATCTGGACTTGATTTATTCTTATTTTGTTCTAATAAATAGGGCAGCATTGCAACTAAACTTATTTATAAAATAAAATAAGCATATTTTAATAATATTAAGCCCAAATTAAAGACTTTTTTCTGGTCTCCTACTATTTATCATTTACTTTCCACCTTGTCTTAAGTGGTAATCAAGAAAGGTTTGATTTATTTTTAATTTAATTTAATTTAATTAATTTATTTTTTTGCTAGGAAGTCTCTCTCTGTCACCCAGGCTGGAGTGCAGTGGTGCAGTCGGCTCACTGCAACCTCTGTCCCCTGGATTCAAGCGATTCTCCTGCCTCAGCCTCCTGAATAGCTGGGATTACAGGCATGCACCTCCATGCCTAGCTTATTTTTGTATTTTTAGTAGAGATGGGGTTTCATCATCGTTAGCCAGGCTGGTCTCAAACTCCTGACCTCAGGTGATCCACCCACCTCAGCCTCCCAAAGTGCTGGGATTACAGATGTGAGCCACCACACCCAGCCTTATATTTAAGATTAGCTGGGGGAGAATTGCTAGCATGTTGTAAACTCACCCTCCTGAGAAGAAGACATGAGGAATTTTATCTTTCAGTTCACCATAGGTGAGATAACACTTGACAGGAACATTCAAAGGGCTTGATTTGTGTCTGCTGCTGTATGGGGACAGAGTGGCCTATCATCTGACATACAGTTCAGGAGTATACATCTGAGAGGTGTTGGATGGGGCTGCTCGCTCTGATGATGCAATGAGGAGAGGCAGCTACATGGAATTTGGGTGGGACTTCCAAAAGATGCAGTTGGACCAGATGTGGGTCAAGTGAGGAAACAGATCTGGCCTGGGCCTTTTAAAAATCTTGCCCAAAGGGGACAAGTTAGAAAGGCCAAGGAGCAACAATAGTCTGTGTAGAATGGTCTGCCTCAAGGGGAGTCTCTTGTGTCATGAGAAGTGCAAATGATTTTTCTTAGTAGGGGCTTTGGAAGAATCCATAAAAATACCTACATTAGACAGAATTAACATAATAAATTTTTTTTGGCCCGGAAAATAATGGTGACATCCTTTGGAAGCAAAGACAACTAAGTCTCTTTCTGTTTTTCTACCTTCCCTTACTCTTCCTCACTTCACACTGGCAGAGCCCAGCTAGGGAAGGGGAAAAGATTTAACACTAAATATAGTCCAGAGTTTTGATGATTTCAAGGGCTTAATATTTCAGTTATAGAATTGAGACATTTGTATGTGTGTTATATGCATGTGCATGAGACTTAAAGAAACTTTCAGATTGATTTCCTCCCTCTCAACTTTTATCTCTTTTATCTTATCTTCCCCTGCTGATTTGATTGGAAGAGAGAAGAAAAAAGCAGTAGAGGTGGGTAAACAAGATATTTAGAGATATGCATACTTAAACTTTGTGAAATCCCTCTAATATTGTAATTCCATAATTTTGTGTATTGCTCAGTGTAAAACTTCTAAGCAGGGAAAGTTTACCTGGAGTGGCTCTGACACTGGAATCGGCACCTTTTCCCCACTTGGAGTATTTTATAGTGCTTGATTTGTTCCCACTTCCCTTTGCAGGGCTCCTATGCTAATCTGACATAAGGACAATCTCTTCTCATTTAGGGGTTGGTTTCCTGCCCTCAGGTACCATCAGTATGTGTTCACCTCCCACCAGTTTTAAGGCAGGCTTATATAGCATTGACTCTTGGGGGTTGAGTAGGAAATGTAAGCATTTTTGTAGTAGGATAGCAAATATTCTTTCTGAACTGCAAATACTGATGATCTGTTCTTTTCCTTAATTTCTTCCCTTACTCCAACTCCTATCATTCGTGCACCCACTTTCCCTGAATCTTTGACACATTTTGCCTGCTCCTTCAGTCACTGCACATACCCGAGATGATGATCTTTTTCATGGAGTGTGGATGCCTAAGTTGTTCCGTCTTCCTTTTGAATCCACTTACAAGGGCCATCAGTCTTAAGATGCTCACTTGGTGTCAATAGGCCACCTTAGTTTTTTGACAATCCAGTCTCTAGGGGTACTGAATGTTACTCCAAGTAATTATTCCAGTTCTTGGTGAATGAAGTTATTTCTTACTGTTCTTGAGAGTTTTGTATGGGAACAGTGAGTAGATTAAAAGTCTTTTGAATATACAGACATATCCGTGAAACTGGGAGACAGCATGGTAGTTAAGTAGGTGGACTTCACTGTCGCTCTGCCTTGGGTCAGATCCTGGCTCCCGCATTTGATTGCGCATGGTCTTAAGAAAATTACTTAACCTCACTATGCCTTATTTTTTAATTTATTAAACGAGAATGATGACCACAATAATATTATTTATCTTAGCTTTCCTTTTGTTGAGGAGGGGGTGAAGCCTAAGTGAGATTATACATACAAAGCACTTAAGTTAGGACATGATGTATACTAAGCACTCAATAAATGTTAGTTACAAAGGAAAAGTGTACTTTAAAAAACTATTGTTCAAATAAGTTTCAGTGAGAATTGTTTTTAAAACACTGAGATGTCGATTTTATTTACAAGTAAGATCTGTATGTATGAGTAACTTCAGGAGAAAGAGACAAGGAATCTTTGGCATTGAGACGCTTTTAAGGCTACTGTTGAGGAAGTAGCTATTTACCTAATACAATAATTTATCTGAAAACAGAAGGATGCTTCAAAATATCTTTAGTCTAAAATCAAAAGTAAACTATTACCTTCTGTTTCCTGTGATATTTCAAAATCTTCAGCAAATTTAAAAGTAGAGAAAAAGAAGAGTAGAGTGCAGTAAGAGAACTAAGTGAGGTTCAAAGAAAACCTGTTGTTTAATGCAGATTTAAATAGTGGGGAAAATGAAACTTATTTAAAGTGGTGGGGATATTTTAAGTATGTAAATGTCTGTGAGAAGAGAAAGTGGGGTTTAAAAAATTGTTTGCTTAAGATTATCATTGTTAAATATATTTCTTTTTTTTATTTGTATAAATTTAGGGGATACAAGTGTCACATGGATATATTGTGTGGTGGTAAAGTCTGGACTTTAACCATTACTCAAACAGTATACATTGCACATTATTTTATTTCTTATCCCTCACCCCCCTCCCAGTCTCCCTTCCCTGAGTCTACAATGTCTTTTATTCCACACTTTATGTACATGTGTACACATTATTTAGCTCCCACTTATAAGTAAGAACATTTGGTATTTAACTTTGTTTGAGTTATTTAACTTATGAGAATGGCCTCCCGTTCCATCCATTTTGCAAAGATATGATTCTATATCTTTGCTATTGTGAATAGTACTATAAAAATATGAGTGCACTTATCTTTTTGATATATATTTGGGTATATATTCAGTAGTAGGATTGCTGGATCACAGGGTAGATCTATTTTTAGTTTTTCTGAGAAATCTCTGTACTGTTTTCTAAAGAGATTGTACTAATTTACATTCCCACCAATGCTATACAAGAGTTGCCTTTTTGCCACAAGCTTGCTAACATCTGTTATTTTTTGACTTTTCAATAATAGCCATTCTGACTGGCATAAGATGATATCTCATTGTGGTTTTAATTTACATTTCTCTGATGATTAGTGATGATGGGCATTTTTTCATATGCCTTTTGGCCATTTGTATGTCTTCTTTAAAGAAATAACTATTCAGATCATTTGTCCATTTTTAGATTGGATTATTTGGATTTTTGCTGTGGAGTTGAGTTCCTTGTAGATTCTGGATATTAGTCCCTTGTCAGATGCATAGTTTTTGAACATTTTATCCCATTCTGCAGGTTGTCTGTTCATTCTATTGATTATTTCTTTTGCTGTGCAGAAACTTTAGTTTCAGTCCCATTTGTCTATTTTTGTTTTTGTTGCATTCAATTTTGAGGTCTTAGTTATGAATTCTTGGCCTACGGCAATGTCCAGAAGAGTTTTTTCTAGGTTTACTTCTAGTATATATAGCTTCAGGTCTTACATTTAAGTATTTTGTTCATCTTGAGTTAATTTTTGCATATGGTGAAAGATAGGGGTCCAGTTTCATTCTTCTGTATATGGGAATCCAATTTTCCCAGCACAATTTATTGAAAAGGGTGTCCTATTCCCAGTGTATGTTTCTGTTGACTTTGTCAAAGATCAAACTGGCTGTAGGTATTTGTCTTTATTTCTGATTTCTTCATTCTGTTCCATTGATTTTTGTGTCTGTTTTTATACTAGTACCATGCTGTTTTGGCTATTACAGACTTTCAGTATAATTTGAAATCAAGTCGTGTGATGACTCTGGCTTTGCTCTTTTTGCTTAGAATTGCTTTGGCTATTTGGGCTCCTTTATGGTTCCCTATGAATTTTAGGATTGTTACTTCTAATTCTGTGAAAATGACATTGGTATTTTGATAGGAATGGAAGTGAATTGCAGATTGCTTCGGGAAGTCTGGTCATTTTAGTGATATTGATCCTTTTAATCCATGAACATGGGATGTTTTCCTATTTGATTGTGTCATCTATAGTTTGTTTCATCAATGTCTTGTAGTTTTATTTGTACAGATATTTCACCACCTTAGATAAATATTCCTAGGTTTCTTTATTTCTTTTTTTTTGTAGGTATGGTAAATGGGATTGACTTCTTGATTTGGTTGTCAGCTTGATCATTATTGTTGTATAGAAATGCTACTGTTTTTTGTATGTTGATGTTGGATCTTGAAACTTTACTGGATTCATTGATCAAATCTTAGAGTCTTTTGGAGGATTTTTTAGGGTTTTCTAGGTATAAAATCATATTGTCAGCAAACAGAGATAATTTGACTCTCTCTTTTCCAATTTGGATACCTTTTCTTTCTCATGCCTGATGGCTCTGGCTAAGACTTCCAGTACTATGTTGAATAAGAGTGGTGGATGGGCATCCTTTCTGTTTTTCCAGTACTTAGGGGGAGTGGCTTCAACTTTTCTTCATTCAGTGTGATGTTGGCTGTGGGTTTGTTATACATAGCTTTTATTATTTTAAGGTATGTTTCTTCTATGCCTAGTTTGTTGAGGGTTTTTATCATGAAGAGATACTAAATTTTATTGAATTCTTTTTTTGCTTGCATCTGTTGAGACAATAATAGGGTTTTTGTTTTTAATTATATTTATGTGGTGAATTACATTTATTGATTTGCATATGTTGAACCATGCTTGCATCCCTGGAATAAAACACACTTGGTTGTGGTATATTATCTTCATGATATGATGTTGGATTCAGTTTGGTAGTATTTTGTTGAGGATTTTTGCACCTGTGTACATCAGGGATATTGATCTGTAGCTCTGTTTTTTGTTGTGTCCTTGTCTGGCTTTATGTTTCTTTATATGAGAGATAGTGACAAATATTTGTGTTTAATTTTTTTTAAGTTTGAAAATAGTATGTAAACTGAGAGAATTAAAGGTGTGAAGCTTATTTTTTCTGGTGGAAAAATACATGTATCTCCTGTAATTTGAAACAGAAGTGCTTTCATTCAGATGCTTTTATGTTAAACACTTGTAAAGCTGTAAAATTTTGCTATTACCATAAGGGATCACATAGCTGGGTGCCATTCAAATTATAAAATCAATGAAAGTACCTTAAAATGTCAGTAAACAAATTTCTCGAGCTGCTGGCTATCTACTGGTGAAGATAGTGGTAGTTTCCCAATCTCATGCTGTCTGCTTCTCAGTTTAATTACCATGATGTGGTCGGAAGTATTTTCTGTACATTGGTCATGAGATATTTTTGAAATGAGAATTAACAGCCTCACTGAACACCTGGTGTGATTTCACTCTTGACTCTCATTTGTAATGGTTGTTCTGCCTTTATTAATTCCACATAGCACAGAACAAGTCTGGAGAAGTACATATAAGATTGCAAAATGTGGTTATCTGGCATGGGATAAGAATTAGGTTAAAGTTGGGGAATGTTCCTTTAACTTCTCACTTTGTATGTTTTTTCAAAATGGTGAACTTCCTAGTGAATTTTAACACTTTCATTTTTCAACTTTAACATGTATTTGCAAATTAATAAGTATATATAACCTAGCAATTACATCCCAGTTACATAATCATGTTTACTAAAAGGCATACATTAGAATGTTCCTAGCATCACCTCTTGTAATAGCTTCAAACGGAAATATTGAAGTTCTACAAAAGAAGAATAGATAAATAAATGGGGGGTGTATTCACATTGTGGAATACTGTACAGCAATGAAAACGAATGACCTATAGCTACATATAACAATGTGGATGAATCCTACAAATGTAATATTGGAAGAAGCCAGTCACAGAAGAGCTTGTACTATGTGATTCCATTACATGAAGTTCAATATGAGGCAAAGACTTACCTATCCAGTTAGAGGCAGGATAGTAGTTATTTGTAGAGATGGAATCACTGGAAGGGTAAATAAGGAGGCTTCTGGGATGCATGTAATGCTCTGCTTCTTAATACAGAGAACAGTCAACACCCTTAATACAGGATGTTGATGCCACAATTAGCACCCTTAATACAAGGTGTTGATTGTACAATTATATACTTGGTAAATATTTATCAAAGTGTCAGCTTATGAAATATGTCCTTTTATGTATTATATTACACTTCAGTTACAAGTTTTAAAGTCTATTGATTACCAAGTGAAGAGGTTTTGATGTTTTAAAACATTATGAAGAACCTATTTGGAGGGAAAAAACCTCAAATTTTAGCTAGAGATCAACAACAGACTTTGAATTTGGCAATGCCTTACACATTACAATTGCTAAATAAATGTATGTTGATGGACCAATGTGCTTTATTCTACTGATTATGTTAAAGCATGATGTTAAGAATTTAAGATAAATATTTGCAGTAAAGCTAGGCAAGACAAATAGCACTCAAAATTCCTTAAAAGTTTTTCCTTGGAGTATCGAGGAGTGTTCTTAAGAACATGGAAAGCTAATAATGTCTGACCAAGTGCACATATTCACTTTCTAAGGATATTACTAACTCCCTGCTTTATCTCTATTGATAATTTTTATCTGGCTTCAGCCCTCCTTTTAAGTGGTTTTTATTGAGTTTATTTCTGTGATGATGATTGATTGCCCTAACAGATTGGTAACCTGATGGGTTTTGGTCACAAAGATACCTTTCATAGTTATTGAATAATATATATTATTTAGGAAATATTTATCAAATGGATGGTCATTTTTATATTAAGATGGAGACAGATCTATTTTAAGTGCTGCAGAATATGTTTTAAACAAATATATCATTTTCTGAATGAAGCCTTGGGGTAAAAATATGTCATATATATTAAAAATTTAAAAATTAAGTTATGTAAAATTAAGTATTGAACCACTACAATGCAATTTAACTGTCACCTTTCAACGTAAGGATTGAAGATCAGTTGAAATCTAGCAGGCTTTTCATAGCCTCGTCCTTGGATTAGGTTACATTAAGGTCTCATAATTGTGAGATGGTTTTGTTTTGGTTCATTTAGCGTCTAAAACCATTAATATATTGTACATCAAGAACATAACAAATATGTGAACATTCTATGCCTCAGTAACTGTACACAGATATAAAGGTTGATTAGATTTCTTATAGGAAATACGTATTTTATATAAATATATTACATATTATATGATACATATATTTCTTACATGATATACACATATGTGTTTCTTATATCGGTGAAGTAAATGTTTTTACTGAATGCAATATTTTCAATTATTATTTCAGCATTGAATGGTTTTTTACATATTAATCTTTAAATTTTTTGTTGATCTACAATAGTCTTACATATTTGAGGGATACATGTGATATTTTGATACCTGTATACAATGTGTAATGATCAAGTCAGGGTTATTGGGATATCAGTCAACTCAAACATTTATCATTTCTTTGTTTTGAGAAAATGACAACTCTTCTTTTCTAGCTTTTTTTTTTTGACACAGGGTCTTGCTCTGTCACCTAGATTGGATGGAGTGCAGTGTTGCAATCACAGCTCACTGCAGCCTTGAACTCTTGGGTCACGAGATCCTCCCACCTTGGCCTCCCAAAGCAATGGGGTTACAGACATGAGCCACTGTGCCTACCCTATTTTTAAATATGTAATAAATAATTTTTAACTATAATTTCCGTATCATACTACCAATACTAGAATGTATTCCTTCTATCTAACTGTGTTTTTGCATCCTTCACCAACTTTTCTTCATCCCTCCCTTCCTTTCCCAGCCTTTGATAAGCATCGTTCTACTCTCTACCTCCTTGTGATCTACCTTTTTAGCTCCCACGTATGAGTGAGAACATGAAACATTTGTCTTTCTGTACTTGGCTTATTTCACTTAACATAATAACCTCCAGTTCCATCCATGTTGCTGCAAATAACGGTATTTCAGTTTTTAAAAAAGAACATTTTCTACCATCTTTTCTTTACATTTAAATCTAATTTATGTATTTTGTTCAGATCTACTTTACTTGTGTTACCTTTTAAAATATTTTCTATTTCCTTTACTTGAGGGGGAGCAATTCATTTTCATGGAACTCCAACTCCATTTTCCTCACAATGATCTCTGCAATAAGGGTTTACACGTCCTCTTTCAATGCAGCCTAAGTGAAAAGTCTTGAGACTGTTCTGTTTTATTAGACTGTCTTCTATACTGATCCCCAGGTGGCTCTATAAGTCTTTGTCAAGGGAAGCTTTGGAGAGATGAGTTAGGTTTAAAAATCTAGTTGCATTTTAAAGAGATGAAGCACCAGCATCTGAAAAATACGCCAGGGAAAGCAGAATAAATGAGGGATGTGAAGAAATAAAAGTTACAGAGGTTGAGGCTTGGCTATTGTGGTTTTCAAATGCAAACCTACAGAGATGTTGGATGTCAGAGGATTTTGGAGCTGTTGCAGAAAGGAATGAAGAAAAATAAAATTGAAATAACTCATGACTTATTATTGTTTCCTGAAGCATGTTCTAAGTTTAGAAAAATATAAGAATAAAAGTGGCTTTGAGTTATGTAAAAATTAATTTTTAAAATGCAAAAGCCCTACTATTCTTAGGAATACAAATTAAATTAATTGGATTAGATTGATGAATTCAAGTGTTTCTCAATAAGCCAAGGATCAAAAACAATTTTAAGATGTTAGATAGTGTTACATAGTCTTCTTCACTGTCATCTAATACAGTAACCTAATCTCAGGCATTTTCTAAGAATTAGGGCATATTTAAATTAAGTATAGTCTAGCTCCTCAAATTAAATTTTATAATGATGTAAAAAATTAGTTTAAATGCCTAGGTATTTTGAAATATCACTTTTTTCAAATTTTCTTTTAATGTTCTAAAATGTGTATTGTTTATATTATTCGAAGGATCCCATGAATATTCCTTTTTGTTGTTGTGTTGTTTTGTTTTGGGAGACACGGTCTTGCTCCATTGCCCAGGCTGGAGTACAGTGGTGTGATCACAGCTCACTGCAACCTCAATCTCCTGGGCTCAAGTGATCCTCCGACCTCAGCCTCTTGAGTAGCAAGGGCTATAGGTGTACACCACCACAACTAGCTAACTTTTGAAACTTATTTTTTGTAGTGATAGTGTCTCACCATTTTGCCCAGGCTGGTCTTGAACTCCTGGACTCAAGTGATCCTCCTGCCTCAGCCTCCCAACTAATATTCTTAAATTTGATATATTATTTCCTTTTTTATTAATACATAATAGTTGTATATATTCATGGGGTACATGTGATAGAATACTAAGCAGGGAGGTGAAATATCTCTACAATGAGAACTACAAAACACTGCTCAAAGAAATTAGAGATGACAAAAACAAATGGAAAAACATTTCATGCTCATGGATAGGAAGAATAAATATAATTAACATGCCCATACTTCCCAAAGCAACTTATAGATTCAATGATATTCCTGTCAAACGACCAATGACATTCTTCACAGAACTAGAAAAAACTATTTTAAAATTCATATGGAACCAAAAAAGAATCCAAATACTCAAGGCAATCCTAAGCAAAAAGAACAAAGCTGGAGGCATCATGTCACCTGACTTCAAATTATATATACTACAGGGCTATAGTAACCTAAACAGCATTTTACTGGTACAAAAACAGACACATAGATCAGTGGAACATAGTAGAGAGCCCAGAAATAAGGCTGCACACCTACAACCACCTGATCTTTGACAAAGCTGACAAAAGCCAGCAACGGGGAAAGGACTACCTATTTAATAAATGGTGCTGGGATAACCGGCTAGCCATATGCAGAAGATTGAAACTGGGTCCCTTCCTTATACTGTATACGAAAATCAACTCAAGATGCATTAAGGACTTAAATATTAAACCTAAAACTACAGAAACTCTGGAAGATAACCTAGGAAATACCATTCTGGACATAGAACGAGGCAAAGATTTCATTATAAAGATACCAAAAGCAATCACAACAAAAGCAAAAATTGACAAATGGGACCTAATTAAACTAAAGAGCTTCTGCACAGCAAAAGAAACTATCAACAAACAGACAACCTACAGAATGGGAGAAATTATTTGCAAACTATGCATCTGACAAAGGTCTAATATCCAGCATTTGTAAGAAACTTAAATAAATTTACAAGAAAAAATCAACCCAACTAAAAAGTGGGCAAACAATTTTTTAAAGTCCTCAATTTAATATGGAACAAAAAAAGGCGAAATAGCCAAAACAATACTAAGCAAAAAGAATAAATCTGGAAGCATCACATTACAGAACTTCAAATTATACTACAAGTCTATAGTTATCAAAACAGTATGGTATTGGTATAAAAGTAGGTACGTAGACCAATGGAACAGAATTGAAAACCCAGAATTAAAGCCGAATATGTACAGCCCACTCATCTTTGACAAAGCATACAAAACATAAGTTGGGAAATGGACACCCTATTTAATAAATGGTTCTGGGAAAACTGGCAAACCACATGTAGGAGAATGAAACTGGAACTGGATCCTTCTCTCTCACCTTAAACAAAAATGAACTCAAGATGGATCACAAATTTAAACATAAGACCTGAAACCATAATTCTAGAATACAACATTGGAAAAACTCTTCTAGACATTGGCCTAGGCAAAGAATTCATGAGTAAGACCCCAGAAGCAAATGTAACAAAAACAAAAATAAATGAGACCTAATTAAACTAAAAAGCTTCTGAACAGCAAAAGAAATAATCAACAGAGAAAACAGACAACCCACAGGATGGGAGAAAATATTTACAAACTGCACATCCAACAAAGGGCTAGTATCCAGAATCTATAAAGAACCCAAACAAATCAGCAACAAGTAGAACAAATAATCCCATTAAAAAGTGGGCAAAGGACATGAATAGACATTTCTCAAAAGAAGATATACAAATGGCTAACAAGCATATGGAAAAATGCTCAACATCACTAATCATCAGGGAAATGCAAATTAAAACCACAATGAGATACCACCTTACTCCTGCAAGAATGACCATTATTAAAGTGCCAAGCAACAATAGATGTTGGCATGGATGTAGGGAAAAGAGAACGCATATAGACTACTGGTGCGAATGTAAATTAGTACAACCTGTATGGAGAACAGTATGGAGATTCCTTAAACAGCTAAAAGTAGATCTACCATTTGATCCAGCCATCCCACTACTGGGTATCTACCCAAAGGAAAATAAGTCATTATATAAAAAAGACACTTGCACACGTATGTTTATAGCAGCACAATTCACAATTGCAAAGATGTAAAAACAACCTAAGTGCCCATCAACAAATGAGTGGATAAATAAAATGTGGTATATATACACCATGGAATACTACTCAGCCATTAAAATGAATGAAATAATGTCTTTTGTGCAACTTGTAATGAAGGCCATTATTCTATGCGAAGTAACACACGAGTGGAAAACCAAAAACTGTATGTTCTCACTTATAAATGGGAGCTAAGCTATGAGTAAGCAAAGGCATACAGAGTGATATAATGGAATTTGTAGACTCAGAAATGGGAGGTCAGGAGGGGTAGGGGTATAAGGATAAAAAAAAAAGTACACATTATGTACCATGTACGCTACTCAGTTGACAGATGCACTAAAATCTCAGAATTCACCACCATCCAAGTAACAAAAAAGTTGTACCCCAAAGCTATTGAAATAAAAAATAAAAACAAGAAAATTCAAGACCCACAATATTTCTCTGGGAAATTCATGCAAACATACATGGAAGAAATAATAAATTTTATCCAATGTAAAAAATAATTGGGCAAAGGACAGGAACAGACACTTTTCAAAAGAAGACACACATACAGCCAATAAGCATATGAAAAAATGCTCAACATCACTGATCATTAGAGAAATGGAAATCAAAACCACAATAAGAAACCATCTCACACCAGTCAGAATGGCTATTACTAAAAAATCAAAAAATGACAGATGCTGGTGAGGTTGTGGAGAAAAAGAAACACTTATGCACTGTTGGTGGAAGTGTAAATTATATCTACCATTGTGTAAAACAATGTGGGGATTCCTCAAAGAGCTAAAAACAGAACTACCATTTGACCCAGCAATACCGTTACTGGGTATATACCCAAAGGGATATGAATCATTTTGTCATAAAGATGCATGCATGCGAATGTTCATTGCTGCACACTCACGATAGCAAAGATGTGGAATCAACCTAAATGCCCATCAATGATAGACTGGATAAATAAAATGTGGTACATATACAGTATGGACTACTTTGCAGCCATAAAAAGGAATGAGATCATGTCCTTTGCAGGAACATAGATGGAGCTGAAGGCCATTACCCTTAGCAAACTAGCACAGGAACAGAAAACCAAATACTGCATGTTCTCACTTATAAGTGTGAGCTAAATGATGAGAACACATGGATACATAGAGGAGAACAACAGATACTGGGGCCTACTGGAGGGTGGATGGTGGGAGGAGGGAGAGGATGAGGAAAAATAACCAATAGATACTCAGCTTAATACCTGGATGACAAAATAATCTGTACAACAAACCTCCATGGCATGGCTTTACCTGTATAACAAACTTGCGAATGTATCCCTGAACTTAAACAAAGGAACACGCATAGAATGTGTAATAATAAAAACAAAGTAATCGAGATACCCATCACTTCAAATATTTATATTTTCTTTGTGTTGGAAATATTCCAAATCTTCTCTTCTAGCCATTTTGAAATATACAACAAATTATTATTAACTATAGCACCTTAATTGACCATTAGAATTTATTCATTCTATTTAACTGTATGTTTGTACCCATTGACAAAACTCTTTTCATTCCTCCCTCTCTTCTATCCTTCCCAGCCTCTGGTAGTCATCATTTTACTCTCTACCTCTAGATCCAGTTTTAAACTCCCACATATAACTGGAAACACGCAATATTTGCCTTTCTGTGCCTGATTTATTTCAATTAACATAATGCCCTCCAAGTTCATCCGTGTTGCTGCAAATCAAAGAATTTTATTCTTTTTCTTGGCTGAATCATATTCCATCATGTGTATATACCACATTTGCTTTATCCATTCACCCATCGATGGACACTTAGGTTGATTTTATATCTTGGCTGTTGTGAATAGTGCTGCAATAAACATAGGAGTGCAGATATATCTTTGAAATACTGATTTCCTTTCTTTTGAATATATACCTGGTAATGGGATTGCTGGATCATATGGGAGTTCTATTTTAAGTTTTTTAAGAAACCTCCATTACAAAAAACCTCTCTTTTTCATAATGGCTATGCTGATTTACATTCCCACCAATAGTGTCTGAGAGTTCCCTTTTCTCTGCATCCTCACCAGCATTTTATTTTTTGTCTTCTCAGTGATAGCCATTTCAACTGGAGTGAGGTGACACCTCATTGTGGCTTTTATTTGTATTATTTCCCTGGTGATTAATGATGGTGAGCCTTTTTTTCATATAGCTGTTGGTCATTTCTATGTCTTTTCAGAAATGTCTATTCAAATCATTTATCTATTTTTAAAATGGGTTTTTTTGGCTATTGAGTTGTTTAGTTATTAATTCCTCGTCAAATGGATAGTTTGCAAATATTATCTCCCATTTTGTAGCTTGTCTCTTCCTTCTATTGTTTCCTTTGCTGGGTGGAAATTTTTTTAGCTTGATATAATCCCATTTGTTGGTATTTTATTTATTGCCTATGCTTTTGAGATTTTACTCCTAAAGCCTTTGCCCAGACCAGTGTCCCAAGGCATTTCCTCAATGTCTTCTTCTAGTAATTTCATAGTTTCAGGTCTTACATTTAAGTCGTTAATCCATTTCAATTTGATTTTTATATATGGTGATAGATAGGGATCTAGTTTTATTCTTCTGCAAATGGATATGCAGGTTTTCCAGTCCCATTTATGGAAGAGACTGCTTTTCCCACAATCTATGTTCTTGGCACCTTTTCCAAAAATGAGTTGGCTAGAAACATGTGGATTTATTTCTCTATTCTCTATTGTGTTCTATTGGTATATGCATCTGTTTTTATGCCAGTACCATGCTTACTTAACTACAGTTTGTGGTGTGTTTTGAAGTGAGATAGTGTGATGCAGCCAGCTTCATTCTTTCTGTACTGGATTGCATTAGTTATTCTGGGTCCTTTGTAGTTCCAAACAAATTTTAGGATTGTTTTTTCTATTTCCATGAGAAATGTCATTGATATTTCAATAGGAATTGCATTGAATCTGTTTATCACAGTTGATTGTACAGTCATTTGAACAATATTCTTCAAATCCATAAACATGGGATATCGTTCAATCTACCAAACATTTAAAGAATAATGAATACCAAATTTGATCAAAGTATTCCAAAAAATTGAAGAATAGGGAATACTTCCAAACTCATTATATGAAGTCAGGAGCATTACCCTGATACCAAAACCAGACAAGGACACACACACACACACACACACACACACACACACACACACACACACCCCACTGCAGGCCGATATGTAATAAATATAGATGCAGAAATCCTCAACAAAATACTAGCTAATCAAATTCAACAATACATTAAAAATATCATTCACCATGATCAAGTGGGATAAGTGGGAATCATCACAGGGATGCAAAGATGGTTCAACATATGGAAATTAATAAATGAGACGCATCATATTAGTAGAATCAAGGCCAAAACCATGTGATCAGTTCAATAGATGCTGAAACAATAGCAAAGACATGGAAATAACCTAGGTGCCTATCATCAGTGGATTGGATAAAGAAAATGTGGTACACATACAGAATGAAATACTGTGAAGCCATAAAGAAAAAATCATTTTTTTTTGCAGCAACACGGATGCAGCTGTAGGCCACTATCCTAAGTGAATTAATGCAGGAACAGAAAACCTAATATTCTATGTTCTCACTTATAAGTAGGAACTAAACAGTAAGTGCACACAGACATAAGGATGGGAACAATTGACACTGGGGACTCCAAAAGGAGGGAGGGAGTGGGGGAAGGGCTGAGAAACTTCCTATTCGGTACTATGTTCACTATCTAGGTGATGGAATCAATAGAAACCCAAACCTCAGCATCACGCAATATACTCTTGTTACAAACCTTCACATGTACCCCATGAATCCAAAAATTAAAATTTAAAAAAGACCAAGAAAACATAGATGCTGAAAAAGAATTTGATAAAATTCAACATCTTTTCATGACAAAAACCCTTACTTAATTGGACATAGAAGGAACATACCTTAAAACAGTAAATGCCATATATGACAAACCCACAGCTAACCGCACACTGAGTGGAGACAAATTGGAAGCCTTTCCTCTAAGAACTGGAACAAGACAAGGATGCCACCTTTCACCACTTTTATTCAACATAGCTACTGAAAGTCCTAGCCAGACCAGTTAGGCAAGAGAAATAAATAAAGGGCATCCAAATTGGAAGGAGGAAGTTAAATTGTCTTATTTGCAGACAACATGATCTTATGTTTAGAAAAAACTAAAGACTCCATCAAAAGAAAACTATTCCTATAATAAAGAATCAGTTCTATTTATTTAGAACTGATAAATTCAGGATATAAAACCAACATATAAAAATTAGTAGCATTTCTATGCATCAACAGTGAGTACTCTGAAAAAGAAATCAAGAAAGCAATCCCATTTACAAGAGCTATAAAAATTAAATATCTAGGACTAAATTTAACAAAAGAAGTGAAAGACCTCTACAATGAAAATAGCAAAACACTGATCAAAGAAATTGAAAAGGAAAAATCACCTTAAAATGTAACCTTCTCTAATCTGTCTTCCACCTTGTCCCCCAAATTGTTGAAGATAACAGTCGCTCAATTCTTGATCTTCTTGTTCCATAACCATATGGAATTTTTTTGGCAAAAATTTATGATTATCTGTTACAATGAGTTGTGTTTTAATGTTTGTTCTCTATTAATGTACAATAGATCAAGGTACTTTCTTTCTCCAGTCCCAACGCTTTTGTATGCTTCCTCAAGATCTCCTCAGTAAGAGTGATTTTAGTGATGTAGCACATAAAAATTATGGTAATAATAATGATAATACCTATGATAAAATTTAAGACATTTATATTTAACTTTAAACTTTATGTTCTTCCTATGCTTTCATTAAAATTATACTTTATCATTTGCAAGGATTCTAATTTAATAACTCCCAATTCTATAAAATATTCAAACTTCCTCCAAGTATTCCAAACAGTAGATATTCAAAACTAAAAGGTCTAGCATTTACGTAGACTTTTTGACATTTTTAATCTTCTATATCATTACATTTTGGGGTTAGTTTTAATCTAATTTTCTTTTAATCTCATAGGAATTTAAGAAATTCCTTGGTTAAAGCTGGAAAGTACAAAACACGAAGCACAATCTTAGCAAAATTTTGTACGTGTGCATATTATATTGACCAAATATCAAATTTTTTCATTATTTTTGCCAGTGGTGAATTTGTTAGTAGAGTAGAAACTCCATCATATCACAAGATTATGGCCAAAAGTTTTGGTAAATTGAAAAAGTTTGGTAAGTGGGAAATCATAAAATATGATAAATACCAACCATAACATTTTTTAAACTTTTATTTTAGGTTCAGAAGTACATGTGCAGGTTTGTTATATGAGTAAATTACATGTCACAGGGGTTCGGTGTACAGATTATTTTGTTACTGAACTGATAAGCATAGTACCCAGTAGGTAGGTAGTTTTTCTATCCGTACCCTCTTATCTGCTTTCACCTGCAAGTTGGCCCTGGTGTCTGTTCCCTTCTTTGTTTCCATGTACTCAATGGCAAACCATAATGTTTTAAAAATACTTACCTATACTAAAAAAATATAGCTTGCATCTATTCACTAAAATTTCTTTGGATTTTATCCCACTGCATGAACTTTACCTTTTTTTTTTTTTTTCCATAACTGCAACCATGATGGACTGTGTATGATTTTCAGTTTTGTGTTTGTGAAAATAAAGCAAGATTCTAAAAACGCTTAGAAAACAGGCTGAGTATAGGCTCCTCCTAACAGGTTGCTTTACCATGTTTTGATCCCCTCCCTCCACAATCTTCCTGCTTTTCTTTACTTTTCAGAGTCCTCAGGTAGCTGGCTTTTATATTTTGGTCAGAGTTGTTGTTGTCATCAATGGGGCAATGGGTTGCAGTGGGTTTATACTACTACAGTGGGACCAGAACATCGATGATATTTTATTTTTTAACTTTTAATTTTAATATGAATTCAAAGATAAAAGATATAAAAATAGTGCAAAGAACTGTCATATATCCTTATCAAGTCTACCAATTGTTTATGTATTGTTTTGCTCCTTAATCATTCCCTCCTTCTATAAATATATGTGTGTGTGTGTTTGTGTGTGTGTATGCATACATTCCCTGAACTTGGTTAAAATACTGTCTGCCAGAATGTGCCAATGTAAAGTAACTATATTTTTGTTTGTAATTTATAAGTTGTGGAGTGATGAAATGAGGCTATAGAAATATCCTTTTTCATTCAGTTTTCACCCATTAGCTTTATCTTCCATTGATAATATTCTAACACCATTACGGATTTTACATCTATTAGTTGGCATTGTACTATGAAGATCTTTTCCTTCTTTATGTATTAACTCATTTCTTTATTAGTATTAATATGAAAACATGGATTCTTGGACTCTTATTTTACTCAATAGGCTGTATTCCCTTAGTATTTTTTAATTTATTTTGATATTCAAATTTTCCCATATTTGAGCTGTGCAAGTTTCTTTCAGCTGGCTATGGTATGCTTTGTGTGTTCTTTCAATTCTTTGAGCACTTAATTATTTTCTGGCACAGTCTCAATGCTGGAGTCAGCTGTTTCCCTAGGAAGCCATATTTCTTTTTTTGGTGGAGAATGGTATTTAGAAACCAAGATGTAGGTAGTAGGTAGGCCATGTTCTGGGAAACTATTGCTACTTTAAGTGGACTGAACTAGAAAACACAAACAGACCAACACACACACACACACACACACACACACACACACACACACAATTTATTTCCTTGATAACCCCAATTCCGTACTAAAGGGTTTATTCTAGCCTTCTCTTCCATCTTTGTAACTTTTCTCCAATAATGAGAAAACTTCCACCTATTACCTTTAATATATTAACTTACTCGTTCACACCTAGAATATAAAATTAGTTTCAGAATTGCTAACCCATGCCACTACGAAAAGCAAACCTCGTCTACTAACTAGAGTTCAATATTTGTTTACAGTTATTTTTAGGTGAAATTTACACACAGTGAAATGCTCAGTTATGAAGGGTACAGTTTGATAAATATGTATGTAATTTGGTAATAATTATCCCAATCAATAAAAAGGAAAACTCCGTAGCCCCAGACAAGTTTCTCATGTCCACTTCCAGCCAACCTGTAACCTTCATTGGCAACCTCTTTTTGATTCCATCACAATACAGTAATTTTGCTTATTCCTTTAACTTCACAGATACAACATTATTCAAAACATACTCTTTCATGTATGGATTCTTCACTAAACGTACAGTTCTTTAGATTCATTATTGCTATTGTGTGTATCACTAGTTCATTATTTTTATGTGTGTAGTTCCATTGCATAGATATACCCTAATTTATTTATTTTTGTTGATGGGTTGTATCTGATTTTTAGCTATTATGGATATAGTGCAATACACATTCTAGTACAAGTCTTTTCATCAATATATGTTTACTTTCCTTTTGAATAAACACCTGGTATACATGGTGAGGCAAAAAGCAGGTGTGTGCTTACCTTTGTAAAAATCTACTAAAATATTTAATAATGTGGTTGTACCATTTTAATTGCTTGCCAGAAAAGTAAGAGAGTTGCAGTTGATCTACATACTCTCCAACCTTTGGTGTTTTCAGGTTTGGTTTTGGTAGGTTTTTTTTTTGTTTTTGTTTTTGTTTGTTGGGGGGGGGCATCCTAGTGTTTGTGAAATTGTATCACGATTTTGTTTTAATTTGAATATTCCTGAAAAAATGATGTTAATTTATTTGACCCGTGGGTATTTAGATGTAAGTTGATAATTTTTCTTAACATTTGAGCCTTTTCTAGATACATTATTTTATTGATTCCTAATTTCACTCCATTGTAGGCAGAGCACATATTCACTACGATTTCAGTCCTTTCAAAGTTTGATTTATCTTGGTCATTGTTCTGTTCCAAGTGCTCTGGAATGAAAATGTATTCTCTTCATGGGTATAATTTTTCGTATATTTCAATTAAGTTGGTTGATTTTGATCATTTGTTTTGAGTACTTGTACAAATATTCTATGTATTTTTCAATTCTTTTGGTGTACTTGTCCATAAATTGCTAAGAAATGGGTGTTAAAATATTCAACTATGATTATAAATTTATCTACTTTTGACCTTTAGTTCTGTCAGTTTTTGGCTTCACATATTTTGAATCTCTGTTGCTAGGTGCATGCACATATGGGACTACATTTTCTTGATGATTTGATCATTTTATCATTGTGAAATATTCATCCTTATCTCTGCTAGCAATATGCATGGTCTTGAAGTCTACACGGATTTACATTGCAATAGCCATATCAGGTTTCTTAAGACCAATGTTTTCATGGTATATCAATTTTTATACTTACATATTCTTTTCCCCTATCTCCTGCCTTCTTAAGGAGTATGGTCTATTTTTTTTTTTAAGATTCTATTTTGCCTGCTATACTGACATTTAACTGTACCTCTTTGTGTTATTTTAGCAGTTGATCTAGAGATTACAAATTACAGAATTAAAGTCCACATAGTATTTTACTTTATCATAATATTAAAGCCTTCATAACTCTATTTATACCTACTGCTATTTTAATTTTTGTTATCTTATGTTTTACTATGCCATAGCTATGAAACCCACAATTACTGTTTCATATTTTGAGTTAAACAGTCATGGTTCTAATAAATTTAAGAAAATAAAATATATGGCAATAAAAACTTGTCCTTTACATTTGCCCAGATATTGGCCTTATTTGGTGTTCTTCATTTCATCTTTAACACCTGGGATTTTACGGTACAATTTCTTTTTGGGTTGATGAAATACTTTCAGCATTTCTTTTTTCTACTGCAGGTCTTCTTTTTGAGAACGTCTTTATTTCAGCTTCATTTCTGGAGGATATTTTCACTGGACATATAATTCTGAATTAAATGATTTTTTTTCTTTCAGAAATTTAATTATAACATCTGGTCTCATTTGATGAGATTGTAGTCATTACTTGTATTCTTCTCCTCTATATAATATGTTATTTTTTCTGCCTGTTTTAAAATTTTATGTTTATGTTTGGCTTTCAGAAGTTTGATTATACTATGCCTAGGCGTGTTTTTTTGGCATTATCCTGCTTTGGGTTTTCTGGACCTCTTGAGTTTGTAAGAAATTTATATATATATATACATTTATATATATATAATATATAAATGTATATATAATGTATATATATAATATAATATATATATTATAATATATTATAATATATATTATATATAATTTATATATATAAAATAATATAATATAATATATTATATTATATTATATATAATTTATGTATAAAATATATATAATATAATATAATATATTATATATATTTTACCAAACTTATAAAACCTTGGCCATTTTTTTCAGTTTTTTTCTGCCTCATCCTCTCACTCTCTTCTAGTCTCTAATATTCCAATTACATATGTATTAGATCACCTAATATTGTCCCACAGGTCCCTAGTCTCTATTTTGTTTTTCAGTATGTTTTCTCCCTGTTCTCCTGATTAGATAATTGCTGTTGCTCTCTCTTCAAGTTCACTGCAACCTTTCTGTCTTCTCCTAATCTCCTATTAAGCCCTTCTACTGAATTTGTACTTTCAGATATTGTGTTTTACATTTCTAGACTTTCTATCTGGTCCTTTTAAAAATAACTTCCATTTCTCTCTTGACATTCCCCATTGGTACATTCATAGCTGTTAAGTCTTTGAACATATTTCTCATAGCTGATCTAAAACCTTTGCTTGCTAATTTCAACATCTGGGTCATTTCAGGCTTGATTTCTATTAAACATGAATCACATTTCACTTATGTCTAATAATTTTTTATTATTTAGTAGACATTTCAATTATATGTTGTAGAAATTCTATGTTATGTTTTCTTCTTCTGAATTGTGTTGATTTTGTTGTAGTACATAGTTATCTTGGCTGGATTCAAACTCTGTCTTTGCTGAAATAGGCGGCTATCCTTCCTTTTGTTGTTCCTGGTCTTTCTTGCATGTGCACAATCTGGGGGTCAACTAAATATTTGAATGGAATTTATATGCAGATTTTGGAGCCCCCGCTCTTTGACTCTCTTTTCTGTGAATTCTTTCCTCAATTCCCAACCGTTCAGACCACCTAAAACTTTATATTCTGACTCCTCAAGGCAGTAAGACTGAGATTTCCCTTGAGTTCTAACTATTCCTCATTGTAAGAACTAAGAAGTGCCCTCAGGTGAAAAGGTGTTTAATTGATCACAAAGTAAGATTCTTTTATTTTAAGACTCAAATTACTTTCAGTTTCTGTCTGCTTTATACTTTATTTTCTCATGACCCTTAAAATGGGAATTCACATCATCAATTCAAATAAATACCTATGCAGAGGTGGTGATAACATGTGCAAATCAAATGAATTTGGTGATAAAGTTTCCACGACATTTAAAATGATATTTGACCTTGGAAACTGAAAATATGTATTATCTGTGGCAGTAAATCAAAGGTGATCATTACAGGTAAAATTTTAGTTTAGAAAACAATATAATTAACATTCTGTTATTCTATTTATCTTTAATGACAGAAATTATTATAGCCATAAAATTACTACCTGAAAATTGCTTTGCACTGCTAAATGGATTTACATATAAACACATTCCAGTTGTATGGATTGAACTATTAAATTAACAGTACAGAGATAGGTAATCATCATTTCTTTGAATTGTTTCTTCTGTTTATAAATTGTCCACAATCTCTAAAAATCATCTGTTACTTGCTGTTACTAAACAAAGACATAACAAATCACATTTCTTCAATTGTGTTTTTTACATTTAATTCAAATTGATTTGTAAAGTAGCACAAAACATACATTAGAAACAGGAAAAGTTCAGAAATTCATGATTCTCCCTATGGGGTTTTAAGAAATGTATTTCTTCACTTCACATGGATAAAGGGAGAAGCATTCAGATTTATTCATTACATCTCTGAGAGGCATTTGAAAACTTACCATGATATCTGACCTCAAAGCAATTACCTTTATATTTTTTTTCTAATTAGTTGAATGCCAAATCTTGGCCATTAAAAAGTTAAAACAATGGGCAAAATCAAATTTGTGGTTCAAATGTAGTTGTATTAAGTCAGATAGTCATTTACTAAGCACAGTTTATTGGAAGTATTTACCCTTGTAAATACTCTGTATTAGTCAGCAGATGGCATGCATTGTACATTAACTATTCCACTGTATTATCATATATACTTTAGAACAGAAAGCATCTGTTTTTCTCAAAAAGACACATTATCCCTTCATTTGCAGTTTCATGCTAATCTGTGAACTATTTAGTGATAATCAAAGAAGGTGATATTTCATCTTCATTTAGTTTATAGAGCAGATTCAATCAACTACAAGATGGGGTAAAATACATTTAGCAATTCCGTAGCAAGCTTCAGCATCCAGGAGAAACAGTCCTGAGTGATTATTTTCCTGCTTTGGCTAGAGGCTTGCGCAGGAGGACAGAAGCCTTTTGGATACAATTTCTGAGAGCATTCCACAAATTTCAGCAATATAAAAACCATTTCGTGTTGTGTATGGATAAGTGTATACTCAAAGTCTAACAAAAAAGTAAATCAAACTAGAACAACTAAATTTACTTCTAAGTAATCCATTTAAGATAATACTGCAATAGCCTAATTAGAAAATCTCTTCACGTATAAAAGCATGCAAGTATTCACAGGCTTCCCTTTGAGTGGTTTCAAAGGAGAATTTGGCTTGTGATGCTCTAACATGATGCGTAGCCCAGCATATTTCTTGTCAAACTGATATCCATCTGTCAGCCTGGCCTGATGCCTATTCCCAAGGTGTTGGGGCACTTTCCAGGGCCTGAGTTGTGTCAAAGTTATCTCCAGGGAGGTAAGTTACACGATATACAACAGGGTGAACACACAAAGAGAGAGAGAGAAACACAAACTGTATATAGCTTGCCAATCCAAATGGAGAGATTAAACATTTGTCTCCCTTCACACTAGACTTTTTAATGTGTTAAAAATAGAATGACTCTTAGACTGAGACTAATGCCCTTTTAACTGTGAACTTGCTTTAGGACCAATAGTATTTGGAGGAAGCAGAATAACTATGTAGATTTTGTTATAATCTTAAAGCCCTATTCCTAAACATAATTAATTAAATAGATGTTGAAAGGTAAAAGGAACACTTTTGCTTCAAAATTTGTTTTTTAATGCAGAAATGAATAGAAATGTATTCCCATGAGGAAATGCCAAATATTAAATATGAAACATCAAGTATGTATATATGTACACATTCATACACATGCACTATATATATGTATATATCATTTTTATTGTACTCCTTACCAGTTTAGATCTGTGCTTCATTTGAGATGCTTCCATTTTTGAAGAAGAGTAAAATATCTCAAATAAAAAACATTACTTTGGTGGTTGATTTATTCAGTATTTGTGTTTGGAGTTGTAGGAGATCAAGGCCATTAGTGAAAATGTTAGGCATTTCACTTGTTTGATATTCTTCAAAGAAAACTTTAAAAATGGAAAATGATCAACCAGGAAGAAAAAGCTTCCTAGTTTTACTGTGTAGGTAGGAGCTGGGTATAGATGTGGGTGTTCTGAGTGGGACTGCCATTCTAGCTGCTGGCTTCCAAAGATGCTAAAAGTAGCACAGTGGTGGCTGTCATTGATGGATGACTGCATTTTGCTCTCCATTTCTTCCATTCACTGGACTGCTAAGAGCATTTCATTGGGATGGGTACTCCCTTTTAATCTATTTCTTGTGGAGAACTGGTGAATGTATCTATTGGGATTGAGGAGATATGTATGAACCACGTAAAACTGTAGCTGTTCTGTGTATTGAATAGACCTAATCTGTTTTGTAAAATGAGTGCTCTATACTTGAGGGTCATCCCCCAAGTACTTTTTTCTCAATTGGCTTGCATTCCCAGTTTCCTCTGGCCTAAGGCGACACGAATTCAACAGCTTGAGAAGAAATTATGTCCCCATTTTGAAGAAATTTGTCTCATCCATGTGCCTTGAGGTTATTAGCTGCTTCAGGAAAACCTGTTTTCATTGGCAAGTAAACTGACCTAGTTTAAAAAAAAAGTTACCAATTCCTTCTCCCAGTGACAGGAAATAGATGCCATGAGTACTGTGTGTCGGCTTCACTGTAATGACAAGAGATATAAAAATCAAATTGTCACTCCTGCCTGGTAGATGGAGGTGACCTGCGGCCACAGGCAGGTCATTATACCTGTAGGTGCCAGATACTCTAGGATTTGGCATCAGGCCTGCCTTATGTTCAGAAGCCAGCTGGCCGGGCATTAGGGAAAACCAGGGAGACTTCAGCTAATTGGGGGTTAAAATATGGCCGGTGAAAGATGCATACAAAAGCAGTGTGTCTTTTTATAACTAAATATAGTCATTTTGGTTAAGAGAATAAGCAAATATCAAATGCATGAACTAACTCCTCATTTCTCACATTCTCCCTCATCCTCAAACCTGCCTTGGTACCCCCTGCTCAGCAAAAGCACTAGGCAGCATGTAATCATGTCACTCTGTCACCAAGTCTCCTTCTCAATGAAATTCAGGTGTCTAAATAGAAACGAGTGATGGCAGGTTTTTCCCCTCTTTCAGCAGAAAGCCAAGGAAATGCTTTCAAAAAGATGAAAAGTACACTTTTGTGTCATCACAAATCATCTGTATAACACTTGGTGCACAAATATTGAACCTCTATGTGTCGGCTGTTTATTGCCTGGGTTAGGACAGGAATACATTTTCTATGTCAATACTTGACTAGATGAAATATTCCCTGCAAGTTGAAGCTGAGTTACTTGTGAAAAAAAATGGGTTGTGTCGAAGATACAACAGAAGTCCTTGTGAAGTAAATAGGTTGGTTGAGAAAAATTAATATTTCAAAACAAAATGGTCTTAATAGACTTGAGTTTACATGTTTTCCAAAAATTTCAAATATTTTAAATAATCATTTAGACAAATGTCTGTGCCAAATCTGGGTCCAGAAATACCCTTATTACAAGACACAAATATAAATGTTACAATAAAATTAGAGTCTTCACTTATTGCACATTTACTATATACTATATACTTTTATATTTAATTTTTTTCTGATACTATCACAATTATGTAAGTGATTCCCATCTTACAGATGATTAACTGGAAGGCTAAATCTGAGTCAAACATATGGATCCCTAGTTCAAAACCAGATACCATTCATCCAAGTTTATGTCAGTGTAACATGCGTCCCTTGCTAGTACTCTAAATTCAATTTATGTATGCGTTTTATAATTTTAATTGAGTTTTCCAAGTCTATAATCAACACTATTGTTTAAGTTATTGCCTAAGCTATTAAAATATCTACCAGTACATCTGTTGGAATGCTATTGAAATGTACTAGTGTTATTTTTCCAACTGCCCAGAAAATTATATTGTTTGCTTTACTACGGAAACTTAAGGCAATGGAATAAGTTTATTCATGCATAAATAAAATTGCCATATTGCATTCTGCATTTAGTCTGAAGAAGGCTGGTGGTGACAATACCTTGACAATAAGGGAACTAGTATTGATGGGTAAAAGTCTTTGAAGTATCAAGACCTTTATTGAATTTTTTATTTAAAAAGATGCACATCATCAAAATTTAATACTTAGGTCATCGGAGTTCTGAACATCTTTGACTCTCATCGCTCGCTCTTTCCACAACTCTGCCTGCCAGGCTGACATCTTATAAAATAGAGCAAAACCCGTATCAGAACACCTACACTGTGAAGGGATGTATTGGAGACGACCCAAGGCATATTAATAAATGAATAATGAAAACCTTTAAAGTGTGTAGGAAGCACTGGAGTATTGACTTGGAATGCTACAGTAAGGTGAAGGGTTAGCGAGGCTTTCTTTAAAGGACCCCTAACATGTTAGAATTTGCAAAGATGTCTTGATAGAGGCCTAGCTTCTTCCCTGTTGGTTTGGTTGTGAGTTTAAAGTAGAGTTTTTTTAATATTATGAATGCTACCTTGAAATTTTAAAAAGGTCAATATTTAGCTTGGCATTCAAGCTAACCTATCATTTGCTAACACTATCATTACCAGGAAAAGCATAATATACCCACTTACTACATTTTAGTTCCAGATCTATTTTCTACTCCACCATATGTATACCACTTATTTTTTTCAAATGTAACAAGTACACTCTTGCTTCTTTCTCTGAAGTGCTATTTCCATAGTCTGACATGCCCTGCCCACTGCCCCTGCTCTGCTCCTGCCCTCTTTCCCAAGTTAAAATATTCCCATTCTTTATTGTTCAAAAGGCAACTCTTCCAAAGAGCCTTTGTGGATATCCCCATGCTATGGTTTGAATACCCAACCAAAACTGTATTAAGAAGTGGGACCTTTAACAGGTGATTAGGCCACGAGGGTTCTGTCCTCATGAATGGATTTATGCTGTTACCACAAGAGTGGCCTCCTGGTAAAAGTCAGCTTTGTTTCCTCTTACTCTTGCTCTCTTACTCTTCCACCATCAGCCACAGCATGATGCACTAGGAAGGCCCTGGCCCTCACCAGATCCCAGTGCCATGCTCTTGGACTTCTCAGCCTGCAAAACGGTGAGCCAAATAAACTTCTATTGTTTATAAAGTACCTAGTCTGTGGTATTCTGTTATAGCAGCACAGAATGGACTAAGACACCCCACAAGCTATGTGTTATCACTTTTTCCTTCTTTGATCTCTCATATGTACAAAGTATTTATATAATAATACATTATAGCATTTTGCCTTTAGCATTATGGTTCCTATTCTGGCATTATGGTTCCTAGATTCTGTGATCTCTCTTTTATGAAAAGTAGTTAAGATGATTTTTCCCTCATGTTTCCTTGCACCTTTCTTGTTTTTCCATTTAAAAATAACAGTCTCAAAGGATTGTATTTGCTGGATTTGCTAGTACTTTTTGTGCTCTGGGAATTATTTATGTATTCTTTAATACCAGAAATTATTCTCTCTTATGTCACCTCCTGTGAGTTTCAAATACCTTTTGACCATGCTTGCTTTATTATTTTCAGTTTGAAAATTATGGTCCTTGGTAGCAAAGATTCAATCAAAATAAATATTGAAAGGTTCTGTATTCTCAGATAAAACCACCTGTTTCTGGACATCATGTTCTGATCTAGATTCATAGTCTTTTTTCTAGCTCGCAATATCAGAAGTAAAACAAATTTTGTTATTTATCTTTCCCAGATATCTTTTATCCTTTGGTATGAATCTTGTGTTTGTAATCTCCACCCAACTCAGCACAGTGGCTTTTACTGTGAACTTTCTAGAAGCTGTCTTCTTGTCTGTAGCCCATTTCAGGCTCCAGACATTTCCTTAATTTCAGTTGAAACTTCTCATCTGATTCAGTCACTTTCTTCCAGACATTTTATCCCTTCTACCTCACCTCCAATTTTCTAGTGGGTAGAGTTTAGCACTTTTTCATAGGCTGCCTTCTCAACTGTTGAAATAATAGAATTATCAGCATTGAAAGTCAATAATTTATTATATGAACTGTCTTAGCTGAATGTGACTTCTAGCAGATGACCAAGTGATGTTATGTTGTATCTGACAGTTTTTATGCATTAATGAAACCTTTTATCTGTCCTTCCTTGGAGTCATGGGAAATCACACTAAGTTTTAGATTTTAATCCATTCCCCCTCTTCAGGAGTCATTTCCATTCTCCTCTGGTATCTATTATTCTCTCCCTTGCATTTCAACTTTCTTTCTTTATACTGAATATTCCTCTGCTTAAGACATATTCTGAAAATACCATATTTAGAGCCTATGTCCCATAATAAATAGTGTCCAAACTTCCTAATGAAATAGGCTATACTTACTGTTTTTGCAATTTCTAAGTCACTAATTTTGTATTCATCAAACAAGTGTGGCAATTGTTGTCACTTTTCTTAGAAAATAACCAATAAACCATTAAATCCAATGATCACTTTTCTTATTTCCTATTTCTTATTTCTCCTTTTTCCCAAATTTCTGTGAGAACACTCATATTTGTTTTCCTTATATCTGTCTACCCAATATTTTATTTCCCAATGTGGGTTTCTTTTCCTTTGACTATGCTTGTATATAAGCGCCCCTACGGTAATATTCTATCTTTCGACATTGCCTTTTCTCATCCTATGTATTCTTGCAGAGAAATCTCATCCACACACATGGCTTCAATTAGTTCCTAAATGCTGTTGAACTTCTAATGTATACATCTAATCTAGAATTCATTCCTGAACTCTAGATACCTATATCCACTCTCTGCTGCCTTTGCCTCTTCCAGATGCTCTTCGAATTGCTAAAGTCAAAATCCTAGAATGACTGTTTATTCATTGCACTAATGTTCTCCTTTATTTTATACCTTGACTTTCATGTTATTCAGATTTAGATCTTGGCCTTTGTATCTTTCTTTTTCCCATCCAATTCCTACTTTCAATTACTATATGGAGGTGTAATAGTCTTTCCTTTAATGGGTGCCTCATGTGTTCTGGTAGTGTGGAGACCATGATGGCACATATGTGTGTGTTGAGGATGGGAAAATAGAGAGCATATAATACTGATTCTATGCCTGTGGAAGTAACTATTTTCCCAGATAACTTGCTGTTACCTATTAGTGAATATTTCCCTTCTATCACCTTTTATAATCGTATAATTGATTTAAATAATTTTCATGGGGCTAGAGCCAATATAGGCAGTTAATTAGTTTTAGTTATGATGTCACCAAATATGTGACAGGCAATCATTTAATTCTTTCAACAACCATGAAATATAAGTTAAGGTCACTGTCTTAAAGATTAAAAGAAACAGACTCAGGTTAGTTAGCTTTACTAACAGCAAATAAGATTCAAACCCAGGTATCTGGATTCTAGATAGTGGATCTGTTTTCTCTCCACTAGAGCATATAGCTTATTTATAAACTTAGAAAACAAAAATGCTGTAAGCAACGGTTTTGTTCATTAATGTATTTGACCATTTGCACCATTATGAGAAAGGCACAGTCACTTAATTCAAAAATCTTAATCTACATTATCAGATAAATGTCAACATCTGTAAATATTGCTCAGAATCACCTTTTAGTACAAACCTTGGAGCAATGGTACTATAAACTCTGTGATACTATGATTTTTAAGGAGACAATCCTCAAGTAAATCTTTTATTTGGGGATATGTCAGACTCACTCTAGAAAGATTAATGATTTTTTCACTGTAGCTGTACAAGAGTATTACCTAAGATTGGATATAATTAAACTGTGGAGCCCCTTTCAGATTAACAAGTATCTTAAATATTTCTGAAATCAGCAGATTTCCTGAAAAGAGATAAGATGGCTATTTGGAGAAAAGACAAAAATTAAAACAGCATTTTAACATAGAATTGAAAAATTCAAAGCTAGAAAATATATTTTATAACGTGTTTGCAAACAGACTCATTAACTTATAAATTTGAAGTATTTTGTTTACTGAAACAAAATAACCAAGCAATTATTATAATCTGAAATCAGAAGAAATGCTTTCTTTTTTTTGTGGCAGATTATTAGTATGTGTGTGTCCCTCTAACATTCTTAGCAAATTAATAGCATGTATTGTTGGAGTGAATTGTTTAGTTTACGTCTAAAAGCAAATAGTTATTGTAAAATAAATTTCAGCTTGATGTAGATAGAGTATTTCATAGTGCTTTGGGGGAGCTGGTACAGCTATTTCTCCAACAAAGATTTAGCATTTTACAAATTGAATTAGAGACACATTTAACCTGCTATGAAGGAAAGATGCTCTTGATGGCAGTAGAATTCTTGTCATAGACTTTCCAAGTACATGGCATTATTTCAATTTCTGGTTTTTATCGTGCATACCTCTGCTGTGTGGGCAGCCTACCAACACCTATAAAATTAGTATCTGTTAGGAGAACATCTTGATTTAAGCTTCACTTTAAAGCACTAACAATTGATAAACATCAATTGTGCAAAGCAATGTCAGCATGTCTTTATATTAATAATGTTGAAAGAATGGCATTCGCATTTTCACTTCTGAGTGTACTCACTCCAAGCCCACCCTCACACATGGAATTCCTCTAAATAAACTCTGTGCTGGTAATCATCTGACTCATTAGCAAGTGTTTCTTCCTGCCTGAAACTAAGTGGGTGCAATGGAGGATAGATTAATCTTTAAATCCTGTGGAATACACGTCTGCTCTCTTTGCTTTCTTTTTATGTCAGTAGCATAATTAAAAATAAAAATGTCTTGCTATGTCAGTAGAGACAAGCTGGTTAATACATTTGAAAATAAATATAATCATCCAATAATAATCATACTAATGCAATATTTCAATATTCATATAGAATTTATGTTTCAAATAGAAGAAAATCTACCTAGAAACTCAGCAAAGTTCCTTACATTTTTATCTTTCTGTCTGCCTAGAATTCTTCTTCCCCCTTGAAACTATGTTGTTTTTCACTATTTTTATTATACCTCCTCAGGCAACCTGAGACCACACTTAGTTATCTCTCCTCTGAACTTGTACTTTGAAAAATATGTCACACATTTGGTGCTTGTTTAAATATAGGCTTATAACAATTTTATATTTTTAATTTTTATAAATTACTAAATTTATACAAATTTTCATGTATTTGGATTAGATCTCCAACTAAATTGTTATTTCCTTGAAGGTGGTGTTTGTGCCTTGTTATTAGCATGTTTAGCATTGAACTTCTTTACATGGTTTGTCTTCAAGAGTTCTTTGGAACTTTATATTTGAAATAATAATGATATATTTTAATCAAATGACATTATCATAATATCAATTATCAAAATATTAGGTCAGTAGGCACTACTATATGATGCCCTCCATTTTGTAATGTCACTTACTCAACAAGATTATCGCTCTTCCCTGACTCTCATACCCACATGACTCTGTACATTCCTTAATCTATCCCAAACCCTCTTTTCACAAATATTTCCACTAGTGTCTCTGAACCTCATTTTATTCTGATCAGCAAAACTCCACATCATAAATCTGTATATCTTAAATCTTTAAGATGTTCCCTTCATCTTATTACTCTGTCTGAAACCTTGCTTTCCCCTGAGAGCACTGCTTCCGTTGCAGCTTCCTTCTCTACTGGCTCTAGTATTTCATAAACTCATTGTTTGTACCATGGATCTAGAGCGGGCCCACTCCTCGTTCCTATATAACACTTCCAAACTTTCTTTCTCCTTGCTAATGCACTTGCTTTGTCCTTAATGACCTTCCATCATTCTCCCTAATGACCTCCTCCACCCAACCTAAACCAAACAGGCTCTTCCCAATGTCAATTCGAATTGCTTTGGCCCTAAACCTTAGAGCTATTTTCAATTTTCTCCTGTTCTCTCCTAATTCCACATCAAGTACTATTGGTTTTACCCGCAAAATATATTCAGAGACTGATGTCAGCAAGATAGAAAAATATGAATTTCCAGCTCTCATGCTCTTACAAAAACATCAATTTGAACAATCATCCACCCATAAAAATACCTTCACAAGAGCTAAGGAATCCAGGTGAGAGATTACGGCACTTAAGAGGAATGCAGAAATAAGAAAAATGCAGTGAAGAGGATAGAAAGGATACTTTTACATTACATGTGTTACCCCTTTCTCACATCTGCACAGTAAAGTATGGAGAGAGATACCCTATGTACAGAGAAAGGAAAGTGAATTAAGCATTCAACTTTACCACAGACCTCAGCACCAGGCAAGCCCCAGTGAACCACTTCACCAGACCAGCCCTCACAGACTCAAGTTCCAGGCCAGCTCACAAGGTCTCAGACTCCAAGCCCGCTACTGAAGATCCAGGCTTCAGGTATCCCCCAGTATAAGCAGGCCCCTGTAGCCCCAGGTTCCAGGCTGGCCCCAGCAGATTCAGGCTCCAGGCCCACCTTAGCACTATGCCAGCCCCAGTGGCCCCCGGCCAGCTCTTATGGATCCAGTCTTTAGGTCCATCCCTATGGATGCAAACTCCAGGCCGTTTCCTGTGGACACAGTCATCAGGCCTAAACCATTGGACCCCAGAGACCCAGGACAGCCAGCCCTTGTGGACCCAGAATCCAGGCCCATACCTGTGGACCCATAGTTTAGGCTTGCCCCATTTATGCAGGTGCCAAACTCACCCAAGCTGATGATGGCACCAGACCTGCATCAGTTGGCCCAGGCTCCAGGCTTGCTCCTATAGACAAAGGCATTAGGCTAGCCCCTGTGGACACAGTAGCCAGGCCCACATGCCTGCTGACCTTAGCACCAGGAAAGCCAGTCCAAGGACTCTAGCAGCAAGCTCACCTGCAGTCCCTGCCAGTGGGCCCACCCAGAATGTCTGGATGGGCTGACTTGTGAAAGATTTCTCTGCCAAATCCAGTGCAAAAAGACTGGAAGAGGTTCCTACTTCTTTATATGTACAAATACTAATGCTAGGTCACAGGATTATGAATAATTAGGGAAACTTAAAACCAGCAAAGGAAAAAAAAAATAAAGCACCAGTAACCAACCTTAAAGAAAAGGAAATCCAAAAACTCCCTAACAAAGAATATTAATTTACTCCTTTTTAGGGCTGAGTAGTATTCCATTGTGTATATATATTCTACAGTTTCTTTACCCACTAGTTGATTGATGGGCATTTGTGTGTTCCACATTTTTGCAATTGTGAATTGTGCTGCTATAAACATGATGTGCAAGTGTCTTTTTCGTATAATGACTTCTTTTCCTTGGGTAGATACCCAGTAGTGGGATTGCTGATTCAAATGGTAGTTTTACTTTTAGTTCTTTAAGGAATCTCCACACTGTTTTCCATAGTGGTTGTACTAGTTTACACTCGCACCAGCAGTGTAGAAGTGTTCCCTATTCACTGCATCCATGCCAACATTGATTATTTTTTGATTTTTTGATTATGGAAATTCTTGCAGGATTAAGGTGGTATCGCATTGTGGTTTTAATGTGCATTTCCCTGATCATTAGTGATGTTGAGCATTTTTTTCGTATGTTTGTTGGTCATTTGTATGTCTTCTTTTGAGAATTGTCTATTCATGTCCTTAGCCCACTTTTTGATGGGATTGTTTTTATTCTTGCTAATTTGTTTGAGTTCATTGTAGATTCTGGTTATTAGTCTTTGTCAGATGTATAGATTATGAAGATTTTCTCCCATTCTGTGGGTTGTCTGTTTACTCTGCTGACTGTTCCTTTTGCCATGCAAAAGCTCTTTAGTTTAATTAAGTCTCACCTATTTATCTTTGTTTTTATTTCATTTGCTTTTGGGTTCTTGGTCATGAAATCCTTGTATAAGCCAATGTTTAGAAGGTTTTTCTGATGCTATATTCTAGAATTTTTACAGTTTCAGGTCTTAGATTTAAGTTCTTGATCCATCTTGAGTTGATTTTTGTAGAAGGTGAGAGATGAGGATCCAGTTTCATTCTCCTACATGTGGCTAGCCAATTATCCCAGCACCATTTGTTGAACAGGGTGTCCTTTCCCCACTTTATGTTTTTATTTGCTTTGTCAAAGATACAACACTATGAATAGTTTTCTCATCAGAAATCTTGCAGGCCATGAGAAAGAGGGATTATATATTCAAATTGCTGAAAGAGAATACCTGTCAACCAACAATACTATAGCTTTCAGAGTTGTCCTTCATAAATAAAGGTGAACTAAAGACTTCCCCAGATGAACCAAAGCTATGGGACTTCTTCACCACTATATCTGCCTTATAAGATACGCTAAAGGGAACTCTTCAGTTGAGATGAAAAGACACTAATGAATAATATGAAAATATAAGAAAGTATAAACCTTACTATTAGTCAAATTCAGAATATTCCAATATTGGAATAGTGATGTGTAAACCACTTTTTAACTCTAGTACAAAAGTTAAGGGAAAGAAGTGTTAAAATGACTATAGTTACAGTAAATTGTAGTGGATAGATACATAAAAGATGTAAATTGACATCAATAACAGGAATATGGGGGTAGAAGTTAAAGTGCAAAGTTTTTGTATGCAGTTGAAGTTGTTACCAACTTAAAATAGACTGTTGTAACTATAAGATGTTTTATGCAAGACCCATGGTAGACACAAAGGAAATAACTATAGAAGATGCATAAAATAAAGTGTAAAAAAATCAAAGAAAGTCACTACAAAAAATCAATAAAACACAAAGGAAGGCAACATGAGAGGGAAAGAGGGAAAATTAACTATAAGACATATAGAAAACAATAAAATGACAGTAGTAAGTTCTTACCTACTAATAATTACTTTAACTGTAAATAATTAAATCTCTAATCAAATGATGTAGAGTGGCTGAATGAAAGAAAAGTAGATGAAACTATATGTTGCCAATAAGAGACTCACTTTAGCTTTACAGATACAAATAGGCTGAGAGTGAAGGGATTGAAAAATATTTCACTGTAAATGGTAACCAAGAGAGATCAGAGTTGACGCTACAACTTTAAGTAAAAAAAAAAAAACTGTCACAAGAAACAAATATTGCAATTATATAAACAAAAAGGGGTCAATTTATCAAGAGGATATAAAAATGTAAATGTGTAGTCAAGATCAGAACACCTAAGTACATAAAGTAAATATTAACAGAACCGAAGGGAGAAATAACAATGCAATAATAGTATGGAATTTCGATACCCAATTTTCAACAATGGATAGATCATAGACAGAAAGTCAGTAAGGACACAATAAACTTGAACAATACTGCAGACCAAATGAACCTAAAAGACATTTACAGAACATACCATCCCACAGCAGCAGAATACATATCCTTTCCAAGCACACATGGAATGTTCTCCAAGGTAGATCACATGTTAGTCCCCAAAACAATTTAACACATTTAAGCAGTTTAAAATCATATCAATATCTTTTTCAATGATATGGTATGAGACTAGAACTCAATAATATAAAGAATGATGGAGCATTTATAAATATGTGAAAATTAAACAATGTACTTCTGAGAAACCAGTGGATCAAAGGAGAAATCAAAAGGGAAATCAAAAAGTATTTTAACACAACTGAAAATGGAAACACAACACACAAAAACTTACAACATTCCTTTTAGAACAGCTTTTGCTGCATATAAATGTCTACACTGATAGAAAAGAAAAATCTGAAATAAACAATTTAACTTTGTACCCCAAGAAACTAGAAGAACAAAAGGAGCCCAAAGTTAGAATAAAGGTAGTAATAAAGATCAGCACTGAAATAAATAAACTAGATAATAGAAAAGCAATAGAAAATAGCAACATTTGTTATAAATAATATATTTGGGTTCTCTAGTTTTGGGTGCATATACATTTTTAATTTGTCATATCCTTTTGTTATATTGACTCCCTTATCATCATATAAAGGTCTTCTTTGTTTTTTCTTTTCCATTTTTAAGGCATATTTTTATCTGTTAAAACTATAGCTACTCCTGGCTGGGCGCGGTGGCTCACGCCTGTAATCCCAGCACTTTGGGAGGCCGAGGCGGGCACATCACAAGGTCAGGAGATTGAGACCATCCTGGCTAACATGGTGAAACCCTGTCTCTACAAAAAAAAAAAAACACAAAAATTAGCCGGGCGTGGTGGTGGGCACCTGTAGTCCTAGCCACTCGGGAGGCTGAGGCAGGAGAATGGCGTGAACCCAAGGGACGGAGCTTGCAGTGAGCCGAGATCGCGCCACTGCACTCCAGCCTGGGCAACAGAGTGATACTCCGTCTCAAAAAAAAAAAAAAAAAAAAGTATAGCTACTCCTGCTCTATTCTGGTTTCCACTTGCATGGAGTAACTTTTTCTATCTCTTCACTTTCAGTCTGTGCATTTCTTCATAGGTGAAGTGTTTTCTGTAGACAGCATATAGTTGGGTCTTATTTTTAATCCATTTAGGCACTCTGTCTTTGAATTGGAGAATTTTATCCATTTATATGCAAGTTATTTTTGATAAGTAAGAGTTTACTGTGGCCATTTTGTTACTAGTTTTCTTTTTTCTTTCTTTTTTTTTTTTTTAGATTCCTTGTGCCTTTTTTTCCCCGTCTCACCATCTTCCTTAGCAGTTAAATGATTTTTTTTTCTAGTAGCACATTTTTTTATTCTGTGATATATATATTTTGTATATATTTAGTGTATCTATTATAGGTTTTTGCTTTGTAGTTACCATGAGGTTTATAAAAGACTTCTTTAGTTATAACAAGTTATTTTTAATTGTAAGTAAATAAAAAAAGGAACAAAACAAACTCTAAACTTTAACATCATCTCTCAGCCCATTTTGATTTACTGATGTTTCAATGTACATCTTTTCTTATTCCGTATCTCAAATGCTGGTGAGAATTCTGAGAAGGGGGAACACTAACACACTGTTGGTAAGAATGTAAATTAATACACCCACTAAGGAAAACAGTATAGAGGTTACTCAAAAAATGAACAATAGATATATCATATGATCCAGCTATCCCACTACTGGTTATTTATCCAAAGAAAGGAAATCAGCCTAGCAAAGAAATATCTGCACTATCATGATTTTGTAACACTATTCACAGTAGCCAAGATATGGAATCAGTCTGTATGCATCAATAGATGAATAAAGAGATAAAATGTGGTGTATATATACACAATGGGATACTATTCAGCCATAAAAAGGAACGAATCCCTGTCATTTAGAGCAATATGGATGTAACTGGGTCATAATGTTAAGTGAAATAAGCCAGGCACAGAAAGATGCTTATTGCATATTCTCACTTATATGTGGGAACTAAAAAAAGTTTATCTCACAAAGGTAGAGAGTAGAATGCCAGTCACCAGAGATTGGGGCAAGTAGGCAGGAGGGAGAGATGAAGAGAGATTGGTTAATAGGTACAAAAATACAATTAGGTAGAAGGAGTAAGTTCTAGTGTTCAGTAAGGTGACAACAATTAGCTGTAATTTATTATACATTTTGAAATAGCTAGAAGATTTGGAATGTTCCCAACATAAATGATAAATGTTTGATACATGATAAATATCCCAATACTCTTATTTGATTATTACACATTATTTACATGTATCAAAATATCACATGTACCCCAAAAATATGTACAATTATGTATCAATTTTTAAAAATAAAAAACTAAGTTTTTTTAAAAAGACAAACAATATTCAGAAATACTTTTCTACAGAAACTAAGAAAAAAAGAAAACTCTAATACCTGTACGGTAAGTCCTCACTTAATGTCATTGATAGGTTCTTGGACACTGTGACTTTAAGTGAAACAATGTATAACAAAACCAATTTTCAGTAAGCTCATTGATATGAACAAGAGTTAAGTTCCAAAGCTGCTTCTACATTTTCAGTATTTGTTATAGCAGCACTCCATTTCTCCAATACCAATTTTCTGTCTTAACCCATTTTGTGCTGCTAGAAAGGATGCCACAGACTGGCTAATTTATGATGAACAGAAATGTATTGGCTCATGGTTCTGGAGGGTGAGAAGTCCAAGATTGAGGGGCTGCTTCTTCTGAGGGCCTTCTTGCTCTGTCAAGCCATGGCAGAAGGGCAAAGAGTGGACAAGAAAAAGAGAGAAAGAGCAGGAGGGGGCCCAAACTCATTCTCTTATAGGTAACCCACTCCCACAATAACAAATCCACATAATTAATCCATTCACAAAGATGGTACCCTCATGATCTAAACACCTCTTAATAGTTTCACCTCCCTGTATGTCTGCATTGGGGATCAGGTTTCAAATGCACAAATTTTACCAGAAAAATCGAAGCTTAATTTTTTATATTTCTGGAATTAAAATAAATTACATTTTCCTTCCTCTACCCAAATTGAATATCTTGCAAACTTCTTGTTTTTCACACAACCCACTTTGAAGGACAAAAATATAATTTAATATGATGGTATTAAGGTATTATTTAAAAATAAAAGAGGCAAGATAGCTGAACATTTATGTACTCTAAGTAGAACTTTAAAAAATATCAGTGTATATCAGCGTGTATTCAATTATGATGTCATTAAAATGCCACAGGCAATATTTAAAAGGAGTTGTAGAACCTCATCCAACATTTTTGGGGTGGGTATTGGGTGCTCTGGGGATGAGAAAAAAAGAAGTGAATATCCTTTTATTAAATAATTGATTTCAAATCTCTTATTCTTTGTAAATGATATTAACTGGTATCCCATTAACACTTTAGTTCTATTGGAAGTTCTGCATTAATCTACAGCATTTTGAAATCTTTCTATGTGTGGGACCCATAATTGTATACAGATAAGAGATCCTTCAGCTGATTTACTGCTAATGATGACAGAATCTACTTCCACTCATGTATAACAGGAATTATATACTCCACTAACATTTTTATAGCTCTGCTAACATTTTCAAAAGGCTTATTTAGCAGTCCAAATGCATTTTATTTTCAAATCACTACACTAATGATAAGCAATCTATTATGGCTGAAGTTATGTCCTCCCACCCCCAACTCACATTGTTGGAGTCCTAACCTCCAGTGATTCAGAAGTGACCTTATTTGAAAATAGGGTCTTTACAAAGGTTATCAAATTAAAATTAGGTTATTAGGGTGGGCCCTGATCCAATATGACTCATGTCCCTAAAAGAGGAAATTTGTACACAGACATAGATAGAGGGAAGACAATGTGACAAGACTTAGGGAGATGAAAGCCATCCACAAAACCAAGCAGAGAGGCGTAGGACAGATCCTTTCCACACACTCCTCAGAAGGACTACCAACACCTTGATTTCAACTTCCAGCCTCTAGAACTGTGAGACAATAAATTTCTATTGTTTAAACCACTTAGTCTGTGACACTTGTTTATGGTAGTCCTAGCAAACTAATACACCATCTTAGAGTAAATTAAAGATCCCATATCTACTTCATGTTATCATCTTAACTGCAACCAGCCATGACCATGTTTATCTGCCTAGTTTGTTTTCTACTTTGTGTCTCTGAACAGTCCCTTTGATATTTTCTGGCATCATTTCATTCAACCTCTCTCTCTTGAACCATCACAGTGAGATCCTTGCTTCCAACCTTGTTTTACTACAATCCAATTCACATTCAAACACTTTAATGCGTTTAGTAATATATTTGGGTTTGAATCAACTATAAAACTATATGCTCTTTAATTTCCCCTAACTTTTCTTTAGCCCATTTCTCTCCTTCTTTGCCTTCTTTTGTTTTGCTTTTGTAAATATTGACCGTTTACACTTGGTCAGCTTATATTTTAACTTTTCTTATTTATCTAAGCAATTAAAATATTCATCATTAACTCATTAAAGTATATTGTAAATTAGTACTTGTCACTTCCAGAAAAGCAGACTGAGAATACTTTTACTAACCTCCCATCTTTTGTGCTTTCATTTTCATATACTCTTATAATACATTTATTTTAAATACCATATTTTTACTTTTTAGACAGCCAATATTTATTTATTTTAATTTAATATTTTGTGTTACTCTTCAATCCTCTCTGCTTCCAAATGGGTTCATTTTGATCTGCCTAAGTACTTCCCTTAATATTTTCATTATTGCAGGTTGGCTAGAGATGATCGATTCCTCTCAGTTCTTATTTCTCTGAAAATGTCTTTTTGCTGCCTTTATATTTGAAAGACATTTTTCTCGGTATAAAATTCTATGCTTGCAGTTTTTTTTCCATCACACATTGAAGACTAATTCCATTGTCTTTTGGCATCAACTGTTAGATTTTTTTTTTGGCAGTTTTACTACCATGATGTGTCTTGGAGTGGTTTTCTTTGCATGTTTTCTACTTGGTATTTGGGGTATTTCTTGAATTTATGGCTTGATGTCTTTCATGGACTGGAGAAAATTCTTGGTCATTATCTCTTCAAATATTGCTTCTTTCCCTCTCTTTCTCCTTTCTACTATTTTAATGACTTATATGTTAGATATTTTCACCATGTTCAGTATGATGCTTATGATCTCATCTGTATTTTCTACCCCTTGTCTCGCCATATTTTAATATGCATTTTTCCACTGAACTGTCTTCCAGTTCACAACACCTTTTTAAAATTAACAATGTCTAATGTGCTATTATTGCACACTCATTGTGTTCTTGATATCAGCTGCTATCTTTTCTAGTTCTAAATATTTCATTTTTGCCATAGTTTTCTGTTGTCTTCTGAAATTCTTCATGCTTTCAACTACTTTCTTGAACATATTAATTGCAGTCATTTTAAACCTCACCTCTGATAACTCTAATATCTGGATCTCTTAGATTCTGCTCCTGTTGGTTATTTGGTCTTTTCTTTTTCATGTATTGGGTCTTATATTCATAGGACTGCTTACTTTTTAATGGATTGCTGGACATTATGCAGAACACACTGTGAAATAATTTGCATCACTGGATGATGTACTCTTGAGGGAATTTACATTGATTCTGGCAGGCAGTGATATTCAAGGTAAGTAAACCTAACCCAATCTGGGGTTGAGCTGTTTCAAAACAGGGCTTCAGTATTTTTACAGGCTAATCTATTTCACTCTTAATCCTTTGGCCATCACAACTGAATATCTGTAGTGGCTACCAGGGCCCCTCATATTTGATGGGCCATAACCTTAGCTTTTATCATTTGACCTGCGTAAGAGTACTAGCAGCTCTGCTCATCTTCCCATCCTCTTAGTCCACTGCTTTCTGTTTGGATTCATACTAATTGTGAATTTACAAAAGCCTCAAAAAGTAAAGCAGTGTGGTATTTGAAGCTCACTGCTCTGGATTTCTTTCTCTTGGCATGTTGACCCCTTGAATCTTCACTGCCTTAATATTTCTCCAGTGCCTTCCAACATAGATCTAAAGATGTATTTCAGCTTTCCCTATGTTTGTTACAGTTGCTTAGAAAAAAAATATAACTGATTATACTCAGGACATTTCAAGTCCTCTCTTCTAGCTATTTTGAAATATGTAATACATTATTATAGTCAAGATACTCTGCTATTGAACATTAGAAATGAAGTGAAATGAAACTTCATTCATAGATAAAAGACATGGTATTTATATCTCTTATTTTATTCAAAATTCTAAACAATAACATGGTAAATTGTGGACTAATAATCAGATCTTGAGTGATTCCTCAGGAAAAATATTTATCTTCCTTATATCTGTGAGAACTAAAATTACTATTGTGAAAAGAAAAACACCACTCAAAAGTAGCTTAGATAATTGTTAAATTAGAGCCATTTTAGGATAGTAATTAAATTTCATAGAATGGTGGTCTAGAGGACTGAATTTTTATTTTGTTATCTATTAACTTTTTTACAAGCTTGTTGGTGCATAAAAAATGTTAGTAGTTTGCTCAGTATGCTTTATTACTAGTTTGCTCAGTATTACTAAGTGTTAAAGTATTTGTATTGTCTAGTTTGCTCAGTATTATTTATTACTAAGTGTTAAAATATTTGTATTGTCTTAAAGAATGATTTTTAGATATTGCCTCATATACACGCTTGGTGTGAAAGAATATATTAATTTCATGGTGTTTCAGAAGGTAAAACAAACCAAACACAAAAGGAAATGAGTAAGAGACAGTTTGATAATATATAGCTTGATAAATCTAAATAATCTAAAATAAGAAATAAGATACATTCTGAAGCTATCTCAAAGGCAATAAATTGTACCAGTATATTTTATTTTAAGATTCTCAGGCATTCTTCCTAACATTAAGTCCTCTTAAATTCATCTTCTACAGTTCTGTCAGATTAATCACCTAAAACTTCTAATCTTCTATTCAAATGGCTCCCAGTTTTCTAGTGAATAAACACTGTCTCCTCAGTTCCACATACAAATACATTCCTTTGTAACTTGATTCCCTATCTATATCTGTAACCCTCTCTCCTTCCAGTTTTCTCTAAAATCCCTGCATTCTAACTTCCTCCCAATTGTATACATTTCATAATGCTGTTGAGTCTTTCTGGATCACCTTTTCCTAACTTTCACCTGGAAACCTCTTATTTGTAAGCTGCAAGACATATATCGCCTTACTTAATTCTCCCAAGAGAAGTTAGCTCTCTCTTTAATTTCCATGGTACCTGACATAAATTAGAGTGATATAATTAGAATTTCTAATGTTTGTTAACTTTTCCTGTGTTGCAAAGTCAATGGTAAATGATTTACATAACAATTGCGGGACTTAAAATGTTGTCTTGTGATAGATTTATGTTTTCCACATCACTAGATTGTCATGAGTTTTTGTGCTATTTCCTTTGCACACTCAATGAGAAGACAGACAAATCCAGGGAGATAAAGACAGGCATATTAATTCCAGAATATATATGCCAAGATTTTTAATTTTTAAAACTCTGATAGGATTAAAAATTATATTTTCTGAAAAATTTAAATATGCACCTACTACATGACTCAGTCCAACTATTCTCCAAATAATTTGCACCATTTTACATTCCCCAGGATTGTTTGAGTGTTCTAATTGTTCTACATCCTTGCGAACACTTGGTATAGTCAGTCTTAATTACATCTATTATAATAGGTGTGTGGTGGTATTTGATTGTGGGTTTGATTTGCATTTTCCTAATGACTAATGGTTATGAGCGTCTTTCATGTGTTTATTTGCCATCTGTATGTCTTTATTGGTGAGGTGTCTGTTCAAATATTTTGCTCATTAAGGAAAAATTTTAAATTAAAAAATTTATTTTTCTAAGAAAACTTTCTACAGCGGACATTTATTTTTGAAAAAAAAAAAAAAAACCCAAGCAAGTGAAACACATAATCAACCCAGTTATGGCATATTTATGTGGTTGATGCAACAAAATATAGGAAATCTAGACTATCCCGAGCAGTTTGCCATGTATGATTATTGAAATTTAAAAGGGGAGTGAACTGGTTGGTTGAGCAGTTTCAAGTGATGTGCTTAAGATAGTTTATTGACATATGCTGAGATTGTTATTTTAAGAAAAACTATGCAACCAAACGTATAGATAGGAATTAGAAGTGTAAAACCATTTTAAAATTACGGATAAATAGCAGTATAGATGGCATAACTATGAATGGAAATGTTCAAAGGCAGACTTTGTTTATATATGCTGTAGATACTAGAAATGAAAACCCAAAGACACAGACCTTGCCTTTTATTCATCACTGGAGCTCAGAACCTAGAGTGAGACTTACAAAGAGAAAATTGCAAATGATCCAATAAGTACTATGATAAAGGCATACAAAAAAAAAATGAAAAGAAAAAGCAACGGGGATTATGGCCTACTAAACAATTCTGGGTGAGGCTTCCAAGCAGAGGCCATAGCAGAGGCTTGAACCCTTTTATGATATTGATTTTGTTTAATTATAAACTTATAAAAGCATTGAATATAATAGAAATATGGAATATATAGAAAGCATAAATAAAAAAATACAAATCACCCATGACTTACCTCCCAAAGATACGCATTAGTATTAGTTTTAAATATTTCATTGCATATATTTTTGCATCTGTTTTAAAGGATTGTGTTGTCATGGTGTGCATAATTATGCATCTTGTGTAAAAATTTAACTTTAAAATACAGAATAAACAAGTAAGAAACAAGAAAATATCAGACAGTAATACTTGTTATGCAGAGAATTAAATTGTGGTGATGTGACTGAAAGTCACTGAGTGGATTTTTAAATTGGGTGGTCAATGAAGGCTCTCTATGGAAGTTCTACGTAATCTTAGAATATATGGCAAGCACTGTAATTAGCTGCAGGAAGCTGCAGGAAAAAACAGGTGAATATCAGTGCAAGCTATGGAAACAGTGGTGTACAGATCTCCGGACAGGATCAAACTCAGCATGTTTGAGGAACAGGAACAAAAGACAGCGTAACTGAATTGTAGTGGCAGGTTCAAGAGTAATAGGAGATGAGACAAGATCACGCATGACCTGGTAGTCACGCGTACGGAGTTTTGTAAATGGGCGAGGCTACAAGGGGAATACTTCCTTAGCCCTCATAGTAGCACAGGTGAGGGGTAATGCTGGCTCCACCTGCTGTAGCTACAGCTGAGACAGACGTAGAGTGGTAAGTTCAGGGGTCATTTTAATAGCAGGGACTTCAAGATTTACTGATGTTTAGATCTAAGAGAATTAACAAGAAGGAGGGATCTTGGGTGACACTTAGATTTTGATGTAGAAAAACCAGTCATGTGCCACATAATATTTCAATCAACAATGGACCACATAGATGACAGTGGTCTTATGAGTATAATGGAGCTGAAAAATTCCCATTGCCTATAGATGTCATAGCTGTTGTAACATCATAGCACAATACATTACTCACATATTTGTGCTGATGCCAGTGTTATTACTGAAGAAAGAAAAATTGAAAAATAAATTTAGTGTAGCCTAAGTGTACAATGTTTATAAAGCCCTAAAGTAGTGCACAGTAATGTCCTAGGCCTTCACATTTACTCACCAATCATTAACTGACTCACCCAGAGCAACTTCCAGACTTGCAGGCTCCATTCATGGCAAATGCCATGTATAGGTGTACCCTTGTTTTATCTTTTATACAGTATTTTTACTATACCTTTTCTATATTTAGATATGTTTAAATACACACACACACACACACTTACCATTGTGTTACAACTGTCTACAGCATGAAGTACAGTCATGTGCTGTATAGGTTTATAGCCTAGGAGCATAGTTTAGTTTATAGCATATAGGCTGGTGTGTAGTAGGCTATCCCATCTAGGTTTATGTAAGTACACTCTATGATGTTTGCACAACAATGAAATTGCCTAATGCTGCACCTCTCAGAATGTATTCCTGTCATTAAGTGATGCATGAGTGTACACGGATGATGGCTTAGTGTGATTTACTCATCCTGGCATGTCTCAGACTTTCCCAGTTTCAGCACTGAAAGAGCTGTGTCCTGGGAAAACCCTTAGTCCTAGGCAAATAGGGACAGCTGTTCAAACTAAATATGACTTAATGTGAAGTAGGTGTTATTGTTGTGGGTGGGAGGAAAAAGAACCAACAGTCATATTTCGTTTTTTTGGTATTTTGAAGTATGAGATGCCTTTACACATCAGAGTTGAAGGAGGAACATTAATGGGACAGAAATAAGTATCATTTTAAATATTAGAAAAGAATCATGGAGGGAATAATCCAGTTCAAATATCTTGTATTTCAGTTGTTCTGTATTGCTGAAAACATTGCATAATCATGATCTGCTTAAGAAATTCAGACGCATATTGTTAGCTTATGGATGTTGATTATTGTAACAATTAGACTGCTTCCTAAATAGAATAGTCACGTGGTTGAATTGTTATTGAATTACTCAAAATATTTCTGTTTAAACCAAGTGACAATGGTATCAGATTCTGATTATCAGAAGTACTGATTCAGTGAAAAAAGTTATGTATGTTTATTTGCATAAAACATTACATATTCATTAAATGTCAACATGTTCAAAAATCCCTCTTACTTATAGCTACTTTTCCTCTAAATTCCATATGGTTTGTCCTCAACGTTTCCTGATCTTTTCCTTCACAAAGTCTTCAAGTACTTTAGATGTCAGTTTAAGTAGTTTATCCCAAAGGTAGAAAACTGAAGCAAGGCCTGCTCTATGTTTAGTTTTAACCACTGATTAAGTACTCTAAATGTGAAAGAGGTATGGGAAAGGGACAGGAATTTTGTGATAGCAAAATTCTAAGAGAAAATTTTGCCTTATGGTACCTTGTTACATTGGCATTTTGCTTATTGAACAGGGAAACAAAATTATGGGAAGTAGTTGGAAGCTTTAGAGTCAGAGGATACAGATGAACATTCTGTCTGAATTGCCATATACACATGCATTTGTATTTAAGAACTTCTGGCCAGGTGCAGTGGCTCACGCCTGTAATCCTAGCACTTTGGGAGGCCGAGGTGGGTGGATCACCTGAGATCAGGAGTTCAAGACCAGCCTGGCCAACATGGTGAAACCCCTTCTCTACTAAAAATACAAAAATTAGCCAGGCGGGGTGGCGGGTGCCTGCAGTCCCAGCTACGTGGGAGGCTGAGGCAGGGAGAATTGCTTGAACCCAGGAGGTGGAGGTTGCAGTGAGCCGAGATTGCGCCACTGCACTCCAGCCTGGGAGACAGAGCAAGACTCTGTCTCAAAAATAACTTCAGTCAATTCTATGTATATAATCATTCAGTCTTCTGTATGTAGATCCTTAGTAGACAAACTCATTCATTTTATTTTCAAATACTTATTGATAATTTTATTCATAAGCATTCTCCTCATTGGTATAAATAGAGGAATTCTAAAAATTTCCCAAGCCCAAAATATTTCCTCCCCTCTAGTCCTACAGTTGAACTTACGATTTTCACATGGTTATATACTTGGATTCTTTTAGTATAGTCACTGAAGACTTTTAAAAACAGAAATACTGGGCCGGGTGCGGTGGCTCATGCCTGTAATCCCAGCACTTTGGGAGGCCAAGATGGGTGGATCACTAGGTTAGGAGTTCAAGACCAGCCTGGGAAACAGTGAGATCCTGTCTCTACAAAAAATACAGAAATTAGCTGGGTGTAGTGGTGCCTATACCTGTAGTCCCAGCTACTTAGGAGGATTGCTTGAGCACAGGAATTCCAGGTTGCAGTGAGCTATGATTGTGTCACTGCACTCCACCCTGGCTGACAGAGTAAGACCCTGTCTCCAAAAATAAATAAATAAAATTAAAAAATGAAATACTAGTGTGGACACATTAATGAGCAATCATTAGCATATTATTTAAAATTATTTATCAGCTTATCTACAAGGACTTGAATAATCAATACATAGAACAGGCATCCTTTTGATTAGAGATGGAAATCAGAAGGTACAATTTCATAATGAGCTTGATCCCTAGGGAAATAAGAGCTTGAATATCCTATTACAGTGGAGACTGCTAGTCACTGAAAACAGTAGGAAAGCAACAACTTTTACCAGGACATACCTGCTTATGAAAAGACAAATAATGTGGAGAGTGCCTCAGGATCATATGTTGAAGGCATGCTATTTACCTCCTAATTTCTTTTCCAAAGTGTGATATTAGCATATATTGATGTAGCTCCCTTAGGTCCTGATCAAAACAAAGATAGGGCAATAGTAATAAGGTAAGATGGGGAGAACAGATATGCTGTTAGTGTAACAATATATTGATGTTATATCATTAAATTATCATTTTACCAGGAAAACAATTTATGATTTGTTTTCATTATACCATTTCATTCATCCCTGCCTGCTACACTCAGAATCTGAAGCCCCTTACCTTAATGTGTGTGATGAGATTGACAGGAAAAGGAAGCTGGACTTGTGAGGATGGAAGGGATCTGAGAAGACCGGAAGAACAATGGTGAAGTAAAGTAGAAAAAGTGAGAACACTGGGTGGTCCAGTCTGATGGAGATTCATCTGGATGGTAGGAAAAGGAAGAGTTTGGGAAAATTAAGTAAATAGTGGTTCTGGGCTATCTATGGGCTTAATCATTAAATTTCCTAAGAAGTTTGCTTTCATGCAATTGCAGCTCTTTCCGTATCTATCTTGATCTTTATCTCAATATCTATCTATGGCAGATCTTAAAAAATATGTTGTCCAATGTTTTCATTTTAGAGATGAGAAAATTGAGGTTCGGGGAATTTAAGGGACCTGCTAATGATTAATAGTTAAATTTACATATTTTAAAAACTGGTATTTTTTCCTTCTATGCCACAGGGTTTTGGTTATTATCTTTCCGCAAGTTAGCTACAAGAGAAGAGACCAGCTTTCTGGTAAAGCTGAAATCACTGAAAAAAAAAATCTCATATAAATCTCTAGCTTGCAATATACTTGGAAAGATTATTTTGGACTAGATAACCTCCCAAATTAACATTATCCTCGTCCTCATCAACAAAGAATGAAGATTTAGGAAAATTGCTTAGAGTATTTAATAAAATAGCTTGTTTCAGACAAAGATACTTAAGGGACCTTTTTCTAGAGAGAAAAAAATCTGAAATTATACAGAACGATTTTATATAACAGGAAATGAGACGATGAGACTCATTCTGTCCTTCTCAGTGCCTAGTCCAATGACTTAGATTTGTGATTTGTGTGAGCCTAGGAGCAGGGTAGGTACTCTGTATCTACTGATTGATTGGCTGTTCCATTTTAAAGGGATAAGCCATTTGAATTCCCAGAGTTAATAAAAGCCAACTCAATGACATGACAGCGCCTCAGAAGTGAGAACATTATAAGTAAGGTTCATGTTCCATTTAATGTTGTTTTTAATGGAGCAACAACAAACGTTTCTTTTATTGAGGAGATTTGCTTACATTTTGTCTAGCAGAAACAAAATGGGTCAAGCATATGATAAAGTTAAATAAGATAATTGTGAAAAGGGGGAAAATAAGCAACAACTGGAAAGTATATACTAAAATATTTAATTGACCAAGATTGGAAATAAAAAGTGAGCATACGGACATTTTATGCTAGGAAATGAAAACAAGGCATTTAAAAAAGATTGTGTTAAAGATATTTGATCAAAAAACAAACAAACATATGTATACACATACCAACATCTTCTGAAAAGAAAGAAAAAAAAAAGCTCACTTCGGTTCCCTAGGAGTCAACTCTAGTCTGGTACTTGTTCACATGAACTTAAATCTAGGGTAAAAAGATTGTTTTTCGTTGCTGAAGTCAATTTGGCAAATTTGTAGTTTTGATATAAGTCAGATTTGCAGTTCACTCCTGGAAATGGATTGTGCAATGGCCATACTATGTGTTCCTGCTGAATGACACAAAGCCACTTAGAATTATTTGAGGGCTGAGGTTAACCAATTATTGGGTTTACTTCTGCTGCTGCTCTGCCTTTGACCAGAGAAGCAGGGGAGAAAATGTCTAGTCAAGAGTGATAACTGAGACAAATACCTACCTTAGTCGTCTCTCACCTTCTCAGAGTACTTTATTTATTTTGGCCTGTGTTACAAATTTGGTACTTAATTTATATGTAACTGGGCATTTTATATTTAAATATCTCCTTCAAAAGACGGAAACTACTTGAAGGCAAGGACTTTGTGTCAGGTTTCTTGTCACCCCCCTACACTTATCACACAGTCAGAGATTCCACCAGCTGGTCCTTTGTTCATTGTCAGTGAAATTAAAACTCAGTGACACAGAGGTAATAACATCTCCCCTGACGTTTGCACAGCATAACTGAGATACAATTTGTCTTTTATATTATCTAGTATCATGGACATTAGTAACAATCCAGAAATATTTCACATTTTGTGAATTTAAAACATTTAAATGATTTGAGGCTAACAGCTCCAATTTAGAAGCAGAAAACTAAATCTTAAATTGTCTGAGTTGGTACTCACAGAAAAGTAATGCTAACTTTCCTCTCAGAAACCAAATAATGTTTAGGTCACAAGAGATCATTTTAAAAAGTGATAAACCAGTGGTTGTTGAAAAGGGCCACGGAATGATGTCATGATTCATTTTTTTCACAGCAAAATGTGAAGACAAGCCTTCAGTTCCCTTCTTGACCACCAGCATGGAACTAAACAATTAAACCTGTCAGAAAAAAAAAAGCTGCTGTATTTTAAGGTACAGTTTCATGCATTGTTTTACTTTCTCTCTGGCTACTTATAGGAGCTTGAAAAAATAAAAAGGCCAGGAAATATGTACCCTGGGAGCCAAACTCAAACTGCAAACTCAGCTTCCAATTCTCTCAATGAGCCTGGGGTTTAGCTTGAGTGACAGTGGAATCCCCAGCCAGCCAATTAGAGCATGGTTGAATTGGAGTAAGGCTGAGAGATGCAAGAAACAAAGTCATGCTAGAATGTACAGGTGGGTGAGGAGTACTGGGAAGTGCACTGCAGCTGGCAGAAGTGATTAGGCTTGATTTAAATTGAGTTTCCTAACACTGGTACTAGAGCAAGGAACAGCCGGATTTACATGGAATGGATGGGCTTTTTTCTGAACAGTAGCTGCCATAAAAGCAGAGTTAGAAATGAGCATGATGCAAACCACTGGGAAGGGCTCATTAGCCACATTTCACTTTTATGACACTCTAAATGGCATTCCATATATATTTTGCATGGGTTTCTTGCAATCTGAAATCAGCATTTCTGTGAGTGGTGAATGTGCCTTTTTATAATGGATATGAGAGTTTATTTTTAAGGCAGTTAATAGTTTTGAGAATTTGTGCAGTTTATAATAACTAAATATCAGTTCTAAAACCTTGGATGTTGTATTTTTTTAAACAAAATTGGCTATTGTTTTCATGATTTTTCTTCTATGGTTTATAAAATCAGAGATGGCTCATACAAGGGAATTCTCTTCTTGGGCAAACAGAAAAATATTTGTAATCTGTATTACAAGTACTAATTATGTGAGCAGATATTTTATGATTGTTTATTTAAGTAGTTCAAATTCCTGTCTTTCTATCTTACAATGCACATGGCCCCTTTGCTTCCTATAAGCAACCCTTTTCAGGCGGCATGTGGAAAGTGTGACTTTTCTTCTCTCAAATGTTTGTCTTATAGGTCTCTAATAAATTAAACTGTTTTCACTTATCTGATAAAGATACTATTTTTTTGCAGGAAATTATTATTTACTGTTCTCTTTAGAGATCTCAATGGCAATATTCTATATCAATAGGAGTTGTGATTAACTGAAAAGCATTGCACCCAACAAACACACATTGTTTACATAGATTGTAATGTAGTTTCTATATTTGAGAACATAAACTGTTATTTTAAAGCCTCTCTTGCTAGCAAGTTTTAAAATAATTTCTTAAAAAACAAGAGATTCAAGTAGTCAAAAAATTGGTACTAAACAACTGTTGCTTTTCTTCTTTGAAAGAGACATGTAATTGAACTTTTCCTATCATCATGATTAATACGGTAACACTGTAGATTTTTCATTCATTCCTTGTTGTCAACAGCTGAGAAATAAAGTGAAGATATGACAGCTATATAGGCATTTGTTTTATACAACTGATAGAAGAAATTGTACAGAAACTCAAACAAACAACGGCTGCAAAAAGTAGAAGAAAACCCAAAACTATGACATTGCTATGGTTTGAGTGTTTGTGCTCTTCTGAATTTTATATTGAAACTTAATTACCATTGTGGTGGTATTAAGAGGTGGACCATTTGGGGAAGTAGTTATGAGGGCTCTGCCTTCATGAATGGGATTAGTGTCCTTACCATGGAGGCTCCAGCTTCTTGGCCCTTCTATTTCTTCTGTCATGTGTGAAGACAGTGTTTATTCCTTATGTCTTTTCCACCATGTGAGAATGCCTCAACAAAGGGCCATCTATAGAATAGCCCTTGTCAGATGTCAAATACGCTGCCACCATTATCTTGGACTTCCCAGGCCTCCAAAACTATAACAAATAAATTTGTATTACTTATAAATTACCTAGTCTATGGTATTTTGCCATTGCACCAAAAACAGACCAAGACTGGCATGTATCATTTTAATTATTTAATCAATTGTGTACTATTAGTGTTTACAAAAACTATTCTAATACCAAAATAATACATAAACAATATTTGGTGTGTGATATGGTTTGGCTGTGTCCCCACCCAGACCTCATCTTGAATTCCCACATATTGTGGTAGGGACCCGGTGAAAGGTAATTGAATCATGGGGGCAGGTCTTTCCCATGCTGTTCTCGAAATAGTGAATAAGACTCACAAGATTTGATGGTTATAAAAAGGGGAGTTCCCCTGCACAAGTGCTCCTCTCTTTGCCTGCTGCTATCCATGTAAGACATGACTTGCTCCTCCTTGCCTTCTGCCATGATTGTGAGGCTTCCCCAGCCACGTGGATCTGTAAGTCCAATTAAACCTCTTTCTTTTGTAAATTGCCCAGTCTCGGGTATGTCTTTATTGGCAGCATGAAAACAGACTAATACAGTGTGTATATGTTATAGATAAATAGAAGTTTGAGTTCTGACTTCTGAAATAAATAGTTCTCAAACTGAGTTAGGCTATCAGAGTCTCACAAGATAGACAAAATTAATGAGAGTTTTAAAATATACCTCAACTTCTTTTTTCTAGCCTAATTTCTATACTTTAATTAATCTGTAATTTACATATATTGAACAAAAAGAGACATCCAGAATCTACTTCATTTAAATAAACATTGCAGTTGCTGCTAAATCCACATGCATCTTTTTTCTTTCTTGTTTCAACTTTTAGGTACATACTTACCCTTTAATTCTATATTTAAGGTAACAGAGACATGGACTTTTTAAGGTAACAGAGACATGGACTTGAGAAGACAACTTGGCTCAATTCCTAGCTCTGCAACTTACTTACTAGGTTTGTGTCTTTGGGTAAGTTAATTAATGTGATTTTGCCTCAGTTTATAACTCATCTAAAAATTGAGAATACAGACTCTTTTGGGTTATTATAAAAATTAAACGACATAAAGTAATTACAATACTGCTAACACTATGTTAGCACTTAACAAATGTTTACTACCATGAATTCAGGCCTAGAATTTAAGTGTAGCATCACCTAACAACCCACAAATATATCAATGAAGTTACAGTGAAAAAAGTGCCTAATACTGAAAAGTATACTGTTAAGCTATTAAGAGAATATAAGAGGGGTTACCACTAACTAAACCTTCTTAAGAATTGCATTTAATATCTCAATATGATTTCCATATAACTGAGAATTTCCACACCAAGTTATTTAACTGAGAAAAATTATATATATATACACACAAAAACTTATATAGTACTGTTCATATAATCTTTATCTCTGCTATGGTATGAATTTTTGTCTCCTTCATAATTCATGTTGAAACTTAATCCCTAATGTGGCATTATCAAGGTGGGGGGTGGCTTTAAGAGGTGATTGGGTCAAGAGGACTCTGCCCTCATAAATGACTTAATCTCATGCATGGATTAATGGGTTATCACTGGAGTGGGACCGGTGGCTTTACAAGAAAAGGAACAGAGAGTTGAGCTAGCACATTAGCATGGTCAGTCCCCTTGCCATGTGATGCCCTGTGACAACTTGGGACTCTGCACAGAGTCCCCACCAGCAAGAAGACCCTCATCAGATGTGGCCCCTTGACTTTGGACTTCTCAGCCTCCAGAACTGTAAGAAATAAATATATTGTCTTTATAAAGTACCCAGTTTCAGTTATTCTGTTATTAGCAACAGAAAACAAATCAAGATGATCCTAATAGCCAAAAACTGCAAACAACTCAAATGTCTGTCAACAAATAAATGAATAAACAAATTATGGTATACCTATATGATGGAATACTACTTAGTAATAAGAAAGAACTACTGATAACATGCCATATCTTAGCTGAATCTGGAGAACATTTTACTGAGTGAAAAAGCCAGGTATAAAAGAGTAGATATTATATGATGTTATTTACATAAAATTCAAGCCATGACAAATCTAAATTATAATGATAAAAAGCATTAGTGGTTATCTGAGGCTGAGAATAGGAATTAAACAATGCTATTTGTTAAAAGTAATCTGTTTTAAGTATTTGTGTGATTTCTATTTTCCAGACTGCATCCTAACAAACAACTGTGTCAAGACATTTGAACAGCATATTCTACACAAATAAAAAGGAAATGATAAAGATAAAAGAAATTAATAGAATGGAAAGTGATGGAGATAAACAAGTGAAAAGATGGTCCTTTGAAAAGACTAAAACATGGCCAATGCACTGGCAAGAATGATTGGGACAATAAACAAAATATATATGCCAGGGCAGCTCCCGGCGAGATCGACGCAAAAGGTGGGTGATTTCTGCATTTCCAACTGGGGTACTCAGTTCACCTCATTGGGACTGGTTGGACAGTGGGTGTAGCCCAGGGAGGGTGAGCCAAAGCAGGGTGGGGCATTGTCTCACCCCAGAAGCACAAGGGGTCGGGGGATTTCCCGTTCCTAGCCAAGGGAAGCCGTGAGACACTGTACCGGGAGAAACTGCACTCTGGCCCAGATACTGCACTTTTCCCATGGTCTTCGAAACCAGCAGACCAGGAGACTCCCTCCCGTGCCTGGCTCAATGGGTCCCACCCTCACAGAGCCCAGCAAGCTAAGATCCACTGGCTTGAAATTCTTGCTGCTAGCACAGCAGTCTGAGATCCACCTGGGACTCTCCAGCTTGCTGGCGGGGGAAGGGTCGTCGCCATTGCTGAGGCTTGAGTAGGCAGTTTTCCCCTCACAGTGTAAACAAGGCATCCTGGAAGTTCAAAGTGGATGGAGCCCACTGCAGCTCAGCAAGGCTGCTGCAGGGGCATCTCTGAAAAGAAGGCAGCAGCCCCAGTCAGGGGCTTATAGATAAAACCCTCATCTCCCTGGGACAGAGCACCTGGGGGAAGGGGTGGCTGTGGGCGCAGCTTCAGCAGACTTAAACGTCTCTGCCTGGCAGCTCTTAAGAGAGCAGTGGATCTCCCAGCACAGTATTTGAGCTCTGATAAGGGACAGGCTGCCTCCTCAACTGGGTCCCTGACCCCCATGTATCCTGACTGGGAGACATCTCCCAGTAGGGGCTGACAGATACCTCATACAGGAGAGCTCTTGCTGACATCTGGTGGGTGCCCCTCTGGGATGAAGCCTCCAGAGGAAGGAACAGGCAGCAATCTTTGCTGTTCTGCAGCCTCTGCTGGTGATACCCAGGCAAACAGGGTCTGGAGTAGACCTCCAGCAAACCCCAGCAGCTCTGCAGAAGAGGGGCCTGGCTGTTAGAAGGAAAACTAACAAACAGAAAGGGATAGTAGCAACATCAACAAAAAGGACGTCCACTCAGAGACCCCATCCAAAGGTCACCAGCATCAAAGACCAAAGGTAGATAAATCCACAAAGATGGGGAAAAACCGCCGCAAAAAGGCTGAAAACTCCAAAAACCAGAACGTCTCTTCTCCAAAGGATCAGAACTCCTTGGCAGCAAGGGAACAAAACTGGATGGAGAAGGAGTTTGACGAATTCACAGAAGTAGACTTCAGAAGGTGGGTAATAACAAACTCCTCAAAGCTAAAGGAGCATGTTCTAACCCAATGCAAGGAAGCTAAGAACCTTGGAAAAAGGTTAGACGAATTGCTAACTAGAATAACCAGTTGAGAGAAGAACATAAATGACATGATGGAGCTGAAAAGCACAGCAAGAGAACTTCGTGAAGCATACACAAGTATCAATAGCCAAATCAATCAAGTGGAAGAAAGGATATCAGAGATTGAAGATCAACTCAATGAAATAAAGCAAGAAGACAATATTAGAGAAAAAAGTGAAAAGAAACAAAGCCTCCAAGAAATACGGGACTATGTGAAAAATCCAAATCTACATTTGATTGGTGTACCTGAAAGTGATGGGGAGAATGGAACCAAGTTGGAAAACACTCTTCAGGATATTATCCAGGAGAACATCCCCAACCTAACAAGGCAGATCAACATTCAAATTCAGGAAATACTGAGAACACCACTAAGACATTCCTTGAGAAGAGCAACCCCAAGACACATAATCATCAGATTCACCAAGGTTGAAATTAAGGAAAAAATGTTAAGGGCAGCCAGAGAGAAAGGTCGGGTTACCCACAAAGGGGGGCCCATCAGACTAACAGCACATCTCTCGGTAGAAACCCTATTAGCCAGAAGAGAGTAGGGACCAATATTCAACATTCTTAAAAGAATTCTCAACCCAGAGTTTCGTATCCAGCCAAACTAAGCTTCTTAAGTGAAGAAGAAATAAAATCCTTTACAGTCAAGCAAATGCTGAGAGATTTTGTCACCACCAGGCCTGCCTCACAAGAGCTCCTGAAGGAAGCACTAAACGTGGAAAGGAACAACTGGTACCAGCCACTGCAAAAACACACCAAATTGTAAAGACCATCGATGCTATGAAGGAACTGCATCAACTAATGGGCAAAATAACCAGCTAGCATCATAATGACAGGATCAAATTCACACATAACAATGTTAACCTTAAATGTAAATGGGCTAAATGCCCCAGTTAAAAGACCCATCAGTGTGCTGTATTCAGGAGACCCATCTTACGTGCAAAGACACACATAAGCTCAAAATAAAGAGATGGAGGAATATTTACCAAGCAAATGGAAAGCAAAAAAAGCAGGGGTTGCAATCCTAGTCTCTGATAAAACAGACTTTAAACAAACAAAGATCAAAAGAGACAAAGAAGGCCATTACATAATGGTAAAGGGATCAATGCAACAAGAAGAACTAACTATCCTTATATACAGAAGTGCCCAGATTCATAAAGTAAGTTCTTAGAGACCTACAAAGAGATTTAGACTCCCACACAATAACAGTGGGAGACTTTAACACCTCACTGTCAACATTAGACAGATCAACGAGACAGAAAATTAACAAGGAAGTCCATAACTTGAATTCAGCTCTGGACCAAGTGGACCTAATAGACATCTACAGAACTCTCCACCCGAAATCAACAGAATATATATTCTTCTCAGCACTACATCGCACTTATTCTAAAATTTACCAAATAGTTGGAAGTAAAACACTCCTCAGCAAATGCAAAAGATGGAAATCATAACAAGCAGTCTCTCAGACCACAGTGTAATCAAATTACAACTCAGGATTAAGAAACTCACTCAAAACCACACAACTACATGGAAACTGAACAACCTGCTCCAGAATGACTACTGGGTACATAACGAAATGAAGGCAGAAATAAAGATGTTGTTTGAAACCAATGAGAACAAAGACACAACATAACAGAATCTCTGGGACACATTTAAAGCATATGTAGAGGGAAATTTATAGCACTAAATGCCCACAAGAAAAAGCAGGACAGATCTAAAATCGACCCCCTATCATCACAACTAAAAGAACTAGAGAAGCAAGAGCAAACACATTCAAAAGCTAGCAGAAGACAAAAAATAACTAAGATTAGAGCAGAACTGAAGGAGATAGAGACAGGAAAAAACCTTCAAAAAAATCAATGAATCCAGGAGCTGGTTTTTTGAAAAGGTCAACAAAATAGATGGACCACCAGCAAGACTAATAAAGAAGAAAAGAGAGAAGAATCAAATAGACGCAATAAAAAATGTAAAAGGGGATATCACCACCAATCCCACAGAAATACAAACTACCATCAGAGAATACTATAAACACCTCTACACAAATAAACTAGAAAATCTAGAAGAAATGGATAAATTCCTGGACATGTACACTCTCCCAAGACGAAACCAGCAAGAAGTCAAATCCCTGAGTAGACCAATAATAAATTCTGAAATTGAGGCAGTAATTAATGAGATACCATCTCATGCCAGTTAGAATGGTGATCATTGAAAAGTCAGGAAAGAACAGATGCTGGAGAGGATGTGGAGAAATAGGAATGCTTTTACACTGTTGGTGGGAGTGTAAATTAGCATAACACATCAAAATATACATAAAATAAAATGTATTATGGTCAAGTAGCTTTACGAGAATTAAAGGTTGGATTCATATTTAAGAATAGATCAGTGCCATTTTGCACACCATCAAATAAAGGATAAAAAAAATCACATGATCATTTCAACTGATATGGGGAAAGCAATTGATAAAATACAATGTCCAAACATTACTTACCAAAAAGAAAAAATAACCTCTTAGCGAACTAGAAATTGGAGACAGCTTTCTTAAATTTGTCAAGATTTTCTACAAAAAATAAAACTATGTGAAACATCATTGAATTTAATCGCAAAATGTTGAAAGGCTTCCCTCTATGATAAAGAATAAAGGGATGTACTCTATAATCACTTCTATTCATCATTGAATTGAAAGTTCCAAGAGTGCAAAAATGTCAAAAAAATGAACGAAAGTACGTGTGTTTTTAAGGAAGAAATAAAACTGTAATTCTCATATATCATTGTCTATTCAGAAAATTAAAAATAACAGGAAGACTAATCAAATAAATAATGGTATTGGCAAGTTTAATACAAAAATATCCATTGCATTTCTATATCCTAGCAAAATTGGAAAATAAAATGTTAAAATGATACCATTTATAATAGTATAAAGCACACATATCTTCCCAAAATAAAACTGAATCAAAAAACATATGTTAGAATGTTTGTGGCAGTTTTATTTGTGATTGCCAAAATGAGAAACAACCCAATGTCTGTTAGTAAATGGATAAATAAATATAGGACACATCATACAATGAAAACCTATAATAGCAATGGTTCTTAGACTTTTTATCTAAGGACAGTTTTACACTCTAACAAAAAATTGAAGACCTTAAAATGCTTTTGTTTATACGAGTTTTGTCTATCGATATTTACAGTATTAGCAACTGAAACTGAGATGTTTTAAATGTTCTGTCAAGAATTGTGAAGTGTCTGAGAATTTCCTGTGCTTGCAAGCTAACAAGTTAGCCTGCCAGAGTTTCATGTATGCTAGTAGAAGACACAAGAATATCAGGTCAAAGACAAAGGACATTATAACTTACAGCAATAGCAGTACCCAGAGTATCAGCATTATCTTGTGTCAGTTTTCCAAGCCCAAGTTCCCCAGGACAACATGATTAGGGCCAAGTGACAGCAGCACATGCAATGAGTAATGTTACAGAAGAGAAACCCTGAGCTTAGGAGCCTGATTATTTTATAATGAGCAATAAGCATACCTTCTCTTTGTTCAGGAGGGAGACACTACCTCTCTTTTCCAAAGCTATCCCTTATATAAACATCCTTGAAAAAGCACTCCGGAACAAAGGCAGTGAGTGCTTCCATTCTAGCAAAGACTTGGAACCAACCCAAATGTCCAACGATGATAGACTGGATTAAGAAAATGTGGCACATATACACCATGGAATACTATGCAGCCATAAAAAATGATGAGTTCATGTCCTTTGTAGGGACATGGATGAAACTGGAAATCATCATTCTCAGTAAACTATCGCCAAGGACAAAAAACCAAACATCACATGTTCTCACTCATAGGTGGGAATTGAACAATGAGAACACA